>NC_000012.12:10000-1424730 GCF_000001405.40 Homo sapiens
CTAACCCTAACCCTAACCCTAACCCTAACCCTAACCCTAACCCTAACCCTAACCCTAACCCTAACCCTAACCCTAACCCTAACCCTAACCCTAACCCTAACCCTAACCCTAACCTTAACCCTAACCCTAACCCTAACCCTAACCCTACCCCAACCCTAACCCTAACCCCTAACCCAAACCCCTACCCCAACCCAACCCCTAACCCTAACCCTAACCCTAACCCTAACCCTAACCCTAACCCTAACCCTAACCCTAACCCTAACCCTAACCCTAACCCTACCCCTAACCCTAACCCTAACCCTAACCCCAACCCCAAACCGTAACCCTAACCCTAACCCTAACCCTAACCCCTAACCCTAACCCTAACCCTACCCTAACCCTAACCCTAACCCTAACCCTACCCTAACCCTAACCCTAACCCTAACCCCTAACCCCTAACCCCTAACCCTAACCCTAACCCTACCCTAACCCTAACCCTAACCCTAACCCCAACCCCAACCCCAACCCTAACCCTAACCCTACCCTAACCCTAACCCTAACCCTAACCCTAACCCCAACCCCAACCCTAACCCTAACCCTAACCCTGGCGGTACCCTCAGCCGGCCCGCCCGCCCGGGTCTGACCTGAGGAGAACTCTGCTCCGCCTTCGCAGTACCACCGAAATCTGTGCAGAGGACAACGCAGCTCCGCCCTCGCGGTGCTCTCCGGGTCTGTGCTGAAGAGAACGCAACTCCGCCGGCGCAGGCGCAGAGAGGCGCGCCGCGCCGGCGCAGGCGCAGAGAGGCGCGCCGCGCCGGCGCAGGCGCAGAGAGGCGCGCCGCGCCGGCGCAGGCGCAGAGAGGCGCGCCGCGCCGGCGCAGGCGCAGAGAGGCGCGCCGCGCCGGCGCAGGCGCAGAGAGGCGCGCCGCGCCGGCGCAGGCGCAGAGAGGCGCGCCGCGCCGGCGCAGGCGCAGAGACACATGCTAGCGCGTCCAGGGGAGGAGGCGTGGCGCAGGCGCAGAGACACATGCTAGCGCGCCCAGGGGAGGAGGCGTGGCGCAGGCGCAGAGAGGCGCGCCGCGCCGGCGCAGGCGCAGAGACACATGCTAGCGCGTCCGGGGTGGAGGCGTGGCGCAGGCGCAGAGACGCACGCCTACGGGCGGGGGTTGGGGGGGCGTGTGTTACAGGAGCAAAGTCGCACGGCGCCGGGCTGGGGGCGGGGGGGGGGGGTGGCGCCGTGCACGCGCAGAAACTCACGTCACGGCGGCGCGGCGCAGAGACGGGTGGAACCTCAGTAATCCGAAACGCCGGGATCGACAGCCCCTTGCTTGCAGCCGGGCACTACAGGACCCGCTTGCTCACGGTGCTGTGCCAGGGCGCCCCCTGCTGGCGACTAGGGCAACTGCAGGGCTCTCTTGCTTAGAGTGGTGGCCAGCGCCCCCTGCTGGCGCCGGGGCACTGCAGGGCCCTCTTGCTTACTGTATAGTGGTGGCACGCCGCCTGCTGGCAGCTAGGGACATTGCAGGGTCCTCTTGCTCAAGGTGTAGTGGCAGCACGCCCGCCTGCTGGCAGCTGGGGACACTGCCGGGCCCTCTTGCTCCAACAGTAGTGGCGGATTATAGGGAAACACCCGGAGCATATGCTGTTTGGTCTCAGTAGGCTCCTAAATATGGGATTCCTTGGTTTAAAAGTATAAAATAAATATGTTTAATTTGTTAACTGATTACCATCAGAATTGTACTGTTCTGTATCCCACCAGCAATGTCTAGGAATGCCTGTTTCTCCACAAAGTGTTTACTTTTGGATTTTTGCCAGTCTAACAGGTGAACCCCTGGAGATTCTTCTTAGTGATTTGGGCTGGGGCCTGGCCATGTGTATTTTCTTAAATTTCCACTGATGATTTTGCTGCATGGCCGGTGTTGAGAATGACTGCGCAAATTTGCCGGATTTCCTTTGCTGTTCCTGCATGTAGTTTAAACGAGATTGCCAGCACCGGGTATCATTCACCATTTTTCTTTTCGTTAACTTGCCGTCAGCCTTTTCTTTGACCTCTTCTTTCTGTTCATGTGTATTTGCTGTCTCTTAGCCCAGACTTCCCGTGTCCTTTCCACCGGGCCTTTGAGAGGTCACAGGGTCTTGATGCTGTGGTCTTCATCTGCAGGTGTCTGACTTCCAGCAACTGCTGGCCTGTGCCAGGGTGCAAGCTGAGCACTGGAGTGGAGTTTCCCTGTGGAGAGGAGCCATGCCTAGAGTGGGATGGGCCATTGTTCATCTTCTGGCCCCTGTTGTCTGCATGTAACTTAATACCACAACCAGGCATAGGGGAAAGATTGGAGGAAAGATGAGTGAGAGCATCAACTTCTCTGACAACCTAGGCCACTAAGTAGTGCTTGTGCTCATCTCCTTGGCTGTGATACGTGGCCGGCCCTCGCTCCAGCAGCTGCACCCCTACCTGCCGTCTGCTGCCATCGGAGCCCAAAGCCGGGCTGTGACTGCTCAGACCAGCCAGCTGGAGGGGCTCAGCAGCTCTGGCTTTGGCCCTGGGAGAGCAGGTGGAAGATCAGGCAGGCCATCGCTGCCGCAGAACCCAGTGGATTGGCCTAGGTGGGATCTCTGAGCTCAACAAGGCCTCTCTGTGTGGTAGGTGCAGAGAGGGGAGGGGCAGAGCCGCAGGCACAGCGAAGAGGGCTGAAGAAATGGTAGAACGGAGCAGCTGGTGATGTGTGGGCCCACCGGCCCCAGGCTCCTGTCTCCCCCCAGGTGTGTGGTGATGCCAGGCATGCCCTTCCCCAGCATCAGGTCTCCAGAGCTGCAGAAGACGACGGCCGACTTGGATCACAGTCTTGTGAGTGTCCCCAGTGTTGCAGAGGTGAGAGGAGAGTAGGCGGTGAGTGGGAGTGGTGTCGCCCCTAGGGCTCTGCTGGGCTGGCGTCTCCTGTCTCCTGGGGAGGCTTGGATGCCCCTCCACACCCTCTTGATCTTCCCCGTGATGTCATCTGGAGGCCTGCTGCTTGCAGTGGCCTATAAAGCCTCCTGGTCTGGCTCCAAGGCCTGGCACAGTCTTTCCCAGGGAAAGCTACAAGCAGGAAACAGTCCGCATGGGTCATCCCCTTCACTCCCAGCTCAGAGCCCAGGCCAGGGGCCCCCAAGAAAGGCTCTGGTGGAGAACCTGTGCATGAAGGCTGTCAACCAGTCCATAGGCAAGCCTGGCTGCCTCCAGCTGGGTGGACAGACAGGGGCTGGAGAAGGGGAGAAGAGGAAAGGGGGGCTGCCTGCCCTGTCTCCCACCTGAGGCTGAGGAAGGAAAGGGGGATGCACTGTTGGGGAGGCAGCTGTAACTCAAAGCCTTAGCCTCTGTTCCCACGAAGGCAGGGCCATCAGGCACCAAAGGGATTCTGCCAGCATAGTGCTCCTGGACCAGTGATACACCCGGCACCCTGTCCTGGACAGGCTGTTGGCCTGGATCTGAGCCCTCGTGGAGGTCAAAGCCACCTTTGGTTCTGCCATTGCTGCTGTGTGGAAGTTCACTCCTGCCTTTTCCTTTCCCGAGAGCCTCCACCACCCCGAGATCGCATTTCTCACTGCCTTTTGTCTGCCCAGTTTCACCAGAAGTAGGCCTCTTCCTGACAGGCAGCTGCACCACTGCCTGGCGCTGCGCCCTTCCTTTGCTCTGCCCGCTGGAGACGGTGTTTGTCATGGGCCTGGTCTGCAGGGATCCTGCTACAAAGGTGAAACCCAGGAGAGTGTGGAGTCCAGAGTGTTGCCAGGACCCAGGCACAGGCATTAGTGCCCGTTGGAGAAAACAGGGGAATCCTGAAGAAATGGTGGGTCCTGGCCATCCGTGAGATCTTCCCAGGGCAGCTCCCCTCTGTGGAATCCAATCTGTCTTCCATCCTGCGTGGCCGAGGGCCAGGCTTCTCACTGGGCCTCTGCAGGAGGCTGCCATGTGTCCTGCCCACCTTCTTAGAAGCGAGACGGAGCAGACTCATCTGCTACTGCCCTTTCTATAATAACTAAAGTTAGCTGCCCTGGACTATTCACCCCCTAGTCTCAATTTAAAAAGATCCCCATGGCCACAGGGCACCTGCCTGGGAGCTTGTCACCTCCCCCACCTTCTTCATGAGTCACTCCTGCAGCCTTGCTCCCTAACCTGCCCCACAGCCTTGCCTGGATTTCTATCTCCCTGGCTTGGTGCCAGTTCCTCCAAGTCGATGGCACCTCCCTCCCTCTCAACCACTTGAGCAAACTCCAAGACATCTTCTACCCCAACACCAGCAATTGTGCCAAGGGCCATTAGGCTCTCAGCATGACTATTTTTAGAGACCCCGTGACTGTCACTGAAACCTTTTTTGTGGGAGACTATTCCTCCCATCTGCAACAGCTGCCCCTGCTGACTGCCCTTCTCTCCCAGAGAAACAGGTCAGCTGGGAGCTTCTGCCCCCACTGCCTAGGGACCAACAGGGGCAGGAGGCAGTCACTGACCCCGAGACGTTTGCATCCTGCACAGCTAGAGGTCCTTTATTAAAAGCACACTGTTGGTTTCTGCTCAGTTCTTTATTGATTGGTGTGCCGTTTTCTCTGGAAGCCTCTTAAGAACACAGTGGCGCAGGCTGGGTGGAGCCGTCCCCCCATGGAGCACAGGCAGACAGAAGTCCCCGCCCCAGCTGTGTGGCCTCAAGCCAGCCTTCCGCTCCTTGAAGCTGGTCTCCACACAGTGCTGGTTCCGTCACCCCCTCCCAGGGAAGCAGGTCTGAGCAGCTTGTCCTGGCTGTGTCCATGTCAGAGCAACGGCCCAAGTCTGGGTCTGGGGGGGAAGGTGTCATGGAGCCCCCTAGGATTCCCAGTCGTCCTTGTCCTCGTCTACCTGTGGCTGCTGCGGTGGCGGCAGAGGAGGGATGGAGTCTGACACGCGGGCAAAGGCTCCTCCGGGCCCCTCACCAGCCCCAGGTCCTTTCCCAGAGATGCCTGGAGGGAAAAGGCTGAGTGAGGGTGGTTGGTGGGAAACCCTGGTTCCCCCAGCCCCCAGAGACTTAAATACAGGAAGAAAAAGGCAGGACAGAATTACAAGGTGCCGGCCCAGGGCGGGCAGCGGCCCTGCCTCCTACCCTTGTGCCTCATGACCAGCTTGTTGAAGAGATCCGACATCAAGTGCCCACCTTGGCTCGTGGCTCTCACTGCAACGGGAAAGCCACAGACTGGGGTGAAGAGTTCAGTCACATGCGACCGGTGGCTCCCTGTCCCCACCCCCATGACACTCCCCAGCCCTCCAAGGCCACTGTGTTTCCTAGTTAGCTCAGAGCCTCAGTCGATCCCTGACCCAGCACCGGGCACTGATGAGAAAGCGGCTGTTTGAGGAGCCACCTCCCAGCCACCTCGGGGCCAGGGCCAGGGTGTGCAGCACCACTGTACGATGGGGAAACTGGCCCAGAGAGGTGAGGCAGCTTGCCTGGGGTCACAGAGCAAGGCAAAAGCAGCGCTGGGTACAAGCTCAAAACCATAGTGCCCAGGGCACTGCCGCTGCAGGCGCAGGCATCGCATCACACCAGTGTCTGCGTTCACAACAGGCATCATCAGTAGCCTCCAGAGGCCTCAGGTCCAGTCTCTAAAAATATCTCAGGAGGCTGCAGTGGCTGACCATTGCCTTGGACCGCTCTTGGCTGTCGAAGAAGATTCTCCTGTCACAGTTTGAGCTGGGTGAGCTTAGAGAGGAAAGCTCCACTATGGCTCCCAAACCAGGAAGGAGCCATAGCCCAGGCAGGAGGGCTGAGGACCTCTGGTGGCGGCCCAGGGCTTCCAGCATGTGCCCTAGGGGAAGCAGGGGCCAGCTGGCAAGAGCAGGGGGTGGGCAGAAAGCACCCGGTGGACTCAGGGCTGGAGGGGAGGAGGCGATCTTGCCCAAGGCCCTCCGACTGCAGGCTCCAGGGCCCGCTCACCTTGCTCCTGCTCCTTCTGCTTCTTCTTCTCCAGCTTTCGCTCCTTCATGCTGCGCAGCTTGGCCTTGCCGATGCCCCCAGCTTGGCGGATGGACTCTAGCAGAGTGGCCCAGCCACCGGAGGGGTCGACCACTTCCCTGGGAGCTCCCTGGACTGGAGCCGGGAGGTGGGGAACAGGGCAAGGAGGAAAGGCTGCTCAGGCAGGGCTGGGGAAGCTTACTGTGTCCAAGAGCCTGCTGGGAGGGAAGTCACCTCCCCTCAAACGAGGAGCCCCGCGCTGGGGAGGCCGGACCTTTGGAGACTGTGTGGGGCCTGGGCACTGACTTCTGCAACCACCTGAGCGCGGGCATCCTGTGTGCAGATACTCCCTGCTTCCTCTCTAGCCCCCACCCTGCAGAGCTGGACCCCTGAGCTAGCCATGCTCTGACAGTCTCAGTTGCACACATGAGCCAGCAGAGGGGTTTTGTGCCACTTCTGGATGCTAGGGTTACACTGGGAGATACAGCAGTGAAGCTGAAATGAAAAATGTGTTGCTGTAGTTTGTTATTAGACCCCTTCTTTCCATTGGTTTAATTAGGAATGAGGAACCCAGAGCCTCACTTGTTCAGGCTCCCTCTGCCCTAGAAGTGAGAAGTCCAGAGCTCTACAGTTTGAAAGCCACTATTTTATGAACCAAGTAGAACAAGATATTTGAAATGGAAACTATTCAAAAAATTGAGAATTTCTGACCACTTAACAAACCCACAGAAAATCCACCCGAGTGCACTGAGCACGCCAGAAATCAGGTGGCCTCAAAGAGCTGCTCCCACCTGAAGGAGACGTGCTGCTGCTGCTGTCGTCCTGCCTGGCGCCTTGGCCTACAGGGGCCGCGGTTGAGGGTGGGAGTGGGGGTGCACTGGCCAGCACCTCAGGAGCTGGGGGTGGTGGTGGGGGCGGTGGGGGTGGTGTTAGTACCCCATCTTGTAGGTCTGAAACACAAAGTGTGGGGTGTCTAGGGAAGAAGGTGTGTCAGCAGGGAGGTCCCCGGCACAGCTCCCATCCCAGAACCCAGCTCACCTGCCTTGAGAGGCTCGGCTACCTCAGTGTGGAAGGTGGGCAGTTCTGGAATGGTGCCAGGGGCAGAGGGGGCAATGCCGGGGCCCAGGTCGGCAATGTACATGAGGTCGTTGGCAATGCTGGGCAGGTCAGGCAGGTAGGATGGAACATCAATCTCAGGCACCTGGCCCAGGTCTGGCACATAGAAGTAGTTCTCTGGGACCTGCAAGATTAGGCAGGGACATGTGAGAGGTGACAGGGACCTGCAGGGGCAGCCAACAAGACCTTGTGTGCACCTCCCATGGGTGGAATAAGGGGCCCAACAGCCTTGACTGGAGAGGAGCTCTGGCAAGGCCCTGGGCCACTGCACCTGTCTCCACCTCTGTCCCACCCCTCCCACCTGCTGTTCCAGCTGCTCTCTCTTGCTGATGGACAAGGGGGCATCAAACAGCTTCTCCTCTGTCTCTGCCCCCAGCATCACATGGGTCTTTGTTACAGCACCAGCCAGGGGGTCCAGGAAGACATACTTCTTCTACCTACAGAGGCGACATGGGGGTCAGGCAAGATGACACCCGCTGTCCTGAGCCCATGTTCCTCTCCCACATCATCAGGGGCACAGCGTGCACTGTGGGGTCCCAGGCCTCCCAAGCCGAGCCACCCCAGTCACCCCCTGGCTCCTGGGCTATGTGCTGTACCTGTGTCTGATGCCCTGGGTCCCCACTAAGCCAGGCCGGGCCTCCCGCCCACACCCCTCGGCCCTGCCTTCTGGCCATACAGGTTCTCGGTGGTGTTGAAAAGCAGCAAGGAGCTGACAGAGCTGATGTTGCTGGGAAGACCCCCAAGTCCCTCTTCTGCATCGTCCTCAGGCTCCGGCTTGGTGCTCACGCACACAGGAAATTCCTTCAGCTTCTCCTGGGAGGGCCAGGATGGCCAAGGGATGGTGAATATTTGGTGCTGGGCCTAATCAGCTGCCACCCCATCCCAGTCAGCCTCCTCTGGGGGACAGAACCCTATGGTGGCCCCGGCTCCTCCCCAGTATCCAGTCCTCCTGGTGTGTGACAGGCTAAGTTATGTGCGCAGCCAGCAGACCTGCAGGGCCCGCTCGTCCAGGGGGCGGTGCTTGCTCTGGATCCTGTGGCGGGAGCGTCTCTGCAGGCCAGGGTCCTGGGCGCCCGTGAAGATGGAGCCATATTCCTGCAGGTGCTCTGGAGCAGGGTACTTGGCACTGGAGAACACCTGTGGACACAGGGACAAGTCTGAGGGGGCCCTAAGAGGCTCAGAGGGCTAGGATTGCTTGGCAGGAGAGGGTGGAGTTGGAAGCCTGGGCGAGAAGAAAGCCCAAGGTACAGGTGGGCAGCAGGGCAGAGAATGGGCGGCCTCAGAGGCACGGGGAAAAGTCTCAGGACACAGGGGTATGGGGACTACCTTGATGGCCTTCTTGCTGCCCTTGATCTTCTCAATCTTGGCCTGGGCCAAGGAGACCTTCTCTCCAATGGCCTGCACCTGGCTCCGGCTCTGCTCTACCTGCTGGGAGATCCTGCCATGGAGAAGATCACAGAGGCTGGGCTGCTCCCCACCCCCTGCACACCTCCTGCTTCTAACAGCAGAGCTGCCAGGCCAGGCCCTCAGGCAAGGGCTCTGAAGTCAGGGTCACCTGCTTGCCAGGGCCGATCTTGGTGCCATCCAGGGGGCCTCTACAAGGATAATCTGACCTGCAGGGTCGAGGAGTTGACGGTGCTGAGTTCCCTGCACTCTCAGTAGGGACAGGCCCTATGCTGCCACCTGTACCTGCTATCTGAAGGACAGCCTCCAGGGCACACAGAGGATGGTATTTACACATGCACACATGGCTACTGATGGGGCAAGCACTTCACAACCCCTCATGATCACGTGCAGCAGACAAAGTCGCCTCTGCAGAGGGGGAATGGAGACCGGAGGCTGAGACTGGCAAGGCTGGACCTGAGTGTCGTCACCTAAATTCAGACGGGGAACTGCCCCTGCACATAGTGAACGGCTCACTGAGCAAACCCTGAGTCCCGACCACCGCCTCAGTGTGGTCTAGCTCCTCACCTGCTTCCATCCTCCCTGGTGCGGGGTGGGCCCAGTGATATCGGCTGCCTGCTGTTCCCCAGATGTGCCAAGTGCATTCTTGTGTGCTTGCGTCTCATGGAACGCCATTTCCCCAGACATCCCTGTGGCTGGCTCCTGATGCCCGAGGCCCAAGTGTCTGATGCTTTAAGGCACATCACCCCACTCATGCTTTTCCATGTTCTTTGGCCGCAGCAAGGCCGCTCTCACTGCAAAGTTAACTCTGATGCGTGTGTAACACGACATCCTCCTCCCAGTCGCCCCTGTAGCTCCCCTACCTCCAAGAGCCCAGCCCATGCCCACAGGGCCACACTCCACGTGCAGAGCAGCCTCAGCACTCACCGGGCACGAGCGAGCCTGTGTGGTGCGCAGGGATGAGAAGGCAGAGGCGCGACTGGGGTTCATGAGGAAAGGGAGGGGGAGGATGTGGGATGGTGGAGGGGCTGCAGACTCTGGGCTAGGGAAAGCTGGCATGCCTCTAAAGGTTGGAATGAATGGCCTAGAACCGGACCCAATAAGCCAAAGCCACTTCCACCAACGTTAGAAGGCCTTGGCCCCCAGAGAGCCAATTTCACAATCCAGGAGTCCCCGTGCCCTAATGGGTCTGCCCTGATTACTCCTGGCTCCTTGTGTGCAGGGGGCTCAGGCATGGCAGGGCTGGGAGTACCAGCAGGCACTCAAGCGGCTTAAGTGTTCCATGACAGACTGGTATGAAGGTGGCCACAATTCAGAAAGAAAAAAGAAGAGCACCATCTCCTTCCAGTGAGGAAGCGGGGCCACCACCCAGCGTGTGCTCCATCTTTTCTGGCTGGGGAGAGGCCTTCATCTGCTGTAAAGGGTCCTCCAGCACAAGCTGTCTTAATTGACCCTAGTTCCCAGGGCAGCCTCGTTCTGCCTTGGGTGCTGACACGACCTTCGGTAGGTGCATAAGCTCTGCATTCGAGGTCCACAGGGGCAGTGGGAGGGAACTGAGACTGGGGAGGGACAAAGGCTGCTCTGTCCTGGTGCTCCCACAAAGGAGAAGGGCTGATCACTCAAAGTTGTGAACACCAAGCTCAACAATGAGCCCTGGAAAATTTCTGGAATGGATTATTAAACAGAGAGTCTGTAAGCACTTAGAAAAGGCCGCAGTGAGTCCCAGGGGCCAGCACTGCTCGAAATGTACAGCATTTCTCTTTGTAACAGGATTATTAGCCTGCTGTGCCCGGGGAAAACATGCACCACAGCGCATCTCGAGTCAGCCGGATTTTGACGGCTTCTAACAGAATCTTGTAGACAAGATGGAGCTATGGGGGTTGGAGGAGAGAACATATAGGAAAAATCAGAGCCAAATGAACCACAGTCCCAAAGGGCACAGTTGAACAATGGACTGATTCCAGCCTTGCACGGAGGGATCTGGCAGAGTCCATCCAGTTCATTCAACACCTGGTTAGAAAACTGGGGCCAGCACACAGGGGAAGGGTAAGCTGGTTTCATGATCGAATCAAGGCTCAGACAATTTTTAAAGGCCAGAGGGTAGACTGCAATCACCAAGATGAAATTTACAGGGAACAAATGTGAAGCCCAACATTTAGGTTTTAAAAATCAAGCGTATAAATACAGAAGGTGGAGGGAACTTGTTTTAGACACAGTTCAGGTGAAGAAAGACCTGGAAACTTCTGTTAACTATAAGCTCAGTAGGGGCTAAAAGCATGTTAATCGGCATAAAAAGGCAATGAGATCTTAGGGCACACAGCTCCCCACCCCTCTTCTGCCCTTCATCCTTCTTTCAATCAGCAGGGACCGTGCACTCTCTTGGAGCCACCACAGAAAACAGAGCCCTGGACTCATGAACGAATCCATGCCAGGCACCAGTCTCAGCCACAGTCACATCCCTTTAAACTGGATCCACACAGTAAGAGGACTCTGAACTCCCCTGCAGACTGCGAAGTCAGCCTCATTCACTGCTAAGTCTCTAGCACCTGGGATGGGGCCTGATGTGTAACAGCCGCTGGCTGAACAGAAAGTGACAGATGAGCAAACATCTCAAGAAGGGTAATGAGGATGGTGATGAGCGAGAAACTCCCGACATGTGAAGATAACTGAAGGATGTTCTGGCTAAAGATCAGAAGACTTTGAGAATATGATCATTCCCTTCGAATATCAAAATATCCAAAGGGCTGTCAGGTGGAGAAGTGAGTAAACTTGTATCAGGAATAGCGGGCAGAGTTGCAAGGAAACAGATCTCTGTTCTGTTAAAAAAAAAAATTCCATAAACTGCATCACTTTGCAGAGCAATTAGGTTCCAGCTCACAAGCGCCTTCCGGGGGTGCCCCAAGGGTGAATCCTGCCTAAGGTGGAGGTAGAAGACATGACCCTGGGACTCTTTCCTTAGCCAAGAGCCCATGAGACTAAGGAACATCGTGCTTCTTGACAAAGCCCCCGGACAGTCTATTCTCTTACGGTCACAGGCTATGGTGCCGAGGACAAGTGCAGACTCAGGATCAGAAAGCTTGCAGCGTATCTGCTATCTCCATGGACTAGCAGGATGGTCTGGAAGGCTGTGTCGGGAAGGCCCTTAGGCCTCACTGGGGCCAGGCCGTTGATGAACAATGTCCACCCTGAGGGTGGGGGAATGGTGCCATTTGTTTGTCATTCCTGGTCCAGACGCCCTTGGCTTGGTGGCCTACTTCAAGGTAGGTCAGTTTACAAGCTCAGTGCTGAAGCCATACCCTATGGCACGCTCACCCAGCACTAGAGAGGAAGCTGCCTCTGTGGACATCAGGGACGGAAGTGGCTCACCCAGCCTGTTCTGCGCGTGGTCTCACTAAGGGTCCATCTTCCTCTATCTGCCCCGGAGAGGACCATCTCCAAGCATCCCTTGCTTTCCTTCTCCCCCCTCCACCCCTCACTGTTCAATAACCAGAGTGCATCCCATTTGTAGAGCACATGCTGGGGCCGTGGGAGTCAAAGACGAATCAGACGACACACATCCACATTCAAAGGGACTCAGGGCTCCTGGGGAAGTAAGAAATGAATATCAATAACCACAACATCCCACAGGCCTGGGTTTCACATCTGTTTAGCAGCAGTGTGACCCTGGGGAGGTCACTAACTGGTCTTTGCCTCAGCTTCTTCCACTGAAAAACAGGAATGGTCCCTTCTCCATCATGGGATTACTGTGAAGGTGAGAAGGAGCTGATCATGGCCCATCAACATCAGCACACCAGTCCCCCTAGAGGCTGCTGGGGAGGAAGAAGCAGGGAGCACCCACTCCTGACCCAGATTCACATTCACTGCTTCTCCTCCCCTGCCTCTGTCATGACCCCAGGGAAGCAGACGCTGAACCTGGGCTCTTGCCTTCACCTTTATCTTCTCCACTCTGGGATAATTAAGAATGACTTGCTAATTATGCAGTGATCTAGTGCAATGTGTAACCTTCGGGGCCACCAGGTGCCAATCGGTAGAGAGAACAGGGGAGAAGGAAGGATGGAGGAAGCGAGGACAAGGGGAAAGGGGAAAGGAGGAAGGGGAGAAGAAAGGAAGAGGTGGGGAAAAGGACAAAGAGATGGAGGAAAGGACCAAGAGCTTCGCAGAGAAAATCACCCTTCCCAGGGGGAAGGTGCTGGGCAGTGGCACTGCCTCTTGGGGGAAGAGGTTGGGCAGGGGCTGACGGGCAATGGCAGATGACAGCATCCAAACTTCCACACACAGAGTCTGTTCCTTCCTCTTCCCCGTGCCATCCCAACTCCCTTCTGCCTTGTCATCTACGTCATGGGAAGCAGGTGACATATCTGGCAAGTTATTTTGGGGGCCTGGCTTCTCCCAGGTGAAGAGGGAGCAGCAGCTGGAGGGGCAGAAAGAGGGGACAGGGAGGGGCTGGAGGGCACAGCTGAAGACAGCCTGGGAGGTGACTGTCATCCCCTCCAGTCTCTGCACACTCCCGGCTGCAGCAGAGCAGGAGGAGAGAGCACGGCCTGGAATGCTAATTTGCCAGGAGCTCACCTGCCTGCGTCACTGGGCACAGACGCCAGTGAGGCCAGAGGCCGGGCTGTGCTGGGGCCTGAGATGGGGTGGTGGGGAGAGAGTCTCTCCCCTGCCCCTGTCTCTTCCGTGCAGGAGGAGCATGTTTAAGGGGAAGGGTTCAAAGCTGGTCACATCCCCAACAAAAAAGCCCACGGACAACGAAAAGCCCACTCGCTTGTCCAGTGCCACAGGAGGGGGCAAGTGGAGGAGGAGAGGTGGCGGTGCTCCCCACTCCACTGCCAGTCGTCACTGGCTCTCCCTTCCCTTCATCCTCGTTCCCTATCTGTCACCATTTCCTGTCGTCGTTTCCTCTGAATGTCTCACCCTGCCCTCCCTGCTTGCAAGTCCCCTGTCTGTAGCCTCACCCCTGTCGCATCCTGACTACAATAACAGCTTCTGGGTGTCCCCGGCATCCACTCTCTCTCCCTTCTTATCCCTTCCGTGACGGATGCCTGAGGAACCTTCCCCAAACTCTTCTGTCCCATCCCTGCCCTGCTCAAAATCCAATCACAGCTCCCTAACGCTCCTGAATCAACGTGAAGTCCTGTCTTGAGTAATCCGTGGGCCCTAACTCACTCATCCCAACTCTTCACTCACTGCCTTGCCCCACACCCTGCCAGGGAGCCTCCCGTGGCACCGTGGGGACACAAAGGAACCAGGGCAAAGCTCCCTCAGCCCCATTCAAAGAGGCCTGGCCCACAGGCTCACGGAAAGTCAGCCTCTCATGCCCCGAGAGCTGAGTGCAAGGGAGAGGCAGCGCTGTCTGTGCTTCCCATGCAGAAGCTCCCCCCTCCCACCCCTGTGCAGGCCGGCCTTCGCGGCAGACCACCATACACCACGTTCCAAGCCACACTGAGGCCTCCCTCCAAGCCTGCAGCCCCCATTTCCAGACCCCACCAGGGCAACCTGCATATCCACCTCCCTACCCTGCCCCCCTCTTCCAGGAGTCTGCCCTATGTGGAGTAAGCAAGTGGTTTTACTCTTCAGCAACTATTTCCTTTTTACTCAAGCAATGGCCCCATTTCCCTTGGGGAATCCATCTCTCTCGCAGGCTTAGTCCCAGAGCTTCAGGTGGGGCTGCCCACAGAGCTCCTCAGTCTAAGCCAAGTGGTTGTGTCATAGTCCCCTGGCCCCATTAATGGATTCTGGGATAGACATGAGGACCAAGCCAGGTGGGATGGGTGAGTGTGGCTTCTGGAGGAAGTGGGGACACAGGAGAGCATTCTTTCCTGCTGGACCTGACCCTGTGTCGTGTCACCTTGCTACCACGACAGCATGGCCTGTCTGGGAATGCAGCCAGACCCAAAGAAGCAAACTGACATGGAAGAAAAGCAAAACCAGGCCCTGAGGACATCATTTTAGCCCTTACTCCGAAGGCTGCTCTACTGATTGGTTAATTTCTGCTTAGCTTGGTTTGGGGAGTTCTGACAGGCGTGCCACCAATTCTTACCGATTTCTCTCCACTCTAGACCCTGAGAAGCCCACGCGGTTCATGCTAGCAATTAACAATCAATCTCGCCCTATGTGTTCCCATTCCAGCCTCTAGGACACAGTGTCAGCCACATAATTGGTATCTCTTAAGGTCCAGCACGAGGTGGAGCACATGGTGGAGAGACAGATGCATTGACCTGGAACCCAGGAGTGAGGGAGCCAGGACTCAGGCCCAAGGCTCCTGAGAGGCATCTGGCCCTCCCTGCGCTGTGCCAGCAGCTTGGAGAACCCACACTCAATGAACGCAGCACTCCACTACCCAGGAAATGCCTTCCTGCCCTCTCCTCATCCCATCCCTGGGCAGGGGACATGCAACTGTCTACAAGGTGCCAAGTACCAGGACAGGAAAGGAAAGATGCCAAAAATCCAGCGCTGCCCTCAGAGAAGGGCAACCACGCAGTCCCCATCTTGGCAAGGAAACACAATTTCCGAGGGAATGGTTTTGGCCTCCATTCTAAGTGCTGGACATGGGGTGGCCATAATCTGGAGCTGATGGCTCTTAAAGACCTGCATCCTCTTCCCTAGGCGTCCCTCAGGCACATTTAGCACAAAGATAAGCACAAAAGGTGCATCCAGCACTTTGTTACTATTGGTGGCAGGTTCATGAATGGCAACCAAAGGCAGTGTACGGGTCAAGATTATCAACAGGGAAGAGACAGCATTTCCTGAAGGCTTCCTAGGTGCCAGGCACTGTTCCATTCCTTTGCATGTTTTGATTAATTTAATATTTACAATAATTCTACCAGGAAGCTACCATTATTACCACAACTTCACAAATGAGAACACCGAGGCTTAGAGGGGTTGGGTTGCCCAAGGTTACAGAGGAAGAAAACAGGGGAGCTGGATCTGAGCCAAGGCATCAACTCCAAGGTAACCCCTCAGTCACTTCAGTGTGTGTCCCCTGGTTACTGGGACATTCTTGACAAGCTTGGGGCAAGCCGGTGAGTCAGTGGGGGAGGACTTTCAGGAAGAGGTGGGTTCCCAGTTGGTGACAGAAGAGGAGGCTGCAAAGTGAAGGAGCAGGGGCTCCAGGTCTGGCGACAACCAGGGAAGGGACAGGGCAGGGATGGCTTGGACCACGAGAGGCACCTGAGTCAGGCAGTCACATACTTCCCGCTGGGGTCTACCATGTGAGGCATGGTGTGGGATCCTGGGAAGGAGACCAAGCCTCATTTCAGTTTGCTTATGGCCAAAGACAGGACCTGTGTACCCGACAACCCCTGGGACCTTTGCCAAAAAAACAGCAAACACCATTCACTCACTCATGTAAGATAAACACTGAGTGAAGTCACTGGAGCCCAAGGACTGTGCGAGGTCAGCGCTGCCAATACAAGAAGCTGCACCCCTCCAGCTCGCCTCCCTCAATGGCCACTCCGTGCTCCAGCCATGCTGGCTTCCTTTTAGGTCCTCCACCTCCAGGCTGTAGTTCATGTGCTTCTTTCTGGAATGTTCTTCCCAACCCACCCACTCAACCCTCAGACTTTACCATAAATGTCATTTCCTCACATCTGCCTTCCCTGACCTGAGACCAAGCCAGGCTTCCCATGACGAGCCTCACAGTACCCCATCTCCCCTGAACAGATGCAGTAATAACCTACGTAACCCGGGGCCATGATCTATGGCTTTGAATCCTGGCTCTGTCACTAGGCCAGGTCTCTCAGCCTTTCTGTGCCTCAGTTTCCTCATCTGTAAAATGAGATGACGGCAGTGCCTGCTCATGAAGTGTGAGTTAATGCACTCAAATCAATGGTGGTGCACGGTTTATATGAATATTAGTGATTACAAAATATTATCAATAGACCTTGTCACAACTGTTATTGAAGAACTAATCATCTATTGCTTATTTAGGTCTTTCTCTCCTGCCAGAATGTGCGCTCCAGGTGGAGAGGTATGTTGCCTTATCCATGGCTGGATATATAGAGATTCCCACACTGCCTTGCACACGAGCACTGCTGGGTAAATATTTGTTGGCTGCAGGAAAACGTGAAGGAATAGGCCCTCCAATGGGAGGAAAAGCATGAGTTGTGAGAGCAGAGCCACCACAGGAAACCAGGAGGCTAAGTGGGGTGGAAGGGAGTGAGCTCTCGGACTCCCAGGAGTAAAAGCTTCCAAGTTGGGCTCTCACTTCAGCCCCTCCCACACAGGGAAACCAGATGGGTTCCCCAGGACCAGGATTCCCCAAGGGGGCTGCTCCCAGAGGGTGTGTTGCTGGGATTGCCCAGGACAGGGATGGCCCTCTCATCAGGTGGGGGTGAGTGGCAGCACCCACCTGCTGAAGATGTCTCCAGAGACCTTCTGCAGGTACTGCAGGGCATCCGCCATCTGCTGGACGGCCTCCTCTCGCCGCAGGTCTGGCTGGATGAGGGGCACGGCATAGGTCTGACCTGCCAGGGAGTGCTGCATCCTCACAGGAGTCATGGTGCCTGTGGGTCGGAGCCGGAGCATCAGAGCCACCCACGACCACCGGCACGCCCCCACCACAGGGCAGCGTGGTGTTGAGACAACACAGCCCTCATCCCAACTATGCACATAGCTTCAGCCTGCACAGATAGGGGAGTAGGGGACAGAGCATTTGCTGAGAGGCCAGGAGCGCATAGATGGGACTCTGCTGATGCCTGCTGAGTGAATGAGGGAAAGGGCAGGGCCAGGGACTGGGGAATCTCTAGGGTCAATGGAGGAGTTCAGAGAAGGTGCAACATTTCTGACCCCCTACAAGGTGCTTGCTACCTGCCAGGCACCCTTTCCATACCTTGTCTCAGTTCAGCTCCCCACCTTGGATAAACAAGAAACCTTGGTTGCAGAGGAAAAAAGAGGCTGGAAACAAAGGGGTAGAAATGGGGTAGCGGGGGAGATTGCCTGATCAACTGCCAAATGGTACACAGTTCTGGAAAAGCACAAAAAATGTGCACACACGGGTTCTTCCCACTTTAACCCCTGAGGAATTTGAGGTCTGCTCCTGAAACAGACTGGGCAGTGGCTAGTGACTCTAGGTATAGGAGTATCCAGCCCTGCTCACCCAGGCTAGAGCTTAGGGGGCCAAGAGGAAAGAGGTGCCTGTGGGGGTGGAGGACAGGAAGGAAAAACACTCCTGGAATTGCACAGTGAGGGGAGAGTCTATTTATATTGGGTTTAATTAACTCCTCTCCCTGGTGCCACTACAGCAGCAATCACACTGCAGACAGCACTGATTTGATTGGCAAGAGATGCACCAGGCAGAATATTAAGGGACCAGGCCCCTATAAATAGGCCTAATCACAGCCCCTCGCTGGAAAATGGTAAGGAAGACATTAATCAGGCCTGGCACTATGCCCTAGACCTGCTCCCCTAGGCACTACAGTGGGGCCCTTGGTTGCAACACAAGTAGGTAGGGATGGATGAGTGTGGCATGAAGGGCCTAGGAGATTTCATTTGGGTTTAAAATGCTGTGACCTTGAGTAAGTTGCCGTCTCTGAATCTGATCCTTTCGATTTCCCATTCTCCAAACTGAGAACTAGCACTGCTGAGACGTGGTTATTCCCAATAATAATTTGTATATTTTACATAACATACCACACCGGATTCACCCAGCTGAAGCCTACTCCTTTGCTCCCCCTGCTGGCTTCCCCAGCCCTCCCTTCTGCCCTCCTCAGGCCAGCACTTTTCAGTGAGTTCCTCCTTTGCATACAGGCTTTCCAGATCTGTACTTGCCTAGAATACTCATCAGAGCCCAGGAGTTACTCCTCACCTCGCACTTATTTTTCCTCCCATCAAATAACTAAAGCATGGCCAGCTGATGCCCAGCCAACTGAGAAACCTAACCCTCTGAGACCAGCACACCCCTTTCAAGCATGTTCCTCCCTCCCCTTCTTTGTATTTATACTGATGCAAGTTTGCTGGCTGTCCTAACTTATTTCTGTGCCTCAGTTCTCCCATATGTAAGATCACAAAGGGGGTAAAGATGCAAGATATTTCCTGTGCACATCTTCAGATGAATTTCTTGTTAGTGTGTGTGTGTTTGCTCACACATATGCGTGAAAGAAGAGTACATACACAAATCTCCTCAAAAAGGAGACAGCAAGCCCGTTCAAGAATGGGACTGAATACACCTGATGAGTGGTTTACTTTCTGTCTGCAAACATCTACTGATCATCTGTTAGGTGCAGACCATGATCACAACAAAGACGAATAAGACACTACACTAGCCAGGGAGAGTCTCAAAAACAACTAAACTCAAATTAAATTCATTCTACTCCAGTCATGAGTACAAAGCTAAGGAGTGACAAATCCCTCTTGGAGTTAGGGGAGTCAGGAAAAAGCTCTTAGCAGAATGTGTGCCTCTCGGCCGGGCGCATCGGCTCACGCCTGTAATCCCAGCACTTTGGGAGGCGAAGGCAGGCAGATCACCTGAGGTCGGGAGTTCGAGACCAGTCTGACCAACATGGTGAAACTCCATCTCTACTAAAAATACAAAATTAGCCAGGCGTGGTGGTGCATGCCTGTAATCCCCGCTACTCGGGAGGCTGAGGAAGGAGAATCACTTGAACCAGGGAGGTGGAGGTTGCAGTGTGCCAAGATCGCGCCATGGCACTCCAGCCTAGGCAACAAGGGTGAACCAGGTCCAGGAAGAAGGTGCAAAGACAGCATTCCAGGTAAAAGAAACAGCTTGAACAAAAAGTGTGTAGGGGAACCGCAAGCGGTCTTGAGTGCTGAGGGTACAATCATCCTTGGGGAAGTACTAGAAGAAAGAATGATAAACAGAGGCCAGTTTGTTAAAAACACTCAAAATTAAAGCTAGGAGTTTGGACTTGTGGCAGGAATGAAATCCTTAGACCTGTGCTGTCCAATATGGTAGCCACCAGGCACATGCAGCCACTGAGCACTTGAAATGTGGATAGTCTGAATTGAGATGTGCCATAAGTGTAAAATATGCACCAAATTTCAAAGACTAGAAAAAAAGAATGTAAAATATCTTATTATTTTATATTGATTACATGCTAAAATAACCATATTTGGGATATACTGGATTTTAAAAATATATCACTAATTTCATCTGTTTCTTTTTACTTTTAGAAATCACATATGTGACTTAAATATTTCTTTTCTTTTTCTTTCCTCTCACTCAGCGTCCTGTGATTCCAAAGAAATGAGTCTCTGCTGTTTTTGGGCAGCAGATATCCTAGAATGGACTCTGACCTAAGCATCAAAATTAATCATCATAACGTTATCATTTTATGGCCCCTTCTTCCTATATCTGGTAGCTTTTAAATGATGACCATGTAGATAATCTTTATTGTCCCTCTTTCAGCAGACGGTATTTTCTTATGCTACAGTATGACTGCTAATAATACCTACACATGTTAGAACCATTCTGACTCCTCAAGAATCTCATTTAACTCTTATTATCAGTGAATTTATCATCATCCCCTATTTTACATAAGGAAATGGGGTTAGAAAGACCAAATAACATTTTTTCAACATCAAAACACTAGCTTGAGATCAAGCCCAGACTTGGATCTGTCGTCTGAATTCCAAGCTTTTTGTTATTGATATGTTTTGTTGTTTTCATGCAATAATGCAAATCTTAGCCCAAACATTTTGTTAGTAGTACCAACTGTAAGTCACCTTATCTTCATACTTTGTCTTTATGTAAACCTAAATTAGATCTGTTTTTGATACTGAGGGAAAAACAAGGGAATCTAACACTAACCAGCCCGTAGTGTGTGGTCAACACTTTCGTTACTTTAGTATACATCACCCCAATTGTTTGTCTTCACCACACACTTTGGAGTTAGGTAGTAGTATCTATTTTTACAAATAAGAAAACCCAGGCACAAAGGGGTTGATTAGCAATTATCTTTTGAAAAGCCTGTAGTTGCTCATCTGAAGAAGTGATGGACCACCTCTTATTTAGTGGACAGACAGTAACTAGTTGAGAAGACAGGGGATTTTGTTGGCGGAAAAAAAATTTTATCAAAAGTCGTCTTCTATCAGGGAGTTTTATGAGAAACCCTAGCTCCTCAGTTCCACAGTGGGTAACTGTAATTCATTCTAGGTCTGCGATATTTCCTGCCTATCCATTTTGTTAACTCTTCAATGCATTCCACAAATACCTAAGTATTATTTAATAATGGTGGGGTTTTTTTTTTTGCATCTATGAAGTTTTTTCAAATTCTTTTTAAGTGACAAAACTTGTACATGTGTATCGCACAATATTTCTAGTCGACAGCACTGCTTTACAGAATGTAAACCGTGCACTCCCAGGAAAATGCAGACACAGCACGCCTCTTTGGGACCGCGGTTTATACTTTCGAAGTGCTCGGAGCCCTTCCTCCAGACCGTTCTCCCACACCCCGCTCCAGGGTCTCTCCCGGAGTTACAGGCCTCGCTGTAGGCCCCGGGAACCCAACGCGGTGTCAGAGAAGTGGGGTCCCCTACGAGGGACCAGGAGCTCCGGGCGGGCAGCAGCTGCGGAAGAGCCGCGCGAGGCTTCCCAGAACCCGGCCGGGGCGGGAAGACGCAGAAGTGGGGAGGCGGAACCGGGACCCCGCAGAGCCCGGGTCCCTGCGCCCCACAAGCCTTGGCTTCCCTGCTAGGGCCGGGCAAGGCCGGGTGCAGGGCGCGGCTCCAGGGAGGAAGCTCCGGGGCGAGCCCAAGACGCCTCCCGGGCGGTCGGGGCCCAGCGGCGGCGTTCGCAGTGGAGCCGGGCACCGGGCAGCGGCCGCGGAACACCAGCTTGGCGCAGGCTTCTCGGTCAGGAACGGTCCCGGGCCTCCCGCCCGCCTCCCTCCAGCCCCTCCGGGTCCCCTACTTCGCCCCGCCAGGCCCCCACGACCCTACTTCCCGCGGCCCCGGACGCCTCCTCACCTGCGAGCCGCCCTCCCGGAAGCTCCCGCCGCCGCTTCCGCTCTGCCGGAGCCGCTGGGTCCTAGCCCCGCCGCCCACAGTCCGCCCGCGCCTCCGGGTCCTAACGCCGCCGCTCGCCCTCCGCTGCGCCCTCCCCGAGCGCGGCTCCAGGACCCCGTCGACCCGGAGCGCTGTCCTGTCGGGCCGAGTCGCGGGCCTGGGCACGGAACTCACGCTCACTCCGAGCTCCCGACGTGCACACGGCTCCCATGCGTTGTCTTCCGAGCGTCAGGCCGCCCCTACCCGTGCTTTCTGCTCTGCAGACCCTCTTCCCAGACCTCCGTCCTTTGTCCCATCGCTGCCTTCCCCTCAAGCTCAGGGCCAAGCTGTCCGCCAGCCTCGGCTCCTCCGGGCAGCCCTTGCCCGGGGTGCGCCCCGGGGCAGGACCCCCAGCCCAGGCCCAGGGCCCGCCCCTGCCCTCCAGCCCTACGCCTTGACCCGCTTTCCTGCGTCTCTCAGCCTACCTGACCTTGTCTTTACCTCTGTGGGCAGCTCCCTTGTGATCTGCTTAGTTCCCACCCCCCTTTAAGAATTAAATAGAGAAGCCAGACGCAAAACTACAGATATCGTATGAGTCCAGTTTTGTGAAGTGCCTAGAATAGTCAAAATTCACAGAGACAGAAGCAGTGGTCGCCAGGAATGGGGAAGCAAGGCGGAGTTGGGCAGCTCGTGTTCAATGGGTAGAGTTTCAGGCTGGGGTGATGGAAGGGTGCTGGAAATGAGTGGTAGTGATGGCGGCACAACGGTGTGAATCTACTTAATCCCACTGAACTGTATGCTGAAAAATGGTTTAGACGGTGAATTTTAGGTTATGTATGTTTTACCACAATTTTTAAAAAGCTAGTGAAAAGCTGGTAAAAAGAAAGAAAAGAGGCTTTTTTAAAAAGTTAAATATATAAAAAGAGCATCATCAGTCAAGTCCAGCAGTTGTCCCTCCTGGAATCCGTTGGCTTGCCTCCGGCATTTTTGGCCCTTGCCTTTTAGGGTTGCCAGATTAAAAGACAGGATGCCCAGCTAGTTTGAATTTTAGATAAACAACGAATAATTTCGTAGCGTAAATATGTCCCAAGCTTAGTTTGGGACATACTTATGCTAAAAAACATTATTGGTTGTTTATCTGAGATTCAGAATTAAGCATTTTATATTTTATTTGCTGCCTCTGGCCACCCTACTCTCTTCCTAACACTCTCTCCCTCTCCCAGTTTTGTCCGCCTTCCCTGCCTCCTCTTCTGGGGGAGTTAGATCGAGTTGTAACAAGAACATGCCACTGTCTCGCTGGCTGCAGCGTGTGGTCCCCTTACCAGAGGTAAAGAAGAGATGGATCTCCACTCATGTTGTAGACAGAATGTTTATGTCCTCTCCAAATGCTTATGTTGAAACCCTAACCCCTAATGTGATGGTATGTGGAGATGGGCCTTTGGTAGGTAATTACGGTTAGATGAGGTCATGGGGTGGGGCCCTCATTATAGATCTGGTAAGAAAAGAGAGCATTGTCTCTGTGTCTCCCTCTCTCTCTCTCTCTCTCTCTCTCTCATTTCTCTCTATCTCATTTCTCTCTCTCTCTCTATCTCATTTTTCTCTCTCTCTCTTTCTCTCCTCTGTCTTTTCCCACCAAGTGAGGATGCGAAGAGAAGGTGGCTGTCTGCAAACCAGGAAGAGAGCCCTCACCGGGAACCCGTCCAGCTGCCACCTTGAACTTGGACTTCCAAGCCTCCAGAACTGTGAGGGATAAATGTATGATTTTAAAGTCGCCCAGTGTGTGGTATTTTGTTTTGACTAATACAACCTGAAAACATTTTCCCCTCACTCCACCTGAGCAATATCTGAGTGGCTTAAGGTACTCAGGACACAACAAAGGAGAAATGTCCCATGCACAAGGTGCACCCATGCCTGGGTAAAGCAGCCTGGCACAGAGGGAAGCACACAGGCTCAGGGCTCTGCTATTCATTCTTTGTGTGACCCTGGGCAAGCCATGAATGGAGCTTCAGTCACCCCATTTGTAATGGGATTTAATTGTGCTTGCCCTGCCTCCTTTTGAGGGCTGTAGAGAAAAGATGTCAAAGTATTTTGTAATCTGGCTGGGCGTGGTGGCTCATGCCTGTAATCCCAGCACTTTGGTAGGCTGACGCGAGAGGACTGCTTGAGCCCAAGAGTTTGAGATCAGCCTGGGCAATATTGTGAGATTCCATCTCTACAAAAATAAAATAAAATAGCCAGTCATGGTGTCACACACCTGTAGTCCCAGCTACATGGGAGGCTGAGGTGGGAGGATCACTTGAGCTTGGGAGATCGAGGCTGCAGTGAGCTATGATTGTACCACTGCACTCCAGGCTGGGCGACAGAGAGAGACCCTGTCTCAGAAAAAAAAAAAGTACTTGGTAATCTGTAAGGTTTATTTCAACACACACAAAAAAAGTGTATATGCTCCACGATGCCTGTGAATATACACACACACCACATCATATACCAAGCCTGGCTGTGTCTTCTCACAAATGCACTGCTAGGCACCACCCCCAGTTCTAGAATCACACCAGCCAGTTCACCCTCCAGATGGTTCACCCTCAACTTCATAAAAGTTCCCTACCTAATCTACTGACAGGCGCATCCCCGACCTAATTTTAAAGATTTCCTAGGAGCTGCAATGGGAATCCTGGACCTCAGCCTGGACAAAGAACAGCTGCAGGTCATTCTCATGTGTGGACACGGAAGCCCTGCCTGCCTTTGCTGGCCAGCTGGGCTGAGTGGGCCTGGGAAATTAAGGCTGCAGGGTTGGTCCCAGGCAGTCTTGCTGAAGCTTGCCACATCCCCCAGCCTCCTGGATTTGCCAGGATCCAAGAGCATGGACTTTAGGAATTCCTGGTGGAGGAGTGAAGAAAATGTGACAGGGTGTCCTAAGCCCCGATCTACAGGAAGAAAACTGGAAATAAGACTGAGGACTTAGTTTAAGATGTTCCTACTCAGCCTCTAGCTTTTGTGCTACAGTTCCGGGAACAGACTCCTCTCTCCTGAAAACCACTTCCCTCCGCAGCATTAAATTTCACCAAGATGTCTTGCTTGTGGGAAAGACTTCCAAGGATGCCTGGAGAGAGGAGGATGGAAATGTCCTGCTCTCTAAACAGATAGACAGATGCAGCCAGACAGAAAATAGTTTATCTTGCTGAGGTTTCTAATGTATTTGAAAGAGGCCTGGGTCTAGAAGTCTACCCAGAGGGCTCTGTGTTGTGCACGCAAAGATAAGAACCTTCCCTGTGGGAGTTCCAGAGCCAGTTTTCATAAACACCCATCGGTGACTGTGTTCAGAGTGAGTTCACACCATCCTGACCTGCCCTGAGTTAGACCTTACATGGTCTTCCTCCTCTAGGAAGCCTCTGCAGCCCAGGAACCTCCCCTTATCTGAAATGAACAGCATTTGAAGCTTCACCAGACAGACCAGACAGCTTAGCCCTCGTGTTGTGCTATGTGGGTTGTTCTCTGAGAGGCAGGAGAGCATAGTGGTTACTAGGAAGGGAAGGACTTTGGGACTAGACTGCCTCGGCTGGAGTCCTCTTTCTGCTTCATAGCCACGTGATCCTAGGCATGTTACCTGTGCCTCAGTTTTCACTCTATCAATATGTAATAACTGCATCTGTCTTTGTGGTGAGGATTCAGTGAGTTAACATATTTGAAGTGCTTAAAAATGAGGCTTGTGTCCATAGATTAATGAGTGAATACACAAATGGTGATATGGACATACAGTGGAGTATTAGTCATAAAAAGGAAGGCAGAGCTGATCCATGGCACCATGTGACTGAACCTCAAAAGCATTAGGTTAAGTGGAAGAAGCCAGACACAGGTCACCTATTGTGTAATTCCATTTATAGGAAATATACAGAATATGTAAATCCGTGGAGAAAGAAAGCCGATTTCCAGGGGCTAAGGGGAGGGGAGAATGGGAAGTGGCTGCTTCATGGGTACAAGGTTTCATTTTGAGCTGATGAAAATGTTTTGGAACTACATAGAGATAGTGTTGGCACAACATGGTGAATGTACTGAATGCCACTGATTGTTCACTTTAAAATGGTCAAACTTATGTGAATTTCACCTCCATTAAAAAAAAAAAAAGGACCAGACGTGGTTGCTCACACCCATAATCCCAACACTTTGGAAAAAGGTGAAAGTTTTTTTTCTTTTTTTTTTATATACTTAAGTTCTAGGGTACATGTGCATAATGTGCAGGTTGGATACATAGATATGAGTGTGCCATGTTGGTTTGCTGCACCCATCAACTTGTCATTTACATTAGGTATTTCTTCTAATGCTATCCCTCCCCCAGCCCCCCACCCACTGACAGGCCCCAGTGTATGATGTTCTCTGCCCCATGTCCAAGCGTTCTCATTGTTCAATTCCCACCTGTGAGTGAGAACATGCAGTGTTTGGTTTTCTGTCTTTGTGATAGTTTGCTCAGAATGATGGTTTCCAGCTTCATCCATGTCCCTGCAAAGGACATGAACTCATCCTTTTTAATGGCTGCATGGTATCCCATGGTATATATGTGCCACATTCTCTTAATCCAGTCTGTCATTGATGGACATTTGGGTTGGTTCAAAGTCTTTGCTATTGTGAATACTGCCACAATAAACATACATGTGCATGTGTCTTTATAGTAGCACGATTTATAATCCTTTGGGTATATACCCTAAGACCTGGGACGCATTTAAAGCAGTGTGTAAAGAGACATTTATAGCACTAAATGCCCACAAGAGACCTCTGCCTGAGAACGTGGGTTTCAGCCTAAGAGTTGTAATATGTGTGCCCATTCACAGGTGCTGCATCAGAGTCCCAGGTGGGAAGAAGGCAAGCATACACAAAAATGGTAAAAGGCAGAAAGGAGCCCAGTCTCGTTCTTTTTAAGAAGTTTTCCTAAGAATCTCCACCCAGCGACTTGCTCTCACATCTTCTTGGCCAGCACTGGACCACACAACTTCTTCTAGATACAGAGGAGTCCTAGGATTCTATGAGAAAGAAGGGGAGGGTGGGCAAAGGGCAGCCAGCTGTGCAGCATCTGCTGGAGACACCTAACCCTTGGTGGAGGGGTTGTGGTGCTGGGAGAAGGCTTTCTGGACGGTGTGACAGCAGAGATAAACTTAAAGGCCAAGTAGGAGTTACCCTGGTGAAGCAGGGCAGGGTTACAAGCATTCCAGCAACTTGAAGCAGCAGGAGTGTTTTAATTAAAAGAAGGCAGTTGCTGTAACCAACTATAAACAAATAAAGGCTTAAACACAATGGAAGTTTATTTCTCACTAAGGGAACATCCAAATCCATGATACTTTAAGTCAGGGACCCAGGTTCCTCCCATCTATGGTTCTGCCATCACTAATCTGGGTCTTCCACAATTGCCGTGCTCCTTGGAGGTGGGAAGAGCAGGTGGAGGACACGTGGGAGGTTTTAGAGACAAGCCTGGAGGCAGCATGCGTCACTCCCATGCAGAGTCCATTGGCCAATGCTGGCTCCGATGGCCACATCTCACTGCAGGGGCAGCTGGGAAATACAGTCTGGCTGTCTACCCAGGAGGAAGAGCAGCCAGTTTCTGCTGCTGATGATCAGGAGGTAGAGAAAATGTTCAGTCGGGCAGGGAGTGGGAATAGACAAGACCACAAGCAGCTTGGTGCCTCTGAAAGGGAGAGGGGTGGAGGGGAGACTAGAGAGGTGGGTAGGAATACTGGATTCCACTGACCACATGCTGGATGTCACGCTTAGCCCTCCTGCTCTGTGCCGGGTTAGGCACCTGGTGTTTTACGTACATAATCTCAATTCTGTGAGGGCATCCGACCTGTGGGAAAAGAGCTGTTTGTTTCAAATGCTACTCCTGCTTCCTAACAAGTGTTTAGAGCTTAATCGTGTTCAAAATACATATACAATGTTTAATACTTACAAGAATTTGGCGGGGAAAATATTACCATCTTTCCCTTTTATGATTGGAGAAAAATGAGGCTTTGAAGGGTTTAAGAACTTGCCCAAGGTTGGCCAGGTGCAGTGGCTCATGTCTATAATCCCAACACTTTGGGAGGCTAAGGTGGGAGGATCGCTTGAGGCCAGGAGTTCAAGACCAGCCTGAGCAACATAGTGAGACTTTGTCTCTATAAAAAATAAATAAATAAATAAATAAAAAGAACTTGTCCAAGGTCAGACAGGCAGCCTCTTAGTAAGCACACATATCCTCTATATTATACTACCTCTCATGGAGGATCTCCTGTGTTCTACAAATAGTCTGGACTTGAGCCAGAATGTGTTATAATCCTGGGATCACAGCCAGTGGGCTTAGAAGAAGCCATCTCTTTCTCATGCCAAGATGAGGCTCCCCCAGATTTGCTCAGACTTACCTATAGTCAGCAGCATCGGGGGTCAGGAAAGACTTCATGAAGCCATAAATGCATCCTTCTCGGGGCAGCACCTGGCTCTCCCAGGTGAGAGAGGAATCCATTTTCACAGGCAGGTGTGGGAGCTTCAGCACCCATCTCTGGGCCCAGAATGACCCACTGGAGACCTTACAGCTCTCCTGTCACCCCCAATTCCTGCCCCCTCTGCAGCCTTGGAGGAGAATGGAGCTGAAGGGCCTGCCCTCTGTAGGGTGAGAAAGGGAGGCTAAAGCCTGGTGCCCACTGCCCTGGCTGCTCCGCATTGCAGGAGCTGCGCCCTTCCTTTCCTGGCACAGGGTCCACAGCCCCGAAACCCCGTTGTGTGGGAGCTGGGCACAGGGCAGCAGGACTAATCCTTGGAACAGCTCAGGGAGGATTATCCCAGCCACTGTCAGCAGCGGTGCAGCTGGCTCATTCCCATATAGGGGGAGGCCAGAGCCAGGGGCCTGCCACAAGTTGGAAGGCTGGGGAAGGGGAGGCCAGCAGAGGTGTCCTGGCTGTGGGTGGCTCTGAGGGGGCTCTCAGGGGTGGGGCTAAATCTCAGGGGCAGGATTATGTAAATCAAACCAATTCTAGCCACAGATTTAAAGTTTGGAAAAAAAAAAAAAAACCCAGCCTGGCGGAAAGAATTTAAATTATAAAAACTTAGAAGTATGGAATGTGAAATCATCCTGTAGGTGCTTATTTAACAACGAAATCATCCCGACACAATGAGCCATATGTGAAAAGTCCTCCTTCCCCAACACATCCCCCAACAGGCACTCCTCAAACCTCTACCACCCAAGTGCTGGCATCCTCCCTGTCCTGCTTCACCTGAGACACCCCTTGTCTCATTAGACATGCAACTACGGGAGGGGTGACAGGAAGACAAGACACTATTTCCTCAGGCCCAGTTTGGTGTGGGGAGAAAGCCTCCTGATCCTGAAAGCAAGAATTTGACCAGAGCAGAAGTAATCAGTATGCAGATTGACTCTGTGGTATGTTAATGTTTATGCATAGATTATGAGGACTAGATGAAAAGTGGGCCAGGGGAGACAGATGTGTGTGTGAGTCATGGGTGGCTGAGATGGGGACAGGAGGGAAACTGGTTCGGAGGCTGCTGGCGATGGGATGGGGGTGCCAGGAGGAAGGGAGGCAGTTGTTTGAATGTCTGCATGAAAAAGCGGAGGACGGCGGGGTCTGGGTGAATTCGGGCAACCATTTGGACGGTGGAGAAAACTGCCTGCGTGCGGCTGAGGACCTGAACTATTAATTTGTTTTTTAGCTAATGCAAAGATAAATATAAAAACTGATACTCCATCCAGTTACCAGAAAACATTTAGGTATGTGTGAGACAACTTGGGTATGTGAACCTACCTTTTCAATGTAAATTCAGTGAAATCTAAGTACAGATCCCATATTTCCAATAAAAAGGTAACATCCAAACTCAGATGTCCTATGAGTATAAAATACACAAAGATCTTCTGGACTTAGTATGAAAAGGGATTTTTTTTGTCAGGTACCTCACTAGTTATTTTTAAAATAGGATTGCATGTTGAAATGATAATCTTTTGGATATATTGGGTTAAGTAAATGTATTATTAAAGTTAATTTCACTTAAAAATGTTTAATGTAGCTACTAGAAATGTTAAAATTAAGCATGTTGCTCACCTTATGTTTCTATTGGACGGCTCTCTCTAGATACAAAGGCTGCCAAGAGGTACCTCACTCTAGCTTCAGGGAGAAGAGAGGAATTAGCAAGGCCAAGCAGAAGCTCCTGAGGGCAGAGCCAAGGGCGGCTTGGTGGGGTGGGGATGGGATGCACAGAGATAACTCCAACCCTTAGGAAGGTGTTTCCTAGAGCAGGCTGTGACCTGTCAGTTTATACACTGAGGCTTAGGAGCCTCTTGGATGCCTCCAGATCTGCACCCCTGAATTGCCCTGTGCCCCTGCCGTCTTTGTTCCTGTGCTGGCATAGTGGTCTCACCTCAGGCAGTATCACCACCACTGGGCACAAGCTTCTCCAGCACAGCAACTGTGTCTTATTTCTCCTTGTACTCCCAGTGTTCACACCATGTTGCACTCACAGAAGACTCTTCGGTGATATTTTGTGGACAGAGAGAATGCCTGTGAGAGTGGGCTGAAGTGTGCGTTGGGCTCCAGAGACCTTAAGGAGGGGAGACCAGGTCCTGAGTAAAGTTGAAGGGGAGGGGCTGAGTCCTGCTAGCCAGGAGTCTCATCCCCTGGGGAAGTTCCAGGGACCCTCAGAAGTGCAAGGGGACGGTGTTAGTGTTAGTCCAGTAACACAGCCCAGAGCCTGCCTTCCACGTGGGTTTGACAGGAACCTCCTAACTGCTCTTCTGCTTCCATTTTTGCCCCTTCAGTCTATTCTCAACAGGGAAGCCAGAGGCATCCTTAACCATGTCAGATCATGTGGCTCCTCAGCTCAAAGCCTCATCTCAGAGGAAAGCTCTGGTCCCTTAGAAATGGCCCAGGTGGTGACAGACAGACTCTAAGGTGAGCAGACTGTTGCTAGATATCTGGGCTTGGAGGACTCGCCACTGCTCAAAGGCAGTGAGGATTTTCGCACTAGAAGCTGGAGGACAGGGATCCTTGTTAGGTAGGAGCAGAAAGCTTAGAAAAGTGGTCTCCTGCAGTTATGTGGAAAACACATCATGTAAGTGATAAATTGGGTATGCAGTTGAGGAGATTTCCAAGTAAAATGTTGAGGATGCTGCCTGGTTTCTTCTTACTGCTTATAATATAGTGTGAGAGAAGAGAGATAAATTGAGAAACAGACTGGTTTTTAAACTGTTAAAATTGAATCAGGACTTGATGATTTTGAAAATTGTCAGTCTCCCCACATGGCAAAAGATGCTGAAATTAACAAATGGCTTCTGAGCATGTGGCATAGGGTGTAACTGTACAGTCTTTTGTGATTATGCATAAAGATCAAAGGATGGGAGTAGCAATGAGTCACACAGAGGTCTGTTGCAAGAGATTATAAGGGTGTACCATGCAGAACCTCTCCACCAAACCTTAGGGCCCCTGGGAAGCTTCAGTGAGTTACCCTGGGGGCCATCTTGGCAGGAGCTGAAGGTAGAAAGGTAGAGTTTATCTCTAAAAGATTCATGGGTATGGCTCTTGACAAATCGACTATGAGCCCCACTGAAACCCACAGAGGACAGGCAAAGGGTTTGGGAAAGCTGTTTCACCCACAGTGCTGGCAGATTGGTCTGTAGGGGACAGAGTGCAAAATGAAAGAAGACTGTCAGAGCCCCCAAACTCTGCTGTCAAGAAGAAGGCTGATAAAACTACTTGGCTGCAAACACGTGGATCTTTCGTGAGAAAAGAAGGATGACCCAGAGGCAGAAGCCCAGAAGGCAGAGCCAAGAGACATGGAATCTTCCCACATCTTAAAACCTGTTTAGGGGCTCCCGTCTCCCTCTCCCTCTCCCGTCTCCCTCTCCCTCTCCCGTCTCCCTCTCCCTCTCCCGTCTCCCTCTCCCTCTCATGCCGAGCCAAAGCTGGACGGTACTGCTGCCATCTCGGCTCACTGCAACCTCCCTGCCTGATTCTCCTGCCTCAGCCTGCCGAGTGCCTGCGATTGCAGGCGCGCGCCGCCACGCCTGACTGGTTTTCGTTTTTTTTTGGTGGAGATGGGGTTTCGCTGTGTTGGCCGGGCTGATCTCCAGCTCCTAACCGCGAGTGATCCGCCAGCCTCGGCCTCCCGAGGTGCCGGGATTGCAGATGGAGTCTCGTTCACTCAGTGCTCAATGGTGCCCAGGCTGGAGTGCAGTGGCGTGATCTCGGCTCGCTACAACCACCTCCCAGCCGCCTGCCTTGGCCTCCCAAAGAGCCGAGATTGCAGCCTCTGCCCGGCCGCCACCCCGTCTGGGAAGTGAGGAGCGTCTCTGCTTGGCCACCCATCGTCTGGGATATGAGGAGCCCCTCTGCCTGGCTGCCCAGTGTGGAAAGTGAGGAGCGTCTCTGCCCGGCCGCCATCCCATCTAGGAAGCGAGAAGCCCCTCTTCCCCGCCGCCATCCCATCTAGGAAGTGAGGAGCGTCTCTGCCCGGCCGCCCATCGTCTGAGATGTGGGGAGCACCTCTGCCCCACCGCCCTGTCTGGGATGTGAGGAGCGCCTCTGCTGGGCCGCAACCCTGTCTGGGAGGTGAGGAGTGTCTCTGCCCGGCCGCTCCGTCTGAGAAGTGAGGAAACCCTCTGCCTGGCAACCGCCCCGTCTGAGAAGTGAGGAGCCCCTCCGTCTGGCAACCACCCCGTCTGGGAAGTGAGGAGCGTCTCCGCCCGGCAGCCACCCCGTCCGGGAGGGAGGTGGGGGGGGTCAGCCCCCCGCCCGGCCAGCCGCCCCGTCCGGGAGGTGAGGGGCTCCTCTGCCCGGCCGCCCCTACTGGGAAGTGAGGAGCCCCCCGCCCGGCCAGCCGCCCCGTCCGGGAGGGAGGTGGGGGGATCAGCCCCCTGCCTGGCCAGCCGCCCCGTCCGGGAGGTGAGGGGCGCCTCTGCCCGGCCGCCCCTACTGGGAAGTGAGGACCCCTCTGCCCGGCCAGCCGCCCCGTCCGGGAGGGAGGTGGGGGGGTCAGCCCCCCGCCCGGCCAGCCGCCCCGTCCGGGAGGGAGGTGGGGGGATCAGCCCCCTGCCTGGCCAGCCGCCCCGTCCGGGAGGTGAGGGGCGCCTCTGCCCGGCCGCCCCTACTGGGAAGTGAGGACCCCTCTGCCCAGCCAGCCGCCCCGTCCGGGAGGGAGGTGGGGGGAACAGTCCCCCGCCCGGCCAGCCGCCCTATCCAGGAGGTGAGGGGCGCCTCTGCCCGGCCGCCCCTACTGGGAAGTGAGGAGCCCCTCTGCCTGGCCAGCCGCCCCGTCCGGGAGGGCGGTGGGGGGGTCAGCCCCCCTCCCGGCCAGCCGCCCCATCTGGGAGGTGAGGGGCACTTCTGCCGGGCCGCCCCTACTGGGAAGTGAGGAGCCCCTCTGCCCGGCCACGACCCCGTCTGGGAGGTGTGCCCAGCGGCTCATTGGGGATGGGCCATGATGACAATGGCGGTTTTGTGGAATAGAAAGGCGGGAAGGGTGGGGAAAAAATTGAGAAATCGGATGGTTGCGGGGTCTGTGTGGATAGAAGTAGACATGGGAGACTTTTCATTTTGTTCTGTACTAAGAAAAATTCTTCTGCCTTGGGATCCTGTTGATCTGTGACCTTATCCCCAACCCTGTGCTCTCTGAAACATGTGCTGTGTCCACTCAGGGTTAAATGGATTAAGGGCGGTGCAAGATGTGCTTTGTTAAACAGATGCTTGAAGGCAGCATGCTCGTTAAGAGTCATCACCACTCCCTAATCTTAAGTACCCAGGGACACAAACACTGCGGAAGGCCGCAGGGTCCTCTGCCTAGGAAAACCAGAGACCTTTGTTCACTTGTTTATCTGCTGACCTTCCCTCCACTATTGTCCTATGACCCTGCCAAATCCCCCTCTGCGAGAAACACCCAAGAATGATCAATAAAAATAAAAAAAAAAAAAAAAAAAAAAAAAAAAAAAACCTGTTTAGGGAACACCAGCATCTGTCCAGCTGGATTTCAGAACCACCATTCCTTCATCCCTCCCCTGCTACCTCTTTCTGAACAGCGATGTCTCCAGCTTCACCCACCATTGTGTGTTGCATATGTAGGGGGCAGATAGCTTGTATCTTTAGTTTTCCAGATCAGAGGAACATCCAAAGAAATCTGTTCTACACCTAAACCCGATTTAGATGAGATTCGGGACTGTGAGCATGAAGGGATCTCAACAGGGGTGAATGTGTTTTGCATGCCCAAGGGACATGAGTCTTGGGGACAGAGGACAGGCTGTGGTGGCAGATACTAAGGTGACCCCCCACAACCCCCACCTCTGCCATTCACACCCTTGAATAATCCCCTTCTCTGGTTGTAAGCAGAACCTGTGGCTTGCTTATGAAGGAGGCGGTATATATGTGATTCATGTACTGATCATATTGTATAAGATCACTGGCTGGATGCAGTGGCTCGTGCCTGTAATCCCAACACTTTGGGAGGCTGAGGTGGGTGGATCACCTGAGGTCAGGAGTTCGAGACCAGGCTGGCCAACATGGCAAAACCCCGCCTCTACTAAAAATACAAAAATTAGCCAGGCATAGTGGTGCACGCCTGTAATCACAGCTACTCAAGAGGCTGAAGCAGGAGAATTGCTTGAACTCAGGAGGTGGAGGTGGCAGTGAGCCAAGATCGTGCCACTGCACTCCAGCCTCAGTGACAGAGTGAGACTCTGTCTCAAAAAATAAATAAAATGTTAAGATCATAACCTGTCTTTCTGGGGAATCTCTATTGACGCCTTTGAAGAAGCAGGCTGCCATGTTGCAAGCTGCCTCATGGAGGGGATCAGCTGCGAGGAACTAAGAGCCCCCTCCAGTCGATGCTCACCAGGAAGCTGAGGTCTTGTGTCCAGCACCCTGCATGGAACTGAATGCTGCCATGTGAGCTTGGAAGCAGAGCCATCCACACAGCTGAGCCCCAGATGAGAACCCAGTGCTGGCTGACACCCTGATGGCACCTTACAGAGGACCAGTTAGGCTGTGCCAACTCCTGACCTGCAGAAGCTGGGGAACATTGGGTCGTATTTGCAGCTGCTGGATTTGTGGGAATTTGTCACACAGCAATTGGGAGTCACACGGCCTGTGACGCCCCAACAATCCACACCTCCTGCATCTCCCTGCCTTCACTTCCTAGCACACTGCCCTGACTCCCTCTGCCGTAGCCACGCTGGCCCTCTGCTGTTCTTCGAAGCCACCAGGCCTGCATTGGCTCCCAGCCTTTGCTCTCACTGCTTTCGCCTCCTAGAGAGCCCTTCCTGCATGTATATGTTTGACTCACTCCCTTGCCTCCTTCAGACTTGTACTTAAAAATCTCGGTAAGGATTTCCCTGGCTACCCTTTTAACAATTGCAACCCACTTCCATCCCCATCCCCAACATGCCATATTTCCTTTCTTCTTCCTTCTTCTTTTTTTTTTTGACACAGGTTCTCTCTCTGTCACCCAGCCTGGAGTGCGGTGACATGATCTCGGCTCACTGCAACCTCTGCCTCACCAGGTCAAGAGGTTCTTCTGTCTCAGCCTCTGAGGTAGCTGGGACTACAGGCACACACCATATTGTCTTTTTTTTTTTTTTTTGTAGATACAGGGTTTCACCATGTTACCCAGACTGGTCTTGAACTCCTGGACTCAAACGATCCACCTACCTCAGCCTCCCAGGCTTTCTTTCTCTCCAATGTGTTTGCCTGTTTTATTTACTGCTGTATCCCCAGGTCATAGGAAGTGCTCACTAAGTACTAGCAGAGAAAATGAGTGAGCCGTGGGGATTCATGGATGGAGGATGGTTATGCTGATGAGCAGGAAGAGACTGGGAGGCTGGAGGCCATTTTCTGGCTGGCGGACCTCCAGAGTCAGAACTCCAACACGCTCTTCCTTGACACATCCTTTACGATAGAATATGTAGTCTTGCAGGAGGGGAATGGACTGTGAGTCTATTCCTATGTTCTATAAAACACCGATGACTATGGATATACATCTGGTTGCTTTAAGTGTGTGCAGTGACCTGCACAATGTCACACCTGGTAACTGGTCGGTAGTAACAGAAGTGCCTCTCCTTTCCTCCTCTTTATACATGAGGATGGCTGGATACAGAGCAGTCAAACTTGACCAAGGTCACTCTCGTCATTTCATTCCAGACCTAGGAGACAGAAAGGAGCTCTCCTGATGCTAGTCCCCAGCTGGAGACAGTGGCTTGGTGCAAAACATCCCCAGGGGCAGCCAGCCTTCTAGGGAATGGACAGAGAGGCAAGAGCAGGCCAGCCTTCTAGGGAATGGACAGAGAGGCAAGAGCAGGCCAGCCTTCTAGGGAATGGACAGAGAGGCAAGAGCAGGCCAGCCTTCTAGGGAATGGACAGAGAGGCAAGAGCAGGCCAGCCTTCTAGGGAATGGACAGAGAGGCAAGAGCAGGCCAGCCTTCTAGGGAATGGACAGAGAGGCAAGAGCAGGCCAGCCTTCTAGGGAATGGACAGAGAGGCAAGAGCAGGCCAGCCTTCTAGGGAATGGACAGAGAGGCAAGAGCAGGCCAGCCTTCTAGGGAATGGACAGAGAGGCAAGAGCAGGCCAGCCTTCTAGGGAATGGACAGAGAGGCAAGAGCAGTGGGCTCAAAGCCAGCTCCACTGGGAAGTGCAGACAGCCTCAGGACAGACCTCCACCCTGGGGAGGAGCCACCATGGTCACCTGGCTGAATGTGGGTTGAATTTGGATCAGACAGGATGATGAGGGAGCTGCCACTTGCCGGACGCCAGATGCCCCTGGCTGACACACAGAAGGGCAGATGTGGTCCCGGCTCCCAGGGGAGCAGGGTTCTCTGGGCGTTGGCCAGGCAAAGAAGAGCCAGAGAACCAGAGTGGCCCCGCCAGGCCTTCCTCTGTCCAGCTCTCCTGTGCACTCCTCCTCTCCCTTCCTTCCCTCTTCTGCCTGACTTCCTCTTCTGGCACTGTCCTTCCTTGTTTCTGTTTCCCCTCTCTCCCTCTTGTCTTTACCTCCTTGGGTTTATTTTATTTTATTTTAAGCTCTAGGATACATGTGCAGAATGTGCAGGCTTGTTACATAGGTAAATGTGTGCCAAGGTGGTTTGCTGCACCTATCAACCCGTCACCTAGGTATTAAGCCCCACATGCATTAGCTATTTGTCCTGATGCTCTCCCTCCCCTCACCCCCACAACACGCCCTGGTGTGTGTTGTTCCCCTCCCTGTATCCATGTGCTTTCATTGTTTAGCTCCCACTTATGAGTGAGAACATGCAGTGTTTGGTTTTCTGTTCCTGTGTTATTTTGCTGAGGACGATGGTTTCCAGTTCTATCCGTGTCTCTGCAAAGGACATGATCTCATTCCTTTTTACGGTTGCATAGTATTCCATGCTGTATATGTACCACATTTTCTTTATCCAGTCTATCACTGATGGTCATTTGGATTGGTTCCATGTCTTTGCTATTGTGAATAGTGCTGCAATAAACATACGTGTGTATGTGTCTTTATAAAAGAATGATTTCTATTCCTTTGGGTATATACCCAGTAATGGGATTCCTGGGTCAAATGGTATTTCTGGTTCTGGACCCTTGAGGAATTGCCACGCTGTCTTCCACCATGGTTGAACTAATTTACATTCCCACCAACAGTGTAAAAACATTCCTGTTTCTCCACAGCCTCCCCAACATCTGCGTTTCTTGACTTTTTAATAATCGCCATTCTGACTGGCATAAATGGTATCTCACTGAGGTTTTGATTTGCATGTCTCTAATGATCAGTGATGTTGAGCTTTTTCTCACATGTTTGTTGGCCACATAAATGTCTTCTTTTGAGAAGTGTCTGTTCATGTCTTTGCCCACTTTTTGATGGGGATGGGTTTTTTTCTTGTAAATTTATTTAAGTTCCTTGTAAATTCTGGATATTAGACCTTTGTCAGATGAATAGATTGCAAAAATTTTCTCCCATTCTGTAGGTTACCTGTGCACTCTGAAGATAGTTTCTTTCACTGTGCAGAAACTCTTTAGTGTAATTATGTCCCATTTGTCAATTTTAGCTTTTGTTGAAATTGCTTTTGGCAATTTCATCATAAAATCTTTGCCCATGCCTATGTTCTGAATGGTATTGCCTAGATTTTCTTCTAGGATTTTTATAGTTTGGGGTTTTACATTTAAGTATTTGATCTATCTGAGTTAACTTTTGTATAAGGTATAAGGAAGTCCCTCTGGTAGCAGTGTGGGGAGCGATTAGGAGTGGGATGGGACGGGAGGCAGAGTAAGCCATCTTGAGGCAGTTGTAACAGTCATAGGGAGAGATCAGATCACAAGATCTGGAGCTGGTCCACAAGCTCAGGGCTGGAAAATGTAGTTGTTCCCAGTTAATACTTCTGGAGTTGGAAAGTATAAAGAGCTATGTCAGTGTCAAGATCCCTGGTAGTTTGGGGCAGGGTACAATTACTCCTCTGGAGTAGATCTCATCGTGGCCCTCTGGGTGTCTGGAGGGCCCAGACAGAATCCCTTACTGTGGCCTGGCGTCTTGCTGGTATTCCCATTGAGGACTGGTGGGGAGAGCCATCATCACCATGGCAGTCCCCACACCTTGCAACCTAAGTACCTGTGTGATTGGTGATGGGTGAGGAACAGAACATCATTTACATATATAAAGAACAGCACGCTGTCTTCTTCCTTGAAGAGGAGCTGGCCCTCCTCCCTGCTTGGCCATCATGCTCAGCCATGGGCCTGGGCTTGGTTGATGGGAGGGAACAAAAAGAATATGGGCCATCTGATCACATGGCTCTGGTTTTGAGCCCCAGCTGTGCTACTTAGTAGCTGTGTGATCTTGGGAAGCCACTTCACTTCTCTGAGCTTCATTTTCCTCCCATGCAAGATGGAGATAGCAATTCTCTTGTAACTCAACTCTATCTTTATCACTTAGTGAATCTTACCTAAATCCACATCTTCAATTTTTTTAATTTTTAATTAAGGTAAGATTTACATGCAGTAAAATTTATACGTTTTAGAGTGTAGTTCTGTGAGTTTTGACAAATGCATGCAGTTGTGTAACCACATCACAATTGAGATACAGAGCAGCTCCATCACTCCCCAAAATTCACAACCCTCCCCACACCTCCTTGCAGTCAGCTACCCCCATCTCTGCCCCAGGCAACCTCAGATCTGATTTCATCACTAAGGATGAGTTTTGCCTATTCTAGAGTGTCGTATAAATTGCAACATACATATGTACTTTTTTACATCTGACTTCTTTCACTCATCATGTTGCTACATGGACCTGTAGTTTGTTTCTGTTGAAGAGCAATATTCCATTGTATAGATGGACCACCATTTGTCATCTATTCACAATCCATGCACATTGGGTTGTTTCCGTTTGAGGGTTATAATGGCTACAGCTGCAATGAACATTCTTTTGCAAATTTTTCAGTAGACAAATGATTTTATTTCTGTTGGGTAAATAGGAATGCAATGGCTTAGTTGTATGGTATGTATATATTGAAATTCTGTAGAAACTACCTGTTTTCCAAAGCAGTTGTACAATTTTCCATGTCCCCCATAATATATGAGGGTTTTGGTTGTTCTGCATCCTGGGAACATTTAGCATTGTCAGTCTTTTAAAATTTTAGTCATTCTAGTGTGAAATGGTATCTCATTGCGGTTTTAACTTGCATTTTTCTAATGGCTAATGATGTTGAGTACTTATGTGTTTATTGGTCATTTGGATAATCTATTTTGTGAAGTGCCTGTTCAAGCCTTTTTGTGTCTGCAATTTTTACTAGCGAGTTTATTTCTTCTTATTTAAACCTCACTCTGGGCTCCGGACAAATATATCAATGGAATTCTTCATACTGCTGCTTGTATGTTTTGAAAGGACCTCAGCTGAACATAAAGGTAAACTTACAATTTCCTCTCTCACTCTTCCCCCCTCCACTTTCAGACCTTGGCCTCCACCACCGACACATCCTCTAGTAGATGACCTCATCATCCACACAGTGGCACAGACCAGAAACCTAGGCAGCTTTCCTGATACCTCTTCTCATCTGTTTCCCTACTCCCACCCAATCCATCGCGTTTCCTCCTGCCTATTTCTTGAACCCAATCAATTCCCCCAAATTCCTCCATCTCCACCATTGCCTAAGCCACCATGGTCTCTCACTTGCATTACTGCAATAGCCTCCTTTCTTTCTTTCTTCTTTCTTTCTTTCTTTTTTTTATTTTGGAAAGGAAGTCTCTGTCACCCAGGCTGGAGTGCAGTGGCGCAACCTGGGCTCACTGCAACCTCAGCCTCCCAGATTCAAGCAATTCTCCTGCCTCAGCCTCCCAAGCAGCTGGGATTATAGGTGCTCACCACCACAACCCGCTAATTTTTGTATTTTTAGTAGAGACAGGGTTTCACCATGTTGGCCAGGATGATCTCGAACGCCTGGCCTCAAGTAATCTGCCCACCTCAGCCTCCCAAAGTGCTGGGATTATAGGCACGAGCCACCACACCCAGTCAATAGCTTCCTTTCTAACAAGTCTTGTTCCCTTCAGGCTGTACTCCATGTACCAATCAGTGTCAGGCCTTTAGAAAACACAGATGTGATTGTAAGACTCTCTTACCCAAATCCTTAATGGCAGCCCATAACTCTTAACATAATTATTTGTTCCTTAATGTGATCTGTAAGACGAGCCATGCCCCAGCCAGACGGTTGTCTTCGAGCCATGGTTCTAGGCTCCTTGTGTCTCAGGGCCTTTGCACAGACTGACCTGTGTTTGCAACACTCCTTCTCTCTTCTTCACCTCACTAACTCCTGCTCATTCTTCACATCGCAGTTCAAATTTCACTTCCTCCAAGAAGTCTGCCCTGTTCAGAGACAAGATTAGGAATGCTCTACGCTTCTTTCATAGACTTATCTTATAATGATGTATTTCTGGGACTATTCAAAGTATGTTTCTCTCACTAGACTAATAAGCTCTGCGGGGAACGAATCTGTTTCGTTTGTGGTGCGTCCGGGTACCTAACACCAGGACCAGCTGCGTAACATGAGGCCCAGGGCAAAATGAAAACGCAGAGTGCTTCTGTTCAAAGAGCAGGAAAAGGCGCCATTGAAGGGGCTCAAAGATACGGCGTTTTCCTTTCTTCTGTGTTCTCTCTCACTTGACTTGTCATGGTATTTTTATTTGCTATTTAATGTCATGCTAAGTTAAAAAACAAATTTAAGGCTGGGTGCGATGGCTCACGCATGTAATCCCAGCACTTTGAGAGGCTGAGGTGGGCGGATCATGAGGTCAGGAGTTCGAGACCAGCCTGGACAACATAGTGAAACCCCATCTCTCCTAAAAATACAAAAAATTAGTTGGGCGTGGTGGCGGGTGCCTGTAATCCCAGCTACTCGGGAGACTGAGGCAGGAGAATGGCTTGGACGTGGGAGGCAGAGGTTGCAGTGAGCCAAGATTATGCCATTGCACTCCAGCCTGGGTGACAGAGCGAGACTCCATCTAAAAAAAATAAGATAAAATAAAATAAAAAATAAATTTAAATTATCGTGACTTTTTACCATTTGTTTTTATATTGTAGGACGCAAGGTATAAATGAAAATATTAGCATTGACCTCATATGTAGAATCAACACAATTACACAATTCACATTCCATAGCTCATCCATGTGTATGTATTTCATTCTTGCTAAACCAGTAGATACGCTGCACAAAAGTAGCCCAGCTCTTTCTATCTCACTTCCTGACACCCACACACTCCAGCAACACTCTCTACCTTGGGATCATGGACACTAAGGAAGGACTGAAAGGACAGGAGCTATAGGCTGCTCTCTCTTCCCCTTTCCTTGTTCCATACAAGTACTAACGAGGCCAGGCCCTGCTTAGCTTCTGAGACGAGATTGGGCACCCTCAGGGCACTGTGGCCATAGTGTCCTGCCCTTTCCTTTCATGTCATCTCAACACGGGGGTCGGTTAGCACAGGGAAGTAACTCCAATAAGAGGATACAACAGGGCTCCTCAGTCATTTGTGTCTCTTCAGATGTCATTGCCTTCTTTCTGTGTACAAGCACATTCTGGTTTCAGTGGAAAGTGAGGCCTCTCCAGTTGGTTAGTGCCCCGCTCACTCAGTCACTGACTAACAACCCTGCCTCTACTCACAGCATGCTGAGTTTCCTGCACATCCCACAGCATGGCTCCCCAGGGGCATGGAGAAGATTATGTGAATGGGGTGGCAGGGAACGGCGGCCACACACATCACATGTGGCTCCTCTGCTCCTGTGCATGCCGCCTTGTCCTACAGGACTTCGCTGACAAAACAGAAGTGTGAAGATATCATTATTAATGTGACAGCAGAGCGTTAAACCGAATGCGGGGCACTTTCAAGTGCAGGACACTATGCAACTGACTTCGCAGGACTCAGAAAGTGGCCCTGCCTAGCACATGGCCACATAGCAGATGCTAATCAATGTGTTAAGTAAAGGAATGAAGGGTTGTCACCTGATAGAAGATAAACAGTTCTTCTGGTTTTGATACAAACTAAAGGCCTCTCTCCTCCCTCACCTTGGAGATCCTACATAAATGTCAGAGGGGCACCACTGCCTGTGATTGCCTATCTTTCTGGAGAGGAGAGAGACAGTTGCTCTAATATGTCAGAGCAAGAGTGAGAGGGAGGGCATGAGGGGAAGCTGACAAGGCTTATCTGTGAATTAATCACCGCACTTTGCATGTACTGCAGGTCACACCTTGTATCCTATGCTCTTAAGACATGGTCCAAGTGTGAACTAAGCTCATAGCTCACTGCCTTCATCCACCTCCGTCGCCGCTCCAGAAGAGAGCTCGAGTTGCTACTTCATTAGCAGAAGGCCTCTGGACCCATCCTGGAGGGGTCCGGGAGCAGACAGAGCAGCTCAGTCAAGGTCAGAGCCACAGGTTGCTGGACCTTCTCAAATTCCTCATGTACTGCCTTGATTTTCATCACATGCAGAAAGATCTCTGAGAATCACAAAGCCCAAGAGCCAGGAGACCTGGGTTCAAAATCTGGCTTTGTGTGAGCCTGGGCAAGTGATATCTTCTCTCTGGGCCTCATTATCTGCTCCATTAAATGAGAAAAGGAACTAGTTAAGTGGCCTAAAAGCAATGTTTCCCAGGAGCTCTGATGTCTCAGGAATTGCACTGGTCGGGACAGGGGAGATTCTCCCCAGCTTCAGTCAGCAGTAATAATAATAACAGGAGGCTGGGTGTGGTGGCTCACGCCTGTAATCCCAGCACTTTGGGAAGCCAAGGGGGGTGGATCACAAGGTCAGGAGATCGAGACAATCCTGGCCAACATGGTGAAACCCTGTCTCTACTAAAAATACAAAAATTAGCTGGGCGTGGTGGCGTGTGCCTGTACTCCCAGCTACTTGGGAGGCTGAGGCAGGAGAATCACCTGAACCTGGGAGGTGGAGGTTGCATGAGCCAAGATTGCACCACTGCACTCCAGCCTGGCAACAGAGTGAGGCTCCGTCTCAAATAATAATAATAATAATAGGAAACATTTACAGAGTACCCACTGCCCCAGGTGCCATCATAAATGTTTCACATACATTCACTCATGCAGTAGTCACGATATTCCTATGAGATGGGTTTCAACTTCTATGCCCATCATCAGATGAGAAACTGAAGTGCTGAATGTCTAAGTGACTACTCAAGGTCACACAGCTAGTAAATGACAAGGCAAGGATTCAAGCCTTTGTAGTCTGGCTCTAGGGTGTGTCTGTTTAACTACACTATTCCCATTGTTTTACCTCCCTCCCTCCCACCAACCCATCCATTCACCCACCCATTCATCCAAACATCCACCCATACATCCATCCATCTGCCCACCCACCTATGCATCCATCTCGAGTTTCATATAAGAGTTTATTTAATAAAGGAATTCTGAAGAATTATAAAAAATAAAAACTTGAAAACTACTCAAGATTGCTATTTAAACTGCAAAAGTCCTCAGGGGTGGGGTTCTATGACTCTCCCCCCTTCCTGGGTCATTCTTAGAGAAGTTTCTGTGGGTGAGGGTGAGGAAGAGTTGGCAGGAATTAGGAAAAGAGAAGATTTTAAAACAATTTGTCAAATGTGACAACCTGCAGCTTATGTGTAGACAGAGTGATGTAAGAAAGCTTGGGTGGCTTGGAATGTGGCTTCATTCTTGCTTCCCTCCTTCTTGTCTCCTCCTCTAGGCAGAACTAGAAGGGGTATTAAGGATTAACTTGTATAATGAGACTCCAGAGGGCTGGACTCAGACCAGTGGGTGAAAGACAAAGGAAGGTCGATCAAAGCTCAATCTAAGGAAAATCTTTCTAACCACCTTGTCATCCTAAAATTGAATAATCATCTCGTGATGCAGAGAGCTGTTGTCCTGGGAAATTTTGGGCAGAGCCTGCTGATCAGGAATGATGTAGTGGGTGCCTGATGCCGTGGAAGGGTGTCTTAGAGTGGGTGAGTCCTTCTTACTCCCAAATCATGTGATTCCATTTCCACCTGGCTCCGCTGTGAGACTTTCAAGGCCCAGGGAAAGGCAGAGTATGGTCCCAGCTCACAGGGAGTGGGGGCAGTGAGGACAGGTTAGAGCAGTAACCAGGATTCTCTGATGTGTACCTCCAGCTTGAAGCTTTCTCAGGGATACTCAATTCACTACCATTGTGCCCTCCTCAAAGCCAGTGTTAAAGAAAGAGGAGGTCAGGCTCAGTGGCTCATGCCTGTAATCCCAGCATGTTGGGAGTCCAAGGCAGGAGGGTGACTTGAGCCCAGAAGTTCGAGACCAGCCTGGGCAACACAGGAAGACCCTGTCTCTGTAAAAAGTAAAATAATTATCTGAGCATGTTGGCACACATCTGTGGTCCCAGCTACTTGGAAGGCTGAGGTGGGAGAATCACTTGAGCCCAGGAGGTCAAGGTTGCAGTGAGCTGTGATCATGCCACTGCACTCCAGCCTGGGTGACAGAGCAAGACTGTATCAAAAAAAAAAAAAAAAAAAAGAGGAAAATTCTTTCTATGCCCTTCTCACAGCAGGGCTTGATGGATTGTTTAACATGTCTGTCATGGAGGCTTCTAACCTTCTCCAAATCAAGGCAGGTCATTTACTAGGGCTGGAGGTGGGGGTGCAATGGGGGAGGGGTGTTCCCACGTTTAGCTGGTCCCAAAAGTTCTGTTTAGACCTGGTCTCACTCCCCAAACAATTTGTCTAGCACTTTCCTGTGCATGTAGAATGTACAGATGTAAGCTCAGGGGATACCAACACAGACCCAGTTCACAGATGAGGATAGGGAAGCTCAGAGAGAGAAAAAACTCACCCCAGTTCCCATGACCAGAGTGACAAACTCAGTCTTCTGGCTCCAGGAAAACTCTCACTGCTCCTACTAAACACTAAAACCTGCTGAGCATTTACTCTACGCAAGATACTGTGCTCCCACAACTCCATTATACCCATAGTACGGGGGAGGAAACTGAGGCTCAGAGAAGTTACATAACTTCCCCAAGACCCCAATGCTGGGAAGGGGCAGAATGAGAGTTCAGACCCGTGCCTGCCTTTTCCAGAATCCATATTCTTTTCCACGACCTTATTCCACTTTTAAATCCAGAGAAGCTCCAAGGAAATGGTGTCCTGGGAGAAGGGGTGAGGGCCTGGGTGCTCCAGATGGCTCAGTGCCTGGCAGGACTGGCTCCACCCATCAGGCGGGCATCGGGGGAGAGTAGGGTTTTCCTAGCTCAGAATGTGACTATAGCAGGTACCCAGAGATGCCCTCCCATCCCTAGGCTGTACACTGCATCCCCTCAATTGACTGTCGCTATGTGAGACACAAAAAATTTGTGCCTCGGGCTGCGTTTAAGAGAACCCCTGGCTGAGAAAACTCAGGGCAACCTGGTCTGGGTGGCATTTCTGGCTCTGCTGTGTACTAGCTTTGGACAAGTCACTTTATTTCTGTGCACCTCTGTTCCCTTTGCATACTTGACATCACGTCATCAAGCATCCATTTTCAGGATCATCGCTAACTCCCTGCCCCAGGTACTCTCTTCACATCAGACGTCCTAATGTGTGGTGCAGAGAAATAGGGGCGGGGCTTAGGGTAGGAGGCATGGGTTTCAGCCCTAGTTGTGCCTCCATGGCTGTGTCACTTCAAGCAACTCACCCACTCTATCTGCAAGCTCCACCTCCCGGGTTCACACCATTCTCCTGCCCCAGCCTCCCGAGTAGCTGGGACTACAGGTGCCCGTCACCATGACTGGCGAATTTCTTTGTATTTTTAGTAGAGACAGGGTTTCACCGTGTTAGCCAGGATGGTCTTGATCTCCTGACCTCATGATCCAGGCTGGGATTACAGGTATAAGCCACTGCGCCCAGCCAATACATACTTTTATATGATCTAGCAATTTCAATTCTATGTTTTTACTCTTAATAAAACACATGAAACATATTAAAATATATGTCCCCACAAAAACTTGTCCATTAATAATCACAGCAGCTTTATTCAAAATAACCAGAATCCGGAAACAACCAAAATGTCCATCAACAGTTGATGACATGAATTATGGTACATCTACTGTGAGTACAACTCTAAAATAAAAGGAACAAATGAATGATACCTATAACAGAATGGAGGAACCTCAAAAGTATTATGCTGAGCAAAAAAGAAAAACATGGCCAGGCATGGTGACTCACACCTGTAATCCCATCATTTTGGGAGGCTGAGGAAGGCAGATTGCTTGATCCCAGGAGTTTTAGACCAGCATGCACAACATGGGAAAACTTTGTCTCTACAAAAAATACAAAAATTAGCTGGATGTAGTGACATGCACCTGTAGTCCCAGCTACTAGGGAGGCTGAGGTGAGAGGATCACCTGAGCCTGTGAGGTTGAGGCTGCAGTGAGCTGTGATCATACCACTTCACTCCAGCCTGGGTGATGGAGTGAGACCCTGTCTCAAAAAACTAAAAAAGGGGACTCAGAAAAAAATGGCAAATAGGAGGCAGGTCTAACTTGCAGCTCCCACTCAGATGGAGACAGAACAGTGTGTGAAGACTCACATTATGAACTTTTGCTCCAAGAACTACCGCAAAACATACCAGGAAACCCAAAGGAATTCACAGACCCTTTGAAAGAAGCAGCTCGCCGCTGCAAACTTCATGAGACAGCCAAAAAACTGTGAGTGCCTAAAGTGTGAGAGGGGGAAGGTCTGCCTCCAAATACACATCCTTACTGGGGAAACTGAAAATCCAGATCACAGGAGAAGGATTTAACCTTACGTAGAGGTGAAATAAATTTAGAGAGCCGAGTGAAATATAAAAGTAGAAGCAGCGGTGAGAAGAGCTCTGTAAGTACTCCCAGCCCCCAGGGAAGCCCAGGGAAGCCATTTCTGACTTTCTCTCACAGGGGTCCTCAGGGAGGGCAGAGAGTGGGACTGGGGAAGGGTCACAAGGAGGAGACTTCCAGCAGAACTTTGTAATAATTTCGACTGAGCATGAATTTTCCTGGACAGCATTGTGGGGTAGGGCAAAAACGGGAAGTGCAGATATGAGCACAGAAGCCAAGGCAAGCAGAGAGGGGTGAGACCTGAAAGCCCTGCTTGCTTTCTCAGCAGAGAGGCTTGTAGCCTGGGGCAATATCTCAGCCTTGCAAACCTGAGGCCTGGATATAAATTCAGCTCTGTCGGGAGAGCATGACAGGAGCACTGGCCTTGCTGGCTACACGGGAGCTGGGTGAGACCTGTTGCTGCCGGCTTTCCCCCACTTCCCTGGGACTTGTATGAAGCATCAGAGGCAGCCATAATCCCTCTTGGAGCATAACTCCACTGACCTGAGAACAACCCCCCATCCCCCACAGTGGCCACAGCAAGCCCAGCCCTAGGAGAGTCTGAGCTCAGACATGCCTAACACTGCCCCAACCTAATGGTGTTTCTTTACCAGCCCTGGTAGCTGAAGACAAAAGACGAACTCATGGGAGCTCTATGGCCCTGCCCATCACCTGAGAAACCCAAATACTTACCCAGGTGACCTTAGAGCAAGCTTGTATCCACCCCTATACTACCACAGCTAATGCTCTCTTGAAAGCACCACCTCCTAGTGGGAGGCCAACCAACTCAAGCCATTACAGCAACTCATAACAGAACAGCACTGCTCCAAAAAAGGAGAAAACAACAGCCAATTCCACTGCCTGTAACATCTTGGGTCCCCAGAGGCCCTGAGTCTGTCCATGTAGCAACTTCATTGCTAGTATAACCAGCATTCGAGAAAAACAGCACACTAAACAAAACTACAACCAAGGACTCTGACAGAGTCCACTTCACTCCCCTGCTACCTCCAGCTGAGCGGGTGCTGGTATCCACAGCTGAGAGACCTGAAGATGAATCACATCACAGGACTCTTTGCAGACACTCCCCAGTAACAGCCCAGAGCCTGGTAGCCCCGCTGGGTGGCTAGACCGAGAAAAGCAATAACAATCGCTGCAGTCCAGCTTTCAGAAAGCCGCATCTCTAGAGGAAAGGGGAGAGCACCACATCAAAGGATCGCCAGTGGGACAAATCTGAACAGCAGCCCTTGCACCCCAAATCTTTCCTCTGACATAGTCTACCCAAATGAGAAAGAACCAGAAAAACAATTCTGGTAGTATAATAAAACAACGTTCTATAACACCCCAAAAGGTCACACTAGCTCACCAGCAAACATGGATCCAAACCAAGAAGAAATCTCTGAATTGTCAGAAAGAGAATTCAGAAGGTCAATTATTAAGCTACTCAAGGAGGTATCAGAGAAAGGTGAAAATCAACTTAAAGAAACTTAAAAAATAATACAGGATGTGGATGAAAAAAATCTCCAAATAAATAGATCTCATAATTAAAAAGCAATCACAACTTCTGGAAACTAATGACGCACTTAGAGAAATGCAAAACACACTGGAAAGTTTCAACAATAGAATCAAACAGGTAGAAGAAAGAACTTCAGAGCTCAAAGACAAGGCTTTTGAATTAATCCAACCTGACAAAGACAAAGAAAAGAGCATTTTAAAAATGAACAAAGCCTCCAGGAAGTTTGATATTATGTTAAATGACCAAACATAAGAGTAATTGGTATTCCTGAAGAAGAAGAGAAATCTGAAAGTTTGAAAAACTTATTTGAGGGAATAATTGAAGAAAACTTCCCTGGCCTTGCTAGAGATCTAGACGTCTAAATACAAGAAGCTCGAAGAACACCTGGGAAGTTCATCACCAAAAGATCATCACTTAGCCACATAGTCATCAGGTTATCTAAAGTTGAAAAGAAAAAAGGGATCTTAAGAGATGTGAGGCAAAAGTATCAGGTAACCAATAAAGGAAAGCCTGTTAAATTAACAGCAGACTTCCTAGCAGAAACTCTGCAAGCCAGGAGGGACGGAGATCCTATCTTTAGCCTCCTTAAACAAAATAATTATCCAGCAAGAATTTTGTATCCAGTGAAACTAAGCATCATAAATGAAGGAAAGATAAAGTCTTTTTCAGACAAATACTGAGAGAATTCACTACCAACAAGCCAGCACTACAAGAACTGCTAAAAGTAGTTATAAATCTTGAAACAAAACCTTGAAATACACAAAAATAGAACCTCCTTAAAGCATAAATCTCATGGGGACCATACAATAACACAATGAAAAAACAAGGTATTCAGGCAACAACCAGCACAATGAGCAGAATAGTACCTCAAATCTCAATACTAACATTGAATGTAAATGGCTGAAATGCTCCTCTTAAAAGATACAGAATGGCAGAATGGATAATAATTCACCAACCAAGTATCTGCTGTCTTCAAGAGACTCACCTAACACATAAGGACTCACATAAACTTAAGGTAAAGGGGTGGAAAAAGATATTCCATGCAAATGGACACCAAAAGTGATCAGGAGTAGCTATTCTTATATCAGACAAAAGAGATTTTAATGTAACAACAGTTAAAAAAGACAATGAAGGGCATTATATAATGATAAAAGGACTAGTCTAACAGGAAAATATTACAGTCCTAAATATATATGCACCTAACACTGGAGCTTCAAAATTTATAAAACAATTACTACTAGCCCAAAGAAATGAGATAGAAGGCAACACAATGATAGTGGGGGACTTCAATACTCCACTGACAGCACTAGACAAGTCATCAAGACAGAAAGCCAACAAAGAAACAGTGGACTTAAACTATACCCTAAAAACATCCATTAGCACATGGAACATTCTCCAAGACAGATCATACATAGGCCACAAAACAAGTTGCAATAAATTTAAGAAAATCAAAATTATATCAAGTACTCTTTCAGACCACAGTGAAATAAAATTGGAAATGAACTCCAAAGGAACTCTCAAAACCAAGCAAATGCATGGAAATTAAATAATCTGTTCCTGAACAAAGTTTGAGTCAACAATGAAATCAAGATGGAAATTTAAAAATTCCTTAAACTGAATGATAATAGTGACACAACCTATCAAAACCTCTGGGATACAGCAAAAACAGTGCTAAGAGAAAACTTCAGCCAAGGCGGGCAGATCACCTCAGGTTGGGAGTTCGAGACTAGCCTGACTAACATGGAGAAACCCCGTCTCTACTAAAAATACAAAATTAGCTGGGTGTGGTGGTGCATGCCTGTAGTCCCAGCTACTTGGGAGGCTAAGGCAGAATAATTGCTTGAACCTGGGAGAAGGAGGTTGCGGTGAGCCAAGATCTTGCCATTGCACTCCAGCCTGGACAACAAGAGCGAAATTCCATCTCCAAAAAGTAAAAATTTAAAAAAAAAAGAGGAAATTTCATAACATTACAGTCCTACCTTAAAAAAGTCTGAAAGAGCACAAATACACAATCTAAGGTCACACCTCAAGGAACTACAGCAACAAGAACAAACCAAACCAAACCCTAGCAGAAGAAAAGAAATAGCAACGATCTGAGGAGAACTAAATGAAATTGAAACAAAAAAATAAAAAAAGCTAAGGAAAAAGCTGGCTCTTTGAAAAGATAAACAAAATTGATAGATCATTAGTGAGGTTAACCAAGAAAAGAAGGAGAAAGTCCTAATAAGCTCAATTAGAAATGAAACAGGAGATACTACAACCGATAAAATAGAAATACAAAGAATCATTCAATGCTACTATGAACACCTTTACAAGCTAAACTAGAAAATCTAGAGGAGACAGATAAATTCCTGAAATAAGCAACCTTCCTAGATTAAACCAGGAAGAAATAGAAACTCTGAACAGACCAATAACAAGCAGTGAGATTCAAATGGTAATTTAAAAATTGCCAAACAAAAAAAAAAGTCCAGGACCAGAAGGATTCACAACTGAATTCTATCAGACATTCAAAGAAGAATTCTCAACAATTCTACTGAAATTATTCCAAAAGACAGAGAAAGAGGGAATCCTCCTTAAATAATTCCATAAAGCCAGTATCACCCTAATATCAAAACTAGGGAAGGACATAACAAAAAAAGAAAACTACAGACCAATGTCCCTGATGAATATAGATATAAAAATCCTCAACAAAATACTACCTAACCAAATCCAACAGCATAGCAAAAAGATAATCCCCCATGATCAAGTGGGTTTCACACCAGGGATACAGGGATGGTTTAACATCCACAAGTCAATAAATGTGATACACCACATAAACAGAATTTTTGTTAAAAAAATCACATTGTCATCTCAATAGACACAGAAAAAGCATTTGACAAAATCCAGCATCCCTTTATGATTAAAACCCTCAACAAAATCTACATAGAAAAAAACATACCTTAAGGTAATAAAAGCCATCTGTGACAAACCCACAGCCAACATTATATTGAAGGGGAAAAAGCTGAAAGCATTCCCCCTGAGCACTGGAACAATGTAAGGATGCCCACTTTCACCACTTCTATTCAACATAGTACTGGAAGTCCTAGCCAGAGCAATCAGACAAGAGAAAGAAATAAATGACATCCAAATTGGTAATGAGGAAGTCAAACTGTTGCTATTTGCTGATGATATGATTGTATACCTAGAACACCCTAAGCACTCACCCAAAAAGCTCCGAGATCTGATAAATGAATTCAGTAAAGTTTCAGGATACAAAATCAATGTACACAAATCAGTAACACTGCTAGACTCCAACAGCAACCAAGCTGAGAAACAAAGCAATAACTCAACCCCTTTTACAATAACTGCAAAAAATAAAATAAAATACTTAGGAATATACCTAACCAAGGAGGTGAAAGATCTCTGCAAGGAAAACTACAAAACATTGCTGAAAGAAATCATAGATGACACAAACAAATGGAAACATACCCCATACTCATGAATGAATAGAATCAATATTGTGAAAATGACCATACTGCCAAAAGCAATCTATAAATTCAATGCAATTCTCATCAAAATACCATTATCGTTCTTCACAGAACTAGAAAAAAAAAAAACCTTAAATTCATATGGAACAAAAGAGCCCACATAGCCAAACCAAGACTAAAGAAAAAGATCAAATCTGGAGGCATCACATTACCTGACTTCAAACTATACTACCAGGCTATCATCACCAAAACAGCATGGTACTGGTATAAAAATAGGCACACAGACCAATGGAAGAGACTAGCAATCCCAGAAATAAAGCCAAATACTTACACCCAACTGATCTTTGACAAAGCAAATGAGAACATAAAATAGGGAAAGGACACACTATTCAACAAGTGGTGCTGGGATAATTGGCTAGCCACATGTAGAAGAATAAATCTGCACCCTCATCTCTCACCTTATACAAAAATCAATTCAAGATGAATCAAATACTTAAATCTAAGACCTGAAATCATAAAAATTCTAAAAGATAACATTGGAAAAACTCTTCTAGACATTGGCTTAGGCAAAGAGTTCATGACCAACAACCTGAAAGCAAATGCAACAAAGATAAATAGAAGGACTTAATTAAACTAGAAAGCTTCTGCACAGCAAAAGAAATAATCAGCAGAGTAAACAGACAACCCACAGAGTGGGGGAAATTTTCACAAACTATGCATCCAACACAGGTCTAATATCCAGAATCTACAAGGAACTCAAACAAATCAGCAAGAAAAAAACAAATAATCCCATCAAAAAGTGGGCTAAGGACATAAATAACAATTCTCAAAAGAATATATACAAATGGCCAACAAACATATGAAAAAAATGCTCAACATCACTAGTGATAAGGGAAATGCAAATCAAAACCACAGTGCTGGCCAGACATCGTGGCTCACACCTGTAATCCCAGCACTTTGGGAGGCTGCGGCAGGTGGATCACCTGAGGTCAGGAGTTCAAGACCAACAGGGTGAAACCCACATCTCTACTAAAAACACAAAAATTGCCGGGCATGGTTGTACACTCCTGTAGTCCCAGCTACTTGGTACTTGGGAGGCTGAGGCAGGAGAATCACTTGAACTCCAAAGGCTGAGGCAGATGAATCACTTGAACCCAGGAGGTGGAGGTTGCAGTGAGCTGAGGTCGAGCCACTGCACTCCAGCCTGGGTGACAGAACAAGACTTTATCTCAAAAACAAACAAACAAAACAAACAACAACAACAAAAAACACCACACAATGTGATACCACCTAACTCCTGCAAGAATGGCCATAATTTAAAAATCAAAAAATAATAGATATTGGCATGAATTTGGTGAAAAGGAAACACTTTTACACTGCTGGTGGGAATGTAAACTAGTACGACCACTATGGAAAACAGTATGGAGATTCCTTAAAGAACTAAACGTAGATCTACCATTTGATCCAGCAATCCCACTACTGGGTATTTATCCAGAGGAAAAGAAAGCATTATATGAAAAAAAGACACTTGCACACATATGTTTATAGCAGCACAATTCACAATTGCAAAAATATGAAACCAGCCCAAATGCCCATCAATCAATGAGTGGATTTAAAAAGGAATGAAATAATGGCATTGGCAGCAACCTGGATGGAGTTGGAGATCATTATTCCAAGTGAAGTAACTCAGGAATGGAAAACCAAATATCATATGTTCTCATGTGTAAGTGGGAACTAAGCTATGAGGACTCAAAGGCTTAAGGATGATGCAATGGACTCTGGGGACTTGGGAGAAGGGTGGGAGTGGGGTAAGAGATAAAAGACTACACATTAGGTACGGTGTACACTGCTCAGGTGATGGGTGCTCCAAAATCTCAGAAATCACCACAAAAGAACTTATCTATGTAACCAAACACCACATGTTCCCCAGAAACTATTAAAACAAAAATCATCATAGTAATTTTTAAAATAATAAAAAATTTAAAAAGAAAGACACGAAGTAGTGTATACTGTATGATTTTTATGTGAAATTCCACAACAGACAAAACTAACATATACTGGCAGACAGCAAGTCAGTGGTTAACTGGAGCTGAGGATGAGAGGAACTGACTAAAATAGGGCATGAACATTTGTCAAAATTCATTGAACTGTGCACATAAAATGGGAGCATATCATTGGATATAAATTATAAGTCAACAAAGTTGATTTTTTTAATGAAAAAAGTTTTTAAAATAAAAATTCTTGGTCCCCATTCCTAGTGATTCCAATACAGCAGGACTGGTATTATGGGAGGAGACCACCCCTCATATTGCCTTATGCCCATTTTCTGCCTCCAAAGAAAGAAAAACTAAAAACTAAAAGGCAGAAATGAAATCCACAAGCAGACAGCCCGGCGCCACACCCTGGGCCTGGTAGTTAAAGATCGACCCCTGACCTAATCGGTTATGTTATCTATAGATTACAGACATTGTATAGAAAAGCACTGTGAAAAATCCCTATCCTGTTGTGTTCCGATCTAATTACCGGTGCATGCAGCCCCCAGTCACGTACCCCCTGCTTGCTTAATCGACCACGACCCTCTCACGCGCACCCCCTTAGAGTTGTGAACCCTTAAAAAGGACAGAAATTGCTCACTCGGGGAGCTCAGCTCTTGAGACAGGAGTCTTGCCGATGCCCCCAGCCAAATAAACCCCTTCCTTCTTTAACTCGGTGTCTGAGGAATTTTGTCTGCGGCTTGTCCTGCTACAATATAGGGCTCAGAAATCTGCATTTTCAACAATCCGCATGGATAATTATGCTGCAGGCTGTTTCACTTATCGTATTCGTCTCTAATTTGCTGTCCAAGCACCCAATTCTTGGACAGCAAATCAACTAGGCAAACAAAGAAAATTCAGAAAAAAGAGTTTGAGTTTTTGTGTGCCCTTGTTTCATCCCCCAACCTCCATTCTTTAGCTGGAATGCTGGTCACTACCAAAGCATCCTCCTGTGTGCTGTTTCCCCTAACCGTGAGCTCAGCTGTGGATAAGCTTCCTTTATTCATTCTTTACCAAAGAAAGTTTGCTAGGAAGATAAATGGGAGAAAAGCAAAATAAAAACACATCAGGAATGCAGATAAACCAATATATGTGCAGAGCACAAGTTCCTTCTCATAAGGTCATTCAAGTCTGGCACCACGTGGTGGTGGGGGGTGGGCCAGCTCACTGGGCACATGGTACCCATAAATATGCCTACCCTGGGGGAATGGAAGGTTGACAGGGAGCCTGATGGACATGTGTGTGAAGAACGGAACAACACAATAACAAACATGCGAAGCGTACTCATAGCCCTTCCTCCTTCCCATCCCATTCCTATAAAAGAGGAAAGAACAACTCATTTCCTTCACGGGGCATGGTGGTATGCATCTGTAGTCCCACCTACTCAGGAAGCTGAGGCTAGAGGATTCCTTGATCCCAGGAGGTCAAGGATGGAGTAAGCTATGATCCTGCCACTGCACTCCAGCCTCGGTGACAGACAAGACTTTAAAAAAAAAAAAAAGTAAAGGAAAAGAAAAGGAAAGGGATATTTCCCTGCCAAATTAATTTAAACCAAGTGCTCTATTTCCATTCATTAGTTTTTTCCCTGCTGCCTGATGTATCTTTCTCATATCTGGCCCCCTGTTCTGTCTACCTGTTGAAATATTTCCCATTCTTCGTGGCCCAACTTGAGTAACACCTCTGTCAGAACTTATCAGATCAACACAGTCAAATGAATCCTCTCCCTCCCCTGAACTCTATGGCACTTGGCTTGAAGAGCTCTTACAGAAATCTTGAGTTGTGTTTTACTTATTCATGTGCATGGCATATCTACTCTATGAGATTGGAATCAACTTGATTATAGAAATGATAACTTATTATCTATGCTAGATGTGGCTTGCATAGATTCTGTACATTACTTTGCACCTAGTGAGTGGTGATTATTGTAGACATGAATGAATGATTCAATCGGTGCTGATTAATGTCTCTGAGCTTTTGCTCATGCTGTCTTCCCTTTATGGAAAACCCTTCCCACACCAAGGGTCACTTCCTGTAAGAAGCCTCCCTGGATCTCCAAGCTGCTGGCTCCTATAGCACTCTGGGCAAACCTCTGCCTGATTACTCACCACCACTATCATACGTCAAAGTTAATCATGACCAATTTCACCCACTTATTTATAAGCTTCAAAAAGCCTAACATTCCATTCTAGTCATGCTTCTCTTACCACCATCTAGCACAGTGTTTGGTAATAGTGTGCATTTTATAACTGTTTGTCAAATAGAATGATCTATTCAGAAGCTTCTGGAAGCGTTAGCCCTTGCCACAGAGGACCTCGTTTATTTAGTGTTTCTATCAGGAACTGCCACAGTTGTCTTGAGGTCTCACTCCCAGAGGAAACCCAGCATGAACAGCCTTCCCATCCCAAGTTTCGTCACGGATGAAGGAAGGAGCAGGACCAGACGCTCTTTAGGGTCCCTTAGAGCCCCAGGATTCTTGTGTTCCAGGGAATCCCCTGGCAGAATAGATTGCTGCGAGCAAAAGAGGCGAGTGTGGCCCCTCCTCAGCAGGTCTCTAGATGAACCCCAGCCTCTGGAAGGCCTGGACCTGGGAAAAAAGAATTCGCGTCCCTTCAGGGCCCCACGCCTTCCTGTCCTCCAGCACATTTCTCTTTCTTGGCCCCACCTTCCCTTTTTCTGCTTCCTCTCTGCTGGCCTCTCCCCTTCTCTTCCTTTCTTTTCTGTTTCTCTTCTCCTACAGGTCCCACCGCACCTTCCCAGTATCGCTGCTTCCCCTTCGCCTACTTCCCAGTCTGGCCAGTCAGATTCACCGTCCTTCTCGGGTCGCCTGCGTTATCTTGCTTTCCTCCCACGCCCCGACAGAGGCTCCCTCTCGCTGGCCTCCTCCCTCTCCTCTCTGCCCTGCAGGCAGCAGAGCCTTCGCTGACGCCAAGAGGCAGCGAGGTGGGGAGGCGAGGAGTTGGGGAGGTCTGGAGGTAGGGGGTGGGGTGGGGGTGGGGCCTTGCGCAGCCGCCCCGCCCCGCGATGCGTGTGTGAAGGTCGGGGTGGCAGTGACGCGGCGCCGGCGGGGGGAGGGAGGCTGGGCCGGTGGGAGAGGGAGGCGAGCCGACCGCTGGGCTGCTGGGCTCCCGCGCCCTCGCGCTCCCCGCCGCCAGCCCAGGCGCAGGCAGGGCGCAGGCGGCGGCGGGCGGCATGGAGAGCCTGCTGGAGAATCCGGTGCGCGCCGTGCTCTACCTCAAGGAGCTCACGGCCATCGTGCAGAACCAGCAGAGCCTCATCCACACCCAGCGAGAGCGTATCGACGAGCTGGAGCGGCGGCTGGACGAGCTGAGCGCTGAGAACCGCAGCCTGTGGGAGCACCAGCAGCTGCTGCAAGCCCAGCCTCCGCCCGGGCTCGTCCCCCCGTCATCGGCCCCGCTGCCGGCCGCTCCGGCCACCGCTCCTGCCGCCGCCGCCAGGGCCCAGGAACCTCTCCAGGACCAGGGACAGCGCTCAGCAGCCGCGCCGCATCCCGCGCCCGATCGGCCGCCGCGTCAGCACCACGGACAGCTCCTGGAGCAGCCCCAGCGGGGCCCTGGCAGCAGGGCTCACACACCCCAGTCGCCCCACAAGCATCTGGGGACACAAGGGGCCGTGACTGACAAGGAGAAGGAGCGTCCCCCGAGTTGCTGCGCTGCTGCCGGAGCCCTCCTTCAGCACAAATCCCCCTCCGCCCTCGGCAAGGGCGTCCTGAGCAGGAGACCTGAGTGAGCGGGGAGAGGAGATGGGCACTGTTGTGGTGGGAGCAAGGGAAGCAAGTGGGTGTGAGGGAGAGACGGGGACGTTGGGTGCGTAGGAGTCTAAAGGACCGGAGTGATGTGGCCTGAAGGCGCCAGAAGTGTGCAAAGGAGATTTTGGGTAAATGAGGGAACGATATCCCTGCTTGAGAAGGTTTTGGGGAATGCTGGAGCAAAAAGGAGTAACCAGACCATTAGTAGGAGCAAAGGAGGAAGGAGGTGGGTGTTAAGCGATTGGTGATACTGGGAACTGACAGCATTTAAACGGGGTTAGGCTGGGTTGAAGTTCGAGTGAAGATTAAACTGTAGAAAAGAGAACCATTGAAGGAATCTTTTTAAGTGAGAAAAAATTTGGAAGGAAGTTTGGGTAGTAAAAGTATTTGCATGGAGACTGAGATGTGAGAAAAGCTGAAGGCTTGGAAAGAGGCATGTGAAGAGCTTTAAAAAGGCTGGGGCCCAGGAAGAGTAGGACTGGGGTAGAGGGGAATCCAGGAGGCCGGGGACAAACCTGAAAAGCAGGAGTGATGTGGGAAACCAAGGGAGCTGGAGGCAGAGGAAGAGAAAATGTGGCTCTTTAGCTGGTGAAGTGGGAGCCACAGCTAGGAGTGGCTCATTTAGGGAAGCTTTCTCTTCTCTGACCTGATTGGACACCCTTCCTCTGAATTCCCGCAGAGCCGAAGAGGTGCAAGGGAACATCCCATCAAACCAATGGAGGACTCAGGCATGGCTTGAGGACTCAGTCTGGTTACAGCTTTTTCCTCCAACTCAAGGAGGGTTTTTCATACAGGGTGTTTGGCCGTTGTTGAAAGGGAGCAATGACATGGGGGACAGTTGGCAGATGGAGTTGGTATTCAGATGCCATGCCTGTTTAAATCTCCCTGTTAAGGCCAGCAACTGCAAACCCTTTTTTCCCGGTTATCTGGTGATCACTGAAATCTTGCCTTGGGTCCTGAGAGAAATGTTAACCTCTCAGTTCCTAGAACTTCAAGCTCTTTCTTCACTCAGGAGGTCCATGAACTAGGAATATGGGAAGAAGATATGAAAGTGTCTGGGATGTTCTCTCCTCTGTACTGGAAAGGCTGTGGCCATGTCTGCTTCTTTTCTCTGATTAGGCAAGTGATGGAGAACTAAACAAAGAACAGTTCAAGGGAAATTGTCCCTGGTCAGCACCTGACCTTGACAATGGTGATGCATAAGGGAATGGGGAGGGGGAAGTAGAGCTGAGAATCTCATCTTCATCCAGGTGCATTAAGTCTGGGAGATACTTGTGAATATTTGCTGTATTCCTTCAAAACTCATTTTCTTTTACCATCTGTGGTAGAGTTAGAGAAGTTGGGTTAGGGCAGGGTAGCTCACAGAGCACGTTGATCAAAACCACAGGATCTAAGAGGTGAAGGTCTAACATGATCTGGCTTGGCAGACTTAAAACATTTGATTCAAGTCCCAAGAAGATACAGTTTTCTACCCCAACTCCCTCAAAACCCCTTTGTACTTCCCTCAGTTTCACATTTTTATTTTTATTTTTTCCTTATCTGGCATAAAAAGCAGAAAGTCAGTTTTCCCTCAATGCCCAAGGCTCAGCAAAAGGCAACATTGTTCCAAGATACTAAGTGGTCTTTTCCCCCACATGAGGGGATGAATTTTTCCAGTCCCCTTCCCTGAGGGCAGCCACAGCTACCTGGTCATTATGATTTCTCTCCTCATGACTTTTGGTGTCTCCTGTCTCTCCCACTGCAACTCCACTTTCTTTGCATCTCTTCAGGGCACTGTGTGGCCAAGAAGAGTTGAGGAAAGATTATTTTTCTTAGACAAAGACATAGCCATAGCCTTCAGAGTGGCCTACGGAACCCAAACCCTTTCACTCAGTTGGTCCTGCTCGGAATCCTGGGATTTAGGAATCATCTGGGCTCCTGTCCAGCTCCACATGTCAATTCTGGAGAGGAGTTATAATATCCTCACCTTTCCTTCTCACCTGTCCTGCTTTTGCTTCCCAAAGGAGCAGAACAAAAATAAAAAATAATTAGCATGGTGGAGCAGAGTGGAAGTTATTGGAATCTTTCACTTAGAAAGTTGCCCCAGGCACTTAACAGTAATGCCTTACTTTCTCCAGATTCTCCAGCTTTTTCTCCTGCTCCCCAATCCTGCACACTCAGAAACATAGAGACCATAGATGTGCCTGCCTCCCCTCATCCCTGCAGCTCTCCTTCCTTGGATGTGAAAACATGGTAATCTTGGCTGGTTGAATATCTTCTGGACCACTCATTTCTTTCCCCACAGTGGCCCAACTTCAACACCAATTTCCCCACAGAGCTCAGGACGGAATCACCATTGCTAATGACATGTTTCGTCCTACCCTGCTCTCTGCCCGTGGCCCGTTTTGTATGTTTGTTCTCCTCTGCCCATAGTTGTCTATGATGCAGGACAAGATGGAGCCAGCAGGCAGACAGAGATCTCCATGGAGAGGGAGAGGTGAGGAGGAGGAGAGCAGAGCCAGCAGCCCCCTCCCTGGTATTGCTCCTGGGGAGCTCCCCGCAGAACTGGTTCTCTACTGGGAGTGCTGAAGCGGGAGGAAGAGATGGCACAGTGGGTCTTCCAATCATGGGTTTCCTGTGAATCCTCCCTCATTCTTCCTCTGGCCTCCTTTCAGCAAGAACGCGACCCCACTGAGGTGGCTGAAGAGTGGGTGAGGGTTTCCAGAGGCCAGGCACTCTGGTAGATGCATTATGTCCTCACACAGTTTGACTTTTATCCCCAGAACTCCTCTTCCTACCCAATTCCAGGAGAGGCAGAAGCCCTAGATAACTGGGACTGGAAAATAATGAATCATTTAATTGCCATCTTATCTGCATTAATACATAATCTGGCCTCTCTCCCTCCTTCAGCTGAGGGAGACACAAAGGTGGTGGTCTTGGAGGTCAGTCCAAGAAAGCAGCAATATGTGGGTGAGTGAATGCAGAGATATTATGGAAGAAAAACATTTGAAGGGTTAAAATTATTTCTCTGCATGCTTCTTGATTCTTGCTAAGCTCTGACCCCCACTGCTTTTGCCTCTTAATGAAAGCAGCAAACATAGCTTCCTCCTCCTTATTTTTTCAATCAAGGCTCACGGCATCTACAGAATTTATTACTATCCCTTTCCTGGCTGGTGCCAGAACCTCAACTTGACCTGACAAATCCTCTTGCCATGGAAGCACATGAACTTATCTGAAGTGGCTGGCTTCAGTGGCTTCTAAGCACATTTGCCCAACCACCAGTCATGCGTTTAGTGTCCATGGATGACAGGGCTTGTCCATGTCTCCAAGGCCACAGGCAGATGATTGCTGGAGGATAAATTCTTGCATCCCCATTCAAATTCATCTCCTACTCCAAATCCCAACCTCAATATGACTATGAAGTCTGAAGGGCTCCACAGCTCCTGTCTTCTCTCTGTTACATTGCTTCTTCCTTTCACATCCCTCCTCTGCCTCACTACCCTTTTTCCTTCATTCTCTTCTCCCCTTCTACCTCTCCCCCAAACACTTTATCTCTCCCATCTTCTCTTCCTTCTATCCTTCTTCCACATAAGCTACACAGGGAAATCTCTTTCTTCTCTACCCTTATCCTTTAAACACAAAATCAATCTTGAGTATCTTTTGAGCTCCCTCTTCTCATTCTGGCTGGAGGCTGGGGATAGCTAGAAGAGTTCTGGATGTGCTTTTTATCCTGATTTGTCTAAGATGCTGATGGGAACTGGGATCTCTGCTCCTATTGAGTCAGAGTTGCATGCTTGAAGGTGATAGCTCATGACTGGCCCATCCTGGAAACTATTAAGAAAGAAAGTGTGAAGGTCTGTCAGTCAACTATATGTATCAAGTGTCCAGTCTATTCAAAACCCTGCACTCAGTGCTGTGGAAAGATTGGAAAGAAGCAAATGGTCCTTGCTCAAAATAAAAGAGACACATATCTAGAAATGCCTAAACAAGTGTAAGTATATTGCAGCTGCCTAAAGCAATCCTCTATCAGAACAGCACAAGGTAAAAAGGGTGAGTATACAAATTATGTTAACAGCCAAAGAGCAGGTTTTCTTCACTGAAGTCAAAGGTTTATGTCAGAATTGTAAGAGGCAAGGATAGCTGGAAAGGGAACAGAAAGCAGAAAATTCAATCTATGGAGATACCTGTTTTGCATGTCCATTTCATTCCAGCCTCTGATGATACAGCCCTCTGCTCATCCTAAGTCCCTACCCATGAGGCCAAACCCTATCACTAGGTGAGGACAGTCTCAACACACAGGGACTTTGTCTACCTTGTGCCCAGAAGGCCTGGTTGCTGAGGTGGCATCGTATGGCCCATGCTCATCAATCTGCCTATCCTCTTGTTCTTCCCCTATCCCCAGCAGGGAGAGAGTTTCTAGTCTAAGAAATGGGGCCAGGATGAAGGCTCACTGGGAGAAGGGAGTGTGCGTCTTTTTATTCATAGCTAGAAGCTGGCATAGTGTGACCACTTGCAAAGATTTGCTGCCCTTTGCCTTCCTGAAGGCCTAGGCCACTGCTCTTCCTTTCTTTTCATCCAAAAATAATGCATTTAAGAGAACCAAGTCATCCCATGGTCTCTGGGAAACCCTGATTGTCTCACTCCTCCTTACCAGCCTCCAGCTCCCTCTTTCCTCACTCCCAATCTCTCCCCAGACCAATGCAGTGAATGCCATAGGGCCTCACAAAGGCATCCTGGCACATTTTCCTGCTGGCCCAAAACCAAGCAAAGGAAACAACAGTTGGTCCTGCTGATTCAGCAAATCTCTGCGCAGCCCGAGTTTCAAAGGTCACTTACGAGAAAAGGCAGCTGGGGTCGGGGCTGGGTGGAGAAGGAATGGAAGGGAGGGTAACATTAAAAAAGAGGGAAGGGCTGGGACAAACATCAGGGCTCACAATCTGGAAAGAGACTCAACTGCTGAATTTACACCCCATGTAAAGATTTTTGGACAAGCTGCCTTGTTGGGAAGCCTGAACATTTTTTTTCACTGGAGCCTAAGCATATCTCAGTGGCCCTGGGCACAGGGCAATGGCAGCTTAGTAAGGAGTTCTTAGTAAGAGGCCCTGGGGACACTCTCACTGCACCCAGCAGACTCTCAGAGGTGAGGCCATCTGGCAGGGTTTCCAAGGCTGGGACCACTGTAGCAACTTGCTCCTCTGCTTCTGGAAAAGCACAAAGTGCAGGTTCCCACAGAGGCTCCAAAGGGCTGCTTATTTCCATGGAAGAAAGGGGTGGTCATCTTTATTTCAGTCAATGAGGGCATTAACAAAAAGAAAGGGAATCAGGGCCAGGCGTGGTGGCTCACGCCTGTCATCCCAGCACTTTGGGAGGCTGAGGCGGGCAGATCACAAGGTCAGGAGATCGAGACCATCCTAGCTAACATGGTAAAAACCCGTCTCAACTAAAAAATGCAAAAAAATTAGCTGCTCATGGTGGCGGGCGCCTGTAGTCCCAGGTACTCGGGAGGCTGAGGCAGGAGAATGGCGTGAACCCAGGAGGCAGAGCTTGCAGTGAGCTGAGATCGTGCCACTGTACTCCAGCCTGGGTGACAGAGCGACACTCTGCCTAAAATATAAATAAATAAATAAATAAATAAATAAATAAATAAATAAATAAATAAAAAAGGGAATCAGGAGTAAGGCAAGGGCAAAGCTAAATCTTTCAGGCTGAAAGGAATTTCAGGTAACCACTGGATCACACAGTGTTCAAGATCCAGATGGTTGAGAACATGGGCTTTGGGCAAGCACGCCTGGGGAGAAATCTTGGTACCTCCCCAGCTGTGAGACGTCGCCTTCACTGTTTACTTTCTTTTAGCCTCTGTTTTTCCACTTATAAAATGGGGAAAATATCTACCTTAAAGACTTGTCGTAAAGTTGTAAAAATTACATATCATTTATTTAGTACTGTTTGGGGTACATAGTAAGTGCTCAATACATTGCAGTATTTCTACAGATAAAGAAACCAAGATGGCAGATCAGCTGAGGTCAGGAGTTTGAGACCAGCCTGGCCAACATGGTGAAACCCTGTCTCTACTAAAAATACAAAATTAGCCAGGGATGGTGGTCCATAGTAGTCCCAGCTACTCGGGAGGCTGAGGCAGGAGAATCACTTGAATCTAGGAGGCTGAGGTTGCAGTGAGCTGAGATTGCGCCACTGCACTCCAGTCTGGGCCACAGAGCGAGACTCCATGACCCCAAAAAAAAAGAAAAAGAAAAAGAAAAAGAAACCAGGGCCCAAGAAAGATAAAAGGTTCACCTGTTGTCAGATGACAGTGACAGACTAGAATGCAGGCTCAGGGTTTCTTCTACACTGCCAGGCCACCTTTCTACATGTGCTCTATTCTCATTTAGCCATTCCAGACACAGGAATGTTGAGCATACCCTGAAAAGCAACCAGCAGCACAAATCCACCATCCCTCTGTGATCTGTAATGCTGTCTCACAAATTTCTAGTTGGCAAAGGCTTCTTTAAGCCCAACTAAAACCTCTTCTGTTGAATTTTAAGATTATTTGCACTTCTCTTAAGGATATCAAAGAGATCTGAGTTATCACCCGATGCCCCATGGTGAGAACAATCACCCCTATTTCCTAATTAGGAAAATTACAGTCTCATCTAGGAGAAGGTACACTGACTTGTCAAGGACAAAAGTGGAGAGTGAGGGAAATGGCATCTGAACCCAGGAAGTGCTTCCCACTTCTTCAGAATGAGGCTGAATCAATTTCTCCAAGTTCCTCCTTCCTAGGGATGGAAGGTAGACCTGTACTTTTCAGAACTCTGAGGTCAGAAAGCTGAAAAGAACAGCAGGGAGGGACTAAGAGGCCTGATGTGTGGTTGTGGGTTTTCTTCTCTTAAAGACTTTTCTTACATGAGATATCTTCCAGGAAAATGAAAACAAATGAAAAAGAAAAGATGGTGGCCTTCTAAAATTCTCTCCCAGGGTGTTTGTGACTGTGAGGCCACCATAGGCAAAGACTGCTGATGTGTGTGTGTGCCCGGGTGGGGGTGGAGGGCAGACTGTTTTGCTGTTGCTCTTTGGTTGGAATAAGGGATCTGGGAGGGTTATGTAACTCTTCAAGACTGGTGTGCGTGCTGAGCGGCACCTTTCCTCCCTGGCAGGTGGGCTGCTATGGTCATGCGGGCAGCCTGTCCAAGTCCCTGCCCAGAGAAGGGCCCCGTGCTCTGTGCTGGCATCAGACCATTCCCTCTAAGCCACAGCTTCAGGGGCTAGAGGCTTTTAGGAGCTGGGCCAGGGTCTCCTAGCCCCATTGGGGAGTTAACCAGATATCAGAGCTAGAAGGATTCTTTAAGGTAACCTGTTCAAGATTCTCATTTGGCAAATGAGAAAACTAAGGCCTGAGGAGGAAGTGACTGTTGCTTCCAAACTAGCTAGTGTCAGAACTAGGTTTAGAGCTCAGATTCTCTTAACTCTTCATCCACTGCTCTCAACATTATGTGACGATGGACCAAAAGAGCCCATCAGGGCTGCTTCACAGGTGTGCAAGGCCAAACTTACAGCTAGTCCCATAACCCCAGGGAGGTCCCCGTGCCTTCCAGGATATCTCAACTATGTTAATAATTCCACAGTCAGAGACGACTTTAGGTACTTCAAGGTTATCCTCCTTGTTTAAATGCAAATTCTCCTAGGAAGGGGGACAAATCAACACATTTATTCTTATTAGTCTTTTATACTTTAGTGTGAAAGAGTTTATTTGAGCAATCTCCCAGAGAAGGGTTTGGTAAGAAGGGAGGATACTGGGGTAGCAGTGGTTAACTAAAGGCCAGGGAAGGAGGCTGCTAAGGAGCTGAAGGGCTCATGAGGGAGGCAGATCAGTCTAAATGTATTTTTAGCTCAACTAAATTTTGCAGAGAATTGGAATTGCCTTGTTTGGCTCTGGTAAGGAAAGGGGAGGGACACAGGGCACTTCCACTGACTGGTCATGGAATAGTAAGTCTTTGGGCTGTAGAAGGGATACTTTTCCAACGAACTTCATGTGTGGAAGACATAAAGCAAGAAGTTAAAGAGCATCATGATGTGTGATAAGCTTGTTTGCTCCTTTCTAGGATCTTAAAATAATTTTTTGGATGGTGAAATGTCACATGACTCTGTTGGGGTTTGCTATGGGGCAGGAAGATGTGGGCAGGAAGAGCTGGCAGGCAGCAGAGGTTGGTGTCGCACGAGCCTGAAGGGGATGGGAGATGAGAGTCAAACTCAACACCTAGAAGGTGCATGATAAATACTGGTTGAATACATAAACTCTCCGTCTGTAGGGCCCAGGCAGGCTCATGGATTGTTGAGTGGAGGTGGGTTGTGGTATCAGGGCTGAGGAAGAGTTGGGCAGAAGGGAGGACCCCTGGGTCCAACAGCACAGCTCACTGTCCTGAAGCTGAGCCCATGCGGAAAGCTGCTCTCAGAGGTTCAGTTCTTCAGGCTGGTTGGGGTGTGAGACGGATGAGGGGTGAGGAGAAGACTGCCCCCGGCAATAAACAGAACCGACCCCAATCCTAGCTATGAGCAGGGAGAGCCCTCTACTCCCTCTGCCCCCAGCCTCTGACCACTCTGTCAGCCCAGGAAGCTGCATTAAGAACAAATCTCTGCAGTGAGAGTTTCATCACACACACACACACACACACACACACACACACACACACACACACAAGGCCTCAGCAGGTGGAGTGAGAAACGGGCAATGGGCCTATGAAGGCAGGAGGGAAAGGAGGCTGGCATTGTGGCCGTATCTCTGGGGGAAAAGAGAGGAAAGAGCTGGATTCCGGGGTCATGAACCAGCAGCACCCAGATTCCAGGCCCCTTACCAGGCAGGATCAGCTGTGTTCAGGGAAGTGTCAATACCGTGACGGGACGGTGAGCAGGTGGTGCGCAGGCGTTTGTGGACCTGAGTGGGCACGACTGCGTGGGCAACTGTGTGTTACTGACTTGGGCTGGGGGAGTTGGAGGACAACCCACACTATACTAAAGATGCATAGGCTTCACAGCAAAGATCAGCATAGCTTTATCTCAGTATCTCCCAATGACCCCTGGCCTGGTCACGCCATCAGCACTCCCAGTTCCTTTTCCTTTCTCTGCATGAAGTGTTTCATCTCCATTGGCTAGCCAGATCCTCCTGGTTCTTCCCCTCTGTAAAATGGGGCAAATCTACCACGCCTCCATACCCACTCTGTCTGGAGCATGCGGGAGACCAGGCCCCAGAGGCGTGAGCTCCTGGGAAGAAGGCTGTGTGGAAGGGGACAGGTACAGGAGCTGTGCCACTGAACTCTACGGAGGTATAGTGTCTGGAAGCTCAGGTACGGGGCGGCCAGACACACACAAAGCTGTAGTGTGATTTTCCCTGCAGGATATCTCGGCCTAGCTGTGGCCAGGGCCTGGTACCAATGACCTCTCAGGGCTTTGGATGCACCAGGTCAAACCAGCCAACCACCTGCCTCCAATCAGGAATGCACGCCCCATCCCAGGCAGAGAGACAAGGGAGTTCCACAATTTCTTCCTTGATGAATGATTCCTATCTACCACAATTTTCATTCAATGCATCAAATCAACCAATGATTATTTAAAAACAGCAGCTACAAAAACTCTGCAAAGCGGGTGGGAATTTCCTGCTTGGGTCTAGCCTCCGTGTTTCCCGCGCACAGCCCGGTCTTTACCCTGGATGCTTCCGAACCGGCATCATCTGGCATCTCCGACAGTCTTGATGCGACTTAACGCATGGTAAGAACCCATCAGAGAAGGCCAAAGGGATTTCCAGAGACAGGTAGAGGCACTGCGCTGGGCAGCACCAGGGAGGAATATTATCTTTTCAAGCAGCTGGACTCTGACCTAGAAGCCGGAACTCCTGAGTACTGAGGTCAGCACCTCTCTCACACACCCCCAGCTATAAGCTTGAAGGAAGCCCCTCCCCTTCTCTGGGCCTTGATTTCCCCTCCTGCTCAGTGGGGACGTTCTTGGTCCTCCTTCTTGCCCACTCTACCCAGTCGCCGAGTCTGGCGAAGCAGAGCTGTCTGGGGGTCACCGCAGCAGGAGGGACCGAGCTTAGATACGAAAAAAGACTTCTACACGGCAAGAGCCACAGAAAGGACGCTCCAGCTGGCTCAGCAGAGGGGCATCTCTCCCTTTCAAGAACAAAAGGTGGCAGGTACCCGGGGGCCCTGGGGCAGAACGAGGTAAATTCTGCACGGACTTCCACATCTAAGACCCCAGAAATCTCCAGCCGGCTCCCTCCGACCGTGAGTGCGTAAAACCCGGGAGCAGCAGGAGGGGAGGGCGGGGGTGCAGCTGGCCCCCCTGGGGTGTCCCCTCAGTCCCTGCGCCCCCGACCCTCGCCGGGCCAGCCTGGGGAAAGCCTTTCCGCCTCCGTGCGCTGCCCCGACTCCTACGTGGGGAGGGAACGTGGAGTCGGGATCTCGGCGGCGTGGGCGGGCCGGCTGGCAGCCGGCAGGCGAGAAGGAATCTCCCGGCCCACGCGCCCCCTCCCAGCGTCCAGCCTCGCACTTCCTCGCGGGGGCGGCGGCGAGGACCTGCACCCCGGCGCGGGGAAGCCGCGTGCCCACAGCCTCCGCGCGCCCCCGCCGCCCCGCTGAGGAAGGCGGCTGCTGAGTCACCCGCGAAGGGAAGCGCGGCCCGGGCGCCCCCGCCTCCCCGCGCCCCAACCCCCGCGCACAGCCGCCCGCCCACGGTGTCTGGGGCCTCCCGGCGCAGGGCGCCGCCTCCTCCCGCGTTCCCGGCCCGAGGGGGCTCGGAAGGGGCTTCGGCGCTGCGGCACCGCCCGCCGCCAGCCCGGGGAGCATCGGGGCCGCGGCCTTCGGGCCGGGTGCTGGGTGCTGGGTGCGCGCCCCTCCTCGGCCTCCACGGGCCGCAGCCGGGGCTAGTGTGATGGTGCGAGTAGATTGCCTTGGAGAAGAAGGGGACATTGAGGCGGGGGCGGCTAGGAGGGGTCGGGGATGAGGACGGTGACACCGAGGTACAAATTCTACTCAGCATCCACCTTTCCTGTCTTCCTTGTACCCAAGACACCTCAGCAAAAAAAAAAAATAAATTTAAAACTCCCAGCCTTATCTTGGCCTTCTCATGTTTATGTTTGTGTTTTATCGCATCACAGTCTTAGAATTCCCAGGGCTGTAGGTCTCCTCAGCCTACGGTGCGGCATAATAGTTCTGAGCAGGGCCCTGGGTTTGAATCTCGACTCAGTCGTTCACTAGCTGTGTGATCTCAAGCAATGAGAGCCTCGCGTTTCCCGTTCGTAAAATAAGGAATACGAATGGTACCACCCTCCTGGGATTGCTGGGAAAATTCAGGGGTGATGCCAGTAAAGCGTCAGGCAAGCCGAGTGCCTGGCACGCAGTGAGGGCTCGACGCGGGGTGGTTGCTGTCACTTTGGGACCCTTCCAGTGGCAGAAGGTGCTCTTTGAAGGTGAGAGGCCTCACCACCCCCCACCCTGACCCCGGCATCTTCTAAGGGGCTCTGAACAGGACTCCTTCCCTGTTTGACTTCACACCCTTTCAAATATTTGAAGGCAGATAGCCATCCTTCCCTTCCCTTGCCTTCCAGTCCACTGACACCCCTCCGCCATCTACTTTCAGGAGAACATACCTGATCCTGGCACTTCCTGCTCCTCATGGTTCTGCGGGTGGCCCTGCCTCACCTGGGTTACTGCTCTCCGAGAACACAGAGGGAGCTGGGAGTGAGCCCTGCAGCGCAGGGGCTGTGGCCAGACCAGCTTTGGGCACAGGGAGGCCCTCCCTCACCCCCCGCCTAGCTTTGGATGGTGGCTAGGGACCCACTGGCTTTCTCAGCCCCAGCCACAGATGGGACCTATCACACATGAGGTCAGCTAAAGCCTCAGGGCTCTTTCACTTGAAGGACTCTGGCTTCTGGCCACCTGTACTTGTACAGGTGGCTTTTAACATACACACAAAATTGCTAATGTAATTTGCTTTTAATGTAATTCACCTTTTCCTTTCTTTAAGAGATGGTGACTCTGTCACCCAGGCTGGAGTACAGTGGCACAATCATTGCTCTCTGCAGCCTCGAACTCCTGCGCTCAAGTGATCCTCCCACCTCAGCCTCCCAGGTAGCTAGGACTACAGGCATGCATCACGACACCTGACTAATTTTCTTTGTTTTTGTAGAGACGGAGGCCTCCCTATGTTGCCCAGGCTGGTCTCGAACTCCTGGCCTCAAGCAATCTTCCCAATTCAGCCTCCAGAGTAGCTTGATTTACTCTTTTCAAATAGACAATACATTGACCTAGTACAAGATTCAAAAGAAAAGAGTTTACAGTGAAAAGCATCGCCCCCATCCTTGTTTCCTAACCACTCGAATTCCTGCCCGCCCCCACACCTTCCAGCAACCACTATTATTTCTCACGTCTTTCCAGCTATATGTACATTTAAGCAAAATGTTTATTTCTTTTTACAGAGATACTAGTATCCTATATGCTGTTCTGCACCTTGAGTTTTGTTCCCTAATAATGTATCTTAGTGATCTTTCCTTATTAAATATAAAAAGAGCTGCCGCGTTCTTTTTTAATAGCCGCAAAATATTCCACTGTATGGCTGTGAAGCTAGGTCCTTTCTGCTGTCTGCTGAGAGTTTTGGAAGGCAAGTAATTATTTAAGGTGGGCTTTCTGAGGGCCAGAGAGGGGAGGAAGCAGGTATGATTGAGCAGCTGCATTTGAACTTGCCTCTCTGGCTGACGTGCTGCTGCAGCCTCCTGCAGACATGGGTCAGTTGCAGCAGAAATACGATTCGGCAAGTGCTTCTCCGTCTGAAAACTCCAGCTTGGTTCACTTTTGCTCCCCGGGGCTCCCTTTGTTGTCAGCAGTTATCAAGTTTGGGGGAGCCATCAGGGTGTTAGCATCTGGCTCTAAACCAGCTGAAGGTGAGTCCTACAACCCCAGCAGTTTCAGGAAGCCTTCCTGAACCGATCTGATAAATAAATAGATGTTCTTATAGCCTCACTCCTTACTTTTCACCCCAGGCTGAGCACACACCAGTCCTTGCTAAGAACAAAATTAGTTCTTTATTCTTGTGGCTTAGAAAAGCTTGTTTTCTTCTTTCTGTAAGTATATATTTTCCTGGCATCTGTATTCTTCCTTTCACTTAACAAATATTTATTATCTGCTGTGTGCCAGTTACTATTCTAGGCCCTGGGGTATAGCAGTGAACAAAAAAACTCCCAAATTCCTTTATGAAGCTTACAGACAAACAAGATCACTAATGAAAACTTATAGTGCATCTGATGGGATAAGAGCCCTGGAGAAAAAGCAGAGAAGAGACCCGGAATAAAGGAATCTGCACTTTCAAACTGGGTGCCCTGGGGAGACAGCACCTGAGCAAAGTCCTGGAGGAGGGGAGGGAGGGAGTTCTGTGGCTGTCTGGGGACGGGCATTCCTGGCAGGACAAACAGCTAGCATAGAGGCCAAGGGTGGGACCCTGCCAGGTTGTTCAAGTAAGACAAGGGCCGAGAGCACAGGGAGAGGCGCCTGAGGCCAAGTCAGAGAGATTGTTGGGGCATGGGAGGGTAGGAGGGTGCAGGCGCGTAGCAGATCTTGTAAGAGATTCTCAACTGGGATTTCCAGGTCCACCAGGGAGCATTTGGAATGTGTGGGCACATTTTAGTTGTCACAAATGCTGATGGGGCTTGGATGAGGAAGGTTGTTGTTCTGTGGCATGCAGTGGGTAAGGGCCATGTCAAACATCCTGCAGTGTGTGGGACAGACCACACAGTGAAGAATTTTCCTGCCAGAAATGCCCCTGTTTCTTGTTGTTGAGGGCATTGGAGTCCGTTAGGAAGTGTTTGGCTTTTACCTTCAGAAAAACTAGGAACCAGTGGATGACTTTGAGCAGAGGGTGCTTAAAAGGAACTTTGGATGCTGGTTTGAGAATAGACTGAAGAGGGAAGAAAGGCAGAAGCAGGGAGTTCAGGTAGAAGGTTGTTACACAGCCCAGGTAAGAGATGCTAGTAGCTTGGACCAGGGTAGTAGCAATGAAAGTATGATCTGCAGCCAAGACAACAGTACTTCCTGAGGGATCAGTGTGGGATGTGAGACAAAGAGGAGTTGAGGATGAGCTCAAGGTTTGGGGCCAAAGTTATTAGAAGGATGGGATGGAGAAGTCCATGGGGGATGAGGAGGTTTGAGCATTTGACGGATGGCGTTTGAGACAGCTCTTAGATGTTTGAGAGGAGATGTGCAGTAGGCATTTGGAATGGGCTGGAGGTATAACTTTGGGATGCTTTTAAAGCCTTGAGACTGGGCCACGCCACCAAGGAGTGAGAACAGAAGATGAAAGAGGCCTAGGGCAGATTTGCAATGCACACAACACTAAAAGGTGGGCATGGGAGCTGAGAAGGAGCACCCAGAGGGAGGAGAACAGCCAGGAGAAGCACCTAGTGTTCTGGCAAAGAGCGTTTCAAAGGCTGCTGAAACGTGGAGGATGCAGACTGAGAACTGTCCATTAGCTTTAGCAACATTCAGGTAATTGGTGACCTTGAAAAGCATAGTCTTGGGAGTGGATTTGGAGGCTTGATTAGTGGGTTTGAGAGAGAAGGGAGGAGAGACTTTAGAGACAAATCAACCAAATAGAACATGTGGACCTTTGATCCGGCTTGATTTAGACAAAGCCATTGGAACTAGACATTTTTAAGACAGTCGGGGAATTTGAACGTAGATGAAGTATTAGGTGATGTTAGAAAATTGTTAATTTAGTTAGGTATGATTATGGTACTCATATCTTTTTAAAGTTCTTACCTATTAGAGGGATACATTGTGGGTGAAATGATATTTCTGGGGCTTGCTTTATAACACTGTAGCAAAAAAGTTGGGAAGTAGAAGACTGGCAAAATATATGTTTGACATTTCCCTAATAAAATGTGTAAAAGATGCCAGAATGGGAGGAATTGTAGAAAGTTCTGATGAGTTTTGCTATAAAGAGAAGCAAAGAAATGGGGTGACCGCTGAAGGGACGAAGCGGGTTCAAGACAAAGGATTGTTCTTTAAGATGGGAGAAGTCATAGCATGTTTGTTTCAGCAGCATGTCAGCTAACTACACATGCTGACCGTCCACCGCAGCAAAGGCCCTGTCCTAACTCCTGTAGGGAAACTGAGAATGACTACATCACTCCTGGAGGAAAGTCATCATTTAATGAAAGCTGACATTGACCATGCACTTACTATGAGTGAGGCACGGTGTTAAGCACTTTACAAACTTTCTCTCGATGTGTCCTAATAACACCTTCCCGAGCTAGGCTCCATTCTGTATTCCAAGCAACGTGAGGTTGCTTGTGCAGATTCACACTCAGCCAGTGTGACCCTGGCAGGCAGTGCTCCTAGCCTCTACTCTCCATGGCCACCCCGCAGACAACTACAGTAACATGCATCCAAATCTCCAGGAGAAGTTTTTTCCAAATCCACGTGGCCCAGCCTCAGCACTGGAGACTGTTGTTCAGCAGGGGATAGGGGAAAGAAGACAGCCACAAATGCTTGCAGTGAGGCTCTCAGGAGGTTCTGACGCAGTTCCCTGCTGGAAAACCATCAGGATATATCAGCCTGGGCACACTCACTTATCGTCGCATACACCAGGGTTCACACCGGTGCTGTGGGTAATTAGGCTGGCTGAGGCTAGGGAAAAAATTAAAATGTGATGAGCTGGGCTGTACAGGAGAAAGGAGAGGAGGGCAGCTGAGCGTGGCATTGTCATTTAGGGATGGGAAATTCTGTTTAGGTTCCTCAAGGGCCAGAATCATATGTATACATTCATTTCACAAGTATTTGTTGAGCACCTACGGCATGTCAGGGGCACAGGGATTCGCGGTGAACAAGTCGAACAAAGCCCCTGCCGTCATGGAGCTCCCATTCCAGAGGAGAAGGCAGATATTTAACAAGAAAATTCACACACGTATAACAGAAATTCCCAAGGACTAGAAGAAAAGTACGGGGGTGGCTAGGGGGAGGATAGCTCTGAAGAGAAGTCCTCACTTAGGGGGTGGCATCTGAGCAGAGAGATGAAATAAAACAGAGCACGTGAAGACCTCAGGGGAAAGCGTTCCGTGTAAAGGCCCTGGGGCTGAAGGAAAGGCATGTGTTCAAAGAACAGAAGAAGGGAAGGGGGGCCAGAGGGGAGCAAGAGAGGGAGGAAAGAGACAGGGAGAGGAGATGGCATCACAGTGGGCCTTCTGAGGGAGTTTGTGGGGAGAGAGGTTGATGGGAAGGCGGGCGGGGGAGGAGGTGGGTTGAGAAGTGGAATGATGTGATCCACACTAGAAAACAGAGCTTAGGGGTTCAAAGGCAGAGAAGGGAGAGCAGTTCAGCAGGGAGCCCCGGAGCGCCGTGCACCCTTGTTTGGTGTCCACTCATTTATCCAACCTTCCTTTCAACCTCCACTTACTTGATTTCTGCTGTGTGCTCGACATTGCTGTGCATTTGTTATCTCATTTATCCACATGGTACTGACGGGAAGATATTACAGTCCCTACTTCACAGAGGCAAACTGAGGCTCAAAGAGGTTAAGGTGATCCACCCAGGGTCACACAGCTAAAGTGACATCTTCAGGATTCGTGTGTGAGCCTCTTACACCCTGGCATAGCTGTCCTCACTGTAAGAGGAGTCCCCTGTGGTGTGGGAAGTGCTTCCCCCAGGCAAAGCCTAATCTGGGACAGAGACCATTGTTCAGGAACAGAAAGGCTGGTGGCATCGTGCCCATATGACAGTTGTTCACGTTGCTGCAGCTCTGAATTTGGCCCGTGGCCCACTCATCTCAGTGCCCAGCCTGGCAGGACTGGGCTTGATGACTGGCAGAGTACCACCCACATGCAGCCACAAGATGAATGGTTTACAGGTCCCCATGGGACATCACATCCCTGCGTGGCCCATATGGTCAGGAGGGTTCACATAGTGGACAAAACATCCTTGTTCTCAGCTCTGCATGTGTGCGTGTATGCCTGCACATGTGTGCACGGGCAGGGTTGTATGTGAGAATATGTATGTGTGTATGTATGCATTTACAAATCCAGGAGTGTGCACACATGTGCAGGATGGTGTGTGCATAGGTTTGGGGCGTTTAGGACCTATGTGCATTGTTGTAAGAGCTCTGAATGAGTGCATGAAGGGAAGCCTGCATGTATATGTGTGTCCACCAAGAGGTACGGGTGTATGTTTGTGTGTACACATCTTTGTGCACCCAGGCAGGTGTGTATGAGTATGTTGAGCCTTTGGGTTTAGCAGATTCACCAGAAGCAAACAGCTGTTTTTGTGGGCATGTGATTGAGGTACCTGAGCAGTCTATGCTAGAAGGTCAGTTGAAGCTCTGGAATTGGGGATTGGCTGGGTAGGTTTTGATGTTTCTGTCAAACTTCAAGAGTCTGACTGTGCTATGAAGGGCAAGATCAAGGCTCTTCCACTCACAGCCCAGAGGCCACCTCCTCTGCAGATGCCTGGGGTCAGGGGGTACAGTGAGAATGGATGCCAGAAGCAGCGTGCAGCAAAAAAAGTCAGAGCTGTGGGTCCTCGGGAGGTCGTCAAACCTCCGTTAGCCTCAAATGGCATTAATAATAATAATGACATTAATTATCATTAGTATCATATTTTTCCATGGGATTACTCTTAGGATGTTCAGAAAGGTTTTTTAAATCAGAAACATGCATAAATGCAGTGTTGCTATTGGTCAGGACTTGCCTTCGCCATTCCTGGAGAAACACTGCGTGCCCACAGCTGACGAAAGGTGGGTTAGGAACGCTGTGGAGGCATGCTGCCCTGGCGCTGTGAGGCAGGACTTGGTGAGGAGCAGCCTCAGAGCCTGGCAGAGGCCCAATGGCTTTGATCCGTCCTTTCAAGCTGGCTTTGCCTAGCTGCCAGGCACCCATCTGCCAGGTAATACAGAGATCTCTTGTGAGGGAAGCTGGCAGGATGCAGCCACGGGCCCAGCTCTGCAATTCATGCTGTGCTGCCACGCCTGGCACTGGGAGCCCTCTTGGCTCCCTGCAAAGTCTGCTGGAGTTCAAAGAACTAGGCCTCAAGCTGGGCAACTAAATGGCTCTGGCATTTCTGACAGTGCCACCCTGCTGGGCAGGAAGAGAGACAGTGGCATGGAGCTCGAGGACTGACAGCAAGCTCTCACTGTTCTGGGGCTGGGCTGAGTGGCGGGGTGAGCATGGCCGAAAAGGAAGCTAGGGCCTCCTGGCATGCTCAAGTTACAGCCTGGGTTTCCTGTTCTGAGTTAAGCTCCCCCAAGACTGCCAGGTAGATGCCAAGGCTGTGATACTGAGCAAATATCTTAGACTCTCTGAGCCTCCTCATCTGTAAAATGAGGATTAGTTATAGAGATGTTGTACTGCCTTGAGCGTGTGTTGATACTGATGAGTAGGTCTGTGTCTCTAGCATGTGTTGTGCCTTTGTTTCCAGGCATGTGCATGTTTCATATATGTGCACACTTAATCCCCCATTTCTCTCCAGCACCCTTAGGAATCGGGATTTATTCACACATTCAGTCAACAAACCATTTCTGCTCTAAGCCATGTGCCAGGCTATGTTCTGTACTGGATGTAGAGATGAATTGGTCACAGGCATGGCTCTGGAAAACTCATTCTAGTATAGGGAGATATGACATGTATATAAACATCAGTGATACAGAGTGGAAAAAATAGATGTTGCATTCCACTAATGTCTCAGGGAAGCTGCTGAAGGAGTTCAGAGGTGGGCGCTTCCGGCCTAGGTGGGGCAGAGGCCAGCAGGGTTGGGGGTGAGCACAAAACAAACAAGGGAAGGCTTTGTGGGAGGAATGTCTTTGGCACTGGACTCTGAAGGCTGGGCAGATTCTGGATGTCTAGATTTCTGAGAAGCCTGGGATCACTGGCTGAGATGGCCATCACCTTTAGCCTATTTCCTAATTGTAACATGGTGGTATGGGTACAGGCTTTGCTGTCCCCATAATACTGTGAGGCTTTGGAGTGTGCGGTAATCGGGTCTGGGACAGTGAGGGCTTACTCATTGGACCAGGCTCAGATCTAAGCATTTTAGATCTGTTAGCTCATTTGCTCATCACAATAAGCCTTCGAGATAGATGCTGTCCATATCCTATTTTATGAGTAAGGAAACTGAGGCTCAGTCAGGCAAAGATATTAACAGGAAAATAGCAAAGACGGACTTTGAACTCCAGACAGCTCCTGCCTACCCCATATCAGCGCACGGCCTAGTACAAGCATTTTTGTGTGTGTGTGCCTGCTCTGTGCTAGGTATTGTACTAAGCACAACACAGGTATCTTGTTTGACCTTCACAACAACCTGATGAGGTCATTTCTTGTATGACCTCCCTTTTACAGTTCAGGAGACCGAGGCTGAAGAAGATCAGATAATCTGCCTGTGATTCCACACCCATCTTTTGGAAGGGCAAGGATGCTATGCAGGTCTTCCCAGATCCTTAGATCTGGGAAGGCCTACAGCTCTCCGTGAAATTGTGCTCTCTCCTGTGGTTCTAGAAAGGGCCTCCATGAAATTCCTTCCCCAAAGTGTTCTGTGGCTCCCTCTCAGCTATATGCAGGTGCACTCCTAGGACCAGAGGCAAATAACCAACAACATGCTGTGAGAGCTACCTCAAAACTCAAAATAACAAAACAGATCTCTGTTTTGCTCAGAAATCTGTAGTTTTGGCAGAGCTTATTGGGGACAGCTTTTTTCTGTTCTGCATCATATCTGCTAGAGGGGCTTGGAGGATGGAGGTTCATTATCAGGATGGTCATCAAGCGGCTGTCAAGCTGGGGATGGCTGTTTGTTCCTTTCCATGCACGCCTCTCCATGGAGTCATTTGGGCTTCCTCCCAGCATGAAGGCTGATTTCCTCTCATCACCATGCAAAAAAAGTACTAGGAAAACCAGGGCAGAACACTTCTCTGAAAGTCATGGGAGGGGAGTGTTTCAAATAGGGAGATTTGGGCCAACGTATGCTACAGAAAAGTGAAGTCAGACGCTGAGAAGTTCTTAGATTTGGCAACTAAGAGATCACTAGGGACCTCCCTAGATTAAATTCTGCTAGGCCTCTGGGGGAAGAACCCAGATGACAGCAAGTTGGCAAGAGATCAAGGTGAAAGGAAGCTCACACAAGCAGACAACTCTTTTTGGAAGACTGACTGCAGAAGGAAAGAGTTGTAACCAGGGGAGCAGAGTTGTAGGGAATAATCATGGTTTTAGGATGAGAGATTTGAGCATGTTTATATGCTGAAGAAAAAGGGCCTATGAAAATAATGACACTGAAGACCAGTGGGGGAGGAAAGGGGGTAAAGAGCGATAGGGCTTGGAGGGAAGGCAAACAGCTCTTCCTTGAGATCAAAGGTATCAGAAGTAGGACACATTCATAACAGCTACCATGTATTAGCCGTGTTCTGTTGTAAGGGCTTTCAAAGTGTTTTAACTCATTTCATCCTTATACAGTCCTTTAAAAAAGTTCTGTTGTATACGTGCGGTTAGGTAGGATTCCTCAGGAAGGATTCCCGCAGGCTTCACCGAAAGGAGGACTATGGCGGGCCCTTGCAGGGAGGGGCACGCAGCACCTCTCTAAGGCCAGCATGACTGGACACGGCAGAGCTGGCTTCCCGAAGCAGCAGGAGGGCTTCGGGTTAGAAGCATGTTTTCTCAGCTGTTTCTTAAAAAAGGAAACTTATTTTTTTCAAAATTAAACCTAACAGATATTCCTAAGACATAAAACTAACCAAATCAGAGCTTCATTAGTTGAATGGAAGGTTCTGTGCTCTGCCTTCTCCATTCTCCTCTTAACCTTAATAAGGTCCCTGCAGCAGCTGGTGGGGCACTGGGCCTCTTCGGAGTACAACAGAAAAAACACTGAGTTACTGCAAGACCAAACTCATACTCTTTTATGAACATCTGAAAAACGTACAGTGTGTTTTTAGGAAAAACCTCACTGAATAATAAAGGGGCAGGTCACTGTTTTCCTAGGACTCTGTTATCCTTCTTTTCCTTGATGGCAGAGGCATGGACTAGAAGAACGTCAAAGCTCCCCCAAAGAAAAGTGAGCAGAGAATCAAAGAGAAGCAAGTCCTGGAGAGCAGGGGGTCCCTGTGGAGATTCCATCCTCTGGCAGGCTTGGGGCAGAACACTGAACCTGGTTGGCCAACCTGGGTCTGGATACCAACAGGCCAATGTTTTCTACAGCCTTTTGCCCCGGCTTCTGGAACAGCTGTAACTGCTTGCCTTATTAAGATCTTCCCAAAGCTCTCTGTGGAAGACTGTACAGTGGTAGATTGCACCAGTGAGCAAAGGAAATCTACCTCTCCCTCCACAGCCCCCAGGCCTGCAGAAGAAAATAGGGACCAGAAAGAAGGAAGTCAAGATGGCATCCTGGTAGGGCTCTGTTTGAAAGAGAATTGTGGTTGCTGAGTTTCTCAGTAGCAGAGACTAATAATATCAGTAATATTCATTATAAGGTTTTGCATTTGTGCAGGGTTTATTATGTTTCTCTCAAGGTAGTTTCATATTCAAGTCTTGCTTGAATATGAATCCCCCACAGTTCAGTAAAATAAATAAGGCAGGTGTAGGAGCCTTGTTTACCATGACCTGACCCTCCCAAAGGTGAGCATAGAGTAGGGGCTGGGTCTGCATCTCCAGCCCAGAGCTGTTTCTATCAAACCTTCTAGGGACTCTCAGTCCTTAGGCCCAGGCCCCAAATTTCCCCCATTCAGCCATCCCCACCCCCAATTTTCTCATTGTCCCAGTTTCTGGCCCCCTGGACTCCTTTGGCTCAGTGATGAACCATCTAGTCTCTGAAAATACAATCTAGCAGTTGAAAGGAAAGAAAAATATAATGTCTTTTTCTACTGCTTGGAAGGGGGTTAATCATTAGGTGATCTGGGGGCAATGGGTGGAGGGAAATTAGAAAGGAAATTATTCTAAAGCCTCTTGATAAAATAGCAAGAAATGAGAAGGAAGAGGAAAAGATTTTGGTCTTTTTTCTTTTTAAAAATCAGTTGGATTAAGCTAAAATTAGATACAATAAAATTCAGCCGTTTTACATGTATAACTTGATGAGTTTTGAAACATTACACTTGTGTAACAACTATCTCAGTCAAGATACAAACATTTTCATCAGCCAAGTGACCCTTTGTTCCCTCTTACAGTTCATCCCTTCCTTCCTGCATTGCTGAAACTTACCTCTGTCAATATAGTTGTGTCTTTTCTAGAATATTATATAAGTGGAATCATACAATATGGAGTCTTTTGTGGACACCTTCCTTTATTTAATACAACGTTTATGAAATTCATCCATGTTGGCTGATGTATCAGTAAGCATGTTCCTTTTTATTGCTGAATAGTATTACATTGAATGGACATACCACAATTTATCCATTTGCCAGTTAGTGGACATTTACATTGTTTCTGGGTGGTTTTTTACATACATGAATAGTTTCGTATCAGTATAACTTTTTGTTTATCTTGGGTAAATACCTAGGAATGCAATTGGAAGGGTATATGATAAATGTATGTTTAACTTTAGAAGAAACTGCAAGACTGTTTTCCAAAGTGTGGCACTATTTTGCATTCCTTTCAGAGGTGTATGAGAGTTCCAGGTGCTCCGCACCCTTGTCAACACTCGGTTTTGTCAGACACAGATTTTATTCATTCTAGTGGGTGTGTAATAGTATCTGCTTGTGGTTTTAATTGGCAATTCCCTAATGACTAGTGATGTTGAAGATCTTGTCGTGTGCTTGTTTGTCCTTAGTATATTTCCTTTGGAGAAGTGTCTGTTCAAATCTCTTGTACATTTTCCTATCAGGTTGTTTGTCTTTTTATTATTGAGTTGTAGCAGTTCTTCAAAGAGAAAAATTGATGTACCTTTTTCATTTCAATGAAGGCTAACTTAGCAATTTTTTTGTTTCGTGGCTTGTGCTTTCTGGTCCTATCTATGAAATCTTTGCATATCCTAAAGCCACATATTATCTTCTATATTTTCTTTGAGATGTGTTATGGTTTTATCTGTTATTTTAAGTCTATGATCTATTTTTTAAATTTTTATGTATGGCATAAGGCATGGATTGAAGTCTATTTTTTTGCATCTGGATATCCAGTTGTTTCAGCACTATCTGTTAAAAAGTTTATCATTCCTTTTTGAATGCCTTGGTACTTTTACCAAGGGTCAATTTATGATATATGTATGGATCTATTTCTGGCTTCTCTTTTTGTTCAATCTGTGTGTCTATTCTTATGCCACCACTGCACCATCTTAATTATGGTAGCTTCATTTTCAGTCTTGAAACCATCCAGTGAAGTCCTACAACTTGTTCTTGTTTTTCAAAGTTGTTTTGGCTATCCCCTCCTCCTCCTCACCCCAGGAATCAGAGGTTTCTGAAAAAATAAGGGTTTCTTTTCTTCCTATTTATTAAGTTTAAATAGAAAAGGCTCTTTGGAGGAGGTGAGAAAATTAAGAGAAAGTGGAAAAAAATCCAGTCTGCAGGCTCCACCAGCAGTAGTGATGGTGGTACCAAGATGGGTGGGGATGGGGCAGGTGACCAGAAGCAATTTTATGATTTCTCCCTTCTCCTGGAGCTCAAGGCAGCTCCTTTAGAGAGGTTCCCTGGCTGTTTCCTTCTGAAGGCTGGGGATTCAGTCTGCTATCCTCAGCTTGGTGAAGGGAGGGGGATCCTCCTTCAGAGTTGCCCCCTGGGACTTCCGGCTTGGCCTCCTTTATTCTCCTGCTGGGAGCACCTCCCTCCCGCTCAAGCCCTCTCCTGCTTCTCCCACTGTGGTACTGCACTCTTCATCAGTTCTTCTAAACCACTCAACTATTTTTATGGCCATGCAGTGGAACCCTGAGTCTGACACTAAATATAGATGTGGGAAGTTACAGCGCACAGCCTCCTGTAATCCTGTGAGCCTGGCTCTGGATGCGGCTTTCCTGAGCTCCTTGCTGCACTTGATGCTCCTTCCCCATCTGGCCAGCTGGCCCTGACTGTTGCTCCTCTGGCAGCGCTACTCCCCCATCTTCCTGGTTCTTTAAGAAACAGGGAGGCCCAGCGCGGTTGTTCATGCCTGTAATCCCAGCACTTTGGGAGGCCAAGGTGGATGGATCACTGGAGCCGAGGAGTTCGAGACCAGCCTGGGCAGCATGATGAAACTCTGTCTCTACAAAAAAGTCAAAAAGAAAGTATCTGGGTGTGGTGGCACATGCCTGTGGTCCCAACTACTTGGGAGCATTGCTTGAGCCTGGGAGGTTGGAGGTTGGAGGTTGGAGGTTGCAGTGAGCTGAGATCGTGCCACTGCACTCCAGGCTGGGCGATGGAGTGAGACCCTGTCTCAAAAAAAAGAAAGAAAGAAAAGAAAGAAGCAGGGTTCTTTCCTGACTGACCCCCAGCTTCCCCTCTTCCTTCAGGTCTGCGCTGCCTCCAGTGCAGACCATTGACTCCCATCTCGCTTGGGAGATGCCTTGGAATTCCCAGAGCCAGCTGCTCCTTGATGGCCAAGGAACACAGCCTCCTACCCTGGTCCAGTCTCATTCTGAGTGCGGCAAGCTCCTGCCCAGCCCAGCCTCACAGCACGACTAGGGATCCCCAACACATAAAAACCTCATACTGGGCCCACAGACTACCTCATGTTTAGGTTTTACCACATCCATCCAACAGTCCAGCTGCCCCATCAGAACTCATCAATATGGGGGATTTGGGACTGCTGAAGCCACAGGGGACTGAATTCTGCTTCAAGCCATTGGCCCTGGAAGAAGTCTTTGGCTGGGATTCTGTAAGCTTCCCTCAAGGAACATGGCCCAGTCTCAGTTCTTGGCTTTTGGAAGAGAAAAAGCCAGAGACCGAGAATGACGATGTTCCTTTTTCATAGAGGTCCTTCCATTGCCAGTTTCCTTCGGCCCCTCCAGCCGCAGAACTCGCAGGGCCACAGCCTTGGGCTGTGGTTCCCATGACTACAATGTGAATGGTACCCCCAGACTTGTGTGTCACAGGGGCTCTGAGAATGCCCCTCCCAGGCTCGTGCTGTGAGGTAGATTGGGGGCTGTATGGTTCCAAAGGCCTAAGGCACTTGAGTGGTTCCCCTGCTGCCCCCACCCCAAGTGTGGTGATTGCACTCGGGCCTACGGGGACCTCTCTCCTTTCTTTACTTCTCCAGCAGCGATGGGGAGCAGCCGAGATCCGGGTCCCGGGCCCCCTCCCTAAAGGCCCCGCATCTCAGGATTTGCTCGACCTGCTGGGACCCTGTCTCACTCTGCTGTAGGCCTCAGTTTCCACCACAATGAAATAGGGATGCAGAGATGCTGCATGCCACCATCTGCCCTGGTGTGACGATTCAGGTACAGAGAGCTGAGCGTGTTGAGTGTGCAGCCCCTGGGAAGCAGGTTCTGAGAACAGCTGGTTCTTGCTGTATTGAGGAGACATTTTCTGCCCCTTGGTGCTCACAAAATGCAGCACTGGTTGATTTCAAGAATGCAAGAAGCATTATCTGAGGAAGAAATACTTCCTTTCTTTCTGTCATTTTCACAGATGAAATAAAAGGGCTGGGTCAGGAAGGTGAATGAATAAAAGGTACTTTTGTGTGGCCTTTGCCTTTATAATGTGCCTTGCCATTCGCTGTTGTATTTGCCCTCCTAAAAGCCCTGCAAGGTGCAGGAGCTACTATTATCCTAGCTTTACTGGCAAGAAAACTGAGGCTTTGAGAGATAAGGACTTAAATGAATGCACACAGGGATTGTGATCCACTTGTGGAGAACTGGTGCACCTGGCATGGACCCCCCCAAAGCTTCACTGGGGTTTGAGGGTGGTGGCAGGACCTCAAGCCAGCCCTCCTGAGGTAAGAAAGCCTTACTCTGGGGTCTGTGGACAGAAGCAGGTTGTGCCCATGGTCCCCTGCCTCCCAGGTGGACAGATTCTGATGGGACATCCTGGCAACAACCTCAGGTTGGTGCCACCAAGAGATCCCGTCCCTTCCTGTCCCCTGCTCACCTTGCCAGCCCCTGGTGTCCAGTGTCCATCTGCTATGGTGGCAGTGTTCCAGGGAGGGTGGGAAGAGAGCAAGGCAGAGACAGAGGGGAAGGCTGTGGCCTGAAGACTAAGGATTCAGGAAGAAGCTTGGAGGCAGCGTCAGAGGATGACCTAGGCAATGATCCCTCTGCCCACGGTCTCAGTATGGCTCCTTTCCAGCTACAACCAAACAGGAACTTGGGCCTTTCTTGATGTGAATGTTTTCTGCTATGTTTTGAATGTTTGTCCCCTCCAAACCTCACGTGGAAATTCAGTCCCAGAGTTGGAGGTGGGGCCTAACTCGAGGTATCTGGGTTATGGGAGTGGCTTCCTCACGAATAGATTAACACCCTCTCTGGGGAGTTGGGGGTGAGTGACTTCTCACTCTGTTAGTTCCCCTGAGAGCTGGCACCTCCCTCCCCTCTCTCTTTTGCTTCTTCTCTTGCTCTGTCATCTCTGCACACACTGGCTGCCCTTCCCCTTCCACTATGAATGGAAGCAGCCTGAGGCCTCACCAGAAGCAGATGCTGCAGCCATGCCTCTTGTTCATCCTGCAGAACCGTGAGCCAAATAAACCTCTTTTCTTTGTAAGTTACTCAGCCTCAGATATTCTTTTATAGCAACACAGACAGATTAAAGCATTCTCCTAGCTGGTGGACTCCCTGAGGCAGGGACTGCAGTGATGCTTCTTTGCATACTCAAGCATTGAGTGCCATCACTATACCAGGCACTGATGTAGGCACTAGGGACTCCCTGCCTGGTCTTGGTAAATGAACACATGAATGCCCGCTTGCCAAAAACCCTTTGAAGAAGAGTTGTGGGCATGATCCTTGACAGGAGCCTGCCTGGGGTTTAGGCTCTGCTACTAACTAGCTGTGTGACCTTAGGAAACTTAAGCTAAGACATGCCCAGGTCAGGAAACTTAGACCATGACCTTGGGCAGGGTGGGTGGCCAGGCTGGTCAAAGGCAGGCAAGGCAGGACTTACAATTCAGCATGAGCTAAACCCTGAAAGAAGACAAGAAGGGTTCTGGCCTAGGCTGAGGAGACCCAAGGAGCAGGAGGTGGATGGAGGAGCGCAGAGGCAGAACTGGAAGACAAGCTCCCCTCTTGGCTGAACTGTCCCCCAGTGGCAGCAGAAGCCCCAACAGCACTGCCGGCCCAAGCCCAAGGTGCTGCAGGTCTTGGGGGCATTCAGTTACCCATCACATGTGTCACTGCAGCTGAGTCTGGGGACCTGGGAGGACCAGCAGGTGCCTGCCCTCAGTGTCTGGACAGACGAGTGGCTCCTAACCTTGGGAGGAAGCCTCTGGGAAACAGGGGCAGGATCAGAACAGAGTCCCCCCAGGCACCACTGTGCCAGCCTATGACCATGTAGGTGAACTTTCCTTCCTGAAATGCCAGCGCTGTGGGTAGTGAACAAGCAATGCTTCTTTGCGTATGCTCTTGATGGCTTTTGTCAGGAATTCCAAACCTGTCCTGGGACCCCGGAGCAGCTGGAGGCCTGGAACTGGGGGTGTAGGCTCTCCACTGTCCTGCACACCTAGGTCCACCTACCCTGCATTGTCTGGGCTCTTGCCTTCTTGCTCCTGCTCCATCTCCTCATTCCATTTTCCCCTTTTCTTCAGGCCAGGAAGCCTTGGGTGCCATCAAAAGATGTTTAGGTTTCAGACAGTTCTCTAAAGTCTTTGATTTGCCCCGGGAATGAACCTCGGGCTGGAAGACTGACCTGGAATTTTGGCCGGGGAACCACTGTAGGTAAATGACTTCTCCACTCAGCCTCAGTTTTCTCATTTGTAAAATGAGGGCTCAGATTTAATTATTTTCTTTATTGCCCTTTAAAAAATTCATGTTTGTTGCATCAATTATTAGTCTATGACCTATAGATTATATATAATCTGTAACAAAAAATGTATTAATGAACAAAAGTCCAAGATAAACATTGCCCATGATCTAGTCTGTGAAATGGCATCAATATTTGTGTTGGTTTCTGACATCTTCCAGCTCTTATCTAGGTTCATATTCAGTTTTAATGGATTTACGGTAATATCACACATGGGAATTGATATTTAACATTGTCAGTCAACATTTTACCCTAAGCATTGCTTTTCCTTCTCTTTTTCCTACCTCCATGTTTTTTCCCTGCTCTCATCTGCTGAGGTAGCCAATGTTAATACTTGGGTTTGCATTCATATATAAATAGAGTACACATGCAAAGAATTTGCATTTGGTGAGAGGAGTCATTTTTTGTTTTATAAAACTGGGATCACTCTTTATATATTTCTCTGCAACTTGCTTTTCTCATTTAACAATATGTTGTGGAAATCCATCCAGACTGAGAGATAGACTGCTAACTAGTTCTTTTTGAATAGGTAGGCGTAATTCCATGGTATGGTTGAAGGTATTACAGTTTATTCAATCATTTCCTGATTGATGAGGACTTGGGCTGTTTGCATTTCCCCCCTCCACCACCACACTAAAAACAATTCTTCTGTTGAAGAAAAGAGTCAAACTCTGTAAAATATTTGAAGAGATTTATTCTGAGCCAAATAGGAGTGACCATGGCCTGAGGCACAGTCTTAAGAGGTCCTAAGAACACGCACCCAAGGTGGTTGGGCTGCAGCTTTGTTTTATACGTTTTAGGGGGACATGAGACATCAGTGACTTATGTAAGTAAGAAAGTGAGACTGAACCAAGGTGCACATTGGTTCAATCTGGAAGGGTGGGACAATTTGAAATATGGCGGTCACAGGTGGATTCAAAGATTTTCTGATTGACAATTGGTTGAAGAGTCATTATTATCAAAAGACGTGGAATCAGTAGAAGGGAGTGTCTGGGTTAAAATGAGACGGTGTAAAGACCAAGGTTCTTATTATGCAGATGAAGCCTCCAGGTACAGGCTTCAGAGAGAATAGATTATAAGTTTTTCTTATCAGACTTAAAAAGGTGCGAGACTCTTAACTGATTTTCTCCTGGATCAGGGAAAAGACCTGGAATAGGAAGAGGATTCTCTACAGAATGTAGATTTTCCCCACAAGAGACAGCTTTCCAGGGCCATTTCTGAAACATATTTGCAGGGCCAATATATATAAAAGAAATGTATTTTGCTGTAAAATAGTTCAGTTTCTTTCAGGGCCTGCTACCTGTCATGTGATGCTATACTAGAGTCAGGTTGGAATTTGCTACAAATTTGTCTTATTGCTACAAAGAGTCTGTTTTTTCAGTCTTAAGAGCTCTGTTAAGACTGTTTTAATGTTTTTTGTTAAATATTAATGCTGGTCAGCTGTGCCTGAATTCCTAAGGGAGGAGGGATATGGAGGCATGTCCTACCCCTACTTCCCATCATGGCCTGAACTAGGTTTCTTTGGAATGCCCTTGGCTGAGAAGGAGGTCCATTCAGTCAACTGGGGGGCTTAGAATTTTATCTTTCATTTACATTTCCATAAACGCTTCATAATTCACATCTACACAGATAATGGGTCAGGGCAGCCCTCTCTCCACAGCCTCACCAGCACTCATAGTTAGCAGTCTTTTTAATGGGTACCAACCAGTCTGATGGATGAGAAATGGCATCTCAGCGTGACTTTAATTGGCATTTTCCTATTTACTAGTAAGCATCTTTCCATTGGCTATGAATTTGTTCTTAATTTGAGTTTGTGAGGCAGAATAGCACAGATGTGAAGCGTATTTGTTGGCTCTTTAGGGTTCTCGTTCTGTCAACTGCTATTCCTATGCTTTGGCTGTTTTTTCTGCTGGGTTTGTCTTTGCACCATGAATGTGCTGGAGCTCAGTGCAGAGTATTAACTTGCCTTCTGTCATACATTTTGCACATATACTTTCCTAGTCTATCATGTGTCTTTTGACTTATTAGGGTATTTGTTTTCATACAGATTTTTTTCTTCACTTTATGTAGTCAGACATGTTTATCTTTTTTTAATGGCTTTTCAGTTCTCCATTTTGTTTTTAAAATCTCCTCAACACATAAGCTATATTCCTAAGCTTCCTTCGATTTTTTCCTTTTAATTTCTCTCATTTAAACATATAACCTTTCTGGAATTTACTTTTTGTCAAATTAAGGTTGGCTCAGACAGGTGTGATGGCTCATGCCTGTAATCCCAGTGCTTTAGGAGGCCAAGACGGGAGGATTGCCTGAGGCCAGGAGTTCGAGACCAGGCTGGGCAACATAGTGAGACCTCTATCTCTATGAAATTTTTTTAAATTAGCTGAGCCTGGTGGCACATGCCTGTAGCTGAGACAGGAGGATTGCTTGAGCCCAGAAGGCCAAGGTTACAGTGAGCTATGATCACACCACTGCACTCCAGCCTGGGCAACACAGCAAAGCCCTGTCTCTAAAATAACAAACAAAAGTTAAGATACGCTACAGTGTTCTTTCTTCCATGCAGATAGCCAAATTCAGCACTTCCTGTCTACACTCTCAGACCCTGTGGGCCCCCAACACGTGCCTGGGAGGTGGCTACCAAATTCGGGGCTAGGAGGTCTGGGGAAGTGGTACAGATGCCCCTTCCCCCAGCCATGGAGATATTCTACTTTTGTTGTTTTACAAAATAGGCTTCCAGTAAAGATTTGGTTTGGACAAAGTGTTCTGAAGCTGAAGGAATTTTGAAAATCCCTTTCAGATGATCTCTGGGGGCCCTTCCAGGTTTGACATTCTCTGACTCAGTAATGCCTAGGACGGCAACTGCTTATTAAGGAAGAGAAGGCAATGGGTCGGTGTATCTTTATCCAAAAGTAATTTCAATATTGAATCCCAGGTTGGCTCAAAGCGGATATTGGAATCACAGCATTTTAGAGGTGGAAGGGACCTAGGAAATCCTCTAGTCTAGTGCCTCTCAATCCTGGCTGCCTTTAGAATCACCTGGGAGTTTATTAAAAAGTCCCGGTGCCCTGGACTGATGCCAGACCACATAAATCAGAGTCCTGGGGGGAAGGGAAGGGTCTAGGCATGAGTCGTTTTAAAAATTTCCTCATGATTCTAATATGCAGCTAGGGCTGAGAACCACTTCGCTAGTTCAACTCCCTTATTTCATTAGTAAGTCAGCTGAAGCCCAGAAAAGGTTAGCCTCGTATGACACAGCTGGCGAACTGTAGAGCTGGGACTAGAACCCAGATCCCTGCCTTCTGCGTTGGCTTTTTCATCGACACCAAATGCCTCATCAAGCACCACTCCTTGGATTTTTAGCTGGCAACACTGAAGTCCCTGTATGAATGTTTTGTATCTTTGTATATGATCAGCTTAAAAGTATTCACTGCACGCAATTCTGTGCATCCTAGACAAATAGACTTAGTTCTACCTTGCAGGACCATCGTGGAGAACAGGGTCATAAAGAACAAACTACGATAACAGAGCAGGACATTTGGTACATGCACGCGAAAGAGCCTGCTGCGGGGAGGGCGTGCAGAAGTAGGAAGGGTGAGTTCCCAGGGAGGTCAAGGAGGCTGCACACAGGAGGTAGCATCTGAATTGAGCCTAATGGGTGATTTAAGAGGCCTCTGATGGACAGAGCATCGATGCTGCACTCTTGCCCAGAGCAGTGATTGGCTGCCTGATTTTTACACAGGGGCTCAAAAGGGCGGGGGTAGGAGCAGCAAGATTTCAGGGCAGAAATGCTTTAGTGTCAGGCAGGGCGGGGACCCAGCCTGCCTCAGGCGCTCTGATCTCCCTCTGCTCTGCCCGCAGGAATGAGACCGTGCTGCACCAGTTCTGCTGCCCAGCCGCCGACGCCTGCTCCGACCTGGCCTCCCAAAGGTGGGAACTGTGGCCCTTCCTCCCTTCCGCATCCCCACCTTCCTTCCTGTTACAACAAAGCACGTACCACTGCACTAGCTATTGGGCCTCCTCCTCTTGAGTCTCATGTGGGGTAATTTGTTTGCTTTCACCTCCTTCCTCAGACTTCAGTTTCTCTCTGCTCCCTCTGGACCCCAAATGAGCCGTTCCCAACTTTTAAGGTGATTATGCCCTGTCGATCACACCCCACACGTAGGCTCCTTCCTTCTAAACGGCCCATGTAAAATCTAACTTTTGTAAGCAGCCGGGAAAGTTGATTTGATTGGGGATATTCGTGTCTCTCACACGGTAGGGTGCCTGGCACACAGTGGTGTGCGCTCAGCCCATGCCCAGTGCCCAGCCTTCCTCTTACATCAAGGATTTATACTTTTCTTTCTGGTTTCTCTTCTTCCAGTCAGCCGAGGTGCCTGTCTTTAATGTTAAGGCTCTCTCAGCCCTGGCTGCTTTAGTTGACAGCCTCGGACTGGAGCGGGAGTGTTGAGGAGTCAGGTTTCAGAGCCACAGTCCTGAGCTTTCTCCTCTGTTTTTTCCTGGGTTATCCTCCTGCCCTCTGCCTCCCTGTCCCGCTTCCTGGAGTTCCGTCTCCGTCCCGTGATCAGCCTTCTCCCTCCGCATCTGCCTCTGTCTCTCTGCCCTTGTGTTTCTCGTTTCTCCTCTTCTGTGCCCACGTCGTGCTCCCCACCCGCCCCCCGATCTGTGTTCTGTCAATCTCTCTCTCACTCTTTTCTCTTTTCCACCAGTTTGTCTGTCTCCATTCTGCACGTTTCTCTTTTCTTGACTTGTTCTTTACTCCACTTGGATTCTGGCCTGAAATTTGCCCAGTCTCTCAGTCTCCTGTTATGGAGTGAATTTGGGCAAGTTACTCCACTGCCCTGGGCCTCAGTTTCCTCATCTGGATAGTGAAGGGCTTGGTCTGTCTCAAAAGTGGCATTCACCTATCATCCCGTCGAGTCTCTGAGCTGCTCAGTGGGGCCAGACTGGGCAGGTCTTCTTGTCCCTGAAGGATGAGAGGAGAGTAAGGGTCGGAGGACCCAGAGACTTGTCCACAGTCACAGAGCAAGGACCAGTGCAGCCACAGGAAGCTTAGGGCGCCGGACTCCTCATGCTCACCATTTTCAGGTTTAAGATCCAATGATTCTGTGATCTTTCCCCCTTTATCCTCTGGAAAATAACTGGACAGTGATCAGAAGTGGTGGCTAGTGATCTTGGGGCACAGACAGCCACCCCGTGAAAGGCATTGCTGTTCATTTTGCCTCATAGGGGAGCCAGCAGAGGTCAGAGAAAGAGGCGGGGCTCTGAGGAGGACTCGGAGAGGCCACACACCCAAGAGGCCCTTAAATCCAGGGCTGAGGGAGGGATGGGAGTTACTGAAGCCAACCATGTTGGAGATGGGAGGCTGATGTTTTCGGTGTCCTCTGTGACAAGTTTTGGGCCAGGCCTGGGGACATAAAAGCACATAAGGCCAACTTGGACCCTTGAGAAGTTCCCCATGCAGTGGGACATCAGGATACCCTCAAAAGAAAAACTGCTCACCTGCAAATTAGAAGGAAGAAGAGAAATGGGAGAATGAAACGGTGGAGGGAGAAGGAAAGAGGAGAGCGTGGAGATGTGGAAGACACCAGGATGTTGTAGAGGAAGACCCTGAGTTCCCTGGCCCCTCCCCATAAGCCCTCACTGTTCAGACACAGGGCCCGAGTCTTCTTCCTAGAAACTGCCTTCCTTGGTAGAAGAGAGAAAAGCTGTCTGGCCTGCCTCCAGCTCCATCAATTCAACTCAATTCAGTGAGCATTTTATTGATACTAACCAAGCACCAGGCCTCAGTGAGGATGGATAACACACCCTTGAGAAGCCCAGGCCTGGCAGGGGCGGGCACCAGAGACTATCCCTTGGGCTTCCTGTGGTCTCTCCTCCCATCCACTCTCAGCCTGCAAGCTCGCTCACACACCAGCACTCCCCTGCTGCCTGTGTCGTGCCCACCTGCAGCCCTAGCTCCAGGTGGGAAGGAGTGGGAGAGAGGCGGCCCCAGCAGCACGCCAGAATGTAGGTAGATGTGGGGCAGGGGAGGGGTGCTGCCCTCTCAAGGGGCTGGAGCTCCAAGGGAATAGGGTTATTTTCCAGGGTTTGAGGTGGATGATAGGAAACCCATGACCTTAGTTTCCAAGAGGTTTGTTCTTCAGCTTGTTGTTCACCTTCCCCTGGGAGGTGCGGGCTTTGAGGTTGGGGACAGGAGGTGCTCCGGGGAGGGAGTGTGGGAGTTGGGATATTCTCTTGAATGTTGGTTCATGGAGGCGCCTATACACCCTGCTTACGGGGGCCCTCCCCCTGGCTGGGGACAGGGAGGACTTGCCCCCTGAGATGGTCCAGGGCTTCAGCTGCTGTCTCTAGTTCCCAGTTACTCCAAGTTGTCCTGTCTATCTGTCTGATTTGTAGTTTCCTAGAGCCTGTTTTTGTCTGTCTGTCTGTCTGTCTGATGTGGCTTTCCTGGCTTCTCCGAGAGGAGACCCTCTGGATGTTTTCTGGGCAGCCCAACAGTGTACGTGTTTGCTCTTGGCTTCTTGGGGGAATTCTATGCTAAGATAAGTTTTCCCTGATCAGACTCTCAGCATCCCTGCTCCTAACCCTACCAACGATTCCTTCACCAAACCTCATCCCTTCCCCTAGCCCAGCTGTCCCACCTCCAGAGCATAGCCACAACTTCCCAGTAAGCTCCTCTAGTGGAATGTGTCACAGTCAGAGGCCAGCCTGTGGGGCTGGCACAGGCGGGTAGGTCACACAGCCCTCTGAGGAGATCTGGTATGGACTCTGGAGCTCTGAGACAAGCCAGGCTCCTCCCCCATCAGTCTGGCTCCTCCCCCATCAGTCTGGCTCCTCCCCCGTCAGTCTGGCTCCTCCCCCATCAGTCTGGCTCCTCCCCGTCAGTCTGGCTCCTCCCCCGTCAGTCTGGCTCCTCCCCCATCAGTCTGGCTCCTCCCCTGTCAGTCAGTCTGGTTTCCCGCTAGCTCAGCCAGTAGGAATCATGGCCTCCTGAGGATTTCTGGGATCAGCAGTTGGCCTCCATAGGAGACCCCAGTAAGGAATCCAAAGTCAGTGAATCAGGTGTCAGGACCTTTGTTGTGTGGACTCAGCCAGCCACAGGATCTCCCTGGCCATCCTCCTCTGCAGTCTGGCTAAGGCCGGCCCCCACTCCAGCTCCGGGGCTGAGCAAGGGTCCCTTTCCTGAGCAAGTGCCTTCACTGCAGCACTGCAGTGGCTGCTCATCTATCTGATCAGAGATGTGGAGATGCTGCTCAGCCCAGAGGAAAGTCTGCTCCCTCCCAGAAAGACCCAGGGCCAGAACAGAGCCTCACCCCTCCCGAAGAGGCAGAGAAGCCTCAGCCCTACCGAGGCCAGGACAGCCTTCCCCAGCCACCTGCAGAGGAGCAGCTGGGGGCTGGTGTCAGGGGAACTCTGTCTTGGGGCTGGGAGCCGGACAGGGAGTGATTCTCCCAGGAGTGGGAACACCTGAAATTGAGCACATCTGGAAGCGTGGGTGTCTGCAAAGGGAGGCTGAAGGGAGGGCGTCAGCGATCTGGAGTACAGTGGAGCAGCTACGGGGCTGGCAAAGCCCTGAAAGCCCTGCGAAGCTGGATAACCAGATAGAGTTATTATGGGTTCTGCTGTGCCCTGGTTCCCCAAACCCCCCTAGGAAGGCAATGTATGTCTGCCAGGGTAGTTAGGCCCTCAGGTGGGAGCTGGGGGTGGTGCCTCCTCCCAGCAGCCAGCCAGGAAGCAGCAACTGCGTGCCAGGCTCTTTCTCCCCAGAAAAGATCGCCCCCTGGTCGTTGCCCCTACCGACCGCCTCCCTGCTGCCAGCTAATGACAGGGCTTTATTCTGGGGCGCTGAATATGCCAGTAATTGCAGCCCTACTTTCGATCCTGCCGCCTCCCTTCCCTTTCAGGCTCTCAGTGACAATGACCCGGTAGCTGGCCAGCTGCCTCCCAGCATAGAGCCCATTTGTCTCAAGGGTGATAATGGGGCCAAGATGAGGAAGGTGGGCCTCTATTAGAGTAATGGGAGGAGGCGGCTGTGGGAGAGGGTGGGGCTCAGGAGAAGGAGGTGGGCTTAGGAGGGGAGGTGGAGTTCAGGATGGGGAGGCAGGGCTCAGAAGACGAAGTGGGGCTCAAGATGGAGAAGGTTGGCTCAGGAGGGGAGGCGGGGCTCAGGCAGGAGAGGCGGGGCTCAGGAGGGGAGGCGGGGCTCGGGGGGTAGGTGGGGGCTCAGGAGGGGAGGTGGGACTCAGGAGGGAGAGGTGGAGTTCGGTGGGGAGGCAGGGCTCAGGGGGAGGTGGGGGCTCAGGAGGGGAGGTGGGGCTCAGGAGGGAGAGGTGGAGTTCAGGGGGGAGGCGGGGCTCAGGAGGGAGAGGTGGAGTTCGGTGGGGAGGCAGGGCTCAGGGGTAGGTGGGGGCTCAGGAGGGGAGGTGGGACTCAGGAGGGAGAGGTGGAGTTCGGGGGGAGGCAGGGCTGGGGGGAGGTGGGGCTCAGGAGGGGAGGCGGGGCTCAGGCAGGAGACGTGGGACTCAGGTGGGGAGGCAGGACTCAGGAGGGAGAGGTGGAGTTCATGAGGGGAGGCGGCTCGGGAGGGGAGGCGGGGGCTCGGGAGGGGAGGCGGGGCTCAGGAGGGGGAAGTGCTAGGCAGGAAACAGAACAACCCCTAGGCCTCCAGAGCAAGAAGGGATCTGGGTAGGGGTCTAAGGGGCACTCTGAGCCTCTGCTAACTGAACTGACTCACTGCTGGTCCTTGCTTCTTCCTTCTCAACCACCCCATCCTTACTCCAAGATGGAAGACATAGTGAACACATTATTTATTGAACGTGCCAGGGACAACGTGCTGGGCACTCTTGATATTTTATCTCACGTAATTCTGTGAGATAGATGTTATTCCCATTTACAGATAAGGAATCCAGGATGGAGAGAAGTTAGGTATCTTGGCCGAGGGACCACTGCTAATTATTTCTGGAGCTGGACAGTGAACCCAGGTCCAACTCCTACACACAACGTCTTTTCAAAGAGCTGCTGCTAGAATTTTTTTTAAGCGCTCAAGAGAAATCCTCCCATCCATTTCACTGGATCTTAAATAACATCTATTTCCTCTGATTATAAGTCATACACGCTAGTTGTTGGAAATGTGGAAAATACAAAATATAAAGAAGAAAATATAAATGGGACTTCATCATGTAGAATTAACTGATGTTAATATTTTAGTGTGCAGCCTCCCAGTGTTTTATTTTTCTCTGCGTTGGGTTTTACGTCCTTCCCACGCCCATTTTAAAAAAAAAAGATTTTGTAGTCTGCATTTCCCACTTGGCGAGGCGTACTGCGCCCCCTTAGAGGCCTCCTACCCTAACCACTTCCTCCCGGGCCGCCCGCCCTGGTGGCCCACGTGGCTGGCGTCGTTGCCGCTAGGCAGCAGCAAGGCAGGGGCTCTGCCGAGGCCGCCACGCGGGGTACCCTGGAGGACGGGGCGCGCTTCCGAGAACGGCTGCGGGGATAGCCCTGCATTGGCATAGCTGGGGCATTTCTGCCTCTCCTGCCTCTTTCCATCGGCTGTGATGGGGCCTGAAACATGAGCAATGGACCAGCCAGTGTTTACCCAGCGATTACGGAGCAATTAAATTCTCAGTCGATACAGTTACGTCTTCAAACAGCTGGGCTGGGGCGCCGCGGCCTCACGTGCCTGCTCCGGGAGTCGCATCCAGGCTGCTGAGAAACCGGCACCACGCACTGGTGGCTTAGGGCGGCAGCGTGGGTCGGTCGGGCGGTACAGCCGCGTCCTCTTTCCCTAGAAAAGGGCAGAAAAGCCCTCGGCTTCCCCCACAGGCCCCATGGGGCAGGCCCACCCTGCCTGCCTGGCCCCAAGCTCTGGGTCTCTGCCTCCCGCCCCAGGAAAGCGATGGCGGCAGGGGAGGTTAAAGGAAGTGTTCTTTGTCTCCTTCATGGTTCACTGGTTGGTTGGGAGAGGTCTTTGGAGAGGTTGGGATGGGGTGAAAATCCCCACAAGCCCCCTGCAGTGGCGGGAGCATCTTGCCCGCTGGCAGGGGCAGGGTGGGGGCGGGAATCCTGGGGTTTGAAGCCTGGGCTCTGGGGTGGGACAGAGTGGCACCTGCACAGAGGGGAGCATCCTGGGGACAGGGGGCTTGCTCCTGTGGATTGGGCTTTGAGAGCAGGTGTGCTCCTGGGTGATCTGAGGAGCTGTGTAGTTAGAGCAGAATCCAGCCGACCTGGGCTCCATGCCCAGGAAGATGGCCGAATTCCGACGTGGAGCTACAGGAATCTGCCCTAGGGAACTGTGTGACCTGTCACTTTACCACCCTGTGCATTTTTGTCTCATTTGTCCTGAATCGCCAGATTCAGGAGGCATAAAAACCAAAATAGAGGTCAAAGTACTTTGACACTTTGGGAGGGCGTATTAAAATATCCCAGAGAGTATTAGGAAGGTTTTGTCTTGTCATTGAGTTTTGACTTTCTGTCCAGAGGGCTCTCCTCAGCAGGGATGTGAAACTCCTGTTTGGAGTCAGCTATTTGCCCAGGCCAATTTCCTTGTGTAATTTTCCCTGCCAGGCCTTGAGCATCCTCTGAGACTGGCCCCTTCATGTGACCTAGGCTGTCGCCAGAGGGTGCTTGGGAAACCTGTTGGTGCTTGGGCTGCCCTCAAATTGCTGCTCGTTAAGGCACGCAACTTTTTGTCAGCAGCATGTTTAGAGATGATTGGAGGAGAAGTCCTGCTAACTCTGTGTCGGTTTTGTGTCTCCCACCCATGAGAGAGAGGAAGCAAATACTAGCCACCATGTCCTGAGTGCTTGCTATGTGCTATGCAAGAATTATCTTGTTTAACCCCTAATAGAAGCTGGTGAAATATTATTCCCATTTTACAGACAAGGAAACTGAGGATCAGAGACAACGAATGCCTTGAGCATGGTCCATGTGGCTGATGAAGAGCAGAGCTAGGTTTTGAACCAGGTGCTTGTCAGTTGCAGCCTGTAACCACCAGGGCAGGAGGATAGCAGAAGGCAGGTGTTGTCAAGTATGGGAAGCGAAAGTGAGGCAGGAAGGTGAACAGCTGCTTCCCATGTCCCCAGCCACAGCCAGCGGGTGGCTGAGAGCACATAGGTTATTGTTCAGGGCCTCAAAAGGCCTGGCCTCTCTTCCCTGCCCCTCCGCCCTGCCCCTTGAGGCCATGTGTGGACTCCAGAGGAGTGACGCAGAGAATATTTTTAGGGACAGAAACAGCAACAACAGCAATGCTAGGCTTTATTAGTTAAGGAAATACCCCTAACTAAAGATAATACTTCCAGAACAAGTGAGAGATGCCACGAGGAACATCTAAGCTTTCTCTAGTCCAGGGTATTCGGTAATGCAGTTTTATCCAGTTTTCTGGGAAATATGTTCTTGTTTCATTTACTGGAAGCTTCTTGTTGGAATCTTTTGTATCTTCTTTTCTCACTTCCAGGAAGAGTAACCTTTGTAGGCGTAGAGATTTTTCTAATCCCACTATTTCTTGTGCTTTGTTTTATTTTCTCTTCTGAAAGTTCTTTACCCATTCACTTATCTTCTGACCAATAACATGACCATAAAAATGATTTTGTATCTGTTTGTATGACAAAAAGGGTTTTTAATTTGTTTCATCAAACCAAAAACGAAGAAATAATCTATAGCAAGAGTGATTTGATCAGATATGGCATTCTTAAGACATTTTACTGCCCTCAAGAGACCATGGAATGGCTTAAGAAACGAGGTTTTTAGAGATTTCTTTTATTATGATTAAAAAAACAAAACAGGAAGGACAGCTGCCTATGAAGAAAGACTGGAGTGTGTTGCTGTCTCCAGCAGGGACACTTTCCATAATTCCTTTAGCACCCTCAAGTTAAAGTGGCTCCCATTGTCTGAATCAGTATTTTCTACCAGGCCAAATCTGGGTATAATTTGTTCTAAGATTATTTTGACCACATCCCCGGCAGTGGCAGCTGGGAGGGGAAGGCCTCCACCCTGGAGAGGTGGTCTACCATTACCAGCAGATACGTTAGTCTCCCTATTTTGGACATTTCTGTAAAATCTACTTGAATGCTTTGAAATGGCCTTAACCCAGGAGGTTTCCCTCCGGTAGTCTGTTTTCTTTTTTTTTTTTTTTTTTTTTTTTTGAGACGGAGTCTTGCTCTGTGGCTCAGGCTGGGGTGCAGTGGCACAATCTCGGCTCACTGCAAGCTCCGCCTCCCGGGTTCACGCCATTCTCCTGCCTCAGCCTCCCGAGTAGCTGGGACTACAGGTGCCCGCCACCGTGCCCGGCTAATTTTTTTGTATTTTTAGTAGAGACGGGGTTTCACTGTGTTAGCCAGGATGGTCTCGATCTCCTGACCTCGTGATCCGCCCACCTCGGCCTCCCAAAGTGCTGGGATTACAGGCGTGAGCCACCGCGCCCGGCCGGTAGTCTGTTTTCTAACTACCTTTTTGTTTATTCTCTGGCAGGTCACATAACACCCACACACTTGTTTAACAAGGGTGTAGATCCCTATACACCCGTAATTCTTGAGTATTGCATCACACATGGCCTGGGGACCCCAGTGACCTCCCTTACAGAGTATGGATATCAGTTCTCTCCTTGTGAGTTTGCTTATCATTTCGGTCCCATCAGGGAGCACCCACCTCCCATCCTCAGTTTGAGTGGCCCTATCTTGCCCAGCTCTTCCTCCTCCTCTTCAGAAAGTTGGGGTTTTAATACCACCTTAGGGATATCTGGGATTAGGCCAAATAGTTTAACTTCTACCTCCAGGGAGGCTGCTTAGCAGCTTTATCCACAAGCCTGTTCCCTAACCCTAACCCTAACCCTAACCCTAACCCTAGCTTCTATAGAGTTTCCTTTCTGATGGCCGTTTACATGAACTATGGCTACCTCTGCTGGAAGCAGGAGGCTTTTTAAAACTTGTTTGACCAGTTTCCCATATACCAATTCTTTCTACCTGCTATTTATTAGGCTCCACTTTGTCCAGATCTTTCCAAAGGTGTGTACTACTCCATAGGCATATCTGGAAATAGCATATACAGTGCCTTCTTGGCCTTATATGAGCTTCAGGGCTTGGTTAAGAGCATGTAATTCACAGGTTTGGGCTGAGCAGTTATTGGGTAATCTACCTTTTTCTCATAAGGTTTGTTTGTTTCCATCAATGACAGCCTGGACATTGTGTCTTTTACCATCTATCACTCAGGATGGCCTATTCACAAACAGCCTCATTCCATCGAGTAGTGGAATTTCTTTAAGGTCTGGTCTAACTTTGGTTTGATATTCTATCATATGTAAACAGTTATGGTCTGATACCTGCTTATTCTCCTCTCATTTCCGTAAGAAACTGACTGGAGTTCATTTAGGCGCCTTTCCAGGGCCCACTGACCCCAGGAGGAACTTGAGGAGGCAAGGGGCTGACCAGCTGGCCTTTCAGGGTGTCTTTAGCCGGGCTCTGCCGGGTCTGGCTCTGGGCCAACAGCTGCTGGTTTGAAGAGCTGCCAGCCTGTGGTGCCTTCCCTGATGGGCACTCTCATCAGCAAAGGCATCCCTGGCTCCTTCTTTGCTTTGAAGGCACCATCCGTCTCCCTGGCAGGCCGAGAGCTGCACTGTTTGTATTCCACGCCACCCCTGCTGGTGACCCAGCAACTGCAAAGGGTCCCAGGTTTGTCCCGCTCTGGGAGGGGACTTGGTGGCTTTTCGTCAGCTGCAAGGGTCGCCCCTTGGCCCAGCCCAGCTCTGGGAAACAGAACTTTTATACACCCCACCTCAAAGCATCCTGGCGGACTTCTCCCCAGCACGCGCTCTCTCTACTTCAGGGATTGCAAACTGGCATTTTCTATCACCTGTATTGGGTTATTAAGTTTTTTTAACTGATCACCAGCATTTAAAAATCCTGTTTCACATAAAAAGTCAGAATTCTGGCCTCTGACAAAGCAGACAGTCTGGCAACACAGGGCTGGCACTGTGAGAACAGTCGAGCAGCTGCAGAGGTGTGCCCTCTTCAGTTAGCCACAGTCCCCATCCAGCCCTGCAGCCCTCCTTCTCACCATTTGCTGGCCGTGTTGTCCTTTGAGTTTATAACCCTAGTTCGGATCTTCCTTATGTAGCCCCCCGGCCTCTCTGCAGCCTTACTGACGGCTGCCCCTGGTGGACTCACAGCCTCTCAGTGAAACAGCAGCAAACCTTAATGCTCATCTCATCCACTCACCCTTCCACATCCTGAACCCTTTCTACACCCTCCTGACAAACAGCCATCTAGTCTTTGCCGTACGCAACCCACTATTCCTCAGGCAGCCTGATCCTAAACTCTCCTCCACATCCCCTTCTCACTTGCATCCCCCAGTTCCCGGACCCTGTCCCTCCTCAGTGGCCGCACTGCACCCTTTCCCAGCACCTCCTTGTTGCTTGAGCCTCTAGAACCTTCCCCCAGCCCTGCCAACCTCTCCACATCCTCTCACTTCCTCTTGTACTCTTTCTTCCTTTTGCATTATTTTTCTCCCCAGTCTTAACTTTGGTGTCTCTCTTTGATCTGTCTTTTCCAGTCTCTTGCTCTCGCTCGTTTTCTTTTTCTATCTATCTCTATCATCCTGTTTCCTTTTTCCCTCACACTTAGTTTCTTTCTCTTTCTCTCTCTGGGCACAAGCTAAACTGTGCTGGGCCCTGGCCCCTGACAATCTGCAAAGATGGACAGCTCTGTCGAAACAACAAAGATTCAGCAACAACTTTTATCAACAGCTTTCAGCAGCCAGCTTCCACACACAGTTGTGTGGCCGCCTCTCCCTTGCCTTCAGGGTCAGCAGCTTAACTCTTTCTCTCTCTGGCCCTCTATGTTTGCCATTTCCTCCCCTTTGTCTTTCCAATTTTCTTTTTTACTTTTTCTCTTTCTCCCTTTTCCAGTTTCTCTTTTCTTTCTTCTTACAAAAACCTTCTGAGCTTCCCTCAGTAATTCCTTAATCGGTTTTTCATTCCACCTATCAATCTTTTGCAGTTTCTTAGTAATATCAGGCCAGCTTTTGTCACAGAACTAAGTCCTAAAAGGCCTTGCCCTACTGGGTGCTCTGGACCTAATCCTGAATATTTTCTTATTTGATCCCTGAGCCTCTGCAGAAATGCGGAGGGAGTCTTCTCTTTTTATTGTTGGATCTCGAATGCTTTCAAGACATTTTGTGTTCTAAGAGTGGACTTTTTAATCCCTTTAATTATTAGTTCCCTTGGGTCCTGCACTGGGGCCTGATCTCTGAGGTTATTGTTATCCCCTCTGGGATTTGCATTTGGGAATTTCTGCTCAGCTGGCAGGACTCCTTACCCGGGAGAATGGGGTCTCTCCCAAATGGTCATGGCTGCCCTTATAATCATTCCCCTCTCTTCCCCAGGAAACAGAATATTTATGATTGACATTATCTTAGCCCAAGTATAAAAATGGGGTCATAAAAATTGATCTAGCTGCTCTGCTAAACCGAGGGGGTCTTCCCAGAGTGGCCTCATTTTCTTTTTAGAATTCTGAACCTCAGTACTTGCTAGAGGCACACTCACAAACCCAACAAACCCAACTCCTCTCTGTCCCGTAGAGACTTCTCTAAGAGGGTACCTGTTAGACATCTGCTGTTTAGAAGGAACGGGGAAATTCTCAATGTCCTTCTTACATTGTTCTAATTCTTTCCTCTAGTTTGGATAAGGATTTAAGGAAGCATTGGGTTTAGCTTCTTCGTGACCCCCCGATTCCTCTTCCTCCGACCTTCTTGCTGCCCCCCGATCGCCCTGTTCTGTTCTTCCTGAGATGTATGGGGGGGCAAGCGTGTTAGGGGATCCCAGGGCTTTTCATTGGGTGAGGGCTTTTTACTATGCTCTTTTTCTTCTTTTTAAAGGGGAACATGGGGGTTAATTCACTAATCCAACAAAGAGCATAACCTGTCTCCTCTCGTGAGGATGGAGTTTTATTATTCACAGAAAATTAAAGCTTGGCACACCCAATCCTCATCTGAGCCAAACTCAGGCCAAAAGACCAAAGGTTGACGAATGGGCTTTTTGGGCCAGATAAAACAACAAACTTTATCATCTTTTGCTTTTCCTTGTCCCTGGTTTGAGGACTATCCCTTCAAACCTGCAGCATTCTCCCCAGCGGACTATTTGGGGGAATGTCAGAAGGGTTCTCTTTAGTTCCCTCTTTCCTCTGTTCTCTAGGCCTAGAATTCTTGTTTCCCATTTTTGGTTAGTCTCTGTGTCTGAGCTTTTCCCTGTGTACTCAGCCTCCCTTACTGGAGGTTTCTTACACACCCCAAGACCTCCGAAAATGCACAACTACCAAGCAGTACTTACAGATCAATTTTCCTACCTTGGCTCATGCGTGAGGTTGCCTGGTTGCCTGCTTTTCTCCCTGTGTCACTTTAGTTGTCTCCTGAATAACAGTTTCAGGTTTGTCTATGGCTTCTTCGGGGAGCTGAGACACCTGGACAGAGTGGGCCACACAAATCGAGTGGGACACATCTCCCCTGTCAGCTGGAGTCTCACTCCATGCAGGCATGGAAATCCCCATATGGGCCACCAGGTTGTGAGAAACAGACTCACCCGTCCAAACCCAAAGAATGGACTCAGAGACCCAGAGAACAGCGAAAGTGAGACTTGTGATGACGGTCTTGCAAAATCGGGTGTCTCTTGAGCAGGCACACCCAGCACAGTTTCAACAAGCAGTTTATCCCCTAGTGCACAGGTCTCTCCCCTGGTTCCTCATAGGCTGAGTATTATGGGTTACAATCTTCCCGGATGATGCCTGTTCATTGCTGGGCAGGGGCTGTAGGTGGTTTTTTAGGGTTGTTTTGCTCCATTTTGTTGCAGCCCACAATGCATTGCAATCCTAGCTAGCTCAGGGGCTCATAAAGTATTTGATTTATGACCGAAGTAGCTGGGCAGGCTGATAAGAACAAACAAAATGAACTATTTTGTAGGCTAGTAAACTTTCATCTTAGACTAAACTTCTTTGGTTCGGGGAGGGCAACTAAGGAGTGGGGAAGTGGGGGGAAGGGGGATGGTGGGGAAGTGGGGGAGGCCGAGAAGCAGGCATCAGCTATCCAAGCAGGGGCCTAGTGTATCCTGTTTCTTCTGTAGTTTGCTGACCTAAGCCAATTCAGGCACTTCATCCTGGAAATGGCCCACTGTATACATTATTTCCTTCAAAGAGCCAGGGGAGTAAGAGAAAGTGTCGTGTGACCTAGAAGCTTGGGATTTGGAAGGGAGCCGAGGGGAAGGGCAGACCCAGGCAGCACCTGGGCTTCCAGAAGAAGCTGGTGCTTCCACCACACTGACCTAGACAAGGCACAAGGCATCCCCCTCTTCTCTGGGCCCCAGCTTCCTCAACCATAGCATGAGGGGTTGCACTGTCTAATCCCCAAGGCCCTCTACCAGGGATTCTGTAAGAAGGCATTCTGCATGGCCAGGGATGGGACCTGCTCATGGAGAGACCCAGGGCAATTGCAAAGCAAAACAAATGGCAGGTGGTGGGGTGCGAATGTTGACCCTCTGGTGAAATGCAGTATTGGAGCAAAAGAGCATGGCAAGGGAAGCCCTCTGTAGGCCTGTGCACTGTTTTTTTTCCTACATTTCACTTATTATTGTAAAAATATTATCATAATATTTTATTATTAATATTTATTATTATTATTTTGAAACAAGGCAGTTTCAAAAAGGAGAAGAATTTCACCCCACTCATAGTCCTGCAGAGGATCGCCTCTCATTGTCCCTCTTCTCCATTCGTCTTGGGCAGTGCGGCCTGGACACTGGGAAGTGCCCCCGGAATGCCACGGGGAACAGCCTGGCCCCCACTTCCTTCCCTCCATGCTGGCAGCTCTTAGCGTTTATCCTGGGCTTGGATGCAGTTTCTTGCACTCCAAGGACAGAAATGATAGGAATGATGAGGGTTTTAACAACCAGCATCGATACTGCATTTTCCGAGTTACAGAACTCCTTCTGTCCTTCTGCTTACTTGATTCTCACCACAAGGATCCTCAGCCTCTGACCTTGTAAACAGTCAGAAGGGCAAGAATCACTGTGTCCATTTTACAGCTGAGGAAATACTCGGAGAAGATAAGCAACTTGTTGAAGGTCACAAAGGTAGAAGCAGGCAGAGGTTAAGACCAGAGCCTATGCAAAGAGAGGGCAACAGTGGAGCAGAGGCTTTAAACCTGCTTCTTCCTTGTTCCTGTTTGAATGTGTCACCTTGCTCACTCCCCAGGTGCCACTGCCACACGGCCTGGTGGGATCTTGGTGTGGTCACCATGTTCCATGTTTATACTGAAGCTTTGAAGTCTTGGAGAATCAATTAGGCTGCCATGAGTCCTCAGATTCCTCAGGAATCGAGGGAACTGACTCATCAGAAACAAACTCATAAGAGACTGACATATCATATTAGTATGAATTTACGAATTTGTAATGAGAAACTGTCCTGATGAACAGGATACTCATGTTTACTGATCACTGAAGAACTTAAAAATAGCGAAGGTCCCTTCCCTCCCCAGGTGCAGAGGAATGAGCACCACATGGTTTTGTGGATTCCTTTCTAGCTTGGAAAGAGAAAGAGAGAGGCGAGGAAGTGGCAAAGGAGTTCCCTGGACTAGAAGATAAATTCAGAACTTCAGGGAATCACTGTAATGTGTGGCACTTGAAAGCATAAACCAGATAATTCAAATCTAGGTTCAGGTCCTGGCTTGGCCACTCACAAACTCTATGACCTTGGTTAAATTCCATAAGCTTTCCAACCTTGAGTTAACTCATCTGTAAAAGGAGCATAGCACTTAACTTCTTAGGGTGTTTGGCAGGATTAAATGTGATAATGCCTGGAAAGGTGTCCAGCATCTAGTAAGGACTGCATACGTGCTAGCTATGTTAAAGCTGGATTTTCGAGGGCAGAGAGGGAGAACTCAAACAAGATTTAAGGTCTAGAAATTCAGATATGACTAGGGAATGTTTAGAAAGTACAGGCCACATGCTTCATGTGATGAGCCTCTGCTATGGCAAGCATGTTCTTCAGGTTCCAAGCATGTTGTTCAGACACACCTCAGGGACCTGAACAACATGCTTGCCATACCAGGGGCTCTGGCAAGGTCTAGTCCGTCCCATGGGATAGCAGGTGTTGGGCGTGGAGAAGAGGCAGTCTTTCAGATGTTTCTGTTCAGGCCCAGCTCCTGACATGGAGTGGTGGCAGGATAGAGCCGAATATTCAAAAAGAGAGAAAGAGAGAGACTCTGAGAACTGAAGGACAAATTTGGGGAAGAGATCAAAGAAGCTAAAGACCCGGATGAATGTCAATCAAGTAGGGCCAACAGGCTCAGAGAGGAGATTTTCTAGACATCAGGGCAGGAGAGGAAATGATTTAACTCAGCAACAGGCTGCCACAGTGAAGACTGGGATGGGATTAAGATCGGAAGCATTTATTTTATCAGCCAACAGTTTGACTGCCTGTTCTCCTGAGAGAAGATTGTTTATCCCAACAGGGAAAGGCTTATGGCCTGGCACTGTCCCCTGGCCTGCCCCATGGGGTATTCCCCATGCCAGGATCTCTAAGGCTTCTTCCAAAGTGTGTCCTGCAGAGACAGTGAGCAGATATTCCATTGTCACACATACAGCAGGAGCCTAGCACGTCCCTTCCTCTTAACACTTGCAGAGATAACACATGGAAGCCACAAGGCATGCGGGAAACAGTGTGGCCAATCTGATATGTGCAGCATGAAAGCCTGGAGCTAGATATCAGGTAGGACTTCCAGTAGGACCACTGAAGATAAGGACGTTAACTGCAGGGAAACAAGTGGGGAATCTTGCTCCCTGGTAACTAGCTAAATGTCCAGAGCAATGTCCTACCCTACTGGTAATTCTGCCATTTCCATTTCTTGGGTCACAAGACTCCTGTTTTCAGCAAGAATGCACCTGACCTCCACAGGCACCTGTAGGTCATCAGATTTCCTCTGGCATGTGGTAAACTTGGGCCTGTGAGGAGCTGTTCTTCCCTGGAAATAGCTCAGGACCCAAGAAACATGTGCTCTGCTGGGGTGAAGTAGGGCTGACCTGGGTTGGAACAGAAGGAAGATGGAATGAAGGGGCTTTAGAGCCAAGAGAATATGAAACACCCAGGCATGGCCTCATGCCTGCCTCTGGTATGGGCTTTATGCACACATGATTTGTGTGGGTCACCATAACAGGGCTCCGCGAGGGAGCTAGAAAGAATGAGACAAGGTCCCTGCTCTCCAGGGAGCAATTAGCTCATGAACCGGAAGCTGGGGATGCATAAAGGGCCCAGATTAGGGGAGAATAGCCACAGTTACCAAGCATCAAGTAGATGCCATAGGCTTCGTGTAGATTATTTCACTCACTCTCACAGCAAAATCATGTAGCAGGTATCCCTACTTTACACACAAGCAAATGGGCTCAGAGAGGTTAAGGAACTAGCCCAGTGCCACACAGCTAGTGAGTGGCGGGATTTTAACCACAGTCAGTCTCTCTGGTTCTAAATCTCATAGTTATACCACTCTGCTGCCTTCCAGCCCTTGTTACCCTCTGGTAAGCTCCTCTGGCATCATCTGTAACTCAGAGTCACCGATTACACCACACAGAAGAGGCCAGCACATCTCGATTTAGAGAACTCTAGCACAAGACACCAAGAGCGATAAGAAACTGATACAGCAAGCTAAAGGGTTGTCCTTTGTTCTGAAATTATATTCTTCCTACTTTTCATTTTTTTAATAATATTACAGGAAAAGTGAATGATACTTTTGCTTTTTATTTTCTTATTTGACAAAATAAAACATGGGACGTCCCAAAAGAGAAGATAGTTGCTACTTACTAGGGCTTGCCAACCATTGTACGTGTATTAGCCCTTCGTTCTTGGGACACCTCCTTTCACAGGACCTTGAGGCACAGGAGTTTAAGCGACTTGCCCAAGGCCACAACGCAGGTAGCTGGTACAGCGAGCGTTCAAACCCTAGTGGTCGGGCTCCAAGTCTGCACTACAGTTAGAGGCTGCGACTCTACCCCTAATTACAAGTAGGCTGACCCTGGCTGCAGCCTCATGTGCTCCCTCCTCTCAGGGACCCCAAAGGCACTCGCCCCGGAGACCTGGTCCCCAGCTGCCTCTCCTGTGGAGTACCCTCTCCCAGCATCCCCGGCATTTCCGTGAGCTATTCTTTTGTGGTTCCTGATGGTCACCCGTGGTCCCTTTGGAACCTATTGCTTACTCAGGCCACAAAGGGCTGGGGTGTAGAGGGCTTAAGGAGTAACTCCATTTTGTTTTCTAAAAGTCTTCCTTGCTGTAATATTGGGGTCCAAGACTGTGAGGCCCAGCCCAGCTGCAGTCAGACTCCTGCCATCTTTCCAGTCTTGCCAGCATGGAGCTGTGGGGCCAATCCCCTTGGAGGCACTTCCCTGACCCTTTGGGATCTGCAAGACCCTGACTGCTCCTGAGGCTCCCACGAGGCTCCCACGAGGCTCCTGAGGCTCCCACGAGGATGGCTGTGCAATTCTGGCACTCATGTGAGGCAGCAGTGTTGATTATGTAAAGACAAGGGGGGCGTTTGCCCATAGGGAAGAGCTAGGGAAGGACCGACACAAATTCAGGACAGGGATTCTTCTGAGGAGGGGAGAGGAATACACAGGGCATCAGAGGCTTCAAACGTGCTCTTTCTTGAGCTGAGTACATGTGGATATTTTTCTGTATGTTTCATCTCTGTGTTACCTATATTTGCATATATAAAATACCTCATAATAAAAGAAAAAATAAGTAATATCTGGAGTTCACTAGGCTGTACTGAAGCCACAGGGAGATGACTTTGGGTTGTGGCCAGGGCAGGATGAAGAGGCCGTGGTTCTGCAGCCTTATCCTGAGGCTGGGTGAGAATGTTGAGAGATGGGAGCTCTCTTCTCCTGGGGTAATCACAAGAGCAGACGTGAAAGGTGAGAAAACCAAGGTGTACAGTGAGCTGTGTCTGCCTGGGCCAGAGAGAGACGTGCCTGTGTGAAACTGTGTGTCATGTGTTGGGAAGCGGGCAGGGAGGATGTTCTTCGAGCTTGAAATTGCCACCAGAGCCATGCCTGTTTATGACAATGTAAAATGCTCAAAGACAGTAGGATTCCGGGGGCAGTAAGATGGCACTCGCCAGTATGGCCCAGCCTGGGAGGCTATGAGGGAGGCGGTGCCTGAGGAGGCCTGAGGAAGCTTCCAGAGGAGGCCTTCCTGTGGGATGGGCTGAGCAGGGGAGGGCTCCACATTCGCCCATGGGGACAGTCTGCAGGAGCCACCCTGTGGCCCACCTTGAGGGAGTGGCCGGGGTATTCTGGCCTAGGTGAGGGGAGGGCTGAGCCCAGAGAAGTGGCTGCGACCCTTTGACAGGAACACTCTAGAGACAAGCCAGCCCCCACCCACACCTTTAGGAGCAGCTGTGAGACCAAAGCCTGGAGGCAACAAGGAGAGGAAGAACTTCTTCTCTCCTTGGGAGCCAGACAGGAGAAGCATCTCTTACAGCCAGCGAGGTCAGGGCAGCCTCTGGAAGTGGAAGAGAGCCGGGACAGCCACATCTGCCCTCCTGCAGGGGCTTCTGGCCTGGATGGTGGCAATCAAGGGGCCATGGCAGGGGAGGCTTATGCTGTGTCACTGGGAGCTGAAGTTCATCTGATGGCTTCAGGTTAGCAGGAGCAGGGATGGAGCAGCGACACAGCGGGTGTGGCCAGGGCCCAAGCAAATGGCAAGTGGGGAGGGAGGGAGCTGGGCCTCTCCTTCCTGCCTGATGCCAAAGTGTCTTGTCCAAGCTGCCCTCTTACAATGAGGATACAGAGCCCAGAGAGGGGAAGTGATTTGCCCACAGTTATGCCGCACACTCTGCAGGCTGCGGTGGGATTGCCTCCTGACTCCTGGCCCAGTGCCCTCTCCACCACCTTGGGCAGGACCTTCCAGCTCGGGCTTCGAATCAGCATGAAGTGAGTTGATTTCTTGTCTTGTCACTAACACTGGCCTTCTGTTCACCTCCACCCCCCTCATGCCATCTGGGACCTCAAAAGACACCTGGCTTTCTGTGCTCGGTGCCTTTATTCTGCCCGTCTGAGATCACCATATTGATTCAAAGAAAGGAGGGAAAAGAAGTGTTTTAGAAAGGGCTAAAAATCTTGAGGGGACGTGACGCATGTTGTTAGCTTTTGTCTAGAAAATGCTTCATAGCTTTGTCCCAGAAGAGCTTTAAGAATGGCTGGCAGAGTCTGGGATAATCTAGTGCAATTGGCCAGGCCCTCTGGAGGAGTCTTCATACCCAAGGAGTCCATCAGCCTTCAAAATGCTCCTGGTAGAGTCTCTAGTAATTACTGTGCTAGCCATTGCCGAGATAGGAGAACAGCCCTCAAGCTCCTGCTCTGGCAAGCCACCCCACTATCAACAGCAGACTCCCTCAGGGGCTGAGCCTGCAGGTAGCTCCTCATTCCAGCCCCTCTGGTAGGAGAGTGCCGGGCCTCGGTCAGCACCTTCCTCCTCCCCCTCCTCTCCTGGCTCTCACATAGCCCTTCAGTTGCTCCTGTCCCCTTAGCTCCTGGCAGTGGGCAATGTGGCTGCCAGGGCCTGCCTGGGAGCCCAGAGAGGCTCACTACCCCGAGTCAGCTCCCTGGCAGGAGCTGTGTGAGCACAAATGCTGGGGGCCACTGCAGGTGTTCTCCCTTCTCACCTATTCCTGGGTGGAAAGTTGTACTTCCCACCGTGGTGGATATGCTAACCTATGGGTTCATTTCATCTTCATCACTATCCTGGAAAGGAGGTATTTGCATCCCCATTTTGCTGATGAGAAAACCGTGGTCCAGAAAAGTTGGGTGTGGTTCTCAAGACCTCCTAGCAGGTAGTTGCAGAGCCTGGGGCCTCACTCCACTCAGGCTCTCTTCCGTTTGCGTGAGGATTCCGTCAGTGCCAAGGATGAAGATGACCAGGCTCTGAAAAGCCCTGAAATATTTTATCTGTGTGACCAGAGAGCTGCCTATATCCCTTGGCACTCTTCTCAGCATATGGAAAATACTCCATGATTTTCTCTCCATAATAGTGTGCTTAGCCTGGGGCCTATGGAGTCTGTAAAGCCCCTGACATGAAGGTAAAATTTGGCATGTGTGAAATCATGTGCGTTTTTCTAGGAAGAGAGCCCTGAGCCCTTAGCAAAGGTATCTGGAACCCAGAAAAGTTCCACAGATCTGGGGGCAGAGAGACCAGGGTAATCCTGGCTACCAAGAGAAAGAAAGGAGAAAGAAAGGCTGAGGCTCCCAGGGGGATTCAGTTCTTGAGGAAGCAGACTCGAGTTCAGAATGTTGACTTTTTACCAGGTGATGCACTTGGGATCAACACCCATGGAAGGGAGGGGAGGCACACAGCATGGGGCAGAGTCTACCGCAAAAGCCCAGCAGCAGCCTTGGCCAATCCCACGTGGCACATCAACCTCAGCCCATGTTGGGTAAGAATGGTGAGCCTTTACATCCCCACTGAAATTGGTGCCTGCGTGTGGACAGCCCTTGGAAGGATGTGACTTTGGGCCAGGTAGCTCTCTGTAGCTGAGCCAATCTTTGGTGGGGCTGATGGGGCTGACAGCTAAAGGCACTCTCCACAGTGCTCCCAGCAGCTGAGCGAGAAGTCCTCCCTTGAAGGAGGGTCTGGGTGGCACATCACCAAGCCCAGCCCAGCATTTCTGCCCTTGGAAAAGTAGTGGAGAATAAATAATATCTACCTATCCATCCATCCATCCACCCATTTAACATTTATTGCACACATCTTATGAGCCAACCACCTATAATAAGTACCTGTGATAAAAAGGTGCACATGGCACCGTCTGGTGGAGGAGAGAGACACATCAGTGAATAATTAAAGCACAAAGTGGTCATTGCTGAAATACAGGCAAGTACCAAGAATTGTTAGAGCATAGAGGAGGGTGGGACTGACTCCTCCTGGGGAAGTGAGCGATTCCTGAAAGAGGTGACGATGCAGAGAAAGGAGTGGATGGAAGGCATCTCCAGCAGAAGGAAATCATAAAGCGGGATGGTGGCCTGAGAGGGTTCGGCAGATCTGGCAAAAGTATCAGTGTGGACGGAGTGGACAGGTCACTCGGTGGGGATGAGGGTAGAAAGGGAGATTGGAGTAAGATTGGGAATGGACTTTATCCCACCAGTATTGTGGAGTCACTGACGGGTTTGGGCAGAGGGTTGGCCTTGCGGAAATCAGCTCTGAGGATAGACAGGCTGTGGTGGCCACTGGAACCCCAGGGCACCATCTGTGTGCCAGGACCAGGCATGCTCAGCAGGTGCCTAGCATACCTCTAAGCATAAGCCAGCTTCCCACCTGAGTGACCCTCGGATGTGATGTTGTTCTGTTCCAACACACAGGTCATTCTGCTCTTTGGCACATGTGATATTCCTCTGAGAATGAGCGATGGCCCTGTTTCCCTACTTTCTCAAAGATGTTCACTTCCCATACTCAAATCCTGCTCTCATCCATGGAATGACTGTTGATGCACTGGGCCCTGTGTGTATCAGCCTAATGTCATGTGAACACATCAAAGCTTTCTGTGGAAAGCTTTCTGAAGGACCCCTTCATCTTGGTGCCACCCACGTTCTACTTTTGGCTTCTCAAATGGGTGCCCCAGCCCAGGGAGTAATCCTGTGACCAGCATCGCTCATATACCAGCAGTGACCTCACGTTTTCTCCCGGCTAGCGCACTGCCACTCGGAATGTTTCTGCAGCCTAAGAGAGTGGAGAGCCCCAGGACCCCCCTCCAGTGCTCTGGGAAGGGCCTTTAAGAAGCTGCTCAGGTCCCAGAGAGAATCCCATCCACATACTTCCTGTCGAAGGGCCAGGCTGCCTGAAATCTGACCCACTAGGGATGACAGCTGCAGACTGTGGAAGCTGGAGAGACACAGCCTGTGTCTTGGAAGGAGAGGAGAGATGTTCTGGGAGCTAGAGCGATGGGCTTCCAGTTCCATAAGAGACTGGATTGAAGTAGATGGCCTTCAAGTTAAATAGATGGTCCTTCCACTATGACAGCCTAAGGTGAAGATTCCAGCCTCTTCCTCAGACTTATTTGTAGATGGAGTGCAGAGGAAAACAGAGGCTGAGGACATGCTCTTGATGCTCAGCCACCAAAGAGAGGGTGTAAGGACTCAGGCCTCTGCTGTGCCCTGGCAAAGCACCAAAGCTCAAATCCACACTGACAAATGCCCACCCAGGAATCCCCACATCATGGGTCCCATGTGTTGGTGACACCCAAGACCAAGGCCCTTTCGCTGTTTGCTGCTCCAGTGGCTGGAACGGGGTAGGAGGAAGCCTCCAGAAAGCCTGTCCATTTGGAAGGCTGGGGAAGGCCATGGGGAATAGTGGGAAAACCCTACTTTTTCAGTTCCATGAAGGTTGACAAGGGGGCTAAATGTTGAGAACACCCCCCCGCTACAGAATTCTTCATTTCATTTTTCTGGGGACTCCTTTGGGACTCCATGCCATACGATTCTAGCTCAGAAAACAGCCGCCATCGCCGTCACCCTGTATTAGGGTCTACTGTGTTCCGGGCGCTGTCCTAGGTGCTGTGTGTGCTTTATTTTTTCCTGACAGCAACCTTGAAAAGTTGTTATTAGGATAACTTGCCCAAGTCACATAGTAAGTAGCAGAGCCGGGATTCTAACCCAGGTCTCCCTGACACCAAAGCCGTGTATGTTCTTTGCCCTCCACGATGTTATCTTCAACATTGCCACGTTGAGAACAGTCCAGGGGTTTTGTGGCCACCTTCCACCACACGGTCTTCTAGGTAAGTCTATGGAAGGCAGGCAAGGATAGGGGTTCCCTTTCCAACACTTTTTCATTGTATACCTGAGAGGGCCCCAGTCTCTCAGGTCCCCGAGCACGGAGATGGGCAAGGTGGAGCTGGGTCCACCAGCCAGAGAGCCTGGAACCTTGGGGCCAGTGGGCCTTGATAGGCCGGCCTCTGCCCTGGGATTCAAGCTCCTAGAGTGTCCAAGCAGGAAGGGTCCCTAGAGAAGAGCAAGCTCCCTCCGTGGAACAGATGAGGAGACTGGCCCAGGAGGAGGACACAAATTGCCCAAAGCCACAGAGCTAGTTAGAAGCATTGTGTGTGCGTGAGTGTGTGTGTACATGAGTATATGTGAGAGAGAGATTGTGTGTGAGGGGTGGCCCATGAACAAAGGCCCACAACAAGGCTATTTTTTAAAATTTGTTTTGTTTTATCACAAGTAGTTTATTTGGGACAAGGTGACCCCAGGAAAGGGCTGTAGAGGAGTAGGGAAATGAAACACAGAAGAGAATGAAGCCATGGCAGAGTTCATTAATTATCAAGTGACTGCTTTGGGCCACTGGGGCTCGATCCCACTGGGGACTTAGGGAGATGGTATAGGGTGTGCCTCAGAGTTGTCCCGTGCAAGGGACAGGGAAGCTGGGGCATTTATGCAACAACCCCGTTGTCATTGGCCGAGTGCTGCCATCAAGGGACGTCGGCACCCAGCACCTCTTGCCAAGCACATTCCAGCAATCAAAGAAAGCAGAGGGCTGGTATTAAAGGTGTCTGGACCCTTGAGTAGCCACCAGTTCCCTAAAGAGTCTTGAAAACCTTTTAGGGTAGAGAGATCCTGGGCATCAGTGCCAAGGACAATCTGGAGGAAAGATGAGTAAAACTGTATGCTGCCCGGCAGGCCCTGGACACAGGCTGTGCTGTGGTGGGAAGGGGCTATTTCCACGTGCTCCAGGGGAAGAGATGTCAGGTAATACAGCAAGAGAGGTTGAAGTTAGAGCTTAAAAAGAACTTCCCAGTGACACTAGTGAAAAACATATCAAAGATGTCTAGAGGCTGGGCACGCTGGCTCATGCCTGCAATCCCAGCACTTTGGGAGGCTGAGAAGGGACAATCATTCGAGCCCAGGAGTTCAAGACTAGACTGGGCAACATAGTGGGACCCTGTCTCTACAAAAAAAATTTAAAAATTTGCCCGGTATGGTGGTGCGTACCCACCTGTAGCCCGGTGTGGTGGTGCGTACCCACCTGGAGTCCCAGGTACTCAGTAGGCTGAGGTGGGAGGATTGCTTGATCCCAGGAGGTTGAGGCTGCAGTGAGCTGTGATTGAGCCACTGCACTCCAGCCTGGGTGAGTGAGACACTGGCTCAAAAATAAATAAATAATAATTTTAAAAAAGACATCTAGAGCTATATTGAGCCATGCAGCTTGATTGGTGGCCACAGAAGAAATGGTGGACATAGAAAAAGGCAGCAGCAATGAAGATTTTTCACGGCCAGGGCCAGCCAGCAAGCACTCCTTTATCTGCCAGAGGTGCAGGAGAGTGCTGGGAGGGCAGATGGAGATTGAGAGAAGGGAGATTCTCAACCCCACCCTTGGCTGGGAGGAAGCACCAGGAGGAACACCTCTCTGCACCCTAAGGTCCAGTGGAAGCCGCAGGAAGAGGTCCCTCCTCTGGTGTCATTTGGCCCATCTTTCATGGTGGCAAAGTCTTGGAAGACATAAGTCCTTAGGTTGCAGCTGTCCTGCACCAGGGCCACCCCACCACCCTGGGCCCCTGTTCCTCATTTATAAAAATGGGGAGGTTGGGAGGCTGCATTAGATGACCTTGAGGTCCCTTCCAGTCCTGATTTTCTGTCACTGTCCACTGTAGAGCCATCCCCGTGGCCCCTGGGTTCTCCTCAGTTCACCATCAACAAGTGTTGACTAAGCACTCAGCATTTGCCCAGCATGAAGGGGCTGGGGGACGTAATGAAATAACACATAGGCCCTGGCTTCTAGGAAGGGATAGCTGGGGAAATAAGAGTTTATTTACTGGGCCGGGCACAGTGGCTCACACCTGTAATCCTAGCGCTTTGGGAGGCTGAGGCGGGTGGATCACCTGAGGTCAGGAGTTCGAGACCAGCCTGGCTGACATGGTGAAACCCTGTCTCTGCTAAAAATACAAAAAAATTAGCTGGGCGTGGTGGTGCATGCCTGTAATCCCAGCCACTCGGGAAGCTGAGGCAGGAGAATCACTTGAATCCAGGAGGTGGAGGTTGCAGTGAGCCAAGATCTCACCATTGCACTCCAGCCTGGGCAACAAGAGTGAAACTCCATCTCAAAAAAAAAAAAAAAAGAAAAGAAAAAGAAAGTTTATTTACTGAGCACATACTCTGTGCTAAGCACCTGACCTCTGCTGCCTCCTTTCTTCCTCACTGTAACCTCCTAAGGTAGGAACTAGGACCTCCTAAGGTAGGAATTAGGACAAGGGAACCAAGACTCAGAGGAAAAGCCAGTTGCCCAAAGCCACACAGTCGTAGAGCTTGAATTTGAGGCCATGGTGTTAACCACGATGACTCTCCTCCTCTGGGAAATAGACAGTGACTCTCTAAGGACAGCTCCTAGTGTTCCAGGAGACACAGCAGTGAAAGCTGCAGTCGTCCAGGAAGGCCTCATGGAGGAGGTGGCTTAGCACTGGGCCTCAAGGGAGGGGCAGAACTTGGAGGCTAGTGGGGAAGGAAGCAATCTGAGGGAACCAACTCTACAAAGCAGGCTGGACCATGTCTGCTCCAGGCAGCAAGGTGTCTTCTTAGAGTAGGCAGGAGGGCTGCAGCCATGGCTCAGCCTGCTGTGGCTCCCGGGGAACAGAGGATGGGTCAGGGAGGAGCAGGTGTTTTCTAAACCCAGCAGGGCAGGAAGCCTCCTCTTCACAGCCGCAGCCCCCACACCTGGAGTCCACCCCCCTGGAAAGGCTTATGCCCAAGCCAGGCCAGGCACCCTGCCTCCTCCAGACTCATTTGGTCAGTCTAAAGATGAGCTGGCTTAGTGTAGATCAGCTTCCCCAGCCACCTGAGCCTGTGCCCAAGGAGCCGGGCCACCGATACTTACAATAGGTAACACATGTAGCAGTCACCATGACTCAGGCACAGCTTAAAGAGTTGTAAGTAACTTCAGCCGCCAGTATCCCTGTGAGGTAGGTACTGTTACTGTGCCCATTTTATAGATGGAGAAACAGAGGTGCAATGAGGCTGAGTGACCTGCTCAGGGTCACACAGCTCGTAAGAGGCAGAGCCCAGATGCACCGCTCTGCCATACTGCTTCTAAGCAGAGGCTCCTGAGCCCTGGCCATAGCTGCCCCTTCCCTCTGTCTGAGCTGCCTCCCCAGGTGCGGGTTCTTCTCCGTGCCCAGGGCTCATCCCTGCCATGGTAGCCCCTCCCTAGAGGAGACTGTGAAAGACACCCCCTCCAGTCCTTGCCACAGGAAAGGCAGGCCAGAGTGCCTAGCTTCTCTCCCCGACCCCCACATCCACACGCACCCTGTCGCCCTCTCCCCCAACCGAGCACCGTTGCCTTCTGTTCACAGTGATGGCTCCTGCACCCAGGCCGGTGGGGGCATGGAGGACTCCGTGGTGGCAGCGGCGGCGGTGGCAGCCGGCAGACCCAGTGCCCATGCCCCGAAGGCTCAAGCCCAGGAGCTGCAGGAGGAGGAGGAGCGGCCGGGGGCAGGGGCTGCCTCCCCAAGGGCTGGCCCCCAGCACAAGGCCTCCCCCGGCCGGCAGCAGCCTGCCCTGGCGACGGCGCTGTGCCCCCACGCCCCTGCCGCCTCCGATTACGAACTCTCCCTTGACCTAAAGAATAAACAGGTACCCAGGGCCTCCTAGGGGGGCGGGGAGGGTGGTGAAGGGGCCCTGCTTTGGGGGCTGTCGAGGGTACCAGGGATATCCCCGCTGGGTCCCCTCCGCTACAGGCACACCTCTTTTGCCACAGTTCTCCTGCATTGAGCGACCTAGTTTGCCCTTCCCTGGACCAGCCACAGGCCTCTGCCTTCTACCATGGCAGGGCTCATACCCTCGCAATGCCAGGCCCTTGGGCAGCACGTCCAGGGGCTCTGCTCCTCACACAGTGCTCAGCAAGCCTCCACCGCCCCACTGACCACTAGGCAAGGAGCCCACTGTTCTCTGGGGTGTCCCCACCTCCATCTGCTGCTTAGAGGCCATAGTCCAGCTTCCACGCCCACCAAGGGAGCCGGTGTTAGGCACCCACAGGCACAAACGAGGCACAAAGACAATGGTCTCCTCGAAGCAGACAGGATTCCCAAGATCAGTCCAGACTGGGGGAGTCCAAAGCTCCTCTATTGGAGAACAGATTCCATGGAGGGGCCTGGGCCTCCATTTTCCATTCAGGAAGAGAAAGTGGCCAATTGTGGGGCCCCCATTGAACCCCCAAAAAAGATAATGCCTCAGTTTGTCTTGGCAGACAAGAGTCTTGATGGAAGGTGTGTGTGTGTGTGTGTGTGTGTGTGTGCGCTTAGAGAAAGGTGTGATGGTGTGATACTGTTAAGGAAAGAGCTTTGAACTTGGAGATGTAGACATGGGATCCAGTCCTCGCTCTTCCTCCTATGAACTCAGTGACTTTGGGAGTTGCCAGTTAAACCCTCTGGGCATTCGTTTCCTCATCTGCAAAAAAATGAGAATTAACTTTGAATCACCTCCAAGGTCCCTTCTGCCCCAAAATGTGTAGGTTCTAGAGAACAATTCTTCAACCCAATAGGCAAGGTATCTTCAGAAAGGAAGCTAGTGGGAAGGCCACTAAGACTGAGTCAAGCCAAACTAACCTCCTTCCTCTCTTGGCATTGATGCCAAGCTCATATCCTGGCTCAGGCCAGCTGTAGGCAGCACATCAGTAAAGTGTTTGACCAAATCCCCCAAGATACCCTATGTGCACATGCCAGGAATGTGTGGATTACTAACAATATAGTAAGGAGGGTTGTTCTCAAACCGAATTATCCAAAAAATATTCATCAAAAAAAATCCCAGGGAGTTGAGTGGACATGCTGTCCAGGTCACTGATAAGGCACCAATTTGAGGCATACAAGTTACATTCACCTGGCTTTCTGATGACATAAAGCTGAAAGAGAACAGCTGATACCTTGGTGATAGCATCCCAGACTTTGTAAAAACCTCATCAGGGGCCAGGCGTGGTGGCTCATACCTGTAATCCCAGCACTTTGGGAGGCCAAGGCGGGTGGATCACGAGGCCAGGAGTTTGAGACCAGCCCGCCCAATATGGTGAAACCCTGTCTGTACTAAAAATACAAAAATTAGCCAGGCGTGGTGGCGCATGCCTGTAATCCCAGCTACTCAGGAGGCTGAGGCAGAATTCCTTGAATGCGGGAGGCGGAGGTTGCAGTGAGCCAAGATTGCACCACAGCACTCCAGCCTGGGCGACAGAGTGAGACTCTGTCTCAAAACAAAACAAAACAAAACAAAAAACACCTCATCAGGACAGAAGGATGGTTTTAATGAAAAAAAAAAAGTCGGATGAAATGTGGAAAAATCTAAAATTCTGCTCCCAGCTTCGAAAACCCCACAGCACTAGCATAAGACATTCAGGCCCTTCGCCCACTTTTTGAGAAGTGTCTGTTCATGTCCTTTGCCCACTTTTTGATGGGGTTGTTTGTTTTTTTCTTGTAAATTTGTTTGAGTTCATTGTAGATTCTGGATATTAGCCCTTTGTCAGATGAGTAGGTTGCGAAAATTTTCTCCCATTTTGTAGGTTGCCTGTTCACTCTGATGGTAGTTTCTTTTGCTGTGCAGGAGCTCTTTAGTTTAATTAGATCCCATTTGTCAACTTTGGCTTTTGTTGAACATGGCACACATCTATAGGAGACTGAACTCGACTCCTCTCTCTTCTGCCATGAGCTGTATGGCCTTGGGCAAGTTGCTTGACTTCTCTGGCCTCAGCTGCCTCCTATGTCTGGGACTTCACAGGCTCTTCCCTTGGCCTCAATCTCTGAAGTTTCCGCTCCCCTCCACACCCCTGCACTTGGCCTTCTCTTGCTTTAGTACTTGCTTTAGGTACCTCTTCCTCCTCTCAGGCAGTTTTCCCTGCCTCCCAAGCCTGCACTGGGTGTCCCTCTCAGTCATCCCACAGGGCCCGGGTGTCCCCGTCACAGCCCTTCAGCCCTGTGTCAGCATTTCCTGTTTGCTTGACCCCCTCCTTGAAGGCAGGTGCATGACTTGTTCCTCATTATATTCTCAGTGCTTAATGCAGTGCCTGGCGAAGAAGCTGCTGGAAGGATAAGAGACGGGAAATGATCACTTAGTGACATAAAGGGGGATGGGATGGGTATACAGCATGGCGCCAGGAACTGACTCTGCCTTAGGTCTCTTTGAGATCTAACACTTGATATTCCAACCCAGTGATTCCGCCAGCCACACTGAATCCCGTGTTCCATGGCCTGGGAGGGGTGTTGGACAATCTTAGCTCCCCAGCCCACCGACCCGCCAAGCCTCCTCTGTCAGCCAGTCCAGATCCCCAGGACGGTTTTCCTTGGCTGTTCTCCTTCCTTCGCCTCTGCTCTAGCCCCAAGCCCCACTGATGCTGCCTCTTAACAGTTCCCGAATCCCACCCTCTCTTGCCTTCCCCAGTGCCCCTGCCCCAGGAGGCCAGGCCATCCTTCCTCTTGCCTGCACGCCGGGAGACCTCCTGTGCTTCCCCTTCTTTGAGCTCTGTCCCTTCCAACCTCACCTCCACATTGCAGCTGAATCATCTTCCTAAAGTGCACCTCTGACCGCGCTGATCCTCGGGAAAGCCTCTGATGGCTCCTCACGGTGTGCAGGACAGAGGCCTCTCCAGGCTCCCTGCCACAGTCCCAGCCCCATGGGGGTTCCAGCCGTTCCTATTTGCTGTCCCGAATCTCAAGCCACCCTCACCTCTGGGCTTTTGTGTGGCTTTGTTTCCTCTCCTGGGGATTCTCCTCACCTGTCCCCGACCCCATCTGCTGCATCTGGAAGACTTCTGCTCATACTTCAGGTCGCAGCCGAGGCACGTGCTTTTACCCATTGCCTGTTGCCTCCTCTGTGCTGTCTGGGAGTGGGAGCTGTTCCGCTCAACAGCATGGACCATGTTGTTCTCAGGGCTGTGTGGAGTTGAGCAGGTGGTGCTCGGGACACCTCCAGGGTGCTGCATAGCCCACGTGAAGAGCCAGCGCTCCTGGAGCTGTGCCCTGGGAACTGTCCTGTCCTTGCCCATCTTTGCCGCCCTGCACCTTGCACAGTCTTGGGCACCTAGGAACTGCTCAGCAGGGAAGGAACATAGGAATGAAGGCACAAGTGAATGAGCAAACGAGGCCTACCCTCCAGCTTCCTGTTCTCCCTGCTGGCCCCTTCCCCAGCACCTGTCACAAGTCGCACAGCAAGACGGTCCTCCTGCCAGCTCTTCTCCCCTTCTCCCTCTGCCTTCGACCCTCTCACCCCACCCCAGCAGTCCTGGGGGATACAACCTAGGGCAGGCCAAGGAGTGAGCATGCAGGTCCCTTTGGGGAGCCCTTTAGGAATAGAGGGCCTAGGTGTCATTTTGAAATTCCTCCAAGCCCTCTAGGGAGTTTGTGTCCTGTTGCAGAGCGACTGGAGCCCTTCTTAGCCATCTGAATTGCAGAGCCCTCTGGGCTGCTCAGGCCAGAGGGCTGTGGAGTTGCAGTCAGTAGAATCTGGGCCCTGCTCCCCGAGCCGGGTCCTGGACAGAAGCCATGTTCTGCTGGAGAGCAGCCCCTCCCCACAGATCCCCATACCCCAAGCCTCAGGGTCCAGCCTCACTATGGGGCACCTCTTCAGGAAGATGTGGTGGCTATGTTTCTAAGTCACTTTCCCTCTTTGCATCTTGGTTTCCTCATGTGTGAACCAAAGGCTGTACCAGAGGGCCTCCTGGCCCCTTCCCACGCTGAAAGTGAGATTTCTACCATGGGCACAGAGAGCACCAGGGCACCAGCCTACAGAGGACAGTGGTGAGGACAGGGCACTCCATGGGTTGTCCCTCTCCCCGGTTCATTCAGTTCAGGGAACAGCACTGCACAGCTGCTCTGTCGCAGGCCCTGTGCTAGGCCTGGAGATGCTATGATGCAAAAGATACAGGCCTAGTCATCAGGGTGCCCACAGCCCAGTGGTGGGCAGACACGGGGCCAGCACCAGTGTTACTACCTGAGCACTAGCTCTGTGTCAGGCCCAGGCTAACGGTTGCCATGTGTTATCTCCCCGGGTCTGCACAACGTCCCCGTGAGATTGGCACCATTACCGTCCCATTTCTGGAATGGGAAGATTAAGGCTGAGTGATGGTGATGTTAAGTAACTTGCCCAAGGACACAGTCCTAGGAAGTAATGCAGCCAAGACATGGACTCCGCAGCCCATGGTTTCGACCCTGTACCTTCCACCATCTCTTGGCATTACAGTGAGGAACAGGCCCCATGGAAGTGGCACACAGGGTCTGTGGAGCATGAGGAGGGCAGGCAGCCCAACCTGGGATCAGAGCCAGCTCCTGGGGCAGCCCCACTGGAGGGTCTCATGACCTCACTACTAGCTGAGCCATAGCGTGTCCCCCATGCCTACCTGGCTGCCCACTCCCAGGCAGGCCTCAACGCCCTGCGTGTCAAGCACTTGCTGTATTCCAGACAGCAGGCTGGGAGGAGGGCACACAGAGCAGGCATGAGTCCCCTGCCTTGCAGGAGGCCACAGCCCTGCCCAGCACAGACCCAAGGCTCCTGTGGGCCTCTCTGAACACCCCCAAAGCACCAGCTTCCCCAGTCTCTCTGCTCCTCAGCCTCACACCCGGGCTCGCCAGGCCAAGTTCTGGAGGCTCACAACATGCTGTGCTTTCATGGTCTCAACTGGGAAGTCTTGGATGGGAACAAACCCTTGGAAGCCCCCCACACCTCCCCGCGATCCTCAGCACTGTGCCCCCCAGCTAGCGGCTCTTCCTCCCCACACCTGGCCCCCGCTCCTCAGCACTGTGCCCCCCAGCTAGCGGCTCTTCCTCCCCACCCTCTGGCTTGGCCGCCATCTTTCAGCGGCCTCTTCAGGCTCAGCTGCCACAGCAACCTGAAAGAAGGGGGCACGTTCTAATTAACACTGAGAGGCTCATTAGAGAGACGGAGGCCCCCGCGCCCCTGCCGCTGCTTCTTCTGGCAGAAGCTGAGAAATTGCTCTCTTGGCAGGGGGCGAGGCCATCATTCCTCCTGGTTCCTGGGGTTTAGAGGGAAGTGAGCAGAGCTGCTCCCTGGCCTACAGGCCCAGAGACCCCCCACTCCCTGGGGCTGCCTACCCTCCCGCACCTCTCTCTGCTCTCTGACCTGGCCCTGGTTCAGAACGGGATTGGGGTAGACGGGAGGGCCTCGCTGTCATGGATGGAGCTGACCTGGGCCATTACTGAGTCCCCAGGTCCTGCCAGGATGCCAGGGTGGGAGGAAGGATGGAGTGCTGGGTTCCAAGCCCCGGCCTGGACAAGAGTCTGGAATTTGATTTCCCTGGGGTCACAAGAGAGAATTCAGTTTAGTTCATGTCTGCAAACACTTATTCAGCCTCAGCCACAGGTCTGGCACAGCACTGGGCACAAGAGATGCAGAGACAGATGTCTTGCCTGTGATGGACAGTCCGCAGCGAGAGCTCTGAGCAGGGGGTGGCACTGAGCATTGAGGGTGGGGAGGAAGGTGGCACTGAGCATTGAGGGTGGGGAGGAAGGTGTAGGGGACAGTGCAGGTTGGGGGCCTGGCAGGCCCAACTCTGGGATCAGTGGGAGTTGGTTGATAAATGGGTTAGGACACACGATGGTGAACCCGGAACTGAATTCCAGTGTTATTCAGGGAGCAGTTGCTCCATGCCAGTTAAGGTGCTCGGTGCTGGACAGGATGACTAAGACATATTTGATGCCGTGAATAACTTATGCTCTGTTGGAGCCTGGGGGAGGGAAAGGGAGGGAAGGATGGGTTGGAGAAATGCCACAAAGATTAGTGGAGGAGACTGAGTGTCAAAGAGAAATTGGGGCCCGAGGCAGGGAGACCCCGTCTGTTCGGGGCATTGAGAGGGCTGCATGGAGGAGACACATTTGAGATAGGTCTCGAAGAAGAGGACATTTCTACCTGGAGGAAAGGGGAGGCTGGGAGTTGAGGTTGGGGAGAGCATTGCAGGCTGGGAGAGAACACAAATGAGTCCCCAAGCAGGGAGCCTCGTGGGGGCGGTCGGGGGAGAGCAGGCAGGAGCTGCTGAGCAATGTGGACTTTGTGGAGTAGGACTTTGTGGCCCAGCCAGATTGTTAGGGTTGGAAAACCAGGAAGAAGCGTTTTTATCTGTTTGGGGCAATGGTTCTCAAACAAAGAAAAGCCTGTGTTGACACCTGCTGTCTGAGAGCTTGGGTCTGGTTCTGCAGTGTAAGGTGATGGTGGGAGTAAGAAGGACACAGAGATAGTAAGGATGCTGCTGGCATGGTCCAAGTGGGAAGAAAAAGAGCCCTACGTGGTGACATTCTGGAAGGATATCATGGATGATTGCAAAAGGTATAGGGGTGGGGGGTCCCAGGAGCTACAGGAGGCTGACAAACACAGTGGACAGGGCAAACGAAAACCCCAGGACAAGGCAAGTTTCCCAGGCTGGGTGCTTGTCAGGCCAATAAGGAAGTCAACAAGAGCTGGTTTGGGTGAGGTAGGGAAAACAGTGGCATAGCCTAGATGGACAGAGGATACACAGGCTGCTGGAAATGTGGGTCTAGGATCAAGGCTAGGTATGGAGGCTTGAGAGTCATTCCCATCATTGTCACTGTCACCATTAAGCAGCTACCACTTATGAAGCTCCTGCTCTCTGCTGGGTGCTCCATGAAATAATTTAATCCTCACAAGAAGATACAGGGTCAGCAGGATAAACCCCACTTAATAGATATGAAAACTGAGAGTCAAAGATGTTAAATTCATCCAAGTCCAATCAGCTGGGATCTGGGGCTGGCCATTCCCCTTACTTGCCACTTGCTCACTGGCCCATCAAAGTAGAAGTTAAGAGAGTGGACTGGGTCCTCAGAGGGAAGGCAGACAGGGCTGAGAAGGTATCCACCTGGGGAGCACGTTTACAGTGACCTGGAAGGCTCTGACTGACACAGCTCCCTTCTTAATTCATTGTTAATTATCACCCATCACGGGCTCCTCTGATGATGTCCAACACAGAAGCCGTGGATGATGTCCAGAGTGTACGGGGAAAATTAAAACGTGTGGAGACTGGCAGTGGCACCCATGTGACTCGTAATCAGCACACGTAGGGGTTTTGTGGCCAGAATACAGGATTAAGGGGTTGTAGGGAGACAGGACAACCAGGATAGACTGAGTCATGAGCACTGGGGAGAGTTGCAGAAAGGAGCCAGGAGGGAGGCTGAGGAGGCCCCTGGGGCTGAGTGACAAGCCCCAGATCTGCCTCTTCCTTGCTGGTTGGCCTTGGATGAGTTTAACATCTCTCGCCCTTGACTGAGATGGGAGGCAGCAGGACCCAGAGCACAGGGCTCAGGGCAGGGTTGGGTCAGCATCTGGCCTTTGCTCCTGGAGTGAGGCACAGGTTAGTGTTCTGGAGGTTCAGTGTAAAATAGGAAGAAAGGGAACAGGCTAGGGCAGGGTTGGGTCAGTATCTGGCATTTGCTCCTGGAGTGAGGCAGAGGTTAGTGTTCTGGAGGTTCAGTGTAAAATAGGAAGAAAGGGAACAGGCTAGGGCAGGGTTGGGTCAGCATCTGGCATTTGCTCCTGGAGTGAGGCAGAGGTTAGTGTTCTGGAGGTTCAGTGTGAAATAGGAAGAAAGGGAACAGGCTAGGGCAGGGTTGGGTCAGTATCTGGCATTTGCTCCTGGAGTGAGGCAGAGGTTATTGTTCTGGAGGTTCAGTGTAAAATAGGAAGAAAGGGAACAGGCTAGTGCCCCAGCGGCAGCGGAGTCAGCAGTTACGCTGTAGCCTGGGGAGATCTGTGGCCAGGTGCAAAGCTGCAGATAGGACGAAGGAAATGGGAGTAAAAAGAGCATGTGTAGGGTGAGCTGAACACACAAAGGAGGCAGGAGCGGGAGAGCGTCTGCTGAGTCAGATTAGGAAGGTTTTTGAGAGTCACAAATATAACTTTGGAATTAATTTGTCGAATACACACTCATTGAAGGCCCACTATGTGCTGGGCACTGTCCAAGCATTGGAGGAGATAGCAGTGGCCACGGCAGGTGAAATCTGCCCTCGTGGGACTTGATGTCTAGTAGAGGATGTGATGGGACAGATGCAAGAATTTAAAATCTGGTTTTCTTTCCTGCTTGGGTGAAGCATAGACATTGCCCAGTAGTACACGGAGTCTCCTAGGGTTATGTCAGCTGGTCTTCTGCCTTCAAGCAGGATGATACCATGCCAAGGGCATGGACCCCATCACCATTTTGGAAGCATCTCAAGCAATGGATTTCATACCTTCCCTGTGTTGCCAACAGCATCTCGTGCTGCAAAAGGATGCTCTTGGGCCTGGGGTTTTCCTAGAAGTATAAATAGGCCAGACGGGAAAGAAATGTGAAATCTGGCCGGGCGCAGTGGCCCACGCCTGTAATCCCAGCACTTTGGGAGGCCAAGGTGGGCGGATCACCGAGGTGCCAGGAGTTCAGGTCCAGCCTGGCCAACATAGCAAAACTCTGTCTCTACTAAAAAAAATACAAAAGTTAGCCAGGCACAGTGGCACATGCCTGTAATCCCAGCACTTTGGGAGGCCAAGGTGGGGTATAAATAGGCCAGACGGGAAAGAAATGTGAAATCTGGCCGGGCACGGTGGCTCACGCCTGTAATCCCAGCACTCTGGGAGGCCAAGGTGGGCGGATCACCAAGGCACCAGGAGTTCAAGTCCAGCCTGGCAAACATGGCAAAACCCTGTCTCTACTTAAAAAAATACAAAAATTAGCCAGGCACAGTGGCGCACACCTGTAATCCCAGCTACTCAGGAGGCTGAGGCAGGAGAATCGCTTGAACCCAGGAGGCGGAGGTTATGGTGAGCCGAGATCGTGCCACTGCACTCCAGCCTGGGTGACAGAGCGGGACTCCATCTCAAAGAAAAAAAAAAGAAATGTGAAATCTGTCAGTTTCTCATGGTGCTTGAATAGGGCTGACAGACAGAAATTGAGAGAAAAGGAGACATTTTAGTGATCAGTTCCCCTTCCTCTCTACATTTCCCCTTGGGGAAGGACTTTCCTGCCTGAGCCAAAGCCAAGTCCCTATTCCAGGCCTCAGGGAATGTGTCAAAGTTCAGCAGGGAGAATGAGCCAAGCTACATTATTTCCACAGGAGCAGGAACAGAATGCCTCAGAGGCAAGTATCTGTGTCTCTTATGGGTGCATGAGGTCATACCTAGTAAAGATCAAGTGGGGAAGTGTCCAGTTCGTACCGTGGGCAAAATTCTCAGATGGCCCCCAAGTCCCCTTCATGCTAGTGTACACATCCTATATAATCCCCTTCCCTTGAGTATGGGCAGGATGAGTGAATGTGATGGGACATCACTCCAATGATTAGGTTACCAATTGGTTGATTTTGAGTTAATAAAAAGAAACATCACCCAGGGTGGGTCTGAGCTAATCAGGTCAGCCCTATAAATGAAGCTGAAGCCCCAGACAGACACTGTGCCGTTAGCCTTGAAGGACCAAGCTATCAGGTTATGAAGCAGGCCACATGGTAGGGGACAGCAGGCAACCTCTAGTGACTGAGGGCCTAAGTCCTGTGATTACAAGGAATTGAATTGTGCCAACAAGAGCGAGCTCAAAGGAGGACCCCACACCTTAGATGATATTGCAGCCCTGACTGATATCTTGGTTTCAGCCTGGTGAGATCCCGAGCAGATAACCCAGATGAGCTGTGCCCAGACTAGATTCACAGAGCTGCATGAGAAATAAACAGGTGCTACTTTAAGTGGCTGGATTTGTGGTCATGTGTTACACAGCAATAGATGAGGAATACACTTGGTGTGGTTTAGAGCACCTTGAAGACCCCTCCAATAGGGGGATTGTGATAGCACTGGGAGCTTCCTCCTGCTCAGGGCCTTGTCCCTCATGAAATGCAAGTAACTTTGGGAGAAGCCATATAGGAAGGCTTAGTTGCCATTTACACATTAATCTGCGTGAGTTCCAACGATCTCCAAGGGTAGAGTTGGATGTTGGGGGAGACAGAATGATGTCCCCAGGTTTGGGAATGGGGAATGGGAATGGCCAGGCTGGAAGCACTGGAGGCAAGCACTAAGGATGTCTCATTTTATCTGGGATTGTCCTTGGGGATTGGGGTTGAATCCACAAGGTGTCCTGAGCTAAGAGGCTACCTCTGCTAGCGTGGAATGGGGCACCCATCACACCCTGCAGGGAGGGAGCAGAGGGCACGGCTGGGCTGTGGGAGGCAGGCATTCATTCTGGCTGCAGCCTTTGGGGGCTCCAGTGGAGCAGGAAGCAGGTTGAAGTGTTGTGCTGAGGGATGAAGTATGGCCTTTCTATCTGTACCCTCGCCATCCATGATCCCTGGAGAACAATCTGTACCCTCCCCACCCATGATCCCTGGAGAACACGGGACGTCCCTGTTCTTGCCTTGAGTCGTTCATCTCAGCGCACCCATCCCGATTCTTCGTTCATTCGGGAAGGACACCACGTGTAAGTGGCATGTCTGGTTGTGAATAGGAAACACTCGCACTTCCCAAACTTCTCTGAGGGCTGATCAGAGTCTAGGATGCCACCATTTAAGCCCATCACCTTCACACAGGCCTTGTCCCTTATTTAAAGGCAGAAGCCTCTGGGGGCATGGCTGTCATACCTCCCCAGTCCTTTCCTGAGAAGTTTCCATAGGGAGGAAAAGTGAGAGCGTAGCAACCTGAGAGGAGAAAACCCACGGACAGGAGGACAGAGCCGAGAGGAGGCACGCTGGCCCCCTGACAGAAGTTTTCCTGGGATCAGATCTGCCCAGGTGAGGTGCCATGCCCCCGAGCCCACCCCACCCAGCCCTGCCCTGGTTGGACAGCTCCCACCGTAAGAGCAGAGGTGACTCAAATTGGGGAACTCTTGGTAATGGTGGCCTGGAGGGACCCCCATTCTTGAGACACCCACTCAACTTTTTAGCAAATCCACGTTTACTGAGCAGCTAACTATGTACTGGGAACACACAGATGGTCCAACCCCAATCCCGACCCTTCTGATGTTCCCAGGGAAAGGAGCCACCCCAACACAGAGACATGGTTGCTGGGGAGGAGCAGGGAAGCACGAGGAGCTGTGAGGGTTTTTAGCATTTATGTTTTTCATTGTTTAGGGGAGGAGCGGGGAAGCACGAGGAGCTGTGAGGTTTTTTAGCATTTCTGTTTTTCATTGTTTATTGTTTTAAAGTGTGCACAAAAGTAGAAACGACAGTGTTATAAACTCCCCCGTAGCTATCATCCAGCTGTAACCATTTTATTAATATTTATTAACATTAATATTGTGTCATCTAACTCTTCCACATTTTTTGACAGAATATTTTAACACAACTTCAAGATATCATGCATTTTACCCATAAGTACTTCTGTATGCATCTCTGACATGAACTTAAAAAAAAAAAAAAAAAGAAGAAAAGAAAAGAAAAAAACAGAGACAAGGTCTCACTGTTTTGCCCAGGCTGGAGTGCTGTGGTACAATCATAGCTCACTGTAATCTCCAACTCCTTGGGCTCAAGCAGTCCTCCCACCTCAGCCTTCCCAGTAGCTGAGGACCACAGGCGTGCGCGCACCAGGACACCCAGTTAATTTTTTTTTTTTTTTCAAGAGAGAGACAAGGTCTAGCTATGTTGCCCAGCCTGGTCGCAAACTCCTGAGCTCAAGCAATCTTCTCTCCTTAGCCTCCCAAGATGCTAGGACTGCAGGCCTGAGCTAATGCGCCCGGCCATGAACATTTTGTAATACCCGCCACAGCATCGATATCTGAACGCCATATGCAGCACCTCCCTCCTGGCCCTTGAGACATCACTAGTCCCCAGAACGGACCCCTCCGTCCTACACCTCTAGGAGTCTTGCCACGTGGCCAGGACGTTCTAGGCGGTTCAGACTTTAGCTGCCCAGGAGCGCCCCCCCGCCCCCGTCCATTCCTGGGCCCCACCCGAGTGTGGCCGGGTGACTCCACCACTCCTCAGAAGGGCTGACCACCCTTCCCCTCTGAGCCCTTCCTCCTCTCTGTCCTCGTCCTTGCAGATTGAAATGCTAGAACATAAGTACGGCGGTCACCTGGTGTCCCGGCGCGCCGCTTGCACCATCCAAACCGCCTTCCGCCAATACCAGCTCAGCAAGAACTTCGAGAAAATCCGCAACTCGCTTCTGGAGAGCCGCCTGCCACGGCGGATCTCCCTGCGCAAGGTGCGGTCACCCACGGCCGAGAGCCTGGCGGCCGAGAAAGCGCTCATGGAGGGCTACGGCCTCGTGGGGCTGCCGCTGGTGCGCTCGCCCTCCCTGCCGCCCACCTTCGCAGGCACCCTCACCGAGCTGGAGGACTCCTTCACCGAGCAGGTGCAATCCCTGGCCAAGTCCATCGACGACGCGCTCAGCACGTGGAGCCTCAAGACCATGTGCTCCCTGCGGGAGAGTGGCGCTTACCAGCTCCACCAGGCCCTGCAGGCGGCCGCGGGGCCCCCAGGCCTGGAGGCCGAGGGGCGGGCGCCGGAGAGCGCGGGCCCCGGGCCCGGGGATGACGCCGCGGAGACCCCCGGCCTGCCCCCGGCCCACAGCGGGACCCTCATGATGGCTTTCCGGGACGTCACGGTGCAGATCGCCAACCAGAACATATCCGTCTCCTCCTCCACGGCTCTGTCGGTGGCCAACTGCCTGGGCGCTCAGACGGTCCAGGCCCCCGCAGAGCCCGCGGCGGGCAAGGCCGAGCAGGGCGAGACCTCTGGGCGGGAGGCCCCGGAAGCCCCCGCCGTGGGCCGGGAGGACGCGTCAGCCGAGGACTCATGCGCAGAGGCTGCGGCTAGTGGGGCGGCGGATGGGGCCACAGCCCCCAAAACAGAGGAGGAAGAGGAGGAGGAGGAGACGGCGGAGGTGGGGAGAGGGGCCGAGGCCGAGGCAGGCGACTTGGAGCAGCTGAGCAGCAGCAGCACGTCCACCAAGTCCGCCAAGTCAGGCTCGGAGGCGTCGGCCTCCGCCTCCAAGGACGCCCTGCAGGCCATGATCCTGAGCCTGCCGCGCTACCACTGCGAGAACCCAGCCAGCTGCAAGTCGCCCACGCTCTCCACCGACACCCTGCGCAAGCGGCTCTACCGCATCGGCCTCAACCTCTTCAACATGTAAGTCAGCCCCGGCCCCCAGCCCGGAGTCCTGGGCGTCCTGGGAGGGAGGGAAGGAGGAGGGCACCTTCCCTCCACCAAGCAGGGCGCCAGGTAACTTCCCACGTCATGCCAGGGTCCTCCAGGCAGGCGCATCTGTGCCGTGCCTGATCCCTGAGGTCATGTTTAGGAAGTACATATTTTATTTTAATCATCCTGAGTTTATTTTAAGAAAGATTAAAGGAAAAAAATAACACATCAGACACATGCTTTCACAACTGTTACAGCTTAAGATGAAGCTAGGGTTTGAAAAGTAAGAGAATGTAAAAGAAAAGACAGTATTAAGTAAATAACAGTCCAGGCCGTTTGAGGATTACGCAGCAATCATTCGGGTGGATATGAAGCCAGGGAAAACGCATTAGCTCCCAGGGTTGGTGAAATGCGAGGCTGGGTGGGGGAGGGAGGAGAGGCGCCTCGTAAAGAATGCCGGCTGAGAGCAGGAGAGGGGAGGGCTACGAGGAAGAGAGAGTGTGAAGCAGGCAGAGGCACAGGAGAAAGAGAACAGGGGAGAAATGACCGACCGCCATAGCTCAGAGACCCCAGCGAGACCGGGACTGGTCCTGCACCGAATGTATACAGCCAGTCCCAAGCAGAGGAAAGGAAGCACACCTGCCCCTCCCATGGAAATGTCAGGTCCAGGAGGCAGGCACTCGCCTCCATCCTCCACTCGCCCCTTCATAACCCTGCGCCAAGAGCACATCTCCCCGGCCCTAATGCGTGTTCATTCGTTCATTCGGCTGTTATTTATTGGGTGCCAGGCACTGTGACCACAGAGGTGAGAAGGACACATCCCCTGGCCTCAAGAGGCTCCTATTCTAGGGGAAGTAGCTACTGTTCATAGCTCACCTTACATAAAGCATCTGTAATCTTCCAGCAGTATCTACACAGAGGTATTACCATGCTGTTTTACAGAAAAGAAGCCGGCTCACACCAGTAAGGCGAAATGCACACGATGAAATAGCTAGTACTCGGCAGACCTAGGGAAAGGCGGATCTGACTCTGAACCACTCCCACTTCTGCAGTGTCTCTTCTGCATGCACATGAAAACTCATACAGACACTCATCTGCCCCAAGACAGGAATTCTTAAACTATCCATAGTGAAGAACCAGTTTTGTTCCCCCACACCCTTCTGAAAATACATTGTGGGCTAATACTTTTGTAAAATACAATAAAAATGAGGTGCTAGAAAGACAATCACATGCCTGGCTGTCCCGGAAAATGTCGAAATGCTATGGGAGGTTCTCAGTGCTTACCTTGTGTTTCTGTACTTATCTCCTCCCGGACCTGTGAGGAACAGCTCAGGGAGCAGCATGGCTTCAAAGCTTGCAAAGGGAAGAGGTGGTGTGGCGGAGGTCTCACCTCTGTTTCTCCCACCCTCTCTCCAGGGTTGGGGCGTCTGCGGTGGGGACCTGCATATTGACAACAGGATATGGGTAGGGGGAAGGGCAGGACTGGGGTAAGACCCAGGAGGCAGGGACAGAGAAGGGTACTTCTCCTCCATCTGCTCTGGAATTCACTTTGTTTGCAGATCTCCCCTGTCCTCCTTCTGGTCACACACCATCCTCTGCGTGAGGACATTCAGTGGGTTGAGGCTCTGGTGAGAGAAGCTTCAATGGGGAACTGGATTTCCAAGAACCTCTGGGTACTTCTATGGGTGGAAGACAGGGAGGAAAGAGTCATGGATGGCTTCAGCTCACTCTCTACTGCTTCTCCCCACCCCCACCTCCAGAAACCCCGACAAGGGCATCCAGTTCCTGATCTCACGCGGCTTCATCCCGGACACCCCCATCGGTGTGGCCCATTTCCTCCTCCAGCGAAAGGGCCTCAGCCGCCAGATGATTGGAGAGTTCCTGGGCAACAGCAAGAAGCAGTTCAACCGCGACGTGCTGGAGTGAGTACCCCACACTCCGGGCTTTCCCCACTCCTTCCCACACCCCACCTGCCCGGGCTCTCTCTGTGAGCTCCTTGGTGAAATCCTCGCTCCAGTTCTAACAGCTTCCAGCTTCCAGATTGTCCACAGGAACCAGAATCCCCTCTTTAGCCCATCACCCCAGTGGGCCGGAGCCCTGTCTCCCGTCAGAGTCATTGATTGAGTTCGCCCCAGGCCAGGCTTCGTTTGAGGCAGCAGGGATACAGAAATGGTCCAAAGAGACAAAAAGCCCTTTCTGCCTGTCACTCTCCAGGGCAAGAGAAACCAGGAAAAGGAAAGGGCTTGTGTCAGCACTGGGGTTCATCTCTGCCTGGTGAAGAGCCCCTCAGCCCCCCTCCCCCAGGACCCTCCCATTCTCCAAGGTTCATTTTCATATCGCTGGAGGCAAAAATGTGAGACAGAAAAAAGAAGGGGTTAAACTGAGGGTTTTAGAGCAAGAAAATACTACAATTCCATAAAGATAAATCTACCAACAAAATCATGACCAAAGAAAAATTGTTTCTTTAAAACCAAAGAAAATGGTTTTAAAGTCCAGTAGCAGGGTGGGGACCCCCAGGGGGCTGCCTTTGCCCCCGCTCAGCCTTGATAGTGTGGACAGGCAAGAGTCTCTTCACACTCATGCCTTGTCCAGAATGGCAGGGCGGGGCTGGCGCTCCTCTGAGGCTGAGGGGCCTTGCAGCTACTCCTTCCCTGGGACATCGGCTTCAGCCCCTGCCATGCCCCCGTGCTCTTTCTGGCTTCCACTGGTCCCCGAGGTTGGCCTCCTTCTTGAAGGTCTCCATTCTTCAGGGACCCTCCCTCATTTCTCTCCCCTCTTTCTCCTTGGGGACAGTCAGCAGAAGTGTCTCCCCGGAGGCCCTGGGAAGAGCTCTCCCTTTCATCCTCGCTCCTGGAGCAGCAAGGGACTGCCAGAGAGGGTTTGGACGCTGGGGGAGTCATCCACCCAGTGGTCAGCTTCCCTGGAGTGGGAGCTTGGATATTTCACTTCTATTTATGGAGCTGTCTTGGTGCTGTGTGCCCATATTGAGAAGCCCCTGTCCTCTGGGCCTGCGTTTCCATGCCTGCAGAGTGGTGCTGGGTTGTGAGGGCTGGACCCATTGCCCTCTGAAATCCCTGTCACATTTCTAAATCCACTGACGCGGTGGTTTTCTGACTGAGTTCAATGAGTGAGGGCTGGGGTTCGCACAGGTACCTTGAAATCCCTGCACAGCCCTCAGCTGGGCAGAACTGAGTTCCTGTCCCTGACTCTTGGTGGCTTTTGACAATTTATCATCCCTCCTGGAGCTGCTGGTGGAGACGCTCTGTGGACCTCAAAGAGGAAAGAGAGACAATGCTAGGCAGCGCCTCCCTCTCACCTCCTTTCTCTTCTCCCTCCGGCTTCCCTTCCCTTCCCCAGCACTGCTGTGGGGGCCCATGGAGGTGCTACTGGGATCCAGGATACATCTAGGTTGCAGAAGGGGAGAGATGGCATTTCCTCACGCCCTTCCTTTTCTGTGTCCCCTAGTTGGCTCATCTCTCTGGCTTTCCTGCACTGTTGTCCCAGTCCATCCCTTCCCAAGCCAGGGTGAGGTGCTGGCCCCGTAGCCCCAGGCACCCCTGCTGTCTCTCTGCTCTGGGGGCAGGAGTGACTCTGCTTCACCCACAGGCCCTGACTGTTGTCTGTTTTCTTCTGTCTTTCCCAGTCTCCATGTGGCCTGCGCCCTAAATTCTAACCTGCAAGGCCCACATTGATCTGGAGTGCTGGGAACACAGCGTTTTCCTGCAGCCCAGGTGGTGCTGAGTCGCACAATGGAAACTAATTGCCCTCTTCCCTGGGAGGCTGCGTGTATGGGCTGTGGGCTGGAGGCTTGGAGCAGTGGCTGCAAGCCTGTGCTGAGGAGGGGAGCTGGGCTGGGGGCTGGGGGCTGGGCTAACCTTAGGTAGGGATCAGGCTTGGGATGGGTAGGGGCCAGACTCCCGCGTTGGTACACTCTTCCAGTGAGAAGAGGCAGCGTGGTGAGATAGGAGAAATAGCTGGACCCGGGCTCTGCTCCTCTGTGCTGTGTGGCTTTGGCAGGACACCTCTCTGGGCCTCGGTGTCCTCATCTGTAAAATGAGAGGGCTGGGCGATGTGATTGCAAAAGTTTCTCCAAGTCCTGAGAATCTACCACCTTTCCCATCTCTTAGTGCATTGGTAGCACTGCCCTAAACACTGGGGCATGATTTGTCATCCTGCCAGAGCAGCCCACAGGCCCCAGGGCCGTGCTGGGGTGCCAGAGTTCATGCAGGGCAGTGCTGGGGTGCCAGAGTTCATGCAGGGCAGTGCTGGGGTGCCAGCGTTCATGCAGGGCAGTGCTGGGGTGCCAGCGTTCATGCAGGGCAGTGCTGGGGTGCCAGGGTTCATGCAGGGCAGTGCTGGGGTGCCAGGGTTCATGGGGGAATGAGTTGGCCATTTGTTATTCATTCAACAAACATCGAGCACTTATTTATTGTGTGTTGAGAATGGGGCCACGCTGGGCACCCGTGTGTGTGTGTGTGTGTGTGTGTGTGTGTGTGTGTGTGTGAAGAGGCATGGCTCACAGTCTCAGGGAACGTACAGACCCAGGTGTGGATGGGGAGAGGTGAGAAGCAGGAGCATGGAAAGAGAGTGAGAAGAGCAAGGGGCCTCCAGCCGGAACCCTGGCTTGGGCAAGGTTGAGTGCAGAGCTAAGCCCTGATATGCCCTGGTGAAAGCCGCAATCCCTCATGCTTGATTGTGTAGCCCTGCAGGCCTGGCATGCTGACTCAGCGCCACAGAAAGGAGCCCCTCCCTGAAGTCCATAGGTCACTGACTGCCTTGCTTCTCTCCGAGGTGGAGAGGGCCCTGTCCTGCAAAGGGCAGGAGAAGATGGAGAAGCAGAAAGTGGCAGGCACTAGCAGGGGAGGGGGGCGCTGGAGTCTTTGCATTTCCCTTCCACTCTGACTGTGTCTTCCTTACTCCCGCCGGAGAAAACACACACACTAACCGAGTCGCCAGGTGCCATTTTGCCCAGGCCTGGAAGGCTTCACTGGGATTCTATACGGCTCCCCTGCCCCCGCCTGGTGACATTCAGCAAGCGGTATTCATTCTGTACAAAGCTGTTTGCCGAATAAAAGGATATAAATCACCCATCCCCTTGGAGACTAAAACAGCCCAAACCGCAGCACTCTCCCAAGAAGCAGCCGATGAGGAAGAGCCGATGAGAAAGCCTCTGAGAGGGGAAGGGTGTGCTTCCCAACCGTCAGGCCTGTGCGGAAAGGAAGAGGAGGGAGAGAGCAGCTGCCACCTCGGCTGCTGGTCTGTGTCTGAGCATCATGAATGCTGTGACATTTGCTTTCAGAATTCGGCCCTCAGCGCTCTTGGAAGCTGACATCTCCATCCTTTTGTATCTTATTTTCACAGAAGACACATTCCAAGAAGGAATGTATTCTTACCAGGCCTTATCAAATGACAATAATAGAAGGCATTCTGAGCTCAAAGAGCCACACCCATTCCAGTGTTTACCTGCAAAGGTTTCGCTTTTGGTTTTTTTGAGACAGAGTCTTGCTCTGTTGCCTGGAGTGCAGTGGTGCAACCATGGCTCACTGCAGCCTTAAATTCCCAGGCTCAAGAGAACCCCTCACCTCAGCCTCCTGAAGAGCTGAAACCACTGGCATGTGCCACCACACCTGGCTAATTGTTAAATATTTTTGTAGCGATGGGGGTCTCACTGTGTTGCCCAGCTGGTCTCAAACTCCTGGCCTCACACAGTGCTCCCACCTCAGCCTCCCAAAATGCTGGAATTACAGGCATGAATCACTAGGCCCAGCCTGTTTGTTTTTAGAGAAGAAATCAGCCTCAGTTTCCTCATTAGTAAAATGCTGGTAAGAGTACCTGTCTCATATGAATCAAACGTTTTCAATGTACATGAAGTGCCTGATGCTTAGTAAGTTATCTGTAAATGTTAGCTCTTTCTTTTCTTTTTCTATTAGAGACAGGATCTCTCTTTGTCACCAGGGCTACTGGGCAGTGGCATGATCAAAGCTCGCTGCAACTTGAACTCCCGGGCCCAAGTGCTCCTCCTACCTCGGCCTCCTGAGTAGCTGGGACTACAGGCTAAATGTTAGCTATTTCATTATTATCTTTTCTACTTAAAAGCACAGACATTAGAACCCTCCACTCCCCGCCATCCCATTCCCCGCGCACAAGGAAACCTCCTCAAACATGACTCAAACTCAGGTCTACTAGGCAGACAATGAGAACTTGCTGGAACTTGCTGGGCTTTGCTGGGAAGGGGGTCAGCTCAATCTGGGGAGCATCCTGCAGCCTGAGGAAGCCCGGTCCAGAAGCTGAGAGTCACGCGGTGGCAGGCCAGCGGCAGGAGCCAGACAGCAGCCAGAGCTAGGGCCCTCTAGGGCTGGAAGCCTCTCCCTCTCGGTTTTCACATGGCTGGGGAATTTGGCTCTGCTCTATTTCCTTTCTGAAATGTTCGCTTCAGCAGGTTTAAAGTCCAGCGGATGGGGAACGTTCCATGCTGGCTGTGAGCGGCCTCTTTCTGGCCTGGATGATTTTTTCTGGTGTGAATCCCATGCACGTGGAGAGCATTGGTGTCTACCATCTCCATGAAATGCAGGAAGGCAGCTTCTGGGTTGAGCTGCCGGAAGAAAGCTTCCTGGGTGTTCCTTCCCTCCACTGCGTCTGCTCCATCCTTTGTTAAATTCCAAGACATATCAGGGTTTGACGTTTGGGTCAGATTTCATTATTTTATTTCCATGGAAATATGTTGGCCAGAGTATAACAGATTTGTTCTTCTTAGAGGACGTTTAGAAATGAAGACAGATTGTCTGTCAAATTCAACAGTCTGGAAGGCTCTGGCCTTTCATTGCTAGGAAGAAATCATTTGAGAATGTCCTGCCCACATTGCTGTGTATAATCTCAGTTACCTTATTCCTGAGGAATTCCCATGAGGAAGGGGAGAGCAGGCTGGGGCCCAGGCAGACCTTATGTGTCCGGAGGAGATAAAAAGAGGCCCAGGCAGGGATTGTGGCTCACACCTGTGGTCGCAGCACTTTGGGAGGCCAAGGCATCAGAATCACTTGAACCTAGGAGGTTAGGGCTACTGTGAGCTCTTACGGCACCACTGCACTCCAGCCTGGGCAAAAGAGACCTCATCTCTACAAAAAAATTTTTTTTAAGTAGCCAGGTGTGGTGGCGGGCACCTGTGGTCCCAGCTACTCGGGAGGCCAAGGCAGGGGAATCACTTGAGCCCAGGAGATGGAAACTGCAGTGAGTTGTGACCGTGCCACTGCACTCTAGCCTGGAAGCCTGGACAACAGAGTGGGAGCCTGTCTCAAAAAAGAAGAAAGAAAGAGAGAAAGAGAGAGAGAGAGGAGAGTGGGAGGAAGGGAGGGAGGGAGGGAGGAGGAAGAAAGAGAGAGATAGATAGAGAGAGACAGAGACCCAGTGCAGGCAGGCAGGAATAGAAGAGTTAGGGTCATTTCCACTGCTTTGGAAACGGTACACTGCCAGCACCAGAAGGCTGGAAGGAGAACATCTTCAAAAGTGGTGTCTTTGGGGTTATGGCCTTGACCCTTCACCTCTCCACTCTCTCCTGCCCCACTCCCACCACAGATAGACAAGGGATTCTCCTGAACAGTCAACAGTTGTGAGAGTTTAAGACCTACTTACTTCTGTAGCTGGAGACCTTGGGACCTTCAGTCCAGGATTGAGACTCCCTTTGGCTTCGTCACTTTGGCATATAAATTGGACTTTTATATAAAAATGGACCTACCTGCCACCCAGTCCTCCCCTGACTACTCAGGCCTTTGCTCTGGAGGAGTCAGTCTCCTCTGTGTGATAGCTGTGGCTGCAACAGGCCACTCGGACGTGGGCCTTCTAGAAGGGTCTTCCGGGGTGTCACTGTCTCCAGGGCAGGGCTGTCATATCTCCAGGAGGGCCGTTTGTGACCAAGCAGGCCGTGAAATATTATGCCAGCTCACACAGATCAGCATGTGCTGTGTGCCACAGGTGCTGTTCTGAGAGGCTTACATGCAAAACCTCGTTCCATCTTCACAGCGACTCCGGGAGGGACGTGCTGCTAATCTGTACCCAATGAAGGCACTGAGGAACAGAGAGGTTGGGGAGCTTGCCCACAGTCACAGAGCTGATCAGTGGCTGAGGTCTGAAGCCAGGCACAATGACTCATCACCTGAGCCCTTAACCCTGCACCATCCAGCCTCCGTGCGTCATTCCAGGACCCCTGTGGTCCGGTTGCTCTCACAGTCCTTGTCAGTCCCCCATCATGAATCATGACACTGAAGACCCCTTAGACAATCAGCTGGTCCAGCCCTCTCATTTTACCCTGGCAGAAACTGAGGCCCTGGGGAAAAGAAATGACTAGTCTCCTGGCCAGCGGCAGAGAAATTGAACAAAATCAGGTACTCTCCCACCTCTTACCTTGGCGTTATTTGCTATGCCCCGATCCTCTCAATTTGGGAAGAAAGCACAGCTGAGAAACTGATTCGTAAGTCTCAAGAGGTCTGAGCCAGATTTAGCTTCCTCTCTCTGGTGCATGTATATCTTAAAGGGCCGACGGATGGCTGTCTAATGATACAATTCCAGGCAGAATTAGTCGGTGGGGCAGGGAGGGGTCCTGTCCACTGACAGGCGGGTCAGCCCACACCTAATGAAAATGATCATGTATTAAGCCCTGTTGTATACCAGGAACTTCACACCCACTGCCTCCTTTAACACTCATAACACCCCTGCCCAGTAGATGTTCTCAGTGTTGTCTCCATTCTCAAGGTGAGGAAATGAGCCACCAAGAGGCTCCATGACTTGAAGTAACAGCTCCACGGCCTTTTCTTAATCCACCCACTGTTATTGGCATAGAGCAGTGCTTCCAAAAGGTGGTCCCTGGACCAGCAGCGTCAGCTTCACCTGGAAGCTTGTTAGCAATGCAAACTCTCAGTTCCCGCTCCAGGCCCACTGAATCAGACTCTGCGGCTCGGGGCCCAGCAATCCGTGCACTAATAAACCCGCCACGCAATTCCAATGCATCACTCAGTTTGAGACCCACCAGCAAACAGGGATGCTGCCGAGCCCAGCAAAAGAAAAATCAGCTCAGGGCTTCTAAATTGTAAGGGTAGTTTGAACTTAGTTCTTTGGGTACCTGAGTCTCAAGGTGTGAGTGGCAGCCAGCCCTACCCAGGCCCCCTCAAAAGAGAGTTTCTTCGTCCTCATGACATCACCAGGAACACTGGCAGATCCTGCATCAGCTTCCTTCTCTTCTATTTTCTTAGCCGCATCGCACTTTGCCAAAACGCCTTGACCTTTGTTGAGCATGTTATGAATTCTGACGAATAAAATAACTCTCTGGAGGATGGGGATATTTTTAATTGAATTGTAGAAGCCAACAACTGCCAAATAAAGCCAGGGTTTCTACATTCCGTGGCAATAGGTGGTTTAGATTTCCTTCCTAATCCTGAAACCTGGGCTTAGTCTCAGCCAGGAGCACGAGCTAGGGCTTCACCTTCCAGATCTTCGCCGTCTCTTCCAGCCAATTAAAAATCCCTGCTGCTACCATTACCTATTTTCAGCTCCCAACCAGTTCCTTTGTCTGCCAGACACTGTCTTGCTATCATTAAAAAAAAAAAAGAAGGTTGAGATGATGAAATTCATTTTGATCACAGGCGTGTAGGACGCTTCATTTCCCTGCAACACAAACTGATTCCACGCACAGATCAATGTTAACAAGCAATTTTATGCAAGATTGTACCTGTTTCTTCAGAGGCAGGGAACATACATCCTTTTTCCCCAACGCTTGTGAGGTATTTGCTGCAGACCTTGCAGAAGCTCACAGGAAAGAGGGGGAGGCCTTAGCAAAACCGGTACCACTCGTGATCCACGCGCCCGTCAGCAGCACCTCCTGAGACAGGTCCGGTCATGCCTGGCTGGAAGCGGTCTAATCGGTGCCCATTGCTCTAGTTCTCAGCACTCACTCACTTGCATGTGCAGTGGGAGGAAGGGGGCCTATGCCCTCCACACTGCCTCACTGCCTGGAGTCTGGAAGCCTCGGGGCCATTTGCAAGTCCATCACAGGTCTCGGTGTCAGCTCCAGATAATCTTGGCAGCAAAGCAGGCTGAGTAATCCTGGGCCGTTGGGTAGAACTTCCAAAGGCACAGGCCACTGAGGCTCCTTCTCCAGCTGCCGGCATGCAGTCATTCCTGGTCATCTCTCACTCACTCATTCATTCATCCCACAAAACAGTGATTGGGTGCCCATACACCAGGGAGGCAGAGATTAAAATAACTGCCCTATCTTGAAGGAGCCCGTAGCCTCGTGGGGAAGACAGGCAGGCAAATGTTATGACACAGGGAGATAAACGCAATGGTCGACAGAAGGTGGGTTCCGGGGACAACGGAGGTCAGGGAAGACTCCTAGAGAGGATGAGAGCTAAACAGAGACCTGCAGGGTTGGGGCTGGGCAGCAGGAAGAAATAACAGCATGCACCAAAGTGGGGGCGTGAGAGCCAGGCTGCAGGGGGGGACCATGCTGGGGAAGCGGCGAGAGAAGCTGGAAGCAGACAGGGCGTCTTTGCTTTGCTGAGAAACTTGGGTTTCACACTAGGGATGTGGGGAGCCCTGGGAGAAATGTGAGCAGGGACATGAGCTATGATGCCAAGTTAGCAGCCTAGAAGGATGGCTCTGAAGATGGTTTGGAGGCAGGGAGACTGGTGAGAAGGCTACTGCTGTTAACAGCCATGATGAGAAAGGATGAAGCCCTAAACTGCGGCTGTGGGCATGGGGAGGGGAGAAGTTGGCAGAGCCCAGGGCCGTGGAGAAGCAGCAGGGCCATGGCCCACGTGGGAGGGAGCCAGGCAGCCAGCGCACAGCCAGTGGTCTCCGAGCTGATGAGAATTCAGAATACGCGTGTGCTTCAGGCCCCCTGTGTTGGTACTCCATCTACCAAATAAACACGTACAGATTTTCCATTTCAGAGGCAGGGAGATGCTGGATTCAGGGACATTTCATCTGAAGAATCTATCAAACTAGACATTGTCAAATATTTACTCAAGCAAGTTAGACTGTTAGCTAGCTAGAGCCACTGGAATGGGGGCAGCCACTAGCATGGGGGCAGCCACCTGGACAGTGGTTGTTGAGAGGGGGATAGGGCCCAGTTTCAGGTCAGTGAGGAGGGGCAGCTGCAATGGATGAGGGGCTCCTCCAGAGGAAAGAGTCCACCTGGGGAGGGAGGGTGATGGAAGCCAAGAAGACGGTGTTTCCAGAAGGGAGCAATTAACCATGTCGATGCTGCCAAGGGGCTGGGATGAGGACAGAGATAGGCCGTTGGATTTGGCCACATAGCAACCAGCAATGGCCGTGACAAGAGAAGTGTTAATGGTGCCTGGGGTTGGATGCTTGAGTGGAGCAGGTTGAAGAGTGAATGGAGAAGAGGAAGTGGAGGCAGCAAAGAGGAGAGAAGAGAGGCAGTGTCTAGAGAGCAACGAGGGCTCAAGGCAGGGTTCTGATTTGTAAGATGAAAAAGACAAGCACTTGGGTGCTCCTGAGGATGATTCAGTAGAGGGGAGGCGTGGTAGCTATCTGAAAGAACACCTCAAACTTCGTGTGCCCCAAGATGGAGACTCCGTCTCTCCAGCATGTGTCTGCACCATGATACACTCACACTAGAGAACGGTACCTCCAGGCCCCTGGGTGCTCCTGAGATGATTCAGTAGAGGGGAGGCACGGTAGCTATCTGAAAGAACACCTCAAACTTCGTGTGCCCCAAGATGGAGACTCCGTCTCTCCTCCAGCGTGTGTCTGCACCATGATACACTCACACTAGAGAATGGTACCTCCAGGCCCCTGGGTTCTCCTGAGATGATTCAGTAGAGGGGAGGCACGGTAGCTATCTGAAAGAACACCTCAGACTTCGTGTGCCCCAAGATGGAGACTCCGTCTCTCCTCCAGCGTGTGTCTGCACCATGATACACTCACACTAGAGAACGGTACCTCCAGGCCCCTGGGTGCTCCAGCCAGAGCTCCAGGATGCACCAGTGATGCCTCCCTTTCCTCACTTCCCACATTCCCTGCACCTCGAGTCCCATCTGTTCTTCCTCTAAGATGCAGCTGGATCATTCATTCAGTTTGTTTCCACTGCTCCTGCCTTAGCCCAAGCCCCATTATCTGTAGCTTGGACCTCTGCAGTAGCATCCTAACTGGGCCCCTGCTTCTGTCTTCTTCCCTGCCCCTCTGCCATTCATTTTCTCTCCAACAGCCAGGGAAATCTTCTTAGAACAAACAGGACCCTGTCGCTCCTCTGATCATACCCTCTATTGTGTCCCAGTGCATTCAGGATAAACTCCCAAATCCTTCTCATGACCCACAAAGCTGACAGACTGAGCCCTGGCTGCTGCCCCACAGTCACCATTCTCCCTGTTACTGTCTGCACTGCAACCTTGCGGACCCTGCCTAGGTCCTTGAAGCTCCTCCCTGCCGTGAGCCTTTGCATATGCTTCCTCCCTTAGCCCACCTGACAGCTCTCCCCTCTCTCCTTCCTTTGGCCACCTCCTACTCATCTTTCAGGCCTCAGCTCAAATGCCATGTCCCCAAAGAGTCCTTTCCAGACATACAATATAAAATATATCTCCTTTGTCCTCTCCTGGAACCGTCGTTTCCCTACATAGAACTCATCATGACTATAGGTAAAGAATTATTTTTGACTCTGTGTTCAATGCCTGTCTCTCCCACCAAGACAGAGACTGTGTTGCTGGCCACTTACACCAGGTCCCGAGCACAGCCTTGCACACGGGGCCACTCAGTGCTCGTTGCTGAAAGAGTCAACCAGCCACTGCCACAGGGCACAAAAAGCACCAGAAAGGGGAAGGCAGGAGGTCAGCGATATGGACCCTGCTGTGGGCTCCAGGTGCCCAGGCCAGCTCTGAACCTGCAGGGTGACCACAGAGCCCCCGTGCTGACTGCCCACGCATGCACCAAGAGGCTCTCCTGTGTAACTGTGTCCACGGGCTTCTCCTTGGCCTCTCACAGGTCCCCACCAAGCCATCTGGGTAAGATCACAGCCCCTAGGAAGACATGCATTAGTGCCAGCCACTGAGCAGCAGAGAGCCAGGGAGAGGTGAGGGAGAGGAGGGCACAGGGGACCACCTGCCCCAGGAGATGTCAGCAAGGAATGAGATGTGTGCAGCACGCCTGTAGGGCTGGCTGTCTAGTGTACTTCAGTCTCATATGTAATAAAAACATAATGGTACAATGGTTCATATTGCACAAGCTTGAGAAGATGAGGTCATTGCACACATAGTGAAGCACTTAGAGCCATACTCAGTACAGAGAGCTCAGAGGGAACTCCCCCGACTTGAGTAAGGGACCTCCCTGCCACCCCACACACACACAGGAGTGAAGAGAAGAGAGCCCAGTGGGGCAGGGAGAGGCCTCACAAGATTAGGAAGCTGAAAGCCTGCTCTCCCTAGCTGTGGGAGCATGGGGCCAGCCCTACGTGGCATTAGTTTTGTCTTCTGTAAAATGGGGAGATGATACACCAGAAAAGACCACCCGGGAATGTGTGGTGCTCTTTACCTTAAAGATGACCAATGAGGAGAGATGACTCCAGGCCACCCTGGGTGGAGGCTGCAGCATGGATTTGGTAAACTGCCCACACTCAGCTCCCCAAGAGGATTCCAGGGCAGCAAAGAAGGCTGGAAAGTGGGAATTAGGAGTGCTGGTAGACACTGCAAAATAAGAGAAGCAGCAGGACAGAGAGTGAGAGAAGGGGAGGGAGCAAAAGAGGGCACGGTGCAAGCAGAAGCTTATGCTCAGGGAGTGAACAGAGGAGGCTCATGCTGTAGAGGGCCGAGGCTTATAGGTGCTTCCAGGGGGACACGGACCCTGGAATGAGCAGGGCTTATGGTAGACAGCACAGTCCCACCCCCAGCCACCTTCCCCAGGATGACACAGGCCCCATCAGGAACGCAAACAGTGATCAGTGATTCCCCCTAGAGGAGGGTGGGGATGAAGCCACCAGCCAGCCAGGAGTGCTGCTGCGGGTCGTCTGCCCCCTGCCGTTGGGAGCGTCTGCAGTGCTTCAGAGATGGCCCGTGCCTCCGGGTGCCAGTCCTGAGAGGTCACCTGGTCCAACCCCCAGCTCTCCAGTGAGGAAGTGCCTTCCTCAGGCAGGAGGGTAGAGTGTCCCACCACTCAGCACAGCTTCCTCCCTTCCAGCTAGGGATTTCACAGCCAGAAAATGTCATTTTTTCCCCCAGGGTCTGAGAAACCCAGAATAGCACCTGTTCATGAAACACAGATACCCTGTGGTGGCAAATGCAGTGAGGGGAGGAAGGCAGGACGGCAGGTGCATAGCCAGGGGAAGAACTACATCTGTTTATGCCTCCATCCACCCCTCCCTCACCACCCCCATGCAAAAGCAGCCCCGATAGCCAGGTGGGGACACATGCCCCTAAGGACGGCTGCCTGGTGGCCTGTGAGTTGCTGGACTCACTTTAAAAGCCGCAGTGAGGCCTACCCTTGCACTCAGCTCAGTCTTTGGTTTCACAATTTAGGAACAACCGGGAGATCTTGCAGAGAATGCTGATTCCCAGGACTTGCCCCCAAATATTCTAATTTGCTGGGTCTGGGGTGGGGTCCAGCGAGCTGCATTTTAACAAACCACCTTATGACTCCGCTGTGGGGTCCTGAGAGCACACACTGGAAGATGTTGGATGAGAGGCCCTTCCAGCTCCACAGCCCAAGTGTCCACCCCTGCAGCCCTCCCCGCTTCGAGGCCCACGAGGGGTGTATTCAACTCCCATTCTGTGGGCCGACTTTTCAACCTGGCTGCTTCCCCCATCCCGGTCCTTGGCTCTCAGGCTCTCAGCTCACTACCGGGGCTTTTAGCAGCAGACTTGAGTGAGTGAACGGCTGCTTGTCACCTGAGTGAAGGGCTGGAAACTAGGCCATCGTGCTTGGCTGGGCAGATGCCACCCTCACCAGCTGCTCCCGCTGCCTCTGCGGCAGCCTGCCCCCACAGTGCCCTGGGCCTCCCAGCACCCCCACCATTGCAGGGTGAGACCTGGTCCATAGCCCTGGGGCAGAAGGCACTCAGAGAGAGGCTCTGGGAGGAACGTGGATGTGGGAAGCCGGGTGCCAGGACCTCAGCGTTCAGAAACAGGGAAGGGGTGGGGTGCACGACAGATGGGGGCAAGTCCTGGGGAGCAGCAGGATGGCACTCAGAGGGACCAAGGGCCGTTCTGGGGCCCTGAGGACCCAGGCCTCTTTCTTGGCCTCATAAGAGTCAGCGCCCCTGGGCTGAGAGGGTGGCATCTGGCCGCTCCATGCCGCCCCCACCACAGTCCGCGGTGCACTTCACATCTTCATCTCTACCAGACTTCTTCTGTCTCTTCCTCTTCCCCTCCTGTCCCTTCCTCTCCTCGTGCCTCTCTGTCTTTCCGCCTTCCTCCCTGTCTCTGTTTTTTGCTTGTTCTTTATCTCAGTCTCCGGTCTTGCTCCCTTTTTGCGATCTCTCTCCTGCCTTTTCCTCCTTGCCTGTCCCTCCCTTTCTCTCCTTGCTCTCTGTCGAATTAGACTTTCCTTGTCCTTCGCTGCCCCGCCCCATCTCTCTGGCCCACACGCTCTGACCCCCTTGCTGCGTGACCATGCTGGTTCACCTCCTCCAGGCTCTCTCTGTACTCATCGGACCACAGCCTCTTGGTCACCAGCCCTGGACAGTGTCACTGTGTGGCTCTGTTGTGCCCAGTTGCTGACTCCTGATGGGCTGGGCTACAGGAACACACGGATGTGGCCGCATAGGGCCTTTGGCACTCACGTAGGGCTGCAAAGGGTGCAGGGTGGAGGTGAGGAGGGCCACCGGGAAATCAGAGCAGCCTCTCGCCTGGCTGGCTCTGGAGGCCCCTGTTCCCCAGCCGTCAGCTCAACCTCAAATGCCCTGATCCTGGTGCTGCCGATTCTCATGCTTGGGCAAGATGCTGGCCTCCACCCCAGCCCCACCCTCACCTGCCCACTGTCCCGGCCAGCAAGCCTGAGAGGAGTGGGCTTTGACCAAGCCAAGGACAACTCATAGCCTGAAGATGGCCATGGGCCCTGCCTACGGGAGAGAGGCGAAAAGGAAAGAGGAGGAGAGACTCCCAGCTCCCTCTCGGCGCCCCCTCCCTTTCTAAGAGTCTTCGGTGATGCACTTTTCTCCTTGTTCTCCCCAGAAACCTGTGGGAGGCGGAGTCCATGGACCACCAGGCCCTGACCACCTCCACTGTGGCGTCTCCCCTTGTTTTCTCCTAAAAACTGACGGCAGAGTTGGGGGTCTCCAAGTCTTCTAGGCAGTGGGCACGAATGGAAGCTGAGGTCATGGAGGAAGTGGGTCCACCTCAGAGCTCATGTCACCATCACAGGGCCACTCAGCAGGCGTTTTCTGTGCTCTCGATGTGGTGGGCAGGCAGGCCAGGGGACCATGGGAGCAGAGTGGGACTGCTTGCCGGCAGTGGGCAGTGTCAGGGGCAGTGCAGGGGCTGTGCCATAGCCAGTGGGAGGAGACTAGGGTGAGTGGGTGTAGAGTGGGCAAACGTCAGCTCCAAGAGCCCAATCTAACGCGCTTGGTCTGCGTCTCCCAAAGGGAAAGCAATGCCCAGGGGACATTGGGTCCCCTGCTTTTCCAGGCCTGGACTCCTGCCTTGCTGCACATGGCCCTGGGGACAGGGCACCCCAAAGGAGGGTGAGGCAGGGTGAGGGGACTGGGAGGGTTCGGCCTCAGACCCTGCAGTGCAGAGTCCCCTGGATCGGGCTAGACCAGAGGAAGGCGCCTGCTTAGCTGGGGGGAACTGGCATGTGACCCCACACCCCCACCCACACACACTGAAGCTCGGGATGTTCACAGGCAAACCCCCCAGGGTTGGAGGCAGCATTTCAGAGGTAGCAAGGCCCTTGGGGAGCAGGGACTCCAGCCTCCTCCCTTTTCAGAAGGTCACACAGAGGCCCCAGGAGTGAGTGGGCAAGCCAGAGTCACACCAAGTTCGCAGGAGGGCCCAGACCAGAATCTGACCCTGCGTGTCACGCTGTCCCCTCACGTTAGGCACATTTGTCATTTACTCTTAGGCTGTGCCTCCCATCACAGCCTCCCCTGAGGGCTGGGGCAGCTGGGGGGAGCTGGGGCAGCTGTGGGGAGCTGGGGCAGCTGGGGGGAGCTGGGCTGCAGAAAGCCCCAGGGGCTTGAGGGGCTCTGCTCCTAACTGTTCAGCCTACAGCAGAAGGGATCCAACGGAGGACTCAGCCCCCTCAAGACCTAAATGAGAAAGTGAAATTTAAACCTGGGAGAAACACAGGCTCCTAGCGGGTCTCTGAAAGAACAGAAGAATCAATATGTTTACTGTATTATTTATGCTGAAAGCTTTGCTTGGGGTACTCTGAGGTTAAGAAGGAAGGAACTGGGATTTGGAGTTGGAAGATCCGAGTTCAGCCTCCCTCCACCCCTGTGTCCTGGGCCACCAAAGCCTCTCCTGGCCTCAGGGTTTGGGTTCCGAAAGGGCTACTGTGGCAGGTGGGAGGAGATGGTCCTCTTGGGGCATTAAAGGGCGACCCCCGGGGGTGAGTAGCCTGAGGGGCCCTGCACCTGTCCTGGCTGGGAACAGAGGCCAGCGAGAATGGGTGTTGGAGGGTGCTTAGGGTGCCACCTGACCTCACACCCTCCCTGCCTGCCCTCAGCTGCGTGGTGGACGAGATGGACTTCTCCAGCATGGAGCTGGACGAGGCCCTGCGCAAGTTCCAGGCACACATCCGTGTGCAGGGGGAGGCTCAGAAGGTGGAGCGGCTCATTGAGGCCTTCAGGTAAGGCCGCTTCCCAGCTCCACTCCCCAACAGACCCCAGCGTGGGGAAGCCGGGCCGCTGTGAGCCTGGGAGACAGGAGATGCTATCAGGAGGGTTGGACATTGGGCCAGAAACACCCCTTCTGGTGTGGGCAGGAGGATGGCTGGGGAGAAACAAGGGAAGGGAAGAAAAGGGACCGACCCCTCGAGCTCCCCAGGCTGGAAATGTGGGGCATTTGGGGGTGTGGGGAAAAAGACCAGAGTATGGGACAGACACTGGTCTCCCTGGACCTAAAGCCTTCGGAGAGCTGGGATACCCCCTGGACACCCCCTTCCTTTGTTGGGCCCGGGGGAGGGTGGGCGGGGGCTCAGCGTCCGCTCTGCATCTGACCCCCCCACAGCCAGCGCTACTGCATGTGCAACCCCGAAGTGGTTCAGCAGTTCCACAACCCCGACACCATCTTCATCCTCGCCTTCGCCATCATCCTCCTCAACACCGACATGTACAGCCCCAACATCAAGCCTGACCGGAAGATGATGCTGGAGGACTTCATCCGAAACCTTCGAGGTGAGGAGGTGGGCACTGGGGCAGGAGGGGCAAGGCCACGGCTCAGGCCCCATTCTGTGCACCGTGCATTCTGTGAGTCTGAGCCCCTATCACAGATGGTCACCTGCTGTCTGGGCCTGGTCACCCATAGCAAGCTGGGAACATTCCTTGTGAGCCAGGCGGCTGGGGAGTTTCCGGCATGCAGCCTGCCACCGCCACCGCTCTACCAAACAGCAAGCGCCCTTGGGCAGTGCCTCTTGCCCTCCGTGGAACATGGTTGGCCTCTAGGCCCCTGACACCAGAGCTGGCGGCTCAAGTGGTGCCAGCCCTTCCCCTCCACAACTTACAAGGAAGGAGCCAGGAGCAGGGCCCTGGGTCCATTTAAGTCAGCCTTGCAGATAACTGTATGGCACCAGCTGGCAAGTCCTTCTCTCATCGATGCAGCGCACTGCCTGGCAGGGAGCAAACCAGGACTGGCAGAGTGTGATGTGTGCGCAATTGTTTTTTTTTTTTTACCCGTTAAAAGAATCAAAGTTATACATCCACATAATTTAATAAAGTCAAATAATCCTACAAGGCTTATCATAGAAAAAAATTAGTCGCTGCCCCTCTCACCACTCACCTTCTCCAGAGGCAACCACTTTTGACTTTTTTAGCTATTTGCGTTTCTTCTGTATCGATAAACCGCAGGCTTCTGCTTCGCTTTTTTCTATCTCTTTTTTTAACTGGCATAAAGTCCAGACTGTGAGTGTGTAAGCCTGAAGTTTGATGAATGTGTACGGTCACGTGCACTGTGTCATCACACCTGGATCCTGATCTGGATCATTTTCACCTGCCCAGAATGTTCTCTCCTGTCCCGTCCCAGTCAATGCCTTCGCCCAAGAGTAACAACTATTCTGCCTTTTATCACCATTTGACGAGTCCTGCCAGTCCTTGAACTTCATCTAAATAGAGCTATACAGTATTTATACTTTGGTATCTGGTCTCTTTTATACACTGCTCCTTGTTAATTATTATTTCTGTTGCCCAGGCTGGAGTGCAGTGGTGCAGTCTCAGCTCACTGCAACCTCCACCTCCCAGGTTCAAGTAATTCTTATGGCTCAGCCTCCCAAGTAGCCGGGATTACAGGTGTGCACCACCACACCCAGCTAATTTTTATATTTTTAGAACAGATGAGGTTTCACCATGTTGAACAGACTGGTTTTGAACTCCCAACCTCAGGTGATCCGCCTGCCTCAGCCTCCCAAAGTGCTGGGATTACAGGCATGAGCCACCACGCCTGGCCCTTGTTAATTATTTTTATTTTAAGCATGATCTATTAATTCCCCATTATAGAATGTAAGGATTTAGCCCTCTTTCATCCACCTTCCCTGACCCATCCCACTCACGTCAGTGCTCATGTTATTAGGGCTCTGCACACACACTCCAAAGCTGAGTCTGCAAGTGCAGAATGATTGCAACTCCCTTCATCTATACTTTCCTTGGAGTTAATGCTTCTCTTTCCATTTGCTTAACTCTCTGAGGACCTCCCCTGATTCAGCCCCCACTTCCCACCCTACGTATCAAGCTCCTCTCCATATGTCCAGACCTGGGAGGTGGTGCGGGAGAGTCATCTTCCGGGAGCCTCTGGTCCTGCTCCAGTCTGGACAGTGGCTGGGCCAGGGCACAGCCTGCATCCTGGGCCCTCCTTCCCTTGCTCTCATGACAGATTCCTGGTTCCTGCATGTCAGAGCTTCCTCATTTTTAGTTTACTTTCAGAGAAAAGGCCATTTTTGAGAACTTGCATTTCTGAATGTATCTTTTTCTGTCTTTGCCCTTGGTTGGGAGTTTGGCTGGGGATAGAATTCCAGCCTCAAAACACGCCAATCAGGATTTCAAAGGCATTGCTGCTGCATTGTCCTTTAGCTGCCAGTGCTGCTCTGCCATCCCAGCTGCTGGCCTTTTGTCTGTTACTCTTTCTCTCTCTCTGAAAGCTTGCAGGGTCTTCTGTCTGCCTTCGTGTTCTGGATGTTCACGATGATGCATCTTGCTACAGTTCTTCTTCCATCCATCATGCCCAGGGCTGGACTGGTCCTTTCCATCTAGAAACTCATGTCCTCCGGTCATGGGAAGTTTTCTTAAATGTTGTATTTGATCATTTCTGCCCTCCAATTTCTCTGGACTCTCTTTCTTGAACTCCTGCTATTCTGTTGGTGGATCTCCTAGTCTGATCCTCGTAACTTTTATAGTTTTCTACCTGCCATCTTTGTTTACTTCCTTGACTTTCTGGAAAGTGTCCCTCAGTGCCGTCTTTTGTGTCTCCTACCAAGTTTTTCATTCCTGCTGTCATATTTTTCATTCTCAATAGCTCTCTTTTGTCCTCTCAATGTTCCTCTTTTATAGCATTTTATTCTTGCTTTGTAGATGCAATATCTTCTCCCATCTCGGTGAAGATGTTAATATTGGTTTGTTTGTTTGTTTTTCTCTCTGTTTGCCTCTATTTCTTCTGGAGTCCTTTTTTCTGTTTTTTTTTTCCCCCATATTTCTTTCTCTTTCCTGGTATAGACTTTCCAAATGCAGTTGATGAAATCTGGTTGTTCATTCATATTTAAGAGTGAGCCACCAGAAAGCGGATGAATGACTCTGTGAACACAGGTGGAGGCTGCTGGCTGGTGAGCTTTCTTGTAGGGTGATTTACTTAAGGCATTTCACCGGGAGACCCTACTGCAGTATCTGGAGATATTTTTTTCTTGTTCTGCCTGATACCCAGAAGATAAATGTTCAATCTGTTGCCCAGAATGTATGATTCTGGCTGCCAGAGTTCTGAGATCTTTAAGTGGGAAGTGGAGTTGAGGGTTAATATATAGGTTATCAACTTCATCCCCCAGTATTCAGCAGAGTCCCGGCTTGGCTGGGTGTGGGGTCCCTCATCTCAGAGTTCCAGAGAATGGACCCCCAGTCTTCTGCTGGAGTGAGGAGGGGATAGGGAAGCCCAGCAGCTTTCTAACCCGTTTTCAACCTGTTTTCCAATTCCCAGCCCACCTTCACCTTCGCTTTTAGGGGCTGCTGTTACCACCAGCTCTAAGCCCTTTGGTGGCTGTGTGGTGTTTGAGTGGCTTCTAACCTCTCTGCTGGTCTGGGTTCAGCTTTCTCAGGTTTGCTAAATCCATCCACTTATTTATCCACTTGCCAGGTCCTGGGGTGCCTGTGCCCCTGTTCTCTGTCTTTGTGGGTGTATGCTTTTCTAAAAGATTCCTTTCTCCCGAGTATTCAGAAGCAGCAGAGGCATGCAGCCTGCCACCTTGAACTGGGGGCATCCATACACTCAGCCTTTCTCCTTGGTTTTTCTCACCCGCCGCCTGATTTCTTTCAGCCTCCTTGGCTGCTGCATGGCTCATTTGCCTGACTTCGAGAACCAAGATCAGACGTGGAAGAGACCAGAGCAGGCCGGGAGCTGCGTGTGGAAGGCGGGGTGTCCTTTCAGTAGCTGGGAACACTCCTTTGAGAGATGCTTGCCAAAGTTGTTTTATTTTTAATTTTTCCCTCTTATAAAAGAAGCGTATAGTCATTAAAGAAAGATTTGGAAATAGTAGAAAGAAGATATTTTAATCGCCTGTTTCTCCAAAAGAAACGTGTTTTCTTGTTGGCATATTTCCTGCCAGTGTTTTTTTGTTGCCCGAGTTTTATCATTACTATGAAGCAGGAGGTGGGACAGGGGTGTCCTCGCCTGCATTGCCAGGGGTCTGCCTGCTCCCCCACTGCTCCCAGTGAGGGAGGAATCTCTTCAAAGACTAAGCCCTCAATGCCATGCTCCCTACTGGAGGGGAGAGGAGAGCCCAGCAGGAGGAAGATCCAAAAGAGAACGAAACAGAAGCTCCTTATGATGCTGGAGTGGTGGGGTGGAGCTGGGGGGTGAGACGAACACAAGGAAGACGACAGAACTGCAGAGGCGCACAGGGTTAGCAGGAACATGGAGGCTGTATCTGCCATCAGGAAAGAGGCCTGGGAGGTGGGCGTGAAGACTCTGGTTGGGGAACATCAGGAGGTGAGGCAGGAGATGTGTGTTGGGGCCATATCATTAGTTTTGGTGCCTGGCTAAGGAACTTGTTCTTAATTGAATGGGTATGAGGCACCAGCCATTGAAGGCATGGCAAGAACCAAGGCCACCCCCCGGGAGCTCCAGGCTGGATGGGGGTCTCTTCTGTCTGGCTCCAGGGCTCTGACACCCTCCCTCCCAACCCCACCACCACCCCTGCCCACTCCACGTTGTTAGGTGTGGACGATGGCGCTGACATCCCCAGGGAGCTGGTGGTAGGCATCTATGAGAGGATACAGCAGAAGGAGCTCAAGTCCAATGAGGACCACGTCACGTACGTCACCAAGGTGGAGAAGTCCATTGTGGGCATGAAGACAGTGAGTGTCCACAAGCTACCTATCTCCCGTCTCCTTTCCTTTCTTTCTTCCTGGCATCTCTTCCCATTCTCCTTCTTACCTTTCCAAAACTCTTTTTTCATATTCATTCACATGATAGTTATGAAGTACCTACTGTGTGCCAGACACTGCATCTCTTTTTTTTTTTCTTGCCTGATTTCCTCATTGCCTCTTGCCACCCGATACTGCAGCAGGAGAGACGGAGATGAGATGTCAGGAAGGACTGCCCAGTGGTCTAGGGTGGAAGCATCTGGGTGGCCAGATGAGATTTAGTATCCCTTTCCTAGGACAGCATGACTACCAGGCATTCCTGGATGGTCCTGATGAGTGGAAGGCAGGAAATGGGCTCAATAGGCTCCAGGCTGTGGCATCACCATAGATTTGTCCTATTGGTAGTGACCTGTGTCCCAGGCAGCATGTTCCAAGCCTGCCATGATTTTTAAAGTGGGACTTCTCTGTAGGCTACTACACTTTATACTATAAAGGATGTCATGGGGGTTCCAGTTCCTCCTCCTCATATTCTTGCCTCAGGGGACGGTGTGGGAGAGTTTGGAGATCTCTTCTGAGGCCCTGCACTGGGCTCCCTCCTCCCAGTCTGTGCAGGGACAGGCTTTTCTGCTTTGAGAGCCTTTATTGCTGAGGTCTCAGCATCTGTCGGGTTGCAAGCGACTGGTTTGTCTTACACGCTGGAGTAGATGCCAGGTGTCTCTGTGATCCCTTCGCTCTCGCACACCTGCATCTCTGCAGTATAGAAAGGGTGGAGGTGTCATATCTGCAGGCCGCAGCCTGGGGCAGGGGATGCCCTCAAGGTTACGGAGGGAAGCAGGTTGACAGTGGCTGGACTGGAACAGCCTGCAAGCTCTTCTCAATTTCCTATTCCTGTCCCTCTATCCCCTCATTTACTGTGGCTCAGTGGGCCCCTTCTCTGGCCGTGCTCCCCAAGAAGCATGACAGGGATGAGCCCTGGGACAGGGGGTGAACGTGCGAGGGAAAGAGCCTCAGACGAGGAGAGAGAAGGATGAGAGTCAAGTCCAGGCCCCAGGACAGAACCGGAGCCCCTCCCCTCCCTCTCCACAAAACCGAACCCCTCCCCTCTCCTCCCTCCACAGAACCGGAGCCCTCCCCTCCCCCTCCACAGAACCGGACCCCTCCCCTCCCCTCCCTCCACAGAACCGGACCCCTCCCCTCCCCTCCCTCCACAGAACCGGACCCCTCCCCTCCCCTCCCTCCACAGAACCGGACCCCTCCCCTCTCCTCCCTCCACAGAACCGGACCCCTCCCCTCTCCTCCCTCCACAGAACCGGGCCCCTCCCCTCTCCCGGGCTGTCTCCTCTTCTGGAAAATGGGCGCGTGGGTGGGGAGGCCTCCAGGCCTCTGGTCTCTCCCGCTGAGCGCCCTGCCCGCGTGCAGGTGCTGTCCGTGCCCCACCGCCGCCTGGTGTGCTGCAGCCGGCTCTTCGAGGTGACGGATGTGAACAAGCTGCAGAAGCAGGCAGCGCATCAGAGGGAGGTGTTCCTCTTCAATGACCTGCTGGTGGTGAGTGGCCTCCGCTCCGGGACTGGGCTGGGCTGGGGCTGCCTCTGCCGCCCTGGTCAGCCTGGGCAGGGTCCCTGAAGTGGGCAGGAAAGGACGCCCAGAGCTTTCAGACAGAATGCCTGTTCCGTGGGACGGATCTGCCTTCATGGTGCTTTCACACCGTGGGCGTGAGGGGGCTCAGGCAGACATGCTAATTCCTACCTCATAAGTCATGACACCGAGACGTCAGATGATCTGCTCGTGGTTGCACAAACTGTTAACGAACTAGTTCCCAGACCACTGGCCTCTCCACGTTACAGGAAGCCCAGGACAGGGAGTGCACAGGGCTGTGCCTCAGACCCCAGGGCCTGGGAGGAGCAGGGCCTAGGCGGAGCATGCTCTGTCCCTGGGCCTAGGCGAGGCTGGTGTGTGTGTGTGCGTGCACACACATACACACATCTGTACCCACAGATACTTTTTTTGCTCTTTGAAAAGAAGTATCCATTCAACAAATATTTGATCAGCGTTGACCATGTGCCAGGCATCATTGTAGGTCTGGAAAACTGGTGAGCAGGACTGGAGCAGGGCTTGTGTCTCCCTCGCACCGGCCCTCTCTATCCATGAGCCACGTTGGCACTGCCTCCAAAGTGATCACAAGCCTGAACCACCTCTCACCACCTCCACTACTACAGTCTTAGTGCACGCCTGGTACATTCAGTGAACCACATCAGCCTCCACACGGCTCTCCCCACCCCCCTGAGAGCAGCAGCGTGATCTCTCTGGAGTGCACATCAGGCCACGTGTCCCCTTTCCCTAACCTGCCTCCCCGCCCTCTCCTCAGCCCTGGGAGGCGCCTCCCTCCTGTGGGCCAGGCCTTTGTACTTGCTGCTCCTTCTTGCAAAGCTCCTCCAGACCTTGCACTCTCCTCTTGCCTTCCTGGCCTCCTCCTTTTCATTCAAGTCTCAAATCACTTTTGATTCCTTACCCTGTTTCATTTTCTTCAAAACACGTAGCACTTTGGTTTTGTTTTTTTGCTGTTATGCTTTATTGTTTGATCACCTGATGGACACTGTGACACTCCACATTCCATAAGCACCTTAAGGGCAGGGGCTCTGTCCTGAGTTCTCCTGTATCTCCAGGGCTCAGCTCACAGAAGCTGCTGAATAGAAATTTGTTTATTAAGCAACCAGATGACTTTACTAAAACGAGCTTTCATTTTAGTAGGGGAGGGAGATAGAAAATAATTAAGAAACAGACAAACAAGATAATATCAGATTGGGGGAAGGCACTATGAAGGCCACAAACCAGGTGATAGTACAGAGAGTGACTGGAGTTAAGGGCCAGGTTTGGGCTTGCTTTGGTTTGTTTTTTAGAGGAGGTGATCCAGGAAGGCATCTCTAAGGAGGTAGCATTTGAGACTTAAGTAATGAGAGTAATGCAGCCGTGCAAAAAGCTGCCGGGAGAGCTGTGGAGTGGGAACAGTGTATGCGAGGGGCCCACAGTGGAACTGAGCTTGCCCTTCTCAAGCTACAGCAGGGAGGACACTTGGGCAGAAGGCCAGAGTAAGGCAAGGACCACATCAGGTGGGTTTTACAGGCCAGCTCAGGCGCCGTGGCTTGGCTTCTAAGTACAGAGGGAATAACCACTGTAGGGTTTTGTGCAGTGAAGAAGCACATTTTGGGATAGTGTGTGCACATATATGTATATCTGTACCTGTATGTGCACATTCATCACTGCGTGGGTTTGTGTGATCGTGCATCCCCCGGGTGTTTGTGCATCCATGTGTCCGTGAGTGTCTGTTCATCAGGGCATGCCTGTTTCCCTCTCCTGAACAGATTCTCAAACTTTGCCCGAAGAAGAAGAGCTCCTCCACGTACACCTTTTGCAAGTCAGTTGGCCTGCTGGGCATGCAGTTCCAGCTCTTTGAGAACGAGTGTAAGTCTTTGACAGCCAGTGTAAGTCTTTGAGAAGGAATGAATGGATGAAATGGCTGGGGCGAGTTGAGGGAGAAGGGCTGGACAGCAGAGTGGGTGGAGGCATGAGACCCCGTGCCCTCCTCATGTCTGGCTGGCTCTGGCCCTCGGCTGCTGCTGCTCACAGCCCACTGGGGGCCTGGGGTCTGCTTTCCAGATTACTCTCATGGCATCACACTGGTGACCCCGCTCTCGGGCTCCGAGAAGAAGCAGGTGCTGCATTTCTGTGCCCTGGGCTCGGACGAGATGCAGAAGTTCGTGGAGGACCTGAAGGAGTCCATTGCTGAGGTGACGGAGCTGGAGCAGATCCGAATAGAGTGTAAGGACACGGGCTCCCGAGGCAGCTGGTGGGGGTTCCCATTCAGCAAGGGACAGGGGCAGCTTGAGACAGACATGCCTGACTCCAGGGAGCTGGCCCCACTTCGGACCCTCCCCGTGTCCAGGCCCCACCGCACCACACTCCCACAGCCCGGGTGGGAGCACCGGTTCCCATGTTTCTTCACAATTAAAGTGAGGCTTGCTAGAGTGCACACACGTGTGTACACAGATCAGCAGGCATGTGGGGCTGCGCGTGGGCCTCTTGGAACAGAGAGCTCTGCTGTTTTACCAGGATGACCAAGCGAGCTGGCCAGGCAGGCCCATGGGGCTCTGGTGCGTTCCTTCCCACCAAACCGTCTGCTGTCACCTCCCCCACTGTGGCCCAAGTCTGTACACTGCATCTGGTTGGCCTCATTTCTTCACTCTCTTTTAATCTTGAATCATCCCTCCACTTCATTTTTTTTAAAACATTGTCCTTTTGAAGAGTCTAGGCTGCCTTCTTACTATCCCGCATCTTACAGTAGTCTCTGTTCCTATAAGGAATGCTTAGATTCTAGATTGTTCCATTCAGGCATTTTAGAGAATATGTGGGTCTCTTTCTGTGTCCAGGTGGTTTACTGGCTGCTGTGGGGTTAAGGGAAGAGAGGCAAGGGCCTGCAACCTGTACCCATCTGCAAGCTTGTCCTGATTAAGCATCACGGAGGCGCCAGATAGCCTTTAAGGGAAGACTAAATAAGAACAGATTCAGAAACTGAAACAGAAAATGAAAATAGGCTTCAGGCCTGCCTCTATGGCCACTTAGTTATAAAGTGTTTCTGAACTAATATCTGTCCATTAGGCGCTAGGAAAGGCAGGGAGAGTTTTTGAGCAGGGGATGAATGTGACAGGCTGGTGCTTTTGAATCATCATTTTTGAGGCTCCTACTACACACTAAGCAGTTTATTTCTGTTGTGTGGATCCTCACAGTGACGCTGCAAGGTAGGTGCATTGACCCCACTCTGCAGCTGAGGCTCGGAGTTCAGCCGCGTGTCCAGGTCGCGCATGTTAGAAACTGTCATTTTCATTTACGTTTGATTCTATACTTTCCACTGGAGAGTGAGAGAAGAGGTTCTGTTTATTTTTTTCTAAGGAAACAATTTAAACCAGGGTAAAATGGGATCCATCGGACTGGACTCTGGAACTCAGGTAACTGCTTGGTGGGGAGGGGCGCGTGGAAACTCCCTTCCTTCAATCTGTTGGCTTATTTGAGTTCAGTGGTGAAACAAACAGATTCTTTTCAAGGGCTGGACCGGATCCCCAGAGAGGCCGCCTCTGCTGTTTTTCTGGAGCATTTTCAAGGAAGCACCTTGAAATGGCTTCACGTCTCTCATTGTCTAACTGTCCCAGATGGCTCCGCACTGCCCTGGGGGGCCGTAGCACACCAAGTGGCACCAGCATTGCTGGGAGAGGCACTTTCCCCCATCAGCCCAGGAGCAGCACATACCCCGCTTCCCAAAGTCACAGAGGAGCAGATAGCGTCAGAATCTGTCATGTCAGGAGGTGAATATCCTCTCCTGCTGCCTCAAGGGTAAAAGAGCAGGAAGAAAGGCTCATGCTTGGCCCTTAGTCTTCACTGGAGAGAAAGGGAAGGAACAGCTGAGGGAAGAGGAAGGGTAGGCCAGGGAGACAGGGAGGAAAGGAAGCCAGGAAAAAAAAAAAAAAGAAAATGGGCTGGGCTCAGTGGCTCACACCTGTAATCCTAGCACTCTGGGAAGCTCAGGAGGGAGGATTGCTTGAGCCCAGAAGCTCAAGAACAGCCAACACAGCGAGTCCTCGTCTCTACAAAAAAGAAAAGAAAATGGAAAACAGTATCAGCTACCATTTATTGAGGACTAATCCTCACAACAGCTTTCCACAGTGGGCATCATTTTACAAGTAAGGAAACAGGCTAAAAGCACTTAGGGAAGTTGTCCAAGTTCACAGTCAGTGACAAAACAAGGTTTGCATCCAATGGCCCAGGACTCCTCACTTGTAATTATCAGGCTAATTTCTCCAAAGCCAAGAGAGCCCCTCTGTGGGGAGAGAAACAACTCTCAGTTGAGTAGAAATATTTAGCATTGATCGATGGGATGGTGTGATTTAGGCAACCAGGACAAATTGTTCTGGTTTGGGGGCCTACGGTTCAGTGTCCCTGGTTTCTAGACAACCAGAGAGACTGAAAATGGAGCCCAGGAGAGTAGCTTTAATAAAAGGAACTTGAGTTATGTCTCCTGGAAAAGAGAAGCGGGAGGAGTGATTTAATAATCATGTCAAATCTCCAAGGATGGCAGCCGGCAGTTCTGTAGCTCCACTGAGAGAAGAACAAGAAGGAACAGGTTTCCAATCCAGTGAGAGGAATTAAAGTTGAGTACCTAGACAGATGTCCTAGCACTGCAGGCTTGTAGCTTCCACACCCTCGGTGTGGACTTTCCTCCTTGGGAGAGATTTGAACACCTTGCGGAGGCTCAGCTGGCCAGGCAGGCTCTGTCCTCCCAGGCAGGCTCCGTCCTCCCAGGCGCCGGGTGGAGAGGTGGGTGTCACCCCTGTCAGCAGGCTCTGCTGTGCCAAGTGCGTTTCACACAATGTAACAAAACTGATACAGGTTGGTGCTAAAGTAATTGCGGTTTTTGCCATTACTTTCGCACAAACCTTAATACTTAAGGAGTACAGGTCACTAGCCAGGCCTTGTGCTTTATGTGTATCTCCCACGCAGTCCTCTTAATGACACCGTGAAGTGGGCCTGGCTGTCCTCTCGAGTGAGGCATGGAGAGGTTGGGTAACTTGCCTAAAACCACACAGCCAGGGAGTGTCAGGACCAGGACCCAAACCCAGGCAGTTCACCTCCCTCACATCGGCCTCTTCTGTGCCTCTCTGACGTTCAAGCAGATAGGATCATCCCCATGTACAGATGACGAAACTGCGGCTCCGAGGGGGTATTTAACTTGCTATTCAGTGGTGGGGCCAGACCCGAGGTCCGTGTTTCACAGCATGTACTGGGACCTCTCCTCCTCTTCCTCCCCTTTCTGCTGGCCCCTCATTTCCTGCCTCGCCTCTGTGTGGTTGAGGTTAAGGTTTCTCTTGCTCACGGGCCTCTGCATTCCTTAGGGGAGCTGGAGAAGCAGCAGGGAACAAAGACACTCTCCTTCAAGCCCTGCGGAGCCCAGGGGGACCCACAGTCAAAGCAAGGATCGCCGACAGGTGAGCCTCGGCTCCGCTCAGGGCACCAGTCCCCATGGAGGCCACTCGGGGACCCTGGGTGTGGGTCCTGGGCAATCTGCAGGGAGAGGTGCCCATTCCCGTGGCGTGTTTCTTCCTGCTGAGGAGCGCCAGGCTTGCCTTCTTTAATCTCATGAGCTTTAGTGGTGGGAGTGAGGAGGAAGGCGAGAGAGAAATGTGTCTGTCCATTTTGCAAACTGCACCAGAGGTCTGGAGTCCGTGTGAGATGTCACTGTCTGCCCTGGAGGAGTCAGGCAAGAGTCCTGGCATCCTGGCCCCTGCAGGGAGGCCTTCCCTCCTGCAGCCAGGCTGTCTGGACGAGGCGAGGTCAAGAGAAGCCCCACGAGGAACACTCTCCAACCAGGCAGTGTAAGAGGGCAGGGTGACCAGAAGGATCTGGATCTTGCTCTTCTCTGTACAGTCCCTTCTCTAATGAGCCACAAGCACTTCCTGACCCCTGGCTCAGGTCAGCCCACCCCAAATCCAGAGAGACCCTCAAACTCCACTTCTCTAGTGGTTTCTCCAGTGGAATTGCTCACTCCAGCCGAGTCACACTGGCTCCAGAGCTGGCCCCTCCTTTGGCCTGCCCCAACCTTACCCCACCTGCAGGGGGCCAGGAAAGGTTTCCACCACCTCCCTCCACCAGCCCCAAATAAAGAGCATGAGGGGAGATGCATGAGAATTCAGTCTCATCCCAGTGAAATCCCAGCAAGCCATTCACAACTGTCCACCCATTAGTTAACTCGGTCACTTACTCTCACACTCAACAAACACTTCTCGAATGGCTGCTGCCCTGTGCAGAACACTGGAAAGCCAGGGTCATAGTGAGACGCCAGCTTGAGCTGAGAAGCTCCAGTGGGCCCCGTGTGGTCCATGACCCGCCACAGTCGGCCCTGAGTCCTGACTTGGAACAGGCAGCAGCGTGGGGACTAGTTACGGCAGCGAGGACATGAGATTCACTTTCCAAGCAGGACATGGGGCTCTTTTCGCTATGTGGAGATTCTGTGATGGAATCTTTCCTGTATGGGTTTGACCTGCCATCGTGCGTCCGTAATTCTCCACGCTGCCTGATCTCCACTGGCCTCTTCATTTCTATAAGGTCATAGGGCACGGGTTGCTGCTTTTGTTTTCTCAGCTGTGGAACCCCAGAGCCAGCCCTCAGCTGTGTGTCATTCCCTGCCATTCCTTCCTGCCTCTCTTTTGGAAGCTGCCCGCCCTGGTTAGGCCCAGATGCCTGTCCCCAGGGACGTGTCCCTTAGTCCCCTCCACAGCGGGGTCTTTCTCATTCCCAAACAATGGTGCAGCTCCCTCTCCTGCTGCAGGAAGCAGAGGGCTGAGCACAGCAGGGGGAAGCTGGCACCCCCAGGGGTTGGGAAATGAGAGGGGCTCCTGCGGGGGTCGGGGTGGAAGCTGGGAGTGACTCAGCCACAAAGAGCCAATGAGCTGTCCGTGGGGGTCCGCAGGGCCCCTGCTGCTGTGCCAGGCCGGCCAGAAGGCCCTCAGAGTAATTACAGAGCAGTTATCGGCTCTCACCGTGCCCGGCACTGCGGTGAGTGCTGTGCAGGCCTCAGCCCATTCAGTCCTGCCCCCTCAGCCAGTCTGCAGGGCTGGAGCAAAGAAGCGTGGCCCACGCTCAAGGAGCCTGTGATCCACGGAGGCTGATGAACGTGGCGCCCACAACCCAGGCCCCCTCCAAGCCTTTTACAGTTCGTACTGGGAAGGCTTTGACTGTGGGTAAATCAGATTCCACAATGCCAACATCAGAAAGAGCGGCAGCGATCTTCTAGTCTGCGGCAGCCCAGAGAGATGTAGCATCTCGCCCAGGTCACATAGCTCCTAAGTGGCAGAGTGGGGCTCCCAACCTCCGCCTCAGTGAGGAGCAGTGTGACCCCAAGTCTTAGCTGCAGAGATGCTTGAGGGGCACAGGGGAGGGGCAGGGGCTTGGCTCAGCCGGTGGAGAATGAGCCCTGTGCTCTTTGCATTCAAAGCCAAAAGGGAAGCCGCGCTCAGGGAGAGGCCGGCGGAGAGCACGGTGGAGGTAAGTGGAGCCCTGGTTGCCCAGGTGAGTGACTACCCTGCCCCCTTGTTCTTCTTCTCACCGTCTCTGTTGTTTCTCTTCTCAGGTATTAATCAATGCCTCCCCAGCCCGACTCACCATTTTACCAATTTCAAGAGATACAATTAAAAGTTACTGCTAGCATGGGTAATGCCACTGTTCCAGCGCCTAATTAAGCCACGAGCTCTTTCTCCCCTTTCCCCAGCCTGCTGCCCTCCGAGGCCGAGCTCCCAGACTAACACAGTGGAGACGGAGCTCACGGCACCCTAGGGCCATCCTTCCTGTGTGCCCCCAAATCCACCTCCCCAGCAAATGCTCACTGCTCACTGCTCCCCCAGTACTTGCTGTATCAGAAGACCCCACATCCCGTTCCCCAAGTCCTCCCACCATCCATAGCGGGGAGCCTGGGCTCCCTCGGAGAATTACCCCTTAGGCCCCAAACGATCACTTCTGGGGCAGACCCTGCCCTCTTGGACACCTGGGGCTAGGTTGGAGAATTGAGACTTGGGGGCAGGTGGGAGGGGGAACTCCTCCCCGGAACAACTGGTCCATCTGGAAAGCTGGCCATGGCGCAGGGATGTGTGTGCAAAAGAAAATGAGACAGAGTAGGGTGGGGCTGTCCTGAGGGCTGTCCTGGGGGAAGTGATAAGCTGAAGACTGTCTGTGGTGGAGGGGAGGCTGCCCATTTGGCTCCATGCCATACAGTGAGGGACTGCAGAAGACCCAGCAGCAGCTGGTCCCTGCCAAACCCCCCCAGTGCCACCTATGGGAGGAGTGTGCAGGTGCCCCTACAAGCCTCGTGAGCCCCACCCCTCTCCCACTGGGTCCTCTTGCACCCCAGTGAGTCCCAGCTCCACTCCTTTTCTGCCCGGCCTCCCGGGGCCACCGGCTGCTCATACAGACACCTCCCTTCGCAACCCTAACCTCGACCCGGAGGGGCCCCCATTAGGTGTCTTAGGAAGCTGCCCTACCCATCAGTCTGACTAAGCCCTGGGAAGCAGCAGGATACCCCGGGGGAGCTCAGTGTCTTCTCTCTCCCCCATGGCCCCCCACCCCCCACACACCCGTGTCTGGAGGAGGCACCTTTACAAGGAGGAGCTTCCTGCCCCAGCCGCTGACAAGCCCCCAGGGTGGGTATTCTATTCCCCGCCCCCCTCCACTCCCCATCCTCCACAGCTGCCCATTCTTGAGCCTTGCAGATAAGCACACCCGTGCCCAGCCCTCTGTTCTGTTCTGCCAGCCCTGCCCTGCCCTGCCCTAGCCTGAGCTACCCAGGGAGGACAACCAACCCCACGCACTCCTCCCTCCTGCCCTAACAGCATATGGCTATCTGCAAGGCTGCCACCCTCAGCTAGCTCAGGGCCCTGCCAGCCTCTGCTCTCCCACGCAGAGGGCAGCCTCGCCTCCCACGGCCTCAGCTGGACCCCAGGCTCTCTCTCCTCTGCCCTCTCTCTGCCGTTGCTGGCCAAGCCCCTCTGGCAGGTGCTTCTCCATCTTCTCTGAGCTGTTCTCTGACCTGCTGCTCATGTTCCATCCTCTGTCTCCCCACTCCCCTCATTCTTTCTTTCATGAGCAGGGAGGTGAGAAGGGGGTCAGATGAGAGGACATTTTGCTGTCACTTCCTGCTTTTCACTTACTGACCACTAAAGAGGAAGGATCCAGAGACTGCGGTGGGGCCAGGGATGCAGTGGGGGGACCAGAGCAGGGGAGGTAAACGGGAGGCGCAGGCTGTGGCCCAGAGGGGGCGCGGCACGGGGAGCTTCAGGGAGAAGAAGGACGGCTCAGTGGGTCTGGACTGGGACAGCCAGACATTCGCCTGGGGAGAGGCCGCTGCGAAGTCCAGGCGGAGGGAGGCAGATGAGCACAAGCCCGTCCTGGCTGTCTCAGGCCCCGTGTCTCCTGGGGAGGAATTCAGAATACAAGCAGGAGGGGAGAGGAGCCCGTGCCCTCCAGCGGCTTCTGCCTGAGTGAGGGTCCTGGAGGGATCCCCAGAGGCAGGTGGGCCCCAGCCATGCTCTCTGCCTGCCATGTCTTGGAAGGACAGTGAGGGGCTCAGGGCACCTTCGTTTGTTTAGGGAGACCTCAGGCCTGGAACATGTGCTGAGGTTGGAGGCTGAGAAGGAAAAATAAAGCCCGTGACATGCCGAGTGTGGCAGTGGGGCTCATGAATACTGAGGGGCAGACAAAGGCCTGCGGAGCCTCGGGAGGGAAGTTGCCCCCTGGGAGTGCACAGGTCCGGGAAAGGGTGTCCCTGAACTGCACCTGCAGCCAACAAACAGGATGAGGAAATGCTAGTTTAGGGCTCCGGGATAGTTCTGGGCTGGGCCAGCTGGGTCTAGGCCTGGGATGAGGTACCTCCCCTGCAGCTTCCCTTTCCCTCTGTGCTCTGAGCACTGGCCCCAGGTGGTGCTGCCCGAGGACAGATGTCAGCCCAATAGAAAGATCCTCAGAGAGGAGGAGGGTCTCAGCCTCCCCTAGAAGACCCAGGGGTTTGGAGGGGGTTGGGTGGTGTCATAGCCACGGGCAGGGGAGCTTGCGGGTGGAACGGTGTGAGGAGTTAAATCCCTCTCCTTCCAGAATCCTCTAGCCTCCCTTCCACCCATCTCCTCCACCTCCCGCTGGTAGCAAGGGGAGGCCAGGCTAGTCCATAGTGACCTCCATGGTCTGAGGGAGGGGGCTCATGAGCATCATCTGGGCCACCTCCTCCTGCCCCGCCTTGGGGATCAAGGTTAGAGCCCTCTCTGGGGATCCTCTCCTGCAGCCAGGCAAGTTAACCAGGACCCAGCTTGGGCCAGAATGGCAGCTGGGGAGCTGACTCTGCCCTCGGCTGTCTGGGCTGTTCTCGAACGCAGGGTCATGGCCGTGGGGAGTCTGGGAGGACAGGTAGGTCCAGATCACCCTCTGGCATTCTGGGGTTTAAGCCTCTATGAGGTCGACGGTGCCAATGATCCTTCCTCTATAACAAGGCTGGAGGGAACAGAGGGAAAGGCTCAATAACGCTTGGCTCTGTCCCTGGGTCTGCCCTCCTTTGCCTCAGCACACTCCTGGGAGGGGCAAAGACTATAACCCCTGCTTTCAAGCTCAGAGTGTGGTGGAAAAGGAAGTGAGGACACCCAGCAGGTCCATGAAATCAGGCAGCAGATGTATGCAGAGCCCATCTCACAGATGAAGAGACTGAGGCCGTACAGCGACACTGCTCACAGTCAGTGGCAGAACATGCCAGCCTCTCGACTCCTCTCTCCCCCCTGGGCAAAAGCCAGGGTCGCAACCCAGTCTTCTTGTGGGTGGAGAGATGGCGAGAGGGTCAGAGTGAGGGCTGAGAGTGGGAGGGAGGCCAGGGGAGGCACAGGGCAGCCTGTCCTAGCAGCTGGGAATTAGTCTTGTAACATTTCATGCTTCTCTGGCTGTTTCTAAACTAGGTGTCAATTCACAACAGGCTTCAAACGTCCCAGCACAACTCCGGGCTGGGGGCCGAGAGGGGAGCGCCGGTGCCGCCGCCAGACCTGCAGCCTAGCCCCCCGAGACAGCAGACCCCACCACTGCCGCCGCCGCCACCCACGCCCCCGGGCACCCTGGTGCAGTGCCAGCAAATTGTCAAGGTCATTGTCCTGGACAAGCCCTGCCTGGCCCGCATGGAGCCCCTGCTGAGCCAGGCTCTCTCCTGCTACACCTCGTCGTCCTCTGACTCCTGCGGCTCCACACCCCTGGGCGGTCCCGGCTCTCCGGTCAAGGTCACCCACCAGCCTCCGCTGCCCCCGCCCCCACCCCCCTACAACCACCCTCACCAGTTCTGTCCCCCAGGCTCCCTGCTGCACGGGCACCGCTACTCCAGTGGCTCAAGGAGCCTGGTGTAGACTCTGCCCCACCACCCTGCTGTCCTGGGAGGGCTGGCCACTGGGGGGCCTGGGCTGCCCCTCCACTGCTCCCCATACCCTGGCACGATGCGTTCCTGGTCACTGATCACCATCATTTTGGGAAGAGAATCCCAATCCCTGGCACCTGGGTTTGCCTCATCCAACCATCCTTCCCTTTCTCAGCTGCACCCCCTCTGCAGATCTGAAGACACACCTCACTCTCCCAGGGCCCTACACAGCCAGACCCGGCGAGGCCTCCTCTTCCCCTGGCCACCACTTTCCCCCATTGGACCATGGACTGAAGAAAACGAGCTGAGGGTCTAACGAGCTTGCAGGCTTTGAGTCTGTTAGTGCCCGGGGCCTCGGGCCTTGGGCAGCAGCATGAGGCTGGGCCGGCCGGCAGTGGAGCACTAGACAGAGTGGCTGGCTCGCAGCCCAGAACTAGTGCCTCTGTAGCTGCACTGAGGGGAGGAGGGTTGGTCCCACCCCTGGAGGGACAGGTGGGAGGAGTGAGGAGGGGGCTTTTTCTGCCACCCCCGCCCCCAAGCCTGAAACTCTCAGGAGTCTACTTCTTGGTCCCCAGGGACATTGGCTGTCCTGACCATGTCCTTCCCCCTCCTCCCAGGGCCTCTGCTTCCTCAGGAGCTGCCCAGACTCCAGAAAAGCCTGGAAAAAGGGAGGCGGGAAGGGGAGCACTTTCGGCTTTCTATAGGTCAGTCCAGCAGGGCCACGGGATCGCGAGGTCATGTATCTGCAAAATGCACCTTTTTAAAGAGTGTCTTAGTTCCCCAGCCCCAGCTAATACCCGGCCAATGCCGTGTACGCACCGGCATGTGCACGCAAACACGCATGAGAACCAGGCCATTCCTTCCGCTGTGGAAGCAGAACTGGAGACGGGGCAGGAATGTGCCCAGCAGAGATGGGGCTCAGCCCGAGGCAGGGCTCCCTCCTGCATGAGGCTCGGCCCGAGGCAGGGCTCCCTCCTGCATGAGTCTGTGGCCTCCAGGAGGGACTTGGGTGCAGATGTAAGCAAGAAAAACCGGGGCTCCAGAGGCATGTGCATTTCCCCTGCGCCCCTCAGCCTTTAAATATTCCCTCCTCCTAGAAGGTTCTAGACCCCCCCCTTCCAGCAGGGGTGCCCAAGAGTCCCTGGACCCTCAAAATTGCAAAGGAGACCCAAGCGGGGCTCGCTGACCTCCCAGGGCCCAGCAAGATGGGATAGCCAGCCTTAGGTGGCCCCACGAGCCCAAGCCTGGGGAAGGGCCCCTCCCCAGCCAGACGAGAGGCAGCCACCCCAGAGACCACAGGAGCCGTACCATGGCCTGCGCAGTCAGGCCCTATCAGGATGTGTCTGTCCCAAGCCTGGCCAGGCTCCAGTCCTGTGCCAGTAGCTCACTGCTGTCCTATGTGCAGGTCCCCCAACACTTGGAGCCTGTGGTTAAGGCCTCCTGGGAGAGGCAGTGAGCATGAGTCAAAGGTGACATGGACTTGAATCTCCCCACCCCGCCCCGCCTGCAGTAGCCGGGCCAGGTAGGAGGCAAGGATCATTCCCTGCTCCCAGAGGTTCCAGATGACCTAGTTTCGTTTTGTGTGTGTGTGTGTGTGGTCACCCAGACGTCACTGTGATATCACCTAGTGAATCTATTTCTGGCCCTGTCTTCGTCGGCCCAGTTTCTGTAACTTGCAGCCAATTTGCCCTCTCCCCTGTGGCTGCCAGCCCATCTGCCCCTCTGTGTCCTTGCTGCCCTGGCCCTCCTCTGTTTTCTGTAACAGATGCTCCAGTCATTGCCTTTCAGAGTGGAGCAGATGACAGATGGGGTGCACGCATTCAGACACCTCTGATGCCCTTAGCCAGGGCAGGGATCGTCCTTAAAGTGAAGGCCTGGACAGGAGGAGTCAGGGACTTGGGAGGAGGTGGAGCTGTGGGGATGGGAGTGGAGGAATCAAAATGAGGGAAGCTGAAAATAGAATGAAAACGATGACTAAGAGGCAGGGAGTGCGAGGTATGGGGGAATAGGAACTATGAGCTAAATATACTTATGGGGTGGGGGCCGTGGGGGCCAGGGACACTCTCCCAGACAGCCCTGACCCGCCAGGCAGGACCCCGTCCCCTGCTCACACAGCTCTTCAAACTTACCAAGGACAGGCAGGACCCCGTCCCCTGCTCACACAGCTCTTCAAGCTTACCAAGGACAGGCAGAACCCCGTCCCCTGCTCACACAGCTCTTCAAGCTTACCAAGGACAGGCAGGACCCCGTCCCCTGCTCACACAGCTCTTCAAACTTACCAAGTGCCCTCTCCCCTGTTGAGGGCACAGCAACCCCAGGCCCTCCCTCCCACCTCAGCTGAAGCCCCAATCTTCCAAATCGGAACCAGCAAGTCTTAGGGCTGGCACGCATCTGGGCCTCTAGCTGAGAACCCGGACTCTCAGGCACCTCAGTGCCCCTGCCCCAGGGCAGAGGCCCACCCCGTGGGTTGGTGCAGTGGCTGCCCTGGGCTCCACGGGCAGCACAGGGAGTCTGTCCAGGAAGCAGCCCAGCCGGGGTCAGTATTCCGTGGAGCCAGTCCTGAGCTGGGAGGGGCATTTAACACCCCTGAGGGCCTGGGGCAGGACACAGCTGGCCCTCCTCATTGTCAGGGGAAGCAAGTGCCCAACATCTGTAACCTCCCTTCCCTGCTCAGTCCCCAGGCCAAGGTTGGGACCCCTCTCCATCCCTGTCCCCAGAGCCTAGACCTCAGGGACCTAGGAAAAGCCTCCTGCTCCCTCCCCACGGCAGCAGACAGGGCAGGGCCTCCAGCCCCCAGAGGGCCGGTGGGGGGTGCTCTCGGGCCTTCCTGCTCTCCTAAGGTTGCGGGGACAGTAGAGTGCTGAGCCCCAGACCCAGTCACCCCAAGATGGCCCCACTCTATCCACTCTCTAGACCTTTGGGAAATCTGGGTCCCTCTCCTGATTTGATCCATTCGGCCCCAACTCCAGAGTCGGGAATGGGAGATGAAACTAGTTTTCCACCCACTTTTGGACAAGTCCCACCCCTAGATCTGAAGCAAGCTCTACCAGCAGCGTGTCCTGGAAGCCTGCCTGCCTGCCTGCCCGTCTGCACAGGTGTCTTGATCCAGCCCTGCGTCTTCGAGCCCCTGTGCCACCGGTCCCCACGGCCCGCCAGGAGTCTCTTTGTACCCACTAGGCTTCCCTGATGACCATCTGTCTGTCCGTCCCTGTTTTTGCTGTACATAACTCCTGCTGCACCCTCTCCCCGCACACCCGTCACCCATGAGAGAGAGAAACCTCTCTAGGGAAAGGCAGGGTGGCTGCACCCAGCAACTAATCCAAATGGCAAATATTTTGTAACAAAATAGCCCAGAGGTATTTTATCTGTTCAATTCATAGAGTTTTAGAGATTATATTGAAAGATGTCACTTGAGCAAACTGTGTCGGCGCAGCTTCTTTTGCTCTCCCAGCGGGGGGGGCTCGCCTTAAATCAGAGCATCTCTTGGTGAGGATTTGAGAAGGACACCGATGCCCTCAGCCCCTCAGGCTTCTCTCCCCTGGCCACAGCAGCACCATTCCTTTACCCCAGGATAATGCACTCATGTCCCATGGTTAGGAACCCCTGTCTTCAATAAAGGAGACTCGGGTGTGGGAAGATAAGGTAAGTCTTCTGATGGGTGAGCACTGGCAGAGCTGGGGGCAGGGCTAGGAAACTGATCACCGTGTGTGTGGGCCTGACCCGCTAACACATGCATACACCCCCCTCACTCCACCTTCCTGAGCACACACACATACAGCTTTCAGCCAGTCCAGAAAGCAGCTACAATGGAGACCAAAGGCAGCTGTGGAGGGAGGAGGCTCCACGACAGTCAGTGCACCTCCAGGGGGAGATGAGGACCACCTCTGGCCTGCTTGGCTTTCTGCAATGAAGAGTGAGGGTTTGTCAGGGTGCGGGGGAGGACATCCCACTGGCCATGCCAGGCATCAGCTCCCAAAGCCTGACCTCAGTGGCAGGGTCTGGTTTGTCCAGCCCCTGGGTCCAACCTTTCTGAAATGCAGGAGCCATGGGGCCCGTGAAAGGACTGGAGGAGGATTGTTGGGGACAGTGCACAAAGCCACAGAGAGCAATTCAGCAAACATATCCTGAGCCCCACAGTGTGCCAGGTCCCCTACTGGGAGCCAGAAGGGATGCCAAGGTTCTGGGAAGCATATGGATATGACAGTAGCCGAGTGGCTGTAAGGAAGCAGGGAAGGCTGGAATGAGGACTGGGAGAGCGGCAGGAGCTCAGCCAGGTGTTCACAGCCAGGTGCAGTGCTCAGCTCGGCTCCATGGGGGCTTAAGATGGGGTGGTTCTCCTGGCTGGGGAGAGAGGAGAGAGCCTTCCAGCAATGCTGAGTCATCAGAGGAGAGCAATTGGCTGCCCCAGGACACTCGCAGAGAGGGCGCCCAGCTCTCCTGGTGACCAGAATTCTGAACACCTGGAAATCCCAGCAGCTTCAGCACCTTCCCAGGCTGGTTCCTGTTGTTCCCAACAGCTAAAGGGAAAGGAAACTTGACCTCACCCTCAACTTGACCTCACCCTCTTCCCAGGAAATGGGAAATTCCAGAATAAGCTGGAAGCCGGCTATGACCTGTCCCATCCTGGGAATTCTCTGACCTGGGAAGCTGAGGACTGGCCCCTTGAGAGCACTCTGCGGGGAACCAGCTCAGCCCGGGCCTGGGAGAGAGCCAAGGGCCAAGGACGGCCCTGCTGCTATCTGTGCCAGATGCGGGCCCATGGCACCATTCTCCACACCTCGGGCCCCTGAGGTCATCTAGGATGAATGCTTGTCCCTCCAGTGAGAGGGAGACCATCCTGTTCTGATAGAGCCCGTCTGGTGGTCCAGGCCCCTCTGTGCCTATCTGCCGTAGGGATGGAGAGCTACAGTCCGTGCATCTCCCTCCATAATGACCCTTTGTAGATGGGAGAATGTCAGACTCATCAGTCATAGACTTAGAATGCTCCCAGTAAGGGGTCCCAGGATGTACTGGTTTCTGGCTGAGAGCAGTGACCCAGAGCTAGTGCTGGAAATCAGGGTGAACTGAACCGTAAGTTTGAGACCACCTGCTGAGCACTGTTTCAGGTGCTGGGGGCTATGCAGTGAAGGGGACAGGGAAAGTTCACACTGGGGGGTGTCATCAACAAGAAATGGAGCAGCTGCCTTCACACAGAGGATGGTGACCCCGCTGGGGTGATGGGGAGAGCCTGTTTTAGGGTGAACATTCAAGGAAGGCCTCTCCAAGGAGGAGAATTCAACAAGGTCAAGGTCTGGTCTGAGGGCAGGTGAACAGTTCGGAGACCATCACTTCAAGTCAAATGACCACATATTTATGAGGCAGAAACCAAGACAGTTTGTCAAAAAACTGTTTCCTGATATATGTGTTTACTTACATGAAAAAATCTTATGAATTAAGTGTAAACATGAATTCAAAACATCTTTACTGAGGAAAGCAAAATTGGTCTTCTAGCAAATCCAGGGCAGACGGTCACCAGTCACAGGCCAGGAGAGGAAGTGCTTGAGAGTGAGCAGTCAGGCGCTCTGGACAGGCAAGGATGGGGCCGGGGGTGGGGCAGAGCTTAGGCCACGTGGGCAGCCACCACCACAGGAAGACCAGGCCACCGAAGTAGACCGCAGAAAGCACAAACCAGCAACAGTGAAGTCAGGCTACCCTGAGCCGAGGCAGCTGCTGCCCAGAGCAAGCACGTGCTTGTGTGACCCTGCATAGGGATGGGGAGCAGCCCACTCCAGGTCAAGGCAGCCTGCTGTCCACCTCCTCCTCTGTCACCTCAAACCAAGAGGGCTCAGGTTTGCCATTTTCAAATTTTTCCTGTATTTATGTTTCAAAGAAGGGGCCTTGGTCTGTCGCCCAGGCTGGAGTGCACTGGTACGATCACAGCTTACTGCAGCCTGCAACTCCTGGGCTGAAAGGACCCTGCCGCCTCAGCCTCCCAAGTAGCCCAGACTACAGGTGCATGTCGCCACGCCCTGCTGATTTTTAAATTACTATTATTATTTTTGTAGAGATGAGGGTCTCTCTCCAGCCTGGCCAACATGGTGAAACCCCGTCTCTACTAAAAATGCAAAAATTAGCCAGGCATGGTGGCGTGAGCCCATAATCACAGCTACTTGGGAGGCTGAGGCATGAGAATCGCTTGAACTTGGGGGGCGGAGGTTGCAGTGACCCGGAATCATGCCACTGCACTGCAGCCTGGGCGACAGAGCGAGACTCTGTCTCAAAATAAATAAATAAATAAAATAAAAAGACAGGCTGTCTCTCTATATTGCCCAGGTTAGTCTTGAATTCCTGGGTTCAAGGGATCCTGTCTCCTCAGCCTCCCCAGTAAACTGAGACTGCAGGTGTGCACCACTATGCCTGAATAATTTTTGTTTGTCTTTGTAGAGACGGAGTCTCACTACGTTGCCCAGGCTGGTCTCAAACTCCTGGCCTCAAGGGATCCACCCACCTCGGCCTAGGCTTGCCATTTTTAAATAATGGAATGGACTCCATGGCCTATTGCACAGCAGTCCCAAGGAGTCCAGGGGCTAACAGCCTTTCACGTCTCAGCGTGAACCCCACAGAACGGAAGTGAGATTGATTTCTCCTTCAGGGGGCTGGCACTACATGGCTGCGGCCCTCGGCATGCCCCCTCCCATCCCAGCTCTGACAGATGTGGCCAATTGATCACTGCTTTCTGGGAGTCACCATCAATCACATGTGCTGACTCCAGGATGAAAGAACTTGCCAACCGCCCCGTGGTGTCCTCATGGAGACACCTGGAAGGAAGGCATTTTGACGGGAGGTAGCTTAGAGCAGGGGGCAGCAGGCGGGAGGTGTGGCCCTCCTAGTGCCACTGCTCTCAGGTCACTTGCGGACAGCAGCTCTGGGGGTGCTGGCTTTGGCTCCTTAGCTCTGCCGCTCAGGGACTCAGGGCTGCTTCCTGCCAGGACTCCTCACTACTCAGCAACCGGTCGACTACCCTGTGCACCAGGTCCCCTCACTCACCTTCCTCGGGGTGAGCCACATGGCCCCCGGTGTCACAGATGAAGGTCTGAAGACGCCCAGGCAAGAAGGACGCTCCGTCCAGGGCGGAGCCTTGGGAGCAAAGGCAGACCCCGTGGAGGGCAAGGGAGGTGGTCCTTCCAGGAGAACGTGAGGCCCAGCCAGCGCCCAGCGGCCTGGAGCCGCAGGCTGAGTTCTGATCTGCTCCCCTTCCCGTCCCAGGACGGCAGCCAGGCCCCAAGATAGACCAAGCCCAGGTCAGAGTCAGGGAGGTTAAATGAGGGCGCAGGAATGGGGGGTGCAGAGGGACAGGTCCAGAAGTGGTTCTGCCAGAATTCCCTTCTGGATGGGCTGGAGGAGAGGGAGCTGGAGCTCAGCGGGTGGGCGGAGTGCTCTCCTCCCCTGCGCCCTCCCTCCCGTGCCCCTGCAGGGCTGCACGGGTTCCCTCCCTAGGGAACCAGGCTGCCTAACCCACCAGCCGGCCCCTAGCACCTCAGCGCTTCCTGCTCCCATGACCCTAAGGACTAAGTGACCTCAAGCCTGGCTCTGGGAAAACTGTGGGAACCGGCTGCTGGGAAGACGACCTGGCTGTTACTCCCACGTTTCCAACTGCCTAGACAGACCTGCCCTGCCCTCCTTTCCTCAAGAAACCCTAATCCCCTTTCCTTCTGAGACATCTAGGGTAGGAGTCAGCCTCCCTCCCTGCACCCTCAGAGGGAATGGAAGGCAGGGGAGTCATACAGCAGTGCCAGGCCTGCAGGCTGAGTCACAGGCCAGTCATCCTTCTATGGCTAAGGGGACTACTTCACTTAAGAGGTTAAAAAAGAAGAACAGAATAAGCCCAAAGGAAAGAAACAATAAAGACAAAAGCAGAAGTAATAAAATAGAAAATATATATACAATAGAAAAGATTAACACAACCAAAAGTTAGTTCTAAGAAATGACTAATAAAGTTGACAAACCTCTGATAAGACTGATCACGAAGAAGAGAGACGGCACAAATGAATAACCTGAGGACCAACAGGGAGAACGTAACTATGAATGCTGCAGAGATTTTCAAAATAAAATACTTCAAATAAACTATAAACCTATGGCAATAATTTTGAAACCCTCCACAAAATGAACACTGTGCTAGAAAAATATCTTACCAAATCTTGCTCAAGAACAAACAGAAAATTTGGGATGTATAACCATTAAATTAAAGTGGAATAGGTAATTACAAGTCTTAGGGCCAGGAATCCCAGCACTTCGGGAGACCAAGGCAGGAGGATCACTTGAAGCCAGGAGTTCAAGACCAGCCTGGGCAACATAGTGAGACCCCCATCTATACACAGATCTTAAAAATAAGCTAGGCATGGTGGTATGCAACTGTAATCCCAGCTATTCGAAGGCTGAGGTAGGCAGATCACTTGGGCCCAGGAGGTTGAGGCTGCAGTGAACCGTGACTGCACCACTGAACTCCAACCTGGGCAACAGAGGGAGACCCTATTTCAAAAGAAAAAAAAAAGAAAGAAAAAGAGGGCCAGGTATGGTGGCTGACGCCTGTAATCCCAGCACTTTGGGAGCCCAAGGTGGGCAGATCACTTGAGTTCAGGGGTTCGAGACCAGCCTGAGCAACGTCGTGAAATCTCGTCTCTACCAAAAATACAAAAAATTAATGTCACTCCAGCCTGGGTGACAGAGTGAGACTCTGTCTCAAAAAAAATAAAAAAGAAGGAAAGTCTATTCACCATCGCCCAGCCCCCACCCCCAAGAAAAATCACACACACAACACCCGGCCAGATGATTTTACAAAATTCTACTACACTTCAAGGAACAGATAATTCCAATATCATATTAACTCTTTCAGAAAAGAGAAACAGAACATCTCCAAACTCCTTTTCATGAGCCTGGTGTAATCTCAAAAACAAAAACTAAAGCAGACAAGCACGGTATGAGAAAAAGAAGACTACCAACCAATCTTGTTTATGGGCATAAATTCAGAAATTCTAAACACAATATTAGCAAACTGAACCTAGTACTGAATAACAAAAAAAAATATGCCATAACCAAGTAGGGTTTGCCCCAAGAATGAACAGATGATTGAATATTAGAAAAATATAATAATTTGTTACATTAACAAATTAAAGGAGAAAAACAATATAATTATCTCAATAGATGCAGAAAAAGCAATCCATAAAATTCAACCCTTACTGTTGATTTGAAAAAAACCTATAGAACTTGGAATGGAAGAAAACTTCATAGCCCAGTAAATGATATCTATCAAAAATCATCAGCTGGCCAGGCATGGTGGCTCACACCTGTAATCCCAGCACTTTGGGAGGCCGAGGTGGGTGGATCACTTGAGATCAGGAGTTCGAGACCAGTCTGGCCAACATGGCAAAACCTCATCTCTACTAAAAACACAAAAATTCGGTGGTTCATGCCTGTAATCCCAGCACTTTGGGAGGCCGAGGCGGGCGGATCACGAGGTCAGGAGATCGAGACCATCCTGGCTAACACGGTGAAACCCCATCTCTACTAAAAATACAAAAAATTAGCCGGGCGTGGTGGCGGGCGCCTGTAGTCCCAGCTACTCGGGAGGCTGAGGCAGGAGAATGGCGTGAACCCGGGAGGCGGAGCTTGCAATGAGCTGAGATGGCGCCACTGCACTCTAGCCTGGGCGACAGAGCAAGACTCCGTCTCAAAAATAAATAAATAAAAAAATAAAAATACAAAAATTAGCCAAGCATGGTGGCTTATGCCTGTAATCCAGCTACTGGGGAGGATGAGGCAGGAGAATCACTTGAACCCAGGAGGCAGAGGTTGTAGTGAGCTGAGATCAAGCCACTGCGCTCCAGCCTGGGGGACAGAATGAAACTGTCTCAAAAAAAAAAAAAAATCATCAGCCGTCATACTTCCTAATGAAATGTTAGGGTTCCTGTCAAAACCAGGAAGGAAGCAAGGATGCCAGCTGCCACCACTTCTAGTTACCAAGTGAAGGAAGATAAGAGAAAGAATCATGATCGGAGACATAAAACTGTCATTATTTCCAGACAGTCTGAGTGTCTATGTAAAACACCCTAAAGAACCAAGAGGAAAACAACAACTTTAATTAACCCAGAGGAAAAGGCTGAGGCTGGACAGTGAGCCCAGGTCTCCGGACAGCTGGCCGGGTAAGGCCGCTCCCCCGGCCCCACCCGCTGTCATGGCTACCCTCTGTCCTGCTCCCCGGAACCTCCTCTCCATGACAAACCCAAATTCCAAATGCACTTGTTCAGGACCCACTCTGGCTACCTTTGCTTGCTCCCTGTGCCCGTGTCTTAGTGAGATGGGGACTGAGTCCTGCTTGGGGAAGGGACTTGCCCACTTCGAGTCCCTCATGCTGGGGTGCAGTGTCAGAGTTCTGGCCTCGGGGCCAGGGCCTTTTGGATGTGACAGCCACCCTCTGTGTGTTAGTGAGATGTGCTTGGGCAGAAAAAGCCTCAGAATGTGACTGCACCAGAAGTTCCGGCTAGACTCTTGTTATAGCCACAGGTTATGCACTGACCCTGTGGATGGACACGAGCCTGCAAGGACTCAGCCTTGGCAGGGAGCAAGCTCCCCTCTCTGTCTGTGGCATCATCTGGCAACTTGCACTCGCCTCCCGTTACTTCCCAGTCACGTGCCAGCAGGTTCCTCAGACCTGACAGGCCATCTGCCCCTGCTGTGGCCAGACTGGAAGCAGAGAGCGCTGGAGTGCGGGTCGCCAGGGCCCAGGGCACTGACCCACCTCAACCCTGTGCCACCTGCCAGGCTTGGCTCTCATCTCACCCCATCCTGTCTGGCAAACACATCCTCCCATGGCCGCTGCATCAATGGGTGGTTAACAAGCTTCTCATCCCTGTTAGATCCAATCAGCCCTTGTTACTTCACTGAGCAGCAGAACCTGCAAGGAAGCTGGGCATGCGAGCACGGAGGTGGCAGGGACAGACACAGCCAGTCTTCACCTCCTCACAGCAAGGACAGGGTGAGCCCAGGGTCAGGGGAGGGCTCTGGAGGGGTCAGAGGAGGTGAGGCTGTGGCAGAGAGGCAGGAGGCTCAGGCAGAAGGGCACGAGGGGGCTGAGGGACGCCTCTGAAGAGGGGCCACGCCTGACTCTCAAAGAGGGTGACTCTCGCGCTCTGGGAAGTGGCCACGACAGCACCCACAGGCCACAGTGCACGCTAAAGCTCAGCTGTCCAGGAGCACACTTGACCCAACAGAGAGCCCACATGAGAGGAGCCGAGGCCTTCCACCGGCAGCCACAGCAGCTGTCAGCCAGGTGAAGGAACTGCAAGCAATTGGATCCAAGGATAGGTATTATCTACTGCTGTGTAAAAAATCACCCCAAAGCTTACGGCTTAAAACAACCATATGCATTTCTCACCTCTCACTGGGGTCAGGCATTTGGGGCCCACTTGGCTGGGCATTTCTGGCTCAGTGCCTCTGTAAGGCTGTAGTCCCTGTGTCAGCCAGGGCTGCTGCCACTAGAAGCCTTGGCCAGCTGGGAGGATACATTTCCACGCAGTGTATTCACCTTGCAGCAAGCTGCTGCTGTTGACCATTAGTGGGAGGCCTGGATTCCACGTGGGCCTCTCTATTGGGCCAACTGTCCCCCCAGACAATTAAGCTTTGGTGTACTCTGCCACGTGGGCGCTGCTGATGTTAACACATCTATTGAGATGTAGCTCTGAAATTAGAGGTATCCACTACCCTTCTTCGGGAGAATGTCCAGGTGGGAGAGAGACTTGACCCAGGATTCATGGATGAATAGCATCATAGGGTGTGAGGTCCACACCGGAGCAGGCTGGAGCCTGTGGTAACCCTGCTACCACCACCCCTTCTGAGGCACCAGGACCCCCAACCACTGCCCTCTGCTGTCCCTTGCGTCGCACCCAAGGGCTCCTGTTCCCTCCCCTGCCCAAAGTTCTCACTTTCTCCGCTAGGGCACAGATTATGAATTCAAACGCAAAAGCGAATATGTGAGAAAACCAGGTGTGACAGAAGTGGGAAGACTGTGGCAAACTCCAGCATGCCTCAGGGCTTCTGCTGCAAAAATCAATTTTTTCATGCCACACTGGCCAAATTGTAGCTGCCAGATTTGGCCTCTGTTCACCAGTCTGCAACTCAAACACCAAAGGAAACGAGATGAAAGTGTGCCCAGAGTAAGTGGGTTCTTGGTCTCACTGACTTCAAGCATGAAGCCGCAGACCCTCACAGTGAGGGTTACAGTTCTTAAAGGCGGCGTGTCCGGAGTTTGTTCCTTCTAACGTTCAGATGTGTTCGGAGTTTTTTCCTTCTGGTAGGTTCGTGGTCTCACCAGCTCCGGAGTGAAACTGCGGACCTTCGCGATGAGTGCTACAACTCTGAAGGCGGCGCGTCTGGAGTTTTTTTTTCCTCCCGATGGTTCAGTGGTCTCGCTGGTTTCAGAAGTAAACCTGCAGATTTTCCCAATGAGTGTTACACCTCATAAAGGCAGAGTAGACCCAAACAGTGAGCAGCAGCAAGATTTACTGCAAAAGAGCAAAAAAAAAAAAAAAAAAAAAAAAAAAAAAAAAAAAAAAAAACAAACCACACACACAGCACCCACTGCACACAACGCGACCCCAGCGGGTTACCACTAGGGCCTCCGGCAGCCTGCTTTTATTCTCTTACCTGGCCCCACCCACATCCTGCTGATTGGTCCATTTTACAGAGAGCCGATTGGTCCATTTTACAGAGCGCTGATTGGTCCGTTTTGACAGGGTTTTGATTGGTGTGTTTACAACGCCTGAGCTAGACACAAAGGTTCTCCAAGTCCCCACCAGAGAAGCTAGATACAGAGTGTGGATTGGTGCATTCACAAACCCTGAGCTAGACACAGGGTGCTGATTGGTGTGTTTACAAACCTTGAGCTAGATACAGAGTGCCGATTGGTGTATTTACAATCCCTGAGCTAGACATAAAGGTTCTCCTAGTCCCCACCAGACTCAGGAGCCCAGCTGGCTTCACCCAGTGGATCCCTCACTGGGGCCACAGGTGGAGCTGCCTCCCAGTCCGGTTCCGTGCGCCCGCACTTCTCAGCCCTTGGGTGGTCGATGGGACTGGGTGCCCTGGAGCAGGGGGCGGCGCTGGTCGGGGAGGCTCGGGCCGCACAGGAGCCCATGGAGGGGGAGGGAGGCTCAGGCATGGCGAGCTGCAGGTTCCGAGCCCTGCCCCACGGGAAGGCAGCTAAGGCCCAGCGAGAAATTGAGCACAGCAGCTGCTGGCCCAGGTGCTAAGCCCCTCACTGCCCCGGGCCGGCGGGGCCGGCAGGCCGCTCCGATTGTGGGGCCCGCCGAGCCCACGCCCACCCGGAACTCGCGCTGGCCCGCAAGCGCCGCGCGCAGCCCCGCTTCCCGCCAGCGCCTCTCCCTCCACACCTCTCTGCAAGCTGAGGGAGCCGGCTCCGGCCTTGGCCAGCCCAGAAAGGGGCTCCCACAGTGCAGCGGGGGGCTGAAGGGCTCCTCAAGCGCAGCCAGAGTGGGCGCCGAGAGCGAGCGAGGGCTGTGAGGGCTGGGGGCACGCTGTCACCTCTCAAAAGCAAACCCAAATCACGACCCCACAGCTGCTCCTTACGCACGCACGTCGTATGCACACCCACACACACACAGGCGCGTGAACTCATGTGCACACACAGGCACACACACACACCTGTACTGGTGCTCTGGGCAGGCTGGAGAGTGAAACAGTTGCTCCTTGCCCAGGTTGTGGAGCCATTATGGCTGGGTCCCTGTGAGAGGTGAGGTTGGCCCGAAGTCCCTTTCCCGCACCCCCCTCCCCGTTCCCTCCATCCCCACCCCCATCCAGATCCCTTTGGACTCATCCAGAGAATGGGAGCGATGGAGGGAGGAGCTGTGGACGCTCTCAGCCAGGGCAGAGAGCTTGCGGGACAGGCTGTGCGCTAAAGCCAGGGGGTCTGGGGCAGCAGAGAGGATGGCGAATTGGTGCAGGGCGAAGGAATCTGAAAGAGGGCTGTGCGGTCCGCAGAGAGCGAGGCTTGGGAGCCCGACCCAAAGCGTGCCCTCCAGGGTGCAGCACCGACGGGTGCCGCGGCGTTTGCAGGCGGGGAGAAGGCGGCGGGAAGTACTGGACTAGCTGCGGGCAGGGGCCGGCTGAGGCGCGCGCCCGCGTGCTAGGGGCCCCGGGGGAGGGCGGCGGGGACGCGGCGCTACTCCCCTCTGCCACCCGGCGGCCGCAGACAGCGCTGCGCCGGCCTCGCGTTTTTCGTTTTCCGCCAGACCCGGCCTCGTAACTGAGAGCATCTGGCTGAAGCCGTTGCTCTCCTTCTCTTTCCCCTGGGCCTCCTTCTCTCCCCACTAGCCGGTCCAAGGAGCGAGGGCACAGGTGCACAGAGCAGTCCAGAGGGAGACAAGGGGGGCGGTCAGAAGCTAAGAGTACCTGAGGTGGCATAGGCCTGTCGAGGACGGAACTCACCCCAGCCTGACCTGATTTCTCCTGCAGCCCCTGGGCGGGGGGTCCAGGTGACATCTATATACGAATCACCCCCCTCATCCTGGCTGGCTTCCCTTGACCCAGGAAACTGCCCTGAAATTCCCTCCCCAGCCCCAGTCCCTCTCCTCCCTTCCCTTCTGAACACAACAGCACAGACCTTATCCAAACCCTGCCTCCTCCTCCAGGAAGCCTTCCAGCCACAGAAGAGGCATGTGGGACTCGGTAGGGGTGTGGGAAGAGGAGTGGGTGGGAAACGGGTGGAGCCATGTGTGGCAGCTAAGGAGGGCACCCCCACACCCGCCCCCTGGGACACTCTCACAGACTCCGTGCATTCCGTGGGGGAATAAGAGGTGGCAAGGACAAGAACAAAAGGATCTGGGAGGACATCGGGCCAGGTGATGATGGGCTGATGGAGAAATTACCAAGGCGGGGGCGCTAGTCTGGGGAGCTCCTCACCACCTCCAACAGAGGGGTCCTCTCTTCCCCCACCCCAAGCGGCATAGCTCAACAGAAACGGAGCAAGGCAAAGGAGACCAGCACGCATGGAAGGCAATCCATACACACTTGTTAACTAAGGCAGGGGGTTAATGGGAAGACACTGGCCTGAGCACAAGGAGATAAGGTTTTAGTCATATCTCTGGCCCCCAAGAAGGGGGTCCCCATGTGAACTTGAAAAAGTCCCTTTGTCTCTTTGGTCTCCAGGTTCCTCATCCATGAAGTCAGGGGTTTGCGTTAGAAGCAGGATGGCAAATGGTGCTGCCTGGAGCACATTCGGAAGGATTGTGAGGTGGGAAAGAATCTGTGATCAGTTAGCAATATCGGCCTTGGGCAGAGGAACGGACAGTGCAGGGAGGCATGCCGAGTGTTTGTGAAGTCTAGGAATCATCTCCCAAGCCCCTTCCATTCCAATGCTCCAGGAGTTGATGAAACACTGCAAGAACAGTGCGGAACTAGGGCAGGAGCTGGAGATGCCATGAGAGACTCGGAGGAAACTCCAGACTGACGGCATGCAAAGGCTTGCCTCTGTCGTTAAGCCTAAGGAAGGATCCCCTAACGGAACCTCCGATCCAACACAGTGTGTTCAGTTGTCACTTCCAACAGGGTATTGTCCCATCAGGCTCTCCACATTGGACGGCAGTGTGCGTTCCAATTATAGCTCCTCTCCCCGTGTACAAATGCAGTACGCTCTAACAAGAGGCATCCCCACAGTGGAATCCTCATAACTCGAGGTGTTGCAATCAGATGGCGGCCTCCAAAAAGACCCCCCTTTATAAAAACGATGGTGCCTTCCCACAGGGAGTGGCGTCCCAACATGGCACGTCCCAGTGGTGGTGTTATCAGCAAAGGGGAAGGAGCTGCTCCAGCTAGCACAAGAGAGGAGTCTGGCCTCCAGCTGGGGGTGCCTGTGGCTCTCCAGAGGTTCCCAGCAGGATTGTGGCAGGAGACAGAGGCAGAGGCTGTCCGCTGAGAATGGAGGGTGGCCCTGACCTAGGTTCCCGGCTTAGGAGCCGCCTGGCCTCTGGCCACACCCTACAAATGGGTCTCCTTCTCCCCGGCTATCAGTCCTTCCCTTGTTGGGGAGGGCCCAAAGTTCCGGCCAGCACTGCCATCCAAGCAGGGATGTTGCTTGGGCTGTGGCAGACTGGAGTCAGGGGTGATGAGCTGACGCAGACGCTGTGGAGAGAAGAGGCAGGGATTTGGAGCTGATGGTGAGGGAGGCGCAGAAGGTTCCTCATGTGTGCAACCCCAGGGCCCAGCCCAGAGCGGAGCACATGGCCAGCACCGCACAGTATGAGTGAGTCAATGAATGAACCGTTTGAGGTGAGAAGGGAGGCAGCAATACCGTGACTACGAATGAGTGTGCGCTGCCTGGGTTCCAGTCCTGGCTCTGCTGCCGACCTGCGCCACCTAAGGCTGCTCACTTAACCCCTCTGTTAATCCCCCTCAATTTTCTTACCTGTAAATTGAGAATAATAGTAGAATGCACCTCACAGAACAGTGCTTGGCACAGAGTAAGTGATCAATAAATATCTATTTTTGTTATTGTCATTATTGTTATTACTATTATTATGTGCTCAATAAGTATCTATTATTTTTCTTCTTATCAGTGGTACTGCTACGACTGTTGGTGGTGGTGGTGGTGGTGCCATCTGCTCCCTCCTTCTTGCCTTGAATGCAGATGTGATGACTGGAATCGTGACAGCCATCTTGTGACCATGAGGTGATAAACGTGATGATGAAAACACAGCATGCCCAGGATGGAAGTGTAGAAATGCAGGAAAAGTCTGGTCCCTAAGGGCCTCTTTAAGCAGCCAAACCAAATACCAGCAGCCCTAATCTCTGACCTTCTTGAAACATAAAAAACAAACAAGCCTATTTGCTGAAACTGTTGGAGGTTGGGTTTTCTATTATTTATAGGCAAGATAGATTTCTACCTTTGTGGGTCATTGGCTATAGCTCCTTCCAGGAGGATATGTCCCAAACTCTAGACAGGGAGCCTCTTGCGTGTGTCCCCAGGCAGAGTTAAGAAAAGAAGCCAGGAGCCTGTGTGTGGAGTGAACTGTGCTTGCTGGTTATCAGTTTTCCGAGGGCAAGGAATCTATAGTCTTGTAAACCTTCTGTGTCTGGGCACCTTCCTGTTCATGTTTGTGACTTAGTTTTCTCCTGAACCTTTCAGCAGTTTGCCCTCCGTTAGCCTGCCCAGATCATCCATGGGAGGTCAGAGTCTGTAGGTCTAGGACTCTAGGACTTTTCAGAGCATTTCTGAAAAGCCACTGGACTGGTCTTCAAAGTTCGTCTCGTTAAGATTCTGTGAGACTGAAGGGCTGCCCCACACTCAGAGTTTGTGTCTGCTCCCTGGCCCCAGTTGTGTGTCCTGCCCCAAGTCCAGCCTCTCTCAGTGCCCTCCTTTAAGAGGTCACTCTCCCCTACACCACCTACCTTCCTGAAAGGACCCCGAGTCTTCAGGAGGGTGATGACGACGAAGAGTGGGACACAGACCATGGAGGACAGAGCCAGGAACCAGCCAATGGAGTATCCCCAGGGCGGGTACACATAGACGTTGTTGTACTTGAGGGGGGTGTACTTGCTCAAGGAGAAGAGGAAAGTGGCCTGGGAGAAGGAAGGGGCAGCCATGGGTAAGATAGGGGGCGACTGAAACCCTCTCCGCAGCTACGTACAGCCAAGGACAGAGGACAAGTCAGGTGCACTGCAGCACGTCTGTAAGGTGGAAGAGTAAAAGCCCCTGCAAATCCCAGGCCAAGGCATCATTCACATCACAGACGGAGACAGGAGGCGATACAAAGGAAGGGAGGGGCTCGGAAGAGCATCATTCACATCACAGACGGAGACAGGAGGCGATACAAAGGAAGGGAGGGGCTCGGAAGAGCATCATTCACATCACAGACGGAGACAGGGGGTGATACAAAGGAAGGGAAGGGCTCAGAAGAGAAGCTCAGACAGACAGGAGACCAACCATCGAGAAATCAGGCAGAAGCAGGAGGCACTGTGAGGAAGGGATGGAGCCGGAAGTAGGAAGTAGAACAAGATTCTACTTATGGGTGGATGAGATGGCCCCAGAAAGAAGAGCAGGGAAGGCAACATAGAACAGGAAATGGACCAGGCCCCACGGGAGACTGGACAGGTGGGGAAAGAGCCCTGCATGTCAGCCGTCCTTTCCCTCATCTCTGGAGTCTTCTGGGGGCAGGAAGGAATAGAGGGGCAGCTGGTGGGCACATACCAGGCAAAGTCCAGGGGTCAGGAAGAGCCAGGAGATCTTCACCAGGGGCCATGGCCGGTAGCCAATCATGTCCTCAATGTTGTCATAGAAACGGTCCGCCCCTGAGCAGGCATGGCGTGGGAGAGTGTGAGAGCCAGAGGGTGAGAACAGCTTCCCGGTGTTTGGGAAAGACCCACTTGGCTCTGTGCCCTTCCCTCACCCCCGCCCTGTGCAGGGAAACTGGAACAGGGCACGTGAGTGAGACGCCTCCCTGACACCCTGTATCCCTGCATGAGATGCATTCGAGTCACGAGGCAGGGGCTGCCCCCACACACTGCTGCTGCCATCTCTTGTCAGTGCTGTCTCTTGCCTCCCTGTCTTGTGATGGAGACCCCACTGGTCTAACCACAAAGGAGTGGTGTGAGCCCAAAATGGGGCTCAATGGTTAGACAAACGCCTGTTTACCCGGGTAGCAGAGATGAATTTGGTTCAAGCCAAAACAGCAAAACAACAAGGCTCCCGCTGTTCAGACACATCATAGAAAACTCATAGAGGGCTAGAGGGCTACTGGGAACAGAACGGTGGTCTAGATTGCAGACTCCAGAGGAACCACCTCTGAGTTCCCAAAAAAGCATGGTAAGAAGGTTAATTTGTGTTTAGTGAAAACATTGACTGGCTGTATTTTTTGTTGTTTCACTCCTGCAGTTTCCACATTTGCTGTAGTTCTAGGCAGAGCCAGTCTTCTAAGAAGCAAAGAATCACTGAATGGTAAAGATACTTGGAGGGCCTCTCTACCTTCCCACCCAAAATACCTTCCCACCGATCCCTGATGCATGAAATCACACCATTAAAGAGTGGTTCCTTTGACTGTGAAAAGCCAAAGTTAAAAGCCAGATATGGCCAGGTGAGTGAAGCATGTTGAGGCTTATCAGCCATTCACACCTGTTGTGACCAAGTTTAGCAGGTCCTCTCTGAGAAGTTTTGAAAAGGAGTTGGGGAAATTCGGAAGGCATCAGATGCCTGAGGTGAGAAGGAAGGAACGTCTCCATGGAGAGGAAAGGACACAAGTGGGAAGGCTTAGGGCAGCAAAATAAAGTCTTTTCTACTCATGGCTGTTCCTGAGGCCCTACTGTGTGGCACCCACTGGCCCTCTGCCCTGAACCTTGTGACATTGGCACTGGGTTCCCCCAAGCGGTGCAGTGGAGTCAGAGGGACCTGGGGTATGAGGACGGCTTCTCCGCTTGCTACGTGAGCTTAGGCAAGAGACTGAACCCCTCTGAGCCTCACTCTCCCCCTGCACAGATTGTAAGTGTGTGAGACCAACCAGCCTGGCACGCAGTCATGCATTGGCTCAGTGAATCGGGCTTCTTCCCCTTCCTGGTGTAGGACATGGTCACCCCCTGGCTGTTGCAGCATTCAGTATGGTAGCTATCTCAGTCTGAGGGGGCCAGGCTGCTGGCGGAAGTCAGTGAAAGGCAGAATTCACCTCAGTACAGGAGAGAAATGCATAAATGGAAAAGACTCCCTCAAAAACACAGGAATGAGCTCCCTGTCCATGGAAGTACTCAGAGTCTGGGTGATCGCCTCGTTGTTGGAAAGGCAGTGTGGGAGTTTGCGGAGGATCGGGCTAAGTGGCAATAAACGTCCCTTCTGACTAAGATTCCCAGTGGCACAGGGCCTCAGGCCACCTCCATATCGAGGACACTGTGCGCTGTGCACTGTTATTGATCATTCTCTCACTGTTGAAGGAAATCCATTTTGTCATCATTACAGCTCTGCTTGCTGCCATGAAAATGCCAGGCTTCCCAGCCACGGGTAAATTTCCCAGTAAGAAGAAGCAGGGCAACAGCGCAAAGACACACAGAAACCAGGGGACCAGAGAACGGCCTCCCCCAGGCAAAGCCTGCCCCTGGCTGGCTAGACGGTCTTTCTCCCACCCTGCTTTCCCACCCCACTCCACCCCACTCACCATACACCCAGCTTATGCAGACCACTTCAAACAATGACAGGAACAGCAGGCATATGCCACTGGAAGCATAGTAGTCAAACAGCTGGAAGATGTACATCCCGCCCTGTGGGGAGAGCGTGGAGCTGGGGCATGGCCAGTGCAGAGCTGGGACACACTCCAGCCCTCAGTGAGATGGCAAATGCCCACGTGGGGTGCACTCCTGCCCGGCCTGTGGGATGCCATTCCTTGCATCTCAAAGGAGTTTGCCCTGTCTGCCCCTGCCTTCAGGCCCCCCAGTCAACATCAGGACAATAACCTCTGGCACTGGGAGACTGTGGTGGACACACATCATCTCGTCTGCCCAGCATCTCCCCTTCTGGAAAGTGACACCCCCTCATTCTTTGTTCCTTTTAGACTGGGGTATCCCTCTCTCTCTACTCCAGGCTTGAATAAGAGTCATAGCCTGGACATTTGCCACACTCTCAGGAAAAGGGCCCTCTCTTTCCTCCTGGGTTGGCTGACAGTAACAGGTAAGCCTGAAGCCCAGCATCCATCCCTAATGTCACAGGAGGAAAACCCGCCTCTGAGTGAAGTCACAGGAGACCGAGGAGCCTTCCTGAGAGTGCCACAAGAGCAGCTGGATCCAACCACACCGAAACCCAGATATCCTAGGGTTTTCAGCAACCTGACCCAATACATTCCCCTTTCTGCTTAAGCCAGCTGTATTGGTCACCTGCAACCAAAAGAGACCTCACAAATGCATGTTGTGTGGTCCCTACAACCTCACTGTGGAGAGGCAGGGCAGGCGTTCACACCCCTCGTCAGCAGATAAGAAAAGTGAGGCTCTGAGCAGGGTCAGCAGTGTCCCCCGTGGCTCCCTCCCCTGGAGCCTGGCCTGCAGGCCGGCGGCCGCAGCTCACCTCGGTGACCAGGAAAAGCCCTATCAGGTAGCACATGACGGCGATGGTGAGGATGAGGAGCTCGCGCCGCCCGCTCTTCCGGAGCTGCCTGGGGAACATGTCTATGGAGGCTGTCACCAGGCACTCCACACAGACAAACTGTGGGCCAGGAGGGGAACTGGATGAGAGGGTGTGGGGCGGGCTGTTGGCCACCAGCCCTGGCCTCCACTTCCCCTGGCTCATCCACACTGATGCACAGGGGTGCAGGGAGCAGCACAAAGGGAAGAAATGGGGGTGCCCTGGGGTGAGCCAACCCTGCCCTTAACTACAACTCCATGACAAAGAGTCTCAGCAGTGAGGGTTAGAGGGGGGTATGTTCTGTCCCCGAGGCTCAGGGGCTGGGGCTGGGCAGCTCGAGCTGAAGGAACATCTGGGAGGAAACATCCATGCATGCAGAGGCTCAAGGCTGGGAGCACAAAGCCAGTGGCCCCTTCACCCCAGAGGGTCTCCAGGCCACACCCCCAACCCCAAGGAAAAGCCCTGGACAGCAGAGGGGGCCTCAGGTGTGTGGTCAGGGGAGTGGGAGTGAGGGGAAAGTAGTCCCAGGACAAGCAAAGGCTTGCAAGAGGGTCACCACGGCAGGGCAGGCTGGGCTGCAGTGACGTACCTGGCTGTCCAGCCCTAGGAATATGAGCATGATAAAGAACAGGCAGGACCACAGCTGGGATAAGGGCATCATAGTCACAGCCTTGGGGAAGGCGATGAAGGCCAGCCCAGGACCTGCCAGGTACACAGCACAGTCAGGGAGGCTCCAGGGCGTGTGCTGCCCTTGGGGAAGAGGCGTCTCTCTAAGCACTGTGTGTGTGTGTACCTGTGCACACACTTTAAGAGGAAAGGGTGATTCCATCCACTGTTCTTCTCTTTCCAGGCCTGGGAAGCATACCATTCATCCATCCATCCATCCATCTACCCATCCATCCATCCATCCATCCATCCATCCATCCATCCATCCATCCATCCATCCATCCATCCATCCATCCATCCATCCATCCATCCATCCATCCATCCATCCATCCATCCATCCATCCATCCATTCATCCATCCATGGAAGCCCTGCTTTGTGCTAAGCGCTGCCCCAGATGCTAAAATTAAAACCTACTACCCATAAATAAATCATATTGCCCATCTTCTGGGACTCATGCCTTTCAGCAAGAGAGAAGTGTGTTCTCTGACTCTCCTTCCCCTCAGGCCCCAGACAGCAAAGTGGCACCTACCTGACTCGGCCACTTCAGAAATGGGCACCCCTTGCTCTTGGGACATGAAGCCCAGGATGGAGAAGACAACAAACCCAGCCACAAAGCTGGTGGCACTGTTCAGGAAGCAGAGGGCGATGCAGTCCCTGTGGGAGTGGGGCAAGGGCAGACAGGAACGGGGAGGAAAAGAGAGGAAGAGAGAGAGATCAGTCATGGGAGGAGAGGTCAAAAGACAGTGAGAGGGGACCAAGGAGAGAGAAGGGGGAGGCAAGGGAGGCACAGAGGAGGGGAGGAAGGGAAGAGAGCATGGGAAGAAGACAGTAGAAGAAAAAGACAAAAATCAGGTGGCAGACAACAAAGAGAGAAGTGAGAGAGAAAAGGAAGAAGGAAGACATTTAGTCTGGGAAAGGAACCCATAAGTTCAGTCTGATACAACGTATAATGAATAAGGAAGGTCTGGGCCCAGAGACTATGGGTCTTTGCCCAGAACCCATCCCCAGGCCCCAACCCTCCTTCACCCCACCCCGGCCCACGCTGTTCTCACTTGTAGCAGTTGTTGTGATACTTGTTGTAGCTGCCCAGGGCTGTCAGGCACCCCTGGCAGATGGCAAAGGAGAAGAAGATCTGGGTGCCCGCATCCATCCACACCTACACAAAACCCCAAGAAAGAGGTAGAGGCAGCCCCCAGGGCCCAGAGCCAGGGTGACCCGAGATCCAGACCCGTCCCCTGCAGCACCAGCCTGGCCCCTCAGTGCTCCCTGAGCGCTTCCCTCCTGCATCCCAACTCTCCGTGAGTGCGCCCTCCGGTCTCCACGGTGATCTCCTCCCCAGTGCGGCCCAGTTTCGGTTTGGTTCTGTAGGCACTTAGTGAGTACCAAATACATGTGTGTTGCTTGGATTTCTCCAGGGGAATCTACAAACCATGGCTGCACCCAAGGCCTATCTGCAGGGCACAGCCAGAAGTCACTTGTCTCATTCAACTAAGATCTCTGTACATAGTGTCTTAAGCAGCTATGACCTGGGGACAAAGAGGCTGCTTCATCAAAATATCAAGAGAAAATGCCCAGGAACCATGGCTCATGCCTGCAGTCCCAGCTGCTCAGGAGGCTGAGGCGAGAGAATGCCTTGAGCCCAAGAGGTTGAGGCTGCAGTGAGCTATGATGGCACCACTGCACTCCAGCCTGGGGGACAGAGCCAGACCCTGCCTGTCTCTAAGTAAGAGAAAAAAAATTTTTTAAGAAAAAAAGTTATATTTGAGTGGTGGAATTACAAGAGATTTTTTTAGTTTCTTTTTTATAGCTTTCTTCCATATTTTCTAATTTATCTCCAGTGGGCATTTATTGCTTTTAAACCAAGGAAAAAGCTATACAAGACTTTCAAAACTACAGACCTGGCTGGGTGGGGAAGGCACCTGGGGAAGTGGTCCCAGCACGGTACATACCTGAGGGTCCTTGAGGCGGAACAAATCTGGCTTCAAGTAGTAGATGATGCCCTGGTAGGCTCCGGGAAGGGTGACACCTCTGATCAGCAAAATGACAAGCATCAGGTACGGAAACGTGGCTGTGAAATAAACCACCTGGAGGTGGGGGGACAGGCCAAGGTCACTCCTGGTGGGGACGCAGTGGCCCTCCAGCCACGCCCCACAGGCAGCTCGAGTCACACGGAGCTCAGTCCCAACCTCAGAGACAGCCTAGAGGGGCTAAGCACAAGAAAGTTTCCACACCTCCCTTTACACATTCCAGTGGGTCTGTGCTCCCCCCAGGGTGTGAGATACACATCAGCAGGGGGAGGGTGGGGAGGGGAGGAGGAAGACAGGGAGGGAGGCAGGGTACAGGCTTCCAGCCCATAACCTGTCCAAGACCATTTTTTTCCTCTTATTTTTAGTCAACATGTACGTATGTGCATAATCTGTACATATTTATGAAAAAGAGTGGTATTTCCATATGTGTATATAATGTGTAATGATCAAATCAGGGCAAAGACTAATTTAAAGTCCAGAATCTGGTCTTTCTTAATCCTTTATCCTGGCTGTTCTCTCCTTGCCCCCTGGCGACCCAGGGGAATAGTGACCAGATTTGCACAGTGATCTGTGGGGAAAGTTAGGCTGTGCTTTTGCAGGCTAATGGTTGGGGGAGCAGCGGCGGCCGGAGCTCCGGGCTGTTCTTCTCTGCCACTAAGCAAACTCAGCTCCTTCCCTGGGCGGCGGCAGTGGTACTGTCTGTGCTGTTATTACTACGATGATCACTTTCATCATCCCTATTACCAACTTGTTACAATTCAGGGAGGGGAAAGGCTGCTGCGGGAACAGACTCAGTGTATGGCCAAGCAGAGAAGTCCGTTTACTGACCACTCCTGGCTTTAAAAAGGCATGAAGCACAGTCTCCGGCTCTCTGGGTTGGAAATAATGCTCAAATCTGAATTCTGTCTATGTGACAAGCCCATTGTTGCCCATTCTTGGTGGGAACCCCTTCAATGACTGGAAACTCGCCACCTCAAAGACAGTTCTGTTTGCTAATTCAAACTCAAAATTATCTTGCTATGTTGTTAAATACAACAACAAGTGAGTCATAAGAGCGTGTGATCCTAATGATGTCATAGCCACACATAATGGATACAGACACACACACATACGTATGAGAGAAACCAGAAGGCAACACAGCAAAAATGAACAGAGATTAGCAGTGCCAACCTGCCAGCAGGGATTAGCTCCAACAATGAGATTTTTCTGTTTCTAATTTGCCCTGAATATTCTTTTTTTTTTTTTTTTTTTTTTGAGACGGAGTCTGGCTGTCGCCCAGGCTGGAGTGCAGTGGCGCTATCTCGGCTCACTGCAAGCTCCGCCTCCCGGGTTCACGCCATTCTCCTGCCTCAGCCTCCTGCATAGCTGGGACTACAGGTGCCCACCACCACGCCCGGCTAATTTTTTGTATTTTTAGTAGAGACGGGGTTTTACCGTGTTAGCCAGGATGGTCTCGATCTCCTGACCTCGTGATCCGCCAGCCTCGGCCTCCCAAAGTGCTGGGATTACAGGCGTGAGCCACTGCACCCGGCAGCCCTGAATATTCTTATGTAAACCGGACTTTTAAAGTCATATTGAAAAAGAAAGACTTTCCTTGCATCGAGCTAAGCTCCGCCTTCCTGTGGCTCCCCCTGTTCTCACTAGGCATCTCCCCTGCCCTGCTCAGGAAGTGTAGTTTCTTAATAGAAAGAAATCAGTTCTCCAGAGGGTCCCCCTCAAGTGTCCCCGTAGACTCTGGGGGCCAAAGGGAGCTTCCCAGGAGGCAGGACATCTCACCTTGCCTGTGGACTTGACCCCCTTCCAGATGCAGAAATAGCAGATGACCCAGGCGAGCAGGAGGCACAGGGCCAGCTCCCAGCGCAGGGAGCCCAGGTCATGGATGCCCGAGGTGATGCCCAGAACTCGTCTCCTGGAGGATTGGGAAAAATAAGTAATGAGGGGAAAGGCTAAAGGGGACAGTTTGCGTCTGTCAGCAAGTCTCCTGATTCTCAGAGCTGACCCCACGGATCTCATATTCCAGGGCTTCCCCCACTCCCCACCTCCCCCACAGTCAGGCCATGTTCCCGTAGACCAAACTACTACCATCATCCTATGCATATCTTTATCTTTCTAACTCATCCAGATTTTTTTTCTCGTACAGAAAGATGGAGAGAGAGAGAGATGAGGAATGTATAAATGAGCGTTTAGAGAGTAGATATTTATACATGCAGGTTGATGGGCAAGTGCATGGGTATCCCGTGCAGGGGCTGAGTGTGTTAGTTTCTAAACATGTGATGGGGTGCTGGAACTGCATGCATGGGTGTGAGGGTCCAGTACTGTGAGGGCATTCAGGTGTGAGGGCATTGGTGCCTACGTGGGGGTTAGCTCAGTGTGAGAGAGTACAGGCAGTCTTGCGTGGGAATGCAGGTGGACGAGTGTGGGCACACGTAATGTGAAGGGGTACGTTGTCAGGTGAGAGGGTGAGTGTGTGAGTGGAGGGTGTGCCCATGTCTTGATGTGAGCACTCCCGCCTTGGGCAATTTCAAGCTACTGGCATGACACCACCGAGCATGGCAGTGGGAAGAGACATGCACACTCAGCTCCCCTAAAGCTGTGAAGACTCTGTCCAGCACCCCACTGGACATGTGTGGGCAGACACACGCATGGAGGTAGGGATGTGGGGCTGAAGGTGGACATGACGGATAAATGTGAGTCTCCGTGGACCCGTGTGGGTAGATGTGAGAGCGTTCTCCCCTGCCTCAGTGATGTGTGGGGTTGGAGTGGGGCGGGGGAGGAAGTGCTGGAAAGCACACACAGAATCTTAAACTTGCACCCCAGACATTCAGACTTGCACAGCTCAGACATCCAAATTTCCTCTTCATATGTGGCAAATGGGCCCAGCACCTACTCCCAGAATTCCATGACAGGTGAGGTAAAATTCTCAAATGGGGTCACTGTGCCGGCTCCTGAGTGGTTCAGAAAGTCCGTGCAATGCTCTGTTGGGGACAAGGTTAGGGACAAGATGGAGAGAGATGCTCTTATACCCTAGTCCCCCTGGCCCTCTGGCCTTGCAGCCTAGTGGTCCTCACCACTCCTAGCCCCAAGAGCTTCTTTTGGAGCCCCCACTCTCCAGGGCATCAGGAGGCTCATAGGGCCAGCTCTTCCTCCCCCTGCTCTTGTTCCCTGTGAATCTGCCTGCTCACCTGGCTGCCCTGCCAACCTCAGACAGTATCCAGACTTCAGATCTACTCAGTCCCCTCATGGGCGGCTGGTACGGAATGCACTCTCCCCGCTTGCCCGTTCTGACTTCCTGTCTCTCCACTTGGCAGGCCAAGGGACTGCGGCCCTGCACCTGCTCTTCCCCCTGCTTGGAATGCTGCCCCCATGCTGGGCTCTCTCTCACTTCAGGCCTCAGATGACACTTCTCCCTCCCCTTGTTCTATGGTTTCTGCAGTTTCGTTCACCTATCACAATTTGTAGTGGTTGTGTTTATTTGTCTGTTCTTACCACCAGACTGTAAACACAGTGAAGGCTGGGTCCCTGCTGCTTTTGCTCAGCCTCGTACCAATCTCCAGCCCTTGGCACCGTGTTTAACACACAGTAGGTGTCCAGTAAGTGCTTGTTAAGCGCACAAATGAGTAAGTGGCAATAACCCTTGCAGTCATTTAATACAGTCCCTCTGGGTTCTCCCAACCACACTGACTCGTCCGAGTGGCTGGCCTGAGGGCCTCAGAGGAGCCAAGGAGCAGAGCTGCCCAGGAGCCCACGTGGCTTGGCTGCCAGGCAGGTTCTGCTACACTTATACTCCCCGTCGTTGCTTGGATTCACCAGCCACCGCAGCCCAGCCCCTAACAGGCAACATCCCAGGGGCTGAAATGATGGATACCTGTGTTCCAAAAGTTGTTGCAGGTCGTCCAGGGCAGCTCAGAAGTGAAGGAGCTGAACAGGTAGAAGAGAGCCCAGGCAAGGATGATGATGTAGTAGACATTCAAATATGACTCGATGACCACAGATGCCAGACCAATGCCTTCCAGAGTGGGGGAGAGATGGGGAGGGACAAGAGAGATCAATGTTAGCAAAAAAGTCACATAGAAGCTGCCAGTTGAGGTTACAAGGGTATTGGGTGCTACACAAAGAGCACCATTGGGGTTTATCCAGTGGCATGAGAAGCCATTCATAGCATATTTTTCTTTCTTTTTTCTTTTCTTTTTTTTTTTTTTTTTTTTTTTTTGAGATGGAGTCTTGTTCTGTTGTCCAGGCTGGAGTGCAGTGGCACAGTCTCGGCTCACTGGAACCTCCACTTCCCGGGTTCAAGCGATCCTCCCACCTCAGCCTCCGGAGTAGCTGGGACCACAGACAGACCCGGCTAATTTTAACTTTTTTTTTGTAGAGACGGGAGAAGGGGAGGGTCTCGCTATGCTGCCCAGGCTGGTCTCGAACTCCCGGGCTCAGGCGATCCTCCTGCCTCAGCCTCCCGAAGTGCTCACTACTTAACGAAGGACTGTGGACCTTTCAGAACAGCCTGGCTGAAAAATCAATGCTGACTATGAACAAAACCTCTCCTTTGGGGCCCGGCGAGCCCACCCTGGCAAGGACGGGTTCCACCGCGGTCTCCACCGCGCAGCGGCGTTGGGGCGGCCCGGGCGTCCGCCGCGGGGGTGGGCGTGGCGCTGCGCGGGAGGGACCCGCAGACGGCAGAGGGTCCGCGGGGAGCGGGCGGGGCGTTGAGAGCGCGCACACAGACACCCAAAAAACACACAAACAAGCGGCCCCTGTGCCGCGGCGGAACGCGCTGTGCTCGCGGCCGTCCGGCCCGTCCGGCAGCCCCGGGTCAGCCCGGTGAACTAAGCGGACCCGGGATGGCCGAGCCGGGGGCCGGCGTTCTGGTGGGGCTGTCTGGGAGAGGGGCCGGGGCGGCGCTGGGTGGAGAAGGGGCTCGCGGGGGAGCGCGGGGGCGCGCGGGGGCGCGCCTCGAGCCAGTACGGCAGCTCCGGGAGAGGGGAGTGCGGCGGGCGGAGAGGCCGGCAGAGGGCGGGGAGGGCAGCCCGGACCTCCCACCAGCACAGCGCGGTGCACGCGCTTCCCGCTGAGATGCCAGGCCCTGCCGCCTCTTTGACTTGGAAAAGAAGGAAAGAGCCACGACCTCTCTCCTCTCGCATTCCAGTGCTCCGTTTGCTCACCCTGACCGTGGCACCCGCATAAGCCGTCTGTGTGTTCCAGAGAGGCCAGCCCTGCATGTGCTGTCCGTGAGCGTGCTTGGACCTACGCATAGGACCCAGCTGAGCGGGACATTTACACGACTGCTGGGGTCGAGGGCAGAACAGGGGGAAACTGTGTTCTGGCGGAGGCACAGCACCCCGGGAGCACCCAGAGCCTGTGAGTAGAGCCATAGGTAAGCCAAGCTTCACTCGGCTCCAGCCCCTCGCTTCTGCCCCTGCAGGGGTCCCATGGTTGCCCCAAGAGGCATCAGCACCAAACTGGCCTCCCCCACCTCCCCACCATCAGTGCTAAGGGTCCCAGCTTGCTCGGGAGCCAGTGTTTCCCCACCAGGCTCTCTCCGGCCCACCCATGAAGCCTGATTCTGCACTTGGCGCAGGATATGGGAGTGAGCGGATGGGTGAAGCAGCGGATGGGTAGGCAGGGAGAGACCATGGGGGGATGCAGGCAAGATGGCGGCCCCATGAAGGGGAAGGTGGGGGAGGATACATACCCTGGAAGAGGGGGCAGATCTTCCTCCAGGCTGTGACACTCCCTTGGCTGGTGTATTGGCCCAACGCCACCTCCAGGAAGAACACCGGGATGCCGCAGACAAAGAAGAAGATGAAGTAGGGGATGAAGAAGGCTCCTGCAGAAGAGAGAGAGGCAGGGCTGAGCCACACCCGGGCTCTTCCTCAGCCTCCATCCTTTCAGACCCTCCTCCCCCAACAAACCCGCCCTCCACCATCCTGTTCTTAATCTCCCTCCTGACACTTTCCAAGGGCCCACTCCTGCCTGCGTGCAGTCCTGAGTGTTAGGCAGGCACAGGTGGGAATGTTCTGATCTGAACCCTACACAGAATGAGAAAGGCCTTGGAAGGGAAATTAGTGAAAACTTAGGTGGAAATTCTAATATATGCACTATTTATTTTCTTAGTGTGCTTTACAAATCTAGTCAATAGATTATTTTTGGAATAAACACATGGCTTCTGTATAACTTGATATGCTTATTAAACTCTTGGTACATTTTAGAGAAAAACAAACACAAACACCTCAGAAGCATTATTTTCCCACTAATAATTTTCAGGGTGTTTGTTGCCTCCACCCAGTTCTGATCTGAACTGGGCTCCCAGCAGAGAAGGCCATCACGTGATTAGGTGCCAACCTGCAGGTGCCAGAGGGAGGCCAGGCCTAACAGACATCCAGCAGGTTACACAGGAATGGAATCTGAAGACCACACCCAGGAGACCCACTTCAGTAGGAGTCACTAAGGCATAAAGCTCGAGTGAGAAGTTCATCTCAGGGTGAATGGATTATTGCGTGTTACACCATGAGAACGCTGAGTGCTTATTTGGTGCCTACTTCATGTCAGGCACTCTTGTACGTACTTCATCAACATCACAGTCCTTGCAAAACAACCTCCCATGGGGCAGGCTCTACTGTTATCCCCATTTTGCAGATAATAAAACTGAGGTCGCTTTAAAGACGGAAAAACCGAAGCATGAATGAGGAAACTGAGGCACAAGCCCAGGCAGTCTAGTCCTGAGGCTGAGCTCATAATCACTACACTATATACCTCTGATACTTCATATCCATATTATTATGTAGAAAACATAGAAAGTACAGAGGGAAAGAAAGGAAAAATCATTGTATATCCTTCCAGATTTCTTAAAAGCACACACATGTATTTCTTTTTTTGCAAAAGTGAGAAGTAATCATGTATCAAATACATTGTTTGATAACCACTTTTTAAATTTTTACCGTAAACCTCTTCATGTCAGTAAATACATATCTACCTCATCATTTTGATTGCTGCATAGTGTTCCACTCTATGTATCTATCCTAGTGCACTTCGTCAGTATGTTATCATTGGACTTTTGGTCATTTCATCCGAAACACTGTCATAATGAAGACCACTGTCCACATCCTCGTGCACTTGTCTAATTCATTCCTTAGTACAAATTACCAGTAGAGGAATTCCTGAGTCAAAAGTTATGCACTTTTTTTCTCTTTGTGTGTGTGTATGACAAAATATACATAATATAAGCCACTTTAACTGTTCTTAAGTATACAGTTCAGTGGCATTAAGTATATTCACAACGTTGTGCCACCATCACCACCATTCATCTCCAGAGCTTTTTCATCATCCCAGACCGAAACTCTGTACACGTTAAACACTAACTCCCCATTCCCCTCTCTCCCCAGCCCCTGGTAGGTGTGATTCTACTTTCTGTTTCTATGCATTTGCCTATTCTAGGTACCTTATGAAAGTGTAATTATACAGTGCTTATCTCTTTGTGCCTGGCTTATTTCACTCAGCATGCATGCCTCCAAGATTGATCCAGGTCATAGCATGAATTCCCTTCTTTTTGAAGGCTACGTACTATTCCCTTGTGTGAACCTACCACTTTCTGTTTATCTGTTCATCTGTTCATGGATATTTTGGTTGTTTCCACCTTTGGGGTATGCACATTTTTTAAATACGCATTTCCAAATTGTTCTCCAAAACTCTTGCACCAATCTGCATTCCTGACAGCAATATGTGGGAGAAGGAAAAAGGTTGTCTTCTGGATCCCAGGGAGCCACAAAAGGCCAGTAACTCTCCACTGAGTTCCAAAGTCCCTTTGAACCCCATGTTTGCCTTTCCAACCCTAGGAATACTAGAGTGTTGGTCAGCACAGTGCCAGTAACACCACTGACTCAGGTTTCAGTGGCTTGGGAAGTCCCAGGACCTAGGCTGAGGGGTAGCACTCGGTAGAGGGACACGGCCTAAGGCCTCCCCAGAAGGCACTTTACAGGATGTCTGTCAGGGCGTGTGGCCCACGGGACTCCTTCCCACCTGTTGTGTGCAGAAGGTCCTTCCCTCCAATAAAGGAGGTGGCTTCAGTTCTCACCTGGGAGTGTGGATTTCCGCCCCACAGAAGACGGGGTGACTTCAGGAGGCCTGGAGCTGGGCCTCGCTCAGACCGGGTCCTCCCTGAAAGGGTGGCACTAAGTCTGGACCTTCGAGGGGCAGATGAAGAGGTTGTTTCTGGAGCGCGTTAGGGCGTCCTCTACCCTTGGGTTTTTAGAACGCTGACACTGCTACACCCTCCCCTCAAATTCCCTCATCAGTGCCTTGCTTTGGAAGGTTACCCTGCTTCATGTCTCCTTCGTGTCAGCCCAGGCTATGGGCACGGGCGGCCCAGCGATGTCGCACAGGGACCTTTACCAACATGGTGTGTCCCACAGGGACCTTTACCGACACGGTGCCCTGAAGCCTGGGGTTGGTGTCAACACCTCTACATTGTGCCTTACCTCTGCTGCATGCTCTTTCCTGAACCACTCACAACCCGGATAATGGGAACTTCCTAAAGTTCTCTTTTGAGGTGAGTGATTTCTAGTTCAGGGGCTCCCCTCTTTTTCATAACCAAAGCCCTCATTAGACCAATAGTTTTATTACTCTTTTTTGTTTCTTTTGAAAGATTTTTCTCTACAGAACTATGTTTACTAATTAATAATCAATAAATTTCCCTGCATATATTAATAAAATTATATTTAAGTGCCAATCAGGCCTTATGGTCAGCTTGATATAAACTTTATTATCACTCTGAGTTAGTACAGTTCAGTCTAAAGCAAAAAAATAAAAGACATTTGGACTAGTCTGTGACATCCTGTTTCCACATCCATCCATCATTAGGTTGTTGGAAATGAGAAAATGAATTCCTGGCCCTTCTTTACTACATTTCTAGACCCCCAAGGACCAGTGACTCCAGAAGGGGACCCCAACCTCATTTGGCCCCCTCATGTTAAAGATGAAAGAAAGGGTGTCTTTCCCAAGAGTTAGGCTGGGAAGGAGGTAACCGGATCCGATATTCCATAATGTTACTGCGGGTACTCATCTCTCTCTCTCCACCCCACCCCACGGCCAGGACAGAGGCCACAGCCACAGCAGCAGCCAGCATGACAGGACAGAGGCAGGGTGGGCGCCCGACACCGCGGCCCTGCCTCCCAGGCCCTAGTGCTGTCTCCCTCCCAGATGGCTGGGTGAGGAGTGTGCCGTGACGCAGAAATGGTTCCAAGGCCCTCTGCAGTCCTGGGCAAATCCTCCTCCACTAAAGGAGGGCTTAGTCTGAGCACCTCCATCTCCAGCCCTAACATCCTATATGCCATGAGATGGTGGCCCTGGATGAAGAAGGAAACCACCACCCTGCCCCTTCATCTTGCCTCCCCTGACTTTCTGGCCCAGGGTCAGCCTCAGCACCAGAGACTGAGCCAGCCCAAGAAAGCCTACCGCTATTTCTTAGGAGTTGTCAGTTCAAGCAGCTTGTGATCGCAACTATAAGGTTTAAAACACATAGCAAGATACACAGTAGACCCTCCGTAAATATTGGTCAGATTTAATATAAATAGTGTTTAGGAGGATTTTCTCAACAAATTATCTCTAAATGTGAGTATTCCTTTCTACCTTCCTGAAATGTTTCTAATATTTGCAATAAACATATACTGTTTCCACAAGAAAAATAAAAGTGATTTCAAAAGGCCAAAAAAAATGAATCTAACCACTCACAAAGGACGGCGCATTGAACGATTGTATTCCTGTGAAATAGCCCAAATAGGGATCCATCGAGATGGGCAGCACATAAGCGTTGCCAAGGGCTGGCAGGGAGAGGGAATGAGGAGCGACTGCGAATGAATATAGGATTTCTTTCGGGGATGATGAAAATGTTCCAAAAGTGGTTGTGGTGATGGCTGCACAATTCTGTGACTATACTAAAAACCACTGAATTGTGCACTTAGAATAAGGAACTGGCCCCTCCCCACCACTGCTAATTTTTACACCCAGTGCTGAAAAATAATAAAATCATGTTTCTCTAACTTGAAAAAAACTCAAAGGCAAGGTATTTCTCCAACCAAAATTGCTTCGGTGGCTCCCATCTCAGTCAGAACAGAGCCTGAGTGACCCCTGTGACCTGTCCAACCTCAGCCTGAGTGATCCCTGTGACCTCTCTGCCCTCACCCGGTTATTCTCTGCCTCTCTCATTCCATCCCAGCCACACCTGCCTCCTCACTGCTCCTCAGACAGGCCTGCAGCTTCCACCCCCAGGACCTTGGCACCTGCCGTTCCCTGTGTCAGAGTGTTCTCCATCCAGGATACATCCACGACACTCATGCCTTCACTTCCTTCAAGTCTGCTGAAATGTCACCTTCCCCTCTGCACGCCTAGCATTCCCTATCCCTCCTCCCTGCGTCACGTCTCACCCCTCCACTCATCACCATTTGACATAGACCACGCGGAACCGTTTGTCCGCAACCTGCCGCAGACACAGTACAACTCCTCAGAATCCTCCCACGGAGGGTGGCACACGGAATGTGTTCTGTTTTGCACCTAGCGCCGGGTCTGGCACGTGACAGGCCTGCAATCATGTTCACTGAATGAATGACTGAATTCTATCAATGATTGACCTTTACATAGTCATGAAGGAGCTTGTTAAAAACTAGAATTTCTTGGTCCTGCCCATTGCCCAGTTTCATCTTCACCGTCACCCTGGGAGGTATTGTCCCCATTTCACAGAGAGGGACGCTGAGGCTAGTAGTGGAGCTGGAACTCAAACTCAAGTCCTCCAATTCCAAAATAGCCCTCCTTTTATAAACCACACTGCCCAGGAAGGAGGGCCCAGGTAGGCACTGCCCAGCTGCCAGCACACAGCTCTCCCCACCATGCCTACCTCAAAGTGAACTCACCACCTCCGTTTTTGTAGCAGAGATAGGGAAACCTCCAGACATTGCCCAGCCCAATGATCTCCCCGGCCACTGACAGCACAAACTCCATCTTGTTGGTCCATTGGCCCCGATCCTTCACCTGGTCCTCGTCTTCCTGGTCCAACTTCTCTCCCTCCTCGGGGACCCAGGAGACTGCAGGAGGCCCACACTCTTGCACTGCCACCTTCCCGTCCATGGCTGTGTGGTGGGTTGGGAAGCCCCGCTGGGTGGGCAGGATGACGAGGGCCAAAGCCTGGTGGGAAGAGAAGAAATTAGCTGTAAAACCCGACATGCTCCCGCCAGCCCTGCTTTCCCATCCCGATCTCCGCTGTCAGCATATTGTTGTTCTTCCCAAGTGCTCCATGGCATTTACACCTAAAGTTCCAGTTCGTTCTCGTAACTGTAAGAGCAAACCTTAGTTTTCTGAGTTTGCAGATGAGGAAATCCAGGCCTTGGCAGATGAAGTGATTCACCCAAGACCACTCAGGAGTGGAACCGTGATGAAAACTCAGGCTCGGGCTTTTCATTTTCATGTCCCTTTTTATCTGTACAGCTCGCCACCATCCCAGCCGGCCCATCTGCCCAGGTCCTTGATGTCTGCTGAGTGACCTCAGCCTAGCCTCTGGCCTCCAGGTCAGAAGGGATCAAAGCCTGCCGAGGTAGCAAGGGTCAACGGGCAGGTGTGGCCGAAGTGACTGCATGGTTCTCTCCTAGCCAGCTGTGTGCTAAGGTGATCGATCAGCTCAGAGTAAACAGGGGAGCCAGCAGCTCTGGGCAGCTGATTGGGAGGAAAAGAGAAGGTGGGGCCTCTGAACAAGGCCAGATGACAACAACGATTGGCACCAGGGGCAAGTGTGAGCTTTCGAGGGAGCCCCAGCTCCTCTTCTCTCTGTTGTATCTCTGTCCTGAGAAAAACTAGGGGGCCCTGGTGCCAGAAGGGATCACCAGACCAGTTCTCACCTGGCTGGCAGTCACCTCCGGATGACCCCCAAGGTGACCAAATGACGGGCTCCTCAAAAGGGAGGCCCAGCAGTGGCTGCCCCTCTCAGCAGGTCACTGCCCTTCCCTTCTCCCTGCCCTCCTAGAGAGCCCAAAGCTCCCTAGACCTCCAGAAAAGTGACGTGGGGCATTCTTAGTTCTACTCTCTGTCCCTTGGCCTGCTTGTCAACTGCCAGGAGACAAATCCGCTTCTGTCAGGGTGTATCTCCAATCTATGTTTGCCTTCTCCTCCCTCTCATACACACAAACAATCGCCCTGAGGCCACCTCTGCCTTTATTCCCAGGAATTGCCAAGAGGAGGTGCCCCAGGCTGTAGAGGGGAGCACCCATCCCGCAGCCCCTCACCTCTGAGGGGTATTGAGGGAATCAAAGCGACCAGGTCTACCAAGTGCCCCACGCTCCTCCAAGGCTCTAGAGAAACAGGGATTCTTTTTATTAAGGAAGAGTCTGTGTTTATTTACTGGTCCTTTTAACCCAGGCAACAGCCCAAGCCCAAGTCAGTTAGAAAGGCGTGGGCAGGAGCCATTTGAGGTAATGGAAATTTTTGAAGGTGACTTGGAGGGTGCAGGTTATCCCAGGAATGGGAAAGCATGTCAGAGTGAAATTCTGGTATTGGGACCTACTCAGAGCCTTCCACTGTAAGCTCAGCCCAGGAGGGAGGATGAGGATAGCCACCCAGTGGGAATCAGAGGCCTTGAGTCTCTGTTATGAGGGAGAAGGCAGGGGAAAAGAGGGAGGAAAGAGAGCCTCTGGGTTCAGAGTATGTGATCAGACCCATGGGGGCCTTGAGCACTGGAGCCTGGGGATGAAAAAATGGGGAGTTGGGCCCCAGGGGAGAAGTTGGTAACATCTGAACCCAAATGTGGATGTTGCTACAGAATTAGGAATGAGGCACCCTGAGAAATGACCCTGGAATCATCACCAAATAAATTAACAAACTAGTGAGCGAGCTTGAAAACACGCATGAAAATGCACCAGATAGGAAACCCAAGTTCTAATCCAGATCTAGCTGTTAATGATAATAACAACAGGTTGACATCTGAGTCAGCAGTATGTTAAAGACAGGCACTCTTTCTACGTATTATTGAAGTGCATCCTCCTAAGAATCTCTGAAGTTAGGTGTCACTATTAGCTCCACTTTATGTGTGAGGAAGTGAAGCTCCAAGAGATTAAGGAACAGTGCCTGGCACCTGCAGCGCCTGGGGGACACTGTTCTCAATGCTAGAATACACTTACCAAGACAATGAGTCGTGGAGCTGGGTCTCTAACTTGCTGTGTGACCTCAGGCAAATCACACCCCCTCTCTGAACTCTAAGTTTCCCTGGAAGAGAGAAAGACCACTGCTCAAAGGGGTTTTCGGAGGGTGAGGGGATAAAAACAAGACTCAATAAAGAGACGGAGAACTGACCGCCTCTACTCGCGGGCCATAGCGTTGCTAATCCCAGGGCGAGCCCCAAGCACAAGGGCCCTTAGGGCGGTGGTCAGAAATGAGCCTTACTGTTTCCAGACCACAGGCAGCTGTGGCAGGACCAAGGTGGTCTCAAGGGCTGGGAGAGTGGAGGCTTGCTGGGGGAAGGAGTAAATGAAGGGAAAGCCGGAGGGGCGCAGGGGCAGGGAAGCGAATCACAGAATCCAGTTTGGGCCCAGGATTTGGGTTTCATCAGAAATAGGGGAAGTGCAAAAAGAGAACATGAGCTGGTGAACCGACACTGACGCAACATGATTTTTTAAAAATAAAAATGAAAATAAAAAAGTAATCGGGAGGAGCGTAACTTGTGGTTCAGAATGAAAATCCAGAACGGCAGAATGAAAGCAAGAGCAAGTGAAAAGGACAGCTGGCCCCGAGCCGTGGTAACTCAAGAGGGAACACGCTTAAACTGCAGCAAGAGGGATTTAAGTTAGACTCAGGGAAGAAATGGCCCAGAGGATGTTAGACACCAAAACAAGCTGTACTGAGTTCTCCTTTCTGGGCTACTTTTAAAAGGCAAAGGACTACACACCCCACCCCCGCTGTGCCCTTCCACCTCCAGCTTCGGCTGGCCGCCTCTCCAGCCCCTCGAGTCTCCTCCAAGGCCGCCCACCTGCTTTGCTAAGCCGGGACAGGGGGGTGAGGGGTGGGGGATGGGCCTCATCATACTTCAGTGCCCTCCAGAAGCAAACACACCAATTTCCACACCGGGCTTGGTGCTGCCCAGAGAGCAAATCTTCAAGAGACTAGAAAGTCCAAAGTTAAGTCTGTTTTCAGGAGCTGGGCATGTCGCCAGAGGCCCAGCTGGGGCTAGCAGAGGTGCAGACGAGACCAGAAATGCTGCTGCCCATGTGCTGCTGGGATCCCAGCTCTGTCCCCTTTGCTCCCCAGTCCAGCATAGGAATAGCTCAGACCCTGCACACGGGGGGATGGGACACCCAGCCCCTGCTTCAGTCCACACCCACATACCAACACCCATTCCCATACACACACTGGTGCCATTTCCCGTCACGTCCCTTCGCACACACATACCTGTGTGCATGGCACCAAAACCTGGCTCTCTCTGTAGTCCTTCACACCCCGTGAGTGCCGGTCTCAGCTGGTGGCTGCCTGCAACTCCCCTGAGTGCCCCCCTCGGGTACAAGCACACCCATAGCATCCACCGCCCAAAGCCAAGACAGCTTCCTCCTGGGAGGCGCCTGGCACCCAGCTCGTCACGCTCAGCCGGCAGGCAGCGGGCAGGAACCCCTCACCTGTGATCATTTATTGCAGTTCCTGGGCCCTCGGGAATGCCCCGAGGTTTCTCCTGTCCACTTCTCCTTCCACCTTGCTGGGCACCACCTGCTTCCCCTCCCCTCGTCAGATGACCACCCCTGCTTTCACCCACTGCCGTGACCAGCTGCCCATCGCTGGACTTTCCTGCTCCACAGGCTAATCACTGAGCTGCTCCCACGCTGGATGGGGCGGAGCTAGGGGGCACCCCTTGTCCTGAGAGTCGTGGGCATCAGACTTGCCCTTTGGCCTGAGGTTATTGCAGGTCCTGCCCCCCGCTGCAGACACGCAGTTCCACAGAGTCTCGCTTCCCAGGGCTCTATCCCTCCAGCCCCTCTGAGCAGCAGTTGGAGACTGCAAAGACAGAGCCAGCCCCTCCACTTCCCGCTCACCTCAGTCCCCAGCACCGGCTCCTGTGGTCAGCTTGGCTGTGGGCATCAGGTCTCCAGGAGAGTCCCAAGGCAGCTGCTTATGGGAAAGCCAAGAGAGCCGGGACCTGAAAGGGAAACTGCCCTCCACGTTCACGCCTTACCCTGTTCCTCCCAGCGCAGAATCCCATGTGACTTGTCCAGGGACTCCCAGACAGAAAGAAGCCGTGTGTGTATGTGTTGGGGCGGGGGCTGTGTGTGTTGGGGAGTGAAAGGACAGAGAAATACCAGGAGCAGCAGGAGGGACTGAGGCCAAAAGTTTGTGAACCGAGATTACAACATCCAACCTCAGGAAGTCAAGTCCTCTGTCCCCAGCGCTCCCACCCCCATCCCACTCCCACTGTGAACCCACTGTCTCCAGACCGGTGCCCTCCCCGTGGGCACAGTCCCATGATGGCCCCTCCAGAGCTGGGCTGAGCTGCTGCTCCCTTGGGCAGGGGAAGGGGCTCAGAGACTCACACCCTGACCTCATCTCCCCTCCTCCTCCTCCTTGCCCTTCCCCCTTCCCCCTTTTCCCCTATCCCCCTCCAGAACCATCTCCTTCCCAGGGATGAGGAGACGGGTATGTGCAGCACAGGGGACAGCCCTCTCTTACCAGAGACTCCAGGCTATAAACTGAGAACCTTGGGAGGGGAGGTGACCTCACTGACGAGGGCAAGGGAGGAGGGTGAATCACACGCTGGAGTTTTCCACCAAGTACCTGCCCTCTGTGGCTTCTAGGCAAGGCCCTGGACCTTCACAACCCTTCTCCTTGGGATTTTCCTAGAGAAAGCACCCAGAGCGTACCTCAAGAAGCAATGTAGAGAGGACCCAGGATTGGGACCAGACAGACCTGAGTTTCTTCTCCTCCTCTATCATGTATCAGTCACGACAGCTAGGCAAGGGTCAGCCTTGGTTTCCCAGTCTGTCAAAGGTAGGTAACAACACAATATCTACTTTGCGGGGTTGCTGTGAGGGTGCAGGGATATCATAGGTGCTTAAGGGGAGGTGTGGGTGTTTGTTGTGTGTCCTCTGGAAGCAGAGGCTGGGATGGTGGGGTGTCTGGTCCCAGGCACCTCTGGTCACTGCATAGCACCAGGCACCTAGCTAGAATTTGTCTGGAGTGGCCTGCCAGCTATCAATGGGGAAGGGTATTTTTTGAATACATGTGCCCTATGCCGTGTGCCCAGTGAGCTCCTCCAGAACAGCGTCCTGGTCACTGTCCCTGAGCACGCCCACCTGGTGTGGGGTACAGCACTGTCCCACCGCCCTTCATTCAGAATAGCTGGTGCCTCCTTCAAGACAAAGGAGGTGCTTCTTCAGCTCTAGGTGGTATGAAGGGAGAGGAAGTTGCAGGGAGAAAGGGAAATTTCCTTTTACATGTGCTTCCTCTGTGTATTTTAGAACTTCCCAGCAGGGGTGGGGTGTGAAGTGAGACTCTCAGTCTGTAGTTTTCCATCAAGCACCCCCACGATATGTCTCTCGGGCCCCTCTCAGCCTCTCCTGTGGGGTTCCACATGAAGAGGAAGGCAGAGCAGGTCTCAGCTCTCAGACCCATTGCCTCTATGAAAGCAGAAGCCGGGCTGGGGGTCAGCTGTGGCACAGTAGGACATGGCCCAGCCAGAATCCATACTTGAGCTACCCCGGTGCTCAGGTGTGGCCTGTCCCTGCATGTCAGGTCCACCATGGATTGACCACAGAGTTATTGCAGAGGGGACATCAAAGTCCATGTGATCACCTAGCTACAGCTACTCCAGAACAAAACACCAGCCTCTCCATAAAAAGGAGAAAGAGGGGAGAGGATCAGACAAGCCAAGATGGTGAATTTCCTTGTTGGTTCCCTCAAAAATTATATTTAGCACATACAGTGTGACATGCTTTCTGTGAGGATGAACAGCAACAGCCCAGCAGTCCTGTCACCTCTCCTTCACCTTGTCAGAGAACAGCTGCCTGGTTGACCTGGCCCAGGGGGTACAGTTTGACTTTCCCCCAAAAGAGCTACCTGGTCCCTCCCTGTTTTTATCTGACTGCCTCTGGCCTTAGTCCCACCATCTTAATGTTGAGCCCTTCCTCACTCAAGTTTTCCTAGCCTCCAAGACCCACTTGGTATTCAGACCAGTTAGTAAACTTCTGGAGGCCAGAGACTCTCTAATGTTGAGCCCTTCCTCACTCAAGTTCTCCTAGCCTCCAAGACCCACTTGGTATTCAGACCAGTTAGTAAACTTCTGGAGGCCAGAGACTCTCTAATGTTGAGCCCTTCCTCACTCAAGTTCTCCTAGCCTCCAAGACCCACTTGGTATTCAGACTGGTTAGTAAACTTCTGGAGGCCAGAGACTCTCTAATGTTGAGCCCTTCCTCACTCAAGTTCTCCTAGCCTCCAAGACCCACTTGGTGTTCAGACCGGTTAGTAAACCCCTGGAGGCCAGAGACTCTCTAATGTTGAGCCCTTCCTCACTCAAGTTCTCCTAGCCTCCAAGACCCACTTGGTATTCAGACCAGTTAGTAAACTTCTGGAGGCCAGAGACTCTCTAATGTTGAGCCCTTCCTCACTCAAGTTCTCCTAGCCTCCAAGACCCACTTGGTGTTCAGACTGGTTAGTAAACCCCTGGAGGCCAGAGACTCTCTAATGTTGAGCCCTTCCTCACTCAAGTTCTCCTAGCCTCCAAGACCCACTTGGTATTCAGACTGGTTAGTAAACTCCTGGAGGCCAGAGACTCTCATCTTTGCAAAAGGTAGGCATCCTGGAAAGCCTAGCTGAGACTGGGCTGTTTCCACACTGAGGAGTGTGCAGGGTGAAGACGACAGGTAGCTGAATGAATCTATCACCTTTGCTGCAGTAGGAACCACTGGCCACCACAGAATGTTCTCACCACCCTCATCTTCTAATCTCATCCATACTTTCAGAGGGCCTGGAATAGGACTTATTTCCTGAGCATCTAACTCGGACGAGGAGTTTTACATGTTACTTCATTTCATCCCCTTAAGAACTTTGAAATGTAAAAATTATTAGCCCCATTTTACAGACGGGAAACTGGGGTGAATAAATAGAAGCTAAGTGATTTGTCCTAAGGCCACACACAAGTAAGTGATGGTGCTGGGATTTGAACCTGGGCCTCTTGGCTCCAAAAATCTATGCTTGTTCCACTGAAGCATACTGTTCCCCTGACCATGAATATCTATATGTCAGGGGTCTCATTTCATAATTCTTTATTTCTGCCTCTAGCATTTAATACAATTCTGCCTCAGAATAGGCACTCAGTGTTCATTGGATGGAGGATGGATGGATGGATGGATGGATGGACAGATGGATGGATGGATGGATGGATGGATGGATGGATGGACAGACGGATGGATGGACAGATGGATGGACGGATGGATGGATGGATGGATGGATGGATGGATGGATGGATGGACAGACGGATGGATGGATGGACAGACGGATGGATGGATGGATGGATGGAGGATGGACGGATGGATGGATGAACGAGTGGATGAATGGAACTTGAAGGGGGAAAAATGATTACAGTTTTCCCTTTTCTGGGAGGACATTGTTTCCCCAGAATCAGAGGGCTCAGATGACTCAGGTCCTGCTTATCTTGGACAGTACTGCTCTGTGTTGTCACTTGGTGAAGAGTGTGGAGTAGCACCCTCAGGCCACAGGACCAGGATTATTTTAGGACTACGTCTTCCTTGCCTTCTAGTGAAAATGCTTAGCTCGGCCGGACGCGGTGGCTCACGCCTGTAATCCCAGCACTTTGGGAGGCCGAGGCGGGCAGATCACAAGGTCAGGAGATCGAGACCATCCTGGCTAACACGGTGAAACCCCATCTCTACTAAAAAATAGAAAAAATCAGCTGGGCGTGTTGGTGGGCACCTGTAGTCCCAGCTACTCGGGAGGCTGAGGCAGGAGAATGGCGTGAACCCGGGAGGCGGAGCTTGCAGTGAGCTGAGATGGTGCCGCTGCACTCCAGCCCGGGCGACAGAGCGAGACTCCGTCTCAAAAAAAAAAAAAATGCTTAGCTCAATAAATGTGTAGCCTCCTTCCTGGAGCCCAGTGCAACCTAGTCTGAGACTGGGGACAGCAAGGATATCTCTAAACTCTTCCTGAACTTTTCTGTGATGCTGACAGTCCGATGTGGTGGGGCTGCAGCTATGGGAAATAGGATGGGTTTGACTGAATGTGTCCCCAGGGCAGCTGTCCCTATAGCATCTGCTGGACTCTAACAACACTGATGTAAGTAGCAGTATTCCTGTTTTATGGAAGAGAAAACTAAGGATCAGAGAGGTTAGCTTGCCTAAGGTCACACAGTTAGTAAGTCAAAGGGCCAGGATCCAAGCCAGGCCTGCAAGCCCCTCTACAGGAGAATGCTCAGCTGGCTGTGGCGTCTCTGAGTTTGTGCACATGTGCACATGTCTCTGAGGATAAGGAGGGGCTGGTGCCTGCATGCCTGTGTGTGGATCTGAGACCTGGGTGTTCATGTGGGCAAGGTCTGAGGCCCCGCGCAGCCTGGTGGGCTCAGTGCCTAACAAGCTGCTTTCCCGCAGCCCTGGGCATAGTCTGTAACTCTCCCGCCACCTCTGCTTCTGCTCTCCCTGTTCAACTTGCCCCCAGGCTCTCACTGCTTGCCTTTCCTCTCTAACAGGTGTGGCCTCCAGACAAGAGAGGGCTCCCTTCCTTTTGGGTCTTCTTCTCTGGGAACTCTAAGATATAGCGCCCACCCCTCCAGGCTAGGGAAGCAGGTCACTGACTCGGCTGCCCTACACCCCCCCATCCCCACCCCCACCCCCGTCGCTTCAGCCCCTCTGGCTAAGGCCGAGGTACTCCTTCCTTCCTTCCCTCAACCCTGACCCCGACCCAAGCCAGCAGCATTCTCATCTCTCTGCCTGCCAGTCCCACCTGCGCTGTTAGAGCCTCACCCCCTCAGCCACCTCCCTCCAGTTTGATGACCTCACACCACGTGTCACCAAGTGACGGAAAGGACCCTCACACCCATTACCTCCTTTGAGCCCTACGACAAGCCCTGCTTGGAGAAGGAGTGCGTGGCGTTTTCTGCAACTGCGAAGCAAAGAACCTGAATTCCAAGTGACTGCACAGACACGCAGCAAGTTCTGGAAGCACACCTCCGGGTTCTTACACCAATAGGTGACTCTCACACCGTGTTCCACCATCAGGAAGCTCCTCGATGCGACTCAGATCACATCTGGGTCCCACATTCCCGCTGAGGCCGGCAGTTCCGGCAACTTTGGTCATACGGATGGAGACAGGTATTATAACCTTAGAACCCAACCTGCACCATGAGGTCCTGCCCTACCCCACTTATTATTTTCCACAGCTCTTTGCTCTTTTCTGTCATGGTATCTGTCACTCACTGTTTAAGAAATTGTATCTGTTTTTACTCCTGGCATGTCACGAGCACAGCACGGCACCACGCGGGAGGTGTTCTGTCAACAGTGTCCGGTGGATGGAGCTGCTGGCTTGCAGCATCTCGAGTTCGGGCCTGCCTCTCCAGCAGATGTATTTCTCCCCCGGTAAGACTGAGATTGAGCCCAGCACCCTCGGGGAATGCCCGAGCAGCATTCTCCAGGAAGGGGCAGCCAAGGCTGACATACAGCAGGACTGCTGTCGTTAATCTTCACCAACTCTTCCAACGACAAAAAGTCAAAAACTGAAGACAAGCAAATATTTCAGTGCATTTTTTTCCACTAGTGGACATGTGAAAAACTAAGATCACCCAGGGAAGCCTGTGCACCCTTAGACTGCAGCCCTAAGAGTCACAGGACACACCAAGGGCAGCACCAGAAGACCCATCTGAACAAAGGTGGGCACACGGGCAGGCCCCCGAGCCTGCGCATAGGCAGGGAGAGATGTAGCTGTGTGTTCAGCCACTTCCAAAACCACACACAAAGCTACAGCCAGAAATATGTGGGGCCCGGCTCCATGCCCATACGCAGAGGCAAGGCTGCAGAGACACACCTGTGGCACCCTCTGGGCACCCCCCCCCATGCCCACTGACCCCGAGTGGGGGTGGACTTCCTCCCTGCAGCTCAGGCCCTGACAGTAGAGCTGTGGCCATAGCAGTACCACCCCCTCGTGGCCACATCTGGCGGTGCCCCGGCATCCGGTGTCTCCTATCCTCAGAAGAGCGAGGCGGTCCCAAGGAAGTGGCGTCCCTCTGCTGGCTGAGCTGGGCAGTGCCCTCCTCTGCCAAGGCCCCCCAACCTGCTGCACTGGGGCGTGGTCACAGCCGGCCCTCCCCCACGTCCCCCGTGCCCAGCCTCGGTGGGCACACAGGCAGTTTTGGCCGCTGGGGGTAGGCGAGGACACAGCAGGGAAAGTGGGCAGGAGGAAACTGCCACCAGCCTTTCCCTCTCCTTTGGCTAGGACTCGGGTCTCCTTCATGCGTCCCTCAATTTCCTTTCTTATTCCACAGCACAAAGGCGGAGGAAGGAAGCTGAGGACATGTGGAGAGAGGCTGGGCAGCCTCCTCTGGTCCACATGCCTGATGATGGAGGCTCTCAGCCTGGCCCCACCACCCGCCCCCATCACCGTGCTGAGTGGGCCCCAGTGAGAACTCAATGGGGGAGGCTAGGATGGGGAGGGGCAGGGTCCTAAACCACAACAGTAACATGGGGAAGGGTGAAGGCAGCCAGGCAGGGGGCAGAAATCAGACAGAACCGCTAGCAGTCAGCGGGAAGAATGTGGATTTAATGGAATGAAGGATGAGAGGGCCCGAAGCCAGCAAGTCTCGCCCCACCTACCAGCCCCCACCCAGCTTCCCAAGGGTCTCAGAGGGACACTCTTGGCACTGGCCTTTCACATCTGTTCAACAACCCCTGAGCTGAAAAGTTGCAGTGGGAGGCCTCCAGCTCAGCAGGTGGACTCCAAAATACCCCTCTTGTCTTATCCACTCCAGGTCGGGGGCAGGGAAGCACATGGGGCTGCTTCTGCCACGTTCCCTCCACAGCCATCCCCAAGGCCAGGCACACAGGCACCATCCAAGGGCCTGCCCCCTAGCAGTGAGACTCTAGCTCTGTGAGTCTGAGCAGTGAGGTCCTGGGGGTGGCGGGAGCCGAGGGTCCTGCTGGGTTCCGCTGGGGCAGGTCCTCGGCTGGGCACATGAGCTGACGGATTCTCTGCGGGGATAGCAGAGGTGGCTGTCAGGTGGTGGAGCGGGGGCAGGTCTGCCAGCTTCCCTCATCACCAACATCTGCTGCCTCCCCACACACAAACCTGCCCTCCTGTCATCACAGCCCCTGTCTGGGAGTCCCCCTGTGTCTTCCCGAGACTTCTCAGCAGCCACTCTATCGCTCCCTGACACCCAGGCTGGGCCCACTGGCACCTCCACACAACGGTGTGCGCCCTGGCTGGCAGCCCACCTGTCGGCACCTGCGAAGCCTCCCAGCCCCTCTGGCTGCTTTCCTGCCCGCAAAGGCCCTACCTCTCTGAAGGGGCCCTTGAGGGTTCCGAGTCTGTAGAGGCTCCAGGCAGGAATGCAGACCATGGAGGACAGAGCCAGGAGCCAGCCCAGGGCATCGCCCCACCACGGGTACGTGTACTTCTTGTTGTAGGTCAGCGGAGTGTACTTTATCAGGGAGAAGAGAAAGGTGGCCTGAGGGGGAGAGCAGAAGAGAAAGGGGTTGGGGGGCGGGGGCCTTGTGCCCTCAGCTCCCCCGCTCCCCAGCAGCCTGGCAGAAATCACCCTCCAAGCCTGGATTCCCTCTAGCTCTTCTGGACCAATCAGCCTCCAATCTTCTCCATCCACACTCTGCCCAAAACCCACACCCTCCAGCAGTGTACTCTGTCACTCCAGGGCCCCTGTGCCCCTGGGCACCTCTACGTGCAGCTGACTCCCAGGTAGGATGTGATCATGTGGCCACTGCGTGCTGTGAGGTATTTACTACCTCTCCTGCACCGTGAGTTTGGGGTATGAGTACCTCAAGGGTACAGGCCATGCCTCCTTCTCCCTCTGCTCCTCAGTTATATCTGGCACACAGTGGGGAGCTCGGGAACAGCTGACACAAAGAGACAAGGCCAAAGGAAGCTGCGCGTTGTGGTTTCAGGCTCACATTCTGGAGCCAGGGTTTGAATCCCAGTTCTCTGCAACTTTCTAGCTTGGGCCAGTGGCTTAACAACCTCTTCAACCTCAGTTTCATCTGTAACACCAGTGTAACAACAGCACTTCCTTTATGGGACTCTTGTGAGGATTAAATGACTTAATACGAGTTAAAGCACCTTGTGCCCAGCACAAAGTCAGGGCTCTATACCGGCTGCTATTAGGATTGCTGTGGTTATTAGCATTTTTATGAGCAGCCCAAGGCACCCGGGTTTCAGTCCTGGCCTGTGACGTTAGACTCACACTGTGGTGTTGGTCAAACCGTCTGACAGCTCTGGACCTCAGTTTATCCTTCTGTGAAATGGAAAGGAAGAATCTATCTTGCTGTAGTTTTCTAGAATCCAAAAGGAGGATGAGTGAAAATCTAAGATGATTTTCAGTTCCTAGGGAGAAGTCCATTGCAGGGCTAACGGCTTCTCTACCCCTGCTAGCCACCGTCTCTCCCTCCCTTCATCTGACTTTATCCCTGAAATGATCTTACTGTGCACACAGCTGGTGTGAGGAAGAGCCAACAGTATTTGATAAGAGGCCATGGCCTGTACCCAATCATGTCTTCGATGTTGTCGTAGAAGCGCTTGGCTCCTACCATGGAGAAAAGAAGAAGGAAGGAGGAGAAAGTCATTCTTTGGCACCCAGGACATCAGGATGGGGCCACAAACAGACCAGAATGGGCAGGGACCCATAAAGAGATGACATCACAGCTGTCTGTTCAAGTCGTTGCTGGGAAAAAGCTCTTCCCTGGCATTCATAGGCATAAACAGCAGCAAGCAGGACTTGGCTTGGGTACAGGCAGTCACTTCCTGATTATCGAGGTTGTCAAAAGCTGAAAACATTTGGACAGGGCAGGATACTGGCCCACCTGAGGTGGTCTAGGTACAGCTATAACCAAGACTGTGGGCAAGGCAGCTTCTGGAGGGCCTTCCAAAGGTAGCAATTTAGGATTTGCAAGATTTTGGAGGTTGGGTAGGGAGGCGCCCCAGGAAAAGTTAAGTGCGAGCAGTAGATGTCTGTTTCGTGTCTAAGGACCCCAAGACCCTTAGACAAGAGGAGGATGCTGGGACCTAGGGGAGGAGTCACTCACCGTAAACCCAAGCCACACAGAGGGACTCGAAGATGGCCACGAACAGGAGGCACATGCCACTGGCCGCATAGTAGTCAAAGAGCTGGAACACGTACATTCCGCCCTGCATGGGAGGAGATTATTTTAAAAAGAAGTTTATCCAGTGGAAACAGAAAGATTCACTCCTATGCCCTTTAGCTTCACACGGTGGAGGCACAGAGCAGAGTTGGTGAGGATCACAGGAGATGGATCATAAAAGAGAAGTAATTTGTAAGCCATAAAGCATGAGGCGGATATGAGACGCTAATTATTTTTATTATTTTTTGGGACAGAATATAGATGAAATAAGACAGCTATTGTTAGATTACATCTGAGAACACTTAGGCACTGGCCACGAAGCCCAAGACATAGAGTGTACTCTTTGGGGAAAGGATCAGGATAAGGGCTGTCATTGATACTGTCAAGCTGACAAGCTCCGTCTCCCTCCTTCTCCCTTGAGATGCCACAGAATGTCACCCAGCCCCAGGCCTCCCTTTCTCGCTTTGAAGTTTGTACATAGAACTTGGTTCAGCTGCCTGGGAAATCACCAGATCTTGCTGGAGAGTCAGCTTCTCCCAATCCAATGCTCCACATACCTCTTCACTTACTGTGGAGCCAAATGGCTCCTCACCCATCCCTGGAGGTGGGTGGTCCATGCCCAAAGGCCAGAGGAGGGACCTGCCTACTTTGTCGTTCCTGGGATGGGGAAAAGAGGGAGTCCTAGTGTCCAGAAGCCCAGAAGACCTGCCCTGACCGGGAGCCAGGGTATCTGCCTCACTGACAGGTAGCAGCTGTCACTTGGCTCCTCCTCCCCAGCCTTCCCCCGCTTCCCAGGCCCTCACCTCTGTGAGCATGATCAGCCCCACAAGGAAGGAGACGACAGATACTCCAAGGATGAGGACTTCCCTCCGGTTCTTCTTGCGGAACACGTGAGGGTACATGTCCACCAGCGCTGTCACCAGGCTTTCTACACACACAAACTGGATGACAGGGCAAAGGGATTGGAGGGAAGGAGAGCTCCCGAGATGCCCTGTCCATGAGCGCTGGCTTCTCGCTCCCAGGATCAGCCCTGCCAGCCTCACTGTCTCAGGTCCCCTGAGCTATTGTCCTTGCCTGGTTAGGTCAGGACTCACCCTCAAGCTCCTGTGTCCCCAAAAGGGCATCCACTTCTGACATTCACCCATGGCTCCTCCTCCCCAGCACACACCCCCCCACTCATCTCTCAGCCTCTGAGTGGCTGCCTCTTGATACCTGGCTATCCAGTCCCAGGAGAACGACCATGAAGAAGAAACAGCAGGCCCAGAGAGGAGAGAAGGGCAGCATCACCACAGCCCGCGGGTAAGCGATGAAAGCCAGGCCAGGGCCTACGACAAGGAGCAGAGGAACACGGGCCAGTGCCCGGGCCAGCTCCAGGCTGTGGGTGACCCATGGCTTCCCAGCGTGGGGCCACAGAATAACAGGGGCTAGAGGAAACTTCACCCCAAAGTTGCTGTCACCACCACGTCCTCACCTAGGAGAAGCCACCCCAACCTCCATCTGGTTCTTGCATTTCCAAGGTACCTCTCACTGTATTCTTACTGGCAAGAACAGAATCTAGAGACGGTAGGTGTAGAGGGCTGTGGGTCTAAAACGACTCCAGATCTCCAGATCTATTGCACAGACCTGAGGTTTCAAGCCTAGAATGAGCTCAGAAGCCAGCAGGCCATAGAAGTTTGTGCAGCAGATCTAGTGCAGAATGCAAGGAGGTGGCTGGGCCTGGTGGGAAGAGGAGCGATCACGCCCCAGCTCCTCGCGATGTTCCGTTGTATTTGTACGGAATGTAGATGGTACCAAAAAAATCGCTCCAAGGCCAGAGTTGGCCTCCAGTTACCACCTCTGCGCCCGGAGCCCTTTCTGTCACCCTGCAATGACTACACTGGCACTGGTTTCAGAATGCCGCTGACACACGCCCTCGCGGCGCGTGAATGTTTCTCTCGACTGACTCATATGGCAGGAAAACATGCACGTAATAAAGCCTGAGTCCACCCATGGGAAGTTCCTCTGAAGAGTGAAGAGCATCACTGTGACCTCGGAGGTCTTTTGCTTCTGCCAGTCCCAGCTCCCACATTGGTGAGGTGGGGGTTGTGCAGGGCCTGCCCGCAGGTTTCCGTTGCATGGTACGAGTAGAGTGCCTCGCCCAGCACCTGGCGTACAGTCAACACTTAGAAAGTGAGACACGGGCCAGCCATGGCGGCTTATGCCTATAATCCCAGCACTTTGGGAGGCTGGGGTGGGTGGATCACTTGAGGCCAGAGGTTCAAGACCAGCCTGGCCAACAAGGTGAAACCCTGTCTCTACTAAAAATACAAAAATTAGCCGGGCGTGGTGGCACATGCCTGTAATCTCAGCTACTCGGGAAGCTGAGGCATGAGAATCACTTCAGCCCGGGAAGCGGAGGTTGCAGTGAGCCGAGATCATGTCACTGCACTCCAGCCTGAGTGACAGAGCAAGACTCTATCTCAAACAGTTTAAAAAAAAAAAAAAAAAGAGGGAGAGAGAGACACTATCGTTCTTAAAGAGAATCACAGACATCCACTGCCCAGGGCTTGGCATCCTGTGTGGCCCAGGCGTGCTTCTGAATGCCAAGGTAAAAAAATCATATTATTACAGGGCAAAGTAGGTGAGCAAGAGAAACATTTTATGGCTTATCCAGACTGGGGCCTGGGCCTTGATGTTATTTGAAAGCAGCAAAATAGCACTGCATGGTGGAAAGGCAGTCACTCACAAAAGAGGGAAACCCTATCTGCTGATGGAAACTTCGCCTTGAGATTCATTTTATAGTGAACAAAACGAGGCCAGGTGCGGAAGAGTGTGTATAATATGTTATCATTTGGTTTTTTAAGAAGGAGGCAAGAAATAGAAATAGTAATATGTATTGCATGTATATGTCTGTATATATATTTTTTCTCATATATGTCTAAACTATTTCTGGAAGGATAAACATGAAATAGATAACATTGGCTGCTTCCAGGGTAATGAACTGGAAGCCAAGGATGGGAAGAAAAATGTTCACTGTAGGCCTACTCTTTAAAGCTGGAATGACTGTTTCAATTCTCCGCCAAGTCTTCCCAGAACGCATCCACTGAATGGTGGCCGTAGCTCACCCAGAGTGCAGGTGACACAATGGAAACGCCTCTAGACGCTTGCTGCCAGAGGTTTGAACCAGGCTCACTGCCTCCAGGCCTCCCCAGTAACACTCACCTGACTCGGCCACCTCAGAAATGGGCACCCCCTGCTCCTGAGACATGAAGCCCAGGATGGAGAAGATGGCAAAGCCGGCCACAAAGCTGGTGCCGCTGTTGAGGAAGCAGAGGGCGATGCAGTCCCTGTGGGGCAGGGGTGAGGAGAGGGCGGAATGGCAGGGTCAGAACAGGGCTGCAACCTCTCCTGCTTCCTGTCTGGGAGCACAGCCCCTCCTGGCGGACACTGTCCTGGCCCCTTCACGGACGCCGGAGCAGGGCTACCTGGCAGAATTCAGAGGACCACGCAAAGCACTGGCTCTCCTCCGACACTCCTCGGCCCCACCAGCCCAGGGACGGAATAAATCAAGGTAGTCCTAAAAGAATGCGGCTCCAGGGAAGCAAAACATGGATCTAGATGTGACAAACCGCCACACAGCCGCCCCTCTCTACCACGTAGGTCCACACCGCATGGGACGCCACCACTCTGCCATCATCCCATCTGGCATGCTAATGGGTAATCCCAAACAACAAATAACTCTTAGTCGCCTGAATTCAATTTTGAGAGGCACCATATGATTTCACTTCAGCTGTGTTTCAGCGTGTATTAAAATTGGCTTAAATTTTCTGAGCACAAACCAGGTAGGCAAGGAGAGAACGAGGGGGACAGGATGTGAAGTGAGGGAGATGGTGTGAAAAAGGGGCAAGGATTCAAAGTTTTGGGGGCAGATTTACCAAGCAAGCAAGACTGGGGTGCACAGTAGGACCTCACTTCACATCATGGATACATTCTCGCAAATTGCCATTTTAAGCAAAACAACCTATAATGAAACCAGTTTTTTTTCTCTCATCAAAGTTATAAGGAAACGACATTATTCAAAGACCTGTGGTGCTTCTCAGGCTTGCTTACCCAGCACTCCTGAGCCCACTAACCTCTACATCAGCCAGGAGGCCAGGCACCCCTGCTGTGGTCTCCCAGCCAATCACAACTATCCCACCCTTTCGGATGCAATTCTCTGTCCATCTTGCAGTTGGCTCCTTGCAGCTCCTGGTAGCCCTGGGGTGTTGGATATGGGGGTGTAGACAGGGGGGCAGATCCAGGAGCTGATGCACCCTCCAACTCACCCTCGTCTAGCGTGGCTGGAAGGACAGTAGAGAGATGCAGGTGTGTGGCTCAGGCCCCACGCCCCCAATCACCTGTAGCAGTTGTTGTGGTACTTGTTGTAGCTGCCCAGGGCTGTCAGGCACCCAAGACAGATGGCGAAGGAGAAGAATATCTGGGTGCCTGCATCCATCCACACCTACAAAGGGGAAGGGCAAGAAAGGTGAACTCCCAGGAAAGCCAGGCCATTCAAGCCATGGGCGGACACAGGCATGTGGCTGAGCCAGACACTGGCTAGGGATGGCGAGAAACCTGTTCTCAGCCAACACTTGCATCCTGCTACCTCTGCTCACCCCAGTGGGCTCTACTCCCTGGACTCCTAGGTGAAGTTTCTTGGGCACTACTAGGATAGAACAGGCATTAGGCATTCAAAGAAAATGAAAAAGACTAAAAGACCCATGGTGGAAGCGTGTAGGAGGGTGGGACAGGGCTCTAGAATGAAGCTAGGTCTCCTGTCAGGTTTTTGATCCTAGGTTCTGCCCCCACTCTCTCCTATGACCAGTGTGGAGGAATCCAGGCACAGGGTCTCCAGGAACACTGTCCCTAATAGCAGGGCCACCACCAGTATGTAGCTTTGCCCCTCACGTCTCAGCAACCTCTGTCTAAAGACAGGGAGAGTAATTCTCGGCTCACAAAAAGGCAAAAGGACGAACAGAAACACCTCTGAAAAGGGCTTTGTACTCCTTGGGAGGGAAAAAAATCACAGTCCAGCTAAACATAGAGTTCAGTTGTTATTGTTATTATCTCAGCTGGCTCGCCCAGCCCGTGCATGTTATGATTTAGATCTAACAGCTAGAATAACATCCCAGACAGAAAAAACATCAAGGCAACAGGACCGAGCGACCCTGCAGATCTGCAGGACCCTCCCCAGGAGCTCCTGCCCCTGGCGACGTGAGCACAACCAGGGAGCACCCCGCTATGGACGCAGACATCCAAGCAGGTGTTCCTCATGTGTCTGTGTTCCTAATGGAAAGGGCGCCGGATGACCCGTCCATGTCTTTTGCTCAGCCTCATTCCAGAACCCCCCCAAGCAGGCCCCTGCTTTCCACAAAACCCTCTATCCTTTCATCACTCTCTTCCGCTAATATCAGGCCTCCAATTCCTCAGTCCCTTCCTGGTCTTTGCCTGCCTCCCTAGGCATGGTCACCACCCTCAGCCCCTACCCCTTGCTCCCTCCTTTCACGCTCACCCCTACCAAAGTGGCCACATTTCTCAGCAGTGTAGAGGCCTGAGGGATCCATCAGCAGGCTGACCACCTCAGAATCACGCTGATTCCTCAGCCAGCATCCCCAGTCAAGACACTGAATCCCTAGGCCTGAAGGAGAACCCAGAACTCGTATGCTTTTCCGAGCTTCCTGGGTGATCCTAATGGTCACCAGGTATGGGATGCTGTCCTATGGCCCCTGCATCAGGGGTGCACCCAGGGCACCCATCCTCTCATCATGTCTCCATTCTGCAGGGCCAGGGACAGAGCAAGGAAGACGGTGGGGAAAGGGGAAAATGTCTCCAGCCTCCCATTCTTGAGTTCACTGGGAATCCTGTCCTGAGGTGGTCTGTGAGGCAGGAGGTGCCACCAGGGACAAGGGGTGAGCAGCAAGAAGCACAGAGGAGGATTTGGAGGGGCTGGAGCCAGGGAGGAAATCACACAGAGCAGGAAATGCTGGGAATGAAATGCAAGAAAAGGACAGGGAATGAAGGACAGACCCTGGGACAGGCAAGGGGGTGTTTGCAAACTGCAGTGTCTCACTTCTCCCCGTTTAAAAAAAGAAAAGTTTCAGTGTGATGCCACACCAATTTTGAGGAGATGCCTTGGCCAGTCTGTTTGCTCCTTCAAGATGTTCTAAATCCTTTTTTCTCTTCTAAAACTCTGCCACACAGCTCCTGCAAAGATAGTCATCTCAGGAAAACTCACTGACGTTGGCATGAAAGTCACTCGGTTCTATCTCATTCCTGCTTCACTGGCTAAGTTACTGGCAGCTTCAAGAGCAGGACCTTCTGGCAAAAGGCCCTGAGCTTATAGAGAAAGTGCTTCCCCAGGGTCAGAGGTGTAAGGGCTCAGGACCAATGCACGTCTCCTGGGACCCACGGGTACTGCCCCTTCATGAGGTCGGGCGCCCCCTCCCAAAAAGGTCATTCAGGGTGTGTCCCGGGAGCCCGGAGTCCTCGCGCCTTGGACATTTGCTCCCAGGCCTGACGGTGCGCTGGGTGCAGACTGGGCCATGAATTACCAAGGAAACACGCCGCGGCTGCCCACACACATTCAGAGGCACAAGCCTGATACGGGCATCTTTGTGAACTTGTGCTTGGGAAGGAATAATAAGAGAAATCGTGACTTGGCCATTTACCTCGCCTCGGCAGGGGTGGGAGGTCGGAGTGGGGTCATATGGAGACTGAATTGGGGGAGAGGTTAATGAGAACTAAGGAAAATGCGGCAGGAGGCTGAGAACCCAGAGCGCAAGGGTCAATGCACTCTTCTTTGACCAAAGCCCCCTCGCTGGGAGCTTGGCAAGCCCCAGCTCCCCACACAGCTGCTGCCCAACAGGCCTGCTGGGATGGGGAAGAGAACGGGGTCAGAGCAAGCTGTTCCATTCCCACCACAGGCGACCACTCCCTGCCCACTCCACGAGCCCTGGTTTCTGGAATAAAGCTCTGATTTGTCTCTGGCTAGGGCAGAAGGCCGACCAAGGGAAAAATAAGTGTAAAAAATTCTGGGTGGAACGCAGGTAAAAGAGGTCTTGGGGGGAAGGAGGAGGAGAGGGGACTCTAGAAGATCTGGGAAAGATGTTTTCAGCCTCAAGTCCAACCCCCAGGATTATTAATATCTATCTACTATTTTTAGGAAGGCAATGTTGTGTAATGGAAAAGCACAGCTTTGAAGTTACATTAATCTGGGCTCAATTCCTGACCTTATTAATTACTGGCTGTGCGATCTTAGGCAAGTCACTTAACCTCCCTGAACCTCCCTTTTCTCATCAGGAAAATGGGTATAATAACAAATAAAATAATGCATGTAAAATGCCTAACACATAAATAAATATTAGTTTCCTATCTCACCTTCTGGAATAATAAAAAGCAGCTCTTAAAACTCTCAAGTAATTCATATTCTTTGGGAACTATCATGGTAAATAAGACAGCAGTCATCAAAAGACTGCTTGAGATAAAACCCACGCTCCCCCACATGCTGGTTTTGTGATTCGGGGCAAGTTTCTTAAGTTTCCTAAGCTTCTGTTTCTCCATCCGTAAGATGAGGCTGACCCCAAACTCACAGGGTTGAACTGTGTCAAGCACTCAGCAAAGGGCCTGGCGAATAAGAGGGACATAATAAGGTTAGCTTTGGCCACTGTTTACTGCTGCTATTATTTTAAAAAGCAACTCATCTTTCATTGATAATGAGGTGGCATAGATTGGATTTCAATACTAAAATAAAGACTAGTTCTAATCGGTGATTTCAGCTTCCTCCCTAAACAAACCTTTCCTTAGACTTGCTTAACGCAGGGATCTAAAAGCTTCCACGAGGGTTCTTTGGATGTCCTCCTCCCATCCCCCGCCCTCAGCAACCTCCTAAAGTGCAGTAGAACAGGCACAGGGCCAGGACCCGGGAAAGAAACAAGTGGTCTGAGTAAAGCACACGCTCCAGCAGAGCCCTGGGTCTCCAGTGGCCAGTCCCCAGGGGGAGGAGACAAGGCCTGGGGATACCGGGAAAGGCAGCAACCTGCCCCTCAAACAGCGAGCCTGGCAGAAAAAGGGGAGCAAACGAGAGGGGAGCACAGCGTTGTCTCTGCCTGGCTCCCCACAACCGGCCTCAGTGCTTGGCAGAGAGATGCGTCTTTGGTCTGTGTCGGGGAGAAGACATTTTGCACCCTTCTCAAGTGCCAGGCGAATGCCAGTTAGAATGATCACACTTCCTGGGGAGTGCCAACTAGATTCAATTAGGGCTCTGGCAAAGCACCCCCACCCTGCAGGTGCTGCTTTGTTCACTGACAACAAAGGCCTAGCTTCAGCATGAGACTTGGACCAGGCAGAGAAGAAGGCTGCTCAGGACCAGTCCTGGCACTTGAGCCATCCCCCTCCCCACAGCCCCAAAGCACTTGGAACACAGATGCTCCCTGCACAGCCCAAAGCTGGCTGGAATGGAAAGAATGGTATCCCAGAGTAGAGACTGAAAGAGGTCTTTGTCCCTGCAGTCACCCAGACAGAGACTTATGGCCTCATTAATGCTCAGAAGTTGAAAGCTACCTGGTCCACCTTCTTTATGTTTTCTGGAAGCTGTTATATACCAAACATGGCACCTGGAACAGATCCGGCACATAGTAGGTGCTCATAGTAGATTCACTCAGGTTTTTGCTGAATGAATAAGCTGTGAGAGAAACAAAGGTGAGTGGCCAGGGACCTCGTCTCCAAGAGTGGATCATAAAGTGCATGGGATTCGTCATCATTCAGACCCAGTCCCAGTTGCAGATGTGAGGATGAAAACATGCATTAAGCTCTCTAGGCCTTAATGTCCTAATCTATAAAATGGGGATGCCTTGTTGATCTGCTGTGAGCGTTTGCTGAAATAATGCATGTAAGCCTCTTAACAATGTCAGGGACAGAGTAAGCACGCCCTAGTTGTTAGCTACAAATAGCTGATCAGGACAAAGCCATGAATCTGTTGTGGAAACACTAAGACCCTCTGTCCTTTTTCTCTGCCAGCCTACCTGCCTGTCACCTTTCCTGATCATGCCTCCTTCCTCTCCGGCCTACCCGCAGACAAAGGTGATCTTTGTAGCTTAGCCACTGGTTCTCAACTCTGCCCCTCCAGAACCACAGTGGCTTTCTCTTGTGTGGGGAATCCAAGCCAAACTCTTCACCCGGCTTCAAAGCCTCCCCTCCACTCAGCTTCCCCCTACAACTCCTGCTCGCCACCTACCATCCATCACAACCCTGTGGTCCCAGATAAGTCAAAGGGCTTATGATTCACAAAACAAAGATACCCTTTGCCTGGTCTGCCATAATTACTGGCTGCACAACCTTAGGCCACAGTGTGCTCATCTTACAATGAGGAACGTGCACTGGAATCCTTCTAGGACCCTGGTTGTGCTTCTACAGTTTGGCTCCAAAGCCTGACCGCTGCCCTCGTACCCTGCGTGGACATGAGGCAGTAGCAATCTGTATCTCCATGCTGTCTGAGAAATGGGAGAAGGGAAGGATAAGCTCCTATCCCACCAGAAGGTTATTGAGAAACACTCAGGACCAGGGCTACTTGACTCTGCAGGGAGGTTTCTGAATAGCCATGGTCTGTCTGCTTCTGGAAGCCACAGCGTCCCAGCAGAGCTCAGGATGAAAGAATCAAAACCTGGCCAGAGTGGCCAGGAGACCTGAGGACAGTTTGGCTTCCGGATAGCCTGACATTCTGCCCCAGGGGGAGTCATTGCCCCTGTGTGCACAGAGCTCCCAGCCTCAGTGTGCCTGTCGCCTCTCTTGCTCCCTGTCAGCAACATCAGTGAATATGCTGGTGCCCGACTATTTTAAACGTTTGGAAAGCCATCCCAGTGTGTCTTCCACGTGCTGGGAGCCACCCGCCCTTATGTCTCCTTGGGGCTTCTTTCATAGACATGGAGAGACTCCAGCAACAAGAGGAGGAGCTCTAGGTTGCACACTCACTCCCCCGGCAGGGTGGTCTCTGCACCCAGGAGGCAGAGGCAGGGCATAACCGGGTAACAACACTTCAGGGCCTCTGGGGCGGAGCTTACCCACGCACCCCTCCGGCCCTCGACACCTCCTGGCTTTGCCAGCTTTCAGATGGCTGCCAAAGAGGGGAAGGTAAGAGACCTGTCAGAGGCAGGGCCTGCCCATTCCAGGCCTTGCTTTCCAACCCCCTTCAGGCAGCAGGCAACACCACCCCTCCCTACCCGGACGGTAAAAAAGCCCGCTGTAGTAGAGGGAGTGCAGACCACGAAGGAAGGGTGGGGAGGAGACCCGGAGCCTCTGGACAACTGACAGGGAAACTTAACACTAGCCCAGCTGGCTGAGGGCAGGGCCAGGGAGCTGCGGCCTAGACATGGGTCACATGGGCAGAGGGAGGGAACCAGGAGGCAGATTGAGGGGTAAGAATTAAAGAGGAAGCTCAGTAGGAGATGAGCTCCCAAGAGATAAATGTACGAAGCGGGTGGGGAGAGGAGGGGAGAAGGACACCCTTGAGTAAGGACTGTGAGTGACACTTATGGCCCTTGAGAGATATTACTAGAAATACTACCCTAGTGATATTTGCCTGGGTTCCCTGGCAGCTGTGAACCCAAGAAGGGACAGTGTCAGACACCTTATGACCACAAACAGCTGCTAACATGTCAGAGGCATTTGAACCACAGCGGCTCCAGCTTGAATAGGGGCTGGGTAAAATAAAGCTGAGACCCACTGGGGCTGCATTCCCAGGAGGTAAGGCATTCTAAGTCACAGGATGAGACAGGAGGTCGTCACCTCACAAGATACCAGTCATAAAGACCTTGCTGATAAAACAGGTTTCAGTAAAGAAGCTGGCCAAAACCCGTCAAAACCAAGATGGCAACAGAAGTGAACTCTGGTCCTAGAGGAGGAGCTCTAGGTTGCACGCTCACTCCCCCGGCAGGATGGTCTCTGCGCCCAGGAGGCAGAGGCAGGGCATAACCGGGTAACCACACTTCAGGGCCTCACCACCAATTATATGTAAATTATTATGCATTAGCATGCTGAAAGACACTCCCACCAGCTCCATGACAGTTTACAAATGCCATGGCAACGTCAGGAAGTTAACCTCTATGGTCTAAAATGGGAGGGAACCCTCAGTTATGGGAATTGCCCACACCTTTCCAGGAAACTAATGAATAATCCGCCCCTTATTTAGCATATAATCAAGAAATAACCATAAAAATGGGCAACCAGTAGCCCTGGGGCTGCCCTGCCTATGGAGTAGCCATTCTTCATTCCTTTATTTCATTTTATTTTATTTTATTTCATTTTATTTTATTTTATTTCATTTTATTTTATTTTAGAGACAGAGTCTCACTCTGTTGCCCAGGCTAGAGTGCAGTGGCGCGATCTCAGCTCACTGCAACCTTCGCCTCCTGGGTTCATGCCATTCTCCTGCCTCAGCCTCCTGAGTAGCTGGGACTACAGGTGCGTGCCACTACACCCGGCTAATTTTTGTATTTTTAGTAGAGGTGGGGTTTCACTATGTTGGCCAGACTGGTCTCGAATTCCTGACATCAAATGATCCACCCACTTCGGCCTCCCAAAGTGCTGGGATTACAGGCATGAGCCACTGTGCCTGGCCTCCTTTACTTTCTTAATAAGCTTGCTTTTGCTTTATTCTACTCCCCCCAAATTCCTTCTTGTGAGAGGTCCAAGAACCCTCTCTTGGGGTCTGGATTGAGACCCCTTTCCGGCAACAAACAGATGTCTAGAGAAGGAAGGGTGCACCTCTGCTGCCACTGTGGACACCCTAGGGTAGTGCTAGGTGCGGGGGTTCCCCGTCAGAGTGCAGGGAAAGCCTGAAGCTCAGTTGCCCTGGGAGTCACGTGAGGGCTCCTGTCTGTGGCTTCTTACCTGGGGATCCCACAGACGCGTGAGGTTTGGGTACAGGTAAAACTGAATTCCTTGGGCTGCCCCAGGCAACGTCACCCCTCGAATTAACAGGACCACCAGCATGAGGTAAGGAAATGTGGCCGTGAAGTACACCACCTGGTCATGGGCAAATGAGAGACAAGGAGCTTGTGAGTGAGGAAGCAGCAGGGGCAGGAGGCAGGGGCAGGAGGCAGGGGCAAGAGCTCCTCAGAAAAGGTCAAGGGAGTGTTCCTCCTGCTCCCAGCTCATCCACAGCTGTTTAGTTCTGTTGCAGGAAGTTAGGGACCCCGAATGGAGGGACTGGCTGGAGCCACGGCAGAGGAACATTAATTGTGAAAATTTAATGGACACTTATCAGTTTCCAAATAATACTTTTATAATTTCTTATGCCTGTCTTTACTTTAATCTCTTAATCCTGTTATCTTCATAAGCTGAGGATGTACATCACCTCACCTCAAGACCACCGTGATAATTGTATTAACTGTACAAATTGATTGTAAAACACGTATGTTTGAACAATATGAAATCAGTGCACCTTGAAAAAGAACAGAATACTAGCGATTTTTAGGGAACAAGGGAAGACAACCATAAGGTCTGACTGCCTGTGGGGTCGGGCAAAAACAGCCATATTTTTCTTCTTGCAGAGAGCCTATAAACGGACGTGCAAGTAGGAGAGATGTCGCTAAATTCTTTTCCTAGCAAGGAATATTAATATTAATACCCTGGGAAAGGAATGCATTCCTGGGGGGAGGTCTATAAATGGCCGCTCTGGGAATGTCTGTCTTATGCAGTTGAGATAAGGACTGAGATATGCCCTGGTCTCCTGCAGTACCCTCAGGTTTACTAGGGTGGGGAAAAACTCTGCCCTGGTAAATCTGTGGTCAGACCAGTTCTCTGCTCTTGAACCCTATTTTCTGTTATTTAAGATGTTTATCAAGACAATACGTGCACCGCTGAACATAGACCCTTATTAGTAGTTCTGTTTTTGCCCTTTGCCTTGTGATCTTTGTTGGACCCTTATTAGTAATTCTGCTTTTGCCCTTTGTCCTGTTCCCTCAGAAGCATGTGATCTTTGTTAGACACTTATTAGTAGATCTGCTTTTTGCCCTTTGAAGCATGAGATCTTTGTACCTACTCCCTGTTCTTACACCCCCTCCCCTTTTAAAACCCTTAATAAAAACTTGCTGGTCTGAGACTCAGGTGGGCATCGTGGCCCTACCAATATGTGATGTCACCCCCAGCGGCCCAGCTGTAAAATTCCTCTCTTTATACTGTCTCTCTTTATTTCTCAGCCAGCCGACACTTATGGAAAATAGAAAGAACCTACTTTGAAATATTGGGAGCGGGTTCCCCGGATATAGTTCCATCTCCCCTATCCCTTGAGCCACAGCCTCCCCTCTTCCCTTCCTCCCTCCAGCTAAAAGCTCCCACCTCCCCTGACACATATTCAATAAATATTTGTTGAGTGGCTGAATGACATTTGGCATTCTCCCAATAAGTGTGCTTAGCGTTCATGGCAAGGATTGTCAGATATGAAAAGATTTGTGACACATGACCTCTGTCCTCATGGAGCTTACTAGCTTAGCACAACCAGGCAGCCAGATTAGGAGAGGCCCCCAGGGCAAGAGTTCAGGAGAATTCAGAATGCCCTCTTTGCTCCAGGGCAAAGAGTCCCCTGGAATTCTTGAGTTGATTAAGAATCATTTTGAGATGAAGAGTCTTCATGGAATTCTTTTTCCAAAGAACTGTTGTATGAATTAGGGAACCATGACTTGTGTTCAATTTGCAATGTGCCCACCCATCGTCAGTTCCAAGATCAGATTACCCTGGAGGTGTCCTTCCTGCCTTTCTCGCTCTCTTCCAGTCCCAAAAACCAGAAGTATGTGAGTCTAGGAGAGGCGGAGAATCAAGGAAGGGAGCCACATCAAATCCTCGCTGGGTCATCGCCTCCCATCCTCAACGGGGCCACAGCTTAGAGAACTCCTGGGTGACAGCCCCCAGTGAGGGCAGGAGTCCGGGAATGGGAGGGGCAGGAGCTCCCCACACGAACCTTGCCTGTGGACTTCACCCCCTTCCAGATGCAGAAGTAGCAGATGACCCAGGCCAGCAGGAGGCACAGAGCCAGCTCCCAGCGCAGGGCCCCCAGGTGCTGGATCCCATCAGAGATCTTCAAGACCCGCCGCCTGGGGAGAGAAGGGTTGAACCTGGCTTACTTTTTCTGCCAGCCTCAGTTTTGTGGCCCCGTCCTGGGACAGTGGAGCTGAGCCTGCCTCCAGGCTCTTGTCCAAAGGCTTCTCTGCTCTCTTCACATGAGGCCATCCTTAGCCCAGAGCTGGAGGTGGACATAAAGGTGGAGAATGGAGACTGTTCCAGGTAAGTTTGCTCTGAGTGCTTTGTCCCCAGCCAAGGGAAGGAGGTGCAGGCACCTATGTTTCCAACCAGGGTTTCAGGACCTTTTGACAGCAGGACTCTTGCCCTGGGTGAATATCAGTACTGGGGGGAGGGGGTGGGTCAGAGTCCACACTCTTGCAGCCACAGGGAGGAGGAAGTGCGGAGTGAGAGCACATATGCACACACACTCTCTAACACGGGGCGGGGGTGCGGGCAAGGAAGGCCAGGCACAGCCCCAGGAGAACTGCAGAAGTCTCATCTCTGAAACCAGTCCTGCAATAACCACAAACATAGGCACCACAGAAAAAAGCCACTTAGTGGAAATTCTTCCCTTGCTGTCCATTGAGAGTGACCTTGGTGTGTACTCCTCCCCATACCCTTCTTCTGAACACACGGCCCACAGTGGGTGGGGAAGGGTCTCACTTACTCCCAGAACTCGATGACAGGAGAGGTGGCATTCTCAGAGGTACCATTCAGGGAGCCGTTGGTCTTCTGGAACTCCATACAGTGTTCTACCCATGGGTCACGAGGAGGGAAAAAAGAGAAAAATCATCAGCCAGCCTATGACACAACTGGAGAGTGGGGTGAAATTCTAGGAGAATGGGAAGGAAGGTATTTGGCAGGAGCCAGGCTAAGGTTATCTGTACAAAACATCCTCCCACACGTAATAACCTCAACAAATGCAGCTCACTCTCTCCCGCACACTTGGACATGTGGGTACATAGATGCTTGGGTATACATTCTCCTCAAGCATGATCAGATGGCAACAGGAAAGGTGCTCTTCAGGTCAGCTGCTTCAAGGCATGCTAACATTTCTATGTAAGCGTCCTGTGCAAAGTCACCACCTTCGAGGAATAATAAGAGGGAAGTGATGTGTCAGAGTGGCCGAGAGCGCAGGTTGGAAAGCTCTGGCTTGAATGCTGACCCCACGGGTATGAACTGTGCAGCTGTGGGTAAGTTATAACTCAGCTCTCTGTGTTTTGCTTCGCTCGTCTCTAAAATGCAGACAGTAAGATCCATTACGTAGGATTGATAAGAAATTAAATGAAAACGTGGATGTAGAGTGCTCAATAAGTGGTGCTCTTTATTATTTGTGTGTGACTTTGGAGTTTTACAAAGAGTACTGACTTTTTTAGGTTTGATAAATACAATAATCCTGGGAAATATTAAGACAGATACTGTTTTCCCCATTGTGCCCATGAAGACGGTGGATCTTCTTAGAAATGGCCTGTATCTGCTCATGAATGACCAAGTGTAGGCTGGAACCCAGGTCAGCAAATTGTCTGGGTTCCACCTTCAAAATATCCAGACTGATCCTTCTGTCACCTCTACCACCACCCGGTACAGGGTGGCAGCATCAGCTCCCGGCTCCTACCTGGCCTTCGGTTTTCACCCTTGTTCCCCTCGTGGAATCTCCATTTTGTTAAACCTTAGATCACTCTATGTCACACCCCAGGTAAAGGCCTCCCGTGGGTTTCCCGTCCCACTCAAAGAAAAAAGCTGCAGCCCCTTTAGTTGCCTTCAAGGCCATATTGGATGCATTCCACACCATTCCCCTCAGCCACCTGCTCTACCACGTCCACCCTGTTCCCTGCACACGTGGGGTGTGTTGGATCCATTCCCACACCATTTCCCTCAGCCACATGCTCTACCACGTCCACCCTGTTCCCTGCCCCTTCAGCCACGTGCTCTACCACGTCCACCCTGTTCCCTGCACACATGGGTTGTGTTGGATCCATTCCCACACCATTCCCTTCAGCCACCGGCTCTACCACGTCCACCCTGTTCCCTGCACACGTGGGGTGTGTTGGATCCATTCCCACACCATTCCCCTCAGCCACCGGCTCTACCACGTCCACCCGGTTCCCTGCACACGTGGGGTGTGTTAGATGCCGTGCCTCCTCAGTTCCTTCTTCCTAGAGTTCTTGTCCCCCAGCTCAATGACTCGTTCCCCCTCCTCCTTCAGACCAATGCTGAAGGGGCATCTCAGTAAGGCCTTTCCTGACCATGCCACTTAAAATTGCAATCCCACCCATGAAACTCACAGTCTCTGTTTTATTTTCCTCCATAGCCCATCTTCTAACACGACATGTGCTGCTGCTTTCTAAGCAGACACTTCTTATTCACTTGTTTTGTTTATGTCTACCTCCCATCGCTACAATGAAAGCCCCAGGAGGGTGGGGTCTTTGTTTTTGTTTATTACCATATTTCTGGTGCTCAGAACAGAGCCTGGCATATAGCAGGAGCTCAACAAGTATCTGCTGGGTGACTGAAGGCCAGCTAGGTGCTCTCTCCACTAAACCATTCACTTTCCTGGACGCTGCAGTGCACCCAGAAAAGCATTATTTCATCTTGGCGGGACAGCGTGTCTCGTGCTATTCAAATGCTAGGCTCTGAGTAAAACCAGGCTCACTAAGAGAGATGTCAACAATGTCAAAAAATAATACTCAGGTATTTAATGTGCCTCAGAATTGTCCCAGAGACCCCCAGGCAATCCAAAGGAAGGTGGGCCTAATGAAGCCCTGAAGCAAAAGCTCTAGGCCACCAAAAATTGACAAAATTGTTTCAAGAGGGACTCCACTGAGATCTGGATAAAATCTTTACTGTCTGACAGGCTGGTTGTCAAGGGTGGTCTCAGTACACATAGATATTTAAAAAAATAAAAAGGAAGAAAAGAAAATATATATAAAGCTAAAGAAGTATAATAAAACAGATTTTTTTTGGAGACCAAGTCTTTCTCTATTACCCAGGCTGGAGTGCAGTGGCACAATCTCGGCTCACTGCAACCTCCACCTCCCAGGCTCAAGCAATCCTCCTGTCTCAACCTCCCAAGTAGCTAGGGCCATGGGTGTGCACCACCACCCCTGGCAAATTTTTTGTATTTTCAGTAGAGATGGGGTTTCATCGTCTTGCCCAGGTTGGTCTCAAACTCCTGAGCTGAGGCGATCCACTGGCTTCGGCCTCCCAAAGTGCTAGGATTACAGGCGTGAGCCACCGCCCCCAGACTAATTATAATAAAACAGATCTTTAAACCTTGATTCATTCGATCAATATTTTTGAGTGCTTACGATAGAGCCAGCACTGTGCTAGGCACAGAAGCTGTGGAGATAAAGACACCTTTTCTGCCCTCACGATCTTGATGACTAGTGGGAAAACCAAATCAACAAACAGATGAAAAGTGAGGGAAGTGCAGGAGCAGGGCCGGGGCCGGTGCAGGTGCTACCAGACACATTTAACAAGAACCTAATGCCATCCTGGGGTGTCGGAGGAGGTACCCCCAAGGTTTACTTTCCCTTTGAAAAATAACGGTGGAATGGAGGTGGTGGCAGTGATGCACAAAGACGTGCCTGGAAGGGGAGCATCAAGTACAAGGTGAGAGAGGTAAAGGTGAGGTGGTGACACAGACAGGAGTCAGGTCATGAAGGGATGAAGAATATCATCCTAACCGTGCAAAAATGCTTTTCCGGGCAAGTAAAGGATTCAAACTCCAGTTCAGAATTAACTTATCTGAGCAAGAAAGAATTGGGCTGGGCACAGTGGCTCACGCCTGTAATCCCAGCGCTTTGGGAGGCCGAGGCAGGTGGATCACAAGGTCAGGAGTTCAAGACCAGCCTGGCCAAAATGGTGAAACCCTGTCTCTACTAAAAATACAAAAATTAGCCGGGCGTGTTGGCAGGCGCCTGTAATCCCATCTACTTGGGAGGCTGAAGCAGAGAATTGCTTGAACCTGTGGGGTGGAGGTTGCAGTGAGCCAAGATCGCGCCACTGCACTCCAGCCTGGGCGACCGAGCGAGACTCCATCTCAAAAAAATAAAAATAAAAAAGATAAAAAAGAAAGAATTAATCATGGCTAGCCCACTTCAAAGGGCTAGGGCCTTGTTGACTGGTGCTGGAAGATACTTGGACAAGGAGAGAGGGATGTGCCAAGAATCCAAGCAGAACAGCGTCCACCGTGCTCTCCAGCCATGCCGTCCGACAGGGCAGCCACGAGCCACCTGTGGCTGTTTAAGTTAACATTCAATGCAAATGTTAAAGTTCTGTTCCTCAGACCACTTGCCACATTTCAGGTGCTCAATAACCACACATAGGAGTCACTCCAAACCTACACTGGTTCAGTGGGACTGCCCGTGAAAGGTAAATAAATAAATAACCACATGTAGCTGGTATTAAGAACTACCATATTGGATAGTGCAAAGAACATTTTCATCATTACAGACAGTTCTTTTGGACAGCATTGCCCTAGATATTTTTGTTGTTGTTACTTTTTATACATTAGACTCAGTATTTCTATTGCCATGGGTGGCTCAGGTAGTCGTATAAGCACAGGAGAAATTGCAGATATGCAGCACATAGCAACGCTTCAGCCAACAGTGGATCACCTGTATGGCAGTGTTCACATTTGATTATAAAATACGGCATCTTTACTGTACCTTTCCTATGTTGCACTATGTTTAGATACACAAATACTTACCATCGTGCTGCAAGTGCCTACAGTGTTCGGCACAGTATTATAGCAGACGGCCCAGGTGTGCGATGGGCTGGGCCATGTGGGTGTGCACTCTGTGCTGTGTTCATCCAAGGACGAAATTGCCAACAACGCGTTTCTCAGAGTGTACCCTTGTCATTAAGCGACACGTGACTGTAACTGCTATTATAAACCACAGTGGACCCTTGAGCAACATGGATCTGAACTGTGCGGGTCCACTTATACGTGGATTTTCTCCCGCCTCTGCCACCCCTGACAAGCAAGTCCAGATGAATTGCAAGTTTGAAAGACCTAAAACGTACCAGAGAGAAGATACGCGAAACAAATGAATGAACAAAACATATATCCATATATCAAACTAACCATATTTCAAATTGATTTAAGCAAATGGCTAAACAACATAAAAGTGGTCAGTTCTCATTGAATATGTTAATTTTTTCTTTAAAAAGTTCCTGACATTTGCCTGTGACGCTGGTGAATTCTTGATCTTATTCTTGACATAAGCTCTCCATGGTCGACTTGGGTGATTTCTGGTGTGTCCGTGTTAAGCGGGGATATAGTGACAAGCCCAATTCCGGTTAATGTGGCAGAACGAGAGGAGGAAGTGGACCCTTGGGTGAGGACCATACCTGTGTTCCACTCATGGTAGCAGCCGCCCCAGGGCAGGTCGATGGTGAAGCTGCTGAAGAGGTAGAACAGGGCCCAGGCCAACACAATGATGTAGTAGACGTTGAGGAGGATGACGATCATCTGGGAGGCATAGCCAATGCCTGCGGGGAAACTGCAGAATTGGGCTAGGAACGGTGGACAGCGGTGGCGTGCACCTGTCATTTCAGCTATGCGGGACGCTGAGGTGAGAGGATTGTCTGAGGCTGGGAGTTCAATTTACCATTGAGGGAAACTGCTATTTTTGTAACTCCCTGTGGATCTATAATTATTTCAAAATAAAAACGTAAAGAAAATCCTATATATGGAGAAATAATGAAATTAAATACTGTAAATTTTAAATACTTGTGTCAAGATAGAACTTTTTTTTTTTTTTGAGATGGAGTTTTGCTCTTGTCACCCAGGCTGGAGTGCAGTGGTGCAATCTCGGCTCGCTGCAACCTCTGCCTCCCAGGTTCAAGAGATTCTCCTGCCTCAGCCTCCTGAGTAGCTAGGATTACCGGTGCCCACCACCATGCCTGGCTAATTTTTTGTATTTTTTGTATTTTGTATTTTAGTTTCACCATGTTGGCCAGGCTGGTCTCGAACTCCTGACCTCAGGTGATCCACCTGCCTCGGCCTCCCAAAGTGCTGGGATTACAGGCATGGGCCACCACGCCCGGCCAAGATAGAACTATGAATGAAATAATTTTTTCTCATTTAAAGTTCTCTTTTAAAATGTTTATAATTGATTTAAATATGTCTTAAAATACAACAACATTGTTATGTGTTTAAAACATATGGCTAAAGTGGCTTTGCACTCTACTTACCTAACCTAAAGCCTCTGCCCCATCCTCACTGCTGTTTCTTGCCCATTCTCTGATAGATCAGCTGACTAGCTCAGTATGCAGCCCACAAACCAAGGGTTTAGCATAGAGACTCGGGATCTTATCTTAACCTCAGAACTGCTACTAATCACTCAAGTCATTCCAAACAAGGTTTATAACCACGAATGAAGACGCTTTGGAGTCAGGTACAGAGCTACTCACCCTCAAAGATGGGGCAGATCTTCCTCCAGGCTGTGACGCCTCCCTGGCTAGTGTACTGGCCTAGTGCTGTCTCCAGAAGGAAGACAGGAATGCCACAGGTAAAGAGGAAGACGAGGTAGGGGATGAAGAAGGCACCTGTGGTTAGAAAACAGGCTGTTCATTTCCTGGGACTATTCTCCTCATGGTCTGCATTCACCTCCTCCCATTACCAACCCATACTGCCAGTCAGAATCTCGGAGGCAGAGAACATGCAAAACTGCAGGAGACAGCTGTCTAGATGTTTGGAACATAGCAGAGATCAAGAGTCACCCCATTATCTAAGATCTACACAGCCTCTTGCCTTTTTTCACTGCAGTTTCAGTCTATACCTATTAAAGTTTGTTCCCCACTGAACAATTACTGCTTAACACATAACTTGTGGCAATAACAAGGAGCTTATTAAATAATGGATGTCTAGGAGCATTGGCACAGCCCACAGTCTATAATTCTTTTCAAAGAAAGCATTGCTCTTAACGTCAGGTAGTCTTTTAGTAAGCTGAAATCAGATGCCCTTTCAGTCATTGTTATGGTTTGAATGTATCCCCTAAAGTTCGTGGTTGGAAACTTAATTCCCTATGCAACAGTGTTGGGACGTGGAGCCTAATAAGATGTAAGTCATGAGGGCTCTGCCCTCATGAATGGATTAATGTTATTACTGTGAGACTGTGTTTGTTATAAAAGTGAGTTTGGGCCAGGCACAGTGGCTCACGCCTGTAATCCCAGCACTTTGGGAGGCTGAGGTGGGAGGATCGCTTGAGCCCAGGACTTCAAGACCAGCCTGGGCAACATGGGAAAACTCTGTCTCTAAAAGAAATACAAAAAATTATCTGGGCATGGCTGTGTGTGCCTGTAATCCTAGCTACTCGGGAGGCTGAGGTGGGAGGATTGATTAAACCTGGGAGTTCGAGGCTGCAGTGAGCTGTGATTGTGCCACTGCCCTCCCTCCAACCTGGGTGACAGAGCAAGACCCTGTCCAAAAAAAAAAAGTGTATTTGGCTCTCTGTCTTTTATATGAATATTCTCTTGCCTTTCTGCCTTCTGCCATGGGCTGACACAAAGAAGAAGGCCCTCACCAGAGGTGGACTGCTTGCCCTGGACTTCCCAACCTCCAAAACTATAATAAATAAATATCTGTTCCTTATAAATTACCCATCTCAGGTGTTCTGTTGTAGCAACACAAAATGAACTAAGCTAGTAATCTGTCTCCTTCTGTTTTTATAAGCATTGGCGGAGACAAGACTACTGATGCCAGATATACTGGTATTTTCCCTACCATGGACCTGTCATCTGCTGGCAAAGTGGACAGCACAGTTCATAGGACACAGAGTACCAGAGAAGACAGAACTGCACAGACAGGAGAATCTGCAGAGGGTCCCCCTCAAGCTTCCAACTGAGTACTAGTCAGTGCATATGTGTGAGAAAACTGAGGTGAGGGAAAGAACCATTCAAAATGATTAAAAGTAATGGTGCTCACACACTGCCAGAGTAAATAATCTCAAGATTCACCAGGCATTAGGCAGAGTACGCAGAAGGGCATTTCCTCAGTAACGGGGAATAATTATCCCTAGACCGAGCACACTTCTATTGCTACCTAACCAATCTTAAAAGCAAGATATAAAAAGAGCAAGTAACTTCACTGATCCCAGAACAGAGCTAAAGAATATTTACAGAAATACGAAATTGGCCGGGTGCAGTGGCTCACGTCTGTAATCCCAGCACTTCGGGAGGCTGAGGTGGACAGATCACCAAGTCAGGAGTTCAAGACCAGCCTGGCCAATATAGTGAAATCCTGTCTCTACTAAAAATACAAAAATTAGCCTGGCATGGTGGCACGCACCTGTAGCTCCAGCTACTTGGGAGGCTGAGGCAGGAGAATTGCTTGAACCTGGGAGGCAGAGGTTGCAGTGAGCCGAGATCGTGCCACTGCACTCCAGCCTGGGCAACAGAGTGGGACTCTGTCGCAAAAAAAAAAGAAAGAAAGAAAAGGCAGGGTGTGGTGGATTACGCCTGTAATCCCAGCACTCTGGGAGGCCAAGGCAGGCAGATCACGAGGTCAAGAGATCGAGACCATCCTGGCCAACATGGTGAAACCCCATCTCTAGTAAAAATACAAAAATTAGCTGGGCGCGGTGGCTCAAGCCTGTAATCCCAGCACTTTGGGAGGCTGAGGCAGGTGGATCATGAGGTCAGGAGATCGAGACCATCCTGGCTAACACAGTGAAACCCCATCTCTACTAAAAATACAAAAAAATTAGCCGGGTGTGGTGGTGGGTGCCTATAGTCCCAGCTACTTGGGAGGCTGAGGAAGGAGAATGGCGTGAACCCAGGAGGCGGAGGTTGCAGTGAGCCGAGATTGTGCCACTGCAATCCAGCCTGGGTGACAGAGCAAGACTCCATCTCAAAAAATAAAAGTAAAAATAAATAAATAAATAAATAAATAAAATACAAAAATTAGCTGGGCATGGTGGCATGTGCCTGTGGTCCCAGCTACTTGGGAGGCTGAACCAGGAGAATTGCTTGAACCCGGGAGATGGAGGTTGCAGTGAACCGAGATCGCTCCACTGCACTCCAGCCTGGCAACAGAGTGAGACTCTGTCTCAAAAATAAATAAATAAATAAATAAATTATCCAGCAACCCATAAAGCAAAAATATTACCAGGTCTGGTATTCAATCGAAAATTACCAGGAAAGCAAAGAATCAGGAAAATGTTACTCATAGCAAGGAGATTGAACCTGACCCATAATTTACAAAGATGTTAGAATTAGCAGATGAGAATATTTAAAAGTTATTATAACTGTATTGCAAGTGTTCCAAAAGTTAGGGATATAAAAGATATTGAAAAAGACCCAAATAAAACTTCTGAACATGAACACTACAGTGTGTGAGATTTAAAGAAATACATTGGATGGGATTAATGTTAGTAGGCAGAGCAGAAGAAAAGATCAGTGACCTTGAACCATAATAGAAACTATCTAAAATAAAACACAGAGAGAAAAAAGAACATTTTTGCTGGGCATGGTAGTTCATGCCTGTAATCCCCGCATTTTGGGAAGCCGAGGCAGGTGGATCACCTGAGGTCAGGAGTTCAAGACCAGCCCAGCCAACATGGTGAAACCCTGTCTCTACTAAAAGTACAAAAATTAGCTGGGTGTGGTGGTGCATGCCTGTAATTCCAGCTACTTGGGAGGCTGAGGCAGGAGAATCACTTGAACCTGGGAGGTGGAGGTTGCAGTGAGCTGAGATCATACCACTGCACTCCAGCCTGGGTGACAGAGTGAGACTCCATCTCAAAAAAAAAAAAAAAGAAAGAAAGAAAAGAAAGAAAGAAAAGAAAAAAGAAATTTTTTAAAAAGAACAGGTATGCCTAAGTGGTGAGACAGCTTCAAAAAGCCTAATGTAATGGGAGTCTGTGAAAGAAAGAAAAGGGTGAGAAAAAGCTTACAGAAATAATAGCTGAAAATTTTACAAATTTTATGAAAACTATAAACCTATAGATCCAAAAAGTTCAACAAACACCAAGATTAAAAAAAAAATGAAAAAAAACTAGTCCAAGGTGCATCATAATCACATTACTTAAACCGGAATATGGAGCTTTTAAGAGAAAACCTTAAAAGTCACCAGAGAAAAACGACACATATGTACAGACAAAGATAAGAATAACATCAAATTTCTCATTTAAAACAATGCAAAAGAGAAGACAGTGATAAGGAAGCACATTTGCTGAAGCAATAAAGGAGGAGGGAGAAAGCTGTCAACCCGGAATTCTATACCCAGCAATAATACTGTTCAAAAAGGAAAGTGAAATAACTGTTTCTTAAGACATGCAAAACCTGAAAGGATCTACCACAAGTAGAACTGAACTACCAGAAATGTGGAAGAAACTCCTTCAGGGAGAATGAAATGATATCACCAGATAGAAATATGAATCTATACAAAGTAATAAAAAGCTTTAGAAATAGTAATTACATAGATAAACATAGAGAATGTTTTTCTTATTATTCAAATATTTTTTAAAAGATAATTGACTGGTTAAACAAAAATAAAAACAATGTAATATTGATTTTATAACATATAAAAATGTATAAGAAGAGCACAAAGGTTAGGAGGAAAGAAATGAAATTGTAATATTTTAAGGTTCTTATATATAAAGTGGTACATTATCACTTGAAGATAAAGTGTGATAAGTTAAAGATGTATACTACAAAGTTTAAAACAATCAGTAAAATAACACAACAAAGTTACAGCTAATAAGCCAACAAAAAGAAGAAAGCTAACAATGGAATAAGAAAAAATATTCAATTATTCCAAAAAAAAAGCAGGAGGAGAGGGAAGGGGGAAACAAATAACTGATAGGACAAAGAGAAAACAAATAATAGGATGATAGAGTTAAACCTAATTACATGGATAATCGTATTAAATGCAAATGGTCTAAACGTCCCAAATAAAAGGCAGAGATTGTTAGACTGGCTTTTAAAACCTGACAAGACTCAACTATATGCTGCCTTAAGAAAATGCACTTTGAATAAAAAAGACATGAAGAGGTTAAAAGTAAAAGGATAGAAAGATATACCATGCTGGGAGGCTGAGGCAGGAGAAATGGAGTGAACCCCGGGGGGCGGAGCATGCAGTGAGCCGAGGTTGCACCACTGCACTCCAGCCTAGGCGACAGCAAGACTCCGTCTCGGAAAAAAAAAAAAAAAAAAAAAGATATACCATGCTAACACTACTCAAAATAAATCTGTAAAGTTTATCTTAATGTCACACAAAGTAAACTTCAGAGCAAAGAATATTACCAAGGGTAAAGAAGGTAATTTCATAATGATTAAAGGGTCAATTAATCAAGAGGGTCAATTAATCAATCAGTATTTCAAGTGCATATTCACCTAATGACAGAGCTTCAAAATGCACGAAGCAAAAACTGACAGAACTACAAAGAGAAACATATAAACTAATTCCTGATAAATGTTAAAAACGTTAATAGCCCTCTCTCAATAATTTATAGAATAAGTATACAGAAAATCAGTATGGATATAACAGATTTGAAAATTATATCCACCAGCTCAACTTAGTTGACATTTATTGAACATTCTACCCAACAGTCCAACAGCAGAATATGCATTAGTTTCAAATGAACATGGAATATTCCACCAAGATGGGCCCATATCCTGGACCAGAGATCAAATCTCAGTAAGTTTAAAAGCATCCAAGTAATACAAAATTGGTTCTCTGACTAAATTAGAAATCTATCAGAGAAAGACATTTGGAAAATTGCCACCTATTTGGAAATTAGGTAACACATTTCTAAATAGCCTATGGCTCTACTGAAGTAATCAAAAGAGAAATTAGAAAGTATCTTGAATGGAATGAAATGAAACCCAGTATCATAATTTGTGGCATACTGCTAAAGCAGTACCTAGGAGATTTACTAAATGATAAAAGAAGAAAAGTTTCAAATCAATTACCTCGGCTTCCACCTTAAGAAATCAGAAATTATTGCTGAAATGAGGGTGTAGTTAAGAAAAAAAGAAAGAAAGAAATGAGAAGGATAAGAGCAAATGAAAGCCAAAGTAAGTCAAAGGAAATAAAAATCAGAGTGGAAATCAATAAAATGGAAAACAGGAAAGCAACAGAGAAAATCCATGAACCAAAAGCTGGTTCTTTGAGATAATAAAATTGATAAAATTTTAGAAGACACAAATTATCAGCATGACAAATGAGATGTATCCTCAGTAAAGATTCTATAGATATTAAAACAATAATAAGAAAAGATATGAAGAACTTTATGCCAGTAAGTGCAACAATTTAGGTAAAATAAAAAACGTAACTACCAAAGCCCACTCAAAAAGAAACAGTCTGAATAGCCCTATAACTATTAAGGAAAATTCATTTTTGGTTTAAACCCATCCCACAAAAATTTCCAGGCTCAAATGACTTCAGTGGTGAATCCTCCAAATATTTAAGGAAGAAATAACAGCAATTCTACACAAACTCTTCCAAAAAATTGAAAAGATGGAATGCTTACCCAACCAATTTTATAAAGTGAGCATTACCCTGATAATAAAAGCAGACAAATACATTATAAGAAAAGAAAGTTAAAGATCAACATATTTCATGAACATAAATGCCAAAATTCTAAATGATTTTAGGAAATCAAATCTAACAATATGTTAATAGGACAATATATTATATAGTAATGTTTATCCCAGAGATACAAAGTGGGTTTAACATTTTAAAAAATCAACATAGTGTTGTAGTCTCCAGCTGTTATAATAAATGGATAAATAAATAATGTGACTCATCCTGTTAACAAATTACAAAAGAAAAACTATATGATCATTTCATAGGTACAGTAAAGTATTTGACTGAATCCAACAGTCATTCCTAATAAAAACTCCCAGCAATGATGAGGAGAAGAGAACTTCCTCAACTTGATAGAGGGCATCTACAAAAAAACCCTACAGCTAACATCATACTTAATTGTAAAAGACTGCTAAGATTGAGAATAAAACAAGTGTCTATTCTTACTACTTCTATTCAATACTGTACTGGGGATTCTAGCCATAGAATCTAGCCAATAAGGCAAGATAAGGAATTAAAGGTTATTCCGATTTAAAAGGAAAAAATAACACTGCTTTATTCTCAGAAGACATGATATTCTACAATGAAAATCCTTTGGAATGCACACAAAAAAAAACCTATTAGAACCAATCAGTGAGTTTAGCAAGTTTGCAGGATACAGGATGGGCATACACAAATCAATTGTGTATGTATTAGGAATAAACAACCATAAATTAAAATGTAGGAAATAATACCATTTACAATAGCATCAAAAATATTAAATACTTAGGAATAAATCTGACAAAAGTTGTGAAAGATATATGTACACTCACAACTACAAAACATTGCTGAGAGAAATTAATGAAGAGCTAAATAAATGGAGAGTCATACCATATTCAGGATCAGAAGACTTAATATCATTAAAATGTCAATTCTTTCCAAATTGATCTATAGATTTAATACAATCCTAATCAAAAGCACAACAGACTTTTTTGTAGAAATTCACAAATTCTTTCTAAAATTCATCTGGAAATGATAAGGACCCAAAATAGCCCCCCAAAAAAAAAAAAAAAAAAACCTAAAAACAGGGCCTGGCGCAGTGGCTCATTTCTTTTTGGGAGGCATTTTGGGAGCATTCTGGGAGGCCAAGGTGGGTGGATCACGAGGTCAGGAGATCGAGACCATCCTGGCCAACACGGTGAAACCCTGTCTCTACTAAAAATACAAAAAATTAGCCGGGCATGGTGGTGGGCACCTGTAGTCCCAGCTACTCGCGAGGCTGAGGCAGGAGAATTGCGTGAACCCGGGAGGCGGAGCTTGCAATGAGCTGAGATCGCGCCACTGCACTCCAGCCTGGGCAACAGAGCAAGACTCTGTCTCAAAAAAAAACAAAAAAAAAAAACCTTTGAAAAAGAAGAACTGAAGTACTTAATTCCACCTGGTATTTATATTATCCTCAAGCACAGTAATGAACACAGTGTGGTACTGGTGTCAAAATAAACAGATCAATGGAACAGAGTAGAATTCATCAACAGACCCACATATATACAAATAACTCATTTTTGATGAAGGTATAAAGGCAATTCATTGGAAATAGGATAGTCTTTTCAACAAATGGTGCTGGCATAAGTGAATACCCATACAACCCCCCAGAAATGAACTTCAACCCATATCTTCACTGTATACAAAAATTAAGCCAAAATGAAACATAGAGCTAAATGTCAAACCTAAAACTATACATCTTCTAGAAGAAAATATGAGGCCTTGGGTTAGGCAAAGATCTCTTTATATGATATCAAAAGTATGGTTTATAAAATAAATAATTTATAAACCAGACATCATAAAAATTTAAAACGCCTTCTCTTCTAAAGACACTGTTAGAAACAGGAAAAACAGTCCAGGTGCAGTGGCTCACGCCTGTAATCCCAGCACTTTGGGAGGCCAAGGCTGGAGGATCGCTTGAGCCCAGGAGTTTGAGATCAGCCTAGGCAACATAGTGAGACCTCGTCTCTACCAAAAAAAAAAAAAGTTTTTAATTTTCCGGGCATGGTGGCACATGCCTATAGTCGCAGCTACTTTTGGGAGGCTGTGGTGGGAAGATCATTTGAGCTCAGAAGGTCAAGGATGCAGTGAGCCGTGACTGCACCATTGCACTGCACCATTGCACTTCGGCCTGGGTGACAGAGTGAGATCCCATCTCAAAAAAAAGAAAAGGAAAATTACAAAACACAGAATGAAAAAAATAGTATTTGTAAAATGCATTTCTGATAAAGGACTTGTGTGTTAGAATATATGAAGATACCTCGATAACAAAGGATAAACTACTGATACATGAAAACTATAAATGAAACCCTAAATAATTATGCTGTATCATAATTATCAACATACCATATGATTCCATTTATATAATATTCTAAGAAACGCAAACTAAGGTATGGTGGTATCACAATTTTCATAATTATCAACACACTGTATGATTCCATCTATATAATATTCTAAGAAAAACAAACTAGTTTAGTTTGCATTTAGCATAATTATTGATTGCACTGGGATGTGATGGCAGGAGTGAAGTTGGGAGGAAGGAATTAGAAAGAGACAGGAGTAACTGTTTTGGAAGTGATGGACATGTTTACTATCTCAATTGTGGCAGTGGTTTCATGCGTATATACATATGTCAAAATTTATCAAATTGTACACTTTAACTATGTGTGGTTTATTGTAAGTTAATGAGGAACCCAGTTCTCCAGTTCTTCACCTCCCACTTCTCAAGGTTGTATTCTACACATCCATAATTCAGGCACTAAGGGGGACTTGATCATGAGGACAAAGAAGGAAAGGTAGCAAACAATTCAGCCAAAGAAGTCCATAAATCAACCCAAGGTTTGCTGAGCAGGAAGGAAAACAGGAAAGATAGAACCCAGCAGCTGACAGGAACAGTCACTGTGGAGAGCCCAGTCCAGAAAGAAACAGCTATGGGCCCAGCCCAAGCCCCTTCCCATATTCATGCTTCCTGCTCTTTCTCTATAAACCAAGCCAATGTTTAACTCTGGGCCCCGTGGTCAGCTGCTCCCACCTCCTTCCTCTGCCTCGTTGAGCTCCTTGGCAGCCTGCCAAGAGGGACAAAGTCCACACCTGCAAGGAGGGGCTACAGGCCCTAGAAGTGTGAGAGGGGTCGGGGTGGGAGGGAGCCAAGGGGGCCAGGTACGGACTGAGGAGTGCTGAAGGGCATTCTGCCTCTTCCCCTCCGCAGGTACCACCATCAAAAGATGAAGTTAGTCCTGGGGATGGGGGGTGGAGTTCACAGTAACCTGCACCCCCATATCATCCATACTAGTCTCCTCAAAAATTCTAAAATGTGCTGGCATTTTCTCCGTGAGATAGGAGAGACCATATCCCCGTCCCAGAAAGCAATCACTCTCTTGGCCCCCCTTCTCAAAAGGAGCACGCTCTGTGGTGTCACTTGTAACGTTCCAGCCAATTTCTTACGGCATAAACTGACGATCTTCCACTTGAGCAACAGAAGAGCGAGGAGCTTCCATGAGGAGTTATGTGCTGTCCTCGGCATGAGCCTGACCAACAGTGGGCCCTGAGTCATTAACTACACTTGGTAACACACTGTCACTCACTGCTAAATTAACCATTACTTTTATATGAACACACGAACAGTGCTTCTTATTTCTCTTTATTCTCTGCTATCTATAAACAGCACAGGGCTAATGGTTTTCCTTGCTGCCAAGGGAATCCTCTTTGTGTGGGCATCCCAGTGCACCTTCTTTACAGGCTGGAGCTGAGGGATCTTTCCCCTCCAGGCCCTTCTGAGAGGTCCTGCTGTGTGCCTCCTGTCGTGGCCTCACATGGGGACTCCAGTCCCAAGTTAATTCTGGGTGTTGAGCAACTTGGTCTGCCAGCAGCCAGGGTCCAGGCAGTTGGAGAGGTCTCAGCTGAAGGCCCGTGTTCTGAAGCACCCAGGACCTAGGTATGGGAAGACTGAGGCTCTGAAGAGGAGTTGGAGGGGACAGGGAGGAAGTCCTCGCAAAAGATGGTCTCCAGCTGGTGTCCTGAGACTAGTGGAAAACTTAAAAGGTTCTTGGCACGGGTAACTTCTGCCCCGAGTGAAATTTCAGCAACCTGGACTTAGAAATTAAGTGAAAATGTTGGCAGACGGTTTTTTCATCTGGGCTGAGATAGGCAGGAAGGTGATTTAAATTCCCCGCTGGCTATGGACAGTCCTATGACCAGAACCCTCTCCCGCTACCTTCTTCCCACATCACGCCTCCTGCGTTATCCAGCATCTCCTCGTCCCATGACTGGAACTTTAACTGGGCAGGCCCTAGTAGAAAATCGTATTTGCTTTCCCTCCTGGCAGCTGAGGGTGGAGGGCTGGAGGAATAGTTCAAATGTCAAGCTTCTTCAGCCGCCTCGCCAGCTCAGGGCCCCACCCCCGAGGAGTCTGGCCACTGGCACACTGTCACTGCTACGCAGGACTCACATGGCCCCCTTCCGCCCAGAAGGGAAATACACAAGGAAGGGGTGGATTTTACCTACTCCCACATTTTGCCCCAATAACCCACATTTACTATTTCCAATTCCTTTCTCCCATCTCCCCCATTATCTTAAATCCATTTCAATCAGTCATTGTCCCCAGCCCTCCACTGTAACCGCTCTTATCATCAATGACTTCCCAGCTGCTAAAACCAACAATCAATTTCCTTTCCTCATCTTCTTAACCTATCTGCAGCCTTTGCTGCAGTTAATTTCTCCCTCCTCCCTGATAGAATTTCTTCACTCGACTTTCCAAAACACTTCATTCTCTTGGTTTTCATCCTGCTTTACCAGTTTCTCATTTTCTGTCTCCTCTGCTGGTTTCCCATCTTCTCCCAGACCCACTAAAGGTCCTTACTTTCTTTTCTTATACCATCAAAATGCTAATGATCCCCAAATACACACCTCCAGCCAGATCTCTCTCACAAACCCCAAACTCACATTCTATTGCCCAGTTGCCATTTCCACATGGACATCTGATAGATACCTCAACTCAACTTTCCCAAAATTCACCTCCTTACTTTCCCTTCAAAACCTGCTCCTCTGGGGCTAGGCACAGTGGCTTATGCCTGTAATCCCAGCACTTTGGGAGGCCGAGGCAGGCAGATCACTTGAGACCAGGAGTTTGAGACCAGCCTGGCCAACATGGCGAAACCCCCTCTCTATTAAAAACAACAACAACAACAAAACAAAACACAAAACCTTGCTCCCTTCATGGCCTTCCACGTCTCAGTGAATGGCAGCTCCTTCCTTCCAGTCACTCAGGTGAAAACTCTCGGATTGCTTAGATGGGTGCTAGCAGTGGAGGGGATGAGAAGTGGTCGGGTCCTGCACATCTCATCGCGGGGGCTCTAGTCCCAGGCATTCGGGTGCTGAGCTACTCGCTCTGCCAGCAACCAGGGTCCAGGGAGCTGGAGAGGTCCTGAAGCTCCCAGGACCTGGGTGTTTGGGTAGAGTCAAGAGCTATGAGAGGTGGAGGAAATTAAGGATGACTCCAAGATTTTTGCCTTATAACCAGTCAGCTTCTGCCTTCACTCCCCTATACTCAGTTCTCAACATACCAGCTAGAGAGATTATTTTAAAATGTAAGATGACTGTCCGGGCGCAGTGGCTCATGCCTGTAATCCCAGCACTTTGGGAGGCCAAGGTGGGCAGATCACCTGAAGTCAGGAGTTCGAGACCAGCCTGGCCAACACGGCAAAACCTCGTCTCAACTAAAAATACAGAAATTGGCCGCGCGTGTTGGCGCGCGCCTGTAGTCCCAGCTACTGGGGAGGCTGAGGCGGGAGAATCACTTGAACCCAGTAGGTAGAGGTTGCAGTGAGCTGAGATTACGCCACTGCACTCCAGCCTGGGTGACAGAGCGAGACTCCATCTTGGAGGGGGCGGAAATAATGTGAGATTACTGCTGCCCAAAACCCTGCCCTGCATCTGAATGTCACTAGAGCAAAAGCTGAAGTCTGAGAGTGGCCAACCTGACATACCTGATCTGCCCCTCTCCCTGTCCCCAGCCCATTTACTTCCCTGACCTTACCTTCTATTCACTTGCCCAGCTCCAGGCTTGAGTCCTCCTCAAACAAGCCAGCCAGACTCTTGCTTCGTTTCAACCTTTGTTTCCTCTGCCTAGAGGAAAGCACTTTCACCCAACCCCATAATATCCACATGGCCAGTTCTCTCACTCCTGGCAAGGCTTTGCTCACATGCTCTCAATGACCACCCTTTTAAAAATTGCCACCACCCACACCCACACTCCTGATCCCCTTTACCCAGCTCTCCTTGTTCTTTTTCTATAGCACTCATTAATTCTGGAATGCTACCTAATTTACTCATTTATCCCATTTATTGTGTAGTGTCTGTCTCCCTCCTCTAGAATGTATGCCCTATGAGGACAGGGAATTGGTCCGTTTTGATTATAGATGTATCCCAACCACCTAGAACAGTTCCTGGCTTTTGCTACGTGCTCAGTAAGTATTTGCTGGTGAATGACACAGGCTCAGGGCTTGGCTGAGTATGCGCCGAGGCAATGGAAAGAGACTGGAAATTATAAAGCCAGTAGGATGAAGCAGGTGCCTGGGGGTGGATCAGCTGCAGGTCCTGGACAGCAGGGAGATTATTTACCCAGGAGATGGTGGAGGCGGGCATCCCTCTCACTCACCTCCCTAAAAGCGTCCCTGTTGCTTCCGATTTCAGATGGGCTTCTTTGAATCACTTTCTCAGCTTCCCTGCCTTTTGACTACAGTTTTCAGCTGTTTGCCTTGTGTTCTATCATAGCCTTGCCTCAGCTCTGGAACTCATTTCAAATTAGATCTACCACATGTTGACGCTGGAAGAAACCAAAGAAGATGTCACTTACATTTTTAGTTTGGAACTAAAATTGTGCTCTGAGGACTTCTTCATCCCTGAGCTTCTCACTAAACAAATACTACTACGAATCCAATTCCTTGATTGCCCTCCCCTCCCCGCCAAGCACAAGAGTGGCTACTTGGAGCTGTGAATTTAAAGAAAGGGCCCAGGAGCAGGCCAGTCGGGTACGTTACTAAAGGATGGCACAGCCTGGAGTATCCCAGCGTCCTTGCTCAGAACACTCTTCCCATGCCCAGGAGCCAAGGCCCCAGTCTGAGAATGGTGAGTTCAAATAAAAGCATTAAACCAGGAGGAAAGGGGTCCAACCAATCTACAGGGTCTCCATTCTCCCCAGCCTCCTTCCCACATCAGCAGCAAAGGGTCCTTTCAGGAAGAGGCAGCAGTCTCTTCTTTGGCAAAGAGACAGGAGAATGACAAGATGAAGTTTAAGGGCCCATTCTCTGTAGGAGTTTGCTTTGCGTGGGAGGTGAGAGGAGTTAACTGATGACAGAAAGTTTAAACTGCTGAGAACACCAAAAAAAAAAAACAGAAAAATAGGCAGGTCCAGGTTCCTCTACTGACCACACACATCCTTGATCAGCCCGCTTACCTTGGCAAAGGAGCCATTTCACTAACCCAGCCAGTGGTCCTGGGTGACTCGTGCCCTCCAGAGCAAACCTGGGCCCCTGCCTGCAGCTCCCCAGTCCCTCAGAACATTCCCCTCCAGCTGCTGTCATCCATCAGCGAATGGGGGCGAGGAGTGCTCAGGCCCTGTGCTTGATAAGGGAAGAAGTTACGGGTAGGTAGTGTAAGGGTTAAACAAAGAGAACTTGACTGGATGGCAGGACTCCCAAACATGTCAGGACTCTCCACCAGAATCAGAGTGCTGGAAGGCAGGCTCTACCCAGGGAGAAGGAGACCACAGCCGCCGCCCTGCTGCCTCCACCTCCCCACACAGGACCCACGTGAATGACCAAGGGCTGTGGGTACTCTGCGTTCCCACACAAGACACAGTCAACACGTTCCAGACCCACACAGACTCACCACGCAGCCCTGGGACCCAAACATTGCCAGACAAAGGACCGGGGAGAGTCCCTCATCCCCCACGTTCCAGTCACTGCTCCCCTCCACTTTCCCCTGTCAGCCCAGTGCTTTGCATTAGACCTGGAAGGCAATCTCTCCCACCTCTTCGTGCCATTCCTGCTAATTCCCAGGCCAACCTTTACCCAATTCCAGAGAGGCTTGGGGAAAGCTGCTCACCTCCTAATCTCTCTGCCATGTGAGGAGCTAAGCTGGTTACCAGGTTCCAGACCCAGAGTCCCAATGCCAGATTAGTCCCCCAGCCTCCAGCTTTCACCCTGGGCCAGCTCCGTCTCTCCTGATTCTCCAAAGGGAGGGTACTCAGGCCTAAATTCCTAAACAAGCACGTGGAGCGTTCGGCACTAGGTAAAAAGTGGGTAGACCTTCCCTCTTCCCTCACAGTGCAAACTGAGCAAAGTCCTATGATTTCAGGCCACTGGCCAGAAAGAAATTCCTAGGAGGAAGGGACACGACAGCCCATTTTCATCCCTCTGGAAACATTCAAGTTAACCTCCAACCCAGGGACAATCCCCAGTTGCCACAGACCTGGGAACCAGACTCCATGGGCCCAGGGCATCTCTCGTGTTCTCCCCCAGTTCCCACACCTCCCCTCTGTATTGAATGCTTTCTCTCTCTAAAATCATTGTGAGACTCAAGCTGGATGCGTTCGGCAGCTCTTACTCACCTGCAAAAGGATAGGTGTTGCTTTAAAGGACCTCAAATCCTGTAGCCCATGAACTTATCACTCCTCTCATCATTTTCCCTGGTGACCTACCTCTGTATTCCACATTCCTCCAGTCCCGGCTGCAGTCTCACTACAAAATCAGACCTGGGAGCCCCAATCCTACAAGCTTTACCCATAAGCAAGGAGATATTCCTAACCCACTGGTCACCCAGAACCCTCCAGTAGTTGGGAAATCCCTCTAGCTAGGGCTTCCCACAGAGATACAAAATTCCCTGACTGTGGGTTAGTGGTTGCAAAATTTCTGTCACTGCTGTGGGGATAGCAGAGTTACCCCAGGGGGCTGAAAGAGAGGGGAATGAGAAGCCAATGATGACACAGTAAAGAGCTGGAGGTCATGCTCCCCCTACAACATGCACACATTTGTGCTGCGAAATTTTTAAAAAGAGAGCCTATACTAGAAGGGGCTGGGTAATGGATGGCTTAGGGAGCCTCACCGTGCCAGCAAAGTAGGAAAAAGACACAAGACCAAGGCTGGGGAACCTTAAGACCACAGAACAGTTTGGTTATCAACGTCATCATCAGCAGAGCTACTATTTATTACTTAAGACCACAGAACAGTTTGGTTATCAACGTCATCATCAGCAGAGCTACTATTTATTACTTAAGACCACAGAACAGTTTGGTTATCAACGTCATCATCAGCAGAGCTACTATTTATTACTTAAGACCACAGAACAGTTTGGTTATCAACATCATCATCAGCAGAGCTACTATTTATTACTTAAGACCACAGAACAGTTTGGTTATCAACGTCATCATCAGCAGAGCTACTACTTATTACTTAAGACCACAGAACAGTTTGGTTATCAACGTCATCATCAACAGAGCTACTACTTATTACTTAAGACCACAGAACAGTTTGGTTATCAACGTCATCATCAGCAGAGCTACTATTTATTACTTAAGACCACAGAACAGTTTGGTTATCAACGTCATCATCAGCAGAGCTACTATTTATTAAGTGCTTTACACACATTGTCTCTAATCCTTACAATGACCTTGAAAGGCAGGCATTATTATCTCAATTTGCAGGAGCGGCAATTGATGCTCTGAGAGCTTAAGTAACTTGTCCAAGATCACACAGAGTGTTAAGTAGCAGAGCCAGAATCCAAACTCTCATCCACCTGGTTCCAGCTTGTGCTCATATTTCTACGATGCCACGTTATAATAGAAAGAGCCCTGGGATAGTCACGTAACCTTTCTAGGTCTTAGTCTCTTACAGAGTGTCCTTAATGACCTCTAAGCGTCCTCCTACCTCCAGAATTCTATACATCTATGGGACTCCCCAGAGGGGCCGTAAGTGCAGGAGATGGAAGTATCCTCCTTCCAGGAGTGGGTGGGGTGGCACAAGGGCTCTCATCTCACCTCCCCCATTTTTGTAGCAGAGATAGGGAAACCTCCAGACGTTGCCTAAGCCAATGATCTCCCCAGCCACTGACAGCACAAACTCCATCTTGTTGTTCCAGTGCCCCCGCTCCAGGGTGCCATCTTCCTCCTTCTTTTCCATGACTGGATACACTGGTTTTGTCTCTCCATTACTGGTTGTGCCTGAGACCCTGCTATCCATCCCACCTGGAAAACAAGTGGGATGCTCTGTTACTGTTGGGAACCCCAGAAGGAAACCCCTCCTCCTGCTTTTACCAACAAATCCATAAGGGAATGAATGCACTGGAAGAGGTGAATTTCTATTCCCTTCCCTGTAGACCATGTCCTCCTTAGCAGTTCTCATTGGTAGAAGCTGGGTGACAGCTACTGAAAACATATATTCCTTTCCTGTTTCAGGAAGAAAGTGTTGGTACTGACAGACAGCCTTTGCTTCCACTATAAGGCCCTCTTGGGTTGAGGATTGCAGACATGGAGGAGTTCATGGGCCGCTGTGCTGTCTAAATTCTCCCTGCCACCCTACAGTCAGCCTCGTCGGGATTAGCATGTGCTTCAGTCTGTTTACTCTGTATGCTGGGACACGTTGAAAGGATGGGATTTTACATGTCCTCAAAGCCACCAATTTCCCTTGCAGGAATTTATGCTAAGGAAATAATTGTGATTGTGAGTGAAAGGTGTAGCATTAGGATATTTATTGTTCATAACAGCGAAAAATCGGAAAGTACATAAATTGTCAAAAATGGTAGATATGTTGATAAATTATGGCACATTCATATAATGGACTACTATATATAATCATTAAAACCTGTGTTATAGAAACAAGTATATCGGCACAAAAGGGTGCTCACAATATATAGTAAAAAACAGTACATACAATATGATCATGCTTGACAAATATTTTATAAAGTATTTATAGGCATTGAAGGAGTAGGATAGCCATGAAAATGTTTTTCTTTCAGCAGTTGGGTTATAGGAACATTTCCTTATCTATATTTTCTACAATTACATCAAAAATGTGTTTTACTTTTGTAATATAAAAATAAAAGCCGGTTTTAAAAAAAAATCCTGTCAAAGGATTGGGAGAGGTTGAGTGGGACCAGGAATTGTGAGTAAGATGAGGTGGTCTAAGTACTCCTTCTATGTCTCTCTGAAATCAGCGTAAGGCAGAGATTTACTATGCGCTCTTTTTCTTTTTTGGTGATGACAAATTAGGAGTCTGTGACAGTAGAGAAGATGATATAAATAAAAAGCCACAGTTTTAACCATTCACTGTCAGAAATGGCCCATTCCAGACCACTGTTGGGATTGAGGATGACTGGACGTGGCCCACATTTAGTTAGCAACTACTATAGACTAGGCACTTCACATACATTCTTTTCATTTAATTCTCACAACAACCCTGAGATGTAAGCATTATTACCTCCACTTTATAAATAAGGAAGTTGCAGCTCAGAGAGGTTAAATAATGTGACTGCTGCTGCCATATAGCTACTAACTTGCACAGCCAGGACTTAAACCCACTCTGCCCCTGCTCTTTCAGTTCCATCCCTTTGATTACATTGGCTGCCTAGGTTCACTGGTGTGTCTACTAAAAGCATCTTCTAATGACTCTGCCTTGATTTTGCAGAGTGGCCTCTTTTCTGGAGAAGGAGGCAGATGGACTTTTTTCTAAGCCTCAAGCAAAGTTCATGTTAACAGAACTTTCTCAGCAGTAACCTCTTCTGGCCACAGACTCTACTTTGGCTCTGACCCAGAAAATTAGAAAGTCAGTGAACAGGCCGGGTGCAATGGCTCACGCCTGTAATCCCAGCACTTGGGAGGCCGAGGCGGGTGGATCTCCTGAGGTCAGGAGTTTGAGACCAGCCTGGCCAACATGGTGACACCCCGTCTCTACGAAAAGTACAAAAATTAGCTGGGCATGGTGGCAGGCACCTGTAATCCCAGCTACTCAGGAGGCTGAGGCAGGAGAATCGCTTGAAACCAGGAGGCAGAGGTTGCAGTGAGCCGAGATCGCGCCACTGCACTCCAGTCTGGGCAACAAAGCGAGACTCTGTCTCAAAAAAAAGAAAAAAAAAAAAAGTCAGGGAACAGCAGGCATCTATGTTTATCTGATAAATTAGGGAATGAGCTCCTTTCTACAAAGGAGAAACTCAAGTAACTGGTCCCAAGAGGGCTCCTCAGTCCTTTTGGGAAGGTTGTCTAAGGTACTGACTGTGCTGGCCTCCCCTCCCTTTACCAGCTGATGGATCTCTCCCAGTGATGGAAAGCCTTCCCTTCTCCACCCTCCCAGACCCTAGGAGAAACAGTAGCCTTCTCCTGGCTCCCTTAGCCTCATTAGAGCTGCTTCTCAGAGGTAGCATGTTGTGTCTGAAAGGTCATGAGCTGTAGAGTCAGATGAGGCCAGGTTCAAACATTAGTTTTTTCTCATACCAATGTCTGACTTCAGAGAAGTTAATGAATGACTCTGAGCCTTAGTTTGTTCATCTGTAAAAGTGGGGATGATAGATAGGATATACTTAGCTATAAGAATTAAATGAGGAAATATACATATGTATACACACTTAATAGAATAACAGGTACTCAAATTTTTGTTTTCTTTCAGTCCTGTCAGAGTTGATCATTGTTCTCTTTTCTCAGAGAAGAAAGACTTTGTTTTCTTGGAGTTAAATCCAGTTGTCTTTCCTCTCAATCTAGGGCTCTCTCTTTCCAAATCACAGTGTCACTTAAGTCAACAGCCACCCAAGTTTCAGAAAGTCAAGAAAATAGCACATAATCTTTGCATTTGCACACATACATGTCAGAAGCGTACTTTCTAGGCGAGGGTAAGAAAAAAGTCCTTTGGTTGTAAGTCCCATGGATCCCACCAACCTGCAGTCTGAGACGCAGAAATAGAAAAAAAAGAGAAGAAAACATTTCGAACCTTAGTGAAGCTGCTGCCAGAGGTCCAGTCAGGGGAGAAGAATTATCTAAGGGGGAAGGAGAAGGTGCTGGCTATTTAAAGTGTGGTTCCAGAACGCCTCTGTGGCACTTGAAATTCTAAACTTGGCCCAGCCCACATTCCACCCTTGTGCCTCCCCCTCCCCTTTTCTCCCCTCCCCTCCCCTCGGCCACTGGACAACCCACACATGAGTGATTTCGCAGTCTGGGGAGTGTGCACGCCCTGGCAGGTCGGGCCAGTTGCTGGTGAGCTTATGAAGTGTGGTCTCCTCCCCGGAGCTCATGTGCGCTTCCCACCTGGTGAGCTCAGGGTCTCTCTGGAGGGATCCTGCCTCCCACCCCTGTCTCCAACACAAGTGCTCCTATAAATCCATCAAGAATAGGTATTCCTTTGGTCAGGTGCTGTGTAGATTAATTTAAAAATACATTTATCTTACCGTTTCGCAGCTTGCAATGTGGAATGGACGATGATTTAGAACAAAGATACATAGATACAGAACTCTGAGATGTCAGAAAAACTTCCCAAACATACACAGACATTTATACACATATAGAAAAAGTCTGAAAAAATCTTCGCTAAATGATTAATAGTAGTTACATTTGTAGAGTGGAACTGAGATCAGGAGATGGCAGTAAGGGAGATTTTTTCCCCACTTTTTCAATATTGTTTAGATTTTTTAATATGCTAGAATTTTAAAATATTTTTTAAATCAATAGAGAAAAGGAAGTGCCAACGTTTAAAATAAAGCAAAGCCCTAAAGCTGTTATAAGGGAAGGAGCAGGCGGTGAGCGCGAGGCCGAGGTCATCCAGGGAGCTTCGTTTCTCTGCAGGAACAGCCCACAGAGGCGGCTGTGAGAGTAGTTCATTCAGCCTGGAGTCTAGGACAGGGCAGAGTCCCACCTCAGCCATGTGCTGAAGCACAGTACATGTAGTGGAAACCTGCTCAGACTTTGACACCAGAGAGTGTGGGGTCTGAGTCCTACGTATGCCACTGTCTAGCTTGAGATTTCAGGAGATGATGACTAACTGTAAATGGCAGCTGTTATTCATCCTTAAGGGATTATTCACAGTGAGCAGTGAGCCCGGAAGTCTTCTTGAAGGAGACGGGACTGAGAGACCCCTGAGCTAAGCTGGGCTCTGGCCAGACTGTGAGAATGAGTTAGGTAGGGGATGCGGCAATGAGTGAGTGAGGTGATAGAGACATCTTGAGATGACGGAGAAGTGTGGAAAGAAAGACGGATCGAAGAGTCTAAGGTAGTTTCCGTTTCCTTGATCCCTCATCTAACTCAAGGGCATGGGGTAGGGGCATGGAAACACTGCATGGTAATACCTGGAGAGCTTCCCAGAAGCTTCTTGGAAATTATTATTCTTATGTTTCAGCGGCCCCTGTTCCTCTCCCCTTTCAAGCTTTCATCTGTTAGACTGAGCTCTGTAAAGCAATAAACCAAAAGCGTCCTGAGACAGCCTACAAACTCATGTAAAAAAAAGACCATCTTCAAAGCAGTGCTATTGACTTCCATTTTTACGTATCACTGAGTGGTACTTACTAATGGCCTACTATGCATTATAAACTTTGGCATTTGTAATCTAAAATTACCAGATAACGGGTGTTTTCTCAGATACCATTCAGCCTTTGGCAATGTTGCACAGCCCCTTCTGTGTCCTCACATATGCAAACGGTTGCAATTTCCAGCTTCCAGGAAAGACTGTCAGTGATAAGGACATCATCAGGCTTATCCTGAGTTGGTTGTGAGCTGCTGCTGTTGTATGAAGGAATGTTGGCTTTACTTACCAACTCTTTTGTTTTTACATAACTGCTGCCATGTTACCATGTTGACTCCTATTTTATTCCTCTCCAAATCTTTGTTATCCCCAATTTCTTTTTCCTCTATAAAGTGGGAATGGCTATGGTAGGTTTTTTGTCCTGCTTAGGTTGACAAAAGTTAAAGAAAAAAAAAAAAAGCTTGAGAACCACTGGTAGATAAATGTTGGCGACAGTCCCTCACAACTTCCCGTCTGGGGTTCCACACAAAACAGGCATGACTAGCCTTGCATCTACCTCACGTTGCCATCATCCTTTGGTCTGCTGGGTGCAAAGTCAAGAAACCTGAAAACAGGTAACAACAGAATCCGTATTCAACAGTTCTTACTCAAGAGGCTGCATAAGTTTTAAGACTCACTAGAGATTGTCAGTGAGGATAATTGAAGGCTGTGCTTCCAACAACAGGATTGTATAAAACAAAGTGAACCACGCAAAAAGCAGGCCTAGGAGTCCTGGTTTGTACCAAGTTGATCCCAGGTATGTTTAAATGACAGTACGCCATGATACGCTCTCCCAAAAATTGTTTGACTCTACTAGGAGTGGAATAAGAACAAATAAAATTTTTTTCTAGTTTGACATTTCACAGAAACAAATTTTAAAAGCAGCACGATTTGTTTCAAGAAAGAACATTTCTGAGCAACATCAAGGTGGCAAAGGAAGTGGTGGGTTCTCCTCTGGAGACCTTTAAATTAAGAGATATAGTTCTGTTTAACCACAGGAGTCAGAAACCTGTTGACTTTTTGGATCCCTTTTCAAACATCACACTGAAAGAAAAGAAAAGAGCAAGTAGAACAGACTAAACAACAAATTATGGCTTTTGCTATAACTGAAATAATTTGAACAACAAAATGAATAATGATAGTATTGGATTGTAGCCCAAAGAACAAAGTTCACTAATAAGTTCATGCTGATACAAATAACCAACAAGTTAATAAGTGGGATAAAAGGACTAGTCTTCCTTACAGTTGAATTCCAATTAATACATATAGAAGGATGCCGAGCATGGTGGCATGCACCTGTAATCTCAGTTACTCAGGGAGGCTGAGGTGGGAGGATTACTTAAGCTCAGGAGTTTGAGGCAACACAGCAAGACCCCATCTCAAAGAAAAAGAAGTCTTAATAAATGTAGAAGGAAAGAGAAAAACAGAAAATCACCATTAGACAAACACCACTATAATAATTGTTGCAGACAAGATCTACCAATGAATGCTAAAACTAGTGGGTGAAAGTTCCAGGAGGAACAGAATTTTTACAATTCCAAAGTGTCTCCCCCAAGATATTTATTAACTACAAAGGGAAAAATAGTGATTTTGAAGTAGAGAAGCCAGGCAGAAACCACCTTAACCAAATGACCAAGGTCAACATCACCAGTAATAAGATAGTAATAAGACATCAATATCTCTCTATATCATGAACCATGGATATGATGTACTAAGAGTGACACAACATTTCTGTGGTATTCTTGCCAAACATGCGGTTCAATCACAAGAAACATAAGACGAACCCAAAGTGAGGGGCATTTGACAAAATTACCGATCACTACTCTTCAAAAGTGTCATGAAAGACAAGACAGACAAGACAACAAAGACTGAGCAAGTGTTTTAGGCTGCAGGAGACTAAGGGAAAATCACAACTAAATGCAATGTGGGGTCCTGAATGGGATCCTAGATAGGATCCTGGAATAGAAAAGGACATGAATGTAAAAACTGGTGAAAGTTGCATAAGGTCTTTAGTTTAATAGTTCTCTACCAATGTTAATTTCCTCGTTCTAACAATTGTACTATGGTTGTGAAAGATGCTAACGTTAGGGGAAGCTGAGTGAAAGATGGAAACTCTCTGTACTATTTTTGCAATTTTTCTGTAAGTCTAAAATTAGCTTAAAATAAAGTTTTTTTGGTTTTTTTTTTTTTGTTGTTGTTGTTGAAGATTTTTGTTTACACTCTATTACAGCCCAAGTACTTGACCCTGCTGTGAAAAGCTCTGGGATGTTACGTGCGGAAACCAGAGGTGTCACTGAAAACTGTGAAGCGTTTTCTGTTTGATCCCAGATGGGATAATTCACCTAAATTCTATCAACTCCAATTTGTTTTCTTGTTTCTTTGTTTGTTTGTTTGTTTGTTTTGAGATGAGGGTCTCATTCTATTGCCCAAGCTGGAGTGCAGTGGCACAATCATAGGTCACTGCAGCCTCAACCTCCCAGGTTCAAAGGATCCGCCCAACTCAGTCTCCCCAGTAGCTGGGACTACAGGTTTGCACCATCATGCCCAGCTAATTATTTTTTAATCTTTTATAGAGATAGGGTTTTGCTATATTGCCCAGGCTGGTCTTAAACTCCTAGCCTCAAGCAATCCTGCCTCAGACTCCCAAAGCACTGGGATTATAGGCGTAAGCCACCATGCCAGACCCAAGATCTGAAAGAAACAAGACTTATGACAAAGAATATTAATGACGTCAACCATTACCATTAGTAACGTTTGTCGTGCATTTCAAATGTGCCAGACGTGGTGCTAAGTGCTACACAGGCACCATCGCATTTATCCTCAGAACAAACCTACGACACAAGAATTACTGACATGACCATTTAAAGACAGGAAAACAAAGGCTTAGAGATAATTAAATTACTTGCTAGGCCACATAACTAGTAAATGGTAGACCCAGGTTTTGAACTCAGGTTTGTAGAATTCTAAAGTCCATTATTTACTTATAGCTACCATGCTATCTATACTTTAAGTCTAGAGGGGGAGGAAAAAAGACAAGAAAAACACTAAAAAGCACAGCTCTAGTACTGTTTATTTTGGCTATTGCTGGCCCGTGGGATTAAACATAACTTTCTTAGGAAAGAGGTGAATAACGAAAATGACAAGAAAAATGTTGCTTTCACTGAAAATCTCATCAGACCTGAATAATACTTTAAAAATCTAATCAGAAGGCTCTCTTCCTATCCCAATGTGTTCCACAATTCTCTCCTACTACTCTGCCCTATTAAGGAAAATCATACCTTTTGTCTTTAACTCTAGAAAAGTAATTGCAGTTATTTCCCAATTTTATCCTGTTTCTTCCAATCCCTGTTTCCCTGATTTCTTGTCTGACTCTCAGAGTACATACAGTTTGCAACACTTATGTAACTAGTCTCAGTGGGAAGCTCTTGGCTGATGAACAGTTAGTGAGCAGGGGTTCTGAGTGAATGGAGACACCCTGACACTATGGAGCTGCGGTGAGGGATTAGGGCAGAGTGACATTTAAAAAGAGCAACTTCAATCGATGGACAGTCTTTTATCCTAAACATTTTTAACCACCACTGCAGGACGTTATTTGTGATGAGAAAAATATATTGATGCACTGATCACACAGCTGACTGATGAGGAATGCAAAGTGTGGCCGGAATCTCATCTCTCATGTCTCAGCCCAGAGAGAGAGGGGACCCAGAAGGGAAACATGATTGTTTTCCCATGACTGGGAAACATGGCAGCTCTCATCTGTCCTGTTTCCCCAAACAAGAAAAAACAGACACAGCCTGCTCAAACTGTGCCGTCAATGCCCGTGAGCCAAAGACCGCGAGGAACACACAAGTTGGGTTCATTACTCGTGGCAACAAGGGAGAGTGCACACAATGTAAACTGTGAGGTGTCTCAGTCAGAGGGCGTCGCTGAGGACTTGTTATCGGATGAATTTCTGTTAGGTGATTTTCAGGAGGCTTCAGGAAGCAGGGCTTTGCTTTGGATTGGATGCTGTGAGGAAGGAGGAGTAATTTTATAATTAGGTTTCCTAATGGATTTTGTCTAGAAAGCAGGAGAACGAAGTGAAGTGAAAAGCTGTGATTGGCAAGGAAGGAGCAGTCACTTGTGTTAGCCGGCAAAAGATGTTCGATCGCTTGTGTGGTTTGGACAATGTTTACGTTGTTGTCTTTATTCAGACATCATCACAGGGTGATCTTATTTGTGTCTGGATCCACCATGATCACAGAGTGGCCTTGCCTGACATTGACATGTGAGAACAAACACCAGGGCAGCTCCTAGCAATACAAAGCCTAACTGATAGTGTCTGTCCAATTTCCAGCTGTCAGGGGCTTCTTTTCTCTTTCTCAGCCATAACAGCCACATAAACTCGGAGGAGTGAACTGACGTCACAGAAAGTGGTGACTGTAGCGGGAGGAAGGCCCCTCTACCTGTTCTCAAGGCCTTGGCCACGGGTTTTCACCCCCTCTTCCCTATATTCTCCTCCTTCACACTAAGCCCAATCCCAACTTTACCCGCTCTTGTTATATCTTATCCGTATTCCCTCCATTAAAAAAATATTTTTTTTCCTAGCATAGTTTGACATCATTGTGCAATTTTCCTCCCAGTTATTCCATAAGATTAAAATTTTAAATTTTCTGAATCAGAAATCAATGTTGGCTACCCCGGGAAACATTAAAGAAATTACCGATGTTTAACGCCCACTCCTAAAGAGAAGATTCTGATTTAATTGTTCTGAGGTGAAACTTGAACATTGGGATTTTTTAAAAAGCTCTCTGGATGTCTCTAATAGGCAGCTAAATTTGAAAAGCTCTGTAGCCTAATTGCTGCTGTTAGCTAATTTCTTAGTCCATCCTCAGGGAAGATGTACTACAGCTGGTCTGGTCTTATATCTGAAACTCCTTTTCAAAGACACTCTCAGCCTTCTCTTCTCCAAGATAAATAATCTGAAACCCTTTTATCTTTCCTAAGAGTTCTTCCTTCTCATCCCCACCCACTGTTTTCATTGCTCTCCTTTGGAAGCTCTCCAGGTTCTGAACATCCCTGTCAAGTACTGGTGTCCAAAGCTCCCTCACGGCCCCTTTCCGCTGCCTGCCTGCTGGCTGCAAGTGCTGCTTGCTTCCACAGCTCTGTAGTGTCAACTGAACCCTTGGTTTCCACCAATGGAGAAATTCAGCAACAGAGAGAGATCTACCTACACGTCAGACTAACAGGCAAAAGAAGCCTAAAGGTCCTGCAGCCCGACTGTTGGACCAGGGTGGCCTTCCATAGAGTTCTGCTAGGTGGACAATGGAGAAGGAAAACTAAAGAAGGGGCATAAATGGAGAATGAGTTAGAGCAAAGTTCAGTGTGATGAAAAAAAATGTACCTGGGAAGCAGAACTCCAAACTTCTAGTCCTGGATATGACCCGAATCAGCCACATAATCTTGGGCAATCCATTTTGCCTTTCTAGGACTCTGTTTTTCATGCATAAAACAAGAGAGTAAGACTGGGTCATCCCCAGGCTTCACTTCAGCTCTGGGTCTTCCACAGCTGATCTCAGGCTTGGAAAGAAAGAGACTGCTGGTCTGATCATCCCTCTTGTAACTGCTCTGGCCACAGTTCTTTCTATCCAGCAACTCGAGTTATTCCAAGAGTTCTTATATTCCCAACAGCCAATGACTATAGCCCAGACTAGCACCTCTAGTCTGTAAGCTTCTTGAAGACAGTAGAGTACCATCTGCCCCCTGAATATAGATAAGAGCCTAGGAGTGCTTAGCTCACTTGGCAGATACTTTAAACATTTCCTCAATCTCCAGGAATCAGAGCTCCAAACAATAATGACCAGAATAATCGATATTCACTTTTCTTTTCTTTTTTTTTTTTTTTTTTTGAGACGAAATTTCGCTCTTTGTTGCCCAGGCTGGAGTGCAGTGGCATGATCTTGGCTCACTGCAACGTCTGCCTCCCGGGTTCAAATGATTCTCCTGTCTCAGCTTCCCAAGTAGCTGGCACCCACCACCATGCCTGACTAATTTTTGTATTTTGTGCTAAATTTTGTACTAAATTTTGTATTTTTAGTAGAGGTTTCACCATGTTGGCCAGGCTGGCCTCGAATTCCTGACCTCGTGATCCACTCACCTCGGCCTCCCAAAGTGTTGGGATTACAGGTGTGAGCCACCGCGCCTGGCTGATATCCACTTTTCATCAACAATCATACTTACCAAAACTTAGCACCACATAAAGTCATCCAGATTAGCAGTCATGGCATGTACTAGGAACCTTCACATACATTCTCTCATTTAGTCTGTATTGACAAGCCAGAAAGACTGGCATTATCCCTATTTTATAGGTAAGAAATTGAGCTTCACAGACAGGAAAATTAAACTGCCCAAGATTCCAAAGCTAAGAAGTGACACACTTAGGATTTGGATGTCTGTCTGCCCCAGCTCCTTCTGCTCCACTCAAACAGATTCACCTCACAGTTAATTCAACGTAAGCTTCGGGACCCCCTTGCATGGGTGCCTTCCAATCCCCTGTACCTAGTTTTGAATTCTTAATTTTTTGCCATTTTCCGTAAAGGGGACCCTCCGCAAATTGTCTAAGCTTCAAGACCTACAAAATCTAGATCCGCCCCTGAACTCAGCTTTCCATGTAAACAGCAACACTACCATCTTGTTTAGTAATTTCAGCGTGAGGGTATTTTTCAAACATGAATTCAAGAGGAATCCTTGCCGGCTTTCTGCTCTGGGAACCTATGCCGGTTCTTTAAAGAAATGGTAGAGTATGGCCGTGGGTCACTCACTATTCCGTCTTCCCACTTACTCTGTGCCCATGGTTCTCTTCTCCCATGCCGGGCTGTGGATTTCCCCTCTCCCTCACAACAGGCCTTCCTGAGTCCGGCTTTAGCCTGTAGCATGCCCTTCCATGCTGGTTTTCATAAATCACTTTATTCTGTACTCAGTCTTTGGTAATGACTCTGTTCTACCCCTCCTGCTGCTTCTTTTGGTTTGCACTTTGGACCGGAGCCTGCTGCTGCTTTGGGATTGAGCCTCAGCTGCTTTCTGTAGCCAAAAAAGCAGTGCTGTTGTTCACTTGGAGAGGAGTGACTTGAAAAGGGGGGAAGAAGGGGGATTGTTGTCTACTTCAATTTTTGTTAGGTAGGCTCTAATATCGAAATTCACATTTCATTCCAGCTTCTTCTATAACATCTCATATTTACCCATCAAAATATTCTAACACTATTTATTATCTACTATTCCTTCCCTGTATCTTGACCTTAGTTATCAGATCTCTCTTCTTTAGATTTTATATGTATAAAATTTCCCTCTTTTGTCCCCTCTTTGCAAACCAGAGAAGGTGTAGATACAACTTTGGAAAAACACAGTTTAGCAAAGAAATAGCTTGGGAACTGAGGCTTTCAGGTGAACTCAGCACACCATTTCCTTCTCGCTCGGTCCTGTCCACTTGTCATCTCCTAGAGCTTTAATACCTCCCACTACAACCATCTGGCAAATGAGAAAAACCTTTGCTTGGTCACAACTTATCATACAATGGTAACTTAATTCATAATATTAGAAAAACCAGGACAGAACTAGGCAATTTATACATAATGTTTCCAAAATACATTTTTTGTGCAGGCCATCTTTTAGAAATGTGTAGATACTATCCTAGTGGTAACAGAAGCATAGAAAAGTTGACGTTAGGATACCTGAAAATCTTAGGGCTATGTAATTGTAAGACAGGACTTAAGATGTGTATGTATTAATCCACAGAACCTACAGCAGTTAGAATATTACACATTTTCCAAACAAGAACTGCAAAACACACACACACAGAGCCAGCACGGATCCATGCCCTTGCGGAGTTGTAAACAAGTCTGAAGAGTCACCTGTCAATAGCAGCGATGGCAATACCATTATCTTGGAAAGAAATCATTGTTTCCTAGGTGACAAACTTGGGATCAGATACTTTAAAACTCTCAATTCTGCTTTCAGTTTCTTCTCTTGCCTCCTATGTTTTCATACCACGCATACCACCAATTTACAAAACCCCCAATGTATCCATCCCTAGGAACAAAACAGAAATTCTTGTGAGGCACAGGAAAGGACAAATTTCAATGATGAGGAAATCCTCACATTTCCATTTCTCGATGGAAATTACAGCAATTTTTGCTGACAGCTTCCAAAAGCACAGGCTGTAGAAGAAATATGTATAGAGAGGAAACAAATTCATAAAGATACTTAACCATCCACACTGTGAATACTATAAATTTTAAAATTCAAGATCTGATTCCTTCAGACAGAATTGTAATTTGAAGACTAAAAGAATGCTTTGTATAGATACAAAAAGGGATATGAACCATTTGGAGGGTGTTCAGAGGAGAAATCAGTAGAGTTAAGGAACCCGGAACACAGTTGACAAGATTTGGAGATTTCTATTTTCCTAAGAAGTAAATTTGTTCTACTGAATGCAGGATATTGGCCAAAGGGCAGTTACAAATACTTCAAACTGCAGCAGCTTATAAAATGTTAGCCCAAGTGTAAAAAGTTACTGCATTTCTTCTCATGAACATTAAAAAAGACATTACACTTACCTTTTTTGATCTAACTTGAATAGGAAAGTATGGATAGAGTGAATTTTACAGGTTAGCGCAAAACTAACTGCGGTCTTTGCCACTGACCACAATACTTTTGCACCAGCCTATATTAAGCCGAAGGAAGTTAGCTTATGCTCTCAGGCACTTCAGTCTTTGTATGATGCAGCACATTCTGCGTGAGTATAGCAGACAAACTCAGAGGTGGCCTCCCGCAATCCCTGCCTCCCCTGGTGTTCACTTCCTTCTGTGATCGTCTCTTGGCATGGGCAGGACCTGGGACTTGCTTCTCACCAATAGAATAGGGCAATGGTGGCAGGATGTATGTGATTATACATACATGTTTACATTACATAAGATTGTAACCTAGTCTTGCTAGCTTTGAGAAAGCAAGTAGCCATGTTGGGAAAGCGCAGGGGCCAAGGAACTAAAGGTGACCTCTGGCCAGTGGCCAAACAAAATCTAAGGCCTTTATTCCGACGACCCAAAAGGAACTAAAGGCTGCCAACAACCACATGAGCTCAGAAGTAGATTCTTCCTCAAACTTCAGATATGACACAGCCTTAACCACCACCGTGATGACAGCCTTGTGAGACCCTGAAGCAGGGTACCAGCAAAGTTGTGCCCTGACTCCTGACACAGCAATTGTGAGGCAATAAATGTGTGTTGCTTTAAGCTGCTAAGTCTCTAGTAATACTGTTATGCAGCAGTAGGTAACAAATACAGTAAATACTGAATGTATACACATTTGTAAAGCTGTGTTTGCACATTAGAGGTTTTGGAATGACTATATGTACACATGCACAGACATGCAAACCATTTAAGAAACTTAAATGTAGTCAACAGAGCAATAAAGAAACTTGGCATTCTTCACACCAATCAATTCAAGATGTAACAAAGATTTAATATAAAGCATAAAAGTTTTAAGCAAAATCATGGAGGTATTTTTATTACCTTGTGGGGAAGGTCATTCTACGCACGTCGGGAAAACCAGGAATTATAAAATCAAAGAGATTAAGTTTACATCATAAAACTTAACTTTTATAACAAAAAAACTATAAATAAGGTTAAAAGACTAATAATAACATGGTAAAAAATTTGCAACACAAGACAAAGAAATAATGTCCTCAATATACATAGCTCTTAAACATCAAGATTCAGTATAATGCAAAACTATACAGCCATTAAAAACAATACAAATCTATATCTATGGTCATGTACAAATGTTCTCAGGATTAAGTGAAAGAAGCAAGTTACAAAGCAGTACATAGAGTGTGATCTCATCTATGCAAAGGTGTACATAGTTGTATATAAGCATATGTAAATATGCACAGAGTTGTCTGAAAGTAAATCTTAACTGGTCATTTTGGGGTAGATTATTTTTTATTTATTTTTTTAAAAATGTGCATGCACTATTTGTTTTTTTAAGAAAGAAATATATTTTCCAAAAAAAGTTTTAGAAATGTTTGTGTACCTATGAAGCAAAAGTCCATTTATTTGGCAGAGAAGTTAATCAGACAGCAAAACCTCTAGTGAAGAAACACCACTGTGAAAGATAAAGGAAAGTAACTTCAAGGATGGAATCAACACCAATACGTGCGATCATTACTGAAGACATCATCTCAGGGAGAATGCTCCTGAGATATCTTCCAGCACTATTCATTTATGAGCTAAAGGGGAAAAAAGCAAGACTGGAGATGTTTTAAAATAACTTGGGGACAGAATGGGAGGCCATTTTGAATATGATACTAAAATGTATAAAAGGAAAGAATGGTCTGTTAAGTTCCATTATCAAATTAATGATCTTTGTCTTACTGGTGATAGACGCATTCACTGTAAGGATGGGAGTCATAAATATGAAAATACGTAAAATATTATATATAATCTTTAAAAACCATTATTTCTCATAATGCATTTAGAATTATGGTTCTCAACTCTGGCTGCAGAAAAACAAAAACCTGATGTTTAGGTCTAGAAAAGACAAATCTAGAGATACTCAGATTAATGGCCACCTAGAGCTGGGAGTAGAAACAGGGAGTGACTAAATAGACATGAAGTTTCTTTTTGGGTGATGGAAACATTCTGGTTTGTATGATGTGGTAAGGGCTGCACAAGTCTTTAAATTTACTAAAATCATATATTAAAATAAGTGGATTTTATGGTATATAGATTATACCTCCATAAAGCTGTTCAAAAAAACATTGATACTTGGGCTCCCTGTGAGATACTTGCAATTAGATTGGTCTAGGATGGGAGCGACAGGGATGGTTTGTTTTTGAGGCAGAGTCTCCCTCTGTCACCTAGGCTGGAGTGCAGTGGCGCGATCTCGGCTCACTGCAACCTCCGCCTCTACCGGGTTCAATTGATTCTCATGCCTCAGCCTCCCAAGTAGCTAGGATTACAGGCGTATGCCACCATACCTGGCTGAATTTTGTATTTTTAGTAGAGACGGGGTTTCGTCATGTTGGCCAGACTGGTCTTGAACTCCTGACCTCAAGCAATCCGCCCACCTAGGAACACCTCCAACTGTACAAATGGAATTCTAACTATGTTCATTGTGAACTCTGTCTTGCTGGGGTGATTACAGACATGTATAGTTCCACCTTTCAGAATTGTAGGTTAAAAGCTAAAAGGATATTTTGAATATACACTTAAGATGGATATGAAGTAAGTTGGAATTGTCCAGGTAAGTCCAAGGAAGAAAGTGAAGGGATTCAAAGTTATAGCACATAAGAAAAAAAAGACATTAAACCAGAGGAGCTAGGGATGAGAGGTGGAGAAGTAGAGATAATCGCTATCCTCAAATGTTGTAAAGCTGCCTAACAGAGATGCAACTCAACTAGTTTTTCATATTCTCAACCAGGATTGATGAGGCTACAGGAAGATAGATTTCAGGTCGATCTTCACAATAATCCTGCTCTAGGCGTTGTGTCAGATCCTGGAGATATATTCTACAGTGACTATATTCTAGTGGTCCTCAAACTTTGTGTTCGTCACAGTCACCTGCAGGGCTTGTTAAAACGCAGGTTGTTGGCCCCACTCCCAGAGTTTCTGTTTCAGGAGGTCTAGGGTAGGGCCTCATAATTTGCATTTCTAATGAATTCCCAGATGACGGTGATGCTGTCCATGCAGAAACCTCACTCTGAGGACCAGTGTCTAGTCTAAACGCTATTAGAGCTCCAAGAAAGGACATCTTATTCAGATTAGATGGAGAGGAACAACCTGAAGGACTTCTCAGAGGAATTTGGGGATGAGCTGAATTTTGAAGAATGAGAAGGTAGTAAGGAGAAAAGGTAGATGAGGTTATGGCAGTCCAAACACAGAGAACATTAGGGGAGCAATAATGTATAGGAAGGAATGAAGGCATGAAACAGCATTCCTTCAGGTTATCTGTTGCATGTTTACTCTATGCATTGTATTGTTCCAGTTGCTGTGTATGGAGGGATAAAGGAAACAAAACCTCTGCTCTCATGGAACTTTTACACAAATATGCCATATATGGCAAAGTCCCCTAATGGAATAGAACAGGCCATTGCAAGAGAGAACATGGGGGCCTCTGAAGAGATAACATTTAAGCTGACATCTTAAGAATGAGCGAGCTGAGACTGTTGAGAGATGCTGGTGAAAATAACCAGGAAACCATGAGCCTCCAGCCTAGCTGTCAACCACCCACCCACCAATACCCAAGAAGTAATGAAGAGAAAGGCCCTGTCTCAACCTAGGTCCAGAAGCACTATCAAGGTTCCCAAGACAACCTTGAAAGGGAAGGGAGACCTCCAAGGGAGTTCCAGGGAAAAAAAAAAAAAAAAAAAGCCTCTACAAAAAAGACCACTGCCTCAAGAAAACCTGAGGAAGGGAGCAGGCCACACTATCCGGCCACTGCGACCAGCTGAATGAGGAACTCAATCAAAATGAGCCACAGGAGGACCCAAAGAGTGAGGAGCCTCCGCCATCTCCAGCATCTCCCTGAGAACCCAGTAATTTCAGGGCAAGGCCAGAGACCCATGAGCTATCTGAGAAGTCTCCAGAGGTCTAACTCTAGAGAAATAGCCAACAGAGTCTAGAGTACGTTTAACATCATCCCACAGGGTACGCCCACGGTGATGAAAATAAGACTAATACAATGGACTCTGGTGACTTGGGGGGAAGGGTGAAAGGGGGTGAGAGAGAGAAGACTACACATTGAATGCAGTGTACACTTCTTAGGTAATGGGTGCACCAAAATCTCAGAAATCACCACTAAATAACTTACCCATGTAACCAAACACGACGTCCCCCAAAAACCTATTGAAATAACATTTAATAGGTTAAAAAAATACAAGTGGAAATGTTTAACAGACAGTTGATTAAACAGCTCAGAAACAACCCGTGGGCAAGTGATACTTTTATTCAAATGAATAAAAGTAATTGGGAGTGGACTGGGGCACCCATGTTATATAGAGAAGAGCCCCCAATTACACCATTTCAAGGAGGCTGATTAAAGAGCAGCTAAAAAGAAGAAAAATTAGGAAACGGTAGTGGCCAAGAATCCAATGGAGGGGTTTTTTAAAAGAAGTGGACAACAATGTCATACTGAAGAGAGGTCAAATACAAATGACTTCTAGCAATATGGAGTTCACTGACTTCAATAGGGAAACTTTCAGTGAAATGAGGGTAGAATCCAGATTACAACTGGCTGAGGAGTGATTGAAACCTAAATACAGAGAAGAGGTAAGGCTTGGCTACAAAGAAGAAAAAGAGAACAGGAAACAGAGACAGGTTTAAGGGAAAATATGTAGTTGAGCACTCCTATTTAATACAGAGCTTGAAATTATATGCTAAATGAGAGATACTGAAGATAAAGGGCTGATTGATAGAACAAGGTCTCTAAGGAGTTACAATGGGATAGGATTCACTGATGTGCTCATTCACCTATACTCTCATAGTGTTGACCAGAGGACAGACACCTCTTCTGGGACAGATGAGGATGATGATATAGATAACTAAGGAAGAAGCTTAGAAGCTCTCCTATTAGGTTCAATTTACCCGTTAGGAGGGTAGGCTTCTGCTGAGGCAGCAGAGGTGACAGGCTGAGTATTTGACAAGAGGTGAAAATCTGAAATAGTCTTTAAGAACGGAAGAGGTTGGACCGCCAGGGCTGCTAAACTGCTTCAAGAGCCTGCCTACTTGAGTCAATCTGTGGTGCTACCAACCAATGGTATATACTCAGTAGCATGCAGCAGCCCATGAAATCAAAGAAGTCAGATGGCCAAACTGATCCACGGATAAGGTTCTGCAGAGCCAGAGTGACAGGCCAGAGTCTATGCTAAATGGGGAAGCGGTAAAGCCAGAGTAAACTGACAGAGGGGGGGGGGAAAAGGTTGGTTAAGGAATTGGAGGCTTCTTGAGGTCAAAGAGTAAGTATACTGAGAGGAAGAGATTAAAGGAAAAGACATTAAAATCATAGAATAAATTAGGCTGTACATTTCAGAAAATAAATTTCTGATGAGTCCGAAGTGTGGACTTAAAATTGGTTTGCTAAATGGAGTAAAAAATGACTAGTGGAGATGGAGGTCCAGAAATTGTTAAGGTCATCCATGACTAATGAAATTGCCCACAATGATGGCAGCACCAGGGAAAGAGATGCCCATCATCGAAGTCCCCTCCATAAATGACGAGTAGTAACCAGAGATGAGTGAGGAGGATAGATGGTGCAGCTCAACAGCAGAAGCCTCAAAATAGAAGAACAATGGTGTAGCAATGGCAATCAAGAATACAGGGGCAACAGACCCTGTAATCCATCCATTTACTAGCAGTAAAGTGAGAAAATGAACACTCTCCACTTCAAATAGTCCTAAGGTAAGTATGGCTGAGGGAGAGTCAATTTCCAGTTAATGAAAAACCAGAAAAGCATATTTACAAAGGAATAGGGAATGAAAATCTCCATAATGCGAAGAACTGGCAAGGACAGCAGCAAAGGTAAAATGAATTGAGGAAAGTAGGTAACAATTTGAGGCCTGGTGACTGGATGGGCTTCTGTTTCAGATGGCAGCAATGCATTATAGGGATGAGAAGCAAAGTGAATCAAACCAGTCTCTCAATGTTTCAACTGAACTCTGAAACGAGATGTTTCTATGACAAAACCAGTCCTGGGAAGTGACCAAGACGAGATGAGTTTGAATTGTTATTCAAGGTTCCAAAGAGAACATCAGTGATTTGCTGTTTTGCGTTGTCAATGAAGTTTAGCCCCAATTAGAGAGGATGGTAGGGCTAGGTCAGAAAGACTAAAGCTGCCAGTGCCCAGGTGGCCTACTGGTCTCAACAGAGCAGCATAATTTGCAGAGGGAAGGGGCCCATAGATGACTGAACGTCTAGGCTAGGTTTGTCAAAATGTGTCTAACACTCTCACCTTACCTCCATGGAGTTCAGCATTGAATGGAATAGAGATGCCGACTTGCTAGCCCCAGGGCATAAGTGAAAGTGCTTGAAAATGCTGCAAAATTCAGACCCCAGCAGAGGGAAGTCTATAGGCGAGTTCCAATACATGTTAGTGACCAATACTTAGATTTTTCCAAGAGATAGTCAGTACAGACACTGTATGTTCTGTCCTCAGGAGTGCCGAATCAATTTTTCGCTCATTAAATGGGGATTTGGACTATACAGCCTCTATTGTCGTCTTTAAATTCTGTAACCTTTTTAGGAAGAAACATCCTTAGAAATCATCTATGTCTTACCCTGTCAAGGGGAGGGTTGTAACTTTTTTCTTTGTCACTAACTTGCATGTGGTAGGAAGCCAAGGTCCACAACAGATAAGCAACTAACCTAAGGGGCCAAACATAGAAGCTAAAACCCCAATTCTCTTATTCCTAAATCCAGTGTTCTTTACGGGACGTAATTCTAAGATTCTCATCGGGGCTTCTGCAAACCTTTTTTGAAACTAAAGGACATTCTGATTTCATCCTACGTCCCTGACAACTTCAAAAGGGCTCCTCAATACAAGGTGGGCCACGGAGCCATTTCTAAAGCTTCTTCCTGTGGTGCCTTTTCCCCCTCCCCACTGACAAGATACACAACCTAGCTCCAGAGATCAGGCTAGGGAAAAGCTTTGCCTAATAAAGAAATTTCATGGAACTTTAAGGAAATATTAAATCAAGTCTTTCTTCCTACCAAAGTAGAAATACACTTTACAGAACATACAAGTGAGAAGGGGTGAAGAGAGTGAAATTCCAAAATCACTCTAGTTTATTCACATAATATAGTATTTGATTCCATTCTTTTGTACTGTTCCCTACTTTTACAATGTGTACAATGTTTCACCATGTTCCAATTAATGGTTGAGCTTTAAATGAAAATATTCTGGATCTTCCATTTATTGGTATCAACCACAATAGCAAGACCCCCAAGAAATACTTGATCTAAACTGGGAGGGTCCAACACAATTTTTTTTTTTAATGGACTTGCCACCTTAAGAAACTTCAAGTGTATCTTTTTGTTGGCAAGAAAATTATTTCCCAAGAGGTAATCAGATTCCCCTCCCTGCCCCCGCTCTTTCAACCAACCCTCCTCCTAACATACACATACAGAGTTACACATTTCATGAAACTGAGGCCAAGTCCACTGCAAGCAGAGTCTTAACATTTTCAGAAATGATCCGTCCTTCATATCTGCATAAGCTGGGATCCTTGGCAATGGGGAAAAGGTGCCATTTGCTTCTCTGAAGTAACTTGGGGTCTGAATTGGTTGTGAGCTTTAAGAAGCCAAAGAGAAAGGGAAAGCATTTCCTTGTTTTCCCTATTAATGGTTTGTTGCAAAGGGATAAACTTCTCAAGAACCAAAAGTGAGGAAATGTGTTGGTCATCACTGGATTCTTGCTGGAAACAGAAGGCAGGTGAAATCTTCAGGAATCACTTCACACTCCAAAAACACTATTCTCAGCAATGATAATAGGCTAATCACACCACTGATCAAATTATTTTGGCTCAGTTCTTTATTTTATAGTTAGCAAATGAAATTAGAAACTGCTTTGGCACAGGTCAAAGGTGGCTCCCATATACTCACTAGTTTTCCTCAGGATTATCAATACTCATTATCAAAATGTACTTTTGCTTGGTTACCATTTAAAGTTGCCACCAATGTAAATGACAGGGGTTAGGGTGGGTATGGGTGTGGGGAACCTGAGCATACACACAATTTTTTAAATCTTTTAGATGTAATGCAATTAACCATATCTAATATTCTTTTAGAAAACACAAGAAACACAAAACATGCTCAAAGATCAAGAAATCGAGTTATACTTTTCATAAGGCACCACCAATTACCCTGATAAATTGTAAATAAATATGTAAGGGAATAATCAATAGGGAGTCTTGAGGTTTTACAAGACATTCCTGTTTAGACCACTTGGAGTACTGCAAAAGAAAAAACAAACAAGATACAGCTTTCATAACCCATCATATCCTTGCCCAGTGCACATCATTTGTTGCATAGTGGTGACTGGATATGATCCAGGCCAAGACAAGACCAAAATTCAAAAAATACATTAACAGCCATTCTTCCTCATACTACAGTAGGAGATACCACTTGGGACATTCATATCCAAAGAAGTAATGGTATGACTTAAAAAAAAAGGAGGAATTTCAAAAGGAGTACTTAAGGACCTGCTATAAAAGCAACCTTCTACACACATATGGAGCTAATTCACATGTGAAGCTTTATTAAATCTGGTTATATGTGGGACTTCAACAGCTCAATTTTTCCACAATTTCCACTTTTCAAATCCCATGCCAAACTGTCACTTTTTCCCTTAAAAAGTGGATAAACCCATCTTTTGAAAGACAGGTCTTCTCAGTTTTTCTGTTCATCCTCCTACTGTAAGTACTGGCTGATATTCACACACATGTACTACAGAATTAAAATACTGACAAGCAAGTAGTTTCTTGGCGTGCACGAATTGCATCCAGAACCCAAAAATTAAGAAATTCAAAAAGACATTTTGTGGGCACCTGCTAGCACAGAAGCGCAGAAGCAAAGCCCAGGCAGAACCATGCTAACCTTACAGCTCAGCCTGCACAGAAGCGCAGAAGCAAAGCCCAGGCAGAACCATGCTAACCTTACAGCTCAGCCTGCACAGAAGCGCAGAAGCAAAGCCCAGGCAGAACCATGCTAACCTTACAGCTCAGCCTGCACAGAAGCACAGAAGCAAAGCCCAGGCAGAACCATGCTAACCTTACAGCTTAGCCTCTGTCCTTTAAAAAAAGAGAGAGACAGACAGACACATGGGGTCTCGCTGTTGACCAGGCGGGACTCAAACTCACAGGTTGAAGCAATCTTCCCACTTCAGCCTCCTGACCACAGGTGCACTCTACTGCACCTGGCTGCCATGTTTTTTATTATTAAAGTACATTATGGGTAATCACAGGTTTAATGTTTGCCGTTTCCATTATTCAAGGTATGACATGCAATAATTTATAATTTTACTGAGGCACAAATTTGAATCATGCAGGCAAAGCTGGTGTGCAGCAGCTTAGTGAGGAAGTCATGCATCTACACATCAACATGGCTTTGCTGCAGTACCTATCAGGAAGCAAAATAAACATCTGTGGAAGAAAAATCTCCTGTCTTCTCCCCCAGCTAGAAAGCTAACTACTGGTGCTGTATTTGTACTTTTAAACTTGGGGATCTGCATAGTTCTAATGACTTAGCTTTTAAGAATACCACAGGCCTACCATATTTCCATTTTTCTTTCTATAACCTTTGCCAGAGTTAAAATACTAATGATGAAGAATTGCAACTTCAGTTGCAGTTTAGAGGAGATAAGGGTAGAAAGACATTTTAAATCATGTCTTAATACAAAATATTACAATACAGAAGGGAGCAAGTAAGTAATTTTCTCTAAGTGAAAATAATGCTTTGTATTAGAACACCAACATTTCTTTAAATAGATGAATCTTGTTTCATTAATTCCAAAACCGCAGATTTGTGTATTTTTTGTTTTGCCATTAATTTCTCCCTTCTGTTCTTCTCAGCCTTGGTCTAAACCTGTGGTCAAGTCATACCAAATCCTCCATGACTGTCAAGTAAATACAGAAAATCCCACAGTATCAACGAAAAGACATATTTAAGTTTCAAAACGTCAGAAGGTGACAGGAAGCTATTCATACTTTCTCAGCATCCTCATGACTCTCCACTGATAGTGGAATAGTTAATGGATGATTAGGAAGGAAAAATAAAAATTTTAAATGTATTCCAGGCATCTGTCACTTAAAATTACATTCAATTTTTAACCCACAAATATCTGAAGACTGTTACAAAGAAGATCAACAGGCAAAAAATATTGTGCTTTCTTGTATAACATCAACCAGAGGAAATTCTTAATTGATAATCGTTAGCTTGGCAAAACGAAAACTTATGAAATCAGTTAATTAGTTACCTTGCAATATCCATTGAAATCTTCGATCATACACAAACTTACTTCAGATGAGACCTCAAGACATATGCACAGCAACACTAACAAACCTCTGAACAAGTCAAAACACTCAAAATGTTATACAGTATTAAGAATGAATAAAAAGTAGGTAGTATGAACTTCAGAGAAAACATTTACAGAAATTGGATTTTATAAGAAAACATCTTTTTTTTTGTAAGATTCCTTTTGAGTTAAATCTCATACCCACTCAAACTGTAACTGGACAGTACATTTCACTTCTAGTTACTAGAAGACAGTTCTTTAAAAGAGACTGGGGCAAAAAGGGAAGAGGAAACTATAAGCTGTTGCTAGGTCCACCCCAATCCCCCCTTTAAAAGGAAAACTGATGAATTTAAGTCAAACCACAGATTTTTTTAAACCAAAATAAAGACACCAGACAGTGATGACAAAACACTATTTTTAGTCATTTTTTTTTTTGTCCTTTAAAAAAAAATTAGTCCCCTTCTAATAAGAGTTTACATACAGCTTACCTAATACCTTAAGAAGAACAGAGAACACAACAGGAGGGAAGAGGACACAGCACCATAGTTTCAAACATTCACACACAAAAGAAAAAAGAGCCAGCACAGACTAGAGTGAGACCAAGTTTCCCAACAGACAGGGACAAGTCCCAACACACAAAGGACATATAATTATCTATATGAACAAAAGCAAAATGGAAGATCTGGTCAGGCTGGGATGGAGGAGGGAGTGCTAACTCCTTGTACTACAAAGAAGGAATGGGATTTTTTTTTTTAAAGCAAAAAAGAAAAAGCAAGCCCCCAAATGGATTTTTGATGTTGAAACTCTGTCATATGCTGCTGGTAACAGTAAATATATATATTTATATATTCATATATGTATATTAAAAAAGGAAAAATAATCTATGTATAGAACAGTCAGTAGTCAGAGACATTTAGAAAAAAGTAAAAACAAGTCCTTTTTTTTTTTTAAAAATGGATTTACTAAAACAACTTCATCACCCAGAGGTACTACAACCCCACATCCTCTGATGAAGCCATGGTGTTATTCAACAGCATCTGCTGTGGGCCGTAGTTAGAAATCACCAGTGTTGGAAACAGCAGACATTGGGGTCAGGGCTGCAAGGCAAAAAGCTGTTATTTGCTGGTCTTGCTCATGGCCATGCCTGAAGCCTGGTGTCTGGAATACTTGTGAATGAAGTTTTCCCCGAAAAGCATGCATCACTGTGGCTCAGTAAGATAGTACGACTGGTCATCATCGTCATCTTCTTCTCTTTTTTTTTTTGGCAGAAGCCTGGATCCATGTACCTGCTCTTCCCTAAAATGTAGACCCAAGACAGCAAGACTTTTCAAAGCCAAAAAACGGCTCCTTGCCTTGTAGTAGGTTCTTCTCCTCAGAATCCAATCTAGTCAGATTTCTGATCTAGATGATATCCTCATCTTACAAAGATAAGGTGACCTGCCCCAGCTTGTGAGAGGTTCTCCTATTTGGGATGTTCTTCTAGCACAAACAAGCACAAATCGCTGAGGTCAATAGACTGTGATACCATTCCTTGACGTCTAACAGAAATAACTTTGGCCCTGTTACTCCTAGTTGTATCTTTAGGGCATTAAGTACCAGGTAACAGTGGAAGGAAAGTGGTACTCCAATCCCTCTCCAACTATCCCAATGAAGGAGATCCAAGCAATTAGCACCTTCAGTTGGTGCTGCTCCTAAGTTGTAAGCCTCTAACTACTATCAGCTGGACAAAAGCCACATCCTATATGCCCTGTTAGCACACCAATGTATTAATACTAACCAGCCACCCTAGAGCTCAATTAAGCATCTGGCCTTAATGCAGTAAACCACACTCAAAGGAGACATGAAATATTGGCTGTTGTACCAAAGAAGACACCCTCTGCATAGATATGTTGATAGAGAATGTAACCCACAGAGTCCATGCAAAGAGGAAGCCAGCACTAAGGGGACTTTCTCTGAAGGCCATTCATCTTTGGAAGCAACATTCCAAGTGGATATAAACCACTCTACTTGATGACTAAGGTCTCAATGTGGTCCATGTCCCCCCATGTCCCAAACTAACCAAGCATCTGCTAACTGGTCTCTTTAAGATCCTCCATTGGTAGTTTGTAGCTCATTATGAAGGAAGGAGGTGGTGCTGGACCTGGGCTAACTGGCCCCTGCTTCTTTGCACAGTTTATACAGATGTAATCTTCATTTTCAGCCATTTCTGGAGATACACCCACACAAACTTGATGAAACCACTCATCACAGCCACCATCACATTGTACCCAGTCTACCTGTAGGAAACAAGATTGGGGAATGTTTAGGTTACATAAACATTAAGCCTAGAATAAAAGCAAACCAAAGAGCTTTCTTGGCTTAAACAATAGCAAACAACTGGGATGTCTAGATAGGCAATGACTTCTTATGGGGTTATTTTTTAAAGAAAGAAGCTGAGAAGTTAATACCCCAAAATTATATTTCACCATAGTGTGTCCACAAAATTAGGCCTCTTAGGTACTCCATTACCTCATGAATACCTGGGGCTCCTTGTGAGGCAGAAACATGTTTGAGAAAAATTTGACAAAAAGGGAACTTCTAATAGAGCAGCCAAGTAGTTTTAGCTAATATTAACAATTTCTAGGCTCTAAGACAATGCAATTATCAATCAAGAAAGGAAGAGTACAACAATGTGAAGGCAATCCTGTGTATTAGCTTTATTTCAAAGAGATAAGCCAAAGTACTAAGAGCATTAAATACCTTTTTAGAAAAGCAGTCACATAGGCCACTTTTAAAACTAATATTTTTTATTCTTCTCTTCTTCCGTTACAAATACAACTCCCTATAAAAAGTTAGCAAATATCAGATGTCAAATCTTACAAATTAACCAATTATAACAGTCAAAGACACAGGTCAATAGATCACTCTGGGGTTTAAAATTAAAATCTGAAAAACTGATAGGTCAGTGGCAGGTGTCAAACTTTGACCCTTCTGACAATACTGTGATTACAGGAGGCTAGGAAGGGATTGTAGTTTGGTGACTTTAAGCCTTGGACTTAAGAGTTAACAATAAAGTGACTTTTGGCTTTTATATTTGAAGGCTGATTGTGGTAGTTTTTACAGCTAATGTCATGGCAGACAAGAACATTTAAGATGAAAAGAGCTACTCTTCCTCACCTCAATACCAAGGTTGGTCATTTCATTGGTAACGTTAAGAAGCCACTTAAAACCATGAGCTTTACCAGATATCAAAGTAAGGAATAGAAAGGGATCCAAGAAGTACCTCTATACAACTTAAGAGAAAGAACAGATGAAGGAGGTTTTGGCTAGGTAAATGAGTTTCATTCATAGCAACTGAGTAGTTTTCAAAATTAGTTTCCATGTCCTATAAAAAACTGTCAAAACCACAGTAGTCACGTCAGTAGTTTTAGGCTTGTAATAAGGGGTGGGAAAAATAATTTGTCAAAATGATATTCTACTTGTTTTGTTCCTATGCTAAAGTTCTAGATCTTAAGAGACAATATTGTGTTAACATCAAGATTACTCAACTCAGAAGCTCTGAGTTCCAGTGTGTATCATTTCAGGCAAGTCATTTAACCTGAGTGACTCAATTTCCTCATCTGAAAATGGAGATGACATTAATTACAAGATTACCGAGAGGATCCAATGAAATAATGTATGGCAAAACACCTAATTCACTGCCCAGGATACTGGAGGCACTTTCCAGTCATGGTCTCATGGCTCTACTCATTACCCTACACTACACAAAACGTTCTGCACCTTGATACAACTGTCGGCAGCACTGCTTTTCAAAGTGTGTAGACCACTGGCATCAGAATCATCTATTGTGTTTGTTTAAAATGTAGCTGGGACCCATCACCCTATGAACTCAGAATATCTGGGGAGTACAAGCCAGAAGCTTACATTTTTAATCAGCTCCCAAGTGATTCTCATATATTCTAAATCCGATCATTGCTGGCCCTCTGTGATATCACTTCCTGTAAATTCAGAGCAACTTAACAATACCTTCCTAAACTGATTTTTGTTCTGTAATTGATTGTTTAGCTTCTGAAGTCTGTGCAATAAAAAAACTCACCAAAATGTTCCTATTGTAGCAAACTAATCAGAGACCAAAAAAAAAAAAAAGGGGGAAATAATGGCATCTGTGCAAAATGTAAAAATTAAAGTACTGCAAGCAGTAAAAACACAAAATGCTAGCTGTAGAGTACGTGCACTCAGAGTGAGTGTTTTGGCTGTTTGGGACTGGTAAAGGGAACTGGATAGATAAACTGTGGTTCTCTGTGCTGCCCAGGTTTGAGATACCATGCTTTTTATAATGGTACCTGTGAACCAACAGTTACCTTCACCCTTACACCTCCAACCCTCTTTCTTAATCCAGTCTAGTCCCCATTCATGCTAATCCATTGGATAAGAATGTTATTAATGTATCAGTATTTGCTACAAAGAAAAGTGTCCCATGTCTTTTTAAATCTAGTGTTTGCACTATACTCACTGGCTTACAATTTCCCAAAATTCTCTTACAAATAAGACAATACTTTCCCTTTTGTGATTTTGACTAAAGGTCCCTTCCTAAGCCCAGATCTTCTACCATTTCAAAAGAGTATATAACCTTCCTTGAGATACTGGTACACAAATTCTAACCTAGACTACAGGTTATATAACAATTTAGCCTGATAATAGAACAAGCAAAAAATAGTCCTTCTCTTTACCAATATCTTTTTTATCATGTTCATCTACTAACAATCAACTCTGAGTTCTACTTTTGTGTGAAAGGCCCACAGCAACATAAAGCAAACTAAAGTTTGGGATGTCAACTGAATCCACAGATGATTTTGACACAGGGGCAACAGACTATGTAGTATCCTGAAAACTCAAGAACACAGAATTTGGATAACTGTATAAATTGTCATTTCCCCCCCTTTCATTATTTCTAGGAGATGTATTTAGTGAATCACAAAAATAATTACTAAACTTCACAGCTATGAACTGTTCAAATATTAAATGATAGGAGATTTTACATTACAGTACAAATAGGTTACTATGTTTAGATCTGGGGGAAATGTCTGTTTCAAAAAGAAATATATTAAAAAGAGGAAATATTAGTTTAATATTCATGTTTTGCTGTATGGTTTCATATTCACACTTAATAAAAAATATTTGGCATAGTATATTTTGTTCATTTCTTAGAGAATAGTACTGCACTGGGAAAAAAGAAAATCTGGTAATTTAGTGATATTCTTAGCTTACTAATTAAACTGAGCTTTTGTTATTTTGGCATTTAATATCTTTTGCACCCCAAGTTTCCTAGCAAAAGCTGGATTTGAAAAAGGAAAACAATTCACTAAGTGAACTACAACATATGTTCAGAATCCTTGTGTATATTTTCTTGGTGCTCTCAATATTCAGTGACCAATCCTCCCAATTTGCCAAGGAATGACAGATTTCTCAGCATGTGGGAATTTCAGTGCCAAAACTGGGAAAGTCCCAGGGAAACTGGGACAGTTAGTCACTCTAGCTCAACATCATGCGCGTGCACGCGTGTGTGTGTGTATTACACACATTTAGGTAACTTAACCTTTGCTTATCTGTGCTAAAAGGAGATATGAACTAGTAAAGCCGCTGGAAATGCAAATACTTTGATTGAGGCAACACCCCCATGAAAATCTTAAATCAGAGTGGCTAATAAATAGTAAAAATGAGAGTTCATAGTCTCTTAATTTACCACACAAAACTTCTCATGGAAGTAGGAATGGGTAAAGGAAAAGGCCAACAATAAGAGGGTTAAAAAAAGTGAAGAGAAAAAGACTATTTTCATAAGTAAAATTATTAAATATTTATTCTAATACAGAAGAAAAATACTACTTAAATTAGTAGCCTGAGAGAATTTGATATTTTTTCTAGTTAACTTGTTTTATCTTTGGTACCAATAAGACTGAATAAAGAGTTCAGAGACAAAAAGATTCTGAACTTCAAAATTAATTTTTTAAAAAGTTTTGTTAATATTAATTTTAGCTTGACATTAATTTAATAATCAAAGGAAAAATTATTTTTTCAAAATCTTTTACATTATTCTGGTATTGTCTTCCTTTTTCTAAAACATCTTGAAACTGAGGCTAGGCACATTTAACTAGCCTCATTTAATCTTTCTTTTAATTTTTAAAAGAGCATTTCTCAAAAAAAGAGGTGGGCATAGTGGTGTGTGCCTGTAGTCCCAGCTATTCAGGAAGCTGTGGCAGGAGGACTGCTGGAGCCCAGGAGATCAAGGCTGCAGTGAGCTATGACCACACCACTGCACTCCAGCCTGGGCAACAGAGTAGGACCCTGTCTCAAAAAAAAAAAAAAAAAAAAATTTAATCTGCATATTTTGGGGGAAAAGTCCCAGTAATTATTAGTTAGAGAAATAATAGTAATTACTGGTCAGAGAATTCACCTAAAAACAAGTGAACCCTGGAAGTTATTTTTTGCTGCATGGTATCTTAAAGAACAAACTGGGCTAAAAAGCATGATTTTTTCTTTCTTTCTTTTTTTTTTTTTTTTTTTTTTTACATCATCTTGCCAATCTTTTTCTTTTTGAGACAGGGTCTCCTGTGTAGCCCAGACTGAAGTGCAGTGGGGCACTCACAGGTGCGATCATAGCACATTAACTATAGCCTTGAACTCCTGGACTCAGGCAATCCTCCTGTCTCAACCTTCTGAGTAGCTGGGACTACCAGGATGGGCCACTGCAGCTGGCAAAGGCATTCTTTTCTTATTTTGCTCTAAAGATGTGTGCTGTATATTAATTGTTTTCTCAGAGAAACACTAAACACTGAGAAAGTTTTAACATTCTTTACAGAAATTTTTATAGAACTGTAACTTTTATTTAGCAAAATCAATGTCAGGAACAAACATGTAGAACCATAAAAACTGCAAAACAGCAGTAACAGGCAAAATATCTATAATCTGAAATAACTTCTGCTTAAAACGAAACACGTTATAGAAATAAAACACTATTTTATATAAACTAACAACATAGGGTGGGGCACACGTTGCTCACCTTTACGTATCGTAACAGTTCAAAATAGACATTTTCTCTGAGCACTCAGCCAAATCTCCTTTTGCTCCATCAAAATGTAGATGATAACTCTAGATTTTGTTTAAAGATTTTGTTTAAAAAATACCTATAATATTAGGAGCAAATCTCACAGTTCCTTCAAAAATAATGATCACATCTTAGCACTTACGTTGCATTTTTTGGTTAACAAGTGCTTTCATAGAGATTGTTTTGTCTTATCATCATAACCCTTTGAATAGGCAGGGCACCTGTTAATTTGACAATTTCATAGCAAATGAAAAAAAAAACGGCCTAAGTGTTTATATTGCTATAAGAAGACAACAGGAATAATGGATGAACTGAATCCTATTTAAATGCTGAGCAGAAGGGAGGGGAAAGATTAAGTGATAAGGAGAAAGAGTATAAAAATAAGACGAAAGGCTCATGATAGATGTAAACATTATAGAAAGAATGTCAGGAAAGTTTAAAAAGGAAACATCCTACCTTGCTGCTAGTCTTTAAACTACCATAAAATTAAGGAAGAAAAGGGAGAAGGTTCTGCCAATAATGAACTGCTACACTTTGATACCCAAAGAGAAAGTTAACTCTTCATCAGCCTCTTTAACAAACAAACTCAGATGGAAATAAATTCAAAATTAAAGATAAAAATAATATGCACATATATATTAAAATGCTTTAAAATGTTTATAATATAGGAAGATGCTTATAAAATGAACAGATGCAAGTCAGTAAACAGTCTGACAATGATATAAAACAAACGCCATAGAAAAAAATTGGAAGGAAACACTAAAATATTTATAGCTGTCTGCCTTGGAAGATTAGACTATAGGATATATATTTTACTATGCACATTCCAAAAAATGAATAGAATACCCCTAATACATCTCATTTAAATATGTGTCATTTAGTTTTGGAATGTGTTTTTGTACTTACATCTCAATTATTGATGGGGTAAGGTGTTAGTGGAGAGAACCTGGTCTGACAGCCAAGATCTAGGGTTCTACTTTTGGTTTTGCTACTAACTAGCTCTGTAACTTTGGTCACATAATTACCTTCCCTGAGTCCTGGTTGCATCATCTGTAAAATGAGCAGCCTGAACAAAGTAACCTGTTGGTGCCTTCAAGCTCTAAAAAGGTTTAAGTATTTCATTGAAAAAGTGAGGGCATAACCTATAGGGAACAGTGATGCAGTTTTATTTACTGTTTATATTTTCAAACTGAGGCACTATTAGAATTCTAAATATCAAATAGTATAATGAGCATAATAAAATTAAAACTACAGATTTATCAATATTCTTGATAAGAGCCGTAACAGGTGCCTCCAATCATTTAAACAACTGGAATTTTTCATAAAGTCTGACTATTACTCTCAGAAGTTCATACTGTCAACATTATATTTAAAGAACGGCCATAAGAGAATTACTATACTTAAAATTTAGGGTTGGAAATTTTAAAACAATGCTTTTTTTTTTTTTTTTTTGAGACAGAGTTTTGCTCTTGTGGCCCAGGCTGGAGCACAATGGAGCCATCCTGGCTTACTCCAACCTCTGCCTCCTGGGTTCAAGCGATTCCCCTGCCACAACCTCCCAAGTAGCTGAGATTACAGGTGTCCGCCACCACACCCTGCTCATTTTTTGTATTTTTAGTAGAGATGGGGTTTTACCATGTTGGCTAGGCTGGTCTCGAACTCCTCACCTCAGGTGATCCGCCCACCTCGGCCTCCCAAAGTGCTGGGATTACAGGCGTGAGCCACACCTTGCCTGGCCTAAAATAATGCATTTATAGGTTTGAATTATTTGTTGCAAAAGATTTGAAGAAAATCATATTCCATTTAGGAGGGTGCCCACAGCTCTGAGTGTAAGATATGGACTAAAAGTTTCAAGTCTTTGGAATACCATCTTAATGCAATTTGCCACAGCTCTTACAATACTGGCCCAGGATTTTTTTCAGGCCATTGTGACTATCCGACAAGGTATTTAGTTCTCTGAGTCACCTTATAGGGAAGGCACAAGATTATTCTGAAACTTGTTATGCCCACTGCATATGAAATGCACTGTTTGCCAGGGAATGTCACATAGCTTCTCTCTGCTCCTGTCTCATTATGTTCATTAAGTATATGATTTTTGAAATACAACACTTCTACTAGGCACACTAAGAGCCTCATTATTCAAAACAGTTTATAGAAATTGTACAAAAGACATTATGTTGGAAGTCCAAATCCTAGAACCAAAAACATACTACACATTGATATCAAACATGTGTCTCCACAACTGTTGCTCCTTGACCTCTCATGCTTGACTATAAACAGTTGGAACTCACCTTGTCCTTGCAGGGCCTTTGGCAGTTCTGTGCTGCGCACACAGCATTCTCATCATCAGACTCCTCTGCTCCTGACCAGTCATACTTTGAGGGGATGTCCAGCACCTTTTTCTCTCTTTTCTTTTCAGTGCTCTCTTTCACAAGTTCAACTTTGGCTGCAGCAGCCTTCTCCTTCTTTTTCTTTCTCTCTTCTTCTTTTGCTAGTTTCTTGGCCAGTTTATTCAGCTCCTTTGATTTGTCTGCACCTAATTTTAATTTCTTCTTTCTAGGTTTGTCCATTTTCTTTAACTCCTTGGACTTCTGTTTTCCTTCTCCAAAAAGTTGCTCTACCTTTTCTAGCTTCCGTTTCCGTTTCTTCTCTGAAGAGTCCTTTCCTTTCACTTTTAGTGGTTTCTCTTCCATGCTGTCATCCTTCAAAAATATAAATTTAGGAACAATTTTAAAGCAAGACAGTTAAAAAACAGTATTACTCTCTTATATGAGGTACCTAGAATAGACACATTCGGAGAGACAGAAAGTCGAACAGAGGTTACCAGAGGCTGAAGGGAAGAAGAAATGGAGATTTGTTTAGTGGGTATAGTTTCTGTTGGGGATAACTAAAAAATTCAGGAAATGAATAGTGGTGACAGTTGCGTAACACTGTCAATCTACTTAATGTAACTGAATTGTCTACCTAAAAAGGGTTAAAATGGTAAACTTTATGTTATGTACATTATGCTACAATAAAAAAGATTTATGGGCCAGGCACAGTGGTTCAGGCCTGTAATCCCAGCACTCTGGGAGGCCGAGGCGGGTGGATCACTTGAGGTCAGGAGTTCAAGACCAGCCTGACCAACATGACGAAACCCCGACTCTACTAAAAATACAAAAATTAGCTGGGCGTGGTGGTGCATGCCTGTAGTCCCAGCTACTTGGGAGGCTGAGGCAGGAGAATGGCTTGATCCCGGGAGGCGGAGGTTGCAGTGAGCCGCAATCAATCCACTGCACTCCAGCCTGAGCAACAGAGCAAGACTCCATCTCAAAAAAAAAAGGGGGGGGGGGGGATTTATGTTATTCTAAAGATATTCAAAAGACATTTTAAGAAGGTAAGTATACTATTCAATGAAGATAACAGTAGAAGATCACAAGTCCGAAATGAAATATTTAACTTATACTAGCTTACTAGGAGAAAAAGGGCATATAAAAAAAAAATCAGTGTTAGCATAATATATTAACAGTCTGTAGCATCTCTGTTAGAGATGAAAACATACACAAAAAGCAAACTGTACTAAATTATGTTAATAACTTTTGGGATCTTCATAATAATAAAAGTATTGGTAGTTATTTTTAAAAAGTCAGAAAAACATAAAATTGTATCCATGATCTCATTACACAGAATATATAGTGACTTTGCCAAGGGCTAGAAAACAGTTCATGTGACAAAGCAAAAAAAATTGTCATTTTTGTTTTCAGCTTTTTAATATTGTTGCTAGTATGTGCCAATGTAATAAACATTTTAAATTTTAATGGTAAAAGTGTATCTAGTAACAGAAAGAACAGGAGGAGGAATAAGAGAAAGAAATACTGAAGAAACATAACATAAACCTAATAATTCCCTTGAGAACTCATTTTTCTACAGATCTGACACTTGAAAATCTTTGACAGGAACCTAAGAATCAGCAGAATCCAAAAGAACACTGGATTATAAGTGCCTTAAGTCTATTACATCTTGAACAAGATATTTAACCTCTTAATACTTTGTGCTTCCTTATCAGTAAAAGAAAAAGGATTGGGTAAGATAATGAATGTGAAGAAAATGCTTTGCAGACTGGAAAACACTATCTAAATTAGGCTACCTAGATCTGACTTTCAAAACAAAAACAAACTATAGCATATGCTAAATATATCTGTATCAACTGTTGGTGACATGGCACCATTCCATTACATGGAAAGAAGGAAACTAATGAAAAGAATACTCATGAAAATGAATGAAAAGAAAAGAGTCAAATGGCAGACTTAGAATCCAGATCTCTTTATTTTTTACTGGATGTGTGACCTTAATTTTCCACCTCTCATACTTACTTTCTTCATATGCAGAATGGGTAAAATACTTGCCCTCTAGCTCCCCTACCCATTCCTCTTCAAGACAGTGGTGAGGACCAAATGAGCTCATGGATATGGTACCATCATCTCATCAAATGAGCTCATGGAACTGCTATGTAAGTGTGATATATGAATGTGGACCTTCTCTCCCCCCCAGGCTTCTACTACTTAACCATCCCTGTGCTTCTTTTCATAGTCACTATATATTTTCCCCTATCTCTGAGCCCTCCAATAATGGGAGTCTGGGCTACAGAGGTTGTTCTAAACGGGATGGTTATCAATCTTGCCCTTCCCCGCTTCTTTTTAGCAGAAATGGCCTTTTTTTTTCAACTTAGATACTACCTAAAAGCTTAAAAGAAAGCCATAAATCAAATCTCTGGTGTCCTACAAGAAGAAAGGAAAGGAAAGGGGAAAGGAGAAAGGGGAAGGAAAAAGGAAAGGAAAGAAGAAAAAAGAAAAAGAAAGGAAAGGAGAAAAGAAAGAAAAAGAAAAAGAGAAAGAGAGAGAAAGAAAGAGAAAGAGAGAAAGAAAGAAAGAGGGAGGAAGGAGGGAGGGAGGCAGGGAGGCAGGCAAGCCAGCAAGCCATAAAGCCCAATTTCTTTGGCTGAAGTGGGAAAGTAGACCAGCCAGATTACTGCCCTCAGCCACCCCTTTGCCAACATTTATGATACCTCTAAGGAACCTAGGCATTCTAGTTTTTAACCACTGTTTAAATAAGTATTAAATCCACACCTCCATGATATGCAAGAATCTGTCTTCAGAGGGTGGGTGTGTGGCCTGCAAAATCCGCCATATGTGTTGAGTCTCGTCCAGAGATACTTCCAGGAGATCTCCAACCATCATAAGTTCTTCCAGTTGTGCCTTAGCTCCAGGTGACAACTCCAGCACTGGAGGTTCCAAACTTCGGGGCACCAAAGGGCTCTTCCGAGGTTGTTTCCTTGGGGTGCTAGAACCTTTCCCAAAAAATACCATAAAACAAAGCAAAAAAAATTAAAACTATGGAAAAAACATGTTTTCAAAGCAAATATTGAGACTAGCCCCCCATCCCCCAATACTAACTTCAGATATCTGGATTCATTATATCAGTATGAAAATGTAAACAGAATTAGAAACAAATACAGACCAAAAAGATGAACAATTCCAAGGCCCACTCTAAAAAAAATGGTTTGGGGTTATTAATAAAAAACAGTTCTTCCAGCCGGGTGTGGCGGCTCACCCTTGTAATCCCAACACTTTGGGAGGCTGAGGCGGGTGGATCACCTGAGGTCAGGAGTTCGAAACCAGCCTGACCAACATAGTGAAACCCCATCTCTACTAAAAATACAAAAAATTAGCCAAGCGTGGTGGCGCATGCCTATAAATCCCAGCTACTCGGGAGGCTGAGGGTAGGACAATCTCTTGAACTAGGCAGGGGGAGGTTGCAGTGAGCCAAGATCACGCCATTGCACTCCAGCCTGGGCAACAAGACAGAAACTCCATCTCAAAAAAAAAAAAAAAAAGTGGTTCTTTATCCTGAACATTAATCTCTACTGAGTCTTTATCGTGTGGCAAGGGGAGCGAGCAACCAGAATCTCTCCATTTTAGAGTATACCAAAAGATTAAGCATTTAATAAAGCATTTGGCTGCCTTATATAAATAACTGGTTGTCTTTCTAATGAACAGACAATAATACACAGTTCCATAAAATCCTGAATTTTATTATAAAGAGATAAACACCCTCCATCTTCCAGAGTTGTGACCTAAAGTAATGTGACTTGTTTTTGCTGAGGGACAGAAAAATTAACATCACAGAGAAAATCACCCTCCAAGGAAAGGAAGAACTTTCTAACAATTAAAGTTACCCAAAACCAGAATAAATATGCTTAAAAAGCAGCAGTTCCACAACACCTGATAATGACCACATAGAGGGTGAAGGACTACCTATCCGGAATTTTCTAGAACTGAGGCATGGGACTAGATGGCCCCTCAAGTTCTTCTAATTAGGACTCTAAAACTCTATGTAAGTTTTCAGGTTGTGATGACAGAAAATGCAAACAGGGATTGGCTTTTCCAAAAGAAAACAGCATTTTCAGGTTCCATTAGTATTTCATGGCCAACCATTGTACTCCACTCGAAATGGAGTCACAGTCTTGATTAACATAATGCTTTTTCTCATTGGTTTTCTGCTTATGTTCCCCACAGTTTTTTAAAGGAGTAATACCTTGAGAACAACTCTTAGAAGCAGAAGAATAAGCATGCTCTGCACAAAATGAAGGTGCTGTCCACATGTGGGTCACCACCTCCTCGGATTTGATGGGAATCTCTTCATCACAAAAAAGATTGGGTTCAAGACTACTAGAGGACTTCACACTGGCTGTGTCCTGAAGAAGAAACAAAGAGAAGTATTCAGAATTAGAGTCATTTAACTTATTTTATGACAAGGCCCAAAATGGAGGCTTTCAGGTTAAAGCTTCTAATATACTAAAAATATGAGATTAAAATTAAATATCTGATGTTAAATAAGATAGAAAATGTCCATTGGGGAGAAAAACTGTAATTGTGGCAGGCCAGGTCTCCATGAGCAACCAGAACAGTTTCTACTAACACATTACTATAATTCTGATGAATGTGTAAGTTAAACAGTAAATAACTGGAGAAACTACTGCCTTCGTACAAGGGCTGAAATGTGAAAACAAACCCATTAAGATTTTCACCCGGGTTTTCTAAGACCCTAAAGCCTGATAAAGTTATGAAGGCATTCTTACACACACCTTGTACCAGGGCCCACTTAAGATAAGGAAATTTTTCCAAGTCTCTAGAGAAAGCTTTCCAGACCCTGGACCCTACCTGAAGATTAGATACAGTTTGAATGAAACATTCTGGCTTGTAGGTGCACCTCCTACACACAGACATAGAATTTAGAATGAATACAAGCGTTGAAAAAAACTTGTAACTTTTAGTTGGTCTGGTGAGTTACTCCATAACCAGCTGCAGAAATTAACTCCCTTCTTTCCCAGTCAGTCTGCATCTCCTTATTGGACTGAGAGAAAAAGCAGCCAGACCTCGTTCTGTCCAGGAATATAATGACTACAGATTCAAGACAAAAGAGAGTGTTAAGGTCAAAAACAATCCACGGAGATAATAAACCTACAAAAAAATTACTATTGCTCTCTAGATTCCTCCTCTCTGGGCAGGGCATCTCTGAAAAAAAGGCAGCAGCCCCAGTCAGGGACTTATAGATAAAACCCCCAGCTCCCTGGGACAGAGCACCTGGGGGAAGGGGCGGCTGTGGGCGCAGCTTCAGCAGACTTAAATGTCCCTGCCTGACGGCTCTGAAGAGAGCAGCGGATCTCCCAGCACAGCATTCGAGCTCTGATAAGCAACAGAATGCCTCCTCAAGTGGGTCCCTGGCCCCCGTGCATCCTGACGGGGAGACACCTCCCAGCAGGGGTCAACAGACACATCATACAAGAGAACTCTGGCTGGCATCTGGCCAGTGCCCCTCTGGGATGAAGCTTCCAGAGGAAGGAACAAGCAGCAATCTTTGCTGTTCTGCAGCCTCTGCTGGCGATACCCAGGCAAACAAGAGTCTGGAGTGGACCTCCACCAAACTCCAGCACACCTGCAGCAGAGGGGCCTGACTGTTTGAAGGAAAACTAACAAACAGAAAGGAGTAGTGTCAACATCAACAAAAAGGACGTCCACTCAGAGACTCCACCCAAAGGTCACCAACATCAAAGACCAAAGGTAGATAAATCCACGAAGATGGGGAGAAACCAGTACAAAAAGGCTGAACATTCCAAAAACCAGAATGCCTCTTCTCCTCCAGAGGATCAAATCTCCTCGCCAGCAAAGGAACAAAACTGGATGGTGAATGAGTTTGATGAATTGACAGAAGTAGGCTTCAGAAGGTGGGTAATAACAAACTCCTCTGAGCTAAAGGACCATGTTCTAACCCAATACAAGGAAGCTAAGAACCTTCAGGAAAGGTTAGAGGAATTGCTAACTAGAATAACCAGTTTAGAAAAGAACATAAATGAACTGATGGAGCTGAAAAACACAGCACGAGAACTTCGTGAAGCATACACAAGTATCAATAGCCGAATCAATCAAGCAGAAGAAAGGATATCAGAGATTGAAGATCAATTCAATAAAATAAAGTGAGAGGACAAGATTAGAGGAAAAAGAGTGAAAAGAAACGAAAAAAGCCTCCAATGCATATGGGACTACGTGAAAAGACCAAATCTACATTTGATTGGTGTACCTGTGTGATGGAAGAATGGAACCAACTTGAAAAACACTCTTCAGGATATTATCCAGGAGAACTTCCCCAACCTAGCAAGGCAGGCCAACATTCAAATTCAGGAAATACAGAGAACACCACAAAGATACTCCTTGAGAAGAGCAAACCCAAGACACATAACTGTCAGATTCACCAATGTTGAAATGAAGGAAAAAGTGTTAAGGGCAGCCAGAGAGAAAGGTCAAGTTACCCACAAAGGGAAGCCCATCAGACTAACAGCGGATCTCTCGCAGAAACTCTACAAGCCAAAAGAGAGTGGGGGCCAATATTCAACATTCTTAAAGAAAAGAATTTTCAACTCAGAATTTCATATCCAGCCAAACTAAGCTTCGTAAGTGAAGGAGAAATAAAACCCTTTCCAGACAAGCAAGTGCTGAGAGATTTTCTCACCACCAGACCTGCCTTACAAGAGCTCCTGAAGAAAGCACTAAACATGGAAAGGAACAATCGGTACCAGTCACTGGAAAAAACATACCAAATCGTAAAGACCATCGACGCTATGAAGAAACTGCATCAACTAACAGGCAAAATAACCAGCTAACATCATAATGACAGGATCAAATTCACACATAACAATATTAAATGTAAATGGGCTAAATGCCCCAATTAAAAGACAAAGACTAGCCAATTGGATAAAGAGTCAAGACCCACCAGTGTGCTGTATTCAGGAGACCCATCTTACTCACAAAGACGCACATAGGCTCAAAATAAAGGGATGGAGGAAGATCTACCAAGCAAATGGAAAACAAAAAAAAAGCAGGAGTTGCAATCCCAGTCTCTGATAAAACAGATTTTAAACCAACAAAGATCAGAGACAAGGCCATTACATAATGGTAAAGGGATCAATGCAACAAGAAGAGCTAACTATCCTAAATATATATGCACCCAATACAGGAGCACCCAGATTCATAAAGCAAGTTCTTAGAGACCTACAAAGAGACTCAGACTCCCACACAATAATAGTGGGAGACTTTAACACCCCACTGTCCATATTAGATCAATGAGATGGAAAATTAACAAGGATATCCAGGAACTGAACTCAGCTCTGCACCAAGCAGACCTAATAGACACCTACAGAACTCTCCACCCCAAATCAGCAGAATACACATTCTGCTCAGCACCACATCATACTTATTCTAAAATTGACCCCATAATTGGAAGTAAAACACCCCTCAGCAAATGCAAAAGAATGGAAATAATAACAAACAGTCTCTCAGACCACAGTGCAATCATATTAGAACTCAGGATTAAGAAACTCACTCAAAACCACACAACTACACGGAAACTTAACAACCTGCTCCTGAATGACTACTGGGTACATAAAGAAATGAAGGCAGAAATAAAGACATTCTTTGAAACCAATGAGAACAAAGACACAACATACCAGAATCTCTGGGACACATTTAAAGCAGTGTGTAGAGGGAAATTTATAGCACTAAATGCCCACAAGAGAAAGGAAAGATCTAAAATCGACATCCTAACATCACAATTAAAAGAACCAGAGAAGCAAGAGCAAACAAATTCAAAAGCTAGCAGAAGGCAAGAAATAACTAAGATCAGAGCAGAACTGAAGGAGATAGAGACATGAAAAACCCTTCAAAACATCAATGAATCCAGGAGCTGGTTTTTTGAAAAGATCAACAAAATAGATAGACCGCTAGGCAGACTAAAAAGGAGAAAAGAGAGAAGATTCAAATAGATGCAATAAAAAATGATAAAGGGGGTATCACCATCAATCCCACAGAAATACAAACTACCAGCAGACAATACTATAAACATCTCTACCCAAATAAACTAGAAAATCTAGAAGAAATGGATAAATTCCTGGACACATACAGCCTCCCACGACTAAACCAGGAAGAAGTTGAATCCCTGAATAGACCAATCAAGTTCTGAAACTGAGGCAGTAATTAATAGCATACCAACCAAAAAAAGTCCAGGACCAGACAGATTCATAGCCGAATTCTACCAGAGGTACAAAGAGGATCTGGTACCATTCCTTCTGAAACTATTCCAAACAACAGAAAAAGAGGGAATCCTCCCTAACTCATTTCATGAGGCCAGGATCATCCTGATAACAAAACCCGGCAGAGACACAACAAAAAAAGAGAATTTCAGGCTAATATCCCTGATGAACATCGATGCAAAAATCCTCAATAAAATACTGGCAAACTGAATCCAGCAGTACATCAAAAAGCTTATCCACCACGATCAAGTCAGCTTCGTCCCCAGGATGCAAGGCTGGTTCAACATACGTGAATCAATAAACGTAATCCATCACATAAACAGAACCAATGATAAAAACCACATGATTATTATCTCGATAGATGCAGAAAAGGCCTTCAACAAAATTCAACAGCCTGTCATGCTAAAAACTCTCAATAAACTAGGTATTGATGGAATGTATCTCAAAATAATAAGAGCTACTTACAAACCCACAGCCAATATCATACTGAATGGGTAAAAACTGGAAGCATTCCCTTTGAAAACCAGCACAAGACAAGGATGCCCTCTCTCACCACTCCTATTCAACACAGTGTTGGAAGTTCTGGCCAGGGCAATCAGACAGGAGAAAGAAATAAAGGGTATTCAAATAGGAACAGAGGAAGTCAAACTGTCCCTGTTTGCAGATGACTGTATATTTAGAAAACCCCATCATCTCAGCCCAAAATCTCCTTAAGCTGATAAGCAACTTCAGCAGTCTCAGCATATAAAATCAATGTGCAAAAATCACAAGCACTCCTATATGCCATTCACACACAAACAGAGAGCCAAATCATGAGTGAACTCCCATTCACAATTGCTACAAAAAGAATAAAATACCTAGGAATACAACTTACAAAGGATGTGAAGGACCTCTTCAAGGAGAACTACAAACCACTGCTCAACGAAATAAAAGAGGATACAAACAAATGGAAGAACATTCCATGCTCATGGGTAGGAAGAATCAATATCATGAAAATGGCCATACTGCCCAAAGTAATTTACAGATTCAATGCTATTCCCATCAAGCTACCACTGACTTTCTTCACAGAACTGGAAAAAACTACTTTGAATTTCATATGGAACCAAAAAAGAGCCCGCATTGCCAAGGCAATCCTAAAGAAATAGAACAAGGCTGGAGGCATCACACTACCTGACTTCAAACTATACTACAAGGCTACAGTAACAAAAACAGCATGGTACTGGTACCAAAACAGATATACAGACCAATAGAACAGAACAGAGGCCTCAGAAATAACACCATACATCTACAACCATCTGATCTTTGACAAACCTGACAAAAAGAAATGGGGAAAGGACTCCCTATTTAATAAATGGTGTTGGGAAAACTGGCTTAGCCATATGCAGAAAGCTGAAACTGGATCCCTTCCTTACACCTCACACAAAAATTAACTCAAGATGGATTAAAGACTTAAAGGTAAGACCTAAAACCACAAAAACCCTAGAAGAAAACCTAGGCAACACCATTCAGGACATGGGCATGGGCAAAGACTTCATGACTACAACAACAAAAGCAATGGCAAAAAAGGCAAAATAGACAAATGGGATCTAATTAAACTAAAGAGCTTCTGCACAGCAAAAGAAACTATCAGCAGAGTGAACAGGCAACCTACGGAATGGGAGAAAATTTTTGCCATCTATCCATCTGACAAAGGGCTAATATCCAGAATCTACAAAGAACTTAAACAAATTTACAAGAAAAAAACCACCCCATCAAAAAGTAGGCGAAGAATATGAACAGACACTTCTCAAAAGAAGACATTTATGCAGCCAACAAACATATGAAAAAATGCTCATCATCACTGTCGCTAGAGAATTGCAAATCAAAACCACAATGAGATACCATCTCACACCAGCTAAAATGGCAATCATTAAAAAGTCAGGAAACAACAGATGCTACAGAGGATGTGGAGAAACACGAATGCTTTTACACTGTTGGTGGGAGTGTCAATTAGTTCAACCATTGTGGAAGACTCTGGCAATTCCTCAAGAATCTAGAACTAGAATTACCATTTGACCCAGCAATCCCATTACTGGGTATATACCCAAAGGATTATAAATCATTCTACTATAGACACATGCACACATATGTTTACTGCAGTGCTGTTCACAACAGCAAAGACTTGGAACCAGCCCAAATGCCCACCAATGATAGAATAGATGAAGAAAATGCAGCACATATATACCATGGAATACTACGTAGCCATAAAAAAAGATGAGTTCGTGTCCTTTGCAGAGACATGGATGAAGCTGGAAACCATCATTCTCAGCAAACTAACACAAGAACAGGAAACCAAACACTGCATGTTCTCACTCATAAGTGGGAGTTGAACAACGAGAACATATGGACACAGGGAGGGGAACATCACACAGCAGGGCCTGTCCAGGGGTGCAGGCCTAGGGGAGGCATAGCATTAGGAGAAATACCTAATGTGGTTGATGGGTGCAGCAAACCACCATGGCACGTGTATACCTATGTAGCAAACCTGTACGTTCTGCACATGTACCCCAGAACTTAAAGTATAATACAAAAAAAATTATGGTTAAGTAATCTACCTTCTATAGTCTACAACCTATAATAACTCCTATACCAACAAGTTAAGGAGGGGAAGATAAATTTAGATGTGACAGCCTAAGGACACAAACCATTTAATCCTCTCTACAGGTTTTCAAACCTAGAATCTTACCAATTGCTCTTAATACAAGTATATGTCTGACTGACAATATATAGATTACAGTAAGTCTTCATGTAATGTCATTGGTAGGTTCTTAGAAACTGCCTTTAAGCAAAAGGAAGTATAGTAGCAGGTCTTTGAATAAAGTTGTTTTCATTTCATTATAACAGTGATGAGGGGGAAAAATAAGTTCAGCTTGCAGATCAGCTTGGTACTGCCCATTAATCTCATTGTTACACTTAAAGTCCTTGCAATGTTAAGTGAGCTCTGATTAGGTCTATGATTCTCCTTGAAATTAGTTTCCACAAGCTCACCTACATAGACACAATCCCAAAAGATGCAGGACAGACTTTGCTTCATTAAATATGTACCTCGTAAGTAATGATTTTCTGGATGGTAACTAAGATAAAATGACTGATTTTATTTTACTAAATAATTACCTACCCCTCCTCCTAAACCAAGAGGGGGCTCTTCCTCAAGCAAGAATACTAAGTTCAAAGTATTTTAAGTTATGAATTTATGGTCACAACAGAGGACATCACACAAAGGAAAAAACCACCAGGTCAAATGCAAATAAACCGGCAAATAAAATTTTCATTATACAATTATCGCTTGCTCTGTGGGAAAATGCTCAAGAGTATAGGCTTTTTTTTTTTTTTTTTTTTCATTCAAAGATATCAACATCAAAGTAAATTGGCAGGGGTATATAGCTCAGTGGTAGAGCATCTGACTGCAAAGTAAATTTGAACTTGAATTACCATAAGTCTTGCCACCATTCTTCTCAGCTGTCAAATACATTGCTAACACTAGAAAATCCATAATCTTATTTTTCTACCCTGCCAATACCCACTACCAAAGAGACAGTAAGCTAAGATTCTCATATAAATTCCTCCACAAAAAGACTACTCCATCCAACCATATGAAACTGCAGTTGTGATCCCTAGTCCTGAAAATCATCAATACTTGTGATGTTTTCATAGGTTACCAGTCTGCTTTCAAGCAAAGCCCATCATGTTAAGCAATTCTAGAAGAGTGGCTGATAGCTAATGTGCTAGAAAGCAACCACCAAAAATATCAAAGGCCTCTAACTAGGGTAAACGGGTGATTCCAGTATTCAAGGAAAAAGCTAATTATACTTGGCATGGGTTGCATTTCTTTTCAGCTGCTCTTAGTCACCCTATATACAACTTCGTAAACAAAGATAGTCATTAACTTCTGGATAACAACGTGCTTAAGAATGTACCGCTGTGTGTGGTATAAGCTAGTGTACCTTTCAGCAGACTGCCAATGAATTCTTCATAATGGGATTTAGCAGTACACTAAGATGATATTCAAGAACTGTACGCAACTGTAATGCCTCTTTTCTTAATAATGGCCCTCAATCAGCCCTTGAAAATCAGTGCAACAAAACTTGGCCATCTGTTCACAAAACTTTCAAAACTGAAAAATAATAATCTACCATATAATAAGATATTTTAATATAAAAAAAGATTATTTGAACAGTCTAATTCAAGTTTCAACTGTTTTCAAGTCTTTAAGTCACATAACTGAAAATTCCCATTTCTATCTTGAGAAAAAATATTTCCCAGCAGAGGAATCTACGAGCGTCTATGATGGATGGTTTTAATTTTATATCCTAGGAGTTTTAATGCTGATGAGATTAATGAGCAGTACCATGCTGATCTGCAAGCTGAAAAGACAAATAAAAGATAGTGAAGGGGTAGGAACAGAATCTCCCCTTGTTCTCTGGAAGCAGCCTTTTGTATCAGAGTAGGAATTCCCAGGTTACAAGAATAGATTCTAAACAAAGCAACTAAGAATCATATAAAACAAGTCAATGGATTGACTGTAATCTGGCAGGGTCTCTGCCTAATCACATTGTTATTACTAGGTTAAAAAGCAAAGGGCTTGCACCTGACAAAAAGGGCTAACGAAAAGCCAACTGGATCCAACACAAAACAAACTTGTCAAAACCTTCTCTTCACCACCAGTAACGTGTCATTACCAAAATAATCACATTGATGGTAAATAATTTGTTGTATCTGCAACTGGAACTCAGCAAATTCTAACCTGGGCCCAAGTATTATATTACCCATCTCCGAATGTGACATTCTATCTAGCACCATCCAGACGAGAAAGCAGAGCAAAAGACTCTAGCAATGGAAGTGTTTTTTTTTTTTTTTTTTTTTTGAGACAAGGTCTTGTGCTGCCCAGGCTGGAGGGCAGTGGTGCAATCATGGCTCACTGCAGCCTCGACCTCCTAGGCTCAAAGCAATCCTCCCACTTCAGCCTCCCAAGTAGCTGGGACTACAGGTGTGTGCTACCACACCCAACTAATTTTTGTATTTTTTGTAGAGATGGGGGTCTCAATATGTTGCACAGGCTGGTCTCAAACTCCTGGGCTCAAGTGATCCTTCCACCTCAGTCTCCCCTAAATTGTTAGGTTTACAGGCATGAGCCACCACACCAAGCCTAGAATGGAATTCTTAAAACTTAACTGTATACAGACTTTCACAACTCAAAGAAAAAAATCTGAAAAACTGAAATTGGCCAAGAAAGCTTTACATATTGTTTTTCTAGTTCCTCTAAGCCATAAGGGATTATAAGATGAGTAAAACAAATACAGATTTTTTAATTCTATTTTTTAAAAATTGTTTCAGGCCTGGCGTGGTGGCTCAGGCCTGTTATCCCAGCACTTTGGGAGGCCGAGGCAGGCAGGTCACTTCAGGTCAGGAGTTCAAGACCAGCCTGGCCAACATGACGAAACCCCATCTCTACTAAAAACACAAAAATTAGCCAGGCAGAGTGGCATGCACCTGTAATTCCAGCAACTTGGGAGGCTGAGGCACAAGAATTGCTTGAACCCAGAAGGCAGAGGTTGCACTGAACAGAGATCGCGCCATTGCATTCCAGCCTGGGTGACAGAGCGAGACTCCATCTCCAAAAAAAAAAAAAAAAATTGTTTCAGCAACCTGTAATGTTTTGAGTTTTGAAAAAATGCTACGACTAAAAACTCAGAACAGATAAATGATTAGTTTTCTCTTTCACTTTCAGGCCTCAAACATCACTGTTCAATAGCTTTTTTTTTTTTTAAACAAACCCAATGATCAGGTATGTACCCACACAGCTTGTCCATGTAACTACCTTCATGTCGTAGCCATATGTCTCTCGAATGTCTTCATCAGAGTCTGTTTCTTCATCATCATAGTCCATTGTTTGTCGAGGAGAAGATGACACACTGCTCACCACCCGGTTAAAAGCAGACTGCTGGAAACTAGGTAAGTGTCCCTAAACAACAAATAATTCCAAGATGAACAGCAAGACATGCTAAACAGACAGGGTAATTAATGTGTGCTTAAGATCACCAAAATGTAATGAATAAGCAAAGTGGCTAACAGAGTTCTTCAACAGTTAGTAGAAATCAAATTATTTGATTATGATGCCAAAGTCCACCTGAATGATATTACCAAGAATATTTCACTAAGTACGTATCCAAAAAAAGTGCTATAGTGTATGTTGAAGGAGAATGCAATGGATAATTGCTGACAAGTTACTGTTATTTTCCTAATCAATTGGTAAGACAGACTCAATTTACTATTTATACACTGACATATCCCATGAAATAGAAAAAGAATGTAAATCCTAAACTTGCCTGTAAGTCTGGATTGGCAGCTGCTTTTTGGAGTTCTGCACTGATGATCTTTTCAGTTTTTTCTCGAGCCGCCTGTTCCACCATACGCTGGCTCAACACAGATAGTTTGGCCAGGGCAGAGGATAGTTCATCTGTGGCTAGAGCCTGCCGCGCTCTATCTTGCCAACTCATAGCACGTTCTGTCAAACACTGCAGGGCCTCTCCTTCAGGCAACCGTACGGGCAACTTCTGAAGGGATACCAGGAGTGACAGAATAGTCTCTAGCCTGGGCCTTCGAGACCGCATACAAAGAGGGCAAAGGAATTTTACTTCTTTAGCTTGCCAGCTGGATCCTTTTTTTTGGGAACTTGATTTAGGAAGAGGAACACAGCTGTTATGGAACCAGTCTTTGCAGAGCTCACACTGTAGCATAAACCCACTGGCTGTCTTGCGGCAAATGCAAAATTTTACTTCTTCTATGCGGTCCACCATTGTCATCTTGGCTAGGTTGGCTGCTCTGAGAGAATGCATGGCTTCAATCTCTTTTTGCTCCCGTTCTTTGAAAACTGCCACCTGTACAAGACAAACATTTAATTGAAAAGAGTCACTGCAATATACCCCCCAAAATACCAAATCCTCAAGGCTGTGGGATCTTTCTCCCAAGTTATCAGTTATAAACAGTTTCCTAAAATGTGGGGCCCCTGGCGGTTTCCATGCAAACATTCCTCAAGTGTGAAATGGGCAAAGTGCTATCATATTTGATCATGTACATCAGTACAGTACTTTGGCCTCTTCTGTAGGGTGCGGTACAAAGATGGCATGCCTTGAAATCAAGCAACCTGGGTACAAAGCCTGGCTCTTGTACTTTTAGACTGTTAATATGGGGTACAAGTTTCAGAACGTCCGTTTTCTGAAAAATGAGAATACTACCAACCGTATTTTGCTGTTTTACGGATTAAATAAGATAACATATGAAAGTGCCTAACCTGGTACCTTGCACAAGGTAAACACTCTTAAAGTATTAGTTTCCTATCACCTCGTAATTCATTCCCTGGGGCAAGTCCTACACAAATTAATTTACTTCTCTCTGGAAAGCCTCTTCATGTATAAGTAGAATAACAAAACTTGACGATCAGTTGTAACAACAGAGTTTTATGAAACTCATTTTAACAAAGTAAATAAAGGCAAACAAATTTAATTATCAATACTGTCAGTGCATTTTCTTGTTAAACTACTGGCAGCTTTGAAACAATTTTGAAATAATTTCCAGTCCTACTTGTCTAGCAAGATTGACTTGTTAGGCAGGCTCTCTAATCAGAGAATATTTTCACTGGCTTCAAAACAGAATCATTTGTAGGCAGAAAGAGCTATATCACATGCAATTCCCTACTTTTATTGTCCAGATTCGTATTTATTTTCCATTTCCTCAGGCTCCTAGTAATCTTAACACATTCCTCCTATCCTCCAAAAAAGCATAATTCTCATCAACTACAAATATTTTAACACTCATTAAGAGATGGAAATCTGTAGCCTGGTATAATTCCTTTGAAAAACACAATAGTAATAAGAGTCATAAAATGCTTATATTAAATTCTAACCCAGTAATTACATTCCTAAGAGTCAAGTCTAGGAAATTTAAAAGAAGGAAAAGGTTATAAAAGAAGTTCATTTTATTACTTACAATAAGAAACTTAGTAACAGGCAAAATGCTCAAAATTAGAAAACTACAGCAGGTCCTCAAATAACATCTTTACGTTCAGTGTAGTTTCATTATAACACTGATGAGAAAAAAATCAATTCCTGGCCAATGCCACTGTCACTCACTAATTTACCAAAAACTGGATAATTATTTCGTTTTTATTACTCTTTCTTAAATGTAGGTTTAGCTCGAATTTTCTCAGTGTTTAATATCAGAAGTGTTTGGGGTCTTTATTTTAAAAGTCTGATGATGTTTTTGTGACCAGAAATATGCTGCAGGAACTTAACTCTTGTTTATATCAGTCTGTAGTAAAAGTGGGTTCATTATACATTGCTTCGCTTAAAGTTGCAGTGCAAGAAGCTATTGATAAAATTAAGTGAGGACTTACTGTACTCAGCAAACTATGGACAACTTGATGGAACAGCAGACAACTATTAAAACAACAATAAAGAACAGAGGTATGGAAAAGACAATTTTGGGAAAAGAGCAGAATACTAAACTTTTTGTATATCTTGATTATAAATATTTACTTTTAATGTGAAATATGTATAATCATAAAGCCAAAGTATATGAAAATAAAAAGTTAAAAACATAAAAACTGTGAGTCTGCTAATATCTCTACAGAGTTTTGTATTCACCAAGCAAACTCAAGATGCTAGGTAATTTCTTACCACCATGGCTGTATCTCTGGTTTCCTCCAATCCTTCCTCCAGATCACTCAGAGGCTCCAGGTCCAGATCCTTTTCTTTTTCTTTTTCTATTAGTTCTTTTACTTTTTTCCTCCTATTTTTGCCACTCCCATATACACCAATGTCGGTCCGGGGGCTCAGCACCTACAAAAATAAAACCACCATTATAAACTCTGGTTTTGAAAATAATCTTAAAAGTAAAAATAATAAAGGAACCATTTGTTGACTGTTCAACCATGTCCCACGCACTTTCTTAAGGACTTTATACACATGATCTAATTCATTCCTCACAACAACCCTATGTAGTAGGTATTAATATCTACATTTTATAAACAAGAGAAACTGAGGCTCAGGAAGGAAATAACTTGCCCAAGGACACAGGGTTAGCAATTAAGGAGTCCACTCTCAAACCTGAAAGGATCTCATTCCAAAGCCTTTGCTCTTAACTACTATGTTCAACTGCTCAAGATGAAAGGGATGATGAATATACAAATTTGTGCTTCGGAGAAATACGATCTTTCAATGATAGGCTGGACGTGGTGGCTCACACCTGTAATCCCAGCACTTTGGAAGACTGAGGCGGGCGCATCACTTGAGCTCAAAGGAGTTCAAGACCAGCCCAGGCAACATGATGAAATCCCATCTCCACCAAAAATACAAAAAATTAGCCAGGCATGGTGTAGCATGCCTGTAGTCCCAGACACTTGGGAGGATGAGGTGAAAGGATCACTTGAGCCCAGGAGGCGACAGCTGCAGTGGGCCGAGACTGCACCACTGCACTCCAGTCTGGGCGACAGGGCAAGACCCTGTCTCAAAAAAACAGAACAAAACGATTTCAATGACTAGAGTCCAATAACAAGCCAAGGCCGACTGCTTTTTCTAGGGACAGCACAAGATTAACTGGAAATGAATCTGCCCAAGGTTCCAGATTTCAAGTCAACATCTGATATTACCTAGTAAGAATCACTTGTATAATGGTAATCAGATAAACTGAAAATAACCCTCACCAATACTATTACTACTTAAATTATCAGCTGCTTATGAGAGTGTTGAAGTTCAAGTACCTGTAACAATGTATGGCTAGAATTCTTCTTAAGAAACGTCCGCCCAGTCCGTTCTCTCCATGCCCGTGCTGCTGCTACCTGTGATTCCACTTGCGGCAGTGCTTCAAGACGCACAGGAATAGGGCGTCCTTTCGCAGACAAGCTCTCAAGCTGCTCCAAATAAGCGTAATTGCTGCCACTCTGAAAAACCAAAGTAGATTCTCACAATTTGAGTTCTCTTATGGGGTTTGGCAATATACTGTTGAAAGACCTTACAAAGTTTAGTGTTAGTTCTTTTATTAAATATTATTCTTTGAATGTAATTCCATCTCTTGAATTAATATAACTTCCAATGTCCTATTTTTTAAAGTTTGTGTAAATTATTTTTTTAATGAACATGTCATCAATGATTTTATTTATTAATTGAGAGTACCAGTAGATATAACAACCAGTTCAAAGGACAATCTAAAGCACAGACATATATAAACACAGTTAGCAGGCCAGGCGTGGTGGCTCACACCTGTAATCTCAGCACTTTGGGAGGCTGAGGCAGGCAGATCACCTGAGGTCAGGAGCTCGAGACCAGCCTGGCCAACATGGTGAAACCCCACCTGGTAGAGAGACAGCCCTTTGAAATTACAGAGGAAACACATGATAGTTACCTATACTTATTGACTTAGTCCTTCAATTCTAAATAAAACAGCCAATTAAAGATTCTCAGACATTCGAAGACAACAACTACTGCCTGAGCCAGGTCAAAAACGCATCAAACATAGAAGCTGTCCAGATAAAAACAGAAATAATTCAAAAAAACAGAAAAGAAACAGGGGCAGCTAAGCAGGTCCCAGAAAAACTCAACAGAAAAGAAAGTAAAAGAGAAGACACCCAGGCCAGGCGCGGTGGCTCACGCCTGTAATCCCAGCACTTTGGAAGGCCAAGACAGGCGGATCACCTGAGGTGAGGACTTCAAGACCAGCCTGGCCAACATGGTGAAACTCCGGCTCTACCAAAAATACAAAAATTAGCTAGGCGTGCTGGCATGCGCCTGTAGTCCCAGCTACTTGGGAAGCTGAGGCAGGAGAATTGCTTGAACCCAGGAGGCAGAGGTTGCAGTGAGCCAAGATCACACCACTGCACTCCAGCCAGGGCGACAGAGCAAGACTCTGTCTCAAAAAAAAAGAACTTGACACCCAGAATACGTTCCGTTTGGGGGCAGCAGTGTAGTGGAAGTTGGTTTTCTTTTTGAGTACAGTTCTATAATTAAGAGTATTTATATACTTAACACTGTAAGTGCTGCTTAACGGTTTTTATGATTCGAGTACACTTTTATCTCTATCTAGCACTTATTTCATTCTGTTTTAAATTACAGATGTGTAAAATACGTCTCTCCAACTAGAAAATATGTATTTGGAAGACTCTACTTTTATACCCTATTTTGTACCATAAGTCCTATTTTTATACCCTTCCCTTACATGCCTGCTCCCAAACATCTAGAATAGTAGCAAGAGTACTGTGGTGCTCAGTAAATGTTAATTTCATTTTATTTTTCTGCCTCTAATTTTAAAAGTAATTTATGCACATGGAAAAAAATTTGAAGAATACAGTAGGTAACAAATTCCCTACTGCTTAAGAGTTAAATAACTAATTCCATCATCTTTCATAGCAAGGAGTCAATAAAAACAAGTAATATTTAAGTAGGTAATAATTATTCTAAATTATAAAATCAGACGAAAGAGTAAGTGAACTTTACTAGAATTATTTTATAGATGCTCCTCAACTTACGACAGGGTTATGTCCCGTCGTAAGGTGAAAATATTGTAATTTGAAAATGCATTTAATAAAATTAACATACGAAACACAGCTTAGCCTAGCCTACCTTAAAGGTGCTCAGAACACTTACATCGGCATGACTGACTGGGAGCTGTGGCTCAGTGCTGCTGCCCGGCATTGTGAGAGAATGTCATACCACATATTGCTAGCCTGGCACAAGTTCAAAATTCAAATTTCGAAACACAGTTTCTACTCAATGCATATCACTTTCGCACCATCATAAAGTCTAAAAATCACAAATCGATCTAAGTTAGGGATCGTTTGTATTATGATTATTCTATTCTAAAGAATTAATAGTTTAAAAGATTAATCCATGAAACAGGCATTACCTGATAGGTGGGATAATCCAAAAGTCTTCTTACCTGAATAGCTTCCACTTTAGCGGTCCATTCTCGAGCCTTTTGTAAGGCTTCTTTCAAGGACAACACATTGGGTAGAAAGGCTGGAATGTTCTTGGCTTCATTCACAATGCTTTCTAAACTTGCCACACTGTGCCTCGGTCTAAAAGAACAATAAAAACAGAGTAGGATGCATGAGAAATCAACATTTAAGTAACATTTCAGAATGTTTAGAGAACTTTCATTTACATGATTTCACTGAATTCTTACCACAATCCTATAAGGGAGGCAAAGCAGCTAGTATCTTTCTTTTCCATCTTACAGATAAGAAAACTTCACAGATAAGAAAAGGTATAAACATAAGTTTATAATAAAATAAAATATAAATTTTTATGGATAAGAAAACTTTAACTCAAAGAAAAGTTATTTTCCCCGGTCATTTAGTGTAATAAAGGACACATCTGAAATACTGATTCAGAATGAGGGTCAGATCCATGATCCTTTCACTATACTAGACTGCCTCTACTCTACTTGTCTACAGTACCTGAAATTGTCAGAGATGCACATTGGATAGCAATATAGAAAACAATAGACTAGAAATCCATTAATGTTGACAATGTACATTTAAACTACATTCATTAACATTAGTTACACAAAGATGAATAAAGCATAGACCTTATCCTCAATGAATCACAATAGAAGATAAGAATTATGCTTCTACTGGGAACTAAAACCAAATTACTATAAACTCACTGTTATGGGAGGCAGTGATTAATTCTGCCCAGGAGAGTTGAGAAAGGCTTTGAAGTAGGCCTTATATTAGTATGATTCTGTCCAAACGAAAAGTTAAAGAAGTTAAAGAAACCAGGAATATAATGAACAAAGGCATGGAGAAACACTTGAAAAGCATTCATGGTTCAGTTTGCGATTAGGGGGTGATGTGGAGGGTTGGAGGCAGGGGCTGGGTGGAAAAAGAGTGGGGCAGGAAAAAGGAATCTGGCAGGAAGAAAGATGCAGAGTCTGAGAGCCATGGACTTCATCATGTAAAGCAATGGGAAGGTACTGAGGCTGAAATCGTTCATCATCCATGAATCCTACTACGTGTTAGGCACTGTTCTAGGTCCTGGAAATTGCTCATGAGCAAAAATGACAGTCCTTGCCTCATGAAACCTTTCATTTATTTCTTTTTTGAGTCTCGGGGTCACCCAGGCTGAAGTGCAGTGGCGCAATCTCAGCTCACTGCAACCGCTGCCTCCTAGGTTCAAACGATTCTCATGCCTCAGTCTCCCGAGTAGCTGGGAGTACAGGCATGCGCCACCACGCCCGGCTAATTTTTTGTATTTTTAGTAGAGACGGGGTTTCACTGTGTTAGCCAGGATGGTCTCCATCTCCTGACCTCGTGATTCTCCTGCCTCAGCCTCCCAAAGTGCTGGGATTACAGGCGTGAGCCACTGTGCCCAGCCTCACGAAACTTTTTAATCTTATGAAGATTATTCATAAGGAGTTTATGATGCTCTGTGGTAAGTGTAATGATAAATGAAAGTAAAAGTGCTATTGGAATACATACTAGGAGAACCTAATTGACTTGGCAGGGAAAGAAGACTTCCCAAAAGTGATGTCTAAGCTTTCCCATCCTTTCTGAACAAGACTTAATCTGGAAAGCTGGGGCCAGGGGCAGGGTAGGGTTGGTAGAGGTACACCACAGGAGATGGGCTGAAAATAAGAGTGCTCCACAGGAGAATAAAATAAACATGCACAAAGATGCAGAGAAAGAACACAGATGTTTGAGGAACTGAGAGGAAAAATCACAATGTTTGGAACATAGAATACAAGAGGAAGAATAGCAAGAGATAAGACTAGATATATAATTAAGCAAGAGGCTAGATGACAGATGGCCTTATAAATCAGGTTAGGGAATTTGGACTTCATCCTGAGGGCAACAGAAAACTAGAGAAGGATTTAAGTAAGGGAGTGAAAGTTACACCTGTATTTTAACAAAGTACTAGTGGCAGTATAGAGAATGAATTAGAGAGGGGTAAGACCAGACATTCTAGGCAAGCTTGTCTTGTCTAGGCAAGCTACGACAGCAGCCTGAGTGGAATGAGAGAAAAAGAAGGAATAATCCTACAAGCAGTCCAAGTGAAAAGATTCTTTTCAAAACAGCAGAGAGAATGATATATCCAAAGTACTAAGACAAAATAATTGTCAACCAGTAATTTTACACCTATCGCAAAAAAGTCCTTCAAGAATGAGGGTAAAAGGCTGGGCACAGTGGCTCATGCCTGTAATCCCAGCACTTTGGGAGGCGGAGGCAGGCAGATTGCTTGAGGTCAGGAGCTCAAGACAAGGCTGGCCAACATGGCGAAACCCCATCTCTGCAAAAAATAAAAAAATTAGCTGGGCATGGTGGCATGCACCTATAATCCCAGCTACTCGGAAGCCTGAGGCACGAGAATTGCTTGAGCCTTGGGCAGTGGACGTTGCCATGAGCCAAAATGGCACCATTGCACACCCCAGCCTGGGCAACAAAGCAAATCTCCATCTCAAAAAAAGGCAGGGTGGGGTGAAAAAGAATGAGTATAACATAAATCCACATGCAGACTTAAAAAAAAAAAATGAAAGAAAGTGAGAAGCACTGGGGAAATATAATCAGCATGACTGAGTTTGAGGATAAAGAAGAAGGGAAGAGTCAAAGCTAACTACCAAAGTACCTGCTTGTTCAAATGAGTGAAAGATGGTATAATTTAAAGAATAAAGAAACAAAGGAGGAGGCTATGAGAAGACATTAATGAGTCCAATTTTGGATACAGGGACTTTCAGGTATCTGTGGGACATCCGCCTGGAATCTAACAGGCGGATGATATTTATGAAAGAAATCTATATTATAAATGAAGATTTAGGAGTTACTCAGTATAAAGAAGGCAAACAGAGCCAAGAAATTAAATGAAATTTCCAGAGAGACTGTACAGAGTGAGAAAAGAAAGGCATCTATGCCAGAATCTCAAGGAAAACCATTATTTTAGAGGTAGAGAGAAGGCCAAAGGCAAAGGAAGAATCTCAAGAAAATAATGGTAAGTAGTTAATAACCAATACTAAGAGATCAAGAAGATTAAGGCTGTGTTTCAGAAAGATAATTCTGACAGAAGTTAGAAGAGTCTAACTCCCACTATTTCCACCAACCACATAATCCTCTATTTCTTTACCAGTTTTACTTTTTTCATGACACTAATTATTTGAAATTCATTCATTTATTTCTCTCTCTCTCTCTACTAGAACGGTAGCTCCATGAAAGCAGAGATCTTTGAGTGTCTTGTTCACTACTGTCTACATAGCATTTAGAAATAGCACCTGGCATGTAGCAGGTTCTCCATCAATACTTACCAAACTCAAATATCAAGGTAAAATATAAGAGGACTACAACTAGGTCAGTGACAATGAATTTGAAAGAGAGATATGAAAGACATGTTGGAGACAGAGTCATCAGAACCTGGTGACTGATTAAATATCAGAGACTGGGAAAACAAAGTTTTTAACTATTATTACCACGAAATTTCATTTGGTGGCCTACTACCAGGTGCGCCACGTTTATCAAAATCATAGTTTTACATTCCAAAGTTATTTAGCTTTGTCCACTTAATATGTTCCCACCTCCTGGAACTGTCATTCGTCTGAAGACACTGAGTAATATGAACAGTTCCAACAGGAAAAGCTATGAATAAATTTTAGTATGTATTCTGCATGGCATCTGGATAGCAAAATATCCAGTGTACACAGAGGCTTCTCAGAGCTGTGCTAATTAAATCACCTAAATATTTTCTTACCAAAATGCATCCAAAGTAAGTGGCTGGCAAAGTAGTTAAGTACACAGAGGTATTGAAATGAAGTGGAAGATACTTTAAATTTCAGTTGTGTCACTCAGTAACTATGTGATCTCTCCAGGCACCCCAGTTTCCTCATCCTCACAATAGAAATTATATAAATATTAATCTTAGCTGCTAGAGAAATGCTTTCACAAGGACCACCGTTAATTATCAGCCAAATTTGCTGACATACAGTCAGATATAAACACTTTATTTAAATCTCATTAAGTCCAATGGGGTGCTGATGCTAATACAGCCACTCAACATTCTCCTCCTGCCTGATTCTCATCTCCCAATACTTTTCGACATGAATCCTCCACTCCAGGGAAACCCACTTATTTTCTGTCACCTGAACACGCCCTAAATATTCCTTAAACTCAGTTTCTGAAATTTCTCTTACCTCCCTTCCACTTCAATCCTACTCATTCCTCAAGGCTCTACCTAAGTTCTTATTTTTCTCTGAAGCTTCTCTACTGACCACCCAAGCTCACCATGATCTTCCCCCTCTGAATCCCTGTAATATTTTTCCTTACCTTTCGGTTAACATTAATAAGGTACTACAATGAGCTTTATACTTCTTACTTCCTAACTATAGTATCACTAAGCATAGGCTCTAAACAAAATACTACTGTGTATAACATGAAGTACCTAACAAAGTACTCTGCACAATAGTTTGCACATATTTGAAACGGTCTACATGTAGCCCCATTTGATAACTTAGCGACTGGCCAGGGAAGGCACAAAACATTTAATTAAATATTTAATGTCATCACAGAAAACCAGTTGTCGGAGCCAGACCCAGGAGAACCCACTCTCCACTCTCTAGCAACGCTACCCCATGCGTGGGTCCAGACACAATGAGGTGCTCTGAGGGTTGAAGAAGGCATGGCCTGTGGGCATTCCTGCCCAGCAAGAAACTCTCCAGCTTGTCTGTACCCACTGCCACTGACCTGCACCTCTCCGGGAGCTGCACCTCTCCAGGAGCTGCCTGCCAAAGCAGGGAGAGAGGAGAATCTCCCGGTTTCCTTCAGGCCCTGGATCATCAGGAAATACCTTTCCCACCTACACAACTTAACTAATGCTACTTATACATTAAAATCCTAAACGCAAAAAAAAAAAAAGTCATTTAATGAAATAAGCTTTTAAGTTCCTTCTTCCCACTCTACCTTCTGACTTAGTTGTTAAAGAGGCAACTGTCACCAAAATGTGTTCACCTTGCCTGTAGGCAGACCTTAGCCTTTTCTTCCCATCGTTCAGAGACTGTAAGGAGCTCCTGTAGTTCAGCCATTGCTTTCTCCACAGCATGGTGGGGTGCCAACCCTACCCCAGAGTCTATCAGCTTCTTCATGACATCCAAAGTGACTTGTTGCGGATCTGATAAGGTCAGTCTTACTTCGTCCAACCACCGAGCCTGTTGTAGCTCTTGCTTCAGTCGTGGTAATTCAGGGAGTTCCACATAGAGACTAGAGCCCATATCTATCAACATCTGGAGTTTGGAAGAATCTGGGGTTTCATCCATCATGGCCTCCTGAGCACGTTCATGAAACTCTTCCACATCATCTAGCAGATTCTGAAAAGGTCAAAAGAAATAAAAATCAGAAAAACAAATTTAAAACATACAAAAGAGTATGAAATAGACATAGTCAAGGCAAACTATCAATTCTAGACTCTTATAATCTCACCATCATAACACCAAATATTCAGATATGACAGTTAAATTAATAAATATGCTTTTGTGTAATTACTTCTAGCTATTCTCCTACTTTTAAAATATAGTTGATTCATTCAATAAATATTTAATGACTGCTGACTTAGATGCAGGCACTTTTCTAGGCACACAGTATTAAAGAAGACATAAAATAGTCCTTGTCTTCAGAGAACATACATTCTAATGCAGATGACCAGACAGTGAACATAGGAATAAAATGTTTCAGTTAGTGTCAAGCGCTCTGAAAATAAAATAGGGCAGCACAACAGAGAATGACCAGAGTGGGGAAGGGCATATTACTTAGTAATGTCATTGGTAGTCACAGAAGACAAACTGAAACTAAATTGAGGGTTGGGGAGGAACTACAAGAGGATCTGAAGGAAGAACGGTTCGGGCAGGGCAAATAATAATTGCAAACGCTTTTAAAGAAGAATGAGCTTGGTGTGTTGCTACAAGTGGATGATGATGGAGAAATGTTGTTAAAAAATAAGCAGAGGTCAGACTACACAGTATCTTCTAGGTTACAATGAGTTTGAATTTCATTCAAATGGCTTTGGGGAACCACTGGAGAATTTTTACCATAGGGAAGTGATGTGATTTGATTTAAAATTTAGATTATCATTCTGGCTACCAAACAAAAAATAAAATGTCAGACGAGCAAAAGAAGGGAAAGCAGCTGAAAGGCTGTTGGGAGTAATCCAAGGGGCACATTCCAGTGGTGTAGAGCATAGTTTAGGCAACGGAGAGGACAATAAACGGTTTGCTTTGGGATATATTTTGGAGGTAATAGCAGCCAGCACTTGTTTAAATATTGAACACGGGGTATAAGGGAAATAAAGAAATCAAGGAGTTTGATTCACTTGGTTCATTAAAAGGCGTGGTGGCTCATGTCTGTAATTCCAGCACTTTGGGAGGCCAAAGCAAGTGGATCGCTTGAGCTCAGGAGTTTTGAGACCAGCCTGGGCAAAATGGCAAAAACTCGTCTCTACAAAACATACAAAAATTAGCCAGGCGTGGTGGTGTGCACCTATAGTGCACCAGCAACTTGGGAGGCTGAGGTGGGAGGATTGCTTGAGACTGGGAAGCAGAAGTTACAGTGAGCCGAGACCATACCACTGTACTGCAGCCTGGATGACAGAGCCAGACGCTGTCTCAAAAAGAAAAGAAAAGAAAAGAAAAAAAGCCTTTAAGATGCCTTTTAGTCCACCAAATGGAAATCCAGAGTATGCAGCTGGACATACAAGTCTGCAGGGAAAAAAGGCATCCAGGGCTGGAGATGTGGGATTGAATCAACAGGATATAGGTGATATTTAATGTCACTGGGCAAATAAGGTATCAGAAGTGGGGGCACCTGAAGAAAGGGCCGAGACTCCTAATATACTCCAACACTTAGAAGTCAAGTCGAAGAGAAAACAAGCAGCAAGGAAGACGTAAGAGAAGAAGAACTGCCAATGAGCTAAGAAAAAACCCAGAAAGTGTGGTGTCACAGGGGCTTAAAGAACAGCATTCAAGAAAGAGTAGTCAACTATCAAAATGCTCTTATGAAATGGAGTAAGACAAGAACACAACTGACCATAGATTCTACAAGTTGATAACCTTGATAAAAACTATTTTAGGCCGGGTGCGGTGGCTCATGCCTGTAATCCCAGCACTTTGGGAGGCCGAGGCGCGTGGACCACTTGAGGTCAGGAGTTTGAAACCAGCCTGCTAACATGGCGAAAACCCACCTCTACTAAAACTATAAAAATTAGCTGGGCATAGTGGCCCATTCCTCCAATCCCAGCTACTCGGGAGGCTGAGGCAGGAGAATCGCTTGAACCCAGGAGGCAGAGGTTGCAGTAAGCCGAGATCTCGCCACTGCACTCCAGCCTGGGCGACAGAGCGAGACTCCCATCTCAAAAACAAAAACAAAAATAAAAAACACTATTTTAGACACCCTACCCACCCCTCAAACACAAAAACACCCCAAACTATCAAAAGATCATTAACTATGGAGATTAATATATTTGATACATACTTTTAAGATTTTACATATTCATTAAGCGATCATTAAGCTTTTTAAAAGCTCACGTATTATTAACACTGATACATGCAGATTATTTTAACTAACTTCTTGCATTTCAATTACATCTATGTTAAATGGGGGTTCTGAACTAAAATTAATATAGAAAAAAATAATTTCATACCAGCCTTAGTTACAGAATTTTAAATGGGGAATAATGGCTAAGAACAAAACCAAAAAACTGCCTACTAAAGAACCTCAAATAGCAGCATATATGTGAGAGAAAAAAAAAATCAGAGCAAAAAACTAGTTTAGATATACCATTCTGTGAAACCCAGAACAGTGGACCATGTCACAAAGGACATTACCCAAAAAAAGGATGTAATACTCCACCTTTACTTGCCGAGCTTGGCTGATGACACACGGAAGACTAAAAAGTTGTTGGACAAAGGCCTTCAATTCTTCCACTGTCAGTTTGGTCCGAGTCCTCCCACTATCTGGGCTCTGTCTGATGTGAAATAATATTGAGATATAAGTAAGAAAAATTCAGTCATTCTGATATCAAAAGGGCTCCTAGTCTCTTCAGAATTCAAACCTAAGCAATCCTAGAATCCCAGTGTTTGAAGGATAACACCACAATGGTGACCACTTCAAAACAGTTGAGTTATTCAGTTAATGACTCAAAGATTCAACTCTCCAAGTTACAGTTCCTTCGATCTACAAGTATTAAACATTTCAAACATTACATAAATTCCTCATAGTTGGAATATTAAGTTCATTGATAAAACTTAATCCTGTATCTCAAGAAGGTTAAAATGTGAAAGAGCCTTTAACCTGCCTTAGGTGACAATGAACCCTCTGAAAGTGCTTCAAAATTTTGTGTGCACATGATTTTTCTAAGAGGGTTCCTAAACTTTTACTAGTTTCTCCAAGTGGGGTCACTGACCCAATGACAAGTTAAGAGCTGCTGATCAATGTCTCTAAGAAAAGTTATCTAACAAAATGGTAAATAAAAAATTTACAAAGTAATTTAAAAACCCAATGTGAACTGCTAGAGAAAAGCCATTCAGACAGAAGAAATGTGTTGGAATTACTACAACACATTTAAATACCACAGAAAATTTAATACTTATGAATTCTATTATATCAAGGGTCCTCTGCATCCATCAAGGTTACCCTTTGCTGCCACCTGCCTTCAGCCTAGAGTTTCTATTTGTTCATTTACAAATATTTATTGCACAACTGTGTGCCAGGCATTGTTCTAAGCACAAGAAATATGGCAATGAAAAAAAAATCCCTGATATTCTAGTCTTGTGTACATTCTAGTAGGGGATGGGGGAGAAAAGACAGATAATTAATAAAATAAGTAGATTAGTGTATCAGAAGGTGATAAAGCTAGGAGAAAAACAAAGCATCAAAGAAGGGTAAGAGGACTGCAATTTTATAAAGGCTTGTCAGAAAAGCCCTTGCCAACAAAGTGACATTTGAAAACAAAGGCTTCAAAGAGGTAGGTAAGGGAACAAGCCACCTGGATACGGTGGGAAGAGAACTCCAAGCAGAGTAAAGAGAGCATGAAGTCCTAAGCAAAAATGTGCCTGCTATGTATGAAGAACAGCAAGAGAAAGAACACTGCAGGCTGGAGCAAGAAAGAAGGGAGAATAGTAGGAGATAAAACTGGAGCATTACTGGGGAAGCAAGAGACATGGCAACAAGAGGTCAAAGATAATGTACGGCTTCACAGGCCGGATAAAATTTTGGTTTTTACTCTGAAAGAAACAGGAAAACACTGGAGAATTAAACTCTTCTTAGGTTTACCTGTGTTTCTGCTTTTTGCTCAGAAGCAGCTGAGCCACAGAAGCACAGGTCTCAGCTTCTTTTACAGCATCCCTGAGTTTTCGAAAGAGATCATTCTCTGGGTATTTCCTATCCTCAGCATCTTCCAGCATTACTCGCAATTCAATCAAATCTGTAAAAATTTAAATAAAGAGCCATATACAATAACCATAGACACAAAAAGCCATTCTAAAATCTTCACCAACCTCACTCAAGTGAGTCCCCAACCTACTTGTAGAAATATAATAATTAGTAGAAACAAACAGCTGTGAAAATCTCACCAACACAATAAAAGCTAACAACCAGGTGCTCATTTATAATCCCTATAGACAGTTTCTCTCAGGTAAATAAATTTCTCTTTCCAAAGAAGCCTTCAGTGTCAGTCTTACTGGTAATAGTGGGTTCCCAACATACATAATAAATTTACTGCAAGTCAGATGTCCGGCCCATTTTATGTCAGCTTTTTCATTTCAAACAAGATTCTCAAATAGAAAATTAAGTCTATATTCAATCAACCCATTAATCTCAAATCTCATAGGAAGCCTAGGATTTTTCTTTTACGGAAGGAAAAAACATAAAACTAAAACAAAGCCTCTTTTAAAGTGACAATCAATTCAGTATATGCATACAAAAGAAGGAAATTTAACCTTTTTTGTGGTTGAAGTTAGCAGACAATGCTTCTGTAACACGACTGACCCAAGTGTCATAGGACTGTGCCCTGACTTTTACACCATATAGCAGAGAAGGGAGGTCTTCTAATGGGTAGCGATATCTACAAAAAAAAAAAAAAAAAAAAAAAAAAAAAGAAAACAGAAATAAAAACCTCAAAAACCAACAATAACTTAAAAATAAAGTTTTAAATATAACCAGCTTAAGGAAAATACAATGGCCAAGGGAATGGGATCTTAGTTCACATAAAGAGAAAATCAAACCAGCCCACACTTCTTAATTCAGGGAGACAAGGAACATGTGAAATCAACTGATAAACTAATTTCAGCTGCCAGGTTTAGGGCCAACTTTAAGGGACTGGTCTTCAAGCCTAGAAGTAGACAGTGAAGTTTAGAAGTCCAGAGTAAAGGAGTAAAGTAAGGGAATAAGTAAAAATAACATTAAAACTTGGTTTTAAAAAAAGGTAATGGAAGTTTTACAAAATACTTTTGGATACCTAAGACATTTCTTCTGCATGGGGCAGGGGCACAGATCAGTTGGATGGTAGAGACATACAAGCCGCTCAGGATTACAGGAACATGTGAGAGCAGAGAGAAAACATGTGGTTCTGCATGCTGAACACTGCCGCTCATCATCAGGAACAAGTTCAAACACTTCTTCTTCTGACATCAGGACACCCTGAAATATAATTTATTTCACTAGATCAAGTCTTTCTAGTCTTTAAAGCATCAAAAAACTTAAGTTACTACATTTTTTTCTATAGACAAATCTCTGACTTAAAGGTATAAACATGAAAGGTACAATGGCACAACATCAAAATACTTCCTAAAAGTAATCATTGCTAAATTTTTTTCAATGGGCAAGATTAAAGTTTGGTATCTAAGGATGCACATTTGAGTGACAAAACTATAAAGAAACATGGGCTGGGTGCAGTGGCTCATGGCTATCATCCCAGCACTTTAGGAAGCTGAGGCGGAAGGATTGTTTGAAGCCAGGGATTTGAGACCAGCCGGGGCAACAAAGTGAGCATCCCTACAAAAAAATTTTTAAACATTACCCAGGCATGGTGGTGCATGCCTGTAGTCCCAGCTACTCAGGAGGCTAAGGAGGGAAGATCATTTGAGGCCAGGCTGTAGTAAGCTATGATAGTACTGCTGCACTCCAACCCCAGCCGACATAGCAAGACCCTGTCTCTAAAAAAAAAGAATGCGATTACCACAAAAGTCAAGACAGTTTTTTGAGAGAAGGGAAGAAAATTGTAATTGGGAGGCATTTTGGGGGTGGCCGGCTATACACCAAAAGTTCCTCCCAATTACATCCTTGAGCAAAATAAATCAGTAATCTATTATCCAAAAGTAACACTGACATATACAAACATATGTAAGGACAAAGAAGTATAAAGTAAATTGTGCAAATTAAAATATAATATCAGCATGACATCAAAAAGAAAGTTAAGACAAATTCAGTATGCCAAGAACGTAAGAGCAGGCAGGGTGCAGTGGGTCACACCTATAATCCCAGCACTTTGGGAGGCCGAGGTAGGCAGATCACCTGAGATCAGGAGTTCAAGACCAGCCTGGCCAATATGGCAAAACTTCATCTCTACTAAAAATACAAAAGTTAGCCGGGCGTGGTGATGCATGCCTGTAGTCCCAGCTACTCAGGAGGCTGAGACAGGAGAATCACTTGAGCCCGGGGGGTGAAGGTTGCAATGAGCTGAGATCACGCCACTGCACTCCAGCCTGGGTGACAGAGCGAGACTCCATCTCAAAAAGAAAAAAAAAAAAAGAATGTAAGAGCATATGAAGTGCATTTTACCAAACACCTCCATTTATTATATAACTTTACAGTTTCTGCTTACTTGATTGAGCAAGTTACTTGTAAACCCAATTCTGCAATAAGAGCAAACTCTCTTCATGTAAACAAGGTGGGAACCTGATAATTTATTCACTGGCAGGCACAATTCTGGTCTTTCATCATACACTGTTTTTGATATCAGTTTAATCTAGATGTCTGCTGGCCATATTCTCTTATCTTTCCATTTTCTTATACTGGCATTTAGTATTTTCTTTAAAAATTATTTTAACGTAAAAACAGTTTCAAAATGCATTGCACGTATTTCTTAGTTTATAAGAATTTACTCAGCTTCAGAACAACTGGCAAAGCTGTTCTCAAGGGAATGCTCATGTGGCAACTGAGACACTTCTGGCTGCTTCAAGAAATTTTATACCATTTCCCAAAGTGTACTCCAAGGATCGGATCCTAAAAGACACTCTGGAAAAAATATATTTTTTTTGTTCCAGGTGCCGTGGCTCACACCTGTAATCCCACCACTTTGGGAGGCCGAGGTGGGTAGATCACCTGAGGTCAGGAGTTCAAGACCAGCTTGATGGTGAAACTTTGTCATTACTAAAAATACAAAAATTACTGGGTGTGGTGGCACATGCTTGTAACCCTAACTACTCAGGAGGCTGACGCAGAATTGCTTGAACCTGAGAGGTGGAGACTGCAGGTGAGCCAAGATCGTGCCACTGCACTCCAACTCGGGCAACAGAGTGAGACCCTGTCTCAAATAAATAAATAAAACAAAACAAAAAACTAGGTAACATATAACTATGAAGGAAACGAGGCCAGGTGTGGTGGCTCACGCCTGTAATCCCAGCACTTTGGGAGGCCGAGGAGGGCAGATAACCTGAGGTCAGGAGTTCGAGATTAGCCCGGCTAACATGGTGAAACCCTGTCTCCACTAAAAACACAAAAATTAGCTGGGCAAGGTGGTGAACGCCTGTAATCCCAGCTACCCGGGAGGCTAAGGCAGGAGATTCACTTGAACCCAGGGGGCAGAGGTTGCAGTAAGCTGAGATCGTGCAACTGCACTCCAACCTGGGTGGCAGAGTGAGATTCCATCTCAAAAAAATAAAAAGGAAACGTATGAGTCAAGATCACGCTAAGTTTTTACACGATGGTCCTGGCGCTTACTAAGATGAGGCAATTAGGAAAGAAAAGTGGTTTGTGAAGGGTGGAGAGGAAGGAGATTTTCTATTTCAGATGCTGAAACTGAGATGATAAAAATCTAAATAGAAATGTGCAATACACATGTTGGAAACACAGATTACAAATGAGTGGCTGGACACAGCCTCTTTCACAGTGATAGTAATTCCTGTGTGTAATGTAATAGGAGGAAACTATAAGAAGTGAGAACTGAAACCACAAGGTAATAGCTGAAAGACTTAAGACCCTTAGATGAGAATTCCAAGATAAACAGCACAAAATAACAACAATAAACAGTCAAAGGCTGAACCCTGCACCCATTGTTGGGGATATAAGGAGAAAGAACTAGAAATGATGGCCAAATACAATCAAAGAGACTAAAAAAACAGTAGAGCAAATGTTAGGTAAAGAAACAACAGCAGCAATATATAGTGCAATAAAGAGGTCATGGGGATAGAAGACACAGAAAGAAACCACTGGATTTTGGCCGGGCACGGCGGCTCACGCCTGTAATCCCAGCACTTTGGGAGGCCGAGGTGGACGGATCACGAGGTCAGGAGATCGAGACCATCCTGGCTAACAAGGCAAAACCCCATCTCTACTAAAAATACAAAAAATTAGCCGGGCGTGGTGGCAGGCGCCTGTAGTCCCAGCTACTCGGGAGGCTGAGGTAGGTAGGAGAATGGCGTGGACCCGCAGGGCGGAGCTTGCAGTGAGCCAAGATCGCGCCACTGCACTCCAGCCTGGGTGACAGAGCTAGACTCTGTCTCAAAAAAAAAAAAAAAAAAAAAAAAAAAGAAAAGAAACCATTGGATTTTGAAATACAGTGTGTCACTGGTGAACTTTGAGACTTTCAAAAGTATGATGGGAACAGAATGACAATGATAATGAAGGGATAAAGAGGACATGAGACTGCTGACCACGGGAAAACCACTGAAGATTCTTAGTAAAGGTAAAATGAAAACTTTTCTTAAAATAGGAAAGACAAGTTCATAATGCAAAGAAAGGGCAGGGATAAGTAACTGGAACAAGGGCATAGGTGGAAGGTATGTTTAAAGAAGGGTCTATAGAGAAATTTGATCAAAGTAGCACAAAGAAACATGGTAGAGGATCAGGAGATGGGACATTCAAATTATCAAAGCACAAGGGAAATAATGTCCCATTCAGGTTAAATCTGAAATACTGAGGACATAGCACAAAATCGTATTTCATGAGTCTCCACCAATGTACTTAAAATTTCAAAATTCAAAAGAAAGACTCTAGGCAATGAGAAAAAGAATCCCATTTTAAATAAATATATAATCAAAATAAGAATTTTAAGAATACAAGTATAGGCCGGGCACAGTGGTTCACACCTGTAATCCCAACACTTTAGGAGGCCAAGGTGGGTGGATCACTTGAGGTCAGGAGCTTGAGACCAGCCTAGCCAACATAGTAAAACCCCATCTCTACTAAAAATACAAAACTGGCTGGTCAAGGTGGCGCATGCCTGTAATCCCAGCTACTTGGTAGGCTAAGGCAGGAGAATCGCTGAACCTGGGAGGCGGAGGTTGCAGTGAGCCAAGATCGTGCCACTGCACTCCAGCCTGAGCAACACAGTGAGACTCTGTCTCAAAAACAACAAAAAGAGAACACAGGCCAGGTGTGGTGGCTCATGCCTGTAATCCCAACACTTTGGGAGGCCAAGGCAGGAGGACTGCTTGAAGCCAGGAGTTTGAGACCAGCCTAGGTAACAAAGCAAGGCTCCACCACTACGAAAAATTTAAAAATTTAGACAGACATGGTAACACACACCTGCAGTCCTAACTACTCCAGAGGCTGAGGTGGGAAGATTGTTTGAGCCCAGAAGTTTGAGGCTGCAGTGAGCTACGACTGTGCCACTGCACTCCAGCCTGGGCGACAGAGAGAGAACCCATCTTTCAAAAAGGTGGTACAGAGCAAGAAGGAAGGACCATATAAGGGCATGAAAAAACTTTTAGGGGTGATAGATATATTCATTATCTTGACTGCAGCAATGGTTTCATGGGTATATACAGAGTCAAAACTTATCAAATTGTACACATTAAACACATGTAGTTTATTACACATCAATTATGCTTCAACAAAGCTGTTTTAAAAACAGAGCAGAATATCAGGCAGAGAGGGAGGAGGGACATGATACAAAAACAGGAGGAAGCACGGTGTAAACCTAATGAAGCTAGCTAGCTATGTAGGAAATATTAGAACAGGCCAAGATGATGCTGAAGATACACATTTTCTCATATATTACCCAGTTCAATGTGATGATGCTTAGCTTATTCTAAGTATTCTAAATCCCAGCCTTGGGGTTAGTCCATCCTTCCTATTCATCAAATTACTTAAAGGGGAGGGAAAAAGATTAATTCAAACTGACAGTCTGTAATTTCCAGAAACATAACTTATTCAACAGAAAGCTCAGAAAAAAAAAATGATTTAAATTTTCTTGTTTAAACAATACTGTATGTAGAAGATTTAAAATGTAAATATATACCTAAGAAATTCTGATAGGACTTGTTTTAAAAACCTAGAGATGACAAGATTCCTAAAACGTTTTTAATCTGGAGAAATCAATATGTCAATTATAAAAATATAAAATCTTCTCCAAATCAGTGATCTTTATGCTCAACTCCTAGGGGATAAGGGATGAAAATTCTACCTATAGGTTTATTTAGCATATCCCATAAGCAGTATCAAACATAGAAAATGTGCTCAGCAAACTCACCATCTGTACAACAGACTCTCTTAATCGTGTTTCTTCTTCAGTCATGAGAGTCAATTCTTTGCAGACCATGGCAGCCAGCCCCACATCTAAGCATTCTGGATCTGCTGCCATCTTGAAAATTAGTTCCTCGTGTGAAAAGACACAGTGGCGCCTTAGGCGTCGGTAATGATTTACACATTGACGTCCAATGGGCAACTGAAAATGAGATTTCCAAATTAAATAACTCGCTTATAACATATCCCAGCACAGAACCACTACTTACCCTCCAGGTCCTCCCTTTTATTAGAAAGAAGACAGAATACCAAATCCATTTAAATATAAAGAGGCAATATTCTATTAACTGTAAATATTAACCCTGTAAGACCCAGCCAGAGTTTCAAAGGCTTTCCCACAGAAAATTCCCATAATCTGAGATGCTAAATTTCTGGCCTAAACTGCTAATTTTCTATTTATTGTATATCAAGAAGGAGTTCTTTGGTATATAACTGAGGCAGCAAACTCTTTTAGACCAGTTTAACATGAGCCTGCCCTTACAAGAAAAAGAAAAATATTGTAAAAATAAATAATTAAATAAGTTCAGGCCAAAAAGGGTTAAGTGGAAGTATTCAGCACTCAAATTTCCATAGAACAAAAAGAACAGATGTTATTAGAAGAAAAAAAAAAGAAAAAAATAGGAAAGGGGAAAAAGTAATACTTAAGCAATCCACATTGGCTGACATTTAGTTTTTTTTGCAAAAACCAAAACAAAGGACAATTTAGATTTTAGCATCTAGAAATTATTTTAAAAACAAGTCTGGCAGAAAGATAATTCAAAGTGAAATTATAAAATTATATACTTTATTTCCCTAACAGTGAAATAAATAACTGATCACTTTTCATAAATGAACAGTTACAGTCTTTAAAATAAATTTTGAAAATTTCCATAATTATCAAGCTACAAACCAAATTACAACAATAGCTATGCCCTACACGTATATACGCACTCCAACTTCAACTTCTTTCCTATGCTCAGGCAGAAGAACTTGGATAAAGGAGTTTTGTTTGGATTTGTAATATAAAAGAGAAAAAATAAGAAAATGGACCTTTAAGAGCCTTTTAGAATTCATCTACAGTTTGAGAAAGGCAGAAAGGAATCAGAGAAAGCAAAGAAAATTTGAGGCTATCTCTGAATTATGCAGTGTTTCCATACTCTTCAAAGAAAAAACTTTCCAAAGGAAAAAGTGTGTGTGTGTGTGTGTGTGTGTGTGTGTGTATATATATATATCTTATGATTAGCAATTATTTTGTCTATTAACAACACACAACTCTTTCATATCTTAAATACGTACTCTTTAAAAATTTCTCAGAGCCTCAACACAAAAACAAGCAAAAGAAAAAAATCATACTGTGGGATTTGCAGTTCTTAACTATTATAATATGTGAGGAAGCCACATAAAATAGAAGTGATTATCCATTGTAACTTATAAACATTAGTCCCATTAATTTATTCCACAGATAAAACTGCTATAACTTTTAATTTATATCACACCCTTCTTCTAAAGAGTGTCAAGGGCTTCCACACATATCCTCTAACTTGTCTGAGGTTATTAAGTGAATCTATCAGCATCTTTACATACCAGCTAAAAAACTTAGGCCCAATGAAATTTTAAAAGCTGCCCAAGGTCAAATACCAATAACAGAGAGAATGGGAACAGCAGAAACTATCTCCAGCTCCTATCTAAATCCTCCCATTTTCTACCCTACACCTAGCCAATTACCATGTATCATAAACACTCAATAAATGCTGATTGAATGTTTAGAAACAGAGCTCAAGCCCAAGGCAAAATCCTAAGCCTAGTCTTGTTCTTGCTAAATTATGCTGTTTCCAAAGCCTAATAAGAAAAAAGTTCAAAATTACTGGAGCAAGTAAGACTATTCATTGTATCATTTTACTCATTAGCAAAGGAAACAAAAACAATCTCTATATGGTTAATCATGGAATTTAATAAATTAAGGTGCCAGCAGAAAACATTAAAGGATTTCCCCCAAAATGTTAACAGAAGCAACAAAAACAGCACCAATACAAGAAAATAAAGTCAGTGTGTATCATAAATATACTGTATAGTCTTCTCCCAAGCAACATAACAGCCACTAAATACTTTTTGATTATCTACTTCATACAAAAGCAAAATAGCAATTACCTAGCATTATCATTTACATAAAAGTATAGCGCAGAGATCTCAATATTATACTCTTTTAAAATTAAAAAAAGGAACAGAAAAAACATAAAATGACAAGACTAGTAAAATCACCTAGTTGTCTATCAGAAAAAAAAAATTAAGGAATTTGTAAAAATCACAGAGCTACGTATTTGAAAATATGGTAGAATACTTGAAATTATCTGTATAAGCCTGATCACCTTAATAAGTCCCAAAATGCTCAGAGAAAGCAAAGGCTAAAAAAACTACAGGTTGGTGCAAAATTAGCTGTGGGTTTAAAACTGCAATTACTTTTGCACCAACCTTTATCTTCAATGGCAAAAGCCACTATTACTTTTGCACCAACCTGTGTCTTCCCTTAGAAAAGAAGGATTCAGAAAGAATCGACTGACCATTTATAAGTTCAAACAGTCTCTCTCTTCTGAGCATCTGACCAGAAGGGAGGGAGTCAAAATAAAGGAAAGAAGGAAAGCAAAGGAGAGAAGGAAAGGAAGAAAAGAAGGAAATGGGGGAAGGGGAAAGTGAAGGAATAGAATGGAAGTGAAGGAAGCAAGTTCAAACAGAATGAGGAAAATAATAAATGGGTAAGAAGAACTATAAAATCTTCAAAATAAAAAATGTGATGGAAATCTACTTAGCTTTCTAAACTACAATAGCCACTCCAGTCTCCACTAAAATACTGATGAACCCGACCCTGAGCCCAGCTAAGCAAATATGGCAACTAAGCTGCTTTATATTTATAGGGGGGTTAGTAGACGTACAACAGCCACTTGCTATAGAACAGACCCAGTCAGCAGTACAGAAGTTCACAGCTTCAGCAAAGTTGTAGCCCTGGTTAAATCCAGAGTGATAGGCACGAGGAAATGTCACAACAAACTCGCCAGCACACTGATTGGTCCTGTACACCTAAATGCAAATTGGGAACAGGGATACAAAAATAAAAAATAAAAATAACAAACAGAGGAAGACAGATTTTATTAGATAATTTCAGATGCATTTTCTAAAACTGAAAACAATAAAGCATTAAGTTACACATATCAGAAAATGATATCAGAAATAGCCAGAATTCTACCTTCTTAAAATAGTCACTGATAATAGATTATAATTCATGACAAGAATTAGCAGCCAAAAGAAATTCTCAAAGAAAAAAACATTACTCTCAACGAGCTACGAGTTTCTTAAACTGATACAATTTTTACAATTTAGAGAATTTGTTTTATTCTTGTATCGTAAATAGTGGCAAAGAATAGAATTTCCTACTACTTTTGGATAATTTTTTGGAACTAACTAAATTAACTCACATGGCATATGAGACATCCCCAATGAGATGTCCCCAAAATCAGTTTTCCTGAAATCTCACTTTGTTTTACAATAATACTGTATGTCTCTTGAAAAGTCTCAGATTCTGGTATAAATTTATTATTTAAAAACAAAGTAACATTATAAATGTTAAACTACTTTCTCTTTAAGGTTATGATGAATATTTGATTATCTATAGTAAACTTGTTAAATTTATACTTTATCAGGCATTAGCTTGAATTTGAGAAACATCTTCAAACTTAGGTTGAAAAGTGAAAAAGGTATTTGCAGTATATTTTTATTTCATTATCTCATGTATTAAAAGCTAAGAAATCTTTACATGAGAAAATAAGGATAAGCAAACTTATTAGTGATTAGTTATTAGGATAAGCATCCTTATTAGTTGTTAGTTATTAGGATAAGCATCCTTATTGGTTATTAGTTATTAGGATAAGCATCCTTATTAGTGATTAGTTATTAGGATAAGCATCCTTATTAGTGATTAGAGCCACCACTTAAAATACCTGTGCTTTGGTTAAATAGAGATAACAAAGAATATGAGATTTTTGTTCAAAGTAGGATGTAATATTTACTGAAAATAGAAGGTTATATGAATAGGTAGCTGTACATAAAGAATGATTCATACTTTAACACTCCCCTTCTTAATCAGATAAAAGTTGTTCCCTGCAGAGTACGAATTCTAATTTGGCTAAAAGATGATATGACTCATTTCTAGTTACAAAACAAAGCATATGTTGTGATTCTATCTAATCAAAAGCTAAAATAACTTTAAATTAAAAATACTGGCTGGGTGCAGTGGCTCACACCTGTAATCCCAACACTTTGGGAGGCCGAGTTGGGAAGACTGCTTGAGCTCAGGAGTTCGAGACCAACCTGGGCAACACAATAAGGCTTCGTCTCTACAAAAAATACAACAATTAGCCGGGGGTGGTGGTGTGCTCCTATAGTCCCAGCTACTCATTAGGCTGAGGCAGGAGAACTGCTTGAGCTGAGCAGGCTGAGGCTGCAATGAGCAATCATCGTGCCGCTGCACTCCAGCCTGGGCAACAGAGCAAGACCCTGTTTCAAAAAAAAAGAAAAAAGAAAAAACAAACAAACAAACAAACAACTGAAGGAAGACACCAAAAGACTCACAGGCACACCATGCTCCATTAGCACGTTGGGGTTCATGATGGTAACTAACTGATGCAGAAGATCAGGCTGGGATTCAAATAACTCGGGGGCCAGCTCTCTCATCACCTCCTCCAGTTGCTCTGCAGCATGAGATGGCACACCATACCATGTCTTTGGCTCCCCCCTAGCAAAAGAAGTAACTGTTTAGCTAGGCAGAACATGGTACCAATGAGGCTAGGGTATCTGATTCCAATCCACCAAATTATAATTAACTTGTCTTATTCCATGGTCAGATTATATGCCCTGAATTCTGGCAACCATCTTATAAACCTGTGCTGTTGTTCACAATAGGAGGTAAGTAAATAGTAGTATGTATAGGCAGATACAAACTTATCACCACAATTAAAAAAGCAACTCAGCACATGAACTCTGTAAGGCGGATCAGTGAAAACACCTTCAAACGGGAAAGACACTATATGAAAAGTAAGCACTGTCCCAAAGGATGCTGACACATGACCTTGATTCAGAGGTCCATGTGAATAATGGACATTTCAATTATCCCCACAATGATCAAAATAAGTCAGTGCTCTCTAGGATACTTCTAAATAGCTTCACTGAGTTCAATTTTACTACCCAAAGAAATAGGCCAAGGCTAGAAATTATTGAAACCTTAAATATACTTCTGTCTATAAACCTTAAAGATCAAAAACCTAGCATCATTAATCCACTAGACTTTAGTAGAGTTCATGCATGCTGTATTTTAGACTGTACATACCAGTGCAAGTAGTTGATGGAATAACTCCAGTGATCCTCAATGTGCCAGCAAAAAGAAGAGAAGCACATTCCCACATAGAGCCACGGCACTTTCATACCAGAGATGTCCACATTAATATGTGCAAGAACAGACTGTTCCAGGACAGGCATGTTATTCAAATTCCAACCAGAAAGTGCATATTCCTATAAGAGAAGAAAAAACTGTAAATGAAAGATCAGAAATGAAAAGTGCTCAATAGAAATGCCAAGGGAGTCTTCCCAGAAAATTTTTTTATAATATTTATAATAGTCTAGTGCATACAATCTGTGCTCTTTGCTATCCACTACATGTAACTCATATAACTAAACATTTAATCCTACCTTCTGTCTATGTTCTATTTAGATTTCCCTTTATTTCAGATACCTCTGGTTTACTCCAAAGCACATGAGCAATTCTTGTTATTCTCCAGCCAATCAGGAAAACAGTATGAGACCCATCTTAATACAACATCACTATTTCTATTTTATAGCCAGTAGCATAATTTCCTAAAATGTTTACTACTATATTGATAGAATGGTGCTAGATACTGTAAAGACAAAATACAATATACATAATCTTGAACTTGTGACAACAATGAAGACTGACATGATGCAGAAAGTCACCGCCATCACTCCTAACCATTATACAAACACACCTAGAAATACCGGATAAATTATAACAATAAGACTGACAGGATGCAGAAAGTCACCACCATCACTCCTAACCATTATACAAACACACCTAGAAATACCGGATAAATTATAACAATAAGACTGACAGGATGCAGAAAGTCACCACCATCACTCCTAACCATTATACAAACACACCTAGAAATACTGGATAAATTATAACAATAACCAAAAAAACTTCATAGGTGAACCCAAAAGAAAAGGGAATTCCCAGTTTCTGGAAACAGAGTGGAAGCAAGCCATAATGAAAAAGGAAGCTGTTGCAAGAGTTTTCACAGGGGCTTCTACTTGGATATTGGCACCGGAGAAGGACTTTCAAACATCCATCTCTGCAGCCATATGAGGCTATGACTTAAAGTGCTTATCATCCTTATGGAGAACAGTTCTCAAAATGGGATCCAGAGGATCCACTAAGTCAAACTATTTTCACAATAATTCTAAGACATTATTTGTCTTTTTCACTTACATTTTTGCAGGAGTACAGTGTGAGTTTTCCAGGGGAAAGATGGTATGTGCTATCATAACAGATTGAATGCAGAAGCAGATATGAGAATCTGCTATTAAAAAGTTGATAACTGAATGTGGATGTCAGGAACTGGCAGGGGTGGGGGTAGGGTCATTATTGTGCTTACTGTTTAGAAGTTTCTATAATACAAGTTAAAAATAAAAAACCCTCAAGGTAAGAAGTTAAAGAGCCAATGACAAAGCTAAAGAGAATTTGTGAACTAGAAGACATGTTTGAGGAGATTATCTATAAGGCAGCACAGAAATATATAAACTATCAAACTGTAATTAAGAGTCACAGAGAGGCGGGCTGGGCACGGTGGCTCACATCTGTAATCCCAGCACTTTGGGAGGGTGAGGTGGGTAGATGACCTGAGGTCAGGAGTTTGAGACCAGCCTGGCCAACATAGTGAAACCCTGTCTCTACTAAAAATACAAAAAATTAGCTGGGCATGGTGGCGGGCACCTGTAATCCCAGCTACTGGGGAGGCTGAGGCAGGAGAATCACTTGAACCCGGGAGGCAGAGATTGCAGTGAGCCGAGATCGCGGCATTGCACTCCAGTCTGGGCAACAAGAGCGATACTTCATCTCAAAAAAAAAAAAAAAAAAAAAAAAATAGAGAGAAGCTGGGCATGGTGGCTCATGCCTGTAATCTCAGCACTTTGGGAGGTCATGGCAGGCAGATGACTTCAGCCCAGGAATTTGAGACCAGCCTGGTCAACATGGCGGGACCCCATCTCTACAAAAAATACAAAAATTAGTCAGGCGTGGTGGCGTGCGCCTGTAGTTCCAGCTACTAGGGATGCTGAGGTGGGAGGATCCCGTGAGCCCGGGAGATTGAAGCTGTGAGCCGAGATCATGCCACTGCACTCCAGCCTGAAAGACAGAGTGAGACCCTGTCTCACTAAAAAAAAAAAAAAAAAAAGTCACAGAGGATGGAATAACAAAGTCCAACACAGGTTTAACTAAGAATTCCAATAAGAAATGACAGATCTATTCCTAAAGTTCAACAGGCTAACAAAAAAGGAAATAAAAGAATCTCAACAGGTTATTACTCAATATGTTTTGTGATTGGTTGGTCAGCTGGCTGGCTGAAAAATAGTGAATTTCATTGAAGAGACAAGGTCTACAAACAAAAAGAACACTGGGAGGCCGAAGCTGGTGGATTACTTGAGGTCAGGAGTTCGAAACCAGACTGGCCAACACCGTGAAATCCCATCACTAGTAAAAATACAAAAATCAGCCAAGCGTGGTGGTGCATGCCTGTGGCCCCAGATACTCAGGAGGCTGAGGCAGTGCTTGAACCCAGGAGGTGGAGGTTGCAGTGAGTCAAGATTGCATCACTGCACTCCAGCCTGGGCAACAGAGCGAGACTCCATCTCAAAAAAAAAAAAAAAGTTACAATACAAGGTAACATATATAAAATTCCAAATACATATAGAAGAGAAAATACAGTTCTTCAGAGGACAATAAAACAGTGATCATCATGGGTTTGGATTGTGATATGGTTTGGATTTGTGTCTCTACCCAAATCTCATGTTGAATTGGAATCCCCAATGTTGGAGGAGGGACCTGGTGGAAGGTGACCGGATCATGTGGGCAGATTTCCCCCTTGCTGTTCTCACAATAGTGAGTTCTCACGAGATCTGGTTGTTTAAAAGTGTGGGGCAACTCCCGCTTCTCTCTCTTCCTCCTGCTCTGGCCATGTAAGACGTGCCTGCTTAGCCTTCACCTTCTGCCATAATTGAAAGTTTCCCGAAGCCTCCTCAGCCATGCTACCTGTTCAGCCTGTGGAACCTGTACAGCCTCTCTTCTTTATAAATTACCCAGCCTCGAGTATTTATTTATAGCAGTACAAGAATGGACTAATAAAGATTGTTAGGAAAACTTCACAGCAAGGAAGAAATTGTGTTGAGCTTTGAAGGATAGATAAGATTTGAATAAACATTCTAGGAGGAAGAGCTACAAGAATGTAAAAGGTAAATTACAGAGAGAATATACTAGTCTAGCTGGTGAAAAGGCAGAATGGAAGAGTCATACGCAAAAACACAGGAAATAACATTAGAAAAAAAGATGAGATCTTTAATCTTAAGTTTTGGACTGAGAATCTGAGATTTATCCTATATTCAAAAGGGAAACATAAGTTTTGAAAAACGAAACAATATGATAAACATAGAATCAAATATTTCTAAACTTTTTTTTTTTTTTTTGAGACAGAGTCTCACTGTTGCCAAGGCTGGAATGTAGTGGCACAATCTCAGCTCACTGCAACCTCCACCTCCTGGGTTCAAGCGATTCTCCTGCCTCAGCCTCCCGAGTAGCTGGGATTACAGGCACCTGCCACCATGCCCGGCTAATTTTTGTGTTCTCAGTAGAGATGGGGTTTCACCATGTTGGCCAGGCTGGTCTCAAACTGCTGACCTCAAGTGATCTGCCCGCCCTGACCTCCCAAAGTGCTGAGATTACAAGCATGAGCCACCGTGCCCAGCCTATTTCTAAACTTTTAATTATGTAAAATTTCAAATGTAAACAAAAGTAGACAAAATTGCATAATAAATTCCCACTGACCCATCAATCTTTAAATGTTAAGTGAAAGCAATATATTAGAGAGACTGCAGAGAGCAGCAGTATGCACAAAGGAGTTAAACACAGCAGGCCTGAGACTGGTGTCCTTTGAAAGGCCTACTAAAAGTTTGGCCCATGGCTGGCATCTAGACACTTGAATGGTAACAATTCCCTACACTAATATAAAACTTCCCCTAAATGATAAGAGTGGCTCACAATGCCCCAGACTATTTGTACAATGTGGTTTATGCCGAACTCCTGCTTTCCTTCTAGGAGTTTGGAATTTTGGTATGTGATTCACAAAGGGTGCCCATGTCACTAGGCCCCAATAACAGCCTTCGGCACTGAGTATCTAATGAACACACATGTAAAGCACTAAACACTTTACACGTGTTGCCATAATTTGTTACTGGTGTGATTAAGCACACCCTATGTAACCCACTGAGAGAATACCCTGGGAAGCCTGTGCCTGGTTTACTCTAGACTTTGCCCATGCACTGTTTCCCTTTGCTGATTTTGTTTGAATTATTTCACTGTAATAAATCATAAGCATGAGTCCTCCCTGAATATCACTGAACCTGGGAATGGTCTTGGAGACAGCCAATACAAGATGATACTGTAGTCATACAACATCGATATACAACCACAGTATCATCTCAACATGTGATAAGGACCTAAGCAAGAATGGCTGTAGTGGGAATGCAAAGAGTCCTATCCTATAGAAAGCTTTAAAAATGAATTAACAAAATTTAGTCAATGACAATACGGAACAAGGAGGACAAGCAGAAAAAAATCTTTCCAACATTTCAAGTCCTATACTTACTTTTACTTCTCAGAAGCCCTGTTGGTAGAGCACACTATATTCATAAGACACAACTTCCGGCAGGCGCAGTGGCTCACACCTATAATCCTAACACTTTGGGAGGCCAAGGAGGGCAGATCACCTGAGGTTGGGAGTTCGAGACCAGCCTGACCAACATGGAGAAACCCCATCTCTACTAAAATACATAAGTAGCCGGGCGTGGTGGTGCGTGCCTGTAATCCCAGCTACTCGGGAGGCTGAGGCAGGAGAAACGCCTGAACCCGGGAGGCAGAGGTTGTGGTGAGCCGAGATCACACCATTGCACTCCAGCCTGGGCAACAAGAGCGAAACCCCATCTCAAAAAAAAAAAAAAAAAGATACCAGAGAGGTGTGTTACCAGATACCAAAAGGGTAACTCATATCACAGAAGCTCAACACAAATGTATAATTCCCAGTGAAAAGCTGGTAGTTATCTGCTATTTTACCAGAGTAACTTTCAGAGAGTAATAAATTTATATAAAGTATAAAAAGTTTGAAAATTTCATACACTTTGTCTAATTAGTCCCTAAAATCCTTTTGTCATAAATGGGTTCTCTCCTATCATCTTATAACAAAAACAGAGTCCTGAGTAAAACATTTTTGCTTAGAGAATAAACAGCAAATCTGCAACCCAGTCAACAAAAAAGGCTTCACTGCCTGTCTCTTAATACTTTGGTTGATGTCTTTAATGCCTGGGAATCAATGTTTCGATCTATTTAAAACTAAAAAGAGAAAAGTTTTAAACTTAGGACATTTAGCAAAATAATTCCAACAAGTTAATCCAAAAACAATTACTTAACTCAAAGAGTCACAGTTGGAAGACAAATAAAAGTTATACTAGGCCAGCTGTGCAAACACCTATGTTACATAAAAAATAATACAGGCCGCCAGCCAATACACCCTCCAACACCAATGATTCTCATCTCCTGAAATTCAGAACCTTGTATAACCTCCACCTACACCAAAGGGGACTGACCTATGTAACCAATAAGATATTGCAGATATTAAGAAGTCTGATTTTTTTTTTTTTTTTTGAGACAGGATCTCACTCTGCCACCCAGGCTGGAGTGCAGTGGCATGATCACAGGTCACTGCAGCTTCAACCTCCCCAGGCTCAAGTGATCCTCCCACCTCAGCCTCACAAGCAGCTCCAACTACAGGCGTGTGCCACCACACCCAGCTAATTTTTGTATTTATTGTAGAGACAGGGTTTCACCATGTTGCTCCCAGGATATTCTGGACCTCCTAGACTCAAAAGATCCACCTGCCTCAGCCTCCCAAAGTGCTAGGATTATGGGTGTGAGCCACTGCACCTGGCCAAAAAGTCTGACTTTTGAAGTTGGGTTATAAAAGACATTGCGACTCCATCTGGCTCTCAAAAGCCCTATGTAGAGGCCTACATAGTTAGAATCTGAGGCCTCCTGGCAACAACCTGTGAGTGAGCCATTTTGAAAGCAAATCCATTAGCCCCAGCCAAGCCTTGAAGAGACTGTATCCCATGGCAACCTCATGTGAGACTCCAAGCTAGAAGTATCATTAAAAAACTATCATTATCAGTCGGGCACAGTGGCTCACGCCTGTAATCCCAGCACTTTGGGAGGCCAAGGCGGGCAAATCATGAGGTCAGTAGTTCGAGACCAGCCTGGCCAACATGGTGAAACCCTGTCTCTACTAAAAATACAAAAAATTAGCTGGGCATGGTGGTGGGTGCCTGTAATCCCAGCTACTAGGGAGGCTGATGCAAAAGAATCACTTGAACCCGGGAGGCAGAGGTTGCAGTGAGCTGAGATCGTGCCACTGCACTCTAGCCCAGGCAACAGTGCGAGACTCCATCACAAAAAAAAAAAAAAAAAAAAAAAAACCATTAGCACAAATGCTTGACCCACAGAAACTATGAGATAATGAATATTTGTTATTCAGCCACTAAGGTTAAAAGTAATATGTTACTCAACAACAGAAAACATCAAAGAGCCAGGAACAAAACATGCATAGACCATCCATCTAATAATCACTATCAAGGTCAAAAGCTGCTCCTATCTAACAAACACACGGTTATAAGCCTGCATGTCTCCACATTCTTACATGAAGTTGGAGTAAAAGCAGAAATAGATAAATGAGTATGTTTTCATAAAATTCATACAAAATTCAATAATGGAGGCAGGATTACTATTTACATTCTTAATATTAGTTACTTAGGGTTGATACAAAATAATCTTTAAAAATTCTGTGATCTGTAAAACCTCAGAAAATGTAAATATCTGCTCAAGAACAATTTAAAAATTCAGAACAGAAAATTCAGAAAAAGGCAAAAGCTAAAAAATGAAGTCTCTCTCTAATAATGAGATCACTACCTTCCATTTGCCAATGGAAGGGTGTGAAGACATTCAGGCTGATACATTTCTTTATAGATACTTATACAAACAGGTTTAAAATTCAGTGACATTAAACATGTATACATTCCAACATTGAACTGTTCCTATAAAAACCATCCCCATATAATCTAGGTTCTCCATCCTGTTATAATCATTCTCTTTCTCCCTTGGTAAATCCCAAAGTCTATTCTCTAATCAATATTATCCTAACTTTGTTATCCTAACTTGTGGTCTACCATGACAAGAGGGAAAAAAAAAATCAGTAACATGAGGATAGAACCAAATAACACTAAAAACTAAATCACAAACACACAGCCAAAAAAACCAGAATAATTAGATTGTTATAACTAAAAATAGCTAACACCAAAAGGCCATAATAGAGAAATGGAGGCTGGGTGTGGTGGTTTACATCTCTAATCCCAGCACTTTGGGAGGCCAAGGTGAGCGAATCACGAGGTCAGGAGCTCGAGACCAGCTGGGCCAACATGGTGAAACCTCATCTCTGCTAAAAATACAAAAATTAGCTGGGTGTGGTAGTGGGCACCTGTAATCCCAGCTACTCAGGAGACTGGGGTAGGAGAACTGCTTGAACCTGGGAGGTGGAGGCTGCAGTGAACCAAGATGGTGCCACTGTACTCCAGCCGGGCAACAGGGCAAGACTCTGTCTCCAAAAAAAAAAAAAGAGAGAGAGAGAAATGGGGGGAAAAAAAGACATGGGACACAGAAAACAGCAAAATGGGAGACATAAATCAACCATAGCAATAATTACATTAAACGTAAACAGACTAAACAATCAAAAAGCAACTGTCAGCTTAGGAAAAAAAGCAAGATCCAATTATATGCTATCTACAAGAGACACACTTCAGATTCTGAGACACAAACAGCTTCAAAATAAAAGAATGGAAAAAGATACACCAAGCAAACAGTAACCATAATAAAGCTACAGGGGCTATACTTTTATTTATATATCCTCTGTACTATGCAACTTTATCATGTGCAACTCTTTTAACAGGAGATAAATTATTGCCAATTATAGGGGGAAAGAAAAAGTGTCAAGAATCAAAGTAAAGAGAAAAGAAATGAATTACCATCTCAATTCAGCTTTACAAATACAGGTCATCTCCTACGTGATAGAACTGTATGTATATGTTACACTTTAAACACATATTTGACAATCTACCCACTCAGGTGTTGAAGGAAACTTATTTCTGGACCTACCAATAAAATGTGTTTTTTTTTTCCTCTTGGAGACAGAGTCTTGCTCTGTCGCCCAGGCTGGAGTGCAGTGGCATGATCTCGGCTCACTGCAACCTCCGCCTCCCACGTTCAAGTGATTCTCCTGCCTCAGCCTCCAGAGTAGCTGGGATTACAGGCAAGCGCCACCACGCCCAGCTAATTTTTGTATTTTTTTAGTAGAGACAGGGTTTCACCATGTTGGCCAGCCTGGTCTCTAACTACTGACCTCAAGTGATTCACCTGCCTCGGCCTCCCAAAGGGCTCGAATTACAGGCATGGGCCACCGTGCCTGGCCTAAAATGTGATTTAAAAAAAAAAAAAAAAAAACCTGGGGAGGGGCGTTCCAAGATGGCCAAATAGGAACAGCTCCGGCCTACAGCTTCCAGCGTGCTCAACGCAGAAGACGGGTGATTTCTGCATTTCCAACTGAGATACCTGGATCATTCACTGGGACTGCTTGGACAGTGGGTGCAGCCCACAGAGGGCTAGCTGAAGCAGGGCGTGCATCACCTCACCCTGGAAGAACAAGGGGTCAGAGGATTTCCCTTTCCTAGCCAAGGGAAGCCATGACAGACTACCTGGAAAAACGAGGCACTCCCGCCCAAATACTGCAATTTTCCCAAGGTCTTAGCAACTGGCAGACAAGGTGATTCTCTCCCATGCCTGGCTCCGCAGGTCCCACACCCACAGAGCCTTGCTCACTGCTAGCGCAGCAGTCTGAGATCAATCTGCTGAGGCAGCAGCCTGGCTGGGGGAGGGGCGTCCACCATTGCTGAGGCTTGAGTAGGTAGAAAAAGCACCCTGGAAGCTCAAACTGGGTGGAGCCCACGGCAGCTCAACAAGGCCTACTGCCTCTAGACTCCACCTCTCTGGGCAGGGCATGGCTGAACAAAAGGCAGCAGACAACTTCTGCAGACTTAAACATCCCTGTCTGACAGCTCTGAAGAGAGCACGGCATTTCACCTCTGAGAATGGACAGACTGCCTCCTCGAGTAGGTCCCTGACCCTCATGTAGCCTAACTGGGAGACACCCCTAGTAGGGGCCAACAGACACTTCATATAGACAGCTGCCACTCTGGGACGAAGCTTCCACAGGAAGCATCAAGCAGCAATATTTGCTGTTCTGCAGCCTCCACTGGTGATACCCAGGCAAACAGGGTCTGGAATGGACCTCCAACAAACTCCAACAGATCTGCAGCTGAGGGTCCTGACTGTTAGAAGGAAAACTAACAAACAGAAAGGAATAGTATCAACATCAACAAAAAGGTCATCTATACCAAAACCCCATCTGTAGATCACCAACATCAAAGACCAAAGGTAGATAAAACCACAAAGATGGGGAGAAACCAGAGCAGAAAAGCTGAAAATTCTAAAAATCAGAGTGCCTCTTCTCCTCCAAAGGATGGCAGCTCCTTGCCAGCAATGGAACAAAGCTGGATGGAGAATGACTGATGAGTTGACAGAAGTAGGGTTCAGAAGGTCAGTAAAAACAAACTTCTCCGAGCTAAAGGAGGATGTTCAAACCCATCGCAAGGAAGCTAAAAACCTTGAAAAAAGATTAGACAAATCGCTAACTAGAATAAACAGTGTAGAGAAGACCTTAAATGACCTGATGGAGCTGAAAACCATGGGACGAGAACTTCATTACACATGCACAAGCTTCAATAGCCAATTTGATCAAGTGGAAGAAAGGGTATCAGTGATTGAAGATCAAATTAATGAAATAAAGTGAGAGGACAAGGTTAGAGAAAAAAGAGTAAGAAGAAACAAACAAAGCCTCCAATAAATATGGGACTATGTGAAAAGACCAAATCTACATTTGATTGGTGTACCTTAAAGTGATGGGGAGGATGAAACCCAGTTGGAAAACACTCTTCAGGATATTATCCAGGAGAACTTCCCCAACCTAGCAAGGCAGGCCAACATTCAAATTCAGGAAATACAGAGAACACCACAAAAATACTCCTTGAGAAGAGCAAACCCAAGACACATAATTGTCAGATTCACCAACGCTGAAATGAAGGAAAAAGTGTTAAGGGCAGCCAGAGAGAAAGGTCAAGTTACCCACAAAGGGAAGCCCATCAGACTAACAGCGGATCTCTCGGCAGAAACCCTACAAGCCAGAAGAGAGTGGGGGCCAATATTCAACATTCTTAAAGAAAAGAATTTTCAACTCAGAATTTCATAGCCAGCCAAACTAAGCCTCATAAGTGAAGGAGAAATAAAATCCTTTACAGACAAGCAAATGCTGAGAGATTTTGTCACCACCAGGCCTGCCTTACAAGAGCTCCTGAAGGAAGCACTAAACATGGAAGGGAACAACTGGTACCAGCCACTGCAGAAACAAGCCAAATTGAAAAGACCATCAATGCTATGAAGAAACTGCATCAATTCATGGGCAAAATAACCAGCAAACATCATAATGACAGGATCAAATTCACACATAGCAACATTAACCTTAAATGTAAATGGGCTAAATGCCCCAATTAAAAGACATAGACTGGCAAATTGGAAAAAGAGTCAAGACCCATCAGTGTGCCGTATTCAGGAGACCCATCTCACGTGCAAAGACGCACACAGGCTCAAAATAAAGGGACGGAGGAAGATCTACCAAACAAATAGAAAGCAAAAAAAAAAGCACGGGTTGCAATCCCAGTCTCTGATAAAACAGACTTTGAACCAACAAAGATCTAAAGAGACAAGGAAGGCCATTACATAATGGTAAAGGGATGAATTCAACAAGAAGAGCTAACTATCCTAAATATATATGCACCCAATACAGGAGCACCCAGATTCCTAAAGCAAGTCCTTAGAGACCCACAAAGAGACTTAGACTCCCACACAATGATAATGGGAAACTTTAACAACCCACTGTCAATATTAGATAGATCAATGAGACACAGGTTAACAAGGATATCCAGGACCTGAATTCAGCTCTGCAAAAAGCAGACCTAATAGACATCTACAGAACTCTCCACCCCAAAGCAACAGAATATACATTCTGCTCAGCACATTGCACTTATTCTAAAATTGACCACATAATTGGAAGTAAAGCACTCCTCAGCAAATGAAAAAGAACAGAAATCATAACAAACTGTCTCTCAGACCACAGTGCAATCAAATTAGAACTCAGGATTAAGAAACTCAAATCAAAACCGCACAACTACATGGAAACTTAACAACCTGCTCCTGAATGACTACTGGGTAAATAACGAAATGAAGGCAGAAATAAAGATGTTCTTTGAAACAAATGAGAACAAAAACACAACATACCAGAATCTCTGGGACACATTTAAAGCAGTGTGTAGAGGGAAATTTATAGCACTAAATGCCCACAAGAGAAAGCAGGAAAGATCTAAAATGGACATCCTAACATCACAATTAAAAGAACTAGAGAAGCAAGAGCAAGCAAATTCAAAAGCTAGCAGAAGGCAAGAAATAACTAAGATCAGAGCAGAACTGAAAGACAGAGAGACACAAAAAACCTTCAAAACATCAATTAAATCCAGGACCTGGTTTTTTGAAAAGATCAACAAAATTGATAGACCACGAGCAAGACTAATAAAAAAGAAAGGAGAGAAGAATCAAATAGATGCAATAAAAAATGATAAAGGGGATATCACCACCAATCCCACAGAAATACAAACTACCATCAGAGAATACTATAAACACCTCTACACAAATAAACTAGAAAATCTAGAAGAAATGGATAAATTCCTGGACACATACACTCTCCCAAGACTAAACCAGGAAGAAGTTGAATCTCTGAACAGACCAATAGCAGGCTCTGAAATTGAGGCAATAATAGCCTACCAAACAAAAAAAGTCCAGGACCAGATGGATTCACAGCCAAATTCTACCAGAGGTACAAAGAGGAGCTGGTACCATTCCTTCTGAAACTATTCCAAGCAATAGAAAAAGACGGAATCCTCCCTAACTCATTTTATGAGGCCAACATCATCCTGATACCAAAGCCTGGCAGAGACACAACAAAAAAAGAGAATTTTAGACCAATATCCCTGATGAACATCGATGTGAAAATCCCCAATAAAATATTGGCAAACCGAATCCAGCAGCACGTCAAAAAGCTTATTATTCACCACAATCGAGTTGGCTTCATCCCCGGGATGCAAGGCTAGTTCAACATACTCAAATCGATAAACGTAATCCATCACATAAACAGAACCAATGACAAAAACTACATGATTATCTCAATAGATGCAGAAAAGGCCTTTGACAAAATTCAACAACCTTCATGCTAAAAACTCTCAATAAACGAGGTATTGATGGAATGTATCTCAAAATAATAAGAGCTATTTATGACAAACCCACAGCCAATATCATACTGAATGGGCAAAAGCTGGAAGCATTCCCTTTGAAAACCAGCACAAGAGAAGGATGTCTTCTCTCACCACTCCTATTCAACATAGTGTTGGAAGTTCTGGCCAGGGCAATCAGGCAAGAGAAAGAAATAAAGGGTATTCAATTAGGAAAAGAGGAAGTCAAATTGTCCCTGTTTGCAGATGACATGACTGTATATTTAGAAAATCCCATCATCTCAGCCCAAAATCTCCTTAAGCTGATAAGCAACTTCAGCAAAGTCTCAGCATACAAAATCAATGTGCAAAAATCACAAGCATTCTTATATATCATTAACAGACAAACAGCCAAATCATGAGTGAACTCCCATTCACAATTGCTACAAAGAGAATAAAACACCTAGGAATCCAACTTACAAGAGATATGAAGGACCTCTTCAAGGAGAACTACAAACCACTGCTCAACGAAATAAAAGAGGACACAGCAAATGGAAGAATATTCCATGCTCATGGATAGGAAGAATCAATATAGTGAAAATGGCCATATTGCCCAAAGTAATTTATCCATTCAACGCCATCCCCATCAAGCTACCAATGGACTTTCTTCACAGAATTGGAAAAAACTACTTTAAAGTTCATATGGAACCAAAAAAGAGCCCGCATTGCCAAGATAATCCTAAGCAAAAAGAACAAAGCTGGAGGCATCACACTACCTGACTTTAAACTATACTACAAGGCTACAGTAACCAAAACAGCATGGTACTGGTACCAAAACAGAGACATAGACCAATGGAACAGAACAGAGCCCTCAGAAATAACACCACATATCCACAACCATCTCATCTTTGACAAACCTGACAAAAACAAGAAATGGGGAAAGGATTCCCTATTTAATAAACGGTCCTGGGAAAACTGGCTAGCCACATGTAGAAAGCTGAAACTGGATCCCTTCCTTACACCTTATACAAAAATTAATTCAAGATGGATTAAAGACTTAAATGTTAGACTTAAAACCATAAAAACCCTAGAAGAAAACCTAGGCAATACCATTCAGGACACAGGCATGGGCAAGGACTTCATGACTAAAACACCAAAAGCAATGGCAACAAAAGCCAAAATAGACAAATGGGATCTAATTAAACTGAAGAGCTTCTGTACAGCAAAAGAAACTACCATCAGAGTAAACAAGCAACCTACAGAAGGGGAGAAAATTTTTGCAATCTATCCATCTGACAAAGGGCTAATATCCAGAATCTACAAAGAACTCAAACAAATTTACAAGAAAAAAACAAACAACCCCATCAAAAAGTGGGCAAAGGATATGAACAGACACTTCTCAAAAGAAGACATTTATGCAGCCAACAGACACATGAAAAAATGCTCATCATCACTGGCCATCAGAGAAATGCAAATCAAAACCACAATGAGATACCATCTCACACCAGTTAGAATGGCGATCATTAAAAAGTCAGGAAACAGGTGCTGGAGAGGATGTGGAGAAATAGGAACACTGTTACACTGTTGGTGGGACTGTACACTAGTTCAACCATTGTGGAAGTCAGTGTGGCGATTCCTTAAGGATCTAGAAGTAGAAATACCATTTGACCCAGCCATCCCATTACTGGGTATATACCCAAAGGATTACAAATCATGCTACTGTAAAGACACGTTCACACGTATGTTTATTGCGGCAGTATTCACAATAGCAAAGACTTGGAACCAACCCAAATGTCCATCAATGATAGACTGGATTAAGAAAACGTGGCACATATACACCATGGAATATTGTGCAGCCAGAAAAAACGATGAGTTCATGTCCTTTGCAGGGACATGGATGAAGCTGGAAACCATCATTCTCAGCAAACTATCACAGGGATAGAAAACCAAAAACCACGTGTTCTCACTCATAGGTGAGAAGTGAACAATGAGATCACTTGAACACAGGGCGGGGAACATCACACACTGGGGCCTGTCAGGGGGTGGGGGGCTGGAGGAGGGATAGCATTAGGAGAAATACCTAATGTAAATGAGCTGATGGGTGCAGCAAATCAACATGGCACATGTATACCTATGTATGAAACCTGCATGTTGTGCACATGTACCCTAGAACTTAAAGTGTAATAAAATAAAAAATTAAAAAAAAAAAACCTTATGGTGTCAAACTCGTTATAGGGGGAAAAAACACGCATTCAGTGAGGTGAGTTGAAGAAAAGAAAAAAAAAATCAGCTTCTAGACTTTTTTTTTTTTTTTTGAGATACTGTTTCACCCTCGTTGCCCAGGCTGGAGTGCAATGGCGCAATCTCGGCTCACTGCAACCTCTGCCTCCTGGATTCAAGTGATTATCCTGCCTTAGCCTCCCAAGTAGCTAGGATTACAGGCATGTGCCACCACGCCCAGTTAATTTTTTATATTTAGTAGAGACGGGGTTTCACCATGTTGGTCAGGCTGGTCTCAAAATCCTGACTTCAGGTGATCCACTGGCCTCGGCCTCCCAAAGTGCTGGGATTACAGGTGTGAGCCCCCGCGCCCAGCCATCTTCTAGACTTTTTTTTTTTTTTTTTTGAGACGGAGTCTCGCTCTGTCACCCAGGCTGGAGTGCAGTGGCATGATCTCAGCTCACTGCAACCTCCGCTTCCCAGGTTCAAGCAATTCTCTGCCTCAGCCTCCTGAGTAGCTGGGATTACAGGCGCCCACCACCATACTCGGCTAATTTTTGTATTTTTAGTAGAGACGTGGTTTCACCATCTTGGCCAGGCTGGTCTTGAACTCCTGACCTCGTGATCCACCCACCTCGGCCTCACAAAGTGCTGGGATTACAGGCGTGAGCCACCACGCCCATCCTGGATTTTATAACAGAAAGAACTAGGCAAAAATATTAAACTGGAGTTAAAATTTTGAACTAATTAAATTAGCTTTTTTTTTTTTCCTTTTTTTTAAGAGACAGGTTTTTCTTCTGTCACTCCTGGCTTCAGGCAACCTTTCCACCTTGGCCTCTCAAAGTTCTGGGATTACAGGTGTGAGTCATTGCACTCAGCTTAAATTAGTTTTAAAATGCAGAGCTGGCCGGGCGCAGTGACTCACGCCTGTAATCCCAGCACTCTGGGAGGCCGAGACAGGGGATCACCTGAGGTCGGGAGTTCGAGACCAGCCTGACCAACATGGAGAAACCCCATCTCTACTAAAAATACAAAATTAGCTGGGCGTGGTGGTGCATGCCTGTAATCCCAGCTACTTGGGAGGTTGAGGCAGGGGAATCGCTTGAACCCGGGAGGTGGAGGTTGCAGTGAGCCAAGATCGTGCCACTACACTCTAGCAGGGGCGACAGGAACAAAACTCCTCTCAAAGGAAAAAAAAAATGCTGAGTTAATGGCCAGGCACAGTGGCTCACGCCTGTAATCCCAGCACTTTGGGAAGCCGAGGCAGGCAGATCACCTGAGGTCAGGAGTTCAAGACCATCCTGTCCAACATGGTGAAACCCTGTCTCTACAAAAATACAAAAATTAGCCGGGCATAATAGCGGGTGCCTGTAATACCAGCTACTCGGAAGGCTGAGGCAAGAGAATTGCTTGAACCCAGGAGGTGGAGGTTGCGGTGAGCTAAGCTCGCGCTCCAGCCTAGGTGACAGAGTGAGATTCCTTCTCAAAAAAAAAAAAAAAAAAAGAGTTAAATAATTTTTCAAAGTATTCTGAATTCTTCGTTTTCAAAACTGAAGATTATTTATACTGCCAAATCCTACGTATTTAATATTTTAAGTTAATGTGATCCCTTAAGATAGTTTTCAATGCAAAAGCTAAATCAGCTTGGGGGTAAGCAAAAGTTTGGATAAATCTGCACCTCTTCTTCTGGCAGAATCTTTCTCCGCCCATCCTTCACCGGAAATCCACTTCCAAAGTCTTTTGAGGAGATATCTGCTCCATATTCCACAATAACATCTTCTTCAATGCTGCTTACCAGCCGCCAAAATTCCTTTTCTACTAGTTCTGTGGGAACCATCTACACAGGGAAAAAAAAGATGACAAATTATTAAACCACTATAACTATAACCCATATAACATAATACACAGGATCAAGTAAACACAAACCCATGATGAGATTAAAAATCTTCTGATTCCCTAGAGCAGTAAAGACCGAGATCCTAGCTTTTTCCAATGAGAACAGGGAAAAGCTGAGACAACTCGGACGTTCAGAAAAACATAATGAACTGTGCTGCCCTTTTCCGAAAGAAACTGTTTCCCAAGTACGGACAAAGATGAACTAGGAAATCAAGGAGGAACAAGGAAATGTAAACAGCAAGATTAAATTTTTTTAATAGCTTCTATTTTATGCCTTTTATGATTTTAACACAAAATTTCATTTTCTTTTTGTTTTTAATTATACTTTAAGTTCTACATTGGGTATTTCTCCTAATGCTATCCCTCCCCTAGCCCCCTACTCCCGGACAGGCCCCGGTGTGTGATGTTCCCCTTCCTGTGTCCGTGTGTTCTCATTGTTCACCTCCCACTTATGAGTGAGAACGTGGGGTGTTTAGTTTTCTGCTCCTGTGTTAGTTTGCTGGAAATGATGGTTTCCAGCTTCATCCATGTCCCTGCAAAGGACATGAACTTATCCTTTTTTATGACTGCATAGTATTCCATGGTATATATGTGCCACATTTTCTTCATCCAGTCTATCATTGATGGGCATCTGGGTTGGTTTCAAGTCTTTAAAGCAACACTAGATTTTAATAACTATAGCAAATTTTTTTGACAGGGACTAAAAAAGCCTAAGATATCCTAGGAAAAGAAGCAAACCCCACAGTAAAAATAACTAAAGAAAAGCAGCAACTGCCCAATACTTTACGCTTTTCTGTAAAGGATTACTCATACAGGGCTAAAATAACAATTCAAGCATCAAAATAGACAGCTGGGCGTGGTGGCTCACATCTGTAATCCCAACACTTTGGGAGGCCAAGGCAGGCAGATCACTTGAGGTCAGGAGATCGAGACCAGCCTGGGCGACAGAGTGAAATCCCGTCTCTATTAAAAATACAAAAATTGGCTGGGCGCAGTGGTTCATGGCTATAATCCCAGAACTTTGGGAGGCCGAGGCGAGTGGATAACCTGAGGTCAGGAGTTCAAGACCAGCCTGACCAATATGGTGAAACCCCATCTCTACTAAAAACACAAAAATTAGCTGGGTATGGTGGCAGGCGCCTGCAGTCCCAGCTACTCGGGAGGCTGAGGCAGGAGAATTACTTGAACCTGGGAGGCAGAGGTTGCAGTGAGCCGAGATTGTGCCACTGCACTCCAGCCTGGGCGACAAAGCAAGACTCCGTCTCAAAAAAAAAAAAAAAAAAAAAAAAAAAGAGGAAACTGAAGGCTTTGTACTCAGGTAAATCTTTGTACCTCCCCGGACCGACCTAAAAGATAGCTTACTCACATGGACTGGCATATTAAAATAATCAGACTTAAAATTATCTGCCATCTCTCCAAAGCTCTGAAGTGTATACTCTCGTACAGCTTGTTCAAATCCAAAGGCTTCTCGAGGTTTGCTACATTCCTGGAAAGAAAAAATATGTAAGATTAACTTACTGAAACTAAACTGAAGAAAGCTTTAAGGCTCTTAGTTACTAAATTCTTTGATCATTTCCCTAGGTAAAGTAAATCCAGTCAACCCTAGACAACAAAACAAATATCAGCTACTTACAATACCGTATCAGGAAGTTATTTTCTAGAGCCTCAACTTCACTGTCACAGCCTTCCAATAGGAAGGTAGTACTAAGATGGCTTTAGATCCAGAGGTAGCATTAAGTTCTGGCACTAAGACAAGCATCTAAAGGACTACTGACTTGGAATCATGCCTAGGGATGCCTAACATTCTTGGCATACCCAGTGGTTTTGGCCATGGAGGAAACAAATGTTCATGGAGGAAGGAAAGGTAATGGATAAGGGGATAGCCACTGGATTGTGAGGATATCAGACTAAGAGAATAGTTTGTTCACACTGCCAATCACTATGACCAATGTCTTAACACAAATACTCACTTAGAGTAGAACTGCCTCTGAATCTTTCAACCTGGAGAATAGTAAATAAGTGATAATTCAAAGGCCATAAAAGACCTTTGAATGCATTTACATACACCCAGCTAACTCCTTCTCTTTAATGTCCTATCACAGCATTTTGTTAAAATAAGTAAACAGACAAGGCATTTCACGACAATGACAACACTGTAAGCTTTCACTAAGAAAAATTTAGCACAGTCAAGTAAAAATTGGGGCAAGCTAAAAGATACCATCAGGGCCCGGCACAGTGGCTCGTGTCTGTAATCCCAGCACTTTGGAAGGTCAAGGCAGGTGGACCACTTGAGTCCAGGAGTTTAGACCAGCCTGGCCAACATGGTAAACCTTGTCTCTACAAAAAATACAAAAATTAGCTGGGCGTGGTGGCATACATCTGTAGGGAGGCTGAGCTGGGAGTATCACCTGAGCCCAGAAGCCAGAGGCTGCAGTGAGCTGAGACCGCGCCACTGCACTGCAGACTGAGCGAGAGGCTGTAGACCGTCTCAAAAAAGTAAATAAATAAATACTAAATAAATAAAAGATACCGTCAGTTTATTTAATAGCATGAAATTGGATGCATAAATCCCAAGTTCTACAGCTTCATGTCTAGTTATACTTTAATTAATAGAGAAAAAACTATGTTTTTCTTCATTTTTATTGTTGCCCAGCAATATTTATTCTAAGTCAAGTCTCATTATCTGCAGCAATAAACAGAATGACCTAACCAACAGTTAGAAAAAGAATCTTTGAAAGGCAAGCTACCACAATACAATTGTTACATTTCCATTCAATATAGATATTTTAAGTCCTGGAAATTGGCCAGGCATGGTGGCTCAAGCCTGTAATCCCAGCACTCTGGGAAGCCGAGACAGGCAGATTACGAGGTCAAGAGACCGAGACTATCCTGGCCAACATGGTGAAACCATGGTCTCTACTAAAAATACAAAAATTAGCTGGGCGTGGTGGCTCGCGCCTGTAGTCCCAGCTACTTCGGAGGCTGAGGCAGGAGAATCACTTGAACCCGGGAGGTGGAGGTTGCAGTGAGCTGAGATCACACCATTGCATTCCAGCCTGGCGACAGAGTGAGACACCATCTCAAAAAAAAAAAAAAAAGTCCTGGAAATTTTAAACACTACATAATGAAGACAGAATGACAAAAGGAAACATATTTGGGAATATGTTTATATGTAGGTGTATATGCATGTATTATTATTTTTAGTTAAAAAAGGATCCATAGAGGTTAGACGTGTACCTCGGCGACACATTTAGGACACCTCCAGTCTCCTTTGGGCACATCAGGTAGTGGAGGAATTAGACAAAATGTATGATAGCTGTCATCACATCCATCACACAAAAGCAATTTATCTTCATTGTTTCCCCGACCACAAAACATACAAACATAGAGATCAACCTGTTAAAAAAAAAATAAATGAAAGTCTATTTTCTATAATAAATAATAAATTTTTACCAGGAACTCCTTAGCTGAAATAAACAAAATAATGCAACTGAAAAGTAAACATAACTTAAATCCTGAATGTCTATTTCAAGTAATTGTATTTAAACAGCTTTTCATAAAACTCCCTAAATTTCCTTCCAGAGTTTTTACAAGCAAGTTAATAGCAAGTTAATAAAGGTGTATCAAGTTGTTAGAATAAAGACTACAGGCCAGGCACAGTGGCTCACGCCTGTAATCCCAGCACTTTGGGAGCCACAGTGGGCAGATCACGAGGTCAGGAGATTGAGACCATCCTGGCTAACACAGTGAAACCCCGTCTCTACTAAAAATACAAAAAATTAGCCAGGCATGGTGGCAGGTGCCTGTAGTCCCAGCTACTCGGGAGGCTGAGGCAGGAGAATGGCATGAGCCCGAGAGGTGGAGCTTGCAGTGAGCCGAGATCGCACCACTGCACTCCAGCCTGGGCAACAGCAAGACTCCGTCTCAAAAAAAAAAGGAAAGACTACAAATCTAGGGCATTTGAAAATCAATTTACATGTATTTTTAAAAATACCATGTCCTTCTTCCCATATACAAATCCTCTTTGATAGAGAATGAATACTGAGACTGTCTATAATAGAACTCAACGACTTACACAGATTCATTTTCATGCTCTCACTTGGTTCCCCATAAGGTGTATGACTTACAGGAAGCAGCCTACGTATGTAGGACAGAGCCAGGTTAACAACATAAACAAAAGCTGTAACTTCACAGATGTGCCATCAAGTCTTCTAACCAAACGAGCTAACTAAACACATACCATGATATATCAGGATAGAAAGTGCAAAACTATAATAAAAATAAATCCTTTCCCTCCTGACAGACCCCAAAACACTTACAAAGTTAACAGAGAGAGTGCCTTTCCGTTGTCTCATTTGCATGTTAAATGCGTCTGACCTGTTGGTAACTTTTCGTCTTCGGGTGACCTCATCTTGAAATAAAAAGTTACACAATAATAGTAAAAACCAATGTTGAGAGCTTACTATGGACCAGACACTATTTAAAATTATTTAAATTAGTTAAAATCTTACAACTGTTTATCTAGAGGTAGATATACTATTTATTATCTCTCACTGAAGATGAAGAACCTGAGGTACAGCAAAGTTAGTAACTTGCTCAAAATCATACAGCAAGGCAAATTTAAGATTCTAATCCAGTCACGTAAGATCCAGAGAGCTTACCCATTAATGTTGTATGTGTATGCAGTACGTACTACATACAACCTGCAGGTATTACTTGGAGGAACTCCCAAATTAGGGACTAATTTCTAAGACTGTTGACAGCCAATACTATAATTACAAGAGTAACAAAAATAAAGTACTTAATTCTTAAAAAGGAAATATTATTATTACAATGTATTTAGTAAGTCTTATTACATGGGATGTTTTAAGAGAGATGGAACAATATTATTTAATCTTCTAGAGTTCAGTCCACTATCTGAATTGTATGACTTTACACATCTAAGTACACAGTAATTAGTCTTTGTGACTGTAGCATTTCATTAAGTTCTCATATAGTCAAAACATATCCAGCCTAATCTTTGTTAAACAGTTTTATAATTGACATGTTACATAGAGAGAACAGTGGAACTTGATCTTTGCATGAGCAGTCCTACTGACAAAAAACTTCCAAACGTGAAGCCGAGAGTAACAGACTTACTAAAGAAAACAGTTTATTCAAATGAACTGACATAATATATCAAGGGCAATTACTTTAAAAATTAAAATTATGGTTAGAATTTTAAAATTCTAAACTTCTCCCAGTGTATGTCGATACTAAGAGTTACAAGCTTTAGCTCACGAGGTAAGAACCATTAATTCCATCATTCTCTCATAAACCAGCCTTCAGAAACTGCAATAAATTTGTGTGTCATATATTACACAGAGAAGGAAAATCCTCTCTTCCAAAATCATAAAAATTCAACATAACATTGCTCTTCACACCTGAAATTTAAGAGATCTGGCATTAAAAAAGGCGATTTGCCTAGGAACCACATTGCGATTTTACAATTCTTAAGAAATTCCCAGCACAGACTGCAATTCAAGTATCATTTGAGTTTTTTTACAATCATATTCTACCTTATCTCTTTTCATGATCAAACAACAAATTTTACCTTCTTTATCTTTTGTTCCCATTGCCAAGCCCACAACCTTGGGCCCAGCCCCAAAAATCTGAAGTTTCTTCAGTTCCGTGTTTCTACTCACATCTCCAGATTCTGACTAAAAAATAAGCAAAATTCACATTAGCATAATCATGCTGATTCATGCATTAATTTTTTTACCCAAGGAAAGTTTCAGAATCCTCTTCAACACGGAAGAACAAATTATTGGATTTCTTTTCTGTAAATCCACTCACTGCCTCATTACCACAGTTGAAAACGGTCACCAAAACACCATTCAACACCCAGATTCCTTTCCACAAAATAAAACTCGTGTATGACTCATAAAAGCATAGTTCTCAAGCTGTCTAAAGACAGACACTGCTGGTTATCACACAATAGAAATCCCCACTTCTAACTTCCTACCGGACACCTGTATTTGATTAGAGGGCATCTCAGGACATGAACTGTGACTGTCCTAAGCCAATCACACTAACCTCATTTTTCTTTGTTGGTGATGACATTAAAAAATTGTACTGGAAGCCCCTGGGAAAGACTGCCATCTTCTAATAAAAGGCGAATGGCCAGACACAATGGCTCACACCTGTAATCCCAACACATTGGAAGGCCAAGGCAGGTGATCATTTGAGCTCAGGAGTTACAGACCAGCCTGGACAACACAGGGGAGACCCCATCTCTACAAAAAGTACAAAAATTAGCCAGGCATGGTGGTGTGCATCTGTAGTCCCAGCTACTTGGGAGGCTGAGGCTGGAGATCACTTGAGTTTGAGAGGTTGAGGCAGTGAGGCGAGATCACGCTGCTGCACTCCACCCTGGGTGACAGACAAGCGAGACCCTGAATCAATCCATCAATGGGAAAGCTTCTCCCAGCCTGGGCAACATAGTGACCCCCGTTTCTACCAAAAAAAAAAAAATTAGCTGGGCATGTTGGCACACACCTGAAGTCCTAGCTACCCAGGAGACTGAGGCAGGAAGATCACTTGAAGCCCTGGAGTTCAAGGCTGCAGCAAGCCATGATTGTCCTACCACACCCCAGCCTGGGTGACACAAAAAGACCCTGTCTTTAAAAAAAAAAAGAGGAAAGCATCTTAAAGAATAAGTCCTTCTGGAGGCTGGGCACGGTGGCTCATGCCTGTAATCCCAGCACTTTGGGAGGCCGAGGCGGGCGGATCACAAGGTCAGGAGTTCTAAACCAGCCCGCCCAATATGGTGAAACCCCGTCTCTACTAAAAATACAAAAATTAGCCAGGCATGGTGGCGCACGCCTATAGTCCCAGCTACTTGGGAGGCTGAAGCAGAAGAATTACTTGAACCCAGGAGGTGGAGGTTGCAGTGAGCTGAGATTGCACCACTGCACTCCAGCCTGGGCGACAGAGCAAGACTCAGTCTCAAAAAAAAAAAAAAAAAAAAAAAAAAAGCCCTTTTGCCCCAATTCCCTTCCTTCCTGCTAAAGGACTCCGTCTGGTGAAAACATGGTGCTAGACTCTGCAACAGCCATACTACAACTGGGAGGAAATTTATCACCCACACACCGAAGAAAGCAAGGCAGAAAGATGGAAAGAGCCTGGGCCCTTCACCAATCCTAGAGCTACTTACCTCTGAAAATCTTATGTAAAAATGTGTGCTTATGTGAAAAATTTGTTATTAATGTTTAAGCTACTAATACTTGTTTAATGTTTAAGTTCTAATACTTGAAAGTGAGAGCATCCTGACAGATTCTGGTATTCAATCTTGAATTAAGATTAACCATATTCTCTGAATATAGACTAATAGCCAAAATTTATTTTAAATGTGTAAATAAAGAATAAGCATGAAAATAACCCAGGATAAAATACAGACTACTTTATAAGTCTGTGGTTACATAACAAATGATGTATGCAATCTAGACTAATAAAAGATCATATAAGTACAAAACCTAAATGCCATTTCAATATTTATCTTTAAACTTTTGTAGACTGATTTGGTTACACTAACCAACTTCTACTGTTAGTCGAACAATAAATATAACACTACACATTCTTTACCATTATTAAAGCAGAGTATATAACAATAAAGCTGATATATGTTGAGTAAATAGTATATGCCATATCTAAGTACTTTAATCAATTAGTCCTTACAACAACCTTTTCAGAAAAGCAATAAAGGTCCAAAAAGTAGAATAAAACAGCATTCTTTGATCTAAAACTCAAAATAACAAAATTAAAAAGGACCTTCCACCTGAACATTTTAACTCTCTACTTAAAAAATAACAAAGGCCAGGCATGATGACTCACACTTGTAAATCCCAGCACTTTGGGAGGCTGAGGCGGGTGGATCACAAGGTCCGTAATTCAAGACCAGCCTGGACAATATGGTGAAACCCTGCTTCTACTAAAAATACAAAAATTAGCCACACATGGTGGCAGGTGCCTATAACCCCAGCTACTCACAAGGCTGAGGCAGGGAACTGCTTGAACCCGGAAGGCAGACATTGCAGTGAGCTGAGATCATGCCACTGCACTCCAGCCTGGGCGACAGAGCAAGACTCCATCTCAAAAAAATAAATAAATAATAAAAAATAAAAAAAAACAATAAAAAGACTACATATTAGATCTCTAGAACAAATTAAAGCAGTGATCACAGGAAATTTTACAGTCTTAAACACTTCAATAAAAACAAAAGAATAAAATTAAACTCCCAACTCAGAACACTAGGAAAAAACTAGAAGATAAACCAAAAGAACTGTGGTGCTGGATTAGAGCTGGATTAGAGTGTGAATGCAAAATATCAAGTCATCACTTTTTAAAAATTTATTTTCTAGCCCTGACCATTTAAAAGAGCCTAGAAGCAATGACATCCCAGTGGGAACAAGCACACCGTGTGCTCACATCATGGTTTCTAAATACCATTTCAAATACATAAATGAACCAGGATCCCTAGGAAAAACTTCAGACATAATAGCAGCCAGCACTTGTTTAAAGATTGGACATGGCATATAGGGAAATAAAGAAATCAAGGAGTTTGATTCATTTGATTCATTCAAAGGCTTTTACAGCTGGGCACAGTGGCTCATGCCTGTAATCGCAGCACTTTGGGAGGCTAAGGCAGGCAGATCACTCGAGCCCAGAGACCAACCTGGGCAACATGGCAAAACCCTGTCTCTACAAACATACAAAAATTAGCTGAGTGGTGGTATGTACTTATGGTCCCAGCTACCTGGGAGGCTGAGGTGGGAGGATGGCTTTAGCCCAGGAGGCAGAGGTTGCGATTAACCAAGACTGCGCCACTGCACTCCAGCCTGGGTGACAGAGCCACACACTGCCTCAAAAAAAAAAAAAGGGTGGGGGGGAGTGGGAGGGAAGGAGGAAGGGATGAAGGGAAGAAGGGAGGGAGGGAGAAGGGAGGCAAGGAGGGAGGGAGGGAGGAAAGGAGGGAGGGAGGAAACAAGGAAGGAAGGAAGAGGTGATAATACATTATCTTTCAGATGTATTGAATTTGGCATAACCATGCTGTAGCCAATAAGGAGTACACATGTATACATACACACACCCCTGATGAAAAGAAAAGGATAGATTTGGGCCGGGTGTGATGGCTCACACCTATAATCCCAGCACTTTGGGAGGCTGAGGCAGGCAGATCACTTCAGGCCAGTTTGAGACCAGCCTGGCCAAAATGGTGAAACCCTGTCTCTACTAAAAATATAAAAAATGAGCCAGGCATAGTGGCATGTGCCTGTAATCCCAGCTACTCAGGAGGCTGGGGAAGGAGAATCGTTTGAACCCGGGAGGCAGAGGTCACAGTGAGCCAAGATCATGCCACTGCACTCCAGCCTGGGAGTTACAGCAAGACTCTGTCTTAAAAAAAAAAGACAAGATTTGAGAGTTCTGAGCATTACAGGCAGTACTTGAAATCACATGCAGATGAGACAGCTAAGGAGAGTGAAGATAGAAAAGGACCAAAGATACAAAATAAAGGGAAGAGAAAAGAGATAACAAAGATGACTAAGGAGTGGTCAGAATATAAGGAGGAAAACCAGAAGAGAAAGGTATCACACAAATGAAAGAAAAATCAAGTTAATCTCAATTTCAAGGACAGGAGTCACCAACCACATTAAACATATACATGACCAGAGATCAATTAAGATATGAAATGAAAAGGAGAATCTCAGAATTTGACAATTAAAAACTCAGTGGTAACTTGGACAGTGCAGTTTCAATAAAATTACTTAGCTCAAAGTTAGATTATAGAGTATAAAAACTAAACAGATGTTGAGGAAACTGAGACAATAAAGACTATTTGTCAAGAAACTTCTGTGTGAAAAGAGGCAAGGATAAGGCATCATGTAAGAAGAGGGCTTTTATGTTTAAGATGATAGAGACTTAAATACATATTGGGAGGAATGGAATTCAACAGACAGAGTAGGTGGGAGAGAAAGATTTCTCAGTATGCTGAAATCACTAAAGATGCCAGAAGGGATGGAAGAGGAGGGATTATCCTTGAAGAGAAAGGTACACTTTGCCCACAGAGATAGACAAAGACTAAGTATGAATACCAGTAGTTTTGTGTACGGGGCAAGAAGCTGAAGTTCTACCAGAAAGCCTTTATTTTCTTTCTGAAATAGAAAACTAGGAATGAACGACAGACATTCAACAGAATAATTAAGTACAAATTAGGAGTTGAAAAAATTCTTAATTTCAAATCCTGAAATAGTTTATCAACCAATCTGAATACAGTGACAACTATCACAAAGGGTAAAAGCATTCCATGCAGCACCCCCCTCCATTTTTTTTTTTCTGGAGACGGAGTCTTGCTCTGTCGCCCAGACTGGACTGCAGTGGCGAGATCCTGGCTCTCTGTAAGCTCCGCCTTCCAGGTTCATGCCATTCTCCTGCCTTAGCCTCCCGAGTAGCTGGGACTACAGGTGCCCACCACCACGCCCGGCTAATTTTTTGTATTTTTAGTAGAGACGGGATTTCACCGTGTTAGCCAGGATGGTCTTGATCTCCTGAACTCGTGATCTGCCCACCTCAGCCTCCCAAAGTGCTAGGATTACAGGCGTGAGCCACCATGCCCGGCCTGTAGTCCCCATTTTTATAATAAAGAAAAGCATTAGGAATAGGCAAGACATCTTCATGGTTTCAAGGTGAACATCAAAAAAAATTTCATCACAAGCTGGTGATTGGTTAGATGGACAGGAGCAATTGGGGCAACTCTTCAAAGCAGAATCACCATGTCAAAGGGACTAGCAATCAGTGTTTACCCAAATCACTGTATACCCAAAGATGATCAGAACTTCTGAGACCAATCACACTAATAAAAATGACTTAATGACTAAACCAGAGTTTACTAATTCATAATGAGGTTATCACTTTCCAATGAATTTCCATGAAAGTCACATTCCTATCCAGGATACCTACCTTTCTACTTTCAAAAGGTACCTAAGAAGCTGAGTATTCAGAAAACATAAACTCAGAAAAAGAAAGGCAGAAATGGCATAACGGAGAGATAGTCCCTGATCTGTAGAAAAGCAAGATGAAGTATTAATAGTCTGCCTCTCCAGACCTCTCCTCTACACAACCCCAGATTCAGTGTCTCTTGTTAACAGCAGTTTTATCCTGCTTCTCTGACACCCACTTTTGATGCTAATCATTCCCATCTCTATACTACATTGTTTCCTTAAACGTTAAAATCAATGATTAGGATTCCGTGAAGGTGCTTTTCCTGTCTATCTATATGTTAACGTACATGGATTAAATCTTAGGAGTTCTAAGGGCACCTCACTTTCTCAGTCTCCAAACTTGTCTTTACTAAAAAACTTAAAAGACCACAGAGAAAAGGAAACAGGGGTTTGAAAGAGAAGCAAAGCTTGGGGAAAAAAAAGAAAAGAAAGAAACAAAAGGAAGAAATAAACAGGGGAAGGGGGGAATCAGACAAAAAATAAATTAGGGCATTTTTCTTCTGATGTATTAGGCTTTGAAATTATTTTAGGTTACATGAACACTACAGTAGTTAAACTGGAATGGCTCAGACACTAAGAAATTTATACTCTGGTTTTTAAAGGAATGGCAGGTGAAAAATAAAACCTATTCATCTCACTTCTGCTAACCATAAAAATAAAATGCACTAGAATTCACCAGCATGTCTATAAAATTGGCACTACAGTATCCGGGGTCACCCTCTTATTTGTCATCCCTGTCAAAAACTACTAAAAAATTAACAAAGAACTTTCTAAATCAAATTACGCCACATTTCACAATTTATTCTCCATTCATCTCAAAGGTAAATGAAAAATATGGCTCAAGGTTTAAAGAACAACAGTATATGAGTGGCCTCCCGTGACCAGGTAACTGTTCCACACAGTTCATGCATTTAAAACTCCCACGAGAAATGGCCCATGAGCCAGGCACAGCAGCGCATACCAACCAGCAATACTCAAGAGGCGGAGGCAAGAGGATCACTTGAGCCAAGGAGTTCAAGGCTAGCCTGGGCAACATCAGGAGACTACATCTTTATTTAAAAATTTAAAAAAGCCCAAGACATTGATACCTGAGTCTTCACACGTCTTGTTCTCTTCGGCAGAATGTTCATCCTTGTGCCTGGCTCTGGGGAAGTTTGGGTATCAGTGCTGAGAACCTCAGGCTCCACTTTTTCTTTAAGATCTAAATTAGGCATCTGCACACCCTAAAAGATCAGAGCACAGAAAGAGAGCAGGTTCACTGATAAGAAATCATGCTGGAGAATCAGTGTAAAAGTAATAAATTGCCAATGAATCCCTAAAACTAGACCGCAATTATTTCTCAAACTGACATACAGCTATCCCTACCAAAATCCTGGCAGGCTTTTTGTTGTTGTTAAAATTGAAAGCCGACCCTAAAATTTATTTGGAAATATAAGTTGTTTAGAAATTTTGAAAAAAAGAACAAAAAACTTACACTACTGAATATCAACATTTACCATAAAGCTACAGTACTCAAGACAATGTAGTACTGGTTTTAGGGTAGACATATAAATCAGTGCAACAAAAACAGAGTTCAGAAATAAACCCACACATTTATGGTCAACTGATCTCCAACAATGGTGGTGAGCTAAATCAGTGGGAAAAGGATAGCCTTTTAAACAAATGGCGCTGGTACTACTCAATATTCATATACCCCCTTCCCCACCAAAAAATAAACTTACATCTTCACCTCATACTATACACACAAAAAAAGCCTCAAAATGCATCACTGACCAAAATATAAAAGCCGAAATTGTAAAATTTCTACATTAAAGCAAAGAAGAAAATCTTTGTGACCTTGGAAAAGATTTCTTAAATATGACACCAAAAGCACAATCCATAGAAGGAAAAAAGAAATAAAAAAATGGTTCTTCAAAAAGTGACCAGTACAAAAATGAAAAGATAACAGACTAGGAGAAAATATCTGCAAATCATTTACCTGATAAAGGAGTTGTACACAAACTGTATAACAAATTCACAAGTATAAGACAAACAACCCAATTAAAAAAAGATCTGAACAGACACTTCACCAAGATATACAAATGTTTAATATGAATATGAAAATAGGCACATCACTAGTCATTAGAGAAATGCAAATTAAAACCACAATAAGGTATCACTATACAACTAACTAGAATGGCTATAATTAAAAAAACTGACAATACCAAGTGTTGACCAGGATGTGGAAAAACTAGAAGCCTCTACATTACTGGTGGGAAAGTAAAATGATTCAGCCATTTTGGAAAACAACTTGGCAGTCCTTAAAAATTTACACAGGCCGGGTGCGGTGGCTCACGCCTATAATCTCAGCACTTTGGGTGGCCAAGGTGGGTGGACCACTTGAAGTCAGGAGTTCAAGACCAGCCTGGCCAACATGATGAAACCCTGTCTCTACTAAAAATACAAAAATTAGCTGGGGGTGGTGGCATGCACCTGTAGTCTCAACTACTCTACTCAGGAGGCTGAGGTAGGAGAATCACTTGAAACCGGGAGGCGGAGGCTGCAGTGAGCCGAGTTCACGCCACTGCACTCCAGCCTGGGCGACACAGCAAGATTCCACCTCAAAAAAAAAAAAAATTTACACATAAACGGCCGGGCGCAGTGGCTCACACCTGTAATCCCAGCACTTTGGGAGGCCGAGGTGAGTGGATCACGAGGTCAGGAGATCGAGACCATCCTGGCTAACACGGTGAAACTCCGTCTCTACTAAAAATACAAAAAATTCTGTGGGCGTGGTGGTGGGCACCTGTAGTCCCAGCTACTCGGGAGGCTGAGGCAGGAGAATGGCGTGAGCCCAGGAGGCGGAGCTTGCAGCAAGCCGAGATCGCGCCACTGCACTCCAGCCTGGGCGACGGAGTCTCATCTCAAAAAAAAAAAAAAAAACAAACAAACAAATTTACACATAAACTTACTATATAACCCAGCAATTCCACTCCCAAGTACCTACCCAAGAGAAATGAAAACATATGTCCACTCAAAGACTTGTCTATGAATATTCATAGCATTATTCATAATAGCCATAAACTGGAAACAATCTAAAACTCCATCAACTGGTAAATGGATAAACAAAATGTGGTATATCCATTCAATGGAATATTATTCAGCCATAAAAATAAAGTACTGACACATGCTATAGCATGGCTGAACTTTTTTTTTTGAGACAGGGTCTCACTCTGTCACCCAGGCTGGAGTGCAGTGGCAGGATCTCAGCTTACTGCAACCTCCATCTCCCAGGCTGAAGCAATCATCCTACCACAGTCTCTGGAGTAGCTGGGACCACTGGCGCACACCACCATACCTGGCTAATTTTTTGTATTTTTAGTAGAGACAGGGTTTCACCATGATGCCCAGGCTGGTCTCAAACTTCTGGCCTCAAACGATCCACCCACCTCAGCCTCCCACAGTGCTGAGATTACAGGCATTAGCCACCGCATCCAGCCAACATGGCTGAACTCTGAAAACATTAGGCTAAGTGAAAAAAGCCAGACACAAAATCATATTGTATGATTACATCTAGGTGAAAGTTCTAGAAAAGACAAACTACAGAGCCAGAAAGCGGGTCAGGAATTGCCTGTGTGTGGGGGTGGTACAGGAACCAACTACAAATGAACAAGAGAATTTTGGGGGCTAGTGGAAGTGCTCTAAAACTGGATCACAGTGATCGCTGCATAAATGTAGAAATGTATTAAAGCTTACCAACGGTGCACCCACAAAGGGTGAATTCTATGGTATATAAATCATAACTAATAAAGCTGTTTTAGAAAAATTCATGAAACAAACAGGACTTTTTCAAAAAGTTTCAGTCATAAAGGTTTATTTTAAATAAATAAGAAAACATTCTTCATTTCCATTATTCTTTATCTTGTAAACCATCAAAAACAGCTATGATTTTTACACTATGATATACACTTTGCTTCCCCAAATTTTGGTGCCTGCTAACTTGGGTTAAACACAGTCTAAAGTTTGTACTTGGGCAAACTGGATTTATCAACTTTTTCTAAAAAGAATAATGCATCTCACCATAAGGCTCACACCAGACTGGAAAAGCTCATATGGGTAGAGAATTCTTTCATAATGTGACTTCAAAAGAGACCCAGTTCCTTTTCCTGGCAGATATCCCAAGCGACTACCCACTTTAGACCATTTCTTCTCTTTGGTGACCATTTCAAAACCTCCTTTGCTGGCAACAATCTGAAAAGAAAGTAAAAGTTGCTTAGAGAAAAAAGGCAAATTCAAGCATCTTGACTCTTAAGTCTTGTCTACTAAATAGAAAAATTATTCAGGGCTTAAATTTCAAATTTCCTTTCAATGAGTATCTAACCAAACTGACACTTGTCAACATTTAGAGTAAGAAATAGAAACAATGCTTTTCAGAGGTTTAAAATGTAATTAACATTATGCCTACCTTCAAACCAAGCATTCAAAAATATTTAATGAATACTCTGTACAGTACGCACTGTGAGAAAACTAAACACATGTACAGACAGACTACCTACTTAAGGAACTCACAATATGAAATAAGAATAAAAACAGATAAAAAATAGATATGAAAATAAATGTTATATAATACAAAATAAACATAAATCCTGAAATTAGAAATAACCAAGTAACTTACAGAACTTAACAAAAACGTCAATCAAACCATGAATACAGAGGACAGTTGTGAAAAACAGGCTATAATTTTTCAAAAGGGCAAGAGTTTTATATGGAAGATCATAAAGGAACACTGAAAAAGATTAGGTTGCAGTAGATTTACCGATACGGAGTACAGAATATATTAAGGTAGAAAACGATGAGATAAATTGGCTAACTTGGCTGAATGGTCACATCAAGCCAGGCACTCTACAGAATACATATTTCAAAGCTCCTTAACGTCCAGGAGCTGTTACTATACATCTCTTAGGCTCTAAAATACAGTCATGCACTGCATAACATTTTGGTCAAATATAGACCGCATATATGACAGTGCTCCCATAAGATTATAATACCATATTCTTACTGAACCTTTGTGTTTAGATACATACACAAATACTTACCATTGTGTTACACTGCCTACAGTATTCAGTAGAGTAACAGGCTGTACACCTTTAGGTCTAGGAGCAACAGGTTATACCACATAGCCTAGGTATGCAGTAGGCCATACCATCTGGGTTTGTATAAGTACATTCTATGTTTGCACAATAATGAAATCCTCATGTTTTTCAGAACATATCCCTGTCATTAAGTGACACGATTGTACAGGCAGTTTTCAATTTCACTGAGAATAAAGGGGACTGTGACACAGTGTTCAAACTCAGTTTCTCCTATTTGATTGAGTATATACTACTGTATCTTACTACATAAAAAAAAAGTTAAAGCCAGGCATAGTGGCTCACATCTGTAATTCTAACACTTTGGGAGGCCAAGGCAGGAGGATCACTTGAGCCCAGGAGTTTCAAACCATGCTGGACAATATAGTGAGGCCCCCATCTCTACAAAAAAATTTAAAAATTAGCTGGGCAGGTTGGGCAGGGTGGCTTATGCCTGTAATCCCAGGACTTTGGGAGGCAGAGCTGGGCAAATAGCCTGAGCTCAGGAGTTCAAGAGCAGCCTGCGCAACATAGTGAAACCCCATCTCTTCTAAAAAAATATACAAAGAATTAGCCAGACGTGGTGGTGCACACCTATAATCCCAGCTACTCAGGAGGCTGAGGCCCAAGAATCACTTGAACCCAGGAGGCAAAGGTTGCAGTTAGCTGAGATTGTGCCACTGCACTCCAGCCTGGACAGTAGAGTGAGACTCCATCTCCGAAAAAAAAAAATTAACCAGGCAGGTGGTGTACCTGTAGTTCCCAGCTACCTGGGAGGCCAAGGCAGGAGGATCAGTTGAACCCAGGAGATCAAGGCTGCAGCGAGCCATGATCACACCCCTGCACTCTGGCCTGGCTGATCCTGTCTCAAGTGACCCTGTCTCAAAAAAAAAAAAAAGTTAAAAGTTAAACATAAAATTACCATATGATGCTGCAATTTCACTTCTAGATATATACTCAAAGAACTGAAAGGAGGGACTCAAACAGATTCTTGCACACCAATGTTCACAGCAGCAATACTCTTGAGAGTCAAAACAGAACCCAAAAGTTTATCAACAGATAAATGAATAAACGAAATGTAGTATAATAAAATACAATGGAATATTATTCTGCCTTAGAAAGTTCTGATACATCCCAAACATGAATGAATTTTGAAAATATAAAATAAGCCAGAGACAAAATGATGACTACTGCATAATTCCATTTATATAAGCTACATAGAGTAAGCAAATTCATAGAGACAGAAAGCATAATAGAAGTTGCCAGGAGTGGTGGAAGGGAGAAGTCCTGGAACTATATAGTGGTGATAACTGTACAACACTGTAAATGTACTTAATGCCACTCAACTGTGTATTTTTAAATGTTGATGCTACATATACAATTTTTTAAAAAAAGATGAAAAGAAGACTCGAGCCAGACTGCCAGTATTCAAATTTCAGTTCTGTCACTTACTAGTTATATGACCTTGGCCAGGCGTCGTGGCTCACATCTGTAATCCCAGCACTTTGGAGGCTGAGGCAGGCGGATCACCTGAGGTCAGCAGTTCGAGACCAGCCTGGCCAACATGGTGAAACTCCGTCTCAACTAAAAATACCAAAAATTAGCCAAGCATGGTGGTGCACACCTATCATCCCAGCTACTAGGGAGGCTGAGGAAGGAGAATCGCTTGAACCCGGGAGGAGGAGGTTGCAGTGAGCCAGATTGCACCACTGAACTCCAGCCTGGGCAAGAGCGAGACCCTGTCTCAAGGAAAAAACAAACAGACAAAACACAGTTACATGACCCTGGCAAAGTTACATACCTTGCAATTCAATTTCCTCACCATCATCAAAATAGTAACAACGGTGCCTACACCTCGTTATGAGGCTACTGTGAGGACAAATAAAATAAAATATGAAAAGCACCAGGATAAAGTACTATACCAATGTTGCTATATTACAAATGTCTATGAGTGTGGACAAATGGAGGAGAGGGTACACATACTAAAAATAAGTGAAGGAAATGTTTTCAACTCTTGTGCTTTATGATGTTATTATAAACAAAGATGAACCTATGGCCGAAGTACAATTTTCCTCTAGTGAATGATCTAAAAGCTTGGTAGAAACACAAATTCATATGCACAAGAGTTGAACACATCTCTTTAGTTCTTCAGCTCCTCCTATCACACCCTCAAAGAAGCCCTCTCTGTTCAAACAATCAATCAGGGGAAAATCATACAGAGACAAAAATTATTTTTCAAAGTACAGAGAAAGACACAATGAAAATGGTTTAGATAGAGGGCTGTCTGGAAGCAACTGGATGGATTAGAGTGCCTTTCATTCAACAGGTAACTTTCAGTGCTTCTATACTGCCAGCTACTATTCTAGGTACCTGGGATACATTTATGAATAAAACAAAGATCTTTGTCACATTTTATGAATAAAACAAAGATCTTTGTCCTCATGGAGCTTACATTCTAGTGGAGGAAGACAGACAATAAACAATGAACATAATATATAAATTTTGAAGGGATAAATATTGTAGAAGAAATTAAAAAGCAGTCAAGGGGCCTCCAGGTAACAGGGTAAAGATAATCTGAAGTATTAAACGATTGCAAAAAGCCTTATTATAAAGATGAAATCTAAGCAAAGACTTGAAAGGAGTGAAGTAGTTAACTAGCAGATATAAAGGGAACAGACAAAGCAAAGGCTCCAAGTCAGAAGCATGTCTAGAGTGTTTGAGGAAAATAAGGAAGCCAGTGTGGCTAAAGCAAAGTGAACAAGCAGGGAGAAGTAAAAGAACTCAGGGAGGCAACAGAAGCCCTCTTATCTTTACTATCCAATACAATAATCACTCTGACATAATAATCTGCTTTGTATTCAAAGCATTTCAAGCTAAATTTCCATTAGTTATGATACACCTGCATGGATCCAGTCATGATGTCCCACCCAGTTCTGGTGATTAGTAGCAGCCAGGATACGGCCATGACAAAGGAATAAACTATCTCACAAAGAAAACAAAACCATTACTTTGGCTCCACGCATACAATACTCTAACAATCTAACCAAAAAACACACAAAACCTAATACCTGTTTTTCTTTGGCTGGCAGATTCAAAGATTATCATACATAATTTAAAAATACAAACCAGGCCAGGCATAGTGGCTCATGCCTGTAATCCCAGTACTTTGGGAGGCCGAGGCAGGTGGATCACCTGAGGTCGAGAGTTCGAAACCAGCCTGGCCAACATGGTGAAACCCTGTCTCTACTAAAAATACAAAAATTAGCAGGGCGTGGTGGCAGGCACCTGTAATCCCAGTTACTTGGGAGGCTGAGGCAGGAGAATCACTTGAACCCAGGAGGCGGGGATTGCAGGGAGCTGGTTTCATGCCACCTCATTCCAGCCTGGGCAACACAGCGAGACTCTGTCTCAAAAATAAATAAAAATTAAAAATAAAATACAAACCATTTACTCCAAATATTTGCCATGTACTATATCACAACACTGTCCCCAGAAATATCACTATGAACCATGCTCTATAAAAAGATACATGGCATGCACTTGAATTGAACACAATGAAGACAAGCCGTTTATCAAAACTTGACCAAAAAGTAGTATCGCTCAAGACCAAAACAGCTGGGAACAGAGACTTTTTTTTTTTTTAATTATACTTTAAGTTCTAGGGTAGTACATGTGCACAACGTGCAGGTTTGTTACATATGTATACGTGTGCCACGTTGGTGTGCTGCACACATTAACTAATCACTTACATTAGGTATATCTCCTAATGCTATCCCTCCCCACTACCCCCACCCTACGACAGGCCCCGGTGTGTGATGTTCACCTTCCTGTGTCCAAGTGTTCTCATTGTTCAATTCCCACCTATCAGTGAGAACATGCGGTGTTTGGTTTTCTGTTCTTGTGACAGTTTGCTGAGAATGATGGTTTCCAGCTTCATCCATGTCCCTGGAAAGGGCATGATCTCATCCTTTTTTATGGCTGCATAGTATTCCATGGTGCATATGTGCCACATTTTCTTAATCCAGTCTATCATTGATGGACATTTGGGTTGGTTCCAAGTCTTTGCTATTGTGAATAGTGCCACAATAAACATATGTGTGCATGTGTCTTTATAACAGCATGATTTATAATCCTTTGGGTATATACCCAGTAATGGGATGGCTGGGTCAAATGGTATTTCTAGTTCAAGATCCTTGAGGAATCACCACACTGTTTTCCACAATGGTTGAACTAGTTTATAGTCCCACTAACAGTGTAAAATTGTTCCTATTTCTCCACATCCTCTCCAGCACCTGTTGTTTCCTGACTTTTTAATGATCACCACTCTAACTGGAGTGAGATGGTATCTCATTGTGGTTTTGATTTGCATTTCTCTGATGGCCAGTGATGAGCATTTTTTCATGTGTCTGTTGGCTGCATAGATGTCTGCTTTTGAGAAGCGTCTGTTCATATCCTTTGCCCACTTTATGATGGGGTTGTTTTTTTCTCGTAAATTTGAGTTCTTTGTAGATTCTGGATATTAGCCCTTTGTCAGATGAGTAGACTGCAAAAATTTTCTCCCCTTCTGTAGGTTGCTTGTTTACTCTGATGGTAGTTTCTTTTGTTGTGCAGAAGTTCTTTAGTTTAATTAGATCCCATTTGTCTATTTTGGCTTTTGTTGCCATTGCTTTTGGTGTTTTAGACATGAAGTCCTTGCCCATGCCTATGTCCTGAATGGTACTGCCTAGGTTTTCTAGGGTTTTTATGGTTTTAGGTCTAACATTTAAGTCTTTAATCCATCTTCAATTAATTTTTGTATAAGTTGTAAGGAAGGGATCCAGTTTCAGCTTTCTACATATGGCTAGCCAGTTTTCCCAGCACCATTAAATAGGGAATCCTTTCCCCATTTCTTGTTTTTGTCAGGTTTGTCAAAGATCAGACGGTTGCAGATGTATGGTATTATTTCTGAAGGCTCTGTTCTGTTCCATTGGTCTCTATCTCTGTTTTGGTACCAGTACCATGCTGTTTTGGTTACTGTAGCCTTGTAGTATAGTTTGAAGTCAGGAAGCATGATGCCTCCAGCTTTGTTCTTTTGGCTTAGGATTGACTTGGCAATGTGGGCTCTTTTTTGGTTCCGTATGAACTTTAAAGTAGTTTTTTCCAATTCTGTGAAGAAAGTCATTGGTAGCTTGATGGGGATGGCACTGAATCTATAAACTACCTTGGGCAGTATGGCCATTTTCACGATAATGATTCTTCCTATCCATGAGCATGGAATATTCTTCCATTTGTTTGTGTCCTCTTTTATTTCATTGAGCAGTGGTTTGTAGTTCTCCTTGAAGAGGTCCTTCACATCCCTTGTAAGTTGGATTCCTAGGTATTTTATTCTGTTTGAAGCAATTGTGAATGGGAGTTCACTCATGATTTGGCTCTCTGTTATTGGTGTATAAGAATGCTTGTGATTTTTGCACATTGATTTTGTATCCTGAGACTTTGCTGAAGTTGCTTTTCAGCTTTAGGAGATTTTGGGCTGAGATGATGGGGTTTTCTAAATATACAGTCATGTCATCTGCAAACAGGGACAACTTGACTTCCTCTTTTCCTGATTGAATACCCTTTATTTCTTTTTCCTGCCTGACTGCCCTGGCCAGAACTTCCAACACTATGTTGAATAGGAGTGGTGAGAGAGGGCATCCCTGTATTGTACTAGTTTTCAAAGGGAATGCTTCCAGTTTTTGCCCATCCAGTATGATATTGGCTGTGGGTTTGTCATAAATAGCTCTTATTATTTTGACATACGTCCCATCAATACCTAATTTATTGAGAGTTTTTAGCATGAAGCATTGTTGAATTTTGTCAAAGGCCTTTTCTGCATCTATTGAGATAATTGTGTGGTTTTTGTCTTTGGTTCTGTTTATATGCTGGATTACGTTTATTGATTTGCGTATATTGAACCAGTCTTGCATCCCAGGGATGAAGCCCATTTGATCATGGTGGATAAGCTTTTTGATGTGCTGCTGGATTTGGTTTGCCAGTATTTTATTGAAGATTTTCGCATCGATGTTCATCAGGGATATTGGTCTAAAATTCTCTTTTTTTGTTGGGTCTCTGCCAGGCTTTGGTATCAGGATGATGCTGGCCTCATAAAATGAGTTAGGGAGAATTCCCTCTTGTTCTATTGACTGGAATAGTTTCAGAAAGAATGGTACCAGCTCCTCCTTGTACATCTGGTAGAATTTGGCTGTGAATCTATCTGGTCCTGGACTGTTTTTGGTTGGTAGGCTATTAATTATTGCCTCAATTTCAGAGCCTGTTATTGGTCTATTCAGGGATTCAACTTCTTCCTGGTTTAGTCTTGGGAGGGTGTATGTCTCCAGGAATTTATCCATTTCTTCTAGATTTTCTAGTTTATTTGCATAGAGGTGTTTATTCTCTGATGGTAGTTTGTATTTCTGTGGGATTGGTGGTGATATCCCCTTTATCATTTTTTATTGCGTCTATTTGATTCTTCTTTCCTTTTTTGTCTTGCTAGTGGTCTATCAATTTTGTTGATCTTTTCAAAAAACCAGCTCCTGGATTCATTGATTTTTTGAAGGGTTTTTTGTGTCTCTATCTCCTTCAGTTCTGCTCTGATTTTAGTTATTTCTTGCCTTCTGCTAGCTTTTGAATGTGTTTGTACTTCCTTCTCTAGTTCTTTTAATTGTGATGTTAGGGTGTCAATTTTAGATCTTTCCTGCTTTCTCTTGTGGGCATTTAGTGCTATAAATTTCCCTCTACACACTGCTTTGAATGTGTCCCAGACATTCTGGTATGTTGTGTTTTTGTTCTCATTGGTTTCAAAGAACATCTTTATTTCTGCCTTCATTTCGTTATGTACCCAGTAGTCATTCAGGAGCAGGTTGTTCAGTTTCCATGTAGTTGAGTGGTTTTGAGTGAGTTTGTTAATCCTGAGTTCTAGTTTGATTGCACTGTGGTCTGAGAGACAGTTTGTTATAATTTCTGGTCTTTTTCATTTGCTGAGGAGGGCTTTACTTCCAACTATGTGGTCAAATTTTGGAATAAGTGTGATGCAGTGCTGAGAAGAATGCATATTCTGTTGCTTTGGGGTGGAGAGTTCTGTAGATGTCTATTAGATCTGCTTGGTGCAGAGCTGATTTCAATTCCTGGATATCCTTGTTAACTTTCTGTCTCGTTGATCTGTCTAATATTGACAGTAGGGTGTTAAAGTCTCCCATTATCATTGTGTGGGAGTCTAAGTCTCTTTGTGGGTCTCTAAGGACTTGCTTTAGGAATCTGGGTGCTCCTGTATTGGGTGCATATATATTTAGGATAGTTAGCTCTTCTTGTTGCATTGATCCCTTTACCATTATGTAATGGCCTTGTCTCTGATCTTTGTTGGTTTAAAATCTGTTTTATCAGAGACTAGGATTGCAACCCCTGCCTTTTTTGTTTTCCATTTGCTTGGTAGATCTTCCTCCATCCCTTTATTTTGAGCCTGTGTGTGTCTCTGCATGTGAGATGGGTCTCCTGAATAAAGCACACTGGTGGATCTTGACTCTTTATCCAATTTGCCAGTCTGTGTCTTTTAACTGGAGCATTTAGCCCATTTACATTTAAGGTTAATACTGTTATGTGTGAATTTGATCCTGTCATTATGATGTTAGCTGATTATTTTGCTCGTTAGTTGATGCAGTTTCTTCCTGGCATCGATGGTCTTTACAGTTTGGCATGTTTTTGCAGTGGCTGGTACCAGTTGTTCCTTTACATGTTTAGTGCTTCCTTCAGGAGCTCTTGTAGGGCAGGCCTGGTGGTGACAAAATCTCTCAGCATTTGCTTGTCTGTAAAGGATTATATTTCTCCTTCACTTATGAAGCTTAGTTTGGCTGGATATGAAATTATGGGTTGAAAATTCTTTTTTTTTTAAGAATGTTGAACATTGGCCCCCACTCTCTGCTGGCTTGCAGAGTTTCTGCCGAGAGATCCGCTGTTAGTCTGATGGGCTTCCCTTTGTGGGTAACCCGATCTTTCTCTCTGGCTGCCCTTAACATTTTTTCCTTCATTTCAACTTTGGTGAATCTGACAATTATGTGTCTTGGAGTTGCTCTTCTCCAGGAGTATCTTTGTGGCGTTCTCTGTATTTCCTGAATTTGAATGTCGGCCTGCCTTGCTAGGTTGGGGAAGTTCTCCTGGATAATATCCTGCAGAGTGTTTTCCAGCTTGGTTCCATTCTCCCCATCACTTTCAGGTACACCAATCAGACACAGACTTGGTCTTTTCACATAGTCCCACATTTCTTGGAGGCTTTGTTTCTTTTTACTCTTTTTTCTCTAAAGTTCTCTTCTCACTTCATTTCATTAATTTGATCTTCAATCACTGATACCCTTTCTTCCAAATGATCAAATTGGCTACTGAAGCTTGTGCATTCATCACGTAGTTGTTCTCGTGCCATGGTTTTCAGCTCCATCAGGTCATTTAAAGACTTCTCTACACTGGTTATTCTATTTAGCCATTTGTCTAATCTTTTTACAAGGTTTTTAGCTTCTTTGCGATGGGTTCGAACTTCCTCCTTTAGCTCGGAGAAGTCTGATCGTCTGAAGCCTTCTTCTCTCAACTCATCAAAGTCATTCTCTGTCCAGCTTTGTTCCGTTGCTGGCGAGAAGCTGTGTTCCTTTGGCGGGGGAGAGGTGCTCTGCTCTGATTTTTCTAATTTTCAGTTTTTCTGCTCTGCTTTTTCCCCATCTTTGTGGTTTTATCTATCTTTGGTCTTTGATGATGGTGATGTACAAATGGGATTTTGGTGTGGATGTCCTTTCTGTTTGTTAGTTTTCCTTCTAACAGTCAGGACCCTCAGCTGCAGGTCTGTTGGAGTTTGCTGGAGGTCCACTCCAGACCCTGTTTGCCTGTGTATCAGCAGCGGAGGCTGTAGAACAGCGAATGTTGCCGAACAGCAAATATTGCTGCCTGATCCTTCCTCTGGAAGCTTTGTCTCAGAGGGATACCCGGCCATGTGGGTGTCAAGGCTGCCCCTACGAGGCGGTGCCTCCCAGTTAGGCTACTTGGGGGTCAGGGACCCACATAAGGAGGCAGTCTGCCCGTTCTCAGATCTCAAACTCCATGCTGGGAGAACCACTGCTCTCTTCAAGGCTGTCAGACAGGGACATTTAAGTCTGCAGAGGTTTCTACTACCTTTTGTTTGGCCATGCCCTGCCCCCAGAGGTGGAGTCTACAGAGGAAGGCAGGCCTCCTTGAGCTGCGGTGGGCTCCACCCAGTTCGAGCTTCTGGGCTGCTTTGTTTACCTACTCAAGCCTCAGCAATTGTGGGCACCCATCCCCCAGGCTCGCTGCCACCTTGTAGTTCCATCTCAGACTGCTGTGCTAGCAATGAGCGAGGCTCCGTGGGCGTGGGACCCTCCAAGCCAGGTGCAGGATATAATCTCCTGGTGTGCCGTTTGCTAAGACCATTGGAAAAGCACAGTGTTACGGTGGGAGTGACCCAATTTTCCAGGTGCCATCTGTCACAGCTTCCCTTGGCTAGGAACGGGAATTCCCTGACCCCTTGCACTTCCCAGGTGAGACGATGCCTCGCCCTGCTTTGGCACACGCTCGGTGGGCTGCAGCCACTGTCCTGCACCCACTGTCCAACAAGCCCCAGTGAGATGAACCTGGTACCTCAGTTGGAAATGCAGAAATCACCCGTCTTCTGCGTCGCTCACGCTGGGAGCTGTAGACCGGAGCTGTTCCTATTCGGCCATCTTGGGAACATCTAGAGACAGTTTTAACATACCTAAAGAACAGTCTTCTACTTAAAAGCTCCCTCTAAAAAAATCCACTAAAAAGACAGGAAAGAAACAAAAAGGCATCCTCTCAAGAGGTCAAATAGACCAAGAAAGGAACCAAATACAAATGTAGACAATATTTTGAAGATAGTGATAAGCCAAAACAATAACAAAAACAGACAAACAAAAATTACAAGTTTAAGTGCCTTACAACAGAGGAAAGCCAGAGAAGCTTTTGCAACATAGAACCTGGAAAGGCTTCAGAGGAGTCCCCTTCCTCCCTTTTCTAAAACAAGGAAAAAAAAAAAGTCTTAAGAAGTAGCAGCAGTACCTCTAAAATTAGGGGTGGCAATGCAGCAGAGAACAGGATTGTGAAAACCTGTATAGAAGCACTTAGACCTCTTCCAGGCAACTATCCCTCTCCAACCCCAGCAGAAAACTGGAGATTTACTCTCAGCAGAGTTTGAAGAGAAGGGATGTTGAACTAAAAAAGCTATAGGTAAGTAAACTAAAGGACCAGCCTAACATGTCTAACATCTAACTAATAAAGAGTCAAAAAGAAGAGAAAAAATAAGTACACAAAATTATCAAAGAATACAGGAAAAATTAGAAGAATTGAAAGAAATGAGTTATCAGATTAGAAAGGTTATTGAGAGCCATAAAAACAGTGAATGAAAATAAACACATACCAATGCATATCACCGTGAAATTTCAAAGCCCTGGGAATAAAGATAAGATCCTAAATCTTCAAGAAAAAAAAAGTCACAAAAAAACAAGAATTAATATAGCATCGTTCTTCTCACCAACAAGACAATGGAGTAAAGCTTTCAAAATACTGAAGTAAAATGATTTACAATCTAGACTTTTAAACCCTACCAAACTACTAATAAAGTTTAAGAGCAGAACATTTGTACACAAGCAAAAGGTCCTAAAAAATGTATATCCCATTAACCATCTTTCTCATGAAATTAGCAGAAGAAATGTTTCACCAAAATGAGAGTAAACCAAGTAAAAGGAAGACTTACAACAAGGAAAAGAGGCCAAGGAATTCCCAGAATGATGGCAGTAAAAGGAATTTCCAGACTGACAGGTGACCTTAAAAAAACACCCAGTCAAGATTTGAGAGTAAAAAAGAATCCAGGAAGAATGGCTCCAAGAAAATAAAGCTGATAGATTATTTGATGGGTAGAAGCATACTGAGAGATGTATACTTCTACTGGAAAGTTTGAAAATATATTTTTCACAGTAATAATTTTAGATTAATAAAAATTAATGTAACTACACTAGAAGGGGATGACGGACATAAAGTATGGGAGGATTTACACCCATTCTCTTACACCCATTCTCCATCTTTAACAGTAGGAAATCAGTATATGATATTTAAAACTGAGAAATGAAGAAACAGCAATATGAGCATATTACTTGGAAATATGAAGATCAAAATCAGAAACAGCTAAAAGAACTGAAAGTGATTAGTTCTGAGGAGTAGGAATGGGGGTGGAGATGAAGGGAGATGCTGATTTTCATTTTAAGCCCCCTTTTTTTTTTAAAGACAGGGTCTTACTCTGTTGCCCAGGTGGTGCAATCAGAGGTCACTGTAGCCCCAAACACCTGGACTCAAATGATCCTCCAGCTTCAGCTTCTCAAGTGGCTGTGACTACAGGCGCATGCCACCACACCTAGCTAATCTTTTTAAATTTTTTGTAGAGACGGGGTCTCCCTATGTCTAGACCAGGAAGTTTATCTAGAACTCCTGGGCTCAAATGATCCTCCTGCCTCGGCCTCCCAAACTGCTGGGATTACAAGTATGAGCCCACTATACCCAGCCAAAGCCTTGTGTTTTAAAAGTGTACTACTTTAATAAAAATAAAAATGTTTTAACAAGAAGGGCTAGACTGAATGCTTCTTGCTGAAGTGGTTATAAAAACTGTAATTATTCAGCCAGGCACGGTGGCTCACGCCTGTAATCCCAGCACTTTGGGAGGCCAAGGCGGGCGGATCACGAGGTCAGGAGATTGAGACCATCCTGGCTAACAGGGTGAAACCCCGTCTCTACTAAAAAATACAAAAAATTAGCCGGGCGTGGTGGTGGGCGCCTGTAGTCCCAGCTACGCGGGAGGCTGAGGCGGGAGAATGTCATGAACCCAGGAGGCGGAGCTTAGAGTGAGCCAAAATCGTGCTGCTGCACTCCAGCCTGGGTGACAGAGTGAGACTCCATCTCAAAAAAAAAAAAAAAAAACTAATTATTCATATAGAAGTCTATTAAATTACAGGCATTCCAAGTAATACTTTTTATTATCAAAAATAATAGGGAGAAAGATGAAGTGATTTAATCAAAACAGGAAACCATCATGCTGATGACTTAATGACTCAGAAGACTGAAAATTTGCTTCCCATCAAAAAGCAATGGGAATCATAGTATTTTCAAATCATATATAAAAAAAAAACTTAATAGATGCCAACAAACTGTCAGCCAAAAATAATCTTTTTTTTAAAAAAGGGCACACCTAACCTTAAAACATCTCAACTCTCAGTATTTTCTGCAGTTTTCAGCCCAAGCCTCTTGCTAGAATAAAATGTCATGTTAATGAAATAAATAGTCACCCAATGATAAAGGTCAGAATAAATTACCTTTGTGAAGAAGTATTGACTGGAAAGGAGATGAAACAACCCACTAGAGTGCTATAAAAATGTTATATATCTTGATCTGCGTGATGGCTACAAAACAGGTGTACACATATGAAAATTTATTGAACTGTACGCTTGAAATTTGTGCATTACACTGTAAGTTACACCTCAATGTAAAAGAAAAAAGTTAACGTGAGAAGCAGCAATCTCACAATGACATTTAGGGAACAAAGTATTATAAACTAAAATAACTACAAATCAAAGTTTGTCTGCCTTTTAGCTTTAAATCTCAGTTTTGCAAACATTCTCACAGGTTGGGGAAAGAGATGTCCATGAGGACTTAAAAAAACCCACAAAGACAAGATTCCAATAAACCGTCAGATAAGCACACTTAACCTTTAATCATAACATATTTTCAATAAGTTTTCTGAATATTTAAACAAAGTGTACTTTATTAGTAGTATGAACCTTAAAAGGAAATCAGCTTCTCAAGATGGAGTTAAACACTCTGGATGACCGTTATAAGGAGAATTGTGAACAACTAAGTATTCAGACTAGGTTACCTCTAAAAGCCCCTTCCCTATTTTGAAATCCTATGACTTTAGAAAACCAGAAAAGTGCAGCCGGGCACGGTGGCTTGCACCTGTAATCCCACCATTTTGGGAGGCCAAGATGGGAGATCACTTGAGATCAGGAGTTCGTGACTAGCTTGGCCAACATGACGAAACCCCGTCTCTACTAAAAATACAAACATTAGCCAGGCGTGGTGGTGTGCGCCTGTAGTCCCAGCTGCTTCTGAGGCTGAGTGAGGGGAATCGCTTGAACCCAGGAGGTGGGAGGTTGCAGTGAGCCGAGATCACGCCTCTAGCCTGGGTGATGGGGGAGACTCCGTCTCCAAAAAAAAAAAAAAAATGCAATTTAACTTACCATCAGATTAAACCTAAGGTTTACCTTTTAAATGGAAAATCACTGACAGAGAAAGTTTCAATAGATTACTACTCATACTATTAATACTTACTCTAGCAAATTCCTTAGGGTATTTATGAAAATAAAATAGAGATAAAGATTGGCCGGGCACAGTGGCTCACACCTGTAATCCCTACACTTTGGGAGGCCAAGGTGGGCAGATCATTTCAGGTCAGGAGTTCAAGGCCAGCCTGGCCAACATGGTAAAAACCCCATCTTTACTAAAAATATAAAAATTAGCTGGGTGTGGTGGCACACACCTTTAATCCCAGTCCCAGCTACTCAGAAGGCTGAGGCATGAGAATCGGTTGAACCTGGGAGATGGAGGTAGCAGTGAGCCAAGATTGTGCCACTGCACTCCAGTCTGGGCAAAAGAGTGAGACTCTGTCTAAAAAAAAAAAGTAGAAAGAGCTTCATTAAAGAGTACTACAACATATTGCTATTAATGATAAAATAATTTTTGAAAAAAAAATTTTTTTTTCAGACACAGTTTCACTCTTGTTGCCCAGGCTGGAGTGCAGTGGTACTATCTCAACTCACTGCAACCTCTGCCTCCCGGTTTCAAGTGATTTCCTACCTCAGCCTCCTGAGCAGATGGAATTACAGGTGCCCACCACCACACCTGGCTAATTTTTTGCATAATTAGTAGAGATAGGTTTTATTTTATTTTTTTTTTTTAGACGGAGTTGTGCCGCTCTTATTGCCCAGGCTGAAGTGCAATGGCGTGATCTCAGCTCACCACAACCTCCACCTCCCGGGTTCAAGCAATTCTCCTGCCTCGGCCTCCCAAGTAGCTGAGATTACAGGCATGTGCCACCACGTCCGGCTAATTTTGTATTTTTAGTAGAGACGAGGTTTCTCCATGTTGGTTGGGTTGGTCTCGAACTCCCGACCTCAAGTGATCCTCCTGCCTCAGCCTCCCAAAGTGCTGGGATTACAGGCATGAGCCACCGTGCCCGGCTGAGACAGGTTTTCATCATGTTGGCCAGGCTGGTCTCAAAAACTCCTGACCTCAGGTGATCCATCCGCCTCAGCCTTCCAAAGTGCTGGGATTACAGGCATGAGCCACAGTGCCGAGCCAATTTTTGAAATTTTTTTTGTATTTTATTCATACTACAGTCAAACACATTCAGAATCTTAAACAGCATCATACAGCAAAACTTAGTAGGTAAGTTTTGATTGAATAAAAATTTCAAAAAAGCATTCTTAAGATGAATTTTTATCCTAATAGTTCCCTATAAGAAGAAACCCACCACCCAAATTTAGCATAATTTGTTCTTTAGTACCATAGGTTTTCATATAACTATACTAGACAATTCTTGACACAGTGCTTACTTACTAACATCATTACCTGACTGATTAAAAAAAGTCTCAAGCTGTATTTTAGCGTAAGACCGTACTTCCCAAATTTTTTAGTAAGAGAATTTTGACCTGACACTAATTTTAAAATGTATCATAAAAGATAATTTAAATATGGTTACTCTGTTTTTTTGGAAACAGGGTCTTGCTCTGTCACTCAAGCTGGAATGCAGTGGTGTGATGACAGCTCACCGCAGTCTTGACCTCCTGGGCTCAAGCAATCCTCCTGCCTCAGCCTCTTGATTAGCTGGGACTCCAGGAGTCCACCACCATGCCAGGATTATTTATTTTTTAATTTTTTGTAGAGATGGAGTCTCACTATGTTGCCTAGCCTGGTCTCGAACTCCTAGGTTCAAGCAATCCTTCCACCTCAGCCTCCCAAAGTGCTGGGATTATAGGTATGAGCCACCACATGCCACGAATTATTCTCATGTTTTTCCTTACAAGTGAAATCTTCCTGGCCACGCATGGTGGCTCACGCCTGTAATCCCAACACTCTGGGAGGCTGAGGCGGGTGGATCATCTGAGGTCAGGAGTTCGAGTCCAGCCTAACCAACATGGAGAAACCCTGTCTCTACTAACAATACAAAATTAGCCAGGTGTGGTGGCAGGCACCTGTAATCCCAGGTATTTGGGAGGCCAAGGCAGGAGAATCACTTGAACCCGGGAGGCTGAGGCAGAAGAATCACTTGAACCCGGGAGGTGGAGGCTGCAGTGAGCCGAGATGGCACCACTGCACTCCAGCCTGGGCAACAAGGGCGTGACTCCATTTCAAAAAAAAAAAAAAGTGAAATCTTCTAAAAGTAACTGCAATTTAAATAAGAATAAATTTTTATTTCAAAATAGTATATAAATTATAAGATATGAAAGGCCACAAGAAGAAGTTGTTTTACAAAATTCCCAGATAATTAAGCAATAATAAATTTGTATTATTGTAGTAACAAAACATATTTTAGCCGGGCGCGGTGGCTCACGCCTGTAATCTATAATCCCAGCACTTTGGGAGATCAAGGTGAGCGGATCACGAGGTCAGAAGTTCGAGACCAGCCTGACTAAGATAGTGAAACCCCATCTCTACTAAAAAATACAAAATTAGCCTGGTGTGTTGGCACATGCCTGTAATCCCAGCTACTCGGGAGGCTGAGGAAGGAGAATTGCTTGACCCTGGGAGGCAGAGGTTGCAGTGAGCCAAGATCAGGCCATTGCACTCCAGCCTGGACACAAGAGCAAAACTCCATCTCAAAAAAAAGAGAAAAAAACATATCTCAAGGTTATTATAATCTCAGCTTGCAGGTCAGTTAGTTTTTTTTTTTCACATTAGGGAATATAATGTTAAAAAATTAACACAATTTCAGCAAAAACTTGTCTAAACTCTTCACCCTTAAGTTTCTGAGCTGTTTGGTCATCCTACTGAATAATGATGGCCTCAGTCAGCCATTAACACTACATACACGTATTAACAAAACTAATATATACCACACATAAGAATGCTGAGAAACATGAGTTTCTTTAATATGCCAAATTTTCTCTTTTTTTTTTTTGAGACAGGGTCTAACTCCTGTGGCCAAGGCTGAGGTGCAGTGGCGCAATCACAGCTCACTGCAGCCTTGACTTTCCGGACTCATGTGATCCTCCCACCTTAGCCTCCTGAGTGGTTGAGACTACAGGTGTGCACCACCATGCCCAGTTAGCTTTTCTGTATTTTTAGTAGACATAGGGTTTCACCATGTTGCCTGGGCTAGTCTCTAACTCCTAGGCTCAAGTGATCCTCCCACCTCAACCTCCTAAAGTGCTGGGATTACAGGCATGAGCCACCGTGCCTGGCCCAAATTTTCAATTAAGTAACAAAAAAAAAGATGACAAGCTCAACACAGAACATTGTACACTCAGCACAAGATAACATTAGCAGGCTAGAGTAATTTATTTTGCATATTGTATATCACAGAGCCTGATAAATATTAATATTTAGTAATTAAATATTGATCTCAACAAATATAAAATAAGTTTTAAAGATAACTTTGAGAACTGTCATTTCCATTTATTCAAATGTGCATTTCATTGTCCTTTTTTTTTTTGAGACCGAGTTTTGCTCTTGTTGCCCAGGCTGTAGTACAATGGCGCGATCTCAGCTCACCACAACCTCCGCCTCCTGGGTTCAAGCAATTCTCCTGCCTCAACCTCCCGAGTAGCTGGGATTACAGGCATGCGCCACCATACCCAGCTAGTGCATTTCATTGTCAAACAAATCCTCTATTGGAAGCAATGTTTCCTACCAAATCTATTTGATATTCCTAAATTCACAAGCCTGTGCTCTAATTTCTAAACCAGTATGAGCCTCACCTTGCTCAAAGCATACAGATCCAGGATTTTTCTCTCTACCACAGGGATCTTCAGAGTAGATCCTTGAAGTTCCCAAAATTTTGCTAGTTGATCCAAGAAATCCAATCTCACTCTGGTCATTGCCTAAGATTATTAAAATACAGAAGAACTAAGTTATGATTGAAATGAATAAGAATAACAGAGCAGGGGTCCCCAAACCCCAGGATGTGGACCAGTACCCATCAGCGGCCTGTTAGGAACCCAGCCACACAGCAGGAGGTGAGCAGCGGCAGTGGGCAACCAACCGGGCAAGCATTACCACAAACCCTATTGTGAACTGCGTGTGAGGGATTTAGGTTGTGAGCACCTTTTGAGAATCTAAGTAATGCTTGATGATCTGAGGTGGAACAGTTTCATCCCAAAACCATCCTCCATACCCCCATCCATCCATGGATAAACTGTCTTCCATGAAACCAGTCCTTGGTGCCAAAAAGGTTTGGGACAGCTGTAATAGAGGTACTCATTTCTCTAAAGAAATTCAAAGACTTTTTTTCATTATTGCTTATTTCAACCCTGTAAAACTAGCCAATAGTAAAACTAGCCAATAATAAAGAGGCAAAAGACTTCTAATAAACTATATTTATTCAGGCAAAAAAGTTACTCTGATTTATGTAAAAAGTTGTCATATTAGCAACCAAAACAATTTTTGTAAGTTGGTTTAACTCTATGCTGATCAGAAAATTCAGTAGATCGGATTCTCTTCAGTCTCTAACGTTCTGTCATTTCATCCATATGTAACATGCACACTTTAGGTGCATCAACTCTATACCTCACTGATACTAATATGCTTTGTCAAGTATCTAATTACAAGAGACTAAAAAGAAAAAATATGCATTGCGGCCAGGCGCGGTAGCTCACGCCTGTAATCCCAGCACTTTGGGAGGCCAAGGCGGGCAGATCACCTGAGGTCAGGAGTTCCAGACCAGCCTGGCCAACACGGCAAAACTCCGTCTCTACTAAAAATACAAAAATTAGCTGGGCATGGTCGCTGTAATCCCAGCCACTAGGGAGGCTAAGGCAGGAGAATCGCTTGAACCCGGGAGGTAGAGGTTGCAGTGAGCCGAGATCGCACCACTGCACTCCAGCCTGGGTGACAGAGCAAGACTCTCTGGAAAAAAAAAAAAAAAAAAAGTATGTATTAAACTCTCAGAAATGTTTTGGGGAGAAAAGAAAAAAAACTTCAGAATGACATAATAAACCTTTGCTATCAATAATTTTCCTTCTGTACTCTAAAAGTTTTCATATCACAATGAAGAACCTTCTGAAAACCCATAAACAGAAAAAACAGCAAAACGTACACTTCCATTTAGAAAATTTAAGATAAATTAGTAATACTTAAAGTAATTAAAAAATAATACTTAAAGTAATTAAAAAGTAATACTTAAAATCTTAATAAATCAGATTAACACTCCTGGCAAAGTTCCATTAAAACCAAAACCAAAACCAAACCAAAACAAAACAAACTCTGAAAACTAGGGTTTTAAAATAGGATTTAAAAATCCATTTTCCAAGAACCGAGGGAGAAAGAAATCTTCCAAGATTAACAAAAATTTTAGTAGAGTAAGAAACACTAGAGAAAGTAGAATTTAAGAATTCTAAGTCTCTGAAGCTAAGCATTGAACATTTCTCAGTTAAATGGAAAAACCATAACAACTTTGCACAGTTTTTAAAAAATCATACTCTTCCTCCAAACATCAAGTAACTATTCCATTCAATACCAATTAACACAAACTCTAGGCTGTGGTACATGAGCTTCTCAAAGTTCTCTACCTACAGCCCTAATATAAAGAATGAATCAGGAAGCAGAAATAGTGACAAAACACTTACCTCAAGTTCATTCAGGCGCTGGACTCTTGGAGTGAAACGAAAGCTTTTTACTTCACAGGCAAATGGAGGCTGCCAGTCCTAAATAGAAAGATTTTTTTAAAAAAACACAGTGGTATGTAAACAAGGAATGCATTAATTATTCCCTTAAAGGGGGGTTTTGCCACAAATCATGGTGCTAATAGACTAACTTACAAGTCTTCTTTATTATAGAGACAGAATGAGCAATTCTTTTCGATAAAATAATTTTAATACAGGTTGAGTATCCCTCATCTGAAATGCTTGGAACCAGAAGTGTTTTGGATTTCAGATTTTTCCATATTTTGGAATATCTGCATATACATAATGAGATATCTTGGAGAAAGAACCAAGCCTAAATACAAAATTCTTTTGTTTCATATAAAGTTATACATAGGCTAAGGTAATTTTATGCAATATTTTTAATAATCTGGTGCATAACGCTTGTGTATACTGGACCGTCAGAAAAGAAAGGTGTCAGTAGCTCAGCCACCAGTGTGGACAATTTGTGGTTGTCTGGCATCACCATCATTCCTGACTGTGAATTTACATGCTACCAATAAACAATCATTTCCTTACACTTATTTCCACTTAAGTAGTTAACAGAAAAAATATACCATACCATTAATACAATGAAAAAAATAATCTGTTCAAGCTGGGTGCAGTAGCTCATACCTGTAATCCCAGCACATTGGGAGACTGAGGCAGGAGGATCGCTTGAGCCCAGGAGCTTAAGACCAGCCCAGGCAACAGAGCGAGACCCTATCTCTATAAAAGAAAAAGAAAAAGAATAATTCAGATTTTGGATGATTTCGGATTTGGAATTTTTAAAGTAGGGATGGATGCTCAACCTGTATTGCTCAGAGAAGCAATCCTCTTCAAACCAGTCCCACCGTTTACCTCCCACAATTATGCTTTCCCAAGTTACTCAAGTGGAATTCAATGAGGTCATGTACCACAAAACAGTATCTAGTAAACATTCAGGTTTACCAAGATCAAAAAAAAAAAACTTGTGTTTAAACTAAAAAGGGTAAAATTTAAGATTAAAAAGAAACTTTTAAGAACTTATTTATTTAAACGATTTTTTTTATGTTATGTGTAATGTGACAGAGCACTTTATGTTACACAAATGTTTTGTTCAAAGCCCAGCTTCTGGGAACCCAAATATTCAAAAAACACGCAGAACAAGGACAATTTCCAGACTGTGATATAACTAAAATTAGATAGCATATTTCAAGTGGGGTCTAAATAACATAGTTTGATTTGGCCTAAATAACAGAATAACAGTAAACCTATTTTAAAACGTTGAGTAGTCAAAAAAAAAAAAAAGTCTTACCTTGGAAACTGAAGAAATCTGCCAAAACTAAAATTAAATTCTGATTGTAAACAAGATTTATTTTCAATAATGTGACATAAAGAGAAAGCATTATTTCAGCATTTTTTTAAGTAAAAAAACTTTTTTTAATCAAAGTAACCGTGAATAGAATTTCTAATTAATAAATTCAAGAGTAGATAAAAATATGACTTAGGAAAACCTTCAATGCTTAAGATTTGTTAATATTAGGTAATTATGATAGAAAAAAGGGTTAAATGGAAGTTTTTGGAGGATGGCAATGCGTATCATCATAGCAATTATTTGTTAATCCTCTGCTTGAAATGAGTAGTCTATAACCTTAAACAAAGTCATTCAACATAGTGAGAGCATTACGTCTGTTTCAGAATCAGAAAAACTGATCTAGGTTCAAAATACACTTTGCCACTTGCCCAAGATCACACATTTGGTGTTTTAACTTATCCAGATTAGCCTCATCTGTAAAAGGCGGACTTTATTTACCTGTCAGGGCTTCAAAGATTAAAGCAAACAATCTATAGGTGTTAAATTAGTTCCTCCTCGCTGTCATTTAAGTTTTTAATACGCTGCGGTGCCTATCTCTGTGGTAGTCAGTGGTGACGGCAGATGCTTTTTAAAAAGCAACACTGGTTAACAGTGCTTAATATTTTATCATTACTAATACTAGACAAAACATAAAGCAAAATGCCTTTAACAAGCAACGACTAAAGCAATGGTTCGAAAACCTCAACTTACATGAGAATCATCTGAGACTAGTTGCTAGAAAAGCAGATTCCAGAACTTCCACAACAAGACTAGAGATCTGCATTTAAACAAGCATCCAGTTGACCCTGGTGCAAGTGGTCCAGCAACATCATTTAAAAAGCACTGGTCTAATGAGTAAAGAAAAACACCTTTGACCTTGAGTAATCACTCAACCTCTTGGGGCATTAATCCCCTCCACACAAGGGATAGTATCTGTTTTCCTTACCTCAAAGGTGAGATTATAATTAACCTTATAGGCAAACCTAGTTATCTGCAATAACTGTGATTCTAAAATCGTTGATCTTGAGTTCCCTACGTCAAGAGATTTCAACATTTCCTTCCACCTCCACTATAAACCAATTTTTCCTAAACCTCTAAATTTTAGAATTATTGCTGCTCCTTCTCTTTCCCCGCTAAGACTTTTTCACTGCGGCAATAATTAGTCTGGAGTTCTTGTCTAGTAATACCATCCGGTGAGACTAGAGCTCAGATAACCTTTTCAGAAACCCTAGCCCTGAGATGAGGCCTGCAAATATTTGATCCAACCAGGTCTTGAATAAAGAGATAGCCGACTATCAAACCATAATGAGGATACGTGAGGGAAGAATACGTCACGTCATAATACTGTACTTTAAACACCATATCGGCTAACGAAAGGCTTTAGGCCCACGGCTGAGAGAAAAGTATCAGTTCCCAAGTTCTAGGCGGAAGAGGCCCAAGAGACACCACTTTCTCGCTTTCAGACGTGTCTACATAAGACCACAAAAGAAACCGAGGCAAAAACATCCAGAAACAGGCTCCAGTTGTCTCAAAAGAGAGTACATATGAAACGAGACAAGGATCAGAAAAGTAAAGCTAAACCCAGTGTACGGACTCCCCCATTCTTCCTTCTCCCCCTCTCTCTTCACAGACTGAGGTACCTTGGGCGGCCGAATTTTGCAGATGCCGGTTTTCTCCGCCAAAGGCCGGATGCGGCCGATAAAGCTGAGCGGATCTGTGAACTCCTCCCAACTCGGCTCAAAGACGGGGCACTCTGGCGGTGGCACGAACTCCGCCGCGTAGCCCCCCGGCCCCACGCCCGCCATTGCAACGGCCGGGGGGGGGGGGGGGTCCCCGTGGGGAACCGGTGGAGAAAAGCTGGCTGAAGCCCACTAAGCCCGTTCAAGTCCCCTGACAGAGGCCGAAGCGCATCTTCGCGGACAAGAACCGTTCAACACAGAAACCCCAGAATCGCTTCCTCCTCCCGTTTGTTATTGTTTCTTGCAAGGCTTTTCCACTGAGGTTCAGGACTTTTCCGGAAGTTACCGTGCTGTCAAATCCCTCCGCCCCCTGCAGGAAACGGAATCCTTCCGCAGCTGCACGACGCCTGTGTGTCTGGCCTTTCCTTCTTCTTCTCTTCCCCGGCAGCACAGTGTGGCTGTTTGTCTCCTTGCCCGCCAAAGTTCTGCCCAGTCCAACGACTCCACGCAGCTCGCCCTTGGTAAGGGGTCGGGGAGGGGCACAAGCTCTTCTTTACTAGAGGTACGGATTGAGGGAAGCCGACGGGGCGAGGCGGGGCGAGGCGCAACGAGGCGGGGCGAGGCGCGACGCGACGTGACGCTTTCTTCCGGCGCGGAGGAATGTGTAATGCCCCAGAGGGCAGAGGTTGTGCTTCCGGTGAGGAGGGTCCCTTTCCCTTTTGTGTATCAGTGCACTCGAAAACACGCCGGGCTTAATCTTAAGCACCGCGCCTCACCGCCCGTGCTTCGTAATTTGTTTTAACCTACCCTGCTGCGTTTATAGCAAGTAGCCTTTCCAGCATTTCTCTTTTTTTAGCCCTTTGAATGCAGATATTTTACAGTAATCTCACTCTGCCACTTTATACCCGCCTCTTCTCCATCAAAACAAGTGCAGGTCTAACCCATCCCCTAAATCCTGCCAGCTGGCTTTAGCCACCATCCATGAATTGCTTTTCCTTTTACACAGGACGCAGCAGCTCTCCTGAATTACCAGCCAGTATCGTCTAGCTACCTGCAGGACATCTCACTTTGATAACTCAAAGTACTTTAATTGTTCACTGTTTCTTCAGTGTTCCTGGTTTCCATTAATGACTTCATCTATTCAGTTGCCTGAGCAAAAAAAAAAAAAAAAAAAAAAAATCAAGAAATAATCCTAATTCTTTCTGCTCTCACTTCCCATGTATAATCGTGTGTCTCTCCATCCCCGTTACCAGTATCCTAATTTAAATACTCTTACTGACAACAGCTGATTTCTCCTCTCAAATCCCTCTCCATCCACACGTTGGATTGCTTTGTCTAAAATCCAGAATTCATCTTGTCACTTTTCATCTCCAAACTCAACAACTCCAAACATCTTTTTTAATTGCTGATTTGCTGCTTTGCTCTCCAGCTTCATCTCTCCTGCTTCTCCATATGATCTACAGAAGTTTTTGTGGTGACTTTAGTACACCATGATTTTTCTCACCTCTGAGTAACAAATCAGGGGACTTTGAATAACGCAGATTGCCCTCCATAATGTGAGTAGGCCTTATCCAATCAACTGAAGGCCTGAATAGAACAAAAGACTGACCTTCCATGAGCAAGAAGGAATTTTGCCAGTAGATGGCTCTCAGACTTGAACTGTAGCATCACCTTTTCCCTGGCCTCCAGCCTGCCAACCCACCCTGCAGATTTTGGACTTGGAAGCTCTATAATCAAGTGAGTCAAGTCCTTAAAATAAATATCTTTATAAACACACACACACACACACACACACATCTTATTGGTTCTGTTTCTCTGGAGAACCGTGAATACATCTAGGGTTGGAGGGTTCAAGATGGCCTCACTTACGTGTCTGGCAGTTGGTGCTGGCTATTGGCTGGGAAGTCTTAGTTCTCCACATGGCTTCTCATCTTCTGGTAGATGGAGCTTTTCCACTGCATGGTGGTCTTAGCATTCTAAGAAGATGAGAGTGGAAGCAAAGACCTAAAGCCTAGACTCCAAAATGTACAAGATCACTCCATCATATTCTGTTGGTCAAAGCAAGTCATAAGACCATCCCAGATTCAAGAAGTGGGAAAATTCCAATTTTTTATGAGAAGAGTGACAATGTCACATTACAAAGGGGTGTAGACACAGGACGCTGTGATTCATAATAATTCCATACAATTATTATAATGATTTATGTCCAGGTGCAGTGGCTCACGCCTGTAATCCCAGCACTTTTTGAGGCCAAGGCGGGCAGATCACCTGAGGTCAGGAGTTTGAGACCAGCCTGGCCAACATGGTGAAATCCTGTCTCTATTAAAAATGTACAACAATTAGCCCAGGCGTGGTGGCAGGCGCCTGTAATCCCAGCTATCCAGGAGGCTGAGGCAGGAGAATTGCTTGAACCCAGGAGGTGGAAGTTGTAGTAAGCCGAGATCGTGCCACTGTACTCCAGCCTAGGCAAGAAGAGTGAGACTCTGTCTCCAAAAAAAAAAAAATTTACAACAAAGTCTTTGATTTTTACCACTTAAATCTGGAAAACTATATTATTCGGAAAAAGAAATAATGGAATTCCGAATAAAACAAGCCACTGATAATTCATTTTATTAAACATTCAATTAAATGTAATGGTTTTGCTTTCAAATTAACAGAGCGTGAGAACCTGATAGAACCTCAGTATAAGCACAAATCCTTAAAAGCTTTGATTGGTCCTATTTATTTCCTGTTATTTTCTTCAGATTATACTTACCTATTTTATTTTAAACTGTCTCTCTAGTAGAATAGAAAATGTATAATGATTCTCAATCATTTTTATTTGCCACAGTACTTCTGAGAAATCTGTAGTGGTTGCTTACAACAGCAGGAAGTCTGTAAGAGAAGACAGTGAATAGAAGGGCAGCAAATATTAACATCTCTGGTGCGAACAGAAGAAACTTCTGTAGTTACAACCACCTCACATTCTGATGCTTCCCTCAGGGGGGGCACATGAACCCCACTCCCACCTCTCATGCTTACCCCTTTGAAAATCACTGTTGTAAAAATCCAAATTGTGTTTCATCAGCTTCTATGAGGGCATTCTGCACACACAATGTTAAACTGAGTCAATAGTATTTGGGTTTCTGGTCAGAACAGTGGAGTATAACTGTAGTTTAAAAGGATCATTTGCATTACTTAAACAATCCTTGACAGTAACTTTTCAGAAAAAAAAAAATTAGAGTATTATTTATCTGAAATTTATTATCCTGAGTGTTAAAATAGACTAAAATGAATACTTAGATCTGATAATCATTTGGCTAGACCGTGGTCCCTGGATTTTTAAAAAATGCAATAAAACCTCACAAAATCAGATTAATTAGGGTTAGTTTCAGAGAGGGAAAAGTCAAAATTACTGAATTCTTAAACAAATGTCATTTTAATTCAAGAATAATTTCCACCAGTGATTCTCAAACTGTTTTGGTGTCAGGACGCCTTTACTCTTAAAAATTATTGAGGCCAGGCACGGTGGCTCATACCTGTAATCCCAGCACTTTGGGAGGCCGAGGCGGGCAGATCACTTGAGGTTAGGAGTTCGAGACCAGCCTGGCCAACATGGAGAAACCGCATCTCTACTAAAAAATACAAAACTTAGCCGGGCGTAGTGGTGGGCACCTGTAATCCCAGCTACTTAGGAGGCTGAGGCAGGAGAATCGCTTGAACCTGGGTGGCGGAGGTTGCAGTGAGCCAAGATGGTGCCACTGTACTCCAGCCTGGGCAACAGAGTAAGACTCTGTCTCACAAAAAAAAAAATTATTGAGAACCCCCAAAGTTCTTGTTTATATGCATAATACATATTGATGTTTACTATATTAGAAATTAAACCTAAGATGTTTAAAATATTTTATTCATTTCAATATAAAACTTTTATATTTAAATACATTTTAAAAATAATAACTATATTTTCCAAAACAAAAAAATCTGGTGAGAAGAGTGGCATTGGTTTACATTTTTTGTACTTTTTTTTTTAACATTTGGCTTAGCAGGATCGAGCTGGATTATCATATCTGTTTCTCCAACCCGTTACAATATGTTCTTTTGGTTGGAATATATGAAGAAAAACCAGCACCACACAAATATGTAGTTGGGAAAGGAAGAGCATTTTATTTATTTTTTAATTTTTATTTTCTTAGACACAGGGTGTCACTCCGTTGCCCAGTTGGAGTGCAGTGGCACAACCCCAGCTTACTCCAACTCTTGGGCTCAGGCAATCCTCCTGCCTCAGCCTCCCAAGTAGCTAGGACCACAGGTGTGCATCGTTATGCCCAGCTAATTAAAAAAAATTTTTTTGTAGACATGGGATCTTGCTATGTTGCCCAGACTGATCTCAAACTCCTGGGCTCAGGGATCCTCCCACCTCGGCCCCCCAAAGTGCTGCGATTACAGGCATGAGCCACCATACGTAGTGCAGAGAAGCATTTTAATAACCTTCTCAGATGACTGTAATTTCTTAAAGGCTAACAATTTGGAATCTAAAACTTTATCAGTTAACTTTTTTACACTGTTACATTAAAATGGTAGTCAATCTTGTCCTTTTTTTTTTTTTGAGACAGAGTCTCGCCCTTCCCCCAGGCTGGAGTGCAATGGTGCGATCTCAGCTCATTGCAACCTCTGCCTCCTGGGTTCAAGCAATTCTCCTGCCTCAGCCTCCTGAGTAGCTGCGATTACAGGCACCCACCACCACACTCAGCTAATTTTTGTATTTTTAGTAGAGACGGAGTTTTGCCATTTTGGCCAGGCTGGTCTCGAATTCCTGGCCTCAGGTGATCCACCTGCCTCGGCCTCCCAATGTGCTAGGATTACAGGCGTGAGCCACTGCGTCCAGCCAATCTTGTCCTTGAATGGACTTTTTTACCCAGTCATGCTTTTGTAACATCATGCATTGGTCATTTAGAAAATACTGGTTCACTGAGTTATACGGCTTTTCCTAATGTTGACATGTATTATTATATAATATCAAAAAAATTTACAAAAATATCACCATCAATTTATCAGGCAATTGGGAAGTTGTCAAACTCATGATGACAGAAACAAGTTTTCCAAAATTATAATTTTCACTTGAAAGCTCAAATTTTATTATTGCCAACAAATACCATTAGTTGTTTTCATTGAAGAGATTGACTCACTTTGTTCATTTTCAAGAAAAGATCTGCCGTATCTAAGTCTGAACAACCATAGTTTGTCTGTTAGTCCTTCTGGTGTTCTGTGAAAAAAGTGGCTAGTTGAGCTGGTATTATTTCCTCGAGAAAACCCTCTGTATGCAACTGAGTGCGTTATGTGTTCTTCTTACTTCATCGCACAGACAAAAGACATATTTAAAGGTCCAGATTTATCACAGTTAATAATTTTTACTCCTTTATGAAGGGCATTCTTAAATGACACTGGCTTTCCCCAGTGAAATCTATGTAATGAAGGCAAAGACTCCAAGTATGGTTTGGTGTCACTACCATGATTCATGCTGAGGGACCAGCGTTTTACCCACTGTTGCTTTTGTACCATCCATGCAAATGTCAAAGTGAACATGGCAAATAGCATCTTAGTATTACCACGGTCAATGCTGCTCTTGTTTAGGCCCTTTCTCTCATACGAATTTCCACTGTGGCATTCCAATGACCTTCAAGCATTGTTCTTGTTTGATCCTTTGCCACCAGTGTGATTTTTAAAAATTATCTATTTGATGTTGTGTGATTGCGAGAGAGTGATGAATTGGAGAATGACTCTTTGGCATTGTAATGAATGATGATGCATTAATTTAGATATAGAATGGAAGAAAAGCAATCTAATGGGGGGAGGCAGCACACCTGTAGGGAGGAGGATTATACATGCATTCAACATTTATTCCACATCTCTATGTGCCAGGCACTCTTCCAGATGCTGGATATATGACAGTGAACAACAAAAAAAGACAAAGTATCGGCTCTCATACAGCTCACTAGTAGAAAGGGAAGACAAAAGAATAAGCACAAGCTAATAAATATATACTATTTTAGTGATGATAAGATTTTTTTAAAGTGGAGAAAGTAAGGGGGCTTGGGTGATCATCAAAGGGCTCACAGATTGGTGACATTTGTTTTTTGTTCTTAGTTTTCTGAGGCACGGTTTCATTCTGTCTCACTTAGGTTGGAGTGCAATGGCATTATCTTGGCTCACTGTAACCTCAAACTTCTGGGCTGAAGCGATCCTCCTCCCTCAGCCTCCTGAGTAGCTAGGACTACAGGTGTGTGCCACCACGTCTGGGTAATTTTGTTTTATTTTTCTATTTTCTATAGAGAGAGGGTCTGGCTGTATTTCCCAGGTTGGTTTCAAACTACTAAGCTCAAGCAATCCTATTGCCTTGGCCTCCCGAAGTGCTGGAATTACAGGCATGAGCCACTGCACCCAGCCAGATTGGTGACATTTGAATAGAGGCTACTTTATAAAAATAAAAGGACAAATTGCTAAATGAATATCCAATCAGGAGGGATTACAGCTAGCCTTCCATATATGTGGGTTCCTCATTTAGAGAGTCCGTATCTACGAACCCAACCAACTACAGAAAATATTTGGAAAAAAAAACAATAAAAATAATAATAAATAATAAAAATAATACAGATTAAAAAACAGTACAGGCCGAGTGTGCTGGCTCACGCCTGTAATCCCAGAACTCTGGGAGGCCGAGGTGGGTAGATTGCTTGAGGTCAGGAGTTCGACACCAGAGTGGCCAACATGGCGAAGCCCCATCTCTACTAAAAATACAAAAATTGGCTGGGCGTCGTGGTGCATGCCTGTAGTCCCAGCCACTTGGGAGGCTAAGGCAAGAGAATCGCTTGAACTCAGAAGGCAGAGGTTGCAGTGGGCTGAGATCACACTACTGCACTCCAGCCTGGGCGACAGAGTGAGACTCTGTCTCAAAATAAATAAATAAATAAAAAATATAAAACAATACAGTAAATCAAGTGCAGTGGCATGCATCTGTAATCCCAGCTATTCAGGAGGTTGAGTCAGGAGGATTGCTTGAGCCCAGGGGTTTGAGTCCAGTCTGAGCAACACAGCAAGACCTTGTCTCTAAAAAATAAAAAATAAAAGAAAATAAATACATTTTGAAATTTAAAAAAGTCAATACACTGGCCAGGCGAGGTGGCTCACGCCTATAATCCCAGCACTTTGGGAGGCCAAGGCGGGCAGATCACCTGAGGTCAGGAGTTCGAGACCAGCCTGGCCAACATGGTGAAACCCCATCTCTACTAAAAATACAAAAATTAGCCAGGTGTGGTGGTGGGTGCCTGTAATCCCAGCTACTTGGGAGGCTGAGCCCAGAGAATCGCTTGAACCTGGGAGGCGGAGGTGGCAGTGAGCTGAGATTATGCCACTGCACTCCAGCCTGCGGGACAGAGCAAGACTCCCTCTTGAAAAAATAAATAAATAAAAAAGGAAAAGGAAGAAAAACAACTGTTTAAATTGTATTAGGTATTATAAGTAATCTATAGATGTTTTGAAGTATACGGGAGGGTGTGCATAGGTCATATGCAAATAATATGCCATTTATGTAAGGGACTTGAGCATCTATGCCTTTTGGTACCCAGGAATTGCCTGGCACCAATCCCTAGCAGATACTGAGCAAGGGACAACTGTATTTCCAATTAGGGAGATAAGTCAAGATTTTACAAAAGTGGTAGTATTTGAGTTGGCTCTCGTAAGAATTTTGAGTGAAGATGCACTGAAAGGGCCAATCCAGATAAAAGGAAGAGTGTGAACTGAAGCTGGAAAGTGCGTCCTGTGTTCAGGAGATGACCACATCAATTTCTTCTAATAGAGACAAATGGGGTCAGATAGCTGCAGTCTTTGAATGCCATACTACTGTCTGAACTTCATTCTCTAGTCTGTGGGGAGTCATCAAAGTTTATAAGCAGGAGTGTGACAGACCCGGAATTGAATTTTTTGGAGACAGAGTCTCGCTCTGTCACCCAGGCTGGAGTGCAACAGCGTGATCTCAGCTCACTGCAACCTCCACTTCCTGAGTTCAAGCAATTCGCCTGCCTCAGCCTCCTGAGTAGCTGGGATTACAGGCATGTGCCACATGTAACCACACCCAGCTAATTTTTGTATTTTTACTAGAGATGGGGCTCATGCCTGTAATCCCACCACTTTGGGAGGCTGAGGCGGGTGGATCACGAGGTCAGGAGTTCAAGACCAGCCTGGACAAAAATCACCTTTTATAGAATGGATTGGAGGCAAGAACACCCAGTTAGAAGCCTATGGTAATAGACCAAGTGAAAGGTAATAAGACACATAGTGGAAATAAATAGGAAGATATATATGAAGACAGGCTCACCATGACTTGATTTTTTAAAAATTGCAGGGGCTAAAAGAAAGGAAATAGACAAAAGATACCGAGCCGAGATGTTTGGGAAGATATTAATGTAATTAACAGAGAAAATCACAAGGGAGAAAAAAGCAGGTTTGGGAGTACAGGCATAACTTGGAGATATTGCAGGTTCAGTTCCAGACCACCATAATAAAGTGAATATCACCATAAAGCAAATTGCTCGAAATTTTCGGTTTCCTGGTACATAAAAAAAGCTATGTGTTTACACGATACTGTAGTCTAGTGCATTATTTCTAGTTTGCATTATTTCTTTAAAAAAATTTACATGCCTTAATTTAAAATGCTTTTTTTTTTTGAGACAGAGTCTTGCTCTGTCACCCAGGCTGGAGTGCAGTGGCGCGATCTCAGCTCACTGCAGCCTCTGCCTCCTGGGTTCAAGTGATTCTCCTGCCTCAGCCTCCCGAGCAGCTGGGACTACAGGCGCCCGCCACCACGCCCGGCTAATTTTTTGTATTTTTAGTAGAGATGGGGTTTCACTGTCTTAGCCAGGATGGTCTCCATCTCCTGACCTCGTGATCCGCCCGTCTCAGCCTCCTGCAGTGCTGGGATTACAGGCGTGAGCCACCGCGACTGGCCTTAAAATACTTTATTCTAAAAATGCTAATGATCGTCTAAGCCAAGTCATAATATTTTCACTGATGGAGGGTCTAGCCTTGATGTTGGGGGCTGCTGACTGATCATGGTGCTGATTGCTAAAGGCTGGGGTGGCTGTGGCAATTTCTTAAAATAAGACAACAATGAAGTTGTTTTCATTCTTCCTTTCATGATATTGATTGATTCTTCCTTTCATGAAAGATTTCTCTGTAGCATGCAATGCTGTTTGATAGCATTTTACCCATAGTAGAACTTCTTTCAAAGTTGAAGTCAATCCTCAAACCCTGCAACTGCTTTATCGACTAAGTTTATGGAATATTCTAAACCCTTTGTTGTCATTTTGGCAATGTTCACAGCATCTTCACCAGGAGTAGATTCCAGCTAAAGAAACCACTTTCTTTACTTATTCATAAGAAGCAACTCTTCATCCATAGTTTCATCATGAGATTGCAGCAATTCAGTCACATCTTCAGGTTCCACTTTTTTTTTTTTTTGAGACAGAATCTTGCTCTGTTGCCCAGGCTGGACTGCAGTGGCGCGATCTGGGCTCACTGCAACCTCTGCCTCCCGGGTTCAAGCGATTCTCCTGCCTCAGCCTCCCAAGGCTCCACTTCTAATTCTAGTTCTCTTGCTACTTCCACAGCATCTGCAGTTATTTCGTCCATGAAGTCTTGAACCCCCTCAAAGACATCCAAGAGGATTGGAATTAACTTCTTCCAAACTCCTGTTATTATTGATATTGACCTCCTCCCATAAGTCACAAATGTTCTTTTTAAAATTTTTTTATTAAATATATTTTTACTTTTTTTTTTTTGAGACACAGTCTTGCTCTGTCACTCAGGCTGGACTGCAGTGGCACAATCTCGGCTCACTGCAACCTTGGTCTCCCAGGCTCAAGCAATCCTCCCACCTCAGCCTCCCAAGTAGCCAGGTGCATGCCACCACTCCTGGCTAGTTTTTGTATTTTTTTATAGAGACAAGGTTTTCTATGTTGCCCAGGCTTGTCATGCACTCCTGAGCTTAAGTGATCCACCCACGTTGGCCTTCCAAAGTGCTGGGTTTACAGGTGTGAGACATCTCACCAAGCCAAGTCACAAATGATCTTAAGGACATCTAGAATGGTGGTGAGTCCTTTCCAGAAGGTTTTCGATTTACTTTGCCCAGATCCACCAGAGAAATCACTATGTCTGGCAGCTATAGCCTTATGAAATATTTTTTTTTTTTTGAGGCGGAGTTTCACTCTTGTTGCCCAAGCTGGAGTGCAATGGCACGATCTCAGTTCACTGAAACCTCCGCCTCCCAGGTTCAAGTGATTCTCCTGCCTCAGCCTCCTGAGTAGCTGGGATTACAGGCATGCGCCATCATGGCCAGCTAATTTTGTATTTCTAGTAGAAACGGGGGTTTCTCCATGTTGGCCAGGCTGGTCTCGATCTCCTGACCTGGTGATCCGCCCACCTCAGCCTCCCAAAGTGCTGGGATTACAGATGTGAGCCACCGTGCCCGGCCTGAAATATATTTCTTAATAAGACCTGAAAGTCAAAATGACTCCTTGATCCATGAGCTGCAGAATGTCTGTTGTGTTTGCAAGCATGAAAGCAACATTCATCTGTTTGCATACCTCCACCAGAGCTCTTGGGTGACCAGTTGCATTGTGAGTGAGAAGTAATATTTTGAAAGAAATCCTTTTTTTCCTGAGCAGTAGGACTTAAAATAAAACATACATAAAACGGTGAACTTAAAATACTCAGTTAACCATGCTATAAACATATATGCTGTCATCCAGGTTTTGTTGTTCCATTTATAGAGCACAGGCAGACTATATCTAACATAATTCTTAAGGGCTCTAGGATTTCAGGGATGTAAATGGGCACTGGCTTCAACTTAAAGTCACCAGTTGCATTAGCCCCTAACATGAGAGTCAGTCTGTTCTTAGAAGCTGTGAAGCCAGGTATTGACTTCTCTCTAGCTACAAAAGTACTACTTGGCATCTCCTTCCAATAAAAGGCTGGTTCATATATATCAAAAGTCTGTAGTTTAGTTTAGCCACCTTAATCAATTACCTTAGTTAGCTCTTCTGAATAACTTGCTGCGGCATCTACATCAGCACTTGCTGCTTCCACCTTGCACTTTTAAGTAACGGAAATAGCTCCTTTCCTTAAACCTCACGAACCAGCCTCCGCTATCTTCCACCTTTTCTTCTGCAGCTTCCTCACCTGTCTCAGCCTTCATTTTATTGAAGAGTTAGGACTTTGCTCCAGATTAGGCTTTGGCTTCAGGGAATGCTGTGGCTGGTTTGATCTTCTATCCAGACCACTCAAACTTTCTCTATATCAGCAATGTCTGTTTCACTTTCTTATCATTTTTGTGTTTACTGGAGTAGCACTTTTAATTTCCTTCAAAAACTTTTCCTTTGCATGCACAACTTGGCTAACTTTGGTGCAAGAAGACTGGCTTTCATCCTGTCTTGGCTTTCAACATGCCTTTTTCACTGAGCTTAATCATTTTCAGCTTTTTATTTAAAGTAAGAGATGTGTGACTCTTCCTTTCACTTGAACCCCCACTGTAGGATTGTTAATTGGTCTAATTTCAATATTGTTGTATCACAGGAATAAGGAGGCAAGAAGAGAGGGAGAAAGGCAGGGAGACTGCTGGTCTGTGGAGCAGTTAAAACATCCACAACATTTATGAATTAAGTTTGCCATCTTATATGGGCATGGTTCATGGTGCCCCTAAACAATTATAATAGTAATATAAAGGATAACAGATCAGCATAACATATACAATAATTATGAAAAAGTTTGAAATATTGTGAAAATTACCAAATGTGGTGCAGAGACACATAGTAAGCCTGTGCTGTAGGAAAAATGGCGCAGATAGATTTGGTTCCATGCAGAGTTGCCACAAACCTTACATTTGTAAAAACAGTTACCTGGGAAGCGCAATAAAGGAAAGTGCGAGCCTGTAGCAGATGCACGTTCCATTTAGACATCCTTAGGACTCACACCAGCGAAGGGCCCCAGCTTTTCCATACCAGTAGCTGTAATTCTGAGACGAAAGTGCTTTTCCCCCACCTTTACACCTTGCTTTCTGGAAAGATAAGACCATAATGGATTTTGAACTTGCTTTTATCATTAAAGCCCAGTGTCTTACATTTCTCCGGAAAAGGAAGCAGTGTTTGCTATGGAACAAATAGTAGAATTTTAATACATAGTCCCCTGACCGTAGAAACTGAACCTCAGGTCCTATCCTGGCTCTAGGCCACCCGGTCATGGAAGAAGAAACTTTTCTTAGAATCTTTATCTCTTGAGACAAGCTTGGAAATTACAACATATATGTACCATGAACGCGAAGTACCTGAGCTCAAAGCAGTTGAGCAATCTTAAGTGGGGGTGCCCGAAAGTGGTGCGTTCTGACCCCAAACGTCACACTACCCGTCCCTGGAGGAGCGGGTTGCAGCCCAGCTGCGTCGCCCCGCGCAGAGCTCCAGGCAGAAGAAAACTACATTTCCCAGAGACCTCTGCGCGGTCGGGAGCACCGCGAGGAGGGGCGAGATGGGGGCGGGCCTCTGTGTGAAGGCCCTTCCCATTGGTGCGCATTCCAAAGGGCCATGTAAACTTCTTCGCGATTGCACGGATTCAGGGACGCTCAGTGGCGCCGCGCCGCTCCTTGGTTTGACTTTTGTTTTTCAGTTGCGTTCCCTGACTCGGAGTCTTAGTGTGTCGTGAGTATAGAGTTTCGGGTTTGGGGTGAAGGGGTTAGGTAAGAAGCCTTGGGAAGAAAATCTGGTTAGGGAGAAGTAACTGCGGAAGCAGTGCGGAGGAGAGGACGTGAGCCTGAATGTGGTGTCCGTGGAGGGGCTGGGGACCGGAGGAGGAAAGCTCCAATGTGCAAAGGGAGAGACCTCAGGAGTGCTGGAGCGTTGGGACCTGGAGCAGTGAGGCGGTCGAGAATGGGATGAAGTGGGAAAAGGAGTACGGGATTCGGGCGCCCTGGAGATGCGTTCCGGTGTACTCTAACCCCACGCTGGTCTAGCTCTCAGTTTCCTCATTTGTGAAATAAGGGATAGTGAAAATACTGAACGGTTGTTGGGATAATAAATTGTACAGATTTGTCACGTGGCTAAAAGAAAAAAATTCAAAGTGCTACACAAATGTTAATTGTTAGTAGACAAGCTATAAGAATATATCTAAGCAAGGGTATTGGAGATAGGTGCAGAGACCCTAGCTGAAACCCGTTAATTTACCTATAAACAAAGGCATTGTTCCTTTGGAAGAGGCAATGAAGAGTAAGACGCGATTTCTGTCTGTAGGGAGCGCACGCTAGCATGGGAGAAACGATAGCAATAAAGCACTCTAATATGTTGACTTGTAGATAATTTCAAAGGCAGTTCTTTTGCACTTAGATCATTTTTGCTAAATCATTTTGGATGGGGAGACTCAGGAAAGAGAAAAAGGAGGTGGTATTTAAGATGAGTTTTCATGTACAGACTAGATTTTGTTAAGTGAAATTATGAGGGTTGTGGAGGGAGTTGTGTTCCAGCTAGAGGGAAGCTCATGAACAAAGGTATGGAGGCAGGAAAGTTATCTGGAAACGGTACATTTAGGAGAGTAGAGAGAAATAAGGCAGGAAAGTTAGGTTTGGCCCTTATGTAGAAAGCCATGAATTCTAGGCTAACAAATTGGATTTAATGCTTTAGGCTATGAGGTGCTACTGATGTATTTTATTAAAGAAAATGGTCCAGGAGACGCAAGGAGTAGGTAGAACCGTTAAGGTGTTGTAATGGTGTGGGTAAGAAGTATTGAGACTCTGAATTAACATGGTCATTGTGGAGATAAAATATACAAGATATTCATATGGTTAGACAGGAGGTTCAGAAGAATGAGTGATCAAATGATGAATTTAAGTTGCCAACTCCCGGTTGCTTGGAAACGCTGAATTAGTAACTAAAATAGGAAAGTCAGAAGGGGCATGTTTGGATAAAAAGATGATGTGTTAGGTTTAGGAAATGTTAGCTTTGAGATGCTAAAAAAATACCTAACTTGAGTGATTTCTTTTTTAAGTTAAACGTTTCAAGTGCCAGTGGGACTATGGGTGAAAATGTCCACTACATTTTTGTTAATTCAAATCAAGAGGTTGAAAGAGATGTCGTTTATTTATTCAACATGTAATTGTTACTTACTGTATGCCATGTAGTGTTTTAGATGACAGAGTTAATAATAAAAACAGGAGGAATAATGATGTTCCCAAAGAAATGGTTAGAGGAAATGATAAAGAAACTTGAAGACAGAACCTCTGAGCCAAGGGAGTAAAATTGTCAATAATAATAATAGTCCACATTTACTGAGTGCTTATATATGTGTCAAACACTGTCCCTCGGCCTTATATCCGTACACCAACCTATGACATAGAAGTAACTGAAATTTAGAGAGGATAACTTGCCTGAGGTACACAGCTAATAAGAGGCAGGGCTTTGACTCAAACCCAAGTCTGATATCAGAGCCCACATTCTCAACTACAAAGCAATATTTATTTTTATTATTATTTTTTCCAGGTAAGGTCTCACTCTGTCACCTAGGCTGGAGAGCAGTGGGGCAATCTCAGCTCAGTGCAGCCTCTGCCTCCCAAGCTCAAGCAATCCTCTGCCTCAGCCTCCTGAATAGCTGGGACTACAGGCACGTGCCACCACTCCCAGCTAATTCTGTAATTTTTGTAGAGACAGGGTTTCACCATGTTGCCCAGGCTGGTCTCAAACTCCTGACCTCCAGCAGTCCATTCACCTTGGCCTCCCAAAGTGCTGGCATTACAGGCATGAGCCACTGTGCCCAGCCTATTTTAATTGTTTTTTGAGACAGGGTCTTGCGCTGTTGTCCAGGCTAGAGTGCAGTGGCACGATCACTGCTCGCTGCAGCCTTGAACCCTCAGGCTGAAGTGATCCTCGCACCAAGCAGGTGGGACTACATTGCCACTGTGCCCAGCTAATTTTTAAAATTTTGGTAAAGACAGGGTCTTGCCATGGCCTGGCCATGCCAAGGTCCGGTCCCAAAGTGATATATTTTTAAAGGGTAGTTGGCACTACCAGGCACAGTGGCTCACGCCTGTAATCCCAACACTGGCAGGCAGAGGTGGGTGGATCATCTGAGGTCAGGAGTTCGAGACCAGCCTGGCCAACATGGCGAAACCCTGTCTTTACTAAAAATACAAAAAAAATTAGCCACAGTGGCAGGTGCCTGTAATCCCAGCCACTGGGGAGGCTGAGGCAGGAGAATCACTTGAACCCAGGAGGTGGAGGTTGCAGTGAGCCAAGATCGTGCCACTGCACTCCAGCCTGGGCTGAACAGAGTGAGACTCTGTCTCAAAAAATAAATAAATAAATAGGTAGTTGGCACTATCTAATTAAGAATACAAGTGAAGGAGTAACTATTGGATGGAGGAGGATAGAAACAGAAAAGAGCAATTGAATTTATTAATTTGGATGTCTGCTGACCAATAAGAGCTTGGTTAGATGTCATAGTAGAAGCCCGAGGCCTGGCTCAGTGGCTCATGCCTGTAATCTCAGCACTTTGGAAGGCCAAGGGAGGAGGATTGTTTGAGTCCGGGAGTTCAAGGCCAGCCTGGGCAACATAGCAAGGCCCCGTCTTGCAGCCAGAGAGGTGAGTGTAGACAACTTTTCGTAGACATGTGCAACAGTGAGGACAGTCACTATGAAGGAGAAGAGGGATTGCAGGTTGTTAGAAGGGTCTTTCAAAGCTTCAAATTACTTTTTTTTTTTTTTTTTTGAGACGGAGTTTCGCTCTTGTTGCCCAGGCTGGAGTGTAATGGCGCGATCTTGGCTCACCACAACCTCCGCCTCCCAGGTTCAAGCAATTCTCCTGCCTCAGTCTCCTGAGTAGGTGGGATTATAGGGATGCACCACCATGCCCAGCTAACTTTGTATTTTTAGTAGAGATGGGGTTTCTCCAGGTTGGTCAGGCTGGTCTTGAATTCCTGACCTCAGGTGATCCGCCTTCCTCGGCCTCCCAAAGTGCTGGGATTACAGGCAGGAGCCACTGTGCCCAGCCGCTTCAAATTACTCTTAAATGGCTTTGAAACAGTGAAATTTAACTTTAAGTTGTCACCCATATCCGTACAATGGAATTTTATTCAGCCACAAAAAGGAATGAAGTACTGATACATGGTACCACATAGGTGAACCTTGAAAACATTATGCTAAGTGAAACAAGACAGTCACAAAAGACCATATACTATGTGATTCCATTTATAGGAAAGTCCAGAATAGGGAAATCTGTAGAGACAGTAGGTTAGTGGTTGCTTAGGACTGGGAGACAGGGATAATAGCTGAAGGACACAGGGTTTTTTTCTTGAAGTGACGAAACTTCTAGAATGGACTGTGCTGATAGGTACACGTATCTGTGAATATACTAAAAATCATTGAATTTACACTTTGAATGAGTTTAATGGTGTACACAAATTACATTCCATAAAGCTGCTTTTTTAAAAAAATGTTACCCATAATCCTTCCATGCCAATCCAATAACTTTATTTTCTAGGTTATTTGGACAAGAGGCACATTGACCCAATTTGGAGACGTATTTTGGAAGGAGGTGAGTTTGGAGGAGGAGAGTAGTCTTTTAAAGGAGAGAATTAGAAGAAAGATGGCGTATTTGAAGGGTTGGCTGTAGAAGAAAACAAATGGGATGAGAGAAGCAGAAACAGATTTTTAAATCTAGATTGAATAGACTGGCCAGCAGAAGAAAAGGATGTTTAACAGTCTTTCAAATTCATATTGAGAGTTGTATATATATACATATACACTTAGTATGAGCCAGGCACTGTTTATGTTACTAGGGATACAGCAGTGAACATAATAGATAAAAACCCGCTGCCTTTAGTGAGTTTGCATATTCCAGTGTGGAGAGACAGACATTAAATATTAGATGGTTATAAGTGTTCAACTTTTTTTTTTTTTTTTTTTTAAGAGAGGGTCTCACTCTGTCACCCCAGCTGGACTGCAATGGCGTGATCATGGCTCACTGCAGCCTTGATCCCCCGGTGCAGGCGATCCTCCTACCTCGGCCTCCTGTTTAACTAGGACTACAGACATGTGCCACCACATCTGGCTAATTTTTTGTAGAGACAGGGTTTTGCCATGTTGCCCAGGCTGGTCTCAAACTCCTGGACTCAAGCAGTCTATCCGCCTTGGCCTCCCAAAGTGCTGAGATTACAGGCGTGAGCCACTTCAACTAGCCAAGGTTGTAAGTGTTAATGGAGAAAAGTAAAACAGAGAAGAGGGATGAGGTTGGTAGAGTGGTCAGGGAAGACTTCATCAAGAAAGTGACATTTTAGCCCTGAAGGAGGAGAGGGAGTAAGCCACATAGATAAATGGGGAAAGAACATCATAGCAAAGAGAACTGTAGGTACGGGGACTCTGAAGTAGAAGTGTGCCTGGCACGTTTGAAGAACAGCCAAGAGGCCGGTGTTTTTACCGCAGTGAACAAGGATAAGAGTAGTAGGTGAGGTCACAGAAGTAATGAGGTTGGCCAGATCATACAGGACCTTGTCGGCAATTTTAAAGACCTTGACCCTCTGAGTAAGATGAAAAGTCATTGGAGGCTTTTGGGCAGAGGAGTTTTGTGTTTTGACACATATATATTAATGTGTTGAGAATACATTATAAGGGATGAGGTTGAAAATGGAACAGGGGGACCAGGCGTGGTGACTCATGCCTGTAATCCCAGCACTTTGGGAGGCCAAGGCAGGTGGATCACCTGAGGTCAGGAGTTCAAGACCAGCCTGGCCAACATGGTGAAACCCCGTCTCTACTAAAAATACAAAAATTAGCCAGGCTTGGTGGTATGTGCCTGTCTTCCCAGCCACTCGGGAGGCTGAGACAGGAGAATCACTTGAATCCTGGAGGCAGAGGTTGCAGTGAGCCGAGATTGCGCCATCGCACTCCAGCTTGGATGACACAGCAAGACTTTGTCTCACACACACAAAAGTGGAACGAGGAGACCAGTTAAGAGACCGTTGTCGTCATCTGGGCAACAGATAGCAGTGGGTTGGAAGCCAAGCGCAGTGACTCATGCCTATAATCCTATTACTTGTGTGGCTGAGGGGAGAGGATTGAGTGAAGCCAGGAGTTTGAGACAAGCCTAGGCAGCAAAGCAAGACCCTGTATCTAAAACAACAAAAGCAAAAACAGTGGACTGGACCAGGGCAATGAGGGCATAGGTGATAAGTAGTTGTCAGATTCTAGATATTTGGATGAGCTAGCCAGTAGGATTTGCTAATGGGTCGTGTGTGGCATGTAAGACAAAGAGAGGAGTAAAATTTCTTAAACCAAGTTTGTCTGTTTGTCATAAACAACTGGCAGCATAGAATTAGTATTTATTGGAATGTAGAATTCTGAGAGAAGAGCAGGTTTTTGTGGTGGGAGGTATGTATCAGGAGCTCAGTTTTATATTTGGCGAGCTTGGGAGACCTGCTGGACATCCCCATGGAGAGACGGGGTAGGCAGTTAGATGTGTGAGTCTAGAGTGGAGGGCAGAGTAAGGACTGAGGCATCAATTTGAAAACTACTAATGTGCACATGCTATTTAAAACTGTGAGACTTCAGGAGATCACCAAGGCAATGAGTAATGACCAGTAAGAAAAGGGGACAACCAGGAAGAGGTGTCCTGGAAGCCAAACAAAGAAAGCTTTGACGGAGTCAGGGAGAGAGGCACTGTGGGGTTCTGAGCAGGAAAATGGTATATGGAAGTAACAGTGGTGATTATCTCTTTTCATACTTTTACACAAAATTCTTTCCCAAAGGACTGAAGATTTTTTTTTTTTTTTTTTTTTTTGAGACGGAGTCTCGCTCTGTTGCCCAGGCTGGAGTGCAATGGCGCAATCTCGGCTCACTGCGACCTCCACCTCCCAGGTTCACGCCACTCTCCTGCCTCAGCCTCCCGAGTAGCTGGGACTACGGGTGCCTGCCACGACACCCGGCTAATTTTTTGCATTTTTAGTAGAGATGGGGTTTCACCGTGTTAGCCAGGATGGTCTCAATCTCCTGACCTTGTGATACACCCACCTCGGCCTCCCAAAGTGCTGGGATTACAGGCATGAGCCACCGCACCCGGCCACAGGACTGAAGATTTTAAATAGATTATACCAGGTAGAAGGACATAACAGAACATCATCTGACTTGCTCAGAATCAGAGTGGATTGACAGCGAATGCTTGATAAGAAAGTTTTCACCAAAGCAATAAAAAAATCAGCCTCTCTCCCTCTCTCCTTCTGTCTCTGTCAATCATATAACATGGTATGGCATTCCCTTTCCAGCCATGAGGTTTATCTTCATGAAAATTTCTATAATAAGGTTGCTTAAAGTACAGGAGCTCAAGATCTTGGGTTATCAATTGAGATGGAGATTATGAAGAGCCTTTTAAAGTTTATAAGTAATTTTTTTTCTTTTGCTTAAGATAATAGAGAAAGTACGCGAAATAAAGATAGCATCAGTGGCTTTATATTCATTTTAAATTTGATATAGTGGGTACTCTGCCTTAATTTCTATTTACTACTTCTGCTTTTGGAGAGGGGAGTGGGGGCAGGGGAAGTCAATATGTTGGTGAGGCTGGCCTTGAACTCCTGGGCTCAAGGGATCCTCCCTCCTCAGCCTCCTGAGTAGCAGGGACTATAGGTACGGGCCACTGCACCTCGCTCTATGTACTGTTTCTTGCTTATTAGAGACTTTTCTGCATCTTCTCCTCCTATCCTATAACTTCAAGGAAAAGATTGTAGATTTGTTTTTGTGTTGTTGCAGATAACAAGGAGACTTTTCTACTTTGTGTGCTTATCCATTTAAATATTCAATGCCATTCTGATTTTTATTTGAAAATAATTATGAGGAGTACCTTTTGAAAATTCAAAAGGCATGAATTTCAGGATTTGGAGATACTTTAAAGAATACTACATTTTAGGCCGGGCGTGGTGGCTCACGCCTGTAATCCCAGCACTTTGGGAGGCCGAGGCAGGTGGATCACAAGGTCAGGAGTTCGAGACCAGCCTGGCCAATATGGTGAAACCCTGTCTCTACTAAAAATAACAAAAATTCGCCAGGCGTAGTGGTGCACACCTGTAGTCCCAGCTACTTGGAAGGCTGAGGCAGGAGAATCGCTTGAACCCAGAAGGCAGAGGTTGCAGTGAGCCGAGATCACACCACTGCACTCCAGCTCCAGCCTGGGCAACAGAGTGAGACACTGTCTCAAAAAAAAAAAAAAGAAAAAAAAAACTACATTTTAAAACATCAGATTCTTTCCAAGAAGCAAATATGATGATGTTGAAGAGGGAACCAGTCTAATCCTGTACTGTTTTTATTTTTCTATTCGTGGCCCGTAATTATGAATTTTTGTGTATTTGATAGGTGTGAAAAAGACAGCATGAACTTTACCCCAACACACACCCCTGTCTGCAGAAAGTAAGACATTTGCTTATTTTCAAGTTGTTAAGAAATCGAGACTTGTATAGCCTTAGTCTAAGCATAGGAACTGGAAAGGTATTGGAAACATATTTCCTAAAGTTTTTTTTCTTTGAGACAGAGTTTCACTCTGTGCCCAGGATGGGGTGCAGTGGTGCAATCATTGCTCATTGCAGCCTTGACCTCCTGCACTCAAGCAATCCTCCCACCTCAGCCTCCCAGAGTGCTGTGATTACAGGCATAAGCCACTGTGCCCAGCCTGAGACATCCCCTTTAGAAAATATGAAATGTTGGCCGGGCACGGTGGCTCACTCCTGTAATCCCAGCACTTTGGGAGGCTGAGGTGGGCAGGTCACAAGGTCAGGCGTTTGAGACCAGCCTGGCCAACATGGTGAAACTCCGTCTCTACTAAAAAAAAAAAAAAAAATTAACTGGGCATGGTGGTGTGCACCTGTAATCTCAGCTACTTGGGAGGCGGAGGCAGGAGAATTGCTTGAACCCAGTTGGTGGAGGTTGCAGTGAGCTCAGATCACGCCACTGCACTCCAGCCTGGGCAACAGAGCAAGACTCCATCTCAAAAAAAAAAAAAAAGAAATGTTAAGTAAACTAGTATTTCTCTCACAAGTTTTTAATCACTGGGAAAATGTTTAAGTTTTTCTTCATGCTAGTTGACAGATTTTAATATCTCTGCATGCTTATTTATTACAAGTGAGCACATATATTAACTATAACTCAGAGCTTCTGGTATAGTTTCTCCACTGTACTATTTTGTTATGTTATAAATTGCAGACAACCAAATTGGATTTATTTTCACAGGAGGGTTTCTCTTCTTCTGTACTATTTTTGTTTTTTTTTTGTTTTTTGAGATGGAGTTTTGCTCTTGTTGCCCAGGCTGGAGTGCAATGGCATGATCTTGGCTCACCGCAACGTCTGCCTCCCAGATTCAAGTGATTCTCCTGCCTCAGCCTCCCGAGTAGCTGGGATTACACACGCGTGCCACCAGGCCCGGCTGATTTTTGTATTTTCGGTAGAGACTAGGTTTTGCTGTGTTGGCCAGGTTGGTCTTGAACTCCTGACCTCAAGTAATCTGCCCACCTTGGCCTCCCAAAGTGGTGGGATTACAGGCTAATTTTTGTATTTTTGGTAGAAACTAGGTTCCGCTATGTTGGCCAGGCTGGTCTGGAGTGGCGTGATCTCGGCACTTGAACCTGCCTCCTGCGTTCAAGCAATTATTCTGCCTCAGCCTCCAGAGTAGCTGGGATTACACACGCGTGCCACCAGGCCCGGCTAATTTTTGTATTTTTGGTAGAGACTAGGTTTCACTATGTTGGCCAGGCTGGTCTTGAACTCCTGACCTCAACTAATTTGCCCGCCTTGGCCTCCCAAAGTGGTCGGATTACAGGCATGAGCCACTGCACCCGGCCTGCAATATGTCTTATGGTACTACATTTTCTAATTGTTACTACATGGTCTCCCTTAGTTTATATTCTGTTTTTTTAAATTATCTTTTTCGTCTCTAATGGATTTTATTTTTACTTTAGAGACAAGGTGTTGCTATGTTGCCCAGGCTGGACTGGAACTCCTAGGCTCAAGCGATCCTCCCACCTCAGCCCCCTGAGTAGCTGGGACTGCTCAGCTACTCAGCTGTGCCACCATTCCTGGCTCTAACATGTATTTTGAATCCAGCTTTAAACCATTAGTACTTGGAAGATAATTAATAAAATTATTTACTATCCTGTAATATCAAACTTTCAATTTGTTTTTTTTTTTTGAGATAGAGTCTCGCTCTGTCGCCAGGCTGGAGTGCAATGGCATGATCTCGACTCACTGCAACCTCTGCCTCCCAGGTTCAAGCGATTCTCCTGCCTCAGCCTCCCGAGTAGCTGGAACTACAGGCGTGCACTGCCACACCCATCTCATTTTTTATTTTTGTATTTTGGTAGAGACGGGGTTTCACCATGTTGCCCAGGCTGGTCTCGAACTCCTGAGCTCAGGCAATCTGCCTGCTTTGGCCTCCCAAAGTGCTAGGATTACAGGTGTGAGCCACCACGCCCGGCCAAGATTTTTTTTTTTTTAAATAAAGACAGGGTTTCACTATATTGCCCAGGCTGGTCTTGAACCCCTGAGCTCAAGTGATTCTCCCACCTTGGCCTCCAAAAGTGCTGGGATTACAGGCATGAGCCACTATGCCTGTCCAAACTTCCAAATTTATGAGCACCTTAATTATAAGCACTTTGGGAACACAAAACCCCCTTTTATTTAGGAAGTTATAACTCATAAACTTTCGCAGAGTGTGATGAATATATCATTTCTAATTTCACGTAGGCGAACAGTTGTCTCCAAACGTGGTGTTGCCGTCAGTGGTCCCACCAAGAGGAGGGGAATGGCAGATTCACTGGAGTCAACCCCCTTGCCTTCCCCCGAAGATCGTCTGGCCAAACTCCATCCTTCTAAGGAGCTCCTGGAATATTATCAAAAGAAGATGGCTGAGTGTGAGGCAGAAAATGAGGACTTGCTGAAGAAACTGGAACTCTACAAAGAAGCTTGTGAAGGACAGGTAAAGAAACGATGCTGCTGCTTTAGAACTCTGATGGAGTCTTCATAAATTAGAGATGCCCTACAAGTGCCAGTTTATATCAGAAGCAGATGTTTTATAAAAATACTCCTTTTTTATTCCCCAGCCCAGCTATTGCCCCTTCAGGCCCTCCTTGGATCATAACCCCCAAAACTGCCCTTCCTCTCAAATCTTAAATTCTGACATCTCCATATCTCTTATACCTAGTTCTTTCATCTCCTTGTACCTGAGTAGTCCTTAACTTCTTTGTTACCTCCATAGCTTCCTGACTTTTCAGTTTTCTGAGTGCTGTATATAGCTCTGATATCAAGTCCTTCAAACCTAAACCCCATGATGCTTTACTTGAGTAGTAACTGCAGTGCCTGCAAATGACCCCTTGCTCAATTATTCTTCTGCTCCACCTGCATAGCAAAAACTGAGCTGTGGCATCATCCAGTTCTCTGCCACGTGTTCTCCTATAGCAGGATTTCTTAACCTCGGCATTATTGACATTTTGGCCTGGATGATTCTTTGTTGTGAGGGGTTGTCCTGTGCGTGATGGGATGTTTAGCAGGATCCCTGGCCTCTACCCGCTGGATGCCAGTAACACAACACCCCCAGCTGTGACAATCAAGAATCTCTCCAGACATTGCCAGATGTTTCTGGAATGGGTGTATGGATGTGCAGAGTCACTCCTGATTGAGAACACTGTTGTAGAAAGGTCACAAATCAGTACAGAATGAATCGATGGTAAACAAATTCAGCTGTACCCTCAACCATTATACAGCAGTCTTCTCACCTATCCTTACTGGCTTTCCTCTCCTTCCACATCTGTGCCATACCCTCACCTCTAGCCTGCAACCCCTTCTTAGCCCTCCTCTCTCAACATCTTTTCTGCCATCTGCACACCGTTACTCCATCCGTATCTATCTCCTTCTTCCTTCCTTTGTTTTTTCTCTGGTTGCTTTTCTTTTTTTTTTTGAGACGGAGTCTCGCTCTGTCGCCCAGGCTGGAGTGCAGTGGCGCGATCTCAGCTCACCACAAGCTCCGCCTCCCGGGTTCATGCCATTCTCCTGCCTCAGCCTCCCGAGTAGCTGGGACTGCAGGCGCCCGCAACCATGCCTGGCTAATTTTTTGTACTTTTAGTAGAGACGGGGTTTCACCGTGTTAGCCAGGATGGTCTCAATCTCCTGACCTCGTGATCTGCCCACCTCGGCCTCCCAAAGTGCTGGGATTACAGGAGTGAGCAACCGTGCCCGGCCTGTTTTTTTGTTTTTTTGAGACAGCGTCTTACTCTGTCGCCCAGGCTGGAGTGCAGTGGCGCGATCTCAGCTCACTGCAAGCTCCGCCTCCCGGGTTCACGCCATTCTCCTGCCTCAGCCTCCCGAGTAGCTGGGACTACTGGTGCCTGCCACCATGCCCAGCTAATTTTTTTGTATTTTTTTAGTAGAGACAGGGTTTCACCGTGTTAGCCAGGATGGTCTCGATCGCCTGACCTCGTGATCCACCCGCCTCGGCCTCCTAAAGTGCTGGGATTTCAGGCATGAGCCACTGCGCCCGGCCTCTCTAGCTACTCTTTTTATATAAATGGCTCTTTCTTTTCCCAGTCACACTTCCAGAATCTTTTGACTTTCCCATTCACTGAATGGGATTTTTTTTTTTTTTTTTTTGAGACGGAGTCTCGCTCTGTCGCCCAGGCTGGAGTGCAGTGACGCAACCTCAGCTCACTGCAAGCTCTGCCTCCTGGGTTCAAGCAATTCTCCTGCCTCAGCCTCCCGAGTAGCTGGGATTACAGGTGCACGCCACCACACCTGGCTAATTTTTTGTATTTTAGTAGAGGCAGGGTTTCACTGTGTTGCCCAGGCTGGTCTCAAACACCTGAGTTCAGGCAACCTGCCTGCCTCGGCCTTCCAAAGTGCTGGGATTACAGGCGTGAGCCACCGCGCCCAGCTGGGAAATGTCTTGACTGCAGTTTCATCTCGGTCCTTGCCATGCCACTAAAACCGTGCCGTCTGCGGTCTCCAAATACCTGTTTACCAAACTTTTCTCTTTTTGCCCTTTGCAGTGTCTGTCACTTTTGACCTCTCTTTTTCTAAAATTTTCTTCCTTTCTTGATTTCCTTTTTTTTTTTTTTGAGACGGAGTCTCACCCTGTCTGCCAGGCTGGAGTGCAATGGCACAATCTCGGCTCACTGCAACCCCTGTCTCCCGGGTTCAAACGATTCTCCTACCTCAGCCTCCCAAATAGCTGGGATTATAGGTGCCCACCACCACACCTAACTAATTTTTGTATTTTTAGTAGAGGTGGGTTTTCACCATGTTGGCCAAGCTCATCTCAAACTCCTGACCTTGTGATCCGCTTGCCTTGGCCTCCTGAAGTGCTGGGATTACAGGCGTGAGCCTGGCCTCCTTTCTTGATTTCTGTGTCATTTTTCTTTCACAATTTCTATCTAACCTCTCTGATCAGCTCATCTCAGTGTCCATTAACAACTCTCTTTCCTTACTCTTAAATTTCAGAGTTCTTCCAGATTCTACTATAAATGACCTTGTTTTATCCTTGTATTACACTTCTGCATACGGGATGATGACTGTTAAATAACTAACCCTGACTCACTTTTCTCCTGAGGCTCCTTTCTCTACCCTCCCTTCCCCACCCGCACATGTACTGCCACCATTTCGCCTTCCTCCGTTTCTCATGCCTTAACTTTTTCTTTATTCTTTGTCTTGGCAAATGGCATCATTGCCTACGGTTCTTCCAGTCCCCCTAAACCGAATCATTTGGCAAGTCCTGTTGATTCTGCTTCCTAAATATTACTTAATCCATTCCCACACCCACCTCACTTTGGCCACGATGCTCACACAGACCCTTGAGTTGCGTCTAAACTGTGACGGTGTCCTCCTTGCCAGTACCTGCCTCTGGCCTCTTACATCCCCAGTTGGCCTCACACTTTTCACTCTAGCAGTACTGAAATATTTGTACTTGTCCAAATTTAATAGGCTTTTGTTTTTTGGAGGTTTACTTGTCATTTTTATCACATTATGTATGTATACAATGAATTACAGGGTAATTCATTCCATTTGGGCTCCTGGATAGCTTCAGGATGGGAGCTGGTTGCCAGATGGCAGTGATGCAGCATCTCTGAATACATTTACTGGGACACAGTGTGAGCCACCGTGCCCAGCCTAATTGTTTTTGTAGATTCTACAAAAAAAGTGTTTCCAACCTTTTGAGTTCCACTGTGGACTTGTATGCTCTCCCTTTCTCTGAATCAGTTGTTAATATTTATTAACATAATTATTAACATAATATTATGTTAATATAATCAACATAATATTATGTTAATATAATCAACATAATATTATGTTAATATAATCAACATAATATTATGTTAATATAATCAACATAATATTATGTTAATATAATCAACATAATATGTTGATATTATTAACATAATTAACATAATAATATGTTAATATTAACATAATTATTAACATAATAATATGTTGATATTATTAACATAATTATTAACATAATATGTTAATATTAACATAATTATTAACATAATAATATGTTGATATTATTAACATAATAATATGTTAATAAAAATGTAATAAATATTTTTATCACATTATGTATGTATCTATAGACCTCTGGGTTTTTTGTTTTTTGTTTTTTGAGTTAGGGTCTTGCCCTGTTGCCCAGGCTGGAGTGCAGTGGTGCGATCATAGCTCACTGCAGCCTCAACGTCCTGGACTCAAGCAATCCGCCTGCCTCAGCCTCCCAAGTAGCTGGGACTACAGGCATGTATCACCATGCCCAGCTAATTTTTTATTTTTTATTTTATTTTGAGATGAAGTCTTGCTCTTGTCACCCAGGCTGGAGTGCAGTGGCACAATCTCGGCTCACTACAACCTCCGCCTCCCAGGTTCAAGCAATTCTCCTGCCTCAGCCTCCTGAGTAGCTGGGATTATAGGCGCCCACCACCATGCCCGGCTAATTTTTGTACTTTTAGTAGGGACTGGATTTCACCATGTTGGCCAGGGTGGTCTTGAACGCCTGACCACAGATGACCCATCTGGCTCGGCCTCCCAAGGTGCTGAGATTACAGGTGTGAGCCACTGCACCCTGCCCAATTTTTTATTTTTTGTAAAGACAGAATCTCGCTCTGTTGTCTAGGATGGTCTTGAACTCCTGGGCTCAAGCCATCCTCCCACTTTAACCTCCCAAAGTGTTGGGATTACGGGCGTGAGTCACTGTGCCCAGCCTTTATGAAATTATTTTTAATGACCTTGCCCAATTTTAAGTGTTCAGTTGAGTAGTGTTAAGTGTTTATGTGTGTGTGTGTGTGTGAGTCTGTGGGTGTGTGGGGGTGTGTGTGTGTGTGTGTGTGTGTGTGTGTGTGTATATATATATATATATATATATATATATATATATATATTTCTTTTTTTTTTTTTTGGAGGCAGTCTGGCTCTTTCACCCAGGCTAGAGTGCAGTGGTGCCATCTCAGCTCCCTGCAACCTCCGCTTCCTGGGTTTAAGCAATTGTCCTGCCTCAGCCTCCCAAGTAGCTGGGATTATAGGGTGCGCCACCACACTCAGCTGATTTTTGTTTTTTTGGTAGAGATGGGGTTTTGCCATGTTGGTCAGGCTGGTCTTGAACTCGTGGCCTCAAGTGATCTGCCACGCCTGGCGTGTTAAGTATATTCACATTGTTGTGTGACTGATCTCTAGAACGTTTTCATTTTACAAAACCAAAACTCCATCCCATTAAACAGATCATTTCTCCCCACACTCCCTGTAACCACTATTTTACTTGCTATTTCTATGAATTAGAAATAGAGCAGGATTTGTCAGGCATGGTGGCTCGTGCCTGTAATCCCAGCACTTTGGGAGGCCGAGGCCGGCGGATCACCTGGGGTCAGGAGTTCGAGGCCGGCGGATCACCTGGGGTCAGGAGTTCGAGACCAGCCTGACCAACATGGCAAAACCTGTCTCTATTAAAAATACAAAAATTAGCTAGGCGTGGTGGCACATACCTGTAGTCCCAGCTACTTAGGAGGCTGAGGCAGAAGAATCGCCAAGGAGGTGGAGGTTGCAGTGAGCTGAGATCACACCACTGCATTCCAGCCTGGACGACAGAGCAAGGCTCTGTCTCAAAAAAAAAAAAAAAATAGAGCAGGATTTATTTAGAATAGAGTGGAATCATACTGTAGTTTTTCTTTTTGTAACTGACTTATTTCACTTAGCATAATGTCCTCAAGTTTCGTCTGTGTTGTAGCATGTGATGAGATTGTCTTCCTTTCTGACAACATCAGGCTCTCTCATGGTTCTTATTTACAGTTCTCTTTTCTTGGAGTACCAACTGTCTGCTTCTCTCTCTACCCATCTTCTGTTCATCTGTCAAGTGTCAGCTCTTGGGTGGTAGCGCTTTGATTTCCCAAACAGATCTCAGAATGTTTATTCCTGCCACGCTTTCCCCCACACCATTTCACCATGCATGCTTTCATGAAGTAATTATTTTATTTTAATCATTTGCCTCTCTCCCCATGAAATTCCGTAGCTCTGTAGACAGGAATCGTATCTTTTCATCTTTGTTTTCCTGCATGTCATAATAATGCTTATGATATAGGAAACATTACTAAAAAAGTGTGGATAGGCTAGGTGTGGTGGCTCACGCCTGTAATCCCAGCACTTTGGGAGGCCAAGGTGGGTGGATTGCCTGAGCTCAGGAGTTCAAGCCAGCCTGGCCAAAATGGTGAAACCCCGTCTCTACTAAAATTAGCTGGGCGTGGTGCACACCTGTAATCCCAGCTACTCAGGAGGCTGAGACAGAAGAATCACTTGAACCTGGGAGGTGGAGGTTGCAGTGAGCTAAGATCATGCCACCGCATTCCAGCCTGGGCGACAGAGTGAGACTCTGTCTCAAAAAAAAAAAGTGTGGATAGAATAGGTGAGTCGTACAGCATTCTGGATTCTATAGTCTGTAAAAGGAAGATGTGAGAGCTTTGATGTTAAATGCAAACTTCACACTCATCCTGTAGCTGTTAAACTCCAGTCAAGGCTGGGCATGGTGGCTCGTGCCTATAATCCCAGTACTTTGGGAGACTGAGGCGGGTGGATCACTTGAGGTCAGGAGTTTGAGACTAGCCTGCCCAACATGGCGAAACCCCATCTCTACTAAAAATACAAAAATTAGCCGGGCATGGTGGCATGCACCTGTAATCTCAGCTACTCGGGAGGCTGAGGCACAAGAATCACCTAGAAGGTGGAGGTTGCAGTGAGCTGAGATCGTGCCACTGCACTACAGCCTGGGCAACAGAGCAAGACTTGGTCTCAATAAATAAAAAAACAAACAAACTCCAGTCTATACATGCCTATTGCTGTCATTTGAATTCTGTATTGGCAAAATTATTTACTTTGGAATATTTCTACATGAGTAGACTCCTCCCTATCCAGTGAGAGATACTCCATTGAAACCCAGTGTCTTTCAACTATCTTATTGTGGTTTTTTTGCAGCATAAACTTGAATGTGATTTGCAGCAGAGGGAGGAAGAGATTGCTGAATTGCAGAAAGCTCTAAGTGATATGCAGGTCTGCCTCTTCCAGGAACGGGAACATGTTTTACGCCTCTACTCAGAAAATGACCGACTGAGAATCAGGTACCAAATAGGAGAAGGGAAATGTTGGAGTTTAACTTTAAATTACATTCATTCATTCATTCATTCATTCATTCATTGATTTAGAGGCAGTATCACTCTATTGCCCAGGCTGGAGTACAGTGGCGCTCTCTTGGCTCACTGCAGCCTCCACCTCCTGGTTCCAGCGATTCTCATGCCTCAGCCTCTCGAGTAGCTGGGAACACAGGTGTGCACTACAAGGCCTAGCTCATTTTTGTATTTTTAGTGGAGATGGGGTTTTGCCCTGTCAGCCACGCTGGTCTCGAACTCTTGGCCTCAAGTGATCCGCCCACCTCAGCCTCCCGAAGTGTTGGGATTACAAGCGTGAACCACCATGCCCAGCCCTTTAAATTACTTTTAAAAAGATACATTTCTCCACATTAATTCTCTTAGGTTGTATTCTCTAGGAAGTGGACTCTGAGATGGAGATTTGCCTTCACGGTAGTTACTGGAGAAGCTCTCTGGAATAATAGCTATGAGCAGATTTGGGCAGAGGTAGAATATGAACGGATACTGTGGTAACAGAAGCCTTAACCAACCCCCATAGGGAGCACTAAGGATAGGGTGGTCTTTCGGCAGCAAAGGACTGAGAATTTTGTGTCCCCACATTGACCAGTCATAGGATGCAGGTAGTCCCCAGGGAGGGTATGTAAACTTGGGAGAAGAAGCCCCCTTCAGCCAAGTGTCATTTTTCAGAGAAAAACTGAGCTCCTGGGAGATATGGTCACAAGAAGGAGTCATAGCAGTACACTACATGTTCCATTACAGTGCTCTTCTGTGTGTGTGTGCTGGGAGTGAGAGGGTAAAATACACATAGCAGCACACTCCATGTTCCATTACAGTGCACTTCTGTGTGTGTGTGCTGGGAGTGAGAGGGTAAACACACATAGCAGCACCCTCCATGCTCCATTACAGTGCTCTTCTGTGTGTGTGTGCTGGGAGTGAGAGGGTAAAACACACATAGCAGCACCCTCCATGCTCCATTACAGTGCTCTTCTGTGTGTGTGTGCTGGGAGTGAGAGGGTAAAATACACATAGCAGCACACTCCATGTTCCATTACAGTGCACTTCTGTGTGTGTGTGCTGGGAGTGAGAGGGTAAAATACACATAGCAGCACACTCCATGTTCCATTACAGTGCACTTCTGTGTGTGTGTGCTGGGAGTGAGAGGGTAAAATACACATAGCAGCACACTCCATGTTCCATTACAGTGCACTTCTGTGTGTGTGTGCTGGGAGTGAGAGGGTAAAATACACATAGCAGCACACTCCATGTTCCATTACAGTGCACTTCTGTGTGTGTGTGCTGGGAGTGAGAGGGTAAAATACACATAGCAGCACACTCCATGTTCCATTACAGTGCACTTCTGTGTGTGTGTGCTGGGAGTGAGAGGGTAAACACACATAGCAGCACCCTCCATGCTCCATTACAGTGCACTTCTGTGTGTGTGTGCTGGGAGTGAGAGGGTAAACACACATAGCAGCACCCTCCATGTTCCATTACAGTGCACTTCTGTGTGTGTGTGCTGGGAGTGAGAGGGTAAATACACACATAGCAGCACCCTCCATGTTCCATTACAGTGCACTTCTGTGTGTGTGTGCTGGGAGTGAGAGGGTAAATACACACATAGCAGCACCCTCCATGTTCCATTACAGTGCTCTTCTGTGTGTGTGTGCTGGGAGTGAGAGGGTAAAACACACATAGCAGCACCCTCCATGCTCCATTACAGTGCACTTCTGTGTGTGTGTGCTGGGAGTGAGAGGGTAAAATACACATAGCAGCACACTCCATGCTCCATTACAGTGCACTTCTGTGTGTGTGTGCTGGGAGTGAGAGGGTAAAATACACATAGCAGCACCCTCCATGCTCCATTACAGTGCTCTTCTGTGTGTGTGTGCTGGGAGTGAGAGGGTAAAATACACATAGCAGCACACTCCATGTTCCATTACAGTGCACTTCTGTGTGTGTGTGCTGGGAGTGAGAGGGTAAAATACACATAGCAGCACACTCCATGTTCCATTACAGTGCACTTCTGTGTGTGTGTGCTGGGAGTGAGAGGGTAAACACACATAGCAGCACCCTCCATGCTCCATTACAGTGCACTTCTGTGTGTGTGTGCTGGGAGTGAGAGGGTAAACACACATAGCAGCACCCTCCATGCTCCATTACAGTGCACTTCTGTGTGTGTGTGCTGGGAGTGAGAGGGTAAACACACATAGCAGCACCCTCCATGTTCCATTACAGTGCTCTTCTGTGTGTGTGTGCTGGGAGTGAGAGGGTAAAACACACATAGCAGCACCCTCCATGCTCCATTACAGTGCACTTCTGTGTGTGTGTGCTGGGAGTGAGAGGGTAAAATACACATAGCAGCACACTCCATGCTCCATTACAGTGCACTTCTGTGTGTGTGTGCTGGGAGTGAGAGGGTAAACACACATAGCAGCACCCTCCATGCTCCATTACAGTGCTCTTCTGTGTGTGTGTGCTGGGAGTGAGAGGGTAAAATACACATAGCAGCACACTCCATGCTCCATTACAGTGCTCTTCTGTGTGTGTGTGCTGGGAGTGAGAGGGTAAATACACACATAGCAGCACACTCCATGTTCCATTACAGTGCGCTTCTGTGTGTGTGTGCTGGGAGTGAGAGGGTAAATACACACATAGCAGCACACTCCATGTTCCATTACAGTGCACTTCTGTGTGTGTGTGCTGGGAGTGAGAGGGTAAAATACACATAGCAGCACCCTCCATGTTCCATTACAGTGCTCTTCTGTGTGTGTGTGCTGGGAGTGAGAGGGTAAACACACATAGCAGCACCCTCCATGTTCCATTACAGTGCTCTTCTGTGTGTGTGTGCTGGGAGTGAGAGGGTAAAACACACATAGCAGCACCCTCCATGCTCCATTACAGTGCACTTCTGTGTGTGTGTGCTGGGAGTGAGAGGGTAAAATACACATAGCAGCACACTCCATGCTCCATTACAGTGCACTTCTGTGTGTGTGTGCTGGGAGTGAGAGGGTAAACACACATAGCAGCACCCTCCATGCTCCATTACAGTGCTCTTCTGTGTGTGTGTGCTGGGAGTGAGAGGGTAAAATACACATAGCAGCACACTCCATGCTCCATTACAGTGCTCTTCTGTGTGTGTGTGCTGGGAGTGAGAGGGTAAATACACACATAGCAGCACACTCCATGTTCCATTACAGTGCGCTTCTGTGTGTGTGTGCTGGGAGTGAGAGGGTAAATACACACATAGCAGCACACTCCATGTTCCATTACAGTGCACTTCTGTGTGTGTGTGCTGGGAGTGAGAGGGTAAAATACACATAGCAGCACCCTCCATGTTCCATTACAGTGCTCTTCTGTGTGTGTGTGCTGGGAGTGAGAGGGTAAACACACATAGCAGCACCCTCCATGCTCCATTACAGTGCTCTTCTGTGTGTGTGTGCTGGGAGTGAGAGGGTAAAATACACATAGCAGCACACTCCATGCTCCATTACAGTGCTCTTCTGTGTGTGTGTGCTGGGAGTGAGAGGGTAAATACACACATAGCAGCACACTCCATGCTCCATTACAGTGCTCTTCTGTGTGTGTGTGCTGGGAGTGAGAGGGTAAAACACACATAGCAAAAAGTTCACCATTTTAGCCATCTGAAGTGTACGGTTCAGTGGCATTAAGTATATTCACGTTGTTGCACAACTGTCAACATCATTGAACTCCAGAACATTTTCATATTCCTAAACTGAAATTGTATACTCATTCAACAGTAACTCCCACATCCCCGTTACCCCAGTTCCTGGAACACACTATGCTACTTTTCGTCTCCATGAATTTGACGATTTTAGGTGCCTCACGTAAGTGGAATCATACAGTATTTGTTATGCTTATTTCACTCAGCGTAATGTCTTCAAGGTTCATCCATGTTGTAGCATGTGTCAGAATTTTCTTCCTTTTTAAGACTGAACAATATTCCATTATATGTGTGTACCACATTGTGTTTATCCATTCATCCACCAGTGGAGCTCAGCTCACTGTAACCTCCGCCTTCCAAACTGAAGCTGTCCACCCACCTCAGCCTCTTGAGTAACTGGGACTACAGGTGTGTGCCAACATGTCTGGCTAATTTTTTTTGTAATTTCTGTAGAGACAGGGTTCTGCCATGTGGCCCAGGCTGGTCTCCAACTTCCAAGCTCAAGTGATCTGTCTGCCTCAGCCTCCCAGAGTGCTGGGATTACAGGTGTGTGCTACTGTGCCCGGCTGAGACCTTACTTTTAATTCTTTTGTGTATATACCCAGCAGTAGATCACATTGTAATTCTGTTTTTATTTTTTTGAGTAACTGCCATACTATTTTCCATAGTGTTTATACCATTTTATATTCCCACCAGCAGTGCACAAGGGTTTCAGTTTCTCCACATCCTTGACAATACCTGTTATTTTCTTTTTTTTTTCTTTTAAGCCTTTTTTTTTTTTTTTTTTTTTTTTGAGACAGGGTCTCACTCTGTCACCCAGGCTGGAGTGCAGTGGCATGATCTTGCCTCACTGCAGCCTTTACCTACCTCCTAGGCTCAGGTGATCCTTGCACTTCAGCCTCCAAGTAGCTGTGACTACATGCATGTGCTGCCATGCCCAGCTAATTTTTATATATATATATATTTTTTTTTTTTGTGGAGACAAGGTTTCACCATGTTTCCCAGGCTGGTCTCAAACTCCTGAGCTCAAGCAATCCTCCTGCCTCAGCCTCCCAAAGTGCTGGGATTACAGGCATGAGCCACCATGCCTGGCCAACACTTGTTATTTTCTGGGTGTTTTTTGTGTTTTTTGTGTTTTTTTTTGTTTTGTTTTTTTTTTTTTTTTTTTGAGACAGGGTCTTGCTCAGTCACCCAGGCTGGAGTGCAGCGGCATGATCACAGCTCACTGCAGCCTCAACCTCCCAGGCTCAGATGATCCCCCCAACCTCAGCCTCCCAGTTAGTTGGGACCATGGGTGCGCACCACTGTGCTTGGCTAATTTTTGTATCTTTTGAAGAGATGGGGTTTCCCCGTTTTGCCCAGGCTGGTCTCACACTCCTGGGCTCAAGCGATTTGCCCACCTTGGCTTCCCGAAGTGTTAGGATTACAGGCGTGAGCCACTGTGCCCAGCCTTATTTTCTGTTTATTTGATAGTAACCGTCTTAATGGGTGTGAGGGAGTCTCATTGTGGTTTTGATTTGCATTTTTAAATGTTGAGCATCTTTCTTGTGCCATTTATATATCTTCTTTGGAGAAATGTCTATTCAAATATTTTGCCCATTTTAATAATTGGGTTGTTTTTGTTGTTGAGTTGAAGTTCTTTTTTGTTGTTGAGACAGGGTCTTGCTCTGTCGCCCAGGCAGTGGCGTGATCACGGCTCACTGCAACCTTTGTCTGCTGGGCTCAAGCTGTCCTCCCATGTCAGCCTCCTGAGTAGCTGGGACTACAGGCATGTGCCACTACACCTGGCTAATTTTTGTATTTTTGGTAGAGTCAGAGTTTCGCGATGTTGCCCAGGCTGGTCTCAAACTCCTGAGCTCAAGTGATCCTCACCTCACCCTCCCAAAGTGCTGGGATTATAGATGTGAGCCACCGTGCCTGGCTATAGAAGTTCATTATATATTCTGGATATTAAACCTTTGTTAGATATACAGATGCATGCAAATATTTTCTCCTGTTCCATAGATTGCCTTTTTATTTTCTCCTCTTTTTTTTTTTTTTAGGGGCAGGGTATCACTCTGTCGGCCAGGGTGATCCTCCTGCCTTAGCCTCTGGAGTAGCTGGGATTATAGGCATGCACCACTATGCCTGGCTAATTTATTTTCTTTTTTTCATTTTTTTGTAGAAACAGGGCAGATCTCACTATATTCCTTAGGCTGGTCTTGAACTTCTGACCTCAAGTGATCCTCCTGCTTCAGCCTCCCAAAGTGCTAGGATTACAGGAATGAACCACTATGCCGAGCCAGGAGTTTTTAATTTTTATGAAGTTCAATTTATGTATTTTTTTATTTTGTTGCTTCTGCTTTTGGTATCACATTCAAGAAATCATTGCCAGATTCATTGTCAGGAAACTTTTCTCCTATGTTTTCTTCTGAAAGTTTTATTATTTTAGCTCTTACGTCTAGGTCTTTGATCCATTTTTAGTTAATTTTTGTATACAGCATTAGGTAAGGTTCCAACTTCATTATTTTGCATGTGGATGTCCAGTTTTCTCAACATCATTTGTTGAGAAGACTTAGCCACATGGTTTCTTTCTTTTTTTTTTTTTTTTTAATTTTTATTTTGAGACAGGGTCTCCCTCTGTCACCCAGGCTGGAATGTAGTGGCACGATCTCGGCTCACTGCAACCTCCACCTCCCAGGCTCAGGTGATCCTCCTGCCTCATCCTTCCAAGTAGCTGGGACTACAGGCACGAGCCAACACACCTGACTAATTTTTGTATTTTTTGTAGAGACAGGGTTTTTCCATATTGCCCAGGCTGATCTCGAAGTCCTGAGCTCAAGCAATCTGCCCTCCTCAGCCTCCCAAAGTGCTGGGATGTCAAGCGTGAGCCACCGCACCCAGCCTCGCCACGTGGGTTTTTGGTGTCCCACGGTCAAGTGCTCCGTTTTTAGCAGGATCTACTAGCATGGCAGAAGCTGGTTTTCAAATGTTGTCATTCTCAGCTGTAGACAGCATGGTCTCGCTCCAGATTCTCAGAGGGTCTGTTAGGATTCTTGTCGTGGTGCTTGCCGTAAACTCCACCTGGTACCTTGTGCCACCACAGACACCATAGGATCCGCCAAATGATGTCCCAAGCAGCAGAGCATCCTTTCAACTCTGGGCCACACCGAAAGCTCGCCTTCCATGTCAGTTGATACATAGGTCAGAGCAGTATTCCAAAATGCGGAGTATGTTGTCTCCAGAACCTGAAGTCTCCTTTCGGGCATTGTGCTTCCTTCTTGGTGGTAGCATGTACCAGGTGAAATAATTTGATCTTTACATCGGAGGGAATATCCTGGGATACCTGGATCACAGCCTTAAAAACTTCACTCATGTGCTTCGTAAGGTTCATCTGCAACCCTCCCGAGCACACGTATCTTACCACGTGCACTTGCTGTTTCTTGTTCATGCCGTCTGATTTAACGCGATATCATCAGTAGTGAGCTACTGGCCATCTGTGGAGTAGCCAGATCCAGATTCTTTTTTTTGTTTTTGTTTGTTTGTTTGTTTGTTTTTGAGATGGCGTCTCAGTCTGTCACCCAGGCTGGAGTGCAGTGGCGTGATCGCAGCTCACTGCAACCTCCGCCTCCCAGATTGAAGTGATTCTCCTGCCTCAGCCTCCCGAGTAGCTGGGACTACAGCGCACGCTATCACGCCCAGCTAATTTTTGTACTTTTTAGTAGAGATGGGGTTTCACCATTTTGGACAGGCTGGTCTCGAACTCCCGACCTCGTGGTCCACCCGCCTCGGCCTCCCAAAGTGCTGGGATTACAGGTGTGAGCTACCGCGCCCAGCCCAGATTCTTTTATACTGTATTGACAGAAAGTAAAAGCGTTAACATGGCCCTGGGAAAGACTATAAAAGCACACTGCTGTCCATGTCACATGATGTGAACTGCCTCTGGTCTTTTGAGGGGTAGGAAAGAATCCATTTGCCTAATTAGTGGCCACTTACCATGTGCCTGAGACTAAGTAATTCTCTTCTAGCAAAGGTGCTACATCTGGCACAATGACTGAAATTGGGACCTACTGGGTAGTAGTCTACTCTTATCTTCCAGAATCCATCTGGTTTTGTATGGGTCATACTGAGGAATGAAATGAGGCTTTCATAAGGACCTCCACCTCTGCATTCTTTAGGTCTTTATTGATCGTCTTGACTGGGTAGGGAGGGGCAGTTTCTGAGGCTTTCACTTAGCTTGCCCCAGAAGCCAAGAAGCTAATTTGGAGGTACTGTCCCCCACCTAGTATGTCCATTTTAAGCATTTGGGAACTGAAGAAATGCCCATTGATTTGGTGGATCCAGTAGACCTGCTGTGAGTTGGACGTGGGCCACAATTCCATTTATTCCATGGTCCCCACGTGCCCCAGTGCCATGATGATGCTTCACGTTATCTGGTGTCGGTGTCAGCTTAGACCCTGTATCCAGCAGTCCTTAAAATGCCCAGGTCTTTCCTCTTCCCCAGTATACAGTTACTTGAATAAATGGCTATAGACCCTTTGGAGGATGTGGGGAATCATTACCATGAATATCTACTCTGTGGTGTCGCAGGGTCTTACCTTCTAGGAGTTCCAGCCTCTTCTTTAGGTAATTGTCTCTAGGACTTAAAACTGACTTGGGGCTGGTAATCCCAGCACTTTGGGGTGGCTGAGGCGGGCAGATCACGAGGTCAGGAGTTCAAGACCAGCCTGGCCAACATGGTGAAACCCCATCTCTACTAAAAATACAAAAATTAGCTGGGCATTGTGGCATGCGCCTGTAGTCCCAGCTACTCGGGAGGCTGAAGCAGGAGAATTGCTTGAACCCAGGAGGCGGAGGTTGCGGTGAGCTGAGATCATGCCATTGCACTCCAGCCTGGGCGACAGAGCGAGACTCTGCCTCGGAAAGAAAAAAAAAAACGGACTCGGGCCTGAAAAACGAGTCAGAGATTGTGATTTTGTTTGGGGTGCAGCCCTCAGCCTCTTTTCCATCTTTGACTTATCTTTTATTGTTTGAGCTATACTCTGTTGACTACCCATCTACCTTGCTGCTAGAAACGCCACGTTCTGTAAACCATCTCCATATCAAGTCGCTCTGAAATCCCTTTTTATGTTGTTTTTTTTAATTAATTAATTTTTTTTTTTTTTTTTGAGACAGAGTCTTGCTCTGTCGCCCAGGCCAGAGTGCGGTGGTGCAATCTTGGCTCACTGCAAACTCCACCTCCCGGGTTCAAGTGATTCTTGTGCTTCAGCCTCCTGAGTAGCTGGGATTACAGGTGCACGCCACCACGCCCAGATAAATTTTGCATTTTTAGTAGAGACCAAGGTTTCACCATGTTGGCCAGGCTGGTCTCGAACTCCTGACCTCAGGTGATCCGCCTGCCTCAGCCCAAAGTGCCGGGATTACAGGCATGAAACACCACACCCGGCCCGAAATCCCTTTTTAGCGTTTGCTTCCTTGGCCCAGTCCAGACCTAAGCTATCTTAGGTTGAGTTCTCTGGGAAACAGACTGTACAGTGGAGATTTGCTTGCAGGAATTTTATTGGGAAGTGAGGGAACTTAAACTGGGATTCAGTTGCAGCAGGCCTCGTCCAACACGATAGGGATCTCTGAAGCTGGGATGGCTCTTCAGAGATATCCTGAACTGAGCAAGGGGATTGGATTTTTGTGTTTCCTCATTGACCAGGCACTGGATATGGGCTGTCCCTGAGGAATGAGAGGCAGAAACTTGGGTGAGGCAGTTCCCTTGTCTGGGGATTCAACTACAAGCTATCAGCAGGCAGCATTCCTGGCAGTTGGCAGAATGAGCCCATCAGCCCCGAAGAGCAAGATCTGAGCAGTAACCCTCAGCAGCCACTACCATTCCCTTTTAGAATTAGCTAAGAAGTGGCCGGGCGCAGTGGCTCCCGCCTGTAATCCCAGCACTTTGGGAGGCCGAGGCAGGCAGATCACGAGGTCAGGAGATCAGGACCTTCCTGGCTAACACAGTGAAACCCTGTCTCTACTAAAAATACAAAAATTAGCCGGGCATAGTGGCGGGCGCCTGTAGTCCCAGGTGCTCGGGAGGCTGAGGCAGGAGAATGGCGTGAACCCGGCAGGCGGAGGTTGCAGTGAGCCAAGACCGCACCATTGCACTCCAGCCTGGACAACAGAGCGAGACTCTGTCTCAAAAAAAAAAAAAAAAAAAAAAAAAAGAATTAGCTAAGAAGTGCCCTGGCCCCTTTTCTCTGAATGGAAATACCTGATGTTTTACGAAGTAGAGCTGAAGTCTAGATACAAACTATTCAATTTTAATTTGAGGTTACTGTTTTAATTTGGGGTTACAATTGTTTTAAAAAAAAAATAGAAGGGAGATCCTTTAAACAGAAAAAGGTTACTTACTTGGGACATTTAATAATATGTGCTTGCTTTCCATGAGAATTGCAGGGAGCTAGAAGACAAGAAAAAGATTCAGAATCTCTTGGCTCTTGTGGGAACAGATGCTGGAGAAGTGACCTATTTTTGTAAGGAGCCTCCTCACAAAGTAAGTAATCTTTGGTGTAGCATGGTGAGTGTGGCTTTACAAGTCACAGGCTAAGGCCCATCATCAGAAGAACTTTAGTATCCGCTGGAGAAGGCAGATGGAGAATTAGCCATCACAGTGCCTTGTTTGCCTGAGTTTTTAAAGCATTTTTCTTCGAAAACCTTGGGAAGTAGCATTATTTACCCCATTTCAATGTTTAGAAACCTGAAGCACAGAGGGGTGGCTGTTTTAGCTGAGACAGAGAGGAAAGCAGGAGCAGACTATGTGTGGGAGCAAGTTTTGATGCTTAAGTTTCTTTTTAAATCTTTGTTTATACTGATTACAAATGTAATCCATGGTCTTTATTAAAAACAAACACAGAGTATAGTAATCTATCATATAAAAGTGGCAGGTTCTCATAATCCTATACCCCAGAGATAATCCATTAGTAATAGTTTGGTGTATATACTTCCATCTCTTTCTTCATTCCTATAGAAATAGTTATGTGTCTGTGTATACTATTTCTATTTTTTCACTTCTATAAACAGTTCCTGAGCATTTTTATACATATCTGTATACGTATACTTCTGTTTTCTAAAGGTCCTTGGCCAAGAGCTACTTTTTTTTTTTTTTTGAGACAAAGTCTCATTCTGTTACATAGGTTGGAGTGCAATGCGCAATCTCGGCTCACTGCAACCTCCGCTCTGGGGCTCAAGCACTCCTCCCACCTCAGCCTCCCAAGCAGCTGGGACTACAGGTGTACACCACCACGCCCAGCTAATTTTTGTATTTTTTGCAGAGATGGGGTTTCACCATGTTGCCCAGGCTGGTCTCGAACTCCTGAGCTCAAGCAGTCCGCCCACCTTGGCCTGTCAAAGTGCTGGGATTACAGGCATGAGCCACCACACCCACCAAAGAGCTGCTTTTAAAAAAACAATAAAAATTTTAAAAAAATTTTAGAGCTGAGGTCTTGGTATGTTGCCTAGGCTGGACTCACACTTCTGGGCTTAAGCACCATCCTTCCACTGTAGCCAGCCTTCCAAGTAGCTGGAACTACAGGGGTGCACCACTGTGCCCCAAGCTGTTTTTGTTTTTGTTTTTAATCATATATTACTAAATAGCCCTGCAATTTTGTTTATTTATTTATATTTATTTATTTATTTTTCAAGATGGAGTTTCGCTCTTGTACACCAGGCTGGAGTGTAATGGTGCAATCTCGGCTCACCACAACCTCCGCCTCCCAGGTTCAAGTGATTCTCCTGCCTCAGCCTCCTGAGTAGCTGGGATTACAGGCATGTGCCACCACGCCTGGCTAATTTTGTATTTTTTATAGAGATGGGGTTTCTCCATGTTGGTTAGGCTGGTCTTGAACTCCCGACCTCAGGTGATCCGCCCACCTTGGCCTCCCAAAGTGCTGAGATTATAGGCATGAGCCACCGCACCTGGCCTTATTTTTATTTTTTTAGAAACAAAGTCTCATTTTGTTGCCCAGGTTGGAGTGCAGTGGAGTGATCATAACTCACTGCAGCCTTAAGCTCCTAAGCTTAAGCAATCCTCCCACCTTAGCCTCCTGAGTAGCGGGGACCACAGGCACATGCCACCACACCTGGCCTACCTTTTTAAGTTTATATTGTCAACACAGGGTTTTATCCAGTTTGCTACTTTGCCTGTGTGGTCTGTCATGTGCATGACATCCTTATATGATCATATCAGTTTTGACTAATTTAACTTCTAGTGTTCAATCTGCAGAACTAAGGCTGAAAAGTAAAATATTACGTTTATAGGAAGGCTACTTCAATACCAGTTTTTGCTTCTTCAGGTCACCATTCTCCAAAAGACTATCCAGGCTGTAGGTGAATGTGAGCAGAGTGAATCTTCAGCTTTCAAAGCAGGTAACAACCATATAACCTATTAGAAATTCTCATCAATGCAGAATTGAAAATCACAGTGCAGGCTGGGCGCGGTGGCTCACGCCTGTAATCCCAGCACTTTGGGAGGCTGAGGTTGGTGGATCACCTGAGGTCAGGAGTTCGAGACCAGCCTGGCCAACATGGCAAAACCCCATCTCTACATAAAATACAAAAAACTAGCCGGGTGTGGTGGCAGGCGCCTGTAATCCTAGCTATTTGGGAGGCTGAGGCAGGAGGATTTCTTGAACCTGGGAGGCGGAGGTTGCAGTGAGCTGAGATCGTGCCATTGCGTGACAGAGCAAGACTATCTCCAAAAAAAAAAAAAAAAAAACAGAACACACAATTGGAAATGTTTTCCTACTGTACAGTGATAATTGATGTTCATAATGATGCCTTTGGTGGTCTAATGTCTTAATGAGCTTCTTGAATCATCCAAGGAATTAAATTTTGCTCAGTTCTTTTTTTTTTTTTTTTTTCTTTTGAGATAGAGTTTTGCTCCTGTTGCCCAGGCTGGAGTGCAATGGCGCGATCTTGGCTCATTGCTGCCTCTGCCTCCCAGATTCAAGCGATTCTCCTACCTCAACCTCCTGAGTAGCTAGGACGACAGGCATATGCCACCACACCTGGCTAATTTATTGTATTGTATTTTACTTTGTGTAGGAAGGGGTTCTCACTATGTCACTCAGGCTGGTTTTGAACTCCTGGCTTCAAGTGATTGTCCTGCTTTGGCCTCCCAAAGCACTGAGATTACAGGCATGAGCCACAACACCTGGCCTTATTCTGATCGAATAGGATTTACTAAGAAAATAGACACAACTATTTTAGTGGTTGATTCTAAGGAAAATTTAGTGGTTGATTCTGCCAGAAGATGAATATGATTATTTAGGTGACATCCTGCAGAGTTCCCTTATAGAGATTCCTATTTGAAAAGTTAAGCACTATGATTATGATGTTTCCCTTTGTCTTCCGAATCCCTTCATTAGTGAGAACCCCTTCATTACCCTTACAGGTAAATGAATCTGAACTCCTCTGCGTGGGAAATACTGATATTTCAATAGCACACAGAAAAGCTGAGTAAAATCTTCTTGATGGATTTTGTTTTCTATTTTAGATCCTAAAATAAGCAAAAGAAGACCATCGAGAGAGAGAAAAGAAAGTTCTGAGCATTACCAAAGAGACATACAGACACTCATCCTACAGGTAAAGAATGTATTTTGGCAGACCAAGATGGCTTTTATCCACAGGTGCAGCTCTATGTCACATACCCTCAGTGTCATGTGATAAGTATCTCCTTGCACACAGGTTACATCTAAGCATCATGTGGTTAAGAAAATTGAGATTGTTCCTAATTTCTAAGAGCTTATATTTTGAAACCATCCTTTTCTATTTGAACATTCTTAAGGTGCTACTCTGAACCTTCAATTCAATATACTAAGCCCCATCCACCAAAACCATTACAAGGTAAGAATTCACTGGCCTAGGGATATGCAGAGATTGCAGAGGGAAGCTTGTCTATGCTGATAGATCAACATTTGATGGTATATTCATTTATTTAGTGCTTAGGTTCCAAAGTCTAGGAAAGTAATGAACTGTTCTCTTACCTCCTGGTTATGTGTCATTTGGAACCATGATTTTTCATCTAGTTGCACTAAAGTTTCTGTCCTTACTGTGTTAAATCTCTGTTGATTTAAATGACAGTTTCTACCTTTGGCCAGTATCTCCATGTGGAGTCATGACAACCAGACACAGAGAAGGAAATTACATTATATTCATTTTGCTCTGCTTTTTGAAACCAAAAACTAAGAAAAGAGTCATTTTGCTTCTGTGCAGGAAGGGTGTCTTAAAGGGAGACAGTCAAGGGAGATAGTGAAAAGGCAAAAATCACAGGGTGAGAAAACTGGATTTTGTAGCTTTGTTTGTGTGTTGTAGATGCTGGGTTTCGTTTGGACAAAGAATCTACTCTTGTATAGCCTAACCCCATTTATAAGACATTAAGAGGAACTGGGCTGGGCATAGTAATGCCTGTAATCCCAGCATTTTGGGAGGCCAAGGCGAGTTGATTGCTGGAGCCCAAAAGTTCGAGACCAGCCTGGACAACATAGTGAGACCCCATCTCTACAAAAATTAAAAATGAAATTAGCTGGGTGTGGTGGTACACACCTGTAGTCCTGGAGGCTGAGGCAGGGAGGACTGCTTGAGCCCAGGGGGTTGAGGCTGCAGTGAGCTATGATCACGCCCACTGCACTCCAGCCTGGGGGACAGAGCAAGACCTTGTCTTGAAATGAACAAGAGGATTAGGATTGAGATGTTTTTGTTTGTGTTTGTTTTTTAATTTTTCTGGAGAAAGGCTCACTTTTCCTAGAGGTATGAAGTAAGTGGAAGTAGGGCTGGATTCCTCACCCCTTTTTGGCCTGTCTAGGTGGAAGCACTGCAGGCTCAGCTGGGAGAGCAGACCAAACTTTCTCGAGAACAAATTGAAGGGCTCATCGAGGACAGACGGATTCACCTTGAGGAAATACAAGTTCAGCACCAGAGAAATCAGAACAAAATCAAAGAGCTAACCAAAAAGTGAGTGTCTAAGAAAGCTGTACCTAACGGGTATTGTATTTTTCTGAGTGACTTAAAAGTTAACATTTTGTACTTGAACAACAGCGGGTCATAGAACTAAAGGGAGCCTTGAAAAGACTGTCTTCCTCAGAAACCCCCGCCTCTACGTAGGTGAGTACCTCGCTTTTCCAGGCGTGCTGTTGAAGAGCTGATGAGTATTTCACGTGCTCCTTTTAATCCATTTTGGTGTTTTAGCTTGCTTCTGGTGGCTAAGAAGTGTTCTTAGGCCGGGTGCAGTGGCTCACGCCTGTAATCGCTCCTGCCTGGGTGACAGAGTGAGACCCTGTCTCAAAAAAAAAAAAAAAGTGTTCTTTTATCCACTGATATACTATCTGACTCAATGTAGTAAGACCCTTTTCTTTTGTTTGCCCCTTCATGAATATGGAAAACATGAGTTTACATATCTAAAAAAAACTGCACACTCAGTATTTTAATCAGAACTCTGCCGGTGCTTTTATCTAGAGACATGTTATCATTTTTGGCTTCTATGAAATTTTTGTCCCAAGAAAGGCAGGATTATATTTTTTTCTAACAGATTGAGTTGGTGTAGTGTATTCTTGGTTATCAAAATACTCATATAGCTTTGGGATTTTGAATTGGTAAATATCTATGATGTGTGAAACAGCATGATACATACTGTACGATCTCAAGCCCATAAAATTGGATGTTGTGTCTACACACACGCAGGACGTAGAACGTCCTGTAAACTTTACAGTTTACAAACTGTAAAGTGCTTCTGATTGTGGATGACTTTGTTCTTTGCTTCTTGTGTGTTTTAGTTTCCTATAATGCACATACTTTAAAAAAAAAAGGTTATTTTTAAAATCTGAAAAAATAAAAACAAAAAATGGCAAACTCTGTCCTCATTGTTTTTGTTCCTAACCTGCTTACCTTTCTTTACCTGTCTGCAGTCTGACTTCATCCCCACCATTTTACTAAACATGCCCTTTCTGGGGTTCTGGGGTCACCATTGACCTCTTAACTTTTCTTTCTTTTTTTTTTTTTTTTGGAGACTAAGTCTCACTCTGTCGCCCAGGCTGGAGTGCAGTGGCGTGATCCCGGTTCCCTGCAACCGCTGCCTCCCAGGTTCAAGCGATTCTCCTGCCTCAGCCTTCCAAGTAGCTGTGATTACAGGCATGTGCCACCACACCCAGCTAATTTTGTATATTTAGTAGAGACGGGGTGTCACTGTGTTAGCCAGGCTGATCTAGAACTCCCAATCTCTGGTGGTCCACCCGCCTCAGCCTCCCAAAGTGCTGGGATTACAGGCATGAGCCACCACGCCTGGCCTACCTCTTAACTTCTGAGACCAGTTATATCTCTTCAGTTCAGTCCTTATTATACTTAGTATCTTCCTGCATGTTTGGCATCACTGATCAGCCCCTCCTTGTAATTCATTTCCCTTGATTTCTGCAGCACCTGTCTTTCTTGGTTCTTCTACCTATCTAACCCCTTCACCCTTTTGCCTGGTTCCAGTGGCCAGACCTATGCCATAAGGACATCCTCAGTTGAATGTGTTTGAGCATGTCAGATTTACCATTACTGAAACCACGCTGTTGTTTCTCCCAACAAATGCTCCCATCCCCGTCTCAAACCTACTTTTCTGTTTTTCATCTAGTTTCATGGTATCACATGTATTCCGTTTCCAAATGCTCCCATCCCCGTCTCAAGCCTACTTCTTTCTGTGTTTCATCTAGTTTCATGGTATCACATGTATTCCGTTTCCAAATGCTCCCATCCCCGTCTCAAGCCTACTTCTTTCTGTTTTTCATCTAGTTTCATGGTATCACATGTATTCCATTTCCAAATGCTCCCATCCCCGTCTCAAGCCTACTTCTTTCTGTGTTTCATCTAGTTTCATGGTATCACATGTATTCCGTTTCCAAATGCTCCCATCCCCGTCTCAAGCCTACTTCTTTCTGTGTTTCATCTAGTTTCATGGTATCTCATGTATTCCGTTTCCAAATGCTCCCATCCCCGTCTCAAGCCTACTTCTTTCTGTGTTTCATCTAGTTTCATGGTATCACATGTATTCCGTTTCCCAAGCTTGAAACCACAGGATCATCTTCAACTCTTAACTTTCTTATTCCTTAATTCCAAACCCTATGAATTATAAGCCTAAAAACCCCCTCAAGTCCATTCTCTGCTCTCTGATATAGGCAGTTCTACATGGAGCACAACATACACAAAAGCAAAGCTGTTTTTGATACTACAGAACTTGTGTTAACTTGTCAGAACTCCACAACTTAGTACTTCCTTGTCTTATTCCTAGGAATGGTCCATACTTATGCAGGCTATGTGTAAATATCCCTGTAGTCCTTCTAATCATATAACCCGAAGTTAGCACTCAGGAAAATATCTCCTGTCTGATTGTTTTGTTTCATTTTTTCCAGTAAAGACAGGGTCTTACCCTGTTGCCCAGGCTGGAGTGCAGTGGTGTGATCATAGCTTACTGCAGCCTTGAACTCCTGGGCGCAAGCAATCCTCCTGCCTCAGCCTTCCAAGTCGCTAGGATTACAGGTGCATACCACCAAACCTGGTTTATTTTTATTATTTTTTGTAGAGATGGGGTCTTGCTATATTGCCCAGGCTAGTCTCAAACTCCTGGTTTCAAGCAATCCTCTCACCTCAGCCTCCTGAAGCACTGAGATTACAGACATGAGCCACTGTGCCCAGCCTTGCACTCTCATTCTTAGTACATTAATTCAAACTCTATTCCTTTGTTTAAATTGTTCCTATTGCTGATCCTTTGTCTTTTTTTTTTTTTTTTTTTTGAGACAGAGTCTCGCTGTGTCGTCCAGGCTGGAGTGCAGTGGCACAATCTCGGCTCACTGCAAGCTCCGCCTCCCGGGTTCATGCCATTCTCCTGCCTCAGCCTCCTGAGTAGCTGGGACTACAGGCGCCCACCACCACGCCCGGCTAATTTTTTTTTTTTAATTGTATTTTTAGTAGAGACAAGGTTTCACCGTGTTAGCCAGGATGGTCTCGATCTGACCTCGTGATCTGCCCGCCTCGGCCTCCCAAAGTGCTGGGATTTCCTTCTTAGTAGAGACAGGGTTTCACCATGTTGGCCAAGCTGGTCTCGATCCTGACCTCAGGTAACCTGCCCACCTCAGCCTCCCAAAGTGTTGGGATTACAGGCGGGAGCCATCGCGCCCGGTCTGCTATGTTTCTTTTAACATAGTATAATGTGTTTGCATTTGGCCAGTATTTCTCCACCTTCATTTTTATTTTTAGTATTTTTGCACTTAAGTATAGCATCTTGACATTTCAATGGGTTTTGTTTTTAAGGAACAGATATTTTAATATTGTCATAGTAATTTGTAATTTTATATCTGTTTTCCAGAATACCAGTAACCTTCCTTGTTTAGCGTTATCTGCATATCTGAGCACATGATCGGTTCCTTCCATTAGATGGATCTTCCTAAGAAGGGCATGAAATCCAGGGCCGTTAATGACTGCCCTTTGGGTATCACTTTCAAGCTACTTGTATTTTAACAAGCCTATAGTTTCCCAGTTTGAGATTGAGAAGATAATGTAAGACAGAATAAAATAACTCATTGAAAGTGAGAGAGACCCTTGTGGTAATTGAATCAATCTCTCTCTACATACACATGCACACATACCTGACTGTATATATTCACCTTGTGACATTTACTCTACTGTGTGCTTGGCACTCTGCTGTCATTTCCTCTTATCTGTGCACTCTGTTACTCATGAAAATAAGTGGATCTCACATTATTTGTTTGGTAGAAAAATACAGTGATTGCTTCATGGTATTTAATACTCTTGCAAGCAGCCAGATCATTCAGTATAGCATTTTTCTGGGTGGTAATGTTAAACTGATGAGTTGCTAACTTCCAGGGATATTGTTTTTTAAAGATAGAGACGTTGTCTATTCCTAAATTTCAGGAAATAGTCACCATGAATCTGTTAACTGCCTGTGTATGTCCAGTAGTTAGTATTATCCTTGACAATCTCATGGCATTGGGGCAAAAATAATAAATAAGGTATATGCTTTCACTCAGGCTGGGAAAAAGTGCATGTTGACAGTTAAAATATGACAGATGAGCAAGTGTTGAATTATAAGACAAGGGAACATTAACCTGGGATGGAGTTTCAGAGAATGGAGGAATTAAAATAGGCTAAAGTTGTTGGAAATGACTTCATACAGGAAGTTGATTTTTAAAAAAGTAGGCCAGGTGCAGTGGTTCACACTTGTAATCCCAGTATTTTGGGAGGCTGGGGCGAGAGGAGTGTATGAGCCCAGGAGTTCCAGACCAGACAAGCCTAAGGAACATAGCAAGACCCCATCTCCACACACACACAAATTTTTAATGAGCTGGCAAACACCCTGGGAGGTGGTCCCAGCTGCTTAGGAGGCTGAGACAGAAGGATTGCTTGAGCCCAGAAGGTCAGGGCTGCTGTGAGCTGTGATCGTGCCTCTGCACTCCAACCTACGTGACAGAGCAAGACCCTGTCTTAAAAAAAAAAAAAAAAAAAAGTTCTTTTTAAAATAAACAAAGGATAAGATTTTGATATAGGCAGTTCTACATGGAGCACAGCATACACAAAAGCAAAGCTGTTTTTGATACTATAGAATTTGTATTAACTTGTCAGAACACCGTGATTTAGTTCTTCCTTGTCTTATTCCTAGGAATGGTCCATAGTTAACGCAGGCTATGTGTAAATATCCCTGTAGTCCTTCTAATCATATAATCTGAAGTTCGCACTCAGGAAAGTACCTGTAAAGACCAGTCTATGAACCAGTGAGCATGGGTAGATACATTATACTTTACCCAGTAAAACATGTAAGATTGCCAGTGATCAGATTTTTAAACCTGCTAATATTTTACAAAATTTATATATCACACCATTTTAAAAGAACCACTCTCTTCCATTTTGGAATAATCCTTGCTTTCAGGTGTGCTGTGTGCGCATCCTCATGTCTGCATTTATACTTTCTTTCCTAGTCTTCACCACACCCAAGAACTGCTCTATGAGAGCACCAAAGATTTTCTGCAACTCAGATCTGAAAACCAAAATAAAGAGAAGTCATGGATGCTTGAAAAAGATAATTTGATGTCAAAGATTAAGCAATATAGGGTGCAGTGTAAGAAGAAAGAAGATAAAATTGGAAAAGTGTTGCCCGTTATGCATGAGAGTCACCATGCTCAAAGTGAATATATTAAGGTAATGTCCTTATGTCGTAACGAAGTTGTTTATTTTTCTGGGAGAGTTGAAGGAATTCCAAAGAACCTACAATTTGTAATGTAAGATCCATTCAGTCCAGGAAGCTCTGGTAGCAGCTGCCTCAAGAACTAGGTTTCAAAGAGCAGCTGATCGTTGTAGTATTTGGGGATTCAAAATATTAGACTTGTTGATTCATTCATTCATTCATTCAACAAATATTTATTGTACTCCTGGCCGGGCACAGTGGTTCACGCCTGTAATCCCAGCACTTTGGGAGGCCTAGGTGGGCAAATCGTGAGGTCAGGAGTTCAAGACCAGCCTGGCCAACATGGTGAAACCCCGTCTCTACTAAAAATACAAAAAAAAAAAAAAAATTAGCTGAGCATGATGGTGGGTGCCTGTAATCCCAGCTACTTGGGAGGCTGAGGCAGGAGAATTGCTTGAACCCGGGAGGCAGAAGTTGCAGTCAGCCGAGACTGTGCCACTGCACTCCAGCCCCGATGACAGTGCGAGACTGTGTCTCAAAACAAACACAAAAAAACATAAATATTTATTGCACTCGTACTATGGGTTAGGCCCTAGAGTTACAGTAATCTAAACAAGGTCTTCCCTCATGGTGTTTACATTTTAATGGGTGAGAAAAAACAGAAACATTAGCAAATAACTAAGAAAATTATAGATTAGGCCAGACGCGATGGCTCACACCTGTAATCCCAGCACTTTGGGAGGCCAAGGCGGGTGGATCACCTGAGGTCAGGAGTTCGAGACCAGCCTGACCAACATGGTGAAACCCCGTCTCTACTGAAAATATAAAAATTGGTGGGGCGTGGTGGTGGGCACCTGTAATCCCAGTTACTCGGGAGGCTGAGGCAGGAGAATCACCTGAACCCGGGAGGCAGAGGTTGCAGTGAGCTGAGATCATGCGATTGTACTCCAGCCTGGGCGACAGAGTGGGACTCCATCTCAAAAAAAAAAAAGGACTTTGGGAGGCAGAGGTGGGTGGATCACGAGGTCAGGAGTTCGAGAGCAGCCTTGCCAGCACAGCGGAACCCTGTCTCTACCAAAAATATAAAAAAATAGCCAGGCGTGGTGGCGGACACCTGTAATCCCAGCTACTTGAGAGGCTGAGGCAGGAGAATTGCTTGAACCTGGGAGGCAGAGGTTGCAGTGAGCCGAGATCGCGCCACTGCACTCCAGCCCAGTGACAGAGCAAGGACTCCGTCTCAGAAAAAAAAAAAGAAAAAATTATAGATTATAAAATGCGGTATTAAGGGAATAAAAGAATTACATGAAAATTATATGTAGTTGCTGGAAGTCCATTGTATTAATAGAAGGAATGCACAGGGACACTCTCTTATATCTAGTGTTTCTGCTGAGACCTGAAAAATGGGACTAAGCTTGCCATACAGACCTTGAGGAAGAACATTCCTGGCAGAGGGAAGAGCAAGTTTATAGGCCCTGGAGTATGTTCAAGGAAATGGAAGGCTGTCATCATGGTTGTAGAGGAATAAATAAGGAGGAAGTGGTATGCTCTTTAAGAAGCCAGCATTGGCAGCAGCCAGTTGTGGAGGGCCTTGTGCATCATCGTATGGAGTGTGAACTTAGCTCTCAATAGTGTTATGTATTTGAAGGGTTGTGTGAAATAAGTAACATGATCTGATTTGGGTTTTTAAAAGATCATTTTAACTGCTCAATAGGGCATGTATAATAAGCGTTGTTGTTAATATTTCTTCCTTTTTAAAGAAGAACTTTAGAAATGTAGCCCAAAACATATATTGTAATGTCTTCCTTGGGACAGCTTCTGAGCTCCGTTATCTGAGTCTTCCCAGAGCCAAAAATATTTGTTTTAATTTTTACTGTGTACACTTTAGAAAAAGGGCTTAAGAGACTGGTCTAGAAGTAGATTTTCAGATGTTCCTCAAAGTTCCTTGTCATCTGGTTCCTTAACTCATTTTGTACCTCTGGAAATCCCTTCTTTTCTTTCTTTCTTTGCCTAAAAGCTACTTGAATTACCTGAATTGTAGAACTGAGTGTTAATGTTTTTTGTCCCTTTGACTTGTAGTCCCTAAAAGATAAGTTAGTACAAGAGAAAAAGCTGTCCAATATGTACCAAGAGCAGTGCATTTCCTTAGAAGAAGAACTTGCCCGAATTCGTGAGGAAGAGGGAATGAGGAGAGAGATCTTCAAGGTACGAAATTATCTGCCACTTGTAATGGAATAGGAAGTGCAGATGGCTGGGGAAGACGCTTCCCTCACCTTCGTAAATGCCTTCCCATTCCCCATATTTAGGATCGCACTAACAAGATGGGGAAGCGTTTACAGATAATGACAAAACGCTATGAGGCATTGGAGCGTCGACGTATCCTGGAAGTAGAAGGCTTTAAGACAGATATTAAAGTTCTCCGACAGAAACTGAAAGACTTGGAGCAAATGTTGTATAAGGTAATTGCTGGTCCTGAATTGCCACGAGGGAGAGAAGAGGTGTAAGTGAGGGAACATGGTCACGAGGGCCCCTGAAAAGAAGGATGTGCTGTTTCCCTGCTGGTAAACACTAACAGATCACCATCTTCAAGCCTCCCTGAAAATTAGTTCAAGAACATGCTAGAGGGAAAATAAAAAGACCCTGAAATCATTGAACGACTGCATCATTCATACTTCGATGTAAGCTAAACAGATTGTCATCCCTCCTAATTCAAGAAGTAGATTAAAGAATCGTGTCTGTCTTACAGTTGGGGAGGGTGAGTAATTGAGTGATAGAGTACTTTTTTCCAGCAGACACAGTTCTTTAGAATACAAGTCGCCTCAAGAGTCTTCTTAATGAGATTTAGCCAGTTAGCCTGTGTTCCAGACAAGGTTAGTTGCAGAAAAGAGGAGACGCCTGCTTTCATTCTGTGACAAACTTACCAGTAGTGTTGCGCTTTCATTCTGTGACAAACTTACCAGTAGTGTCGCTTATCCTGGCCTCTCTTACTCCTCTTTCATGGTGCATTGATCTCTACCTCAAGCCTCCTTTATTGCATGGGAAGGATTTTCATGAGATTTCTGCCTTAATTCTACATTTTCCTTCTTTAGTTAGCCACTGAACAAAGGATGGAATTTATCCTATGTACTCAAAATCTCACAAAAAGGAGCTAGCATAGCTGTGTCTTTTTGACTGATATCGCTCCCCTGGCATATGCCATCATCATTTCTTTTTTTTTTTTTTTTTCAAACCCCTAGGCAACAGTTAATGCCCGGGCAAACCAGGATCTTGCCCTTCTGTGTGAGGTCCGTGACAGCAATAGACGGGCACATAAGATACAAGGAGAACTGAAGAATCTTAAGTCGAAAGTGTTTGGTCTGGAGAATGAACTTAGACTCTGTTAATGTCTACTTTTGGAAATGGCCCCCATTTAGAAGAGGTGTGCTTCTTGAAACCTGAGGACAAGGTCATCTGCTGCCAGAAAATGTAAACCTGAGTTGACTAGAGTGGTGGTATTCATTATTGTAAAGACAGCTTGAAGAATCGGGGACCACTAGGAAAGCTTTTCTTGCATACTCAGCTTGCTTTATCATTTTTGCTGTCCTTTTAACACTTGCGAGGAGTAGGGGCCTGGTCCTGAATGACTTGGAGGCTTTCATTATTTATCCTGTCTGTATTGACCGGTTTTTGTTTTTTCAGAAGGCAGTGATGATGAAAACTTAGGAAGAAGGTATTTTGCAATAAGCTTGGCTGAGTGTCCATGGGAAGAATACTTTCCCTAAAGAGAGAGAAGCACTCACAGAGGCTGCCTTTCTCCTGAGCTCGGGGAGAAGGCAGCACATCACAACCTGTCACATTGAAATAGGCGCTCATTCTGCTATTTCACCTTCCGTCCTGAGCAGAGCCTGAATTACGTTTTTGGGCAATTTCATGGTGTTTCACCAGAGGGCGCTAGAGACTCAAACGAAATGTCCATCTGGAAAGATTCGGGAGACACTTTGCCGAGGGGATGAAGCTGAGATGATGCTTGTATGGAAAGTTTGATATTTTTATCAGTCACATGGCTTTTGAAAAATGATGTATATATTTTAAATTAACTATTTTCAATAAAATATTTCACTCAAAAGATTTTCTTTGAGTTTTCTGTAACTTCTTCTCAATACTATATTTATGCTTCGTTAATGACTCACGCAGCTCAGTTTACGTTCTTGTCCCATGGCCTCTGCAGTTTTGTGCAAGTGTACAAGGTTTTTTGGGGGGTTTTTGAGACAGTTTCACTCTCGTCACCCAGGCTGGAGTGCAGTGGCGTGATCTCGGTCCACTGCAGCCTCCGCCTCCCGGGTTGAAGTGATTCTCCTGCCTCAGCCTCCCAAGTAGCTGTAATTACAGGCGCTCACCACCATGCTCGGCTAATTTTTGTATTTATTTTATTTTATTTTATTTTAGTAGAGTCAGGGTTTCACCATGTTGGCCAGGCTGGTCTTGAACTCCTGACCTCAGGTGATCCACCCGCCTCGGCCTCCCAGAGTGCTGGGATAACAGGTGTGAGCCACCACACCCAGCCCACAAGTTTTTTTAAATTACTCCTTTGAAATCATCTAGTGTTGGAGATAACAAAGCTAGTACGAAGGGGATGACACTAAAACTTCATCCGTTTTTAGGCAAATTGCATTTGGGACAAAATAGTTGTTTCCATACCCAGAAAGCCTCTTGATAGTAAGTTGGTCTTTGCTTAAGATAGCATCATTCTGATTTACCCAGGACAAAGGAGAGAACCCAGGTTTTCATATTTAAAATGGTTAACAATGTGTAAAGGAAGGTGGTGATTGTACTGCACGCAGAAGCTGTTACCTTTCTTGAGAAAGTCTGTGATCAGCCAGGTATGGTGGCTCATGCCTGTAATCCCAGCACTTTGGTAGGCCGAGGTGGGTGGATCACGAGGTCACGAGATTGAGACCAGCTTGACCAACATGGTGAAACCCCATCTCTACTAGAAATAGAAAAATTAGCTGGGCGTGGTGGCACGCACCTGTAATCCCAGCTACTCGGGAGGCTGAGGCAGGAGAATTGCTTGAACCTGGGAAGCAGAGGTTGCAGTGAGCCGAGATCACGCCACTGCACTCCAGCCTGGTGATGGAGTGAGACTCCGTCTCAAAAAAAAAGAAAAAGCCTGTGATAGCAGATCAGTTTTTTTCATTGATCAGTTGGGACAAAAATTCTTAAGAGTGCCCTGCTCCCAGGCCTCAGAGAGATTTACAGAAGTGCATGATTCTTCCTTCTGTCCTAATACTTAGGGAATTGGCTTTTCCTGACTATTACTTTTGTTGTTGCTGGCAAAACAAAAAGGCTTATTAAATCAGAGAATTTTGGAGTAAGAAGCAACCTTAAATATCATATAATCCAACTTACTTACAAATGACTCTGAGACCTACTACCATTGACTTCAGCAATCAGTTGATAATGTTTCTAACATCCTGGTCTCAATTCCAATAACATTCATCTTTATATTAACCACCCACTGGTGTGGCCACTCTTCAAACCTCACAATTGGTTAAAACTCTGTCACCAAGAAGCAGCATAAAATAGTGGAAAGGGTACAGGCTTTGGAGAATCACAGATCTGGATTCAATCACACCTCTTACTAAAATTCTCCAGGCTCTAGTCTCTTCGCTTGTAAAAGAGACAAAAAGCTACCTGTTTCAGCAGAGTGACTGTGAGGATTAAGAAAGAGAAAATCTAGTATCCAGAGTATATAAAGAGCTCTTACAACTAAATTAAAAAAACACACACCCAATTCAAAAATGGGCCAGGGATCTGCATAGACATCTCTCCAAAAAAGTCGCACAAATGGCCAATAAGTACGTGGAAAGATGCTCAGCATCATTAAGGAAATGGAAACTAATGCGATACCGCTTCACGCTCACTAGGATGGCTGTCGTCAAAAAGTCAGCAACAACTGGATAAGGATGTGGAGAAACTAGAGGCCTCATAGATTGCTGACGAGAATGTCAAACGGTGCTTCCCCTTCAAAAAACAGTCTGGCAGTTCCTCGAAAAGTTTAGAGTTACCATATCACCCAGCAATTCCACTCCATAAGTATATACCCAAGATAAATAAAAATATACACCCCCACAAAATCTTCTGCATAGATGTTCATAGCAGTATTATTAATAATAGACCAAAAGTGGAAACCATCCAAATGTCCGTGAGCTGGTGAATGGATAGACAGGATACGGTATATCCATATGATGGAACATTAGCAGCCATGGAAAGGAATGATGTAGTGATACATGCTACTACAAGGGGGAACCTTGCAACGTTTTGCTAAGAAGGCAGAAACAGAAGGCCACATATTGTACGATTCCCATACACATGAAACGTCCAGAATAGGCAAATCCATATGGAAAGCAGATGACTGGTTGCCAAGGGCTGAGAAGGGGGGAATAAGGAGTGACTGCTAATGGGTACAAGGTTTCTTTTGCCAAACTGTGAATGTACTTTAAAAACCACTGAATTGAATGCTTTAAAAAGGTGAATTTTATGGTATGTGGGTTATATATCAATTTTTTTTTTTTTGAGACATGGTCTCACTGTCACCCAGTCTGGACTGCAGTGGCGCAACCTTGGCTTACTGCAGCCTCAACCTCCCAGGCTTAAGCGATCCTCCAACCTCAGCCCCCTGAGTAGCTGGGACTACAGGCATGTGCCACCATGCACAGCTAACTTTTGTATTTTTTTGTAAAGACAGGGATTTGCCATGTTGCCCAAGCTGGTCTTGAACTCCCAGGCTCAAGCAGTCCTCCTGCCCCGGCCTCCCAAAGTGCTGGGATTACAGGCGCGAGCCACTGCACCCAGCCTATATCAATTTAAAAAAAAAAAAAACCTCCATGAAATGACTTAGTCTGGTGCCTAGCATATGGTAGGTATTCAGTTACAATGAGCTGTTATCTGTATTTTGGCTTCAATTGACTTACCAATTGCTCACCATTGCCAATCAGATTCCATGATGTATTTAATACCATTCATTTCTTCATGCAGCAATTTATTTCTTTTGCTATTTGTTTTGTTTTGTTTTTTAAGAAACAAGTCTCTCGCTCTGTTGCTCAGGCTAGAAGTCAGTGGTGCAATCAAAACCCACTGCCACTTTGAACTCCTGGGCTCAAGCAATTCTCCCCCTTCAGCTTCCCAAGTAGCTAGGACTACAGGGGCATGCCGCTACACCCAGTTAATTTAAAAAAAAAAAAATTGTACAGATAGAGTCTCACTATGTTCCAAGGCTGGTGTCGAGCTTCTAGCCTCAAGCAATCCTCCTGCCTCATCCTACCAAAACACTGGGATTACAAGCATCCCACTGCACCTGGCCCCTTAAGTGCTTTTTTTTTTTTTTTTGAGGCGGAGTCTCGCCCTATCACCCAGGCTGGAGTACAGTGGCGTGATCTCGGCTCACTGCAAGCTCCACCTCCCAGGTTCATGCCATTCTCCTGCCTCAGCCTCCCAAGTAGCTGGAACTACAGGCACCCGCCACCAGGCCCGGCTAATTTTTTTTTTTTTTTTTGTATTTTTAGTAGAGACAGGGTTTCACTGTGTTAGCCAGGATGGTCTCGATCTCCTGACCTCGTGATCCCCCCGCCTCAGCCTCCCAAAGTGCTGGGATTACAGGCATGAGCCACTGCGCCGGCCTCCTTAAGTGCTTTTTATGTTCTAGAAATTATGCTAGATCTTAAGTTTACAGAGAACACTAAAACACTTGTGCTCCAAAGGCTGGTGGGGAAGATAAACATAGAAAAAACTCAGTAATGAAGTGCAGTTCTATGGGTGTACAGGATAGACATGTGAACTGATCCTCAAAAGTGAATTTGGAGACAGACAAGAAGTGGGACCTTGTAGACAGAGGGACAACATGTATGAAGGCAAGGAAGAACAGAATATTTGGGGAAATGCAAGTACAGGAGACAGTTATGTAATACACAACATAAATGGCATGAAATTTCACTTAATACAATTATGCAAACCTGTTAAATATTCCAAGACCCTTTGAATCAATTGAAAATGTTTGGGTTTACTTAAAACTGGAGAAAAACAAATATTTTGTGTTATGAAGTCATGCATGAAAAATAATTTGAAATGCAAACTCATTTCTTAAAAATTAGGGGCAAGGGGGCCAGGTGTAGTGGCTCACACCAGTAATCTAGTAATCTCAGCACTTTGGGAGGCCGAGGTTTGCTAGAGCCCAGGAGTTCCACACCAGCCTGGGCAACATGGCAAAAACCCAGCTACAAAAAATACAAAAGTTAGCTGGGCGTGGTGGTGCACACCTGTAATCCCAGCTACTTGGGAGGCTGAGGCAGGAGGATCACTCGAACCTGGGAGATTGAGGCTGCAGTGAGCCGTGTTTGCACCTGTGCTACAAAGCAAGACCCTGTCTCAAAAAAAGTGTGTGTGTGTGGGGGGGGGGGAGTAAAAACTACCATGAAATAATAAATATATGAAATATTTATTTCCTGGTAAATCTTTGTACTTGAGATCAAGCTAAGGCACAATCACTTAATACTAGGATTTATTGCAGTATCTGCAGGAACAAATCAAAGCATAGTGCCAAAGATCTTTGAAAAGCGCCATCATTGTCATTTCCTTTGCATTTTAAACTTTCTTTTAACCATATATATGAGTAACTTGGTAATAAATCACCTTTTTATCCATGAAACTTATGTGATTTTTCACAAAATAAAATAGCCTCTGGCTATGTTATTTTTGGTCCAGTCTTATGACTCTCGCTGCCTCTCCACCCACACCATGTTAGTTGGGCTACTAAGACTTACTGTAATATTTGCAACACAGCAGATTGCACTATCATCACTCACTGCATCTAGGAACAGAAGGAAGAAGATGGCTGCTGTCCTCATCCAGAAGAGAAACTCAGGGCCTAAGCTAAAGGGAGACATTGAGAATAAAGAGGAAGGGACAGAATCATTTAGGAGTAGAATGGTCATCCTATCTTTGTGATGGATGAGATGTGAGAGTTAGGGAAGAGTTAAGGAGGTGGGGAGATCGCTTGAGCCCAGGAGTTTGAGACCAACCTGGCTAACATAGTGAGACCCCGTCTCAACAACAACAAAATTAGGCAGGCACAGTGGCTCACACCTGTAGTCCTAGCTACTCAGGAGGCTAAGGAGGCAAGATTGCTTGAGTCCAGGACTTTGAGGCTGCAGTGAGTTATGACAGTGCCACTGTACTTCAGCCTGGGCAACAGGGTGAGACCGTATCTCAAAGGAAAAAAAAAAGGATAATTCTCTAACTTCAGAGTTTCTGGCTTGAGGTACCACGTGTCCAGTGACACCGTTAAGTGAGCTTCAATGTATAGGAGAAGCAGCCTGTTTCTAGTAAATTTGGGAATAGAGATCTGGAAGATAAGTTAGTATTAAAGACTTGGAATTATTAACATATAAAAGGTAATTGGATGTGGATGAGATCCGAGATGAAAAGCATACAGAAAAAGAAGAGAAGAGGGTCAAAGAGGGGAAACCTTTTTTTTTGTTTGTTTGTTTTTGAGACGGATCTCGCTCTGTCGCCCGGGCTGGAGTGCAGTGGCGTGATCTCGGCTCACTGCAAGCTCCACCTCCTGGGTTCACGCCATTCTCCTGCCTCAGCCTCCCGAGTAGCTGGGACTACAGGCGCCCGCCACCGCGCCCGGCTAATTTTGTTGTATTTTTAGTAGAGGCAGGGTTTCACCATGTTAGCCAGGATAGTCTCGATCTCCCGACCTCGTGATCCACCCGCCTCAGCCTCCCAAAGTGCTGGGATTACAGGCGTGAGCCACCGCGCCCGGCCAAAGAGGGGAAACCTTAACAGTAAGAGAAGGGGTAGCCAGTAAGAAAGGAATGGTCTGAATAACAAGAACATAGTGTTCTGGAAACTCAGGGAATGAGAACTTCAAGAAGCCAGTGGTTGGGAGCATTGTCAAACGCTCTAGAAGAACCATGTAAATTAGAATTGAGGTTTGGGGATTTAGCAGCAGGTGAGTTTAAAGCAACTTCAGTGAAATAGAGATGGAAGTTGGCTTATATTAGGTTGAGGGATGAGGCCAGAAGGAAAATGGGAAATAGCTTCAAAGTTGATAAAGCCAAGGAGAGGAGTTTCGATAGTTTTAGGCTGGGGAAGACTTAACCATATTCACAGACTGAAAGGGAAAGGCCAGAGGAAGGAACTGAAGATGGAAGAGTGAGAGGTGTTTCTAAGTAAGATGCTGGGGGAATGAGCGCTGGTACTGACGGGTGCAGTAAAAGCAGATGAGTTGGTATAATAACTCTAAAGGGGCAAGTACCCTGTTTTCACAGAGGAAATAAAGTTAAACCCTCCACTGAAAGTGAGATAGGGTATAGATGTGATGGGGAGCTTGAGGAGAAAGTGAATGTTGGAAAGATTGGAGGGAGCTGACAAGAGACAAGTGATAGACTCATTAGGAGTAGCTCTTGATGGACGATTTATTGAGTTGAACTGCCTGCCAGGGAGAAAATGCCTAGAATCGCAGCAAGTCATAGTCTGCTTCATCTGCCCTTCTAACTTCCTAAGTAGGTAAGGGCACAGAGCCAAAAAAGATCTAGAATAGGCAGACCAGCAGAAAAAAAGGCAGGTGAAGAGATAGAGCTGGAAGGAGGGTTTGGCTGCAAAGTGAAGGGAGGCCTTGCAAAGAAAACATTTTGAAAGGGGGCTTTAAATCTCTACGTGAAAACATTGCTTTATCGGCTTAAGCTGTGAAATATTCCACTCCTGGACTACTTGGTAGCTTATTTTCAAGTTAGCCATACAAAAAGCAACTGTGAACACAACCTAGACTTCTGGAGATTAATTACTTAATTGCCTCACATTTATGATGACATCACAGTGCACCCGTGTTCTTGTGTGTAGGAAATCCCTCATTTTGGAGATGATGCCCTTCTTGGGGGAAACTACTAGATGAGAATATTCACATCGTAAGTGAATGCAGGTGCCTATGTGGGAGACTGTGGATCAGATTGTCACTGAGAAACCACCATCCTTGCCAGAACAGCCTTCTGGGAGCTCAACCTCCAAGTGGCAGCTATGATTTCTTTTGTTTGCAGATATTAGCTCTCTTTCTCTTTGCCTCTTCAGCTGCATGACCTCTTTTTTTCAAACTGAGCCAGCCAGTCTATTTTTTAAAAAATTAAGACTGGCACAGTGGCTTACGCCTGTAATTCCAGCATTTTGGGAGGTCACGGCAGGAGGATCATTTGAGGCCAGGAGTTTGAGACCAGCCTAGGAACATAGTGGGACTCCATCTCTACAAAACATAGAAAAAATTAGCTGGGTGTGGTGGTGCACGCCTATAGCCCCAGCTACTTGGGAGGCTGAGGCTGGGGGATCGCTTGAGCCCAGGAGGTCGAGGCTACAGTGAGCTATGATCAGGCTACTGCACTCTAGCCAGGGCTACAGAGTGAAACCCCATCTCTAAAAAAATAAAAAATAAAATATACAAATAATAAATAAATTGTGTTGTGTTGACACATGAACAGAATAGACTCATATCTACATATATGTCATATATGTATGTCATTATAATAGATGCATCTTGAGTTGCTGCCAAATATGGTTTTTTTTCAGTTTGGACAAATATTTATTCTCCTCGATGATTCAGCTCATCTTTCTATTTTTTAGATAATTGTACATTCGCATGCAGTTCTAAGAAATAATACAGTGATTTTATGCACATTTTGCCCAGTTTATCTCCAATCATTGACTCACTGCTTTTTGACTAGTCTGCAGCTAGTGAGTCCTGGTAATTCTGGATTGGACCACAATGTTTGTGATTAGCCTTGTGTTGACTTGTGACATTTTCCTTCCCTTTTGGCTCACAACAGCATTTAACAACAGCAGTGCGATTTTAAATGAACAATTTCAATATTGCTTGTGTTGACTCTTCCAGAGCCTCTTAATTGGCAAGCTTGCCTTGGCATTTGGGAAGGATAATTAAATATTAAGTAGAGGGATCCCAAATAGGAATGAGCCTAAGTAGTATTGTCATGCACATTTTGGTGAGATTTCATTTGGCCCAAAGCTCAGTAATCAGTGCAGATTGAACTGGTGTGCCTGGGTTTTTCTTTTTACTTAGAGAGGCGGTTCCTTACCCTAGCCTTATCTCTTGTGTCACTCCCTAGGCTGGGCCAGCACCTGATAAGCTTCTGTGGAAAATAGCTGTGTTCTCGGTGTGCAAACAGGTTCTCTTGCTTGTTTCTGTCAAAGCAATGAACTCCTTCCCCCCAAAAAATGACCTTAGGAAACTCTTCTTTCTCTACGTATTCTCTGCTCATTTCCTGAAGCCTGACTACTTTGTCCTCATCTTTGAGATTCAGTATTTCTTCCCCCCACCACTTTTATTTCTTTATTTATTTTAAAATTTTACATAGAGATGGAGTCTCACTATATTGACCAGGCTGGTCTCAAACTCTTGGCCTCAAGTGATTTTCCTGCTTCAGCCTCCCAAAGTGCCAGGATTACAGGTGTGAGGCATGGCACCAGGCTAGATTCTATATTTCACCTTGAGTCAGTCGGACTAAGCCGCCCTCTAACTCCCCTCACCCCTCTCCTATCGGGGTGCTTCCCACCCAGTCTCCTGCCCTTGCCTCCTAAGCGCTGATCATGAGCCTGCTGCCTGCCCACGCATGCACTGGCACTGCCTCTGGCTCTCCCTGCTTCCTAGGTCTCTGTCCTAGTCTGACTTCTGCACCTGGTGCACTTGCCTGCTCCTGGTCACTGATTCTGCTTCTGCTTGTCCCACCAGTGTTAGTGTTTCCAGGAGTTCTGACTCGGGCTCTCTTCACAAGACACCCACATCCTCTCCTGAGGTGTTGGCATTCCTCTCTGTGATGCCACCTATGACTCTCCCCTATGGTGAGAATGCTGGGGGTTTCCTTTTCTACAGGTCTTTAAAGGCTGCAGAAATCTCCCTCGAGAATACTATGGCATTTAAGGGAAAACCTTCCTGAAAGCAATGTATTCAGCCTAGAAAGCTGAGATAACACGGTGATCTGAAAATGTGGAGCAAAGGACATCTGACCTAGATTAAAAAAATAATTCAGAGACTGATGTGAAGTCTCTGAGGTCACTTTGTAAATTCACTGAAGGAAAATTCAGAGTGTGAAATGTCTCCTATAAACACCTGGATAACACATGGGATAACACAATGCAAGGCTTTACCATGCACATCTCCCACTGGCCTGCTCTGACAGCCCCCTTTTGAGGGTAAGATGCCTGGCTGAAGAGCAGAATCCTCATAAAGGCAGAAGAATATTTGTTATGTATTTAATTTTAGATATAGGGTCTCACTCCGTCACCCAGGCTAGAATGCAGTGCAGATCACTGCTCATTGCAGACTCCACCTTCTGGGCTCAAGCAGTCATCCCATCTCAGCCTCCTAAAGTGTTGGGATTACAGGCATAAGCTCAGTGCCCTGGAGCTTCTAAAAGATTCTTCTGCCTTGGTGGGGTGCAGTGGCTCATGCCTGTAATCCTAGCACTTTGGGAAGCTGATGTGGGAGAATTGCTTGAGCCCAGGAGTTTGAAACCAGCTTGGGCAACATAGCCCATCTCAACAAAAAATTAAAGTTAAAAAATTTAGCCAAGGGCTGGGCACGGTGTCTCACATCTATAATTCCAGCACTTTGGGAGGTGGGCAGATCACTTGAGGCCAGAAGTTTGAGACCAACCTGGCCAACATGGCGAAACCCCGTTTCTACTAAAAATACAAAAATTAGCCAGGTGTGGTGACGCACACCTGTAGTCCCAGCTACTCGGGAGGCTGAGGCACGAGAATTGCTTGAACCCGGAAGGCAGAGGTTGCAGTGAGCCAAGATTGCGCCACTGCACTCCAGCCTGGGTGACAGAGCAGGACCTGTCTCGAAAAAAAAAGAAAAAAAGAAAAAAGCCAGGCATGGTGGTACATGCTTGCAGTCCCAGCCACTCAAGAGGCTGAGGCGGGAATGAGCCATAGATTGTGCCACTGCACTCCAGCCTGGATGACAGATTAAAAAAACACATAACAAAACAAAACAAATACACGTCTTGACCACCCTCTACCACCCCACACACCGTGTAGGTGGCAAATATATGAGAGAATAGGAAAAAAAAAAAACCCAGAAAACCTCACCTCATGACTATGCAGTTTCACCAACTGTCCTTGTCCCAAATCACTAACCTGGGTTCATCTTCTTTCTTTATAGCTTAGCCAGTGAGGATGTTCTGTTTCAATCAGTTCTTGCAAACTGACTTTATTTTATTTTTTATTTTCTGTAGAAATGGGGTCTTGCTATGTTGCCCAGGCTGGTCTGAAACACCCGGGGTCAGCCTCCCAAAGTGCTGGGATTACAGGCGTGAGGCACCGTGCCCGGCCACCAAACTGACTTTAAATCACACTCCTTCACTCGGAGTTTTTACCTAGGAATGAGATGGGAGCCTCCACTACTGCGGAGAGGGTCAGAAGTCATTTTTGTTCTCACCCTAACCCCTTCCCAGTCTTGCCCCAGCTCCGCGTTAAAGGGGTTTGCCGCCCGCAGGGGGCGCTGCGGTGCAGAGGCGACGCTGCCCTTTCCTCTCCAGGGCCGAGCGGGGGGTTTGCCGCCCGCAGGGGGCGCTGCGGTGCAGAGGCGACGTTGCCCTTTCCTCTCCGGGGCCGAGCGGGGGGTTTGCCGCCCGCAGGGGGCGCTGCGGTGCAGAGGCGACGTTGCCCTTTCCTCTCCGGGGCCGAGCGGGGGGTTTGCCGCCCGCAGGGGGCGCTGCGGTGCAGAGGCGACGTTGCCCTTTCCTCTCCGGGGCCGAGCGGGGGGTTTGCCGCCCGCAGGGGGCGCTGCGGTGCAGAGGCGACGTTGCCCTTTCCTCTCCGGGGCCGAGCGGGGGGCTTGCCGCCCGCAGGGGGCGCTGCGGTGCAGAGGCGACGTTGCCCTTTCCTCTCCGGGGCCGAGCGGGGGGTTTGCCGCCCGCAGGGGGCGCTGCGGTGCAGAGGCGACGCTGCTCTTTCCTCTCCAGGGCCGAGTTAAATTCCAGAGAACCACATACAGTGGGGATTTTTGTTTTCTCTCTTCCATCCCCAGTCCGGGTGGCGGCAGAGCTCAAAGAGGAGTCTGTTCTGGGGAAAAGACGGCGTCTGCCTCTCTCTCGAACCAGCCCTGATCAACTCCCAAGCAGCCGGTCCTTAGATAACACGGCTGAGAAACCTGAAACCAGCGGCTCTGCCCGTCATCAGCGCCAGCATCCCCGTCTGGAAACCGAGACGCTCTGCGGAGACGCCACAGTGACTGAGTGTTAAGTGGAAGGGCTGGCGTTCTCGCGGCAGAGTTCACAGGCCTGGACCTAGGAACTGAGACAGAAGTTTTTCAGGGAGTCTGTCTGGGGCTTGAGCACTTGCGCTGTTCTGGGGCACTCTGCGCACGTACCGGCTTTGGGACCATTGTTCTTCCCAAGCCAAGCCGTGAGCTAGGTTAATACGGCCGTGCGCTCCACTCGGCCGGGCTGCCTGCAGCGCTCCCCGCTGTGGATTCAACCGTGTTCAAGGCAAGGGAAGAACATCCACGCCCCCTTTCTCTTTTCTTTTTCTTTTTCTTTTTGAGACGGAGTCTCGCTCTGTCGCCCAGGCTGGAGCGCAGTGGCGCCATCTCCGCTCACTGCAAACTCCGCCTCCCGGGTTCAGGCCATTCTCCTGCCTCAGCCTCCGGAGTAGCTGGGACTACAGGCCCCGGCTAATTTTTTGTATCTTTAGTAGAGACGGGGTTTCACCGTGTTAGCCAGGATGGTCTCGATCTCCTGACCTCGTGATCCGCCCGCCTCGGCCTCCCAAAGCGCTGGGATTACAGGCGTGAGCCACGGCGCCCGGCATGACCATTTCTGTTTTCTTAGGGGAAGCCTCCTTAAATGAGTGGGCTTTCAAGTTGACAGAACCTCATGTGAATGGGGAGTAAGGACATTCTCGATTACTACAGAGTATTTATTAAATGGCTTCTGGGCTGAAGCCTATAGAAGGAGTACAGATTATCAAATGCAGAAAAGATGTGGTCGTTTAGAAGCCCTATTAGGGGTTGGAGAAACTGTGAAGTCAGGAGTGAAGGGTGCATATGAGTTTTTTTCTTCAGGATGAAAGAGAGAGAATAGCGGTAGGAAATCCAGCTTCACTCAGAGTCCTAGGGACCTATGCCCTGTTCTGAAAATGCTGAGACACACATCTGTGTATGCTCAAATACACATCTGTGTGTGCTCAAACTTGTAGGGACCAAGCCTGTGGGATGTGTCCTTGGGAGAAGAGAAGTTAGCACTAAGACTTCACTCAGAGGGATGACACTACCCTGGCACCATGGTGAGCCACACAGCTTCCAGACATCAAACATGTGCCATGACTTGGGAGTGGGGAAGAAGCTACTCAGAGCTGTGGGTCATTATGCCTTAGCTTCAGCTACACATCCTCTCACTAGCATCTGTAGCAGAAGACTGCAGAGTGCAGACAGAAGAGTGCCTTTCTAGAGAAGGGTGAGAGAATGTCTTTCTAGTGGGGTTTAGTGGTCAGACAGACAGGAGGTAGAGCTTTGGGGAGGCTCGTGTAGATGGCCTCAGCACCAACTAATGAGCAACCAAGAGCACTGTTCACACTATCTCCCTCTGGGTTTGCCAGCAACAAAGAAAACCTGAGTGGTAGGAAATAATTGGTATTTCTCAGCTGAAAAGCCTGAACAAGTCAAAGATAATTTTTTTGACCTGGATGATTGTCTCTTGACTTGCTGGGGAATCCTTCTCCCTGAAGGAGGAAGGCAGAAAGAGACGTTGGAATAATTTGGAGGCATTCATAATGCAGATTGGAAGAGGAAGCAAGGCCTAGCAATAGATGCCAAACTTAGAACTTCAAAGCACATAGTTCTGGTTTGGGTCACCTCTCACCGTCTGCTGAGGACTATATCAGCAACTCACTTGCTTGGGAGTGAGATGAAGTATGTGAATTGCCCTGGGATTTTTCCCAGCTGATGAGCTTTGTTTTGACCCTCAGCATAACGTCTACGCCCTTTCTTCATCTTTTCTTTAACTCCTTTCATCTGATTCCTTTGACACTTTACCATGCAATCTTGAACATGTTCTTCTATAGGGATGCTTCTATAGGGATATTCATCTGTTTCCCAGTCTAGTTTGTAAAATTACGTACGACCACAGATGGAGAAACTGAGGCTTGAGATCTTGCCAGAGCTCATACCATTCTTTCCATCAGCCAAACAGAAGAGCCCAGCTTTCTGGAAAAGCAAGAGAAGTGGCTAATAAGAAGCATTCAGTGGGGGGCATCCATCCTTTTCTGGGATTGGCCTCCATAGTAGCAAACCATGCAGAAAGATTTGTAAAAGATGGACTCATGGAAGGAGGGCTAGGAAAAAGGATCTCTTCTGTAAAGAGCACAGCAGGCAGCATTGGTGACGGAGTTGGGGGGAGGGGGGAGGGGATGAGAAGAATTATCATGTGGCTGAGTGAGTTATGGATGTGCTGAAGGTGAGCTCAGAGTTTCCAGAGTGAATATACTTCTGCAGGGGAACTTCCAGGGGAGGAACATGTGCAAAGGAAAAAAAGCCCTGGATCTGAAGTTAGAAAGCCTGAGTTTGAGTCCTAAGAGATGGGTCATGTAGATGACCTTGAGCAAGTTATTTAACATCTCCGAGCCCATTTCTTTATCTATGAAATGGAATCAGTGAAAGGACAGTTTCCAGGATACGTGATTTGCATGAGTTGAAAGAGATAAAACAAATAAATGCTTGCCAAAATGACCCCGGCACTTGGAGAGCATGTCTTTGTGGATATTTCCAGCACTGTTCTTTTCTCTCAAAGAATGGAACACAGTCTGCCCAACAAACACACAGGTATATATAGACAGGGATAAGATAGATACAGATATAGATATAGATATAGATATAGATATAGATATAGATATAGATATAGATATAGATAGATACAGATATGGATATAGATATGGAAGGTCAGACTGGAGAAGGAAGAAGTCTCTGGGTACAATGGAAAGAGGACCAGCGGCTAAAGATCTGGTTCCGGTTCTGATTCTATCACTTATTGGTCATGTGAAGAAACTGAGGCTTGCAAAGCTTATTTGTAAATAGAGGAGGCTACCTCCCCTGTTGTTCTCATATGGTTGTGAGAAACAAAACACATGGAATATAGATGTAAAAATGCTCTCTAAGCTCAAAGTTGCTACCTTATAATGTAGGTGTCAGGTTTTAGGAAAAAGGATGGGTGGCACAGGGGTCACTGGAGTTACTTAGTATATTTTGACATCCCTATAGAGTAGAATAAGACTTGGTCTGCATACAACAGACCATACCTATAGGTCACTAAACTCTTCCCTTCTGAATTCTCCACAATCCAGAATTTTCTGGTCCCTGTGCTAACCTTGGCCCATTTTAGAAAACTTTGGTCAACCTCTCTTACAATGCCTCTGTAATTTGGGAGAAGAAACTTTATGATTTGACCTGCTCTGCCTCTGATATTCTGGCCAAGCAAAGACCGGGCCCTTCTACCATTATTGCAGGTGTATGGTGGAAAATATTTTTCCTTTTGGGTGCAATTTGTACAATGTGACCCTGGGCTATTCTGGGTCAGGTGCTGTAGCTGAAGTGGGAGGGTGAAAGGACAGTGAAAACCATCAGAAGAACTGGTGAGTAGCCAGGCAAATTGACACTGACAATGAATGGACATTTGTGACAATATATTATGCCACCATGATACCTCAATCCACATACTTAGTTCTGGAGCTCAGCTATTTGGGAAATTTGGGTCTCAAAATTCAGATCTTCCCCTGCTGTGACATCACCAGGAGTCAAAAAGGGATGTGGAGAAAGCGGGGTCTGAATGTGAGGGATATCTCAGTGCCAAGGCGTCACCCACAGAAGAGAAGGGAACAGAAGAGGGAGAGAGGAGAGCCACAAGAATGTCCTGGCCTCTTTTCTCTTCGACTCCTGGCACCTCTCACCATAAGCTGGAAAAGTAATGATCTTCTCAAGTTATAAAAACAAAGTAGAAATAAGAGGAGGATAAAAAATCAAGAGGTACAGGGTGATCTCCTTCTTCTTCTTAATCTCTTTGGACCATAAATTTGGCCTTTAAACTGTCAGATTTCTTTTCCTGTGGACTATCTTTTTTCCTCAACTAAACAGCATGCTTCTTGTTTTAGATCTCTCCCAGTTCCTACATAATAGATGCTTCAAGCATTTGGTTGACCGAAGTGATTGCATGAGCTTTCTCAGTCTTGAGGAGAGAATTGTGGCAAGGCTGCCACCTGTTTCCATGACAAAGTGTTAAAAGTGACTCAACCTAAAATCCAGTTGGGTTGCCCTTAGTAAGAGAGGGACTCTATTTACAGGGCCCGGTCACTTCCCACTTGACTCAGCCGAGCTTGCACAGGCCGTGCACACACTGGCTGCTCCTATCTTGGACTTGTGGAAAGAAAGAAGAACATGAGAAGTACAGGAATCTGTGGCTTTGGAACTTCACAGAGACCTTTCCCAGGGGCTACAATTAGAGAATTGTCCTTTGGATTCACCCTTTTTGCTAAAGAACTGCAGTGAAAGTTCTGGAAGATGTTTGCTCAAAGTGCTACCCCCATCCTCAAACCTTCCTAAGTGCTAAGTGGACATTGTACCACCCACTGGAAATGCAGCTCCCATTTTTGAAGCCTTACAGTGAGGTTGGGAAAACAAGACTCACACACTCCAAGTAAGTTCCAACATATCAGATGGTGAGACAGATGGCAAGTTCTACTAAAGCTCCAGAAAGGAAGGAGTTGCTTAGGACTTGGCTGGTCCAAGAAAGCTTTATAGAATCTGAAATGGACCTTGGATAAAGGGTACAAGTTGACCAACTAGAAAAGAAAATGTGTTGGAGGGTAGTGAATAAACTCGTTTTAGCTGGAGCAGGTTTCATGTGGTCACATAAAGTTGGAAAAGGTTCTGGAAGGCCCTGAATTCTGGATTTACAGTGTGTATCTTAATCAATAAGCATTGGAAGCCATTAAATATTTTTGAGCAGGTGTGTGACTACATACGGGATTTTTTTTTTTTTTTTTTTTTTTTTGAGACAAGGTCTTGCTCTGTCACCCAGGCTGGAGTGCAGTGGCATGATTGTGGCTCACTACAACCTTACACTCCTCCCACCTCAGCCTCCCGAGTAAGTTAGGACTACAGGTGTGTGTCACCATGCCTGGCTTTTTATGAAGACCATCTGGTGGTAGTGGACAGGATGCGATGGGAAGCTTGGAGTTGGGGAGGCTAATTAGGAAAAGTCCTGTAGAAACTATTGAATATCCAACTGAGGTGAGAACAGAGAGAAGGGAAACATAGTTCTCAATTCTGTGAGAACCTCTGTCTTGGAACAGTACTTGTGTGATATTCATTTGATTTTAAAATGTCCAGGAACACTTTGATCCTTCACTTTTCCCATAGTCTCCTGACCATTTTTCCCAGAAGAGATAATGGAAAAGAAAACTGCAGTATAACTTGCTGAGTGACCTGGGGCAGTTATTCTGCCCCTTGATACTTTATCTAATTTAAATCAGATAATAATGCTTTACCTGCCTGAAGGCAGAGGACTGGAATACTGATTTTTTTTTTTTTGAGACAGGGTCTTGCTGTGTTGCCCAGGCTGGAGTGCACTGACGCAATCACGGCTCACTGCAGCCTTGACCTCCAGAGATCAAGAGATCCTCTTGCCTCAGCCTCTCAAAGTGCTGGGACGACAGCCGTGAGCCACTGTGCCTGGCTTATCTTGCTGATCTTTTCAACTCTAAGAGTGAATACTTTTCTTTTCTTTTTAAAATTCTTTTTCGGAACCCTCAAACACCTACTCTCTTCAAACAGCCATTCCAGCCCAGTCTGGGGAAAACTGCTTGCTGGGGTTCACCGTGGGGGCTGTACGACTTCCCCAGCGCCTCTCGGAGATGTGGTTCAGGCTGGGAAGAAAGGTCTTCAAATCTCAACTGGAAAACGAAGCTATGTCTGCGTTAAGCGTCCAGTGGCTCCCGTGATATTTCACGCCTACTGGTTTCGTCAAGCAGGGAGTCGGGTCGTTGCTGTTGGCGACGAAAGGCTCTGAGGCTAAAGCCTTGGGCGTCGCCCAAACCAGCCTCTACTTCGCTTCTGCCTAAAACCACACCGTTAGGCGCCTGGGTGGTGACTCGGTTTCCCTCGGTCACCCAGAGTCCGCATCATCACTCGCCCCCTCCTCATCCCACCCGTTCCCAGTCGGGGGAGGCACCAGGCACCAGTTCTCTGGCCCCACCTCTCGCTCCCCTAGGGAAGCCGAATGGCCTCTTCGCGTCCCTGGCTTCTCGGGGGCGGAGCCCACCTGTGCCCGGGGCGGGGGCGGGGGCGGGGCCGGGGGCGGGCCAGGTTCCGCGAGCAGGAGAGCCCAGAGCCCGGAGCCCGGTCCGGGGCTGGCGGGGGCGCGGGCGGAGGCAGGCGGGCGGGCGCCGGGGAAGCCTCCTTCTGGGCAGCGAGTGAGGGCGGGCGCGCAGGGAGGGAGGGCGGCAGCGAGCCTGCGACGGGAGAGGCGTGGGGAGGAGAGCCCGGCGCGGAACACACGCGCGGAGGAGGAGCCGGGCTCGGCTCCCGGAGAGACCTGCTGGGCGCCCGCGCAGCCCGGAGACCCCTCGCGCCCGGAGCATGAGCCCGAGCCCCGCCGGAGAGCGGCCGGGAGAGACGGCCTCGGCGCAGCCCTGAGACGCTGGGCCGGGACGCGGGGCGCCCTGGGCGCGGGGCCCGGCCGGGGGGCGGCGGCTCGGGGGGTTGGAGCCCGCGCTGGCGGCGGCCGCCTCGGCGCAGCGCCATGGGGAGCCCCCGGGCCGCGCGGCCCCCGCTGCTCCTGCGCCCGGTGAAGCTGCTGCGGAGGCGCTTCCGGCTGCTGCTGGCGCTCGCCGTGGTGTCTGTGGGGCTCTGGACTCTGTATCTGGAACTGGTGGCGTCGGCCCAGGTCGGCGGGAACCCCCTGAACCGGAGTAAGTAGCACCCAGGGGAGGCGAAGGGCGCGGGGGTGGGCGGCGGCGGCGGCTCCTGCGTTGGGGGGACCCGCCTCTCATCCCATCCTCAGACCCGATTTCCCACCCATTTCTCCCTCAGGTGCCCGGCGTCGCCCCGCGCGTACTCGGGGAGAGCTGCGGGCGGGGGAAGCCGCGGGGCCGAGCGCAGAATTCCCGAGCCCGGGCCTGCCCGCCGGCCACGTGGGTCCGGGGCACCCTGGGGGCTCCTCGCGTCTCCCCTCGGAGAGCGACCCGGAGAGAGGCTCCCCGCCCGTCCCGCCGAGACGCTGGCGGAGACCGGGCCCCTCCAGCCGCTCCGGGCTTGCGGTTCCCGGGGAGGAGGTCCGTGGGGTCCACGCGCGAGCTAGGGATTCGGGTGCGGGATGCCCTCGGCCGTCCACACCCAGGCGCGCGCTCCAGTCCGCGCAGCCCAAACTTTGCCCACCGCCTTCTGTTTGGCTCACTCCGTTTCCTCTCCTGCTGCATCTTCTAGGGGGGTTCTTTTTTACCATACCTCGGAGAGTCCCGTCTCTTCCCCGCTTCCCATACGTCGCTCCTCTCCCAGCCTCCGTCCTCGGCTCTTTGAATCTCCCACCTCCTCGCTGCGCCCTCTTTCTCCTGTTCGGGCCGCCCCTTCTGCCACTTTTCTGAACCCTGAGCAAATCTACCAAACTCCCCAGTTTAAGGAGATGATGGACAGCACAGTGGACCGGGCAGCAGGTAGATTCCTACTTCTGTTTTTAACTTAGCCAAAGCCACTTAATATTTCCGTGCCTCAGTTTCCTCCTAGGAAAACAGGAGAGCGTGGTCTCTTTGCCTTTTTACATCAATAGGTATGGCTGTGCGAGGTGGTTTTCAACGTACTGTGGATGGGCCTAACAAAGTAAAACTGACAGTGACAGGGGCCGTAAAAGATCCTGTAATAGTTGGGAAAAGAAATGGAGAAACTCCCGTTACTACCAGGTGCCCAACGCAAGCCCGGGGAGCCGAGGTTCAAAGTTCTGGCACGTGGCCTCCCATGCCTTCACTTTCCTCCCGCTTTGGGGAAACTCGGACAGAGTGGCTGAGCAAGCAGCTGAGAAGATACTCTGACTCTGACCTGTCGTCGTGTCAGCTTCTCTACCCAGAGTTGGGTGTGGTGCTGTGCCTTCTCTTGTGGCCAAAGAGAGAGAATTACTAGGGACAGTCGCTGAGCTGGTTCAGGTTGGAAATGTATATTTATGGCCTAACCTTTCTGTGGTGATGGAAATCATTCCGGCTGTGAGTTAGAGGAGACTGGCTCTGCCACTAACTAGCGGGGGAATCAAGGGAAAAACGACAGCTTCTCAGGTGAAAATGAGGCCTTTGGTCCAAATGATCTCCAAGGTGTCTTTCAGTCTGGATACGAAGACTGATCTGCACGCAAGCGTTTCCAGGGCCAGAGAGCTCAGCACATCACCAGGAAGCCATAGCTTCCACCCCGGGGCCACGACTCCAAGCAGCAGAGCCCCTTCCTCTGATGACCAAAATCTGCCGCCCATAGTGAATTCTTCCCTCCTCTGGGCCTTGTTCTTCCTTCTGAAAGACAGAGAGTGAATCTATTCTCCCCCGCCATGGCCACTCAGGCCCAAATGGATGAGCTCCTTTGGAGTGTGTGTGGGTGGGGGCCTGGGAGGCGACACCTCCTCCCAGTGTAGCCATCATTTTGTTTAGCCAGTGGGATCTTGTGCACAAATTAAAAACAGAGAGAAAGGCAGTTGCTTTGTGACCTTGGAATCAGTAACCTCCCTTTCTCCCTCTCCTCACTTTTCTTTTACCTCCGGTGTGTTTTCTCCCCAAACCTGGATCTAGTTTGCCACAGTCATAATCTGACACTCTGGCCCTCGACCTCTGCCTCTGTCTCCCGTGGGCCGCCTCATTCCGAGCCATCAATTCTTGAGTCTGTTGGGTTCCCCTCCCAGAAGAATCTTAACTCTCTGACTGGGTTTCCTTATTTTTTATTTTCTTTTCCAAACCAATTATCCAGAAAACTCTTCCCAGCCTCTATGCCAGAATTGACTTCGTTTCCTTACTCATGGTTTTTAACAGGAGGCTAAGCTCACACACTGATGCACCTTGTTTCCTCTCTCCTCTTAGAACCCTGAAATTCATCTATTGTGCAGGGTGTCTTTTTGTCCTGCGCTGTCCCGTTATATTCTACTCTCGATTTCCCTGTGGAATAAGATTTAGACTGGAGCTGTGGTTTCTGCCTCCTTGTCTCCCATCCTTTTTTGTTGTTAAGAAGCCCAGACATCTTGCATCAAAGTTCCCTCTTTTCCTATAGGTTTCATTCTCAGCTCAGAGCTATTCCTCTGGAGGGAGAGCCAGGGAGGAGGCATTAGGAAAGGAGAGGTGGGAAGGGGGTTGCTAGCATTCCCACCTCCACACTCTTGGATACCAACAGGAACCAGGGTAGTAAAACTGCACCTCCCAGGCCTGTACCTCTGGCCTCAACCACAGCAACCAGAACCAGCTTGTTGGCTCTGCTTTCCAGCAAGCCACCCTGCCTCCCCTCTCTAGCAATCCCTGCCAACTCACTCCACCACCCACCAGCTCCCTGTCATCTGGAAGGCCAGCCCCCATTACCAGGAACCTTTCATTTGCCTGTCCCTGTGTTGGATCTGGTGCTGGAAGAAGAGTATGGAGAGATGGCAGTCACAAACTCCAGGGTTACCAGTAATGACAGGGGAGCATATTTCCTTCTTTATCTTCGTGAAATAACCCAGTAGTTTAAGATGTGGATGATGTGCAATTTGGTTCCATATGCAGAAGGAGATACAACCACAACTGGAGTGGCTTCAGAGAAAAACAACCAAAATCCTTAACAAATAGAAAATTGACAAAAGAATTAGGACTGTTCACGCATTCATTTACACAAATATTTACTTAGCGCATACCTCGAGCCAGGCATTGTGCCAGGCCGTGTAGGTGTGATGACCAGGATGTGGTTTCTAGCATCTACAGCTTCATTTAGGAGGAAAGCTAAGGTGCCTATATCAAAATGGTTGTAATATAAAGCAGTCATTAAGTTTTGCAAACATAGGACGCATATGTTTCTGTGACACCTCTTGAAATGGGGGCACAGCTCTCCCAACTAATATTTCATGGAAATGGTGACATTTTGGGACGTTTTGAAGAGTTGGTAAGATTTTGGTGGATACAGAAAGGCTATTCGAGACAGAAAGAGTTACGTCAACAAAGACCAAGAGTCGGGGAAAGTTTATGTTTGAGAATACTGAGCAGCTGAGTTTGGTGAAACAGAGGGTATAAGAAGAATAGAGGATGATGCTGTATGTGGAAGGCTGAATAAAGACCTTAAAGAGTGGCATTTATTCAGTAGCTAGCAGAAAGCAGTTGAAAGTTTTAGAATACGGCAGCATTGTAGAATGGGACGGGTAAGGGTAACAATACTTTTGGTGTGGCATGGTGGTTCTGGAACAGGGTCCTGACGAGTCCCCTTGTTGAGCCCAACATTAACTCTTTAGCTGCTGGGTCGTGAAGCTGTCCTGGGGAGGGGTCCGGGTGGCAGTGGGACACTCAGAGGGCCTGGGGCAGCCACTGTACTAACACATGCTTAAGGATTTCAGTGTTTTAATAAGTGGTACGGCTATCCTGGTGTGTACTGGCTGAAAAGCAGCCCTGGGAACAAATTGTTATTGGAAGTTAAAGATTCTCCAATTAGGCAGGTTTTCACAAGTTATATACCCATTTGTTCATATTGGATCAGCAAAGATTCTATCTGAAGGCAGAGTTCTGGACTAGAGGCCGGGGGTGGTGGCTCACACCTGTAATCCCAGCACTTTGGGAGGCCGAGGCGGGCAGATCATTTGAGGTCAGGAGTTCGAGACCAGCCTGGCCAACATGGCAAAACCCCATCTCTACTAAAAAAGATTAAAAAAATACCCAGGCATGGTGGCGCACACCTGTAATCCCAGATACTGGGGAGGCTGAGGCAGGAGAATTGCTTAACTCAGGAGGCAGAGGTTGCAGTGAGCTGAGATTGCACCACTGTACTCCAGCCTGAGTGACAGAGCGAGACTCTACTTAAAAAAAAAAAATGGTTTCTAGAGATGAAATATCTCAGAGCCAAGGGATGACATTTGGGCGCAAATCCAAGACAGAAGGATGGCATGTGCTGGCTCCTTTTAGATCTCCCATTTAAGTGCCAGGATTACTTGCTGGATCCCAAAGTATTCTGAAGCTCAGGAAGCCGTTGGCTTTCGCTGCCTTACCTCTATCTGTACCACATCTCTCTGGTTGGCCTTTGTGACTTCTGGCTGACTCGAGTGGGCTGAGGGAGGCACACCCGCGGTGTGAGGCAGTGACTGCAGCTCTGGCCACCACAGCCGTTCTGATTTGGAAAGGATACAAACCCTCCAGTGAGAGAGGTAATGCAGGGCACAGCAGTAATCTGAGATGCAGGCAGGGAGAGAGGGAGAAGCAAATGAGACAGATGTGTGGGCAGAGGAGGGATAGTGTGGCATGGAGTTGAAACCCAGTGAAGCAGCAAGCACAACCGCCTCGTGTGCTCCTGTGGGCAGGGACTGTGTCTCATGCAGCTCTGGTGGGTGTGTGCCTCTCTGTCCCAGGGAACCTCCTTTTCACGTGGTTTACCTCTCGTGTAGCTCCTTTTCACGTGTCCGGTTTATCGCTCTTTATGCTGATATTCCAGTCACCAGGCTACTATGTGTGTCTTCTAATCAACTTTCAATTCTGGGCACATACTAGGCGCTCAGATAAGTACCTTCTCGTTATGAATGTGTCAGCTCTGAATTTCCAAGCACCTGATATTTTCCACTGGCAGATACTGTGTTTATCAGGGACTGATCCAAGAATAGAACCTAGGAATTCTTGTTCCCTGTACCATAATACATATACACAACAATAGCCTTTGAATACAAATACAGAAGATAAGCGATAAGACATCAATGGTTTTTTTTTTTTTAATCATAAGCGTATTTTCTTTGGGCATTGCCTATACGAGGAATGCAGTTTTTGACAATAGGTGACCTTACCCATATTTAGAGTCTCTCCTTTCCCTGGTCTCTCAGTCCCTGTGCTGATGTGGCCGGCGAACCTCAGCAACACATCTGCCATCTTTACCCTGCCTACTACCCAGGGACCCTCAAGTTGAGGTCCCATTCCCCTGCTTGATGGTGCTGGGGCTGCCTGCCACTCCCTGTCCTGGGAGTTGAGGTCCCATTCCCCTGCTTGATGGTGCTGGGGTTGCCTGCCACTCCCTGTCCTGGGAGTTGAGGTCCCATTCCCCTGCTTGATGGTGCTGGGGCTGCCTGCCACTCCCTGTCCTGGGGGTTGAGGTCCCATTCCCCTGCTTGATGGTCCTGGGGCTGCCTGCCACACTCCCTGTTCTGGGAGTTGAGGTCCCATTCCCCTGCTTGATGGTGATGGGGTTTCCTGCCACTCCCTGTCCTGGGAGTTGAGGTCCCATTCCCCTGCTTGATGGTGCTGGGGTTGCCTGCCACTCCCTGTCCTGGGAGTTGAGGTCCCATTCCCCTGCTTGATGGTGCTGGGGCTGCCTGCCACTCCCTGTCCTGGGAGTTGTTCAGACGCTGTGCATGGTTATAACTGCTTTGTAGCACAAGGTCTTCTGAAAGTGCTTCCGTGCTGGCTTCTGGAGAGGCTGGTAAGTACGCTGCAGTAATTTTCCAGGCCATGGAGCCTGGGCTTGCCCTCTAGTGCTGAGCTTTGTGGAGCAGAGCAGAGCAGCCGACATAGCAGAGTTTGCTTTGGAAGGGGTCCTAGAGGCTGTTCTTGGAGTTGGCCGCTCGCTGTCTAGTTCTCCTCTGCAGCGTTCCACCAGTCTCAAAAACTACGCTTTTATTTTCCACAAGCACTTTTCGTTATATGTAAAGATTATGTGGTCTCAACTAGGCCAACCAGACATTTGGAGTTTTCAGACAATTCTTTGACCTTGTGATTCACATAATTAATAGATTTATATGTTAACCACTATACAAAAATGCGAGTGGAAGAGGTGAGAATAGTCGGATAGTGGCTCTAAAGGGCACTGGGCTGCATGTGTTGTATATTCTGAGCAAAGTGTGACAGATCTTTAAATTTTTGCAGACTCAAGTTAACAAGTGCTACTTTGAATTTAGAAGTATCCATTGGATGAGCAAAAATGAATATTCTTTGTATTCTTGTAATATTTTAGTATATAATTTATTTTTATGTTCAATATGTTCTTTATTTCATAACTACAAAAGGCCTGATACTGACCAACTTTTAAGAAAATAAACATGCAAATCGTCCCTGTGGTTCCTCTTTTTTTTCAAGTATATGTACGGAAAGCTTGATGAGCAGTTTTCACAAACTGAAAATACCTGTGTTGGGAGCACCACGATGAAGACACAGAGTATTACCAGTACCCCAGTACCCCGGTGGGGGCGGTGCTATGAATCACTACCATCAGCATAGATTAGTTTAGCATATTTTAATATTTTATATAAATGGAATAATACAGATTGTGGTTCTTTTTTTATTAGCAATTTTTTAAATTAAATTAATGAAAGTATTTTTTGAGACTGAGTCTTACTCTGTCTCTCAAGCCAGAGTGCAGTGGTGTGATCTTAGCTTATGCAGCCTTGAACTCCTGGGCTCAGTGACAGGAGTGAGCCACTGTGCTCGGCCTCATTTTAAAATGATATTCTTTATGATGATAAAAATAATGCAGCCAGGTGTGGTGGCTCACACCTGTAATCCCAGCACTTTGGGAGGCCAAGGTGGGCAGATCACTTGAGGTCAGGAGTTCGAGACCAGCCCGGCCAACATGATGAAAGCCCATCTCTACTACAACTACAAAAAGTAGCTGGGTGTGGTGGTGTGTGCCTGTAGTCCCAGCTACTCGGGAGGCTGAGGCACAAGAGTCGCTTGAACCTGGGAAGCAGAGGCTGCAGTGAGCCAAGATGGCGCCACTGCACTCCAGCCTGGGTGACAGCAAGACTGTGTCTTAAATAAATAAATAAACAAAATAAAATAGGGATAAAAATAATCCATGCTTATTATACTAGACAACAGCTGTGTATCTGGACCACATTAACCCTGCGAAAGCACTTTTTTGCCTTTAGGCACCACAGCATCACTAACAAAATAACCTAAGGCCAAGGAAGACCAGGGGCCTCAAGACTGCAGGATACATAGTAGCCTCTGGAATTCTCCAGTAGCACCCTGCCAGGGTGGAGTTGAGAACTGTTGCTCATTCCTGTATGAGAACGCTCTAAACATGTTTCTTCTGGTCTTGGTCTTAGAAACAGCTGTGCTTCTCTTGAGCGGTTTGTTTTAATTTCTATTGGTCACGTAAGTTGCATAATCACTCAGATTTCTCTCGTCGTGTTGGTTACTAGGAAGCTTTAGGGTTCAGTTTTTTCTTCACCTGGAGAAAAGTGTAAAGGATTTTATGATCTGTATTTTTCTACTAATTTTATGACTGTACCTTTATTTTATCTCCCCACTCCCACAACTAACTACTTCCAGTTTATGTCATCTTATCTTATATGGTCATTGTAAACTACTTTAGTTTTTCCTGGACCAAATCAAGGCATAAAATAAATCAACAAAAGTGCTATGGTATACATACAAATATGAAGAAGAAATGAACAATCACCTAAAATGTCACCACTCTGACCTAGACATTGTTGAAAAAATGAAGTGTAATAAGCAGTGATAAGCAGATGTTGGATTCCAGGATGCCTTAGACAAAAAGTCTGGATTTAAAAACTTAAAAAGCCAAAAAAGTATTGCCCTGACCTTTTTGGGGGTCTTTATTTAGGTACTGAAAAGTTGAATCACATCCACAAATAAATTATTACGTCTTTCCATATAAGAAGACTACCAAAAGCTTAGAATTTACTGACAGATATTGGGGACTGAGCCACTTTTGTTGAAAACAGTGACACCATACAAGGCAAATTCAATAAAATTGGAGGCATCCTTGACACTACCGAGAGAACAGCCGAGAGACTGGCCAGGAAGGCCAGAAACCTGGTGTGTCATGTGGGCACCCATCCCTGCAAAGGTCTCACACCAGCTCCTCACACCAGCAAGGACACCTCAACATGAAGATCTATGGCTGCTGCCAGCCTGTGGCTTTTGGATGCATAAAGTCACAAACTAATTTAGAGACCTAGCCCCTGTATTAGCAGCTGAGAATCCCTGCCCAGGGAATAGACTTCATGTGTCTCTTCCACCCATTTCTTCTTTGAAATTGTGTTCTCGTGGTGCCTAGCAGAGGCTATGTGTGTGTCTCACTCTGCACAGCTCACATTCTGCTTTGTGGCCACACGACCCAGGAAGAGGGCCCACAAATGGACGAGAATAGAGAGAGGTGGGAGTGGAAATAGAGAAACCACATTCCAGGCCGACCAAAGACTTTATGTATAAATGCTCAGGAAATTGAACGTTGTGTATTCTGCAGTTTTTATTTATTTTGTAAACCTTGAGTGGCTGCAGAAGTGATTCATTCTAAACTTAAAGCAGAATGTTTATGGAGCATTTACTTTTTGTGGCAGACTCTGAGTGGACTGAAAAGCATTGATAATTCCTGGAAAAACTGTGGAGTCTGAAGGCAGGGCAAGGTTCCAGTTCAAGCGCCATGACTCACCAATCGTGAGACCTTGTAGGAAGGTACTTATTCCTTTGTAAGTCTCGGGAGCCTTGTCTGGGTAGTGGAGCTATAATGCTGTTCCCGTAGAACTTTCCTTATGACTAAATGAGGTTTAGTGAGCCGAGCACATATTAGGATCTCAATGAATATTGGTTCCCATCTCCTCCCTCTCAGTCTGATAGGAATTAGAGAATGGCTGGGCAGGAGGGGACAAATAGACACATTCCTCAACTGGCCCTTTTTCCAGTGCTTCTTAAACTTCTCAGCCCATGACACAGCTGTGTCCAGTACCCCAGCATTACTGTGCCATCCATATCCAGCACTTGCCACCAAATACACATTCTTCAATCACTTTTTTCCTCCATGATGTTCAGCAATGCCTGCATCTTTCCATCCCAGGCAAAGATTTATATTAGGGGTGGGGGCCAGGTTAGGAGTCAAGGATTTTGCGGAGAACGAGAGCTGTCTGGGGGGCTGTACCAGGACACAGAAGCACAGCAACTGGGAAGCGATAGCCTCTCACTCTGCTGCATACCCCTGTGTACACACTGGGATTTCTGGGACTAAAAGGCAGGAACACCTGGCAGTTATCTCATTATTTATTTATTTTTAAAAAATTTTGTTTTTAGAGATGGGGTCTCACTATGTTGCTCAGGCTGGTCCTGAACTCTTAGGCTCAAGGGATCCTCCCACCTCAGCCTTCCAAAGTGCTGAGATTACAGGCATGAGCCACCGCGCATGGCCAGTTAATGTACACCGTGCATGGCCAGTGTACATCCTAGCTTTGTAACTAATTTGCCTGGTTTCCTGTCTACAGGAAATCAGTTTACCTGTAACTAATTTCCTGTCCTTTTGAGGGCTTCAGTTCCATAATCTTTGGAGTGAGATGCTTCCTTGCAGGAGTAGATTTGGAAGTTGCGCACGTCACTAAGGGGTGAAAGGGACAGTCGGAAGGGAATATCTTTGACATCTGGCCCTGGTCTTTCAAGGCTCAGTCGCCTGAACCGAGAGGTGGCAGCTCTCCCAATAGTTCTGACTGCTTTCGCCTCCAAGGTCATCTCTGACAACATGGTCTCCGTACAAGCAGTTGCCTAAAAGATTAAAGGCCTCCCTGCTGAGATCTTCTTACAAATCCTCTGATCCACTGCTTTCCACCCTGCCTGCCAAGCCCAGGTTCAAACGAATGTGTGCAGTGTGTGCTCACGCACACCTCCCTCACCAGCCAGCTGGTCCCGACTGCTCACCAGCACCTCTTAGCAAAGGTGGGCAGGAGGATGAGGACGTGGAGGATTCCCTCATGGACCAGGCACACAGCGCAATACGTACTCTCTGTCCCGGGTCTCCTTTCTTCCCATTTCAGCTGAGTAGAGGGCCTGGGAAAGGGCAGTGGAGATGGGCAGCACGTCCCAGGTGAATGACTTCCGATAGCAGAAGGCAGGGGACGTTGCACAGGCACAGAAAATGGGTAGAGAAATGAGGGAACGAAATGGAGGGAGAGACCGCTACCCCATTTTTTCATTTTAGTGACTGTTTTGTTTTGTTTTGTTTTGAGATGGAGTCTCGCTCTGTCACCCAGGCTGAAGTGCAGTGGCACGATCTCGGCTCACTCTAACCTACGTCCCCCAGGTTCAAGACATTCTCCTGCCTCAATCTCCCGAGTAGCTGGGATTACAGGCATGTGTCACCATGCCCAGCTAATTTTTGTATTTTTAGGTTTCGCCATGTTGGTCAGGCTGGTCTCGAACTCCTGACCTCAGGTGATGCGCCCGCCTCAGCCTCCCAAAGTGCTGGGATTACAGGCGTGAGCCACCGTGCCCAGTGTAGTGACTGTATTTTTCATATCTGTAAGTTTTATTTTGTTCTATTTCAAATTTGTTGGGTTTTTAAACACTACATTGTGGCTGGGCGCGGTGGCTCACACCTGTAATCACAGCACTTTGGGAGGCTGAGGCAGGCAGAGTTCGAGGTCAGGAGTTTGAGATCAGCCAGGCCAACATGGCAAAACCCTGTCTACTAAAAATACAAAAATTAGCTGGACGTGGTGGCACATGCCTGTAATCCAAGCTACTCGGGAGGCTGAGGCTGGAGAATCGCTTGAACCCAGGAGGCGGAGGTTTCAGGGAGCTGATTTTGTGCCACTGCACTCCAACGTGGGTGACAGAGTGAGACTCTGTCTCAATAAATAAATAAATAAATAAATAAATAAATAAATAAATAGGCTGGGCACGGTGGCTCATGCCTGAAATCCTGGCACTTTGGGAGGCCGAGGTGGGTGGATCACCTGAGGTCATGAGTTCAAGACCAGCCTGGCCAACATGGTGAAACCCCGTCTCTACTAAAAATACAAAAATTAGCTGGGCATGAGATTACATGCCTGTAATCTCAGCTACTTGGGAGGCTGAGGCAGGAGAATTGCTTGAACCTGGGAGGCAGAGGTTGCAGTGAGCCAAGATTATGCCATTGCACTACTGCCTGGGCAACAGAGCAAGACTCTGTCTCAAAATAATAATAAAAAATAAATAAATAAATAAATATAAATAAACTACATCATTCTTCTGCATTTAAAAAATTTAAAACAAATTTATTTAATTATCTAAAATTGTTGGTTGCAAGAGGCTGCCAATATGTTAGCATCTGCTTACTGCTCTGATTTTTACATCTTCAAATTTGGCTGCTGGAGATTCTCTTACCTTGTGGAGGGCTTTACTATGTAAATAAAACAGCAGTTTGTCATACTTCATCTAGCATTTTTAATATTTTGCTGTGGGTATTTTCCAAAAGGAAGTCCTCTGGCTTGAATTTCTAATACCTCCTCCAGCGACAGCAGGCTGTTGTTATTCGGGTGTGTGTGTCTAAGCAAAGGTGAATATTTCCATTTGAGGAATATAGCATAAGCTAAGTGGAAAGTCTGGGGAATACAAACTTTTGTAGGGAACACAAGTTCTGTAGTGCAGAGGCTTGAAGGAGATGAAGATGAAATGGTAGTTGCAACCTCATTGTGGACTCTCCTGAGGGCCAGGTTGCTGAGTTTGGACTTGGTAGGGAGCAACATACATTTATTTTATTGATTAACTGATGTTTTTTATTTTTAGAGACAGTGTCTCAGTCTGTTGCCCAGCCTGGAGTTTGGTGGCATGATCATGGCTCGCTGCAGTCTCAAACTCTTGGACTCAAACAATCACCCCACCTCAGCCTCCCAAGTAGGCAAGACTGCAGGTGCATGCCACCATGCCTGCTTATTTTATTTTATTTATTTTTTGAGACGGAGTCTCGCTCTTTCGCCCAGGCTGGTGCATCTTGGCTCACTGCAAGCTCCGCCTCCCGGGTTCACGCCATTCTCCTGCCTCAGCCTCCCGAGTAGCTGGAACTACAGGTGCCCGCCACCACGCCTGGCTAATTTTTTGTATTTTTAGTAGAGGCGGGGTCTCACAGTGTTAGCCAGGATGGTCTCGATCTCCTGACCTCATGATCCGCTGGCCTTGGCCTCGCAAAGTGCTGGGATTACAGGCGTGAGCCACCGCGCCCGACCTATGCCTGCTAATTTTAAAATTTTCTTTGTAGAGACAGAGTCTCACTATGTTGCCTAGGCTGGTTCAAACTCTTGGACTCAAGCAATATTTTTGCGTCTATCTCCAAAACTGCTGGGATTACAGGCACAAGCCACTGTGACTGTGTCTAGCCAACATAAATTGTTTAAAGCAGGAGTTTGATATGGAGGGAGTGTTTTCTTTTTTTCATCCACTGATTTGTACTTTAATTGTTCAAACACTTTTTTTTTTTTTTTTTTTTGGATACAGAATCTTGCTTTTTCACCCAGGCTGGAGTCTAGTGGTTCACTGCAGCCTCGACTTCTTCAGCTTAAGCAATCCTCCTGCCTTGGCCTCCCTAGTAGCTAAGACCACAGGCATACACCACCATGCCTAGCTAATTTTTAAACTTTTTGTAAAGATGGGCCTCAGTATGTTGTCCAGACTGGTCTTGAACACCTGGGCTCAAGCAATCCTCTTTCCTCAGCCTCCCAAAGTGCTGAGATTACAGGCGTGAGCCACCCCACTGCCTTTAAATACTTACCAACCCCTTCTACATCCCAGGAACTTGTGACTGTAGGTTGATTAGGCTGTTGGAAGTTTGCAGGATGGCTAGGATGTAGTGAGGTGGTTACTGCAGTGACCGAGAGGGTGGGTGGTGAGCGCCTAGCCGGAAGGAGTGGCAGATGAAAGCTGAGACATGTCAAGGCAGGAAGTGACAGAGTTTGGCAGTAGGGTTGATGGAGAAGGTGATGGAATACCAAAGTTGTGGGTTTCATACGTGGGTCTCTGGCTGTACTCTGCCACAATCATTTAATTAAGGGTTGTCTTGTGCATCCAGCATCTCAGAAATGGTCTCCTGAGAAAAAAATGCCTTCATTTGTCCTTGTACTTTCCTCTCTGGAGCTTGAGTACCATGGTGGTCCTACAGAAGAATGCAAAGGGTGGGGAGGCAGACATTCATTCAGCAGGTGTTTACTGAGCACTTGTTATATGCCAGGCTATGCTCTGGGTGTTAGGGAGATCATGGGGAACAAGAAGTTGGAAGAGTTTGCCATCACAGAGCATACATTTCTGGTGAGGAAGAGACAGAGGATAATCGCGTAAACAAACAGATCGGGATTTGAGATGGTGATGCTATTTGGGAAGAAAAAGAAGCAATAATCGCACAAAGGGACTAGCTTGGAGGATGAGGGGGCTCTCCCAGAAGTGACAGTCCTAAGACAGATAACTCAGGGCTGGAGGACATGACACCAAAAGGGTGTCAGGATTACAAAGACCTCAGGAATTTGGAGAATGGGAGCTGGGTAGAAGAGGAAAAAAATGTAGAACAGAGTCATTGCTGGTTTTCAGGATAAGCGTCTCCTTCCTAATCCATTGTCCTGAAAACAACGTCCTCCTTCACCTCACTGGCAGGAATAGAGTCAGCCTCAGACTTGGAGTTTTCTACCAGGAGTGCTTGAGAAAGAGGTACTGGCTAAAGACTGTCTGGGCTGGGCAGAAAATGATCGTGGCTTTCTTCTTCATCACAAACCCAGATCCCAAAACCAGTATGGGGGGATGGGGGATGTCCTATTGAAAGCCAGACTGGAACTAACCCCGTCCCCTCCCTCACAACACTTTTTCCGCACGTCCATTAGTACACTTATCAACCTTAGCATTGGATCAGAGTTATTTTTGTCTGTTTGTCTTCCCCCATGAGATTGTAAATTTCTAGATACTGGACCTGGGCATTTCCCCCTCTTTGTGGAGAGATTTTTAACCTTTTGTGGATCACATACATCCGTAAGAATCTGATGAAGAGGCCAGGCACGGTGGCTCATGCCTGCAATCCAGCACTTTGGGAGACTAAGGTAGGAGGATGGCTTGAGCCCAGGAGTTTGAGACCAGCATGGGCAACATAGCGAGACCCTGTCTCTACATAAAATTTAAAAATTAGCCCAGGCCAAGCATGGTGGCACACACCTGTAATCTCAGCATTTTGGGAGGCTGAGATGGGTGGATCACTTGAGTCCAGGAGTTCAAGATCAGCTTGGGCAACATCGTGAAACCCTGTCTACAAAAAATATAAGAATTAGCTGGAAGTGGTGGCACTACTATAGTCCCAGCTACTCGGGAGGCTCAAGATCACTTGAGCCTGGGAGGCAGAGGTTGCAGTGAGCCAAGATTGACCACTGCACTCCAGCCTGGGTGACAGAGGGAGACCTTGTCTCAAAAAAAAAAAAAAAAAAAAGCCAAGTGTGGTGGTGCATGCCTGTGGTCCCAACTACTCAGGAGGCTAAGGTGGGAGGATCACTTGAGCCCAGGAGTTTGAGGCTGCAATGAGCTATGATCTCACCGCTGTACTCCAGCCTGGGTGACAGAGTGAGATCCTATCTAAAAAGAAAGAAAAGAAGAGAAGAGAGAAAAGAAAAAAGGAATCTGGTGAAGAAACGGTTACACTTTCCCCAGAAGTTTGCTCGTCTCCTGTATATTTTGCATACTATTTTGGGAGGAGGTACACAGTCCCCTGACCCCTATACATGGATCCCTAGTTAAGAACTCTGCCTGAAGCTTTACCCAGTGCCTGGTATGTTCTTGGAGTCTGATGACTTGGGAATATTCTCCTTATTAAATCTCCTTGCTCTAGTTGCAGGGGACAGATGTTAGGTGGGAGAAAGAGAGCCAGGAAGAACCCTGCTGCTGGGAGATGCAGAAGAGTGTTTAAATCATCCATCTGGAAGCAGCCATCCAGAGAGCAGTAGCTTCACCCTCACTTCCTGTCCCGGCAGAACCGGAGGTGGGGTCTCCTCCCTGGGCTTGGTCTTCCCTTGGGCTCTGCCGCGCCTCCTCTTCGCCCTGTGCCTGCTGTTTTCCAGTCTCATGACATCCCTCTGCTTGTCTTTCAAAACTCTGCTTATCCTTCTCTCTCATCTCTTCCCTGAAGCCTTCCTCAATTATTTTAGAACCAGCTGACTTCGTTCTTTCTGGAACTTGTGTTGCACCTAAGTTTTCTGAAACTTACAATTGATCACTGACTTTCTTTCATTCCTACTTCATCTGGGTTGGTCTTGCGTGTCCCAGCTAGGTTGCTAGAGAAGCCAAAGATGGCTCCAGAGTATCTGGTTAGGACAGTTTGCTTCACTCTCCCCACAGCATTGATGGAATGCTTGGAAGAGGCAGGCAGTTCCCTTAGAATCGGGTCGGCGCAGGCTTCGCTGTGCCCGTGTTTCCTCCGTATGGACATGGCCATCCTTGCTGCCTTAACTTCTGGCATTGCTGTTGTGCCCTCCAGGCCATCTGCTGCTGTCTTTGGTCCTCCATTTCTTCCTTCCTTTACCATGGCATAGTGGTGAGAAGCTTTGAAGTCAGACTACGTGACTTTGATCCCCGGCTCTTGTCCTTAGTCAGCTGCGCCTCAGTGAGCATATTATTGAGCCTCAATATGTCCCAGTTTCTTCTCTGTAAAATGGGACTATTAATGGTACCTGTCTCATTGTGTTTTTGTTGTGACAATTAAGTGAAATAATACAGATAAAGTACTTAGAACAGTTTCTAATACATAGTGTTTGATAAATGTTAGCTGATGGCTGGACACAGTGGCTCACATCTGTAATCGCAGTGCTTTTAGAGGTTAGAGGCTGAGGTAAGAGAATCCCTTGAGGCCGGAAGTTTAAGACCAGCCTGGGCAACATAGCAAGACCCCCATCTCTACCAAACAATAAAATAAAATAAAGAAAAATTAGCTGGGCATGGTGGTGTGCACCTGTAATGCTAGTTATTAATACTTGGGAGGCTGAGGCAGGTGGATCGCTTGAGCATAGGAGTTGGAGGCTGTAGTGAGCTGTGATCACGCCACTGCACCCCAGCCTGGGTGACAGAGCAAGGCCCTGCCTCATAAATAAATAAATGCTTATCTGAGCGCCTAGTATGTGCCCAGAATTGAATGTTGATTTGAAGATACATGCAGTAGATGTTAGGCGCCATTGTTTATTATAACTTAATCAGCTTTTCAATACCCTCTGTCCCTGTTTTGATTGGTTTTAGCATGCTGACTTTCACATATCAAAGAATCCTAGGACAGGGTGGACCCCAGGGGTGCAGACATGGAAGAAAACCAAAAGCAAAGCAGAAGTCCAGAGATTTTAAATTCTGAAATGGATTATATCTGCATTTCTTCTTCTAGGCCCATGGCAGACATCTCCAATAGAACATGAAATTCTTTTACCGAGCTCAGCTGCAGCCTCAGAATTTTCTCAACATTTCTCACCAGGCAGTCACTACAAATTGACTTGAGCTGCCCCTTAAAAAGGTTATCTATTTACCCAGCCTCCTGATTTTACCAGTGAAGAATTGAAAGCCTGGAGAGCTTTAATCAACCTGCCCATATAGCAGTTTATAGGACTCCTGGTGCCTAGACTATTGTTTACAACACACCATGCCACTCACCCTCTGCCTTCGCTCATTCCCTTTTTGTTTGCTGAGGATGCCTCCTTTTAACATCTGAGTTTCACGAGGTCAGGGAAGATCCTTTCTTTTTCTAACTGCCCTAACAATCTGGTAGTATATTGTGCCTGCATATAGACCAACCTCAAGTCTATTGATCTATTTTTTTCTTACCAGTGAACTAGCTGAAGTTATTGCCACTCAGTTGGGGGTGGATCATGCATGTTCCCAACTCAGCTGCCTTTAGGGGTGATCCATGCACTGACACCCTGCATTGACATTGATATTGGAGAGTAACCTGCAAAGAAGTTATTGTTGATGTTGAATTGAATTTTCACATTGCACGAGAAAGGCCAAGGCTCGACATTCTTCATCCAACAGGTTCCTTTGTTGCACACTCCCGTCCTGAGAAACGGAACCCATTCCAGTGTACAGCTTCTTAAATAAAAGGCAAATGGAGTCATGATTTCCTCTCTCACTTTCTTGAATCGAGAAGGGATGGGAAATAATGAATAGATGAAGTTGATTTTAGATCAGAAGAATCCTGGAACACATGAATGATGAAGCCCTTTGGTAGACAGATTCATGATGTATTTAAAACATTGCTGTCTTATCCGTTATTCTTCTCTCTGTGTAGAAATATACAAGTTGATGAGGGCAGATATTTTCATAATCCTAGTTCTGTTTAGCAAATGGAAGTCCATTACTGGCAGTGTGAGGGTAAAAAGTGAAATGGGTAACAGATTAAAGAAAAGTGGCAGAGAGGTAGCAACAAATAGGTTCAGAACATGTTTGGAAGATTATAGAGGGGGCACAATGGTTCAGAATGCCTGCAATCCTGGCACTTTCAGAGGCTGCTGTGGGCATATTGCTTGCACCTAGGAGTTTTAGAGCAGCCTGGGCAACATGGCAAGACCCCATCTCTACAAAAAATTTAAAAGTTAGCCAGGCATGGTGGCCCAACCCTGTAGTCCCAGCTACTTGGGAGGCTGAGGTGGGAGGATCGCATGAGCCCAGGAGATCAAGGCTGCAGTGAGCTGTGTTCGCACTACTGCACTCCAGCCTGGGTGGCAGAGTGACACTCTGTCTTTAAAAAAAAAAAAAAAAAAAAAATTAGAGGAGGTAAAAAAAAAAAAAATATTCAAGCCTGATTTAGCTTGTTGAATGAGAATTCAATTTTGCTTTGATGCATGAAAATTGAAAAAATATTTGCATAAAGAAAATTCTCCAGTAGTAAAGCTTTAATTAGGTTGCTTAGGAAATACCACCTGTCTGTTTTAGGGAAGTATTTATTGATTGAAGCAAGAGCTATCAAATTGGAAGTCAACATTTACCATTTTGAGAAAAAGAAATGGGCAAAAACTACCCAAGGTACTTGTTAATACAAAAAAGAATAGGGAAGTTCAGTTTCTGGGATATAGAAATTGGTTGTGATATTTTCAGTGATGATTCTTCTAGCAGCTTTTTCAACAGGAAAAAAAATCCTTAAGAAAGGGTTTTTCTATCTTTTTCTGATCCTTTGTATCTCTAAGAAGGTTGGGAAAGTTCCAGGGTGGTGAACACTTTCTCCAGCCGGCAGGGTTTTCACGAACCAATCTTGGGAAGGAAGGGGTGGAAGGGCAGGCAAACAACAGTACCCTGTTTTTACATAGAACCTTTCTCCTGGGAAGTCACAGCTGTGGTTACCTTCAGGATCAGAGGTTGCTACTGCTCTTCTCCCTGAAGGAAGTTTGGTCCTTTTCCACCCATCTGGGAAGGTGTCCTTATGGACAATGGAAGTGGAAAATGACACCCACCTAGCGTGATGAATCCTGGAGTTCGCTGGGAAGACAGAGGTTACAGCCTCCTTTATAGAGAGGGGAAACTAAGGCAAGAGGAAGCTGGCACAGACAAACCTATTAAGTCCTGAAGGAATCAAGGCTTCTGACTCAGCTCCAGGTAGGGGATGTAGCAGAGTTCAGAAGCTCAGCAGGCCACAGGAGACAGCCTAGAGTCTCTCTGCAGTGACCTGACTCTTGGTGAAGGTATTTTGTTTCATGGCTGTGGCTTTTTTTTTATTATTATTTAAATGAAGCAGGGTCTCACCATGTTGCCCAGGTTGGTGTCAAACTCCTGGGCTCAAGCCATCATCCGACCTCAGCCGCCAGAGTAGCTGGGTTACAAGCACGTGCCACCGTGTTCAGTGATGGCTGTGGCTTTGATGGTGTCACTGCCCCACTCTGCCCAGATCCCTTCCCTGAACTGTTGTTCTTGGACTGCCAAACTGGGTAGGGGCAGTAGGACTTTGAATCTGGTCATCAGCAGTAAAAGGGGATATACTTAGGGGACCTTTGGTCACCTAACAGCCAAGAAGAGAAACAAAGTGAAGTCAGGGAAATATGGGGGACAGGATCTTACTTCTAAGGACTCTCGATAAGGGGGAAGTTGAGCAACTGTGTCAGGTGCAGATAAAAAGTCTGGAAGAATGATACCTGGGAAGAAACCAGCACGTTTGGCCAAGGAACAGGGAGAGTTACTGGTGAATTGTGTTAACTGAGACGTGCCGCAGCAGGAGGACGGCAGAAGCCACGTTGTAGAATCATAGAGTATTTAGGCTGGAGGGGAACACCGTGTCCAACTGAGGCCTTTAGTGGTCGGGTGATTTCTCTCTCGTTTTTGCTCATGTAAGTGCAGTGGATCCTGGAGTTTGTTACCAGGATGGGGAGTTCTATTCAGAACTGACCAATTAAAAAAAAACCAACCAGGATGGGGAGTTCTTTTTTTTTTTTTTTTGAGATGGAGTCTCGCTCTGTCGCCCAGGCTGGAGTGCAGTGGCGCCATCTCGGCTCACTGCAAGCTCCACCTCCCGGGTTCACGCCATTCTCCTGCCTCAGCCTCCGGAGTAGCTGGGACTACAGGCGCTCGCCACCACCCCCTGGATAATTTTTTTGTATTTTTAGTAGAGACAAGGTTTCACTGCGTTAGCCAGGATGGTCTCGATCTCCTGACCTCGTGATCCGCCCGCCTCGGCCTCCCAAAGTGCTGAGATTACAGGCGTGAGCCACCGCGCCCGGCCAGGATGGGGAGTTCTATTCAGAACTGACCAATTAAAAAGGAAAAAACATAAGTCCTTTTTCTCTTAAGCATATGGTTAGGGTAAGAATACTCTTGTGGGATTCAGGCTGTGTGGGGTCCAGTCTTGGTTCTGTGGGAACTGGCTCTGTGACTTTGAGCAGGTCAGCTCTGCCCCCGGACGTCAGTTTCCTTTTCCGTAAACACGGAAGGCTTGACGGTGTGGTTCCTGAGGTCCCTCTGACCCTGACATTACGGAAGGCTTGACGGCCTGGTTCCTGAGGTCCCCCTGACTGACATTATTCCCAAAGAAAATGCATTGGCCTTAGCACTGGGGATTCTGAGTTGGCCGTGGCTGGAGAAAGACTATGATAAGGAGCCCTGGGGAGATGCCTGGGTTCCTATTGGTGACCTCGCCTTCTCGTTCAAGCAGGACGGGGAGTGGGACCCAGGCCCAGCCTTATCTCCGGGACCGCGGCTGTCCTCACCCCTCCTCCTGTCACCTGAGAATAAAAGGGTGGGCTCCATAGGCGGGGGCTGTGAGGAGGGGTGCAATTGCATGGGTCATGGACGATGGTCCTTAGACATCTCTGGGGAGCCTTTGGCGGGAGAGGCGCAGGGACTTGGGGGCACTTCCCCAGGCCCTGGTGACCGTGGTCATCTTTGTCACAGCCTCCTCCTCTGCCCTTGCAGGCCAAGGACTGGACCAGTCCCTCTCAGCCTTGCCTCTATCTCTCCCTGCCTGCTCGGCAGCCAACACAGAAACACTGCTGTGTGCTTAGCCCAGGGGTGGGAGGGATTTCTGCCCAGGGATTGGCCATGGAATTGGCTGCTTATTTTGGCAGCTCCCACCACAAAGACCATCAGACGCTGAGGGAAGGCGAGGTGGGAGTTAGTGAGTCATGGCCATGCCTCAGGGAGGGAGGGAGCTTTCACCAGAGGTGCCCCTGGAGGAAGCAGACTTCCCCTCCAAAGAAGAGGGGTGGGACTCTGGATGCTTCCTCCCAGGGTCACTGGCTTAGGTCAACTAAGGGGATGAGCATCCCCGTGGCGTTCTGTGTAATGGGAATAATGGCCCTGACCTCACAGTGCCGTGGCAGCAAGTTGAAAAGCTAGCACATCAAGCTCTCAGTGAAGGGTTGCTTTCCTTTCCTTGGTGTGCCTTAGGATATGACGGGGTAGGCACCATGGGTGCAGACATGGAGGAAAACCAGAAGCAAATCAGGAGTCCAGCTGCCCACATCCAGTCACTCTTGATTCTCGTGGTTTCTCCAGTGCCCAGCTGAGGCTGGCCATGGTGGGAAAGTGGGACTTTGCTCTGTGCTGCCTTCTCCTAACCCTGTGTTGTCCTGAGGCCAGGCAGACAGGCCCCAGTCATTACCTCACCGCAGGGCCCCTGTCTGCCAGAGTGCATGGTGGAGCTGCCTGGGTGGAGAGCGGAGCTAATTTTAGACCTGGAGACTCTTTGCCAACAGCTGTGGCTGGGCCCAGGCAGCTGGGCTGGATGGCTGGGGGGAGTCTCAGCCGCCCTGCAGGGAGCCCTGGACACAGCGCTCCAGGTCTGCTCTTGGGGGCATATTCCTGCCTCAGCCTCAGCTGTGGGGAAGCCTGGATGAGGGTCCCTCTGCACAGAGGGTGCTTCCTTCCTCCCTCTTGCATCAAGATATTTCTGTCCTCCATCTCCTCTTTCTAGGTGGCTTTGTAGACCAGAAAACATTGATACGGCATCTTAGATGGTAGGTCAGTGGGCCTCTGAAATGGGGCAGGTAGGGGCAACAGGAAGAAAAGGGTGTCCCCAAATCGTTCTGGGTTTATAGGCTAAATCCAGCCTCCCACTCAACCCCGAGCCAATAATCTAATTGAGTGCTTCTCAACCTCCTTCCTGTTAGTACACAGAGAAAATGACAGGAAAAGATACTTGTAACACACATAGGGGTATAAAGAGGTTTGTGGTTGGATGTTGCCAGCCCTCAGATTCTGCTGCTCCAAGCACTGAGGGCTGATACTTTGGGACACGTTACCATTTGGAGCCTACTAGCAGCCACAGCACACCAGTGGGGAAGCTCTGATATCGTCCGTCAGTGGCTTGCCACAGTCCATGTATGCCAAGTCCAAGCTTCAGGAAACATCTCCTTGGCTAATCATAGACCTGTGCTGGAAGGGAACCCAGAGAGCATTGAATCTGTGCTCTCCTTTTACAGATGAGGAAACTGAGGCTGAAAGAGGCTTGTCCAAGGTTAAAAAGCTAGTAAGTCAAAATCCCAGTTTTAAGTTCTGTTAGGACAGTCATCCCTTCATTTATCCAACATTTATTGAGTTCCAATAAAGATCAATATTTGGAGGATACAATGATGAAAAAAGTTGTGGGGATTCGTCTGTATTTGGTAAAGAGAAAACCAAGGAAACCATTCAGGAAGGTCGTTATTTCCGGTGAGAGAGATGGGGATGTGATTGGAGAGAGGCACAGAGGGCTTCAAAACGTGTCTGTTTCTTAAGCATATGCAGCCAGGCACCGTGGCACACACCTATAGTTCCGGCTACTCAGGAGGCTAAGGTGAGAGGTTCACTTGAGCCCAGGGGTTTGAGGCTGAAGTGATGTATGATAGAGCCTGTGAATTGCAACCACATTCCAGCCTGGGCAACATAGTGAGACCCCATTTCAGAAGGAAAGAAAGTGTACACAGGTGTTATTCTTCTTTTCTCTCTTTTTTTCTGGAGACAGGATCTCACTCTGTCACCCAGGCTGGAGTGCAGTGGCATGATCATGGCTCACTGCAGCCTTAACCCCCTGGGTTCAAGTGATTCTTCCACTTCAGCCTCCTGAGTAGCTGGCACTACAGGTGGATGTCACCTCATCCAGCTAATTTTTTTTTTCCCTTTGGAGAGACAGGGTCTTACCGTGTTGCCCAGGCTGGTCTTGAACTCCTGGGTTCAAGCACTCCTACCACCTCAGTCTCCCAAAGTGCTGGGATTATGGACATAAGCCAGGATGCACGGTTGTAGGTGTTATTCTTTAAACCATCCTATATATTCCTTTAGATGCATATTTCTTTTAAATAGCAATTGATAAATATAGAAAGAAAAGTGAGACAGCTAGAGAAAAGTGGCCTGTGGAGTTAGGTAAGGAGAAAGACAAGTAGCTTTGCTGTTACAAGGCAGGGTGGTAAGAACCATGGCAAAGCTATTATAGTAACAGCCCAGCTTGGCTGGACACAGTGGCTCATACCTGTAATCCCATAACTTTGGGAGGCCAAGGCAGATGAATCATTTGAGCTCAGGAGTTTGACACCAGCCTGAGCAACATGGTGAAACCCCCTCTCTACCAAAAATACAAAAAATTCACTGGGTGTAGTGGTGTGTGCCTGTGGTCCCAGCTACTCAGGAGGCTGAGGTAGGAGGATCGTTTGAGCCCGGGAGGCAGAGGTTGCAGAGAGCTGAGGTCATGCCACTGCACTCCAGCCTGGGCAACATAGTGAGACCCTGTCCCCCACAATAAATAGTAGCCCAGTTATGTGCACGTGGCACATGTGATCTCATTTAATCCTCACAACGGACACTTTCTATTGTTTCCATTTTACAGGTGAGAAAATTGAAGTTCAGAGGTACTTACCTTGTTCAGAGTTTCATGGTGAATCTTCTTTGCAGTCAGATTCAAGTGCTCACATCTTAGCCATGACACTGCAATGGTGGAGGGGCGAGTTGACTTGCACAGTGAGCTGGCCTTGGGGTGGGATAGGGGAGAAAAAGGCAGGAAAGTTACTAAATCTCTCTAATTTGTTTCCCAGTTCATAAAGTGGAACTAACTTTACTTGCTGCTCCTTCTTGTCCAAATAATTTGAATATGAAAGCACTATATCAGCATAAAAGCTGACATTTATGAGGAACTAATCCCGTACCAGCGACTTTTCAGGTGACACCTTCTCTAATCGTTCCTTGACCCCATCAGGAGCACACGATCCCTGTTTCACAGGCAGACTGCCTCCCTGCTCTTAGCATCCTCCAGTTACACATCTCTTTCCGCCCTGCCTTCCCCGAGGTGCTGGCTTTCACTTGTCAGTGACGGTCATTCTGAGGCTGAGATGTAAGAGATACGAAGTACCTGTCCTTACCCCACCCCTAATGCAAGCAATGCCATCCTGTTGGCACGTGCCACGGTTATCTCTGGGGCCATCACCCTTTGCTGAGAAGGCTGAGGCTTTGAAATCCTTGAGCTTTCACAGTGGTTCTCGGCCTGGCTGCACACTGGAGTACCTGAGGAGCTTTAAGGACTCTAGCTTTAAGAATTATTCGTGTAAGACCTCACCCCAAGTCAATCAGTTAGATTTGAGAGGAGGAGTAGCCCAGCATCATTCTCCAGGTGACTCTGAAGGGCAGTCAAGGTAGAGAGCCTCAGGTGTACACTTTCTCTCCAGATGAGCTGAGCTGAGAAATAAAGGGTCATGAAGAGATGAGAGAACACAGCTAAGCAATGACCTGGATGCCGCCTGGCCCCAGGCTGGCCCAAGGATTAGGCAGGACAAGTCAGGAAATGGGAAAAGAAACAGAGAAGGAAGGAGACAATGAAGTCTACAGGAAAGAGGAGAAAAATTAAAAAAAAAAAAAAACCACTCGTTTTGGTTTGGAGGATGCTAAATTCCTCCCAGTAATGGTCCCAGACCTTTCCAGTGGTATGTATGGTGTGAATTCCGGTGTGTTCTGAACTCAGGTCCATCCTGTGGTGTATGTGGGCTTCAGGAGATACAAGGAAGTGTGAACGCTGTCCAACTGGTATTCCAAGAGCTATGGTGTTCTCGCATAGACAAAATATACACGTCACACATAACACATCCCTTTGGCATGTTCTCCCCAGCACCCAGAAGCACCCTCATGAGAAGTGAATTCTGGCATAGAGGAGGAAGACGTGGTGTTGGAGGTGGGATTTGAACTGGGGTGTATGATGCAGAGGACTTAGATGATGAGGGAGGATGAAGACAGAGGAAACAAGCACGGATGTGCCAGGGACAGGACAAGCCTGGCCTGATGTGAGAGGAGGCTGCTACATCCCCAGCAAGCGTGGGCACTGAGAAGAAAGATGTACTTACAGTCCAAGGGCAGCAAAGTTGAGAGAAAAGGAGGGAGAAACCAGCTATGGGAAATGGATCAGGCTCAGTAGATATGTGAATGGTAGATTAATCACTTGACCACACAAATACATTTTCTATCTCTACTTGGAGTCTGATTCTATGACATTAGGAACCAGCAAACTGGGACCCCCATGGTGGGGTGGTGTTTACAGATGTTCCACTAGGAGCAAGAGATGTGAAGAAACCAAGACCCAGAAATATGTGAATGACCTCAGGGTCGATAGACCCAAGGCTTCGGCTGGCGACTGAGAATGACAACAATGATTCTCAACCTCAGCTACGAATGGGATTGCCTAGGAAGCTTAAAAAATAACTGAGGCGATACAAGCATATGATTTATCGACACTCACGGAACTGTTCGTGTAAAATGGATACATTTTATTATATATAAATTATACTTTAAAAAGTTGATTTTTAAACCTAGTCAACTTCTGGTCTACCATGTAAGGAGCTCAGAATCTCTGCCCTTCTGTCCTAACCACAAGTAAAGAGCTGAACAGACTGGGAAATCGACAATTCTTAGATTCCTCAGAGAAGGGAGGTGAGAAGGAAAACTGCTGTCCCCAAAACTGGGGAGACAGGTAGGCAGATGCAGAGAATCACAACTTACCAAAGCAGAAATCCATGAGCAGAAACCTCTGCAGAAACCAGTGTCTAGGCAGGAAAACCTAAACTGTAATTGATGAATTACTGGAGGCTCAGTGTGAACAAGTCTGAGAATTAAAAATTCCAGGGGACTCAGTCCCAAGCTTGTGTGAGTTTTACCTCTAGGAGCCTACCAAGTCCTCCCTGTACATTTTGGAGAAAAATCCCCTTCTACTTCCAGCAGGGGGAGGGAAAAAGAAAGCATTCTGAAATACACCAAAATATTCTTTTTTTTTTTTTTTTTTTTTTGAGACGGAGTCTCACTTTGCCACCCAGGCTAGAGTGCAGTGGCGTGATCTTGGCTCACTGCAACCTCCACCCCTCAAGTTTAAGTGATTCTCCCACCTCAGCCTCCTGAGTACTTGGGATTACAGGTGCCTGCCACTGCACCCGGCTAATTTTTGTCTTTTTAGTAGAGATGGGGTTTCACCATCTTGGCCAGGCTGGTCTTGAACTCCTGACCTCATGATCCACCCGCCTCGGCCTCCCAAGTGCTGGGATTACAGGTGTGAGCCACCAAGCCCGGCCTATTCTGTTTTTCTTAACAAGGCCTGCCCTCAGGGGAAACTATTTTACGAGCCTGACTTGCTGTCCTAACCTACCTAGGGGAGGGGAAATACCCAACACCAGCCCCTTCTGGTCATCCTGTCCCATCTAGAGTGGGGAGAAGTCTGATGTAGATCACAGTCCAGAGGCAGAAGCTCATTGAAAGACTGAGATAAAACTATAGAATGCATCTGCTCCTGGACACCTAACCACGATATCACTAAAGGCCCTTTTCATAATTTGTTTTACTCAGCACATCACTTTCAACAAAAAGTTACGAGGCATACTAAAAGGGAAAAAACACATTTTGAAGAGACTGGACAATTAGAACCAGAGTAGGTATGGAAGAAGTGTTAGAGAGGCCAGACATTTTTTTAAACTATGATGATTAATATATTAAAATTTTTAATGAAAAAAGTAGACAACATGCAAGAACAGATGGCTAATGTAAGCAGAAAGATGGGAATTCTAAGAATGAATCAAAAGAAACCCTAGAGATCAAAACCCCTCTAACAGAAATGAAGAATGTCTTCAATGGACTCATTAGTAGATGGGACACAGCTACGAAAAGGATCTCTGAGCTTTAGGATATGACGACATAAACTTTCAAAACTGAAAAGCACAGAGAAAAAAGACAAAAACATAACAGAATATCCAAGAACTGTGGGACAATTACAAAAGGTGAAATATACATAATGGAATATCAGAAGGAAAAGAGAGAAACAGAAGCAATATTTGAAACGATAGCAACTGACAGTTTTCCCCAAATTAATGATAAACACCAAACCACAGATCCAAGAAGCTCAGAAATCATCAAGCAGGATAAACACCAAAATAAAACAATAAACACAATACCTAGCCAGACCATATTCAAACTAAGGAAAGTCAAAGATTTAAAAAAAGTCTTGCCGTGTGTGGTAGCTTACACCTGTAATCTTAGCACTTTGGGAGGCTGAGGCGGGCAGATCACTTGAGGCCAGGAGTTCGAGACCAGCCTGGCCAACATGGTGAAACCTGGTTTCTACTAAAAATACAAAAACTAGCCCGGTGTAGTGGCGCATGCCTGTAGTCCCAGCTACTTGGGAGGCTGAGGCAGGAGAATCACTTGAACCTAGGAGGCAGAGGTTGCAGTGAGCCGAGATCGTGCCACTGCACTCCAGCCTGGGCAACAGAGCGAGACTCTATCTTGAAAAAAAAAAAAAGAAAGAAAAGAAGAAGAAGACCAAGAAGAACAGCCTGGGAAACATAGTAAAACCTTGTCTCTACCAAAAAAAAATTTTAAAATTAGCCAGGCATGGTGACATGCGCCCAGCTACTTTGGGAGGCTGAGGTGGGAGGATCACTAGAGCCCAGGAGGCTGAGGCTGCAGTGAGCTGTGGTTACACCATTGCACTCCAGCTTGGGCAACAGAGCAAGGCCCTGTCTCCAAAACAAACAAAAAACCCAAAACTTGTAAGTAGCCAGATAGGGGGAAAACACCTATCAAGAAGCAAAGATAAGAATTAACATCTGACTTCTCAGAAACCGGGTATGGGCCAGTATGGTGACTCACGTATGTAATCCTAGCACTTTGAGATGCAAACAAGAAGTGAGTCAAGTGAAATATTTAAACAGCTGAGAAGAAGAAAAAAAAAAAAAACCCCATCAACCTAGAATTCTGAACCCTGTGAAATGATTCTTCAAAAGTGAAGCAGAAATACTTTCTCAGACAAACAAAAATTGAGGGAATTTGTTGCCAGTAGACCTGCCTTGCAAGAAATGTTAAAAGTAGTTCTTTAAAGAGAAAGAAAATGATACGTCAGAAACTTGGATCTACATAAAGAAAAGAAGAATGTTGTAGAATGAATAACTGAAGGTAAAATAAAAATTGTAATTCTTCATTGATCTAACAGATAGGTTTATTCAAAATTATAACAATGTATTCAATTATGTATGCTCATATATACTGATGTATGCTTATATATAAGTGAAATGAATTGCAGCATTAATGCAAGAGATGAATAGGCAGAATTAGGAATATTTTGTTATTGTAAAGTACTTGCACTACCTGTGGAGTGGTATAGTGTTGTGTGAAAGTGGATGTCCCAGCCTGGGCAACATAGCAAGACCCCATCTCTACAAAAAAATTTAAAAATTAAATTTTTAAAATTTTTTTAACAATGGCACATGCATGTAGCTCCAGCTACTTGGGAGGCAGAGGTGGGAGGACTGCTTGAGCCCAGGAGCCCAAGGTTGCAGTGAGCTATGATTGCACCTCTTCACTCCTGCCTAGGGAACAGAGTGAAACCCTGTGAAAAAGAAAAGAAAGAAAAGAAAAAAGAAAGCAGATGTGGTTTACTTGTATGTTGTAAACTCTAGGGCTCCACTGGAAAAAAAAAAAAGTATAACTGATATGCTAACAAAGGAGAGAAATAATGGAATCATTAAAATGCTCGCTTAAAACCACGGAAGACTGCAGCTATAAAAAAGAATGGGTTCATGTCCTTTGCAGGGACATGGATGAAGCTGGAAACCGTCATTTTCAGCAAACTAACACAGGAACAGAAAACCAAATACCACGTTCTCACTCATAAGTGGGAGTTGAACAATGAGAACACATGGACACAGGGAGGGGAACATCATACACTGGGGCCTGTCAGGGGTTGGGGTGGGGGGGCAAGGGGAGGGAGAGCATTAGGACAAATACCTAATGTATGCAGGGCTTAAAATCTAGATGATGGGTTGATAAGGGAAGCAAACCACCATGGCACATGTATACCTGTGGAACAAATCTGCATGTTCTGCACATGTATCCCAGAACTTAAAAAAAAAAAAAAACCCACAAAATACAGAAAAAGAAAGGAAGACAAAAATAGAAAGAGAGCGTAAGGGCAATACATAGACAATAGTAATAAATATGATAGATATTATTAACCCAGGTATTTTAATAATCATTTTAACTGTGAATGGTCGAAATAAACCAATTAAAAGATGGAGATTGTCAGAGTGCATCTAAAAACAAAACCCAACTGTATATTTTCCACAAGATAACCACTTTAAATAGAAAGACTCATATAGATTAAACGTAAAGGAATGGAGGAAAATATACCATGCTAACACTAATAAAAAGAAAGCGGAAGAATAGATGAATCCACTGTTAGAGTTGAAGACTTCAACATCTCTCTAGAAATTGACAGATGCAGCAGCCGGAAAATTGGTAAAGACATAATTGAACTTAACAGCACCATCCGTCAACTGGATATAATTGACATCTATGAACTGCTTCATCCAGCAATAGCAGATTACTAATTCTTCTCAAGCTCACATGGAACATTTACCAAGATTGACCATATTCGGGGTGGTAAAACACACCTTAACAAATACAAAAGAATAGAGTTATACAATGTCTGATCTCAGACCACGATGGAATTAAACTAAAAATCAATAACAGAAAGATAACTGGAAAGTCCTCAAATATATGGATATTTAAAAATGTGCTTTCGAATAACACTTATGTCAAAGAAGAAATCTCAAGAGAAATGTAAAAATCTTGAACTAAATGAAAATATAACCTAAAATTTGTGGGATGCAGTGATAGCAGTGCTTAGAGGGAAATTTATAACACTGAATGCTTATATTAGAAGAGAAGAAAGATCTAACATCAATGACCTAAGCTTCTACCTTAGAAAACTAGGAAAAAAGAGCAAATTAAATTTCAAAAACAGAAGAAATAATGAAAATTGGAACAGAAATCAATGAAATTGAAAATAGGAAATCAGTACAGAAAGTTAATAAGACCAAAAGCTGTTTCTTTAAAAAGATCAGTAAGATTGATAAGCCTCTAAGCCATGCTAACTAAGAAAAAAAAACAAATTACTAATGTCACAAGTGAAAGAGGAGACATCACTACAGATCTCATGGACATTAAAAGTATAATAAAAGAATATTATGGGCTGGGTATGGTGACTCACATATGTAATCCTAGCACTTTGGGAGGCAGAAGTGGGCAGATCACTTTAAGCTCAGTAGTTCAAGACCAGCCTGGGCAAAACCCCATCTCTGCAAAAAATACAAAAATTATCTGGGCATAGTGGCTTGTGCCTATAGTCCCAGCTACTCAGGAGGCTGAGGCTGGAGGATCATTTGAGCTGGGAAGTGGTGGTTGCAGTGAGCTGAGATCATGCCCTGCACTCCAGCCTGGGTGACAGAGCGAGACACTGTCTCAAAAAAAAAAAAAAATTACGGACAACTCTACACCCCAAAATTTGACAACCTAGATGAAATGGACCAATTCTTTGAAAGACACAATCTGCCAAAACTCACACAAGAAGAAATAAACCATCTGAATAGTCATATCTACTAAGGAATTTGAAGAAGTAATTAATAACCTTTCAAAACAGAAAGCCCCAGGCCCAGATGGGTCTGCAGATGATTTCTACTAAACATGTAAGGAGGAAATTATGCCATTTCTCTACAATCTCTTCTAGAAGATAGAAGCAGAGGGAATACTACCTAACTAATTCTATGAGGCCAGCATTACCTTAATACCAGACCCAGACAAAGACCTTACAAGAAAGAAAATTACAGATTAATATCTCTTATGAACATAGATGCAAAAATCCTCAACAAAATATTAGCAAATTGAATCCAACATGTGTAAAAAGATTATACATCATGGCCATTTTTTCTAGGTATGCAAGGGTGGTTCAACACTTAAAAATCAATTAATGTAATTAATCACATAGGCAAAAAAAGAAAAATTACATGATCATATCAATAGATACAGAAAAGATATTTGACAAAACCTGACACCTATTCATGATACAAATTCTTTTTTTTTTTTTTTAAGACAGTCTTGCTTTGTTGCCCAGGCTGGAGTGCAGTGGTGCAATCTTGGCTCACTGCAGCCTCAACCTTCTGGGCTCAAACAATCCTTGCTCTTTAGCCTTCTGAGTAGCTGAGATTACAGGCGTGCACCATCATGCCCAGCTAATTTTTGTATTTTTGTAGAGACGGGGTTTTGCCATGTTGCCCAGGCTAGTCTTGAACTCCTGAGCTCAAGCAATCTGCCTGCCTCGGCCTCCCAAAGTGCTGGGATTATAGGCATGAACCACCACACCCAGCCTGATTTGTGATACAAATTCTTAATAAACTAGGAATAGAGGGGAACTTCCTCAACTTGATAAGCAGTATCTACAACCTACAACTAACATTATACTTAATAGTAAGAAACTCAAAGCTTTCCCATTGAAATCAGGAACAAGGCAATAGGCCGGGTGCGGTGGCTTACGCCTGTAATCCCAGCACTTTGGGAGGCCGAGGTGGGCAGATCACGAGGTCAGGAGTTCAAGACCAGTCTGGCCAACATAGTGAAACCTCGTCTCTACTAAAAATACAAAAAAAAATTAGCCAGGTGTGGTGGTGGGTGCCTGTAGTTCCAGCTACTCGGGAGGCTGAGGCAGGAAAATTGTGTGAACCCAGGAGGCGGAGGTTGCAGTGAGCGGAGATCATGGCACTGCACTCCAGTTTGGGCACCAGAACGAGACCGTCTCAAAAAAAAAAAAGAACAAGGCAAGAAAGCCACCTCTCACTGCTCCTTTTCAACATTATACTGGAAGTCCTATCTAATGCAATAAGACAAGAAAAGGAAAAAAAGGTATACAGGTTGAGAAGGAAGAAATAAAACTGTTCACAGATGTCATGATATTCTATATAAAAAATCTGAAAGAACTGACAAGAAAACTGGAACTAATAAGCAAGTATAGAAGGGTTGCAGGATACAGGGATACAGATGTCAATTGCTTTCTGATATACCAGCAATGAACAAGTGGAATTTGAAATTAAAAACTCATTAATATTCACATTAGCATCCCCCCAAAATGGAATATTTAGGTATAAGTCTAACAAAATATTTGCAAGATCTAGATGAGGAAAACTACAAAACTCTCATGAAAGAAATCAAAGAACTAATTAAGTAAAGAGATATTCTATGTTCATGAACAGGAAGAATCGATATTGTCAAAACATTTGTTCTTCCCAACTTGATCTACAGACTCAATGCAATCCCAATCAAAACCCCAGCAAGTTATTTTGTGAATATTGGCAAACTGATTCTAAAATTTATATGGAGAGGCAAAAGACCCAGAAAGTCAAGTCAGTGTTGGAGGCAAAGAACAAAGTCAGAAGACTGACACTACCTGAATTCAAGAGAGTACGGAGCTACAGTAATGAAGACACTGTTATATTGGCAAAAGAATGGATAAGTAGATCAATGGAATGGAATTGAGAGTCCAGAAATAGACCCATATAAATTATATTCAACTGGTCTTTGATAGAAAAGCAAAGACATGCAATGTGGTAAAGATAGTCTTGTCAACAAGTGGTGCACATATGCAAAAAAAAAAAAAACCTAGACATAGTTCTTACACCCTTTACAAAAATCAACTCAAAGACCTATATGTAAAATTTGAAACTGTAAAACTTCTAGACAACCACATAGGAGAAAACCTAGGTGATCTTGGGTATGCCAGTGACTTTAGATTTTTAGACAACACCAAAGTCAGAATCCATGAGAAACAATTGATAAGCTAGACTTCCTTAAATGTAAAATCTGTTCTGCAAAAGACAATGTCAAAAAGAACAAGAAGACAGTCTACACAATGGGAGAAAACATTTGCAAAAGACATATTTGATAAAGGATTGTAATCCAAAACATACAAAGACAATAAGAAAACAACCCCATTAATGGGCAAAGCACCTGAACAGACAGTACCAAAGAAGATATAAACATAGCAAGTAAACACATGGAAAGCTGTTTAAGATCATATGTCATTAGGGAAATGAAAATTAAAACAACAATAAGATATCACTACACACCTATTAGAATGGCCAAAATCCAAAATATTGACAACCTCAAATGCTGACAAGGACATGGAGCAACAGGAACTCTCATTCATTGCTGGTGGGAATGCAAAATGGTACAGCCACTTTGGAATTCAGTTTGGCAGTTTCTTTCAAAACTCAACATACTCTTACTTATTCCTTATTGTAAGGAACTAAGACCTTCTGTACAGTGTTGAAATATAATGGTTTTTTTTTTTTTTTTGGTTTTTCACGAGAAGGATATAATTCACCATTTTATCTAGCAAGATTTTGAAAACAATGAGAGCATCTCATCTCAGCCACTTTCCTTAGCAGTTCCTGCTTTTATTCATTTGCTTTTTATGTTGCCTCAGACACAGTTTTTATTTCATTAAAACATGAATTGTGCAGATTTGGAGGCAGTTTAAAAAAAATGAAAAGTAACAATAGATAGAGGTAGGGGGTGAGTTTTATTAATATCCTGGAAATTGATCACCCAATCAGCAGTAGAGTCCGTGTTGGAAAGGCAGTCCACACTTCTCCATAGTTCACTCAGCGTGAGGTTCCCTCAATGAAGTTCTCATTTTTAATGACATAGGTCATCATTAGAAAAAGGCCTGGTTGGCCAGGCACAGTGGCTCATGCTTGTAATCCCAGCACTTTGGGAGGTCGAGGCAGGAGGATCCCTTGAGCCCAGGAGTTTGAGACCAGCCTGGGCAACATGGTGAAACCCCATCTCTACAAAAAATACAAAAATTAGCTGGGTGTGGTGGTGTGCGCCTGTTGTCCCAGCTACTCGGGAGGCTGAGGTGGGGAGGTGGGAGGATTGCTTGAGCCCGGAAGGTCAAGGCTGCCGTGAGCCATGATCGTGCTACTGTACTCCAGCCTGGGCAGCAGACAGAGTGAGACCTTGTATAATACCTTGAAAGAAAAAAAAAAAAAAGCAAGAAACAAAGGAAAAGGTCTCATTGTCCGTTCTTAAATGTAAAGACTCTTAGCTTCATCAGTCAGCGTTCACATTGCATCTGGGGTCCCAAACAGCCAACCCCTTACATTAAACTAAATTCTGCTTAACCAGCTCTCACACTGAACTTAGAAGCCAAGAGTTCAGGAGTATGAGCGCTGGAGTCTCCCTCCCTCTTCCTCCATTTTCTACCATCCCATAGTAGTCATGCAGGATTGGGTGGGACCATAGCTTAAGGTGTTGAGGCCAGCACCCAGGTATAACTTGTATGGCTTCGGAGAATTTCCTGAGCATATGGTTTTCCCCATCTCAGAGACCCGTGTAGTACTGGACGCTGGGACATTGGAACAGGAGTGTAGGAGAAGACCCACAGATTGTCCCCTTGTCACCAGCCCTATCAATCAATGCACACCAAAAACTGGAGCACCAGGCTCCTGAGGCAGTGATGGGGGGAGTAAACTGGAAAGGCTGACTGGGGCCTAATGTGTGCGGGGGGGAGTCTTTATTCTTATGTATTCTTTGATAACAGAATCATTAATGAGAGCATTGTCCGGATTTAGTCTCAGGTTTCACTCGTTAGGTTGAAAATGTGAAAAGCCTCTACCCCTTTAGCTACAAGTGAGGAAACCTGGGTATAAAAAGGAGGCCTGGAGTTCTTGTTCTGGCTCTGCATAGCGTAAGCACAGTGCCGGCATTTTACTATTAAATAATAAGAATGTGTGGACCACTTTCTGTGTTCCTGGCACAATGGATGCACTTTGTATGTGGCAGCTCATTTCAATCTCAGAGCTTCCTTCTCTTTTACAGATTAAATAAACAGAAGCTCAGAAAGGTTAAATAACTTGTCTCAAGTTACACAGTCACACTGTAACAGCCAGGATTTGAAACCAGGTCTATCTGACTTCAGAACCCATGCTCCTAGTCACCTCAGGTCTGCCCCCTAAAAGGGTTTGCTTTAGGGGTTCAGTTTCCTGGGGAGGGGTTTCCAGTTGCTCTCTTTGAGGTTTCTCATTTCCTCCTGAATTCTTGGGTCGTTCTTTTTCCCCTTAGTCCCCCTAACTTTCTTTGTAAACCTTAGTTCAGCTGATCAATGTACCCTCCGCCAAACGTACCGTAAGAAACAAAAGGGTCATCTAGACCTCAGGCATGCAATAGGTGAGGTAAAATTACCTCTAAGGTTGCCTCCTATTTTCAGCACTTGGAAGTACCTGCTGTGTTTCTAGGCCTATGCTTGGGGCTGTTGTGTACAGCTATGCAGGTTGTTCACTGCAGAGATGCTCCCTTCTTAGGGGGTGAATGCGGACCAGACTCTAGCATGAGCTTCACTTGCCAAACTGCGTGCCTGAGGGGAAGGCACAAAGACACTGGATGGGTTAATGGTAGCCCTGACTCTGCTGGGCTCAGGGGTAAGTCTGGCCCTTGGGTAGCTTTCTTATCTTTATTTAGAAAAGTATCCCCATGAAATAATGGAAGCCGGGTCTGCAGCTCTGCTGTGTTGCAGGTAGTGTGAGGAGTGCAGCAGGTGCTCAGCTACCAAGAATTACAAGAAGATCAATGTTCATGAATGATATACATTTGAAAAGTTTACATGTATTAAACTTTATTGACAGTATATATTTGTGTTTATATGTGCACATCTATAAATATAAAAGCAGATTCACATCATTCTCCTCCCTTGTATTCCAATACACTTTCTTGAGGGGTACATAAAAGGTTGGAATTTGTTAGCTCCTTCAGAGTTGCAGAGAACCCTAAATATGCCCATATATGTGTCATGCCATGTCCCCTGTCCAGGATCATGGCAGAAAAAGATCCAGAGCTGTGGAATTCGCGAACAAATGGTAGCAATGTAGTCCCTTGTCCATCTCTAGCTCTCACTTTTCTTTTCTGGTATCCAGCAGCCTTGGTCCCTGGGCTCCCTGGATGTCTTCATTTACTCTTAAAAAAAAAATTGAGCTGGATTTCATGTAACATTAACTTTTAAAGGGTACAATTCAGCGGTGGCACATGCATGTAGTCCCAGCACTTTGGGAGGCCGAGGTGGGCAGATCACTTGAGGTCAGGAGTTCAAGACCAGCCTGGCCAACATGGTGAAACCCCGTATCTACTAAAAATACAAAAATTGTCCAGGCGTGGTGGCACACACCTGTGATCCCAGCTACCTGGCAGGCTGAGGCAGGAGAATTGCTTGAACCTGGGAGGCGGAGGTTGCAGTGAGCCAATATTGCACTCTGCACTCCAGCCTGGGTGACAGAACAAGACTCCATCTCAAAAAAAATAAAAAAATAAAGTGTACAATTCAGCGGCATTTAGTACATATACAATGTTGTACCACCGTCACCTCTGTCTAGTTCCCAAATATTTCCGTCACCCCTAAAGGAGACTCTGCCCATGCGCGTTAAGCAGTCACTCCTTCCCCTTCCTCAGACCCTGGCAACCTCTATTCTGCCTTCTGCGTCTGTGGATTTACCCAGTCTTGTGTGTGGCTTCTTTCACTTAGCATGACGTTTTCAAAATTCATCCATGTGTAGCATGTTAGTACTTCATTCGTTTATTCTATTTATTTAGAGACAGGGTCTTGCTCTGCCGCCCAGGCTGGAGTGCAGTACAGATCACGGCTCACTGCAGCCTCCAATTCCTGGGCTCAAGGGATCCTCCCACTCAGCTTCCTTCACTTTCAATTTTTTGTAGAGACGGGTTCTTGCTGTGTTTCTCAGGCTGGTCTCAAACGCCTGGCCTCAAGCGATCCTTCCACCTCAGCCGCTGAGAGTACTGGGATTACAGGCGTGGGCCATCGCTCCTGGCTTTCATTTATTATTATTATTTTTTTAATTATTTTTTTGAGACGGAGTTTCGCTCTTGTTGCCCAGGCTGGAGTGCAATGCCGCGATCTCGGCTCACTGCAACCTCCGCCTCCCGGGTTCAAGCGATTCTCCTGCCTCAGCCTCCTGAGTAGCTGGGATTACAGGCACGTGCCACCATGCCTGGTTAATTTTGTATTTTTAGTAGAGACGGGGTTTCTCCATGTTGGTCAGGCTGTTCTCACTCAGGTGAACCGCCCGCCTCGGCCTCCCAAAGTGCTGGGATTACAGGCGTGAGCCACTGCACCTGGCCCCTTCATTTATTTTTAAGGCTGAATCATATTCCATTGTATGGATATGCCACGTTTTGTTCACCCATTCATCTGTCAATGGACATTTGGGTTGCTTTCACCTTTGGCAATTGTGAATAATGCTGCTATAAACACTGGTGTACAAATATTTGTTTGAATATCTGTTTTCATTTCTTTTGGGTATAGACCCAGGAGCGGAATTCCTGGGTCCCGTGGTAACTCTGTTTAACTTTCTGGAGAACCGGCTTTGTTCATTGTTGTTGAGCACCGAGCCAGGTGGTCACTTTTCCTCATGCTTGACCTCCCGCTCTTTGTGTCTAAGTCAGGAGGTAGTCATTTTGTTTGTCTTGTTTTCAGCACCAGCATTCCCAGGCCCTGCATCCCTGGGCTGTTTTTGTTGCTCTCCTGTTCAGTAGCACAGCCACTCTAGAAAGTGTTTTGATTCTTTACCCTAACCACTTCCTAGCCTGTTTACAGCCACTGGATTCCTAAAGTCTCCTCCTGGGTATGACACACACTCGATTTCTCAGTCTCTTCTGATGCCTCCCCACCCACAGCTTCCAAACCCACCCCTGATTTCCCATTCAGTGACTAAACAATAAACAAACCTTCCTCTACTTCTCCAGTTTTATACACACACGCCCCTTCACTGCCCTGTCGGTTGCGAAGTTCTTCATGCTGTCTCCTGGGCTTACTAGTACCTTGGCAGTGCCCCACAGTTGCCCCTGAAGAGAGATTGTTTTTCTGTCTTTCCATTCGATGCTGTTTCTGATTGCGTATCATGAAGCCAGCCTTGTCACTGGCTCTTCCTGCCGCTGAGAGGTGATTTTGAATGAGATGCTATCCCTCCCCAGCTACCTCTCCACCATGTCCGCCCAAGTCCAGTTGTCACCCAGAGCCCAGACACTTCAGAAGCAGCTCACTGAGAGGCCACTGTGTGCTGGCTTTGGATGCTCCAAACCCTCTACCATGCACTAGAATGATGCCCTCTGGACCACGGTTAATTTAAATAACTCCATCTGTGGCCCCATCTCTAGTTGACTTCCTGTTTTTGTTTTGTTCTGATTCCTGTGTGTTGTCCACACCCACATTGCTAGTTTTTTACTAGCTTTAGGAGACAAGGATCCCTGTGTGTATAAGATAATGGTCTTGGGGCAGGAGGAACAGGCATCATAGAAGGAAGAAAAGTTCCAGATTGGAATGACAAGCTGAGAAAAAGCAGTATGTGGGGCGACGCTAGCTGGTGGAAGACCTGGAAGACGAAGGTGGAGGAATTTACCTTTGATAAAGCAGCGTTTATAACTTTGTCTTTTTGGATGTTCCCGCGTCTGTCTTTAAGAGGTTCCTTCAAGCACGCTGGACAGCCAGGGGCTTTCACCGTGGGTCAGAGAGCACCATTCTCGTGCATGGTACAGGGCTGGGAGCGTCCAAAGCCAGCAGACTGTGGCCTCACAGTTTCCATTGCCCTACCCTGGAAAGAATCTTCATGATGGTGTCAGCTGGACAGTAGAATTGGGAAATCCAATGATGAATGGCAAGTTGGTGGATCTGGGGACAGGATAATGGAGCTTTGGCATACAGAGAGGACACAAAATCTGGTGGGGTATTCTAGAGCAGGGCCCAGAGCCCTTCATAATGTATAATTTGAGATGAGAGTTTTGGGGGAGGATAGAGGGGCATTTAGGGATTGGTGCTGTCCCTTCAGGAAGTTTGAGCTGGTGAGCAGGTGGAATCATGGAAATTGCCTACCTGGCTGTGGTCACTCTTACCTTTGTGTATTTAATTTAGGGCAGTCAAAAACTTAAGATCCATGCAGGTAGCTTCAGTCAAAGAAGCAGATATAAGTGTGAACACATACTCTGTGTGAGGTATGAGGACTGTGGTGCAAGGGGAGAGCCCGTGCTCTCACTATCTAGAACAGTCCTAGCCCGTGGAGCCCGTGCTCTCACTATCTAGAACAGTCCTAGCCCGTGGAGCCCGTGCTCTCACTATCTAGAACAGTCCTAGCCCGTGGAGCCCGTGCTCTCACTATCTAGAACACTCCTAGCCCGTGGAGCCCGTGCTCTCACTATCTACTAGCCCGTGGAGCCCGTGCTCTCACTATCTAGAACACTCCTAGCCCGTGGAGCCCGTGCTCTCACTATCTAGAACACTCCTAGCCCGTGGAGCCCGTGCTCTCACTATCTAGAACACTCCTAGCCCGTGGAGCCCGTGCTCTCACTATCTACTAGCCCGTGGAGCCCGTGCTCTCACTATCTAGAACAGTCCTAGCCCGTGGTAGGCACTCAAACAAAACAATATTTGTTAAGTGAATGAATAAAGGAGTGGTCACTTTATTGGCTCCAGCGCTTACTTTCCATTTGGTTATAGGCCCTGTTTTGCCCATTTGCCCTACTTTTCAAGAGAAACAAGAAATTGAGGGTTTTATGTGAAATTTCCCAAGTTTTAAATGTTGGCTCAAATTTTTCTAAAATACAGTGAGCTAAAGTCAGGAGGCAGCTGTTTTATTTTTCTTGTTTTCAGCACCAGCATTTCCCAGCCCTGCCTCCCTGGGCTGCTCTTGCCGAGGCTTGCTGGCCATTCTCTTGTTGCTCTCTTGTTCGATAGCACAGCATCCTCTAACGTTAGGATTTTGCAACTTCTAACTTAAGGCTTTCACCTCCAGCAGATGCACAAACTTTTAGGAGAAGCAGCTTTTTTTTTTACGTTTAATTTTTTTAAGAGTTGGGGTCTTGCTCTGTCACCCAGGCTGGAGTACAGTGGAGCAATCATACCGCACTGCAGCCCCAAACTCCTGGGCTCAAGCGATCCTCCCGCCTTGGCCTCCCAAAGTGTTGAGATTACAGGCATGAGCCACGCCCAGCCAGAAGCAACTCTTTAAAATCTTATCTTTCACTTATCAACCTGGATAAAGGTTCTGAAAGCAAGTTTCAACAGGAGGTTCATGGGAGGATCACATCTAAGGTTCTGATGCCTTAAATTGTGGTTGTGGCTTGGTTTCTCTAATGGCTTTCTGCTGAGCCTAGTCCTGCATGTAACAGGGCTCCAGTGGCAGGTGGTGGGAGCCAGGATAACTGAGCTGGGCAGAATGATGCAGTGGGCAGAACCTTGGCTTTCTAGTATGGACATTCGGCTGGTACACACCTTCCGGTCATTCCACTTATGCTGAAATACTGAAATATTTCTGTATTGGGAGGTAAATAGCTACTGCCCTGAATCCCGTGGGTGCCCCAACCCGGGACCCACCAGGCCTTCATACTATCCAGCAATGAATGGGGTCATGCCTGGCTACAGTGTGTCTCTAGGACCGTGCTTCAAGGCCAGGGCTGGCATCCATTCTCAGTGCTCAATGCCCGTATTATGGTGCTGTAAGCATTTTGAACTCACCCCTGGATAAATCTGAATTTGAATCCTGGCTCCACTGCTTTTTTTTTTTTTTTTTTTTGACACAGGGTCTCACTTTGTCACCCAGGCTGGAGTGCAGTGGCAAGATCTTGGCTCACTACAACCCCCACCTCCCAGGTTCAAGCGATTCTCCTGCCTCAGCCTCAGCCTCCTGCGTAGCTGGGATTACAGGCTCACCCAGCCACTCCCGGCTAATTTTTGTACTTTTTGGTAGAGACAGGGTTTCACCATATAGGCCAGGCTGGTCTCGAACTCCCAACCTCAGGTGATCCACCCCCCTCAGCCTCCCAAAGTGCTGGGATTATAGGCGTGAGCCATTGCGCTGGCCCCACTTTTTACTTGGCTAAGTATTTACTGACAAATTACTTAATCAATGTCTCTCAGCTTATTTCCTTCTTCCATAAAAGAGGGTCTTTCCTCCATAAAAAGGAATACTACTACTAAAACTAATCTATTTGCAGGGTTGTTGTGAAATGTAAGTGTGTAACTGAGATAAGGCTACTGTTATTATTCTACACTCTAAACAGGAAAACAGCATCCTTTGTACCTTATCTTTATACAAAGGCTTGGAGAAATAGGGATCAGATTAGCCAGGTGTGGTGGCGCACACCTGTTGTCCCAGCTACTCGGGAGGCTGAGGAGGGAAGATCACTTGAGCCCAGGAGTTCGAGGCTGCAGTGAACTATGTTTGCACCACTGCACTCCAGCCTGGGCAATAGAGTGAGACTCTGTCTCAAAATAAGAAAAAGGAAAAAGAAATAGGGGTCAGAGAACTAGAGGCTGAGGATTGCACAGTGACATGACCCACTGGGTCCCAAAAGTCGGTGGTGCCCAGTTGGCCACTCAACTAGGGAGATTGTTAAATACAGATGCCCCTACATTTAGAATGAGAAATTCTAATTCAGGAGGTCTGGGTAGAGTCCAGGAATCATTGTTTTTACCAAGTGCCCTGTGATGATCCTGATTAAGAGCTGAATCTGGGAACCATGCTGTTCTCTTGTCGGTCATCTCTGCCTGTGTTTCTTCACACAGAACCGGTGCAGGCGGTACTGTACTTACGGCAGGTGCTCAGTCCACCAGGGTGACTTGATGGATTCACGTGAATCCATGAGTGGGCCTGGGCCAGCTGAGGCAGGGCCTTCCCCTCGCCCTTTATTGCTGCCTCTGTCACAGACTTCATTCCGTCTCCTAGGTGGGATCTAGGCCTCTCCTAAGGCTGAGAGCACAGGACAGGGGAGAACAAGCCTGAGCCTCTTGCTGGGCTTCAGGATAAACCAGACACACAGAATGAGGATTGAGTTGCCTTCCCAGGAGGTGGAGATCTGAGCTAGGCAGATTAACTTGTTTATGAGGGTGTTCTCCATTGCATTCCCCCCGGGCATGGACCCAGTTGGCTGACCTTGTGTGGACCACCTGTTGACAGGGCTTCCTGTGTCCCAGCGTCCTGCAGCCCTCGGCATCAGGTGCTCTGACTTGGAGCAACTGTCGTAGTTAAGCGCCTCTTCTGCCTGGCAGCTGCGCTCATTGCCTCCTAATTATACGCTCTGGGGCCTCCCTTGAAGGTAAAATATTATATCACAGCTTTAGGGGTCTGCTTCCAGTGTTGCATTGGTTCCAAATGATGAGGACAGGCAAGAGGTGTAGGGACACAGGGCTGAGAGACATGTTAAGAGACGGATACAAAGGGATTGGAAAGAGAAAGGAGAAACAGGCGGGTGAAAGATGAAATGTTAAGAGAAAGACTGAGGAAGAGGGAGGCCAAGAAAGACATGAAGCAAGGGAAGTTAAAATCTGGAAGGCAGTGAGTGGTGTTCTTAGCACAGATTTGCAGAGGGTAGCGACCCTTGCTATTATTTCAGGAGGAGTGACACGTGAGCACTTTTTCCTTTTTGTTTAAACAAGTTCTTTTATTTTATTTTGTCTTTTTGAGAGGGTGTCTTGCTCTGCCACCCAAGCTGGAGTGCAGTAGTGTGATCATAGCTCACTGCAGCCTTAATTCCTGGGCTCAAGCAATCCTACCACCTCAGCCTCCAGAGTAGCTGGGACTACAGGCGTGAGCCACTACCCTGGCTAATTTTTTTATTTTTATTTTTTGTAGAGATAGGTTCTTGTTGTGTTGTCCAGGCTGGTCTCGAACTCCAAGGCTTAAGCTATTCTCCTGTCTTGGCTTCCCGAAGTGCTGGGATTACAGGTGTGAGCCACTGTGCCCTCCTAAACAAGTTCTTGAGTAGGAACTAGCAGCTAGACAAGATGCAGTGACTCAACAGAGGCAATAATAGGAAGTTTTGGGTTTGCAGCTGCTGGCTGATGTTTTCTACCCTGTTTCCCAGCAAGGAAATCCTGGGGATTGTGAGCGTGTGCGCAGTGACTCACATGACCACAGCCTCCCTGGTTTACAGTCCCAGCCCTGCATACCTGTTCTCTCACCGACACACCTATCCGCTCAGTGACCACACCTCACAATCTCAACTCTGCCCCAGCCACCAAGCCATGGCTGCCACTCACACAGCCTCTTTTTCACTCTGTTGACAGCCACCTCCCTCCTCAAAGCCCATGTTTCCTGGGAGCTGTGACTTCTCTGCCATCAGCTGTCAAATCCTCCGCAGGCTCTTGCATAAAGCATTTTTCCTGTCTGCATCTCAGATTTCTGACCTGTAAAATGAACCTCAGGCTCACTGCTCACGCCTCTTTGCTGTGTGGAGCAGTGAATTAATGTCTTTAAGGAACTTGTTGCTTGTTGGATGAAAGATGCCAAAGTCAGCTTTGCTCCTCCACCCCCACCTGCACTCCTAACAGCCAAGCCCTCCTTTCTTACTGTTTACCATACAGATAAGCTCGTGATGACTAGAGCAAGTCATTTAAGGTCTGTGAACCTGGGTGGACCTCAGTTCCCCAATCCACTGATCTCTGAACAGCTGCCTCCCATTCACCTGGCAGCATTTGACACTGTTGACCACCTACTGCCTTCTTCTTAAAAGTGTAAAAGTGGCCGGGCATGGTGGCTCACGCCTGTAACCCCAGCATTTTGGGTGGCTGAGGTGGGTGGATTGCCTGAGGTCAGGATTTCGAGACCAGCCTGACCAACATGGTGAAACCCCGTCTCTACCAAAAATACAAGAATTAGCTGGGTGTGGTGGCACGCGCCTGTAGTCCCAGCTACTTGGGAAGCTGAGGCAGGAGAATCACTTGAACCTCGGAGACAGAGGTTACAGTGAGCCGAGATCATGCCAAGGCACTCCAGCCTGGGAGACAGAGTGAGACTCTGTCTCAATTAAAAAAAAAAAAGTGTTAAAGTAACACATGCTCATTGCTTAAAAAGAAAGAAAAGTGAAGGCTGAGGCAGGAGGATCACTTCAGCCTGGGAAGTCGAGGCTGCAGTGAGCTGAGATTGCATTACTGCACTCCAGCCTGGGCAACAGCGAGACCCTGTCTATAAAAAAAAAACAAAAACAAAAACACAATTTTTCAAAAAAAAAAAAAAGAAAATGAAATCCAATACTATACACCAGAATTTAAGTAAAATATAAAGACCACTAGTCCTCTCACCTCTATACAATCATGAAACGTGTCTCAAATCCAGCCTCCTCTCTCCACCCCGCAGCCGCCCCCCCGCCCCCGAACTCTTTTTTTCTGAGATGGCGTCTCACTCTGTTGCCCAGGCTGGAGTGCAGTGGTGTGATCTCAGCTCACTGCAACCTCCGCCTCCCGGGCCCAAGCCATCCTTCCACTTCAGCCCCCAAATAGCTGGGACTGTAAGCACGGGCTACCATGGCTGGCTAATTTTTAGCCCGGGAATTTGAGTCTGCAGTGAGCTTTAAATTGCACCCCTGCACTCCAGCCTGAGCAACAGAGTGAGATTCTGTCAAAAAAACAAACAAACAAAAAAACCCCACATACTGTTATTAATTATCATCACCATGTTGTCAAATCTTCTCTTTCTGAACCCTTCTGCCCTTAATTCCCTTAACCCTTCTGTCTCTTAACCCTTCTGCCCTCCCCCACAAAAACCCTTGTGTGAAAATGTAGTCTTAAAAAGAATTCATCACAGGTTTTTTTTTTTTTGAGATGGAGTTTCGCTCTTGTTGCCCAGGATGGAGTGCAGTGGCGCGATCTCGGCTCACTGCAACCTCCGCCTCTTGGGTTCAAGCGATCCTCCTGCCTCAGCCTCCCGAGTAGCTGGGATTACAGGTGCACACCACCACGCCTGGCTAATGTTTTCTGTATTTTTAGTAGAGACAGGGTTTCACCATATTGGCCAACATGGTCTCAATCTCCTGACCTTGTGATCTGCCTGCCTTGGCCTCCCAACGTGCTGGGAGTACAGGCGTGAACCACCACGCCTGGCCTCACCAGAGGTTTTAACAGATGTTCTATACTATGTAATGAGTGAATTAATTAGTTATTTGGTAGCTCTGTTTTGAGACAACTTGGGGCTTCCCTCTCCTCCTAGAATTAACTAACAGCTGGTGAAAGAGCAGAGGGACAGTGACCACCAGGCCAACCTCGCCCAGAGAACTGACAGCAGCATCAGCGGCTCTTACAGCAGCCCCCTTTCCTCTGTTCCCACTGCAGCCTCCAACCCTGGACTCCCTAAGCCCAGAGGGGAAAGGAAGGGCCGTCTGCCCAGCCATTTGAACCCTGATCCATCTTGGATTGGAGAATTGCTTTGGAGAAACCTGAAATCAAGAATTGGCGCTTGCTGAGATTTGCCTGGGGGAACATTTGCCCCATCCTTGAGTTTGGCTTTTGCATTTTCTGGCCTTTCTCATGCTTTCCTGTCCATTTTCAGAATGTTCCCACTGCATGAAGTATTGTCTCCCTGCCACACTTCATTGTCATGGGGGAGAGTGTCCTGAAGACCCTTGTTTCATGTTGCTGGGGCCCAGGATTGCTGTCTGCAGAGAGATAGGGGTCTGAATAGGTCTACCTCTCAAATTATCCTGCTTCTGGGGTTGATAGGAGTTGGGGGAGGAGACTGAGGAGCTGGAGACAAAGCTCTGTGGAACCCACCAAGGATTTTAAACCCTCTCCCATGAAGAGCCCTAGATCAGTGACAAGTGGGAGAGTTGCCATTTGCAACTCCATCCATCTATTTTTGTCTTCTTTCATTTGCATAGATCTGAGCCAGGTAAGCATCAGCTGATACTCTTCTTATAAATCAGATTGTAACCCGATTTGTCTGTCTCATTTTTTTACCCTCTAATACAGCACAGGTACAGTATGCCTATAGGTATGTCCCTGAAACATTCTATGCAGTTCAGATTTTTTTTTTTTAGGAACTATTTTAAATTCATTAGGCAGGCTTTATTATTTCAGGCATCCATGATGGATCTGCTAGCAACAGGAAAATCGTTCTTCATTTGTGTGTGTTTATTATCAAATCATAGAGTGTAACACTTACAATGGTCCTTAAATATCATCATTTTATAACTAAGAAAACCAAGGATCAGGAGGTCACTGGGATCACAAAGCCAGTGAAAGAACAAGGACCAAAACCTTGGTCTCCTGACTTCTAGCCCACTGCTCTTTCAATCACAGGGACAATGAAATACAGAGAAGTTTAAAACTGTTATCTTCCTATATTTTCATTTCCATCTCTTTTTTCTACTTAAAAACATTTTATTTCTATTTTTTAAAATTCAAAGGTATATAATATTAAAAGGTGCTTTCACAGAAGTAAGCACCATAAAAAATTCAATATGCCTTCTAAGTGTTTTCTATGCCTCTGTGATGCCTGTACACATACACATAGAGGCTCCTATACTTACAAGTGCATTTTTATTTATTTTTTATTTTATTTATTTTTTTTGAGACAGAGTCTCACTCTGTCACCCAGGCTGGAGTGCAGTGGCGCGGTCTCGGCTCACTGCAAGCTCCGCCTCCCGGGTTCACGCCATTCTCCTGCCTCAGCCTCCCGAGTAGCTGGGACTACAGACACATACCACCACGCCCGGCTAATTTTTTGTATCTTTAGTAGAGACGGGGTTTCACCGTGTTAGCCAGGATGGTCTCGATCTCCTGACCTCGTGATCCGCCCGCCTCGGCCTCCCGAAGTGCTGGGATTACAGGCGTGAGCCACCGTGCCCGGCCAAGTGCATTTTTAAATGAATTTTTAATTTTAGAATAGTTTTTCATTTACCCAACATTGCAAAGGTAGTCTGGAGAGCTCTCACTTTGCTCACACCCAGTTTCCTCTATTATTGGCATCTTGCATTAAGCCCCGGTACATTTGTCATGATTAATGAACCAATATCGGATGTTATTATTAACTCAAGTTCATACTGTATCCTGAATTCCTTTCAGATATCCCTTTTCTGTTCCTAGACCTCTGTAGTCATTGGGTCTCCCTAAGTTCCTACTGGCCATGACAGATTTAAGCGTTTTTTTGATAGTGTCACTTTTGTGATATATATGGCAACCTTTTTTCACATAACTATATGTTTTGAACACCTTTCTGGGTTAGTGTGTGTGGCCTTCCACACCCTTTTAACTCACCACAGTGTTCTGTTGAGTGGCTTTACCCCATCATTTTACACTGCCCTTGGCACAGAGCCCCCGTCTGGAAGTGTCACTGGGCCTGGGTGCTGTCTGGTGGATTAGACAGACGCTTCCACTGTCTTGGAATTTGGACACTGTGGGAACAGAGAACATGGATGTAAATGACCTGACAGAGCTCAGAGAAAAGGAGCCACGTGGCCTGGGGCACTGCTGTTGTGGCGACCCTTCACCCCACGCCCTCCACCCTACATCCCTCACCCCACACCCTACGCCCTGCGAGTGGCTCTGTGTTTACATACAAGAGTTTACATCTGTGGTGGAAGCACTTTCTCACAAAAGGGTAGGGCTTATTCTAGGAGGCCCTACCAAAGAAAAGCACTAGGTAGCAGCATTCCAGCTGTAGGGCCCGTGACTGTGGCATGCGGAACATTCCTGCCCCTGGAAATCCAGTAGTAGCTTGGTGGACGTCTGTCCCTGGAAATCCAGTAGTAGCTTGGTGGACACCTGCCCCTGGAAATCCAGTAGTACCTTGGTGGACACCTGCCCCTGGAAATCCAGTAGTAGCTTGGTGGACACCTGCCCCTGGAAATCCAGTAGTAGCTTGGTGGACACCTGCCCCTGGAAATCCAGTAGTAGCTTGGTGGACACCTGTCAGGAGTGCTTGAGTAGAGCGTTGATACTAACCTGTGAAAGAAATTTCTCATGATCATCCATTGTAACTGGAAGAGATCTGAAAAATGACTCGGCCCAAGGTCCCACAGCCAGTGGAGACAGAATGTCTTCTCTTACTGTCTTTTCCGCTGGCCCTGCCAGCCCAGACCTGTCCCTAGGGGGACATCCAATTCATATTCGTTAATGAAGAGAAAGCTTCCAGATCCTTCAAGGTGTCTCTGTTACCTCAGAAGGTCCAGTGCATATTTTGAAACAACTTACTTTTGTTTTTTTTAGACAGGGTCTTGCTCCATCACCCAGGCCACCCAAGCTGGAGTTCAGTGATGCAATCATGGCTTACTGCAGCTTCGAACTCCCAGGCTTGAGCAATCTTCCCACCTCAGGCTCTTGAGTGCCTGGGACTACAGGTGTGTGCCACCATGCCTGGCTAATTTTTAAAAATTTGTTATAGAGATAGGGTCTTACTACATTGCCCAGGCTGGTCTCAAACTCATGGTCTCAAGCAATAAAACAGCTTTTTAATGTTTAAATTATACCCGAGGTTTGGTTCTCTGCAGATGTCCCCCAGAATTGGGCACAGCCTCCGATCGGCCTTATTCCTCTCACTTAATATTTGTCACTATTCCAAACCCCATGTTCAACACTTCACCCATTACCTTTTCCCTCTGACCTCTGATTTGCACAGGCCCTTCCAGCAGAGCTCCAGGCTGTTCTTGCCCAAGCAGAGATTACAAACATACTACTTTGAGGACTGACCCTCCCAGACTTACCACTTCAGCCGAAGTAAGGGAGAACTAGACAACTCTCTTTGTCTCATGCTACAAAGTGCCCCAGGAGGCCTTTCATACACAATTATTTTTCAGTAAGGAGCCAGGGAACCAGGGTCTTTTCCTCTCATGCACCTTGTGAGGTTGGCAGGACAGCGTGTGACTCATGCCTGGACAGAGGCGCATACCTTTAACAGCCTTGCTGGGGAGGTGCCCCACTTAGGAGTGGTGGAGATACACTCTACTGGTTTTTCCTACCCAGCAGGTGTCTAAGACAGACACACTCAGACAACACTGCTTTCCCCATCACTGCCTGTCATCCAACACTTCAAAGATGATGGACAACGTGTCTGAAGCTGATGGGGCGGAGGACCCCTGCACACCTGCACCTACTAACCTACTGCTGTACCTTCGCCCCACCCCCAGCCCCCTTTGAGAGCTCAGATCCCGCCTAGGAGGGGATGGATGGGCTTGTTAACAGCTGACAAGTGCTCTGCAAAATGCAGCTGTTTAATCATAAATGAACATTAGAAGGTGGCCTGGAGCCACTGTGCTTTAGGAAACTCATGCGCGTGGAGAGGACAGGAGGAAAGGAGATTTCCAGGGCAGGAGAAACTTGGGAAGCAACACTGAATGGGAAGAGAGGGAGGCTTTCTAGGGGATTTAAATGATACTGAAACCCGGATACGGAATAGGAGAAAAAATACCAACTTGCTCTCAGGGTGTCTTTACTCTCCCCAGTGCAGATTTCATTGACCTAAATCAGGTCTCTGCTCCTATTTGCTGGTACCTAGTTCAAGAGAGTCTTATAAATACACAAAGCCGGAAATGCCTGGGTAGGGGGGTGGCAAGAGCATGCGGTTCCACTCCAGGACAGGATCTGACTCAAATCACACTTCCCTCCTGGATTCCAGACTGTCAGGAGGGATGCCTCCGAGGTGGTGTTTGGAAGGAGGTGCTGAGAGCGGAGCTGGGTTATTCTAAGCGTGGCCCAGGGAAGATCTTGCCAGACTTGTTAATGTGTGACCCCACCCAGTGCCATGCTCAGCAAGGCAGAGAAGTGTGCTGTGGGTGGTGGGAGCAAGAAAGAGAGGAGGCCAGGACATCTCTATTCCACACATACCCTGTTTCATCCCTTGCTGCATTTCACTAAAATTATCCACTCGCCCCTACGAGACCTGCTGTGTCCTCCTTGAGTCCTTGTTTGGCATACCTTTGTTCCCTTCCATGGCCGAGTGAGTTCAGTCCACATTCATTGAACTGAAAGCTCACAGGTCTTGGAGCCTGGAGAAATAATCGGAACCATTCCCTTTCGTCTCCAGGCAAGATGAGCGATGGACCCAGGTTGCCTAACCTAGTTAGCTGCATGACACTCCAGAGCATCCAGCTCAAAGCAGGCATTGACAGGGATGGGGCACCCAGAGAAATGGCGCTGGTGCTGCTGTAGGGGTAAGATGTAGCAGCAAGGGGCGGGCAAGAGGGCTCCAGATGATTTCTGCCATGCTGAGCTAGCTGCCTGCTGGCTTTGTAAGCAGTGGAATAAGAAGACTATTGTGTCAACTCTTTGAGGGGGTGTGGCCTTCCTTGGGGTGAGAAAGCACAATGGGAAGGGCTAGCAGCTCCCCCGATCCTCTTCCTACTGTGACCTGAGAGACACTCCATGGGGGGGTTGGACGCTGGGGGGCTGGTCAGGGGAGTTGGCTGGGCTGGGAGGGAAACGGGCCCTTTCAAGAGCAAGTCAGACTCTGGTGAGCTGTTTACCCGCCTCATGCCCAAGGGTGCAATGTGAGTCATTTAATTTAATTGGTTTAATAAGTAAACGGTCTGGGTACAAAGAGGAGGGGGTTGGGTATGAGAGGGAGGGGCGGGGCAAACCCTGCAGAGCTGCTTTGGAAAGAAACCTGTTGCCAGCCCTCTAGGGATGGTCACAATTAAACAGGGAGTGGAGATGCTTTGGGAAGTAGGGAGAAGGGAGAGCCCCAGATGTTGAAGTGGAAAGAGGAGTAGAGGCTATAAGTCGGCCAGCCTCAGATTCTCAGTGCCCATCTGAGTATTCGATTCACTGGTGCTGGTATATCCACAGGGCTGTGCAACCATTGCCACTACCTAATTCCAGAGCATTTTCCTCACCCTAGAAAGGAACCTCACCCATTATCAGTCACTCCCAATTCTCCCCACCTCCAGCACTGGAACCACGACTCTCCTTTTGGTCTCTATGGATTTGCCTATTCTTTTTTTTTTTTTTTTTTTTTTTTTTTTTTTTTTTTTTTTTTGAGACAGGGTCTTACTCTGGTGCCCAGGCTGGAGTGCAGTGGCAGCTCACTGCAATTTCTGCCTGCCAAGCTCAAGGTATTCTCCCACCTCTGCCTCCTGAGCAGCTGAACTACAGGCGTGTGCCACCACGCTCGGCTAATTTTTGTTTTTTGTTTTTTTTGGTACCTTCCACCATCCACCTTCCACCTTCCGCCTTCTGCCTTCCGCCTTCCACCTTCGACCTTCTTCCACCTTCGACCTTCCACCTTCCACCTTCCGCCTTCTGCCTTCCACCTTCCACCTTCCTTCCACCTTCCACCTTCCACCTTCAACCTTCCGCCTTCCGCCTTCCACCTTCTGTCTTCCACCTTCCTTCCACCTTCCACCTTCCACCTTCTTCCACCTTCCACCTTCCACCTTCTTCCACCTTCCACCTTCTTCCACCTTCTTCCACCTTCCACCTTCCACCTTCCACCTTCTTCCACCTTCCACCTTCCACCTTCTACCTTCCTTCCACCTTCCACCTTCCGCCTTCGACCTTCTTCCACCTTCCACCTTCCGCCTTCCACCTTCGACCTTCTTCCACCTTCGACCTTCCACCTTCCACCTTCTTCCACCTTCGAGCTTCCACCTTCCGCCTTCCGCCTTCCACCTTCTGTCTTCCACCTTCCTTCCACCTTCCGCCTTCCACCTTCCTTCCACCTTCCACCTTCCACCTTCTTCCACCTTCCACCTTCCACCTTCTTCCACCTTCCACCTTCCACCTTCTTCCACCTTCTTCCACCTTCCACCTTCCACCTTCTTCCACCTTCCACCTTCCACCTTCTTCCACCTTCCACCTTCCACCTTCTTCCACCTTCCACCTTCCGCCTTCGACCTTCTTCCACCTTCCACCTTCCACCTTCTTCCACCTTTGACCTTCCACCTTCCACCTTCCGCCTTCCGCATTCCGCCTTCCATCTTCCTTCCACCTTCCACCTTCCGCCTTCCACCTTCTACCTTCTGCCTTCCACCTTCGACCTTCTTCCACCTTCAACCTTCCACCTTCGACCTTCCACCTTCCACCTTCCACCTTCTTCCACCTTCGAGCTTCCACCTTCCACCTTCCACCTTCCGCCTTCCGCCTTCCACCTTCCGCCTTCCGCCTTCCACCTTCCGCCTTCCACCTTCCACCTTCCACCTTCCACCTTCTTCCACCTTCCACCTTCCACCTTCTTCCACCTTCTTCCACCTTCTTCCACCTTCCACCTTCCACCTTCTTCCACCTTCCACCTTCTTCCACCTTCCACCTTCCACCTTCCTTCCACCTTCCACCTTCCGCCTTCGACCTTCTTCCACCTTCCACCTTCCACCTTCTTCCACCTTTGACCTTCCACCTTCCGCCTTCCGCCTTCCGCCTTCCATCTTCCTTCCACCTTCCACCTTCCACCTTCCGCCCACCTTCCACCTTCCGCCTTCCACCTTCTACCTTCTGCCTTCCACCTTCGACCTTCTTCCACCTTCAACCTTCCACCTTCGACCTTCCACCTTCCACCTTCCACCTTCTTCCACCTTCGAGCTTCCACCTTCCACCTTCCACCTTCCGCCTTCCACCTTCCGCCTTCCACCTTCCACCTTCCACCTTCTTCCACCTTCCACCTTCCACCTTCGATCTTCCTTCCACCTTCCGCCTTCCACCTTCCACCTTCCACCTTCTTCCACCTTTGACCTTCCACCTTCCACCTTCCGCCTTCCGCCTTCTGCCTTCCTTCCACCTTCCGCCTTCCACCTTCTTCCACCTTCCACCTTCCGCCTTCTGCCTTCCACCTTCCGCCTTCCACCTTCCTTCCACCTTCCACCTTCCACATTCCACCTTCTACCTTCCGCCTTCCGCTTTCCACCTTCTGCCTTCCACCTTCCACCTTCCACCTTCTTCCACCTTCCACCTTCCACTTTCCACCTTCCACCTTCGATCTTCCTTCCACCTTCCACCTTCCGCCTTCCACCTTCCACCTTCCACCTTCTTCCACCTTCCACCTTCCACCTTCTTCCACCTTTGACCTTTCACCTTCCACCTTCCGCCTTCCACCTTCTGCCTTCCTTCCACCTTCCGCCTTCCACCTTCCACCTTCGACCTTCCACCTTCCACCTTCCACCTTCCACCTTCTTCCACCTTCCACCTTCCACCTTCCACCTTCCACTACCGTTCTTGGATTTTGCCAACAAAGAACAAAGAATTGAGGGCAAATCTGTAGAGTAAAGTGAAAGCAAATTTATTAAAAAAGTAAAGGAGTAAAACAATGACTATTCCACAAGCAGAGCAGCCCTGAAGGCTGCTGGTTGCCCATTTTATGCTTATTTCTTGATTAGATGCTAAACGGTGTGGGTTATTCGTGCCTCTCATTTTTAGGCCATATAGGGTTAACTTCCTGATGTCGCTGTGATGTTTGTAAACTGTCATGGTGCTGGCGGGAGCATAGCAGCGAGGACAACCAGAGGTCACTTTTATCACCATCTTGGTTTTGGTGGGTTTTAGCCGGCTTCTTTCCTGCAGTCTGTTTTATCAGCAAGGTCTTTATGACCTGTATCTTATGCCTCCTATCTTATACCTCCTATCTCATTCTGTGATTAAGAATGGCTTAACTTACTGGGAATGCAGTCCAGCAGGTCTTAGCCTTATTTTAGCCAGCCTCTATTCAAGGTGGAGTTGCTCCAGCACCTCTGACAATAGCTCACTACGGCCTCAAACATTTTTGTATAGACGCGGTCTCCCTATGTTGCCCAGGCTGATCCCTAACTCCTGGCCTCAAGCAGTCCTCTGACCTCAGTTTCCCAAAGCATGCGGATTACAGGCGTGAGCCACTGTGCCCAGTCCATTTCTTTTTATTGCTAAGTTATATTCTGTTGTGTGGATAGACCACATTTTGCTTCTCCATTCATAGTTGATGATGGACATTTGCATTGTTTCCGCTTTTTGGCTATTAGGAATAATGCTGCGCTGAGGCTTTCATTTCTGTTGGGTGTATACCTGGGAATAGAACTGCTGGGTCAAATAGTAACTCCATGTTTTGAGGGACTGTCAGATTTTTCCAAATCGGCTACACCATTTTACATTCTCACCAGCCATGTATGAGGGTTCCAATTTCTCTATGTTCTTGCCAACACTTGTTATTGTCCGTTTTTGTTTTTTTTTTTTTTTTTGAGACGGAGTCTCGCTCTGTCCCCCAGGCTGGAGTGCAGTGGCGCGATCTTGGCTCACTGCAAGCTCCACCTCCCGGGTTCACGCCATTCTCCTGCCTCAGCCTCCCAAGTAGCTGGGACTACAGGTGCCCGCCACCACGCCTGGCTAATTTTTTGTATTTTTAGTAGAGGCGGGGTTTCACCGTGTTAGCCAGGATGGTCTCGATCTACTGACCTCGTGATCTGCCCGCCTCGGCCTCCCAAAGTGCTGGGATTACAGGCATGAGCCACCACGCCCAGCCTATTTTTTTTAAATAAAAGACTAATAAATTCTATTAGTATGAGAGCAAGGAGGAAGGCATGGAAGGTTGTTGCACTGTCAACATTAGTTATGGTGGGGAGGCAGAGAAGGAGAAGAGATGCTTTTTTTTCTTATTTATGTCTGATCACTGGTTGTGGTGAATACTTGGGATTTCTAGGAAACAAAAAAGGGTCCATGTATAAGAAGAGTTTAGAATTGAATCAGAATAGTGGTTAAGAACACAAATTCTGGGCTGGGCGTGGTGGCTTACACCTGTAATCCCAGCACTTTGGAAGGCCAAGGCGGGCAGATCACCTGAGGTCAGGAGCTCGAGACCAGCCTGGCCAACATGGTGAAACCTCGTCTCCACTAAAAATACAAAAATTAGCCAGGCTTGGTGGTGGGAGCCTGTAATCCCAGCTACTCGAGAGGCTGAGGCAAGAGAATCGCTTGAACCTGGGAGGTGGAGTCGAGATCGCACCACTGCACTTGAGCCTGGGTGACAGAGCAAGGCTCTGTCTCAAAAAGAAAAGAAAGAAAGAACACAAATTCTGGAACCAAAGACCTTGAGTTCCTGGCTCCACAACTTACTAGCCATGTGGCAAGTTACTTAACCTCTCTGAAGTTCAATTTCCTCATCTGTGAAAGGAAGGCAATAATAGTACCTACCTCAAAGGGGTTTTTTTGTTGTTGTCGTTGTTGTTGTTTTTTGAGACAGTCTCACTCTGTTGCCAGGCTGGAGTGCAGTGGCGCAATCTTGGCTTACTGCAACCTCCACCTCCCTGGGTTCAAGCGGTTCTCCTGCCTCAGCCTCCCGAGTACTGAGTAGCTGGGGCTACAGGCGGGCACCACCACACCCAGCTAATTTTTTTTTTCGTATTTTAGTAGAGACGGGGTTTCACCATGTTAGCCAGGGTGGTCTCAATCTCCTGACCTCGTGATCCACCTGCCTCAGCCTCCCAAAGTGCTGGGATTTTAGGCGTGAGCCACCGCACCCAGCCTCAAAGGGTTTTTATGACAATTAAAAGGGATAAATTTGTAAGATGTTTAAGACACTGCCTGGCATATTGTAAATGCTAAATGTGTTAGCTCTTATTGTTTTTATCATCTCGTATTTATCGAATATTTACCGTATGCCACTCTCATTTGATCCTCATAACCCCGTTTGGGAAATACTACTAATATAGCTGTTTCACAGAGATGAAAACCAAGGCTTAGAGATTAAGCTAGATGTCTTAGCGCCTGACTCTGAAGTTCTTCCCCTACTGCCTATAGGGATACTATTGTCAGTAACATTGTTTGTTGAACAAGTACCTATGTGCTGGGCATAATGAAAAAAGTAGACAAAAATCCTGCTTTCAGCCGGGCACAGTGGCTCATGCCTGTAATCCCAGCACTTTGGGAGGCTGAGACTGGTGGATCACGAGGTCAGGAGATCGAGACCATCCTGGCTAACGTGGTGAAACCCCATCTCTACTAAAAACACACACACACACAAAAATTAGCCAGGCGTGGTGGCGGGTGCCTGTAGTCCCAGCTACTCGGGAGGCTAAGGCAGGAGAATGGCATGAACCCGGGAGGCAGAGCTTGCAGTGAGCCGAGATAGTGCCACTGCACTCCAGCCTGGGCGACAGAGCGAGACTCCGTCTCAAAAAAAAAAAAAAAAATCCTGCTTTCATGGAACATACATTCAAAGTATATGTGTGGGGAGAAGATAGATTTTATACACATGCACACATAATATGTCAAGTGGTAATAAATGCTATTGAGAAAAATAATACAGAGTTAGAAAGAGAGTGATAGGCTGGAGGTAGCGTGTTATTATAGATAGGATGATCAGGAAAGGCTTCTGATATTTGAGCAGAGATCTGAGTAAAAAGGGCAAGAAACCTTCGCAGGGAAGTGTGTTTTAGGTAGAGGACATGCAAAGGCCCGGGGTACAGCATGCCTGGCATATTGGAAGGACAGCAAGGAGATCAGGGTAGCTGGAATGAAATGGTGGTAAAGAGATAGGAGACAAGGTCGGAGATTTAATCTGCAAGGCCTTACTCGTTGAGCAACCATATAATTGATTGTTTAAATTGGAATATTTTTGAGAGTGAAAGCAGGTACCATTAATAATTGTCAGGGTAACAAGTGTAAACTGGGTCTTTCCCCAATAAACGTTACTCATTGGCCATCAGAAGGATCTTGGATTGTATTTGAGTGATTTGGGAAGTCACTGGAAGGTTCCAAGCAAGGACTGGCATGGCCTGACTTACATTTTGGTGGAGTTCCTCTGGCTACTAGACCATAGGTGCAGGGGTGGATACAAGGGGACTGGAAGAGCGATGATGTCTAGGACTGGAGTGGTGGAGACGGAGGAGGGAGAAGTCATCAGATTTTGGATGGCTTTTGAAAGTATGGCTGATGAGACTTGCTGAGGGATTGGATATGGGGAGAGGAATCAATGAGGGATTGGATATGGGGAGAGGAATCAAGTAGTTTGAAGATTTTTGACCTGGGTGGTTGGAAGGCTGGAGTTGTCATTTACAGGATGGAGAGGTGCAGGTTTGGGAGGAAAAATCAAGAGTTAGGTTAAGTTTCAGATGCCTTTGGTATCCAAGTGAGAGAGTGAGTAAGAAAATTCACTGTATAAGCGGGGAGTTCAGGCTAAGGCTAGGGAAGTCATCAATGTACAGATGGTGTCCCAAAAAACCTGCTGAGATCAGCAAGGCAGCAGTGTTGATGGCAAAGACAAATATCGGGGACTGACCCTAAGGTAAGCAATCCAGTGTTTAAAGGTTAAAGGAAAAATGAGGAGCATTTAGCAAAAGGATAAGGAGTAGCCCATGGGAGAAGATCAGGGATTACAGGGGAATCATAACCTTCTGCTTGACACACTTCTGTACTCTGTGATTTAGGGGGAGGGAGGTAAACATATGTTACTTGTATTTTAGAAACAAAGCTTCTGGGTTCCAGTCAGGGACCCAAGACAGGTGTCTTGTGGGAGGCGAGGGGGTTGGAGGTGGCCCTGTAAAATCTAGGTCTCTTTAGGGACAGTGATGTTATTTCCGTTTTATTTTATTTCAGTGATTTATTTACATTCCCAGACCCAGCAATTCCACCTTCCCCAAAATGCCTATTCATGACCTACTTCCCCATGATGTCTTCCCTGACCACCAGGATCCTCCTCTCTGGATTCCAGGAGACTTTGCTCAGTGCTCAGTTATGTACTTGTCATGTTATCAAACCCATCCTTCCTGCATGAAGCAGGGCTGTGCCATGGGGAAAGCATAGGAGAGGCAGGCTGGGTGTGAACTCCAGTCCAGCCATGCATTAGCGGCCGTGGCAGGACCATCAGCCATGACTTATCAATTCCTCACCAGTGGGGCTCCACAATACTGGCTTCACAGGATTGGAATGAGAATTAACCAGGCAGTAGTGGGAAGAGTGAGGTCTTTGAAACCAAACAGAATTAGTTTGAATCCCAGTTTAGCTACTTTTAAGATCTGGGGCAAATCATGTAAACTCTTTAAACCTCAGTTTTATCGTTAGGAAAATGGGGAGAATAGTACCTTACAGGGCTGTTGTGCATTGGAAATTAATTCATTCATTTACCTAATTCATCTTTCCAGCTGAATTATGAGGGTAGAGGGGTGAAACAACTGGGCTTTAAGATATTAAGGAACTTGCCAAAGGTCACAAGCTAAAAAGTGGCAGGGTGGGAATTCAGTTCCAGATCTTTCTGCTCTGAAAGTGGTTCTTACCCATCTTCAATCATCCACTCAGAGCCAAACAAGGCAGCTATGCGCAGTTGTCTCTTGGTATCCACGACGGATTGATTCCAGAATTCCCCATGGATACCAAAATCCGAGGATACTCAGGTCCCTTATATAAAATATGGTGCAGTATTTGCATATAACCTACATACATCCTTCCATATGATTTTTTTAAGACTCTGGGTCTCACTCTGTTCCCCAGGCTGGAGTGCAGTGGTGATCATAGCTCACTGCAGACTCCAACTCAGGGACTCAAGCAGTCCTCCCTCCTCAGCCTCTAGGACCACAGGCGTGTGCCACCATGCCCGGCTAATTGTTGTTGTTGTAAAGATGGGGTCTGTTGTGTTGCTCAGCCTGGTCTCCAACTCCTGGGCTCTAAGCTATCCTCCCACCTCAGCCTCTCAGAGTACTAGAATTACAGGCATGAGGCACTGTGCCCAGCCCCTCCCATATACTTTAAATCATCTGTAGATTACTTCTAATACTTAATACAATGCAATAGCATTTGCAGTTACATAGCATTGTAAATAGTTGTCATGCTGTGTATTTTTAACTTGTATTTTCTATTATCGTATTTTTTATTTTTATTTTTCTGAATATTTTCAATCGCTATTGGTTGAATCCACGGATATGAAACCTGCGGGACCTGTGTATACCAAGGACTGACGATATACATAATAGATGCTCAGAAAATCTAGCTTGTTGTCTGCCCACGTGGCTTCTTCTTTAAAGTCTCTTTTAAAGCTTCCTTCCCACTGTAAGCCATTTCGTGCAACCATCAGAATTCTAATAAACTGATCCAAGAAGCCAATTCAAAATAAATGTCAGACTGTGCAGTCTTTGTGAGAAGCCTGTATCTGTTTTTACATGCTGGTGAACTCCAGGGAAACCTAGCTCAGTGCCTCAGCCCACTCAAGGGAATATTTGCATCTTACCCTACAAATTGCCTACAACAGGCTCTTTGAAAGATGGAAAACATATTCCCCTAAGACCTGGGAAGGCTAAACAGTTAATAGCTTCTCAAGGGTTTTATGTATTACTAGGATACCGGCAGCTATCACAGGTCATTAAATATCAAAGTTTATGCTCAAGAAGCCAAAAGAAAAACAATCCAGCTTCTCTGTGCCTCAGTTGTCTTCACAAATACCCCAACTAGGAGAATGTTCCAGAAACCATTTAAGCATCATGCAGGTAAAATGAGAGTCGCACAGATCTGAAGGGTTCAAATGTTCACCGCTGGCAGAACGCGGCTCAGTGGCAATAAGGCTCCCTCCCCTTTCATCCTGGAGCTTTCTCCTAGTATTGGCTCCTTCCCCAAAGCGTCTCTCTTTTCCTTTCTGCTTTTTTTTTTTTTTTTCCGGTAAGGATCAGAGTCATCCATCCCATCCCAAGCAGTTTTTATCAGCTCATCTTCTGAGATATCCTTGATTTTCTCTTTGATTCCCACCAGACCTTGTTGATGTGTTGGTTCACTGAGGCTCTTTCAGCCGAATCAGGGACACAAATTTAGGTTGAGCGACTGCTGTTTCTTAGCAACTTAGCAACTGCAGTCTCATCAGCAAAAGGTGAGTAGAGGTGAGCTCCTCACTCAGCCCTCAACAGCGCTCGCCATAACCCTTGGGTTGTTTCCATGGAAAGTACTCTCTCATTGGCCGGGTTAGTCCCTTTCATATTCTCAGCTTTCTACCCTCTTGTTATGTCCTCTGTGTAGGGGAATTTCAACATATATTTGACCTAGCATTGGTTCTATTGCTGTCTCCACTTCATACTTCACTGTTTATGGTTCGGGCCAGCTGTCATGTCCCTCCAGCATGGAGTTAGACCTGGATCGACGCGCTGGCTCAGGGAAAAGGGAGTGGTGGGAGAAATTGCTGGGGGTTAGGGGCAAGACAGGACATGGGATAGAGGGTTTTGGAGTAAACTTTTATCCTCTAAAGCTATCCATGCGTCTTAGCAACATCTCTGTTGACCCAGCTATACATGGGTTAGATAGAGTTGTATAGAGCAGTTCCCTCTGGTCCTTTGACCCGTGATTTTAGCAAATGTGTGAGGCTGAGGACTATAGAGATCTTTGAAACTGATAACAGTGTCAAACAATGTAACTGGCCTGGTTTTCCAGGAGAGATGAACTATTTCAGACATTCTATTGCCATAGCCAGACCACATATCCTGATTTTGAGTTCAGAAAATATGGTTATTAACACATCAAATAACCAGTTGATTTAGTAAGGTCCTCACTTTTCTATTATCATACTTTTCCCTGTAGACATAGAGCTGTATGGGATGTAAAAATCCTGCTCAGTAGTTTAATTGGCCATCATAACGGCCGATGTCTCATTGCATTGCTGAAAGGTAAGAGTAGATCAGTAGAAATTATCTTATGGGATTGTGACTAATAGTATCTGAACTAAAGTAGGTATTTTGACAATTTTCCTGAGGCAGGAGAATCTCTTGAACCTGGGAGGCGGAGGTTGCACTGAGCCGAGATCGTGCCACTGCGCTCCAGCCTGGGTGACAGAGCGAGACTCCGTCTCAAATAGATATATACATATATGAATTGGAGTGTTGCTTTCAAAGGCTCTGACTGTTTTATCTCAACTTTCCAAGAAATACTTGCACATTGTCTGCCTGCATGGGAACTCACTTTTCCCTGGGAACTCACTTTTCCAGGGGATATTCTGAATAGTCAGCTCTTCCATCCTGTAAAGTTTCTTAAGTATTGTAAAACTAACTCCATATGTTTGTATCTTTGATACCTTCAGCTGCATTTTAGGTGCCTTTGCATTAAAAACGTAATGACTCTCGGAGAAGTCACACCCCCGGTTCAGGAAGAACAGTCAGTTATTCAGAGTTAAGCTGTTTTCACAGGGAAGATTCAGAACATCGCCCTCTCCCCACCCCTGAGTCTAATGGCGTTAGAAGGATGTGCGGTCCTTCTGCCAGCAGGACTCTCGTCATCACCCTCCTGATGTAGCCCACCCTCCACCACCACGGGACACCTGGGGATTTGAATCCTGGGGTCACTTAGACCCTCTTTCCCAGGAATTTAAATCCTAAGTCACTTAGACTGTCCTGGGAATTTGAATCCTAAGCAGAGACACACTGAGGTGTCTGGAGCCGGGTCACTGGGTGGCTGTTGAGATCTAATCACTGCCGTGGTTCCTGGCCTTTCCGGGGCCCAGTCGTGTGGTTCTGTCTTTGATTCTGTGAGCTACTCTGTGGTCTTTCCCAGAATTACTCTTGGCCTGAATTAGGAAGGAAGAGAGGGCGGAGAGGCAGGCCATGATGGTAACTGGAAGAAACTACAGTGAAGGACCGTTCTTACCCGCCTCTGTTTTTAGTTCCTGGGCCGTCACTGAGTGACATGGTCCTGCCACACAATCCCGGTATGCGGCTTGCTCACCACGGGGTTCAGAACATCCAAAATGCCACGTTCAGTGGGACGATTCCACTGACACGTTGATGTTGCCGCAGCGTCCGATTGCACTAATTCTACGTGCTCGCTCTAAGTTCCTGTACCGGCCTCACTGAGGACAGGCAACCAACAGTTCGCAGACCTCTATCGGCACTGAGCTGGAGCTTCCATGGGAGCAGGTAACTTAGCCTCTCTCTGAAGCTGGGATGTGTTGGAACTGCTGATTTCCACACAGGCTAGTGGACTAGGACCTCCCTGTCCCTGGGGAGAGCCCTACTCCAGGCCCGCTCAGAAGTTCTTTTTTTTTTTTTAACTTATTGGCTGGGATTGCCCCAACCTGACTCTACTCACCTGCCACCCCTCCTCTTTCCACCCAAGGCTTCCCAGACTTTCTGCTTTCTCCATCAAACATGAGCTTTGCCACCAAAGAAGAGAGCAGCCTGGCCTCCCTTGGCCTGCAGCACCTGCTCCTTGTGTGCAGTTTAAAAAAATGTGCCTTCCAAGAGCATGGCAAGCAAGGGCTCTGAGAGATATTTGCACACTCTTGTTCACAGCAGCATTTTCCACAGTAGCAAGAGGTGGAAACAGCCCAAGTGTCTAAGACAGACGAATGGATAACCAAAATGTGGTCTGTCCATACAATAGGATATTCAGCCTTAAAAAAGGAAGGAAATTCTGACACATGCCACAACATGGGTGAACCTTGAGAACACGTGAAGTGAGAAAAGCCAGACACAAAAGGAAAAATATTGTATGATTCCACTTCTGTGAGGTCAAATTCTGTGAGTAGTCAAATTCATAGAGACAGAAAGTAGAGTGGTGGTTGCCAGGCCCTGGGGGGAAGGGAAAGTGGCAGTTCGTGTTTAATGGGTACGGAGTTTCAGTTCGGCATGATGGGGAGGTTCCAGAGGTGGATGGTGGTGAACAACAGTTTGAATGTTCTTAATGCCATTAAGTGTACACTTTAAAATGGTTGACATGGGCCAGGCGTGGTGGCTCACGTCTGTCATCTCAGCAGTTTGAGAGGCCACGAAGGGAGGATCACTTGAGCCTAGGAGTTCAAGACCAGCCTGGGCAACAGAGAGACCCCTGTCTGTACCAAAAAAGAAAAAAAAAATTAGCCAGGCATGGTGGCACACGCCTGTGGTCCCAGCTACCTGGGAGCTGAGGTGGGATGATCGCTTGAACCTGGGAGGTCAAGGCTGCAGTGAGCCGAGATTGCACCACTGTACTCTGCACTCCAGCTGGGTGACAGAGGGAGACTCTGTTTAAAAAAAAAAAAAAAAAAAAAAAGGTTAAAGTGGTAACTTTTATGTTATAGGTATTTTACTAAATACACACTCCCCCTAAAAATTAAATTTAAAAAAGAGAGAAAGCATTCCCTAAAGAAAGCACTTCCTTCGAGGCACCTTTGGACTGTGCCTTTGACATCTGTGCCATTGTGAGTGTCCACAGGGTGCTGGGGCAGTCTTCAGCTGGTTGTTAATTTATCAATGTCAGGGCCAGTGTCTGTCACTTCACTCAGTCCCTAGCCCAGAATCGTGACCAGCAGATGCCTAATCGGTTCTAGCATGATAAATATGCCAGGCCTCTCACTAAACCCTCCTTGTCCTTCCTTCATTCATTCATTCACTCCACATGCATCAAATGCCTGATTTCTATAGTGAGAATATAAAATCAGGCCCAGGCAATTTAATCCTTTTCTGAAGCGTGGATGTGTTGAAACTACTAACTTTAACTCATTTATACAGCGAGAATCTAATAACAAACAAGACCTGGTTTCTGCCTGCATTGTGCTCATTTTCAGCCCTTTCCTAGATTAGGCTCAGCCAGCGTCCTCCCCGGAATACTCTACCTGCAGCTCACTTAACTCCAGCAGCTATGGCTAAGTACTGAGCTGTGGTGCACGAAGTCTTGGGCCAAGAATCAAAGGCCTAGGCTCTAGTCCGGTCCCTAGCACAGGCTTCCCTTTGACATTAAACAAATTAATTAACTTTTCTGCAGGTCTCTATGTCTCCATCGGCAAAATGGAAATGATTTTTGGCATTGGGATAAAAATAAGAATAAACTAAGAATGTGAATCAACTCCGATAGAAAACATCAGATATAGGCCGGGCGCAGTGGCTCATGCCTGTAATCCCAGCACTTTGGGAGGCTGAGACAGGCGGCTCACGAGGTCAGGAGTTCGAGACCAGCCTGGCCAAATAGTGAAACCCCGTCTCTACTAAAAACACAAAAAATTAGCTGAGTGTGGTGGCAGGCGCCTGTAATCCCAGCTCCTCGGGAGACTGAGGCAGGAGAATTGCTTGAATCCAGGAGGGGGAGGTTGCAGTGAGCCAAGATCATGCCATTGCACTCTAGCCCAGGCGACGGTGAGAGACTCCATCTCAAAAACAAAAACAAAAAAACACACATCGGATAGACTGATCCGTGGTGGGATGGTTGACTAAACCATACAACCCATTCCTCCACCCCGATATGGTCTAACCTGAAGTTCCATTAAAATGATGTTTCATGGGGAGCAGGAAAGCAGATCCCCATATTCCTTTCTTGAAGAACAAAGTTACTGTCATACATGCCTTCTCCGTCCTATTTATCACTACCAAGGACAGGTTACAACAACCTCAGTTTGACTTTGGCAAGTTATAATCATCAGACCTCGCAGATCTAGCAGCTGGCAGCCCTCCAGATCAGATAATGTACCTTATTTGTTTTCAAGCTTGATGCAGAAAAGAGAAAGGGCTTAATAAGATCCTTAAAAGAGTGTGTTTTTCCAAAAGGAGCCGTCAGGTGGGGAGAGGGCAGGGTGGCCGTGGCTCCTGGCTGCTGGTCCCAAACCCAGTCCCTGTGTGGGCCTGGAAAACTTTTTTGGCCTCAGGGCCATACCTCTTTCTGCTTTCCTTGGATTCCATTGCTTTTGCATTCAACAAACAAAAGGGTCTGTGTGAGATACTTGTTAAGACATGTTAAAAAAAAAAAAAAAGAAAAAAGAAAAGAAAACAAACGAGTTAAATCTCAGCTCCATTATCTAGATGTTGTAGTTCTTGGGCAGATATGCACTCTCCTTACCAGTCAGGACCTCAGTTTTCTCATCTGTAAAATGGGAATAATAATACCTACCGTAAGGATTGTTAGGAAGATTAAATGAGACCATTTATGTCAAGTGCTTAGCGTGATGACTGGCCTGCGCAAACGCACATTCGTTAGCTGTTGTGTTTGTCCTCTGTTAAATGCATGTGGTGGGTTAAACTTGTTGTGTTAAACCTGCCACTATCTTCTGTTGAACTTGTTGGTGGGTTAAGTGGGTTAATGTACAGAGGAGGGCTTTGTAAACAGTGTTGTTTCCCACCCAGGTCCCTTTTGACATCTTACTGTAGTCAGCGTACAAGTCTAGCCTCTTCATAAATAACACAATTTTATTTATTTATTTATTTATTTATTTATTTATTGTTGTTGAGACGGAGTCTCGCTCTGTCGCCCGGGCTGGAGTGCAGTGGTGTGATCTCGGCTCACTGCAATCTCCACCTCCTGGGTTCAAGCAGTTCTCCTGCCTCAGCCTCCCGAATAGCTGGGATTACAGGTAAGCACCACCACACCCCACTAATTTTTGTATTTTTAGCAGAGATGGGGTTTCACCATGTTGGTCAGGCTGGTCTCGAACTCCTGACCTCAGGTCATCCGCCTGCCTCGACCTCCCAAAGTGCTGGGATGACAGGCGTGAGCCACTGCGCTCGGCCAATAACACAATTGTCATCAAGTATTTCCCATGTCTCTCCTCCTGTCTCCGTTGCTGGTGAGGTGATGCTCTCTTTTCTCCTTTCCAAAGCCACACTCCTGACTGTATTCTTCTCTCCCACTCTTTTTCCAATCTTCAGTTTTTTCATTCTGGTTCCTTCTCTTTGTTTCTGTAAGTCGTGTGTCCCTGAAGGCCCTCCAACTATGGAAACCGCCTCCCTCCTCAAGTCAGGGCGGAGTCACTTCCGCCAAGCTGGGAAGAGTTCCTGCTCCCTCCTTCCACCTGGAAAGGAATAGGAGGAAGAGCACAGGCTTTTGACCAGCTACGGGGCTCCTGTCCCACTGTGGCCCTAAACCGTTCAGAGCATCCATGGGCAATGGTAAACATTGAGGTGAGTTCTGGAGATGTTTCTGCTGAAACTACTCCATTGCCATCTTACAGAGTCAGGGTTTTCCTGTAGCTCTGTTGCTTTTCCTGGACTCTTTAGGACACTGAAGACCAGTTTTCCAATCCCGGAAAACGTGTGCAGAACATTCTGCCTGAGGTTCCTGCGGCCTGAGAAATGGAAACTTATTGAGCAATGTCATGTCATCAGCATCCAGTTAGCCCTGATGTCTAATGAGTGTCTGCTTGTTTGCATAATGCAGAACTGGCCTGTGTGTGCCCTGCATGTGGGCATGGGTATGTGTGCCAGAGCGCATCCTCAAGTCCATGGATGTCCGTCCTAACTGCACCTAGGGAAGGGTGGAGCTGAATGTCTCCATTGGTGCTTTTCTATGTATCACAGCGGGTAGCAGAGGACTAAGTACAGCACACAACAGGTGCTCAGTAAATGCCTGCTGATGGTTGGTTCACTGACTCATTTGCTCATTCTTTCTCAGCCTGCTGATCGCTTACTCCTGACCACCACTAAACTTCCTCTTTGAAAGACTCCAGGGAGGAAAAGGATTGCCCCACATCTTCCGTCTGCATGCAGAAACTTATCCTGTCCCAGGCCAGAAAGAAGATAGGAAAAGACAAGCCTAGCGGGTTCAGAAAAGTCAGTACTGACCTGAGGGATCCTGGAAGCACCTCTGTGGCCCTTCGCTAGGTCCATGGGCTCCGGCCAGTCTTAGAGGTCCCGGAGCCTATTACGTCTAGATTTTCCTAAATCACCCCATTGTATCAAGGGTCTTAAGTCAAAATTCCCCTTCACAGGACTGTGTTTGTCGCTGTAATTGTCACAACACTTACTACTAAATGGGCCCTTAAATGTTATAGGTGTTTGTTTGTTTGTTTGTTTGTAATGATGATGATGATAATGATGATATCTTAGAGGTGACCCCATGGCCTGGCTAAACCTTCTGTGGCCTCTTCTGATCAAATTCGTGGCTTGGAAAATGGATATTTACTGAGCTGGGCTGGGTCCAGACAGACTCCATATTCCCAGAGCAGCGACAGCAGAATAGAAAGGGCGTCTGCCCCCTCTTCTTACCTCCTCTCCTTATCTGCCCCCTTGGTTTTAGACTTTGTGTTTTTGTTTTTTGTTTGTTTGTTTTTGTGATAGAGTCTCCCTCTGTCACCCAGGCTGGAGTGCAGTTGTACACTTGTGGCTCATTGCAGCCTCTACCTCCTAGGTTCAATCCTCCCGAGTAGCTGGGAACACAGGTGCGCACCACCACGCCCAGCTAGTTTTTTGTTTTGTTTTGTTTTGTTTTTTTTAAAGAAACGAGGTTTCACCATGTTGTCCAGGCTGGTCTCGAACTCTTGAACTCGAGCAATCCTTCACCCTCCACCTGCTAAAGTGCTGGGATTACAGGCGTGAGCCACCACACCCGGCTGGTTTTATGCTTTAATGTGGATGTTTGGGCCAAGCAGGGATGTTTGGGTGAGGAGGAAGCACTGTCAGCAGGGCAGAAGTTCCCAGGCAAACACCTGGCATGGGCTCAGATGCCCTCTCTTGGGCCCCCTTAGGGGGCACCCAGTGGGGCAGTAGGTACAGTCCCTTGTGCCTGTAGCTCGCAAACCTCAGCCTGCCTGCAGCCACAGCCGTTTCAGTAGCTCAGGTGCTAGCTTGGCAGGAAGCTGGGGGAAAGGACAGCTGGTTGTTCTTCAGGTGCCTGCCCTGGCCGTGAGCATCAGCAGGCTCAGGGTAGCGTCGGGGAAGAGACTTATCATGGCCCCACCCATATCCATCTGCTCATCTAGAGGAACGGGTAGGCCTTAGGATTCCACCTTTCTGCGGCTCCTCACTTGCCCCCCCACCATGCACACCTGTGCTGGGAGGGAGCATGAGATGGGGCCAGGGGCAGTGTCTGCTTGCAGACACACAGCTGGGTGGCTTACGTTGAGAAGGAAGAGCTTGGGAGCCAGGAAGAGGGGAGCAGGCTCACACTCAAATGCTCTCATGTCCAATTCTCCAGCTGTTTGGGACCGTGGGACAATAGAGTTGGGTCTCCACACTCTTCCTTGCATTTTGGGGGCTTACATGGAGAGATGTTAGTCAAATGAGAGATAATAAGGAAATGGTCTGGGGGTGTGTGTGTGTGTGTGAAGTGTGGGTGGGTGGGTGAGTAGGAGGTCATTGGAGAGGGGATAGGGGAACAGGGGTAGCTGGTGACTCAGTGGGTACCTGACACCGGGTGATAAGATGGCAATAGTGGAGGCAGACACAAATTCTCAAGCACGTTCAATGTAGAGTAGTGGAATTTGGTACACAGGTTTTTGTCCTGGGTTCAAATACTGGCTCGGTCACCTACTGCCTATGTGACTTTTGGCAAGAATTTTAACCTCTAAGCCTTCTTTTCCGGCTTATTCTATTAATTTTTAATTTTTAAATGTTTTTTAGAGACGGGGTCTCATCATATGGCCCAGGCTGGAGTTCAGTGGCAATTCACAGGTGCAGTCATGACACACTACAGCCCGAACCCCTGGGCTCAAGCCATCCTCCCACCTCAGCCTCCTGAGTAGCTGAGATTACAGGTGTGAGCCACTGCACCCAGCTGGTTTATTATATTAAATAAAACACCCGATGTTTCACTTAATATACATATAACAGGCATATGTATGTGTATATAAATGCCTAACACGTAAGTGTTAACCGTTACTGTTGTATTACTAATAATTTTTCTCGCATCAAGTTCCCTGGCGCATCGTGTACTAGAAAGGATAGGTTTAGCCACACAGCCTGGCTCTGCCATTGGAGCATTGGGTTTGCCTTAGGGACTCCCTCCCAGGTGGCAGGCCCCTGGCTTCACCCCTGACTCTCTGTGCCACTTCAGGTTTCTGGCGGGGTTCAGGCCCTGCTGGCTTCTAGCCTTAGCAGCTTTGTCCTGCTGAGGATGTGTGACTGGTCCCACATGCTCTCCAAGGACAGAGCCACAGCCCCTGCTTTTCCATCCCAGGACTCAGTGCTGGTTCCTGGCATTTGTGGAACTGCGCCCTGGATGTCATGGCCTCATGTTCATTCCCTTGACAACCTCCTGCTCTCTAGTGGGAGAAGGGCTCTGTTTCCGTTCAGCTCCTCTGGATTTCATCACCTTTTCTCATTCCAGTTTGAGTGTCTGGTGACAGTTCTGTCTACAGACCCCGGGGCTTCTTAGCCAATCATGTACGTTCACCCTGGATCCTCAGGTCCTTTGCATGTGGTGGTGTACATGGAACCAGCCCTCCCAGGCCTCTCCTTCTCCCTCGCTTTCCTAGGGCCCTGGTAGGGCCCGTCCTTCCCCTCTTGCATACCCTTGCCCAGGGACAAGCCCTTTCTAATGGAGCCCTGCCCCAAAAGAGCTTCAGAAAGACCTTTCCGCATCTCCCCCTGTAGGTGTCACCCCCACACCCACTGCTTCCACTTCTTTCTCGGGCTTACTCTCAGCCCCACCTCTCCTGTTGGCATTCATGAGTTGCCTCCAGGCTCCCTACTGATGGAGGGAGCTTGCTTTTGGTTGGGGTCGGGGTTAACCCTTTAGCTCCCTGTCTACCCCCTTGTGATGGACTTGCGCCATCCGCTGGGTTGAGCAGTCTCCACCCAGTTACATCTGTAGGCGGGCAACGTTCGTTTCCACACGAGCAAGCAGTAAGATGTGGAGTGATGGGTGAGGTGAATCTAACTCATTTGGGGCCGACGATACTACTCCCAGCGTAGATCAGCAGATGATTGGAACAGATTCTGGAGATATATATCGGGCTCCCTTGCCATTTACCATGAAGTGATGTGTGTGCACGTGGCACATTATCTGCAATTTTACTCAGTGAAATAAAACTCTTAGCATAGTGCCTTGTATATGATAAGCACTCGGTAAAGGTGAGCTGCTATGAATATTGCCATTATTACAACTACTTAGGAGCAAAAGCAATACATCCTGCCGTGTACCTTCGGTAAAGGTGAGCTGCTATGAATATTGCCATTATTACAACTACTTAGGAGCAAAAGCAATACATCCTGCCGTGTACCTTCGGTAAAGGTGAGCTGCTATGAATATTGCCATTATTACAACTACTTAGGAGCAAAAGCAATACATCCTGCCGTGTACCTTCGGTAAAGGTGAGCTGCTATGAATATTGCCATTATTACAACTACTTAGGAGCAAAAGCAATACATCCTGCCGTGTACCTTCGGTAAAGGTGAGCTGCTATGAATATTGCCATTATTACAACTACTTAGGAGCAAAAACAATACATCCTGCCGTGTACCTTCGGTAAAGGTGAGCTGCTATGAATATTGCCATTATTACAACTACTTAGGAGCAAAAGCAATACATCCTGCCGTGTACCTTGTAAAATGCCCTGTTGGGCATTGGCAGAAGTTTGAGCGTTGCTATGTCTTAGGCTGATTTAGGGAAGATTTTCCTGTCGTGAGCCATGGCCCTGGCGTGTGATGGGTCAGCTAGTTAGTCCTGGGCCTTTATTAACAGGGTTTAGGATTTATACTTACGTGAGAACTTAGTCTGAATTTTTTGTCTGCTAAGTTGAAAGTGCTTTGAAGGGTTTTAGCCCTGGAGTGGAGTTGGGAGGCTCAGGCCTGCAGTCCCAGCACAGAATCTGTAACACCAATGCCAGCCTGGGCAGCGAGAGACTTCCTTTCTCTTGGGTATGAATCACACCAGGCGTCAGGAGAAATAATTGTGAGTTCCAGATCTGCAGCATCATGACTAATGCAAATAACAAGCTGCCATGTGTTAAGGGCTTATTATGTTCTGGGTAATAAATCCTTGACACGGATTATCCCGTTCACTGTGTGGCCTTGAGCGGATGACTTTGCCTTTCTGTTTCTGTTTCTTCATCTCTAAAATGGAGAAGACAACACTTAACAGGGAGGTTGAGAAGAGCTAATGAAATAACATATGCGAGAGTCTTAGAAAAAAGCACAAGGGGATATATGCATGCCTTATTTTTACCAATGAGGAAGATGGTAATCTTCAGGCCTTTGAAGAGTCTGCATTGCACAGAGGAGGGATGTTGGCAAAGCTCCGGCTGATGGTGAATTTGATAGCCCAGCTTTGTGAGGGCAGAATATGAGGCCCACGGTGGTGCTTTATCTGTCACCTGAGATTGGGGTGTCTGTCTCCTGGCACAAATGTGACACCTGTTGTAGCAGAAACAGGCCCTGGCAGCTGGTGCTCTGGGAGAAGAGGTCTGGCTAGGAGCAGGAGGAGTTCGCTTACCAGAGGGTAAGCGACAAATGTCAGTAGTTAAATCAGCACATTTTTCAGCTCCACATTCCCCCAGGGGGGCTAAGCAATGCCTGGTTATTCACTGGCAGGATTAACACAGAGGCAAGGATACAGGAAGAGGAAATATCCCAATGCACAGCACAGCGCCTGACACCTGAGACGCACTTGGTGAATATTTATGGGGGATGCGGGAGGGTGGGGGGCAAAGAGCAACACTGTGAAACAAAGAGGGGGTGTTACCTATTGCCATACTGCCACTGCTGGCCCACTGCTGGCCCACTGCTTACTACTCTGGTCAATAACATGGAGAAGGCTGAGCACGGTGGCTCACATCTGTAATCCCAGCACTTTGGGAGGCTGAAGTGGGAGAATCACTTGATCCCAGGAGTTCAAGACCAACCTGGACAACATAGAAAGACCCCATCTCTAAAATTTTTTTTTTTAATTAACCAACTATGGTGGCATGCACCTGTAGTCCTAGCTACTCAGGAGGCTAAGGTGGGAGGATTTCTTGAGCTTAGGAGGTCAAGGCTTCAGTAAGCTATGATTGTACCACTGCATTCCAGCCTGGGGGATCCTGTCTCTTAAAAAAAGAAAAATAAGAAAAGAAGCATAGAGGGAAAAGAGTCAGAGAGATACTGAGTATTTTTTAAAGGAGTTGAAACTCATATCTTCCGACTCCCAAATCCAAAACCTCAAACTTGGAAATTTTTAGGAAGAAAACATTTATTGGGTACTAAGACCCCACGCTAGGTCTGGCCCACATAATTTAATCTTCACAGCAGTCCCTGTGGGGCAGGTGTTTTTATTTCCACCATTCAGATGAAGAAACCAGGGCCAAAGAAGTTAAATTGTTCAAGCAGTCACAGTTTATAATTGGTAGATATACAATTAGATCTTTATTTTTTATTATTTTTCTTTAAAAAAAAAAGGGAGGGTCTTGTTATGTTGCCCATATGTTGCTAGTCTCAAACTCCTGGGCTCAAGTGATCCTGCTGCCTTGGCCTCCCAAAGTCCTGGGATTCCAGGCATGAGCCACCACGCCAGGCCACAATTAGATCTTTCTGACTCAGAAGGCTTGCTTGTCTTCCTACTCTATCATGAGGACTGCAAAGGAATTTTCCTACTCCTTAAATCCATGAGGGTTGGGCTGTTGACTAGCCCAAGTTTTAGGTATCTCACAGCCACCTAGACTCACCTGTTACCCAGGGGCAAGACCTGACTGGGTTTAACTTCACTGAATTTCCTACCTGTAATCCACTCACCTCCCTAAATGGATTTGTCTTTTGTCACTGAGAGAGCTGCCTCTTACCTTCTGTTAAAGAGAAATAGAACTGCACACTAGTTACAGGTCGTGAAGATGGATTTTATCAAGTACTGCTGCAACATGGGAGAGAGGCTTCAGGACAGGACTGAGCTCAACTCTGAATACAGCAGCAATGACTGCTGATTTATAGCCAGCCAGCAGAGTTAAGGGGTCAGTGGTTGGAAAACGACTGAGACATCAAGAATGGAGGGATTCTTGCTGAACTGGCCTAATGGGACTCTTGCTAAAGGCAAGGGTGGGAGATGAGAAGCTTGGTCAGATGTTAGGGGGCGGGGGGTTCTACTAAACTGACCTAGAAGAATTCTTGCTGAAAACTGGACTAGGTAGGCCCAGGACAGGGCCCAAGGATGAGGTCTTGTAAAAAAGAGTGCTCAGAGGAGCATCTAAGGTTTGGTCAAGGAGAGAGTCCTTGTCACTTCCCAGCAGATGCCAGGACAAGGGCAGCTGAAGACCCACAATGCTAGTTCATTGTGAGGGTTAGTCATCTCCCCTTGGTGTGACTCCCAACAGTCAAGGACTTTGGCTGAGCTGAAGACCGTCTTCGAGAAGGAATGTGCACCTGAGACGCACTGTAACTCCCACTGATGGGGCAGGCAGCATTTCGTGGGTATTTCCCCACAAGCTTCTCTTGAGTAAGAAGTTTTTAGTCATAAGAATGAAGATGACCCAGTCATTCAGATGCAGGAGCAAGGCAGGGCCCATCCTCCTCCTCCCCACAGTGTAACTCATGTGTCACCCAGGCACGCCTGAACCCACAACTGCTAGCCAGCAGATCCTCAGGGCTGGGAAGGGATGAGCTCTTGCTTTAGATCATGTGTTTGGGTTGGGATTAGCAGATGAACAAGCAGTTTTCCCCTGAGCTCATCCAGAAATGGAGGGTATAGTCTGGGAGCATTCTTTCTCTTTCTCCCTCACTCCTCATATTTTCACATCACTTCAGTGGCCCCAGCATCCTGCTTCCCCAGAACACACCCCTGCCCTGAACTCGCCAGACCTCTTCCTGCCAGCTGGGCCAGCCTGGAAACAGGAGAGACCTTGATGGCAGAGGGATAAAGCTGCAGAAGTCCCTGCAACCATAACACGAGTGGAGGGTGAACATCTGCAGAAACCCAGAGACAGATCCCCTGCTGAGGCCTCTGCGCCGGCACTCCTCAAAGTCTATGCCAGAAAGTGACTACAGGAGAAATGTGGGCAGAATGAGAAAACCTGGGCCTGTGAGACAGGGGAGCTCTCTGTTCTGATCCTGCCTGCGGAACAACCAGCTCTGTGACTTCAGACTCGGAGCGCTCTTTCCCTATCTGTGAAATGGGGTCATGGAGCTGGCCTCTCAGGAGGTTCTTAGAAGGTTCAGATGAAATCACGCCTGTGGGACACTCAGTAAGCCGAAAGGGCCCACACAAAGCATAATCATGTAAGAAAAGCACTCTCACCCCACACCTGCATTTCAGCGTGCAGCCCCTGATCCCACCCCTCCCCAGGCCTGTTACAGAAACACTCGTGCATAGCGTGGGTGGCCACCTTCGGTGAAGCCCATATTCGTGGGTGGTGCTCTGTGTTCTGTGTCTGCGTGGCTGTCTGTGTCTCTGCTGGTGCTCACGTAGGGGTTCCTCTGTGACACTTCTGCCTACTGTCGACTCTTGGCTCCCAGGGGTCGGGGACTGTCAGGCTAATTCCGTCTAAGCAGTGCCCAGCGCAGCATCCTGGGGACATCGTGGTGAAGCTGTTGAGGGAAAGGGGAGCTCAGTGGAAATCCGTGGCACACTGGGGTCCTAGTCTTAGCCTTGCCACTACTTGCTAAGTGAGCCTTGATCAGCCATTTGACCAGTGTGGGTCCCATTTTCCTCACTTGAAGGGAGGATGAGGTGATCTCAAAAGCCTCTTTCGCTTCCAGTGGTCTACGGTTCTGGTTTGTGACTAACAGTGGTTTGGTTCCACTTATCCAAAGCCCAGCAATCTCCTCTGAGATGGGAGTCCCAGCCCTCGGGAGTGTCAGCAGTGGCCGGCCGCCGGACTGATTCTCCCCGGCCCTCACCCTGGTGCAGCCCCTTGCCTCCTGACTTGTGAATGCGCGTGCACCCCCCAGTTTCCTGTTCCCTCCCTCCCTCTCGCCATGGTTTGGCTTTTTGCCTTCCCAGGTGCGTGTAAGCCAACCTGGTCCAGAGCCTTCAGGGTACAGACAGCGTCAGCCACACGCAGCCTCCCGGTGACTCCAGTAATAGCAGGGCCTCTGATCTTGTATCTCCAGTGGTTTATACCTTTGTTTGACAGACATCACATCCCAGGCCCACTCTTTCCTGCCTCTCTCAGCTCCGGCTCTATCCAGCAACCCAGTGATCAGTGGTAGGGGGTCCCCACCCATTAGTAAGCCTCTGCTGTTCCCCGGGCTCAGGGCACAGAAACTGAGCAGGAAGGGAAGAGTGTACCGCCTGTCACGACCATCTCTCCACGGCAGCTCTCGGGATAAATTGGCCTCCAGAGGCAGCCGGGGGAGAACGAGCTGGTAGTGGGAGGCCCGTGGTCCAGGCTCACCTGGACTGGCTCCTTCTCTGGTTTCTGGAAGGCGGTGACTGCTGATGGGATGTAAGCTCATCTCCTCTCTCTGCCCTGTGGGCCTTGGCCAGTCTGCAGCTATCTCCTGCCCCCAGCCCAGCCCTCTTCCCACCCACCCTCTGAAGAGAGGTGAGAAGGGAAGACGGTTCCCTCCATTAACCTCCCAAATCTTTTAGGTGTATGAGGTTTCCAGGTTACGCTGACCTGAGGGCTCCTCTCTTCCCCTTCCACAGGGTACGGCAGCTGGAGAGAACTGGCCAAGGCTCTGGCCAGCAGGAACATTCCAGCTGTGGATCCACACCTCCAGTTCTACCATCCCCAGAGGCTGAGCCTCGAGGTAGGTGACCAGCCAGTCCATTGTCCCTGCTGATGCCTTAACAAAGGTCCGCAGGTGCTCTGCCCAGTTGCCTTAAGGGTAACCTCTGCTACTCTGGGAGGAGAGGCAGAGGATAAACAGCCCCCAGAGTCCTAGTCTGGCCTCAGGACCTCCTAGCTGAGCCTTAGAGATGTCCATCCAGCCTCCTCAAAGCCAGTAAAAGGAAACTTTTACTGGGGCTGCCACTGGGCCTGGTTTTCTGGTGTCTGCCCTCGTTCCCTAGTTCAGTTTGCCCGTGCCGGAACCACTCCGGGCCTGCGACCTCCATCACCAGTGGCATGTGGTGCCTCTCACTAGGGTGAGGGCTGGGCTGTGCTGTGCTTGCTGCTGAGATCAGAGGTGACGAGGTGGATGGACACCCCTCCCTGCCCGTAGCTGGGAGTACAGACTTGTGGTGGAGCATTTGCCTGCAGTGCTTCTTGAACCAATGGTCCCTAAGGAGGCAGATTAGAGAAACTGGGGTCTAATTCATTCAGGAGCCCCAAGGCTGAGCCTAGAACAGACATGGATTCCAGAGCTGGACCAGAGCCAAACTGAACCTGTGGACCTGCACAATAGGGAGGGTTTGGTGGTGTCCCTGAGGGGCTCCCACTTGTTGGAACCCAAATCTATACAGCTGGGGGATAAGGAGGAAGAGGGAGCCGAGGTCCCTGCCCTCAAGAGGTCCTGACCTAAAGAGGGTAAACTGCTTTCCCATATGGGGAGGACAGAAAATTCAGAAAAGTGAAGGAACCCGAGGAGCAGGCGCTGATGAAACTATGGAGATGTATTCCCAGGACATGGTGTGAATGACAGACGGCAGCGTGCTCCGAGCCGACGCCTCCTGGGAGCAGGCACTGTGCCTCCTGTCCTGCCCGTAGCTTCTCATCCTAATATTCCTACCAACTTCGTTCTTCATTCTTCCCCTAGGACCACGACATTGACCAAGGGGTGAGCAGTAACAGCAGCTACTTGAAGTGGAACAAGCCTGTCCCCTGGCTCTCAGAGGTGAGGGACTTTCTATTGTACCTGCCCTTTGAGAGAGCTAAAAAATAATGTTTACAGATAATTCCAGAGATCACAGAAAACTTTCTACTAGGGACCTTCTACCGTACCTACTCTTTGAGAGAGCTAAAAAATAATGTTTATGGATAATTCCAGAGATCACAGAAAACTTTCTACTAGTGAATTAAAAAAATTTTTAAATTATTTATTCAGTTAGTTTTTTGTTGTTGTTGTTTTTAGAGAAGGGGTCTCACTATGTCGGCCAGGCTAGTCTCAAACTTCTGGGCTCAAGCGATCCTCCAGCTTCAGCCTCCTGACTAGCTGGGATTACAGGTGGGCATTACTACACCTAGTTTAGTGATTTCATGAAAATTTTTCACTCCACGCGTTCCAGGTTGATTCAATTTCTCTCTTTAGAGAAGGAACAATCACATTTGCCAAAGGCCTACTGTGTGGCAGGCTTTGTGGATCATGTCATCTCAGCTTTGCGACCCTGTGGAATAGTATCATTATCCTCATTTTATAGGTGGAAAAACAAGGCTCAGGAAAGCTACAAGACTTTCATGGCCATGCCAATCCCCAGTCTTAAAGATAAGCATCCCAAACTGTCTTTCTTGGGCCACTATCTTAAATCCCATAAGATATTCCAGGAAGAAAAGAGTCCATTGTTAAATAAGCTTTTAAAACTATAATATACTACCTTGCCTTCCTGGAAATGTACATTAGCATATGAAAGAGTATGAGAAGTTCTGCAGCCATCTGTTTAACTTGGTTTAGCTCAGCATGTCTCAAACTGAATTGCTTTTTTCCATGAAATGCCTATTATACTCTATGAAACTAGTGCTCGAGGATCCATAGAAATGCTGTAACGAACATGCACTGGGAAACTCTGCTTTAGAAAACTTACAGGAAGCAGTTAAATGAATAAAAGTTATCAGAACCATCATAATATCTTTCATTTTTACAGGCTTTGATAGATTGTGTGTCATCTTTTGGTTTTTTATTTTTTAGAGACAGGGTCTTGCTTTGTTTCCCAGGCTGGAGTACAGTGACACAATCATAGTTCACTGTATCTTTAACTTCTGAGTAGCTAGGACTACAGGGATGTACCACCGTTGCCTGGCTAATTTTTAAAATTAATTTTTATAGAGACAGGGTCTCACTATATTGCCCAGGCTGACCTCAAACTCCTGGCCTCAAGCGATCCTCCTGCCTTGGCCTCCCAAAGTGCTGAGATTACAGGCATGAACCACCATACTTGGCCCCAGATTCTTTTTCTTTTGGTGAAGAAACTGAGGCTCAAGGAAGTTAATTAACATACACAAGATTACCTTGAGTAAATAAATCGTTATGTCAAGATTTCCGAGTAGCACGGTGCTTTGGGGATGAAAATTTTAAATTTGAGTTTCCTATTTTACAACTTGTTTAGAACCCAGCGTCTTTAGTCTCGAGGCCCTGCGGACACAGATTACTTTTCTTGGCTGGGTGGTACGGGCTAGCTCATTGTCTTCATCCATACCTATCATAGGTGGAGCTCTTCAGCCTGGGTGGTTTTATTTGGAATCCACCCACTTGCTCTGGGGCAGGAGTGAAGGAGGCAGTATTGTACTGAATGTGACGTTAGTTATCCACACTGTGAAACTACCTCCTTTTAAAGCCCTGGGAGAGGATGGATTACAATGCTGGCACACCTGCACTAGATGACATCACCAGGTAATTATGCCCCGCCCTACCTGGAGATAGTACTTTGAAAAGAACTTGCTTTACAGATCATTTGGTCTGGTGATCCAGCCTTCTCTCCTTTAAGGATAGCATGGATCCTTTTTCTTAATAAACCAATTATTTTGAAAGCTTATAGCGCCATAACATTCTACATTTATTAATAATTAATTTATCCACTTGTTTTTGCCAATCAAGGCCATATGTATAAACATATAATGAAACAAAAACAGTGAACAAATAGTAAACAGTGATCAAAATTGGGCTGGGCTTGGTGGCTCAAGCCTGGAATCCTAGAACTTTGGGAAGCCGAGGTGGGAGGATTGCTTGAGCCCAGGAGTTCCAGACCAGCCTGGGCAACATGGTGAGACCTTGTCTCTACAAATAATAAAAAAAAAATAGCTAGCCGTGGTGATGCACGCCTGTGGTCCCAGCTACTTGGGGGGCTGAGGCGGGAGGATTGCTTGAGTGTAGGCAGTTAAGGCTTCAGTGAGCCGAGATTGTGCCACTGCACTCCAGCCTGAGTGACAGAGTTGAGAACCCCATCTCAAAAAAAAAAAAAAAAAAAAAGAAATATTGGCTATTTTAGTAAGTGTGTATGGCCTTTTGGTGGTAAATGACTGATTTCCATTTTTAAATACTAAAAATAGCTTACAAAATATTCATTACAGTCTTCATGGATGTTCAGGGGTTCACTGATCCAATCCTCTTATTTTATCAATGAGGAGAATAAGGAAGGAAGGTCCTGGAGAGGCCAAACCACACGCAGTCACACAGCTGCATTATGGTGCCAGCTGGCATCCAGCCCAGCCTTGCAGTCTCGCCACATTCTGGGGACTTCTGTTCCCATCCCCTTGCCTGTCCTTGGCCAGCAGGAAGTTCCCAGGTTAATAATACACATCGTTTATTGAGCATCTACTACTGTCCGGGAGCTGTCAGGTTGTTCTGTTATCCCTCTTCCAGATAATGGCTCAGAGAGGTCAGCTCAGGGTCACAGAGTTAGTGCAGGGCCCTGCTAAAGGTGAGCAAGGGCAGGAGATGAGAAAGATGACGATGGCCTCCTCTTTCACTGTTTCCCTGCCCCGAGCTTTGGCTGGCAGCCCAGGGTCTCTGAGGCCAGAAGTCACTCCGGAGACTCAGCAGCCTCAGACGTTTTACTTGGTGCACCAGAGGCTGACTGATCAGATTGGATGGCTAGGGGCCTGGGCTTCATGGAGTGACTGTTTCAAAACTTGTTCACACCAACACTGATCACAAGACGCTCATTAACAAACCCCAGTGCCAATCTGTTCATGTGTTGGTAAATACACTGCTCCATTCACCAAAATGCTATGTCTGCCAGCCAGGCCACTCCCCAAACCCAAGATAGTTACAAGAAAGAAATTTGGTGAGTACAAAGTCAGATCAAAGCAAGTGAGATCAGAGTTCTCGTGGGTTGTTCACACAGGCTTTGAGAAGGCAGTGTCTCTCTTTTGTGGACAGAGCTGTGACACAGACTCCTTCCTGTTCTCAGCCTTTCCTTTAAAAAAAAAAAAAAAAAGAAAGAAACAGCTTTATTGAACTGTAATTCACATACCATACACTTCACCCATACACTTCGTTTAAAGTGTACAATTCAAGGCTGGGTGTGGTGGCTCACACCTGTAATGCTAGCACTTTGGGAGGCCAAGATGAGAGGATCGCTTGAGGCCAGAAGTTTGAGACCACCCTGGACAGCATAGGGAGACCCCATTTCCACTAAATAGAAAAATGAGCCAGCTGTAGTGCCGTGTACCTGTAGTTACAGCTACTTGGGCAGCTAAGGAAAAAGGATTGCTTGAGGCCAGGAGTTTGAGGCTGCAGAGAACCATGATTGTGCCACTGCACTCCAGCCTGGGCAGCGGAGTGAGACCCTGACCTTAAAAATAAAATAAAATAAAATAGATCGAGTACCTCGAAACTCTGAACAGGACATAGGAGTTCCTGGTGTGTAGGAACCGGTGACCTGATCACCCTGCTGTGTTCCTCCGGGGGAGGCCCCACTGCCGCATGAGTTAGAACTGAACCACTAGCCAGGTACCCTTGGTCTTGCGAGTTTGACTCTGGTTGAGTAGCAGAGGGTATAGCGGAAGCAGAGGGCCAGTCAGCACTCATGTCCTGCGATGGGCTTCCGAGTGCTCCTGGAGGAGGCTGACGGTGCCTGCCTTCGTGCGCCTCTGAACCTCGTACCTCTGCCAGAGCCCCTGGCGCAGGTGACACCCTTTTGTTTACATGTCTGCCTCCTTTGAGGACCAACCTCTCTTTCATCTTTAAGGGGTACAGTGCAGACACTCAGTGCTAATAGAATGGAGGAAGATACTGTTCTGGGCTTAGCTCCTCCAAGCGTTTGTTCATTTAAATAATTAGGATGTGCAGGGAACACAGGGGAGGGAGCTGTTCCCTCTGCCTGGGGACGTCATAGAAGGCCTCGGAGAGAACTATTTGAGAAGAGCTTTGAAGGATGAGCAGGAGTTTGCCACGTAAGGAAGAAATGAATGGGCCTTCTAATCAGGAAATTGCATTTGTAAAAGCATGGAGAAGGGAAACAGCATGACGATTTTGGCAAAGACAGGGTTTTGATGTGGGTGGAGCAAAGGTGTATGGCAGGGAGTGGTGTGAGGTGAGGCTGGAAAAGGTAGGTCAGACTCCGTGTGCTGGGTGAGGCTCTGTTCTGAAGCCTTCTGGGAAGCTTCAGAGGTTTTTTTTCTTCTTTTTTTCTTTTCTTTTTTTTTGAGACGGAGTCTCGCTCTGTCGCCCAGGATGGAGTGCAGTGGTCGGATCTCGGCTCACTGCAACCTCCGCCTTCCGGGTTCACACCATTCTCCTGCCTCAGCCTCCCGAGCAGCTGGGACTACAGGCACCCACCACCGCGCCCAGCTAATTTTTTGTATTTTTAGTAGAGATGGGGTTTCACCATGTTAGCCAGGATGGTCTCGATCTCCTGACCTCGTGATCCGCCCGCCTCAGCCTCCCAAAGTGCTGGGATTACAGGCGTGAGCCACCGTGCCCGGCAGCTTCGGAGGTTTTAAGCAGCAGAGTGACTTGGTCAGATCCGAGCTTTAGAACGAGAGTTCTGGAAGCGGTGAGGACTCCGTGTGGGGGAGAAGCTGAGATCCAGTTGGAGGCTCTGCTGCGGCCCAGTGAGGGCCCGGCAGGGCCGGTGGATATTCCTGTGTGACCCACACCCCTGCACGATGCCCTCCCCTCTCCCAAGGGTTACTTGCTGTGTGTCCTTGGGGAGTCAGTTTACCTCTCTGAGCTTCAATGTCCTCACCCTTAAAATGAGAGGGTTCCAACAGATATCTTCTCCAGCACTTCTGACTTTGGAAGTTTCAAAACCACCATTGGCCATAGACATGCTCTGGTGCTTGGAGTGACCAGTGCCCCTCCCTGGGCCTTAGTCACTGCTGGACAATGGAGCGAGTGGGCAGAGGGCAGGGCTGGTGTGCTGGAGTCCCACGTCCCTGCCAGATACAAAGTCTCCAAGACTCAGAGGGACACAAATCCTTGGGGGACGGGGTGGTTCTCATCCCAGGCCCAGGGAGGAAGAGGGTGCCTTCTGGCCCCTCAGAGACCCCCACCTACAGCCTGAGAGTGGGGTGAAGCATGGTTTGAGGGCTAGCCTAGTGCTGCACAAGGGCCTGGGCTTAGCCAGGTAGCTCCTCTTCCCACACTGCCAGCCTCTCTGCCTGGGGCTGCCTGCATCATCTGATGATCCCTTTGCTCAGGCAAGAAAGGCCCTGAGGGTGAGGCAGGAGTGGCCAGCCAGTGCCTCCCTCGGCCCTCCTCTCCCTGCCCAGTCCCCCCCCTCACCCCCCCCCACCCCCCCCCACCCCCCGGCCTCTGGCCTCCAGGCTGAACACAACAGGCTTCTCTGGTGGCATGCCCTCCCCCACTGCCCTCCCTCCTGGGATCTGTATCTCCTAGGGAGGGGGCAGAAAGAAGCCTTTGGAGGAGACAGCTGAGTCTTATAAACTGAACTTGAGGATTTTCCCCCAAAGTAGCACAATGTCCCCATTCTTTCCTTCCTTGAAGCCTTAACCCGCCACCCACCTACCCAGCCTACTTTCCCTCTCCCATCCGTTCCAGTCTCCCACTTCTGTTTCTGTGAGTAACGGCTGCTTCCCAAGGCCCACATTCCTGGCATTGACCAGGCCAGTGTGCCCCATTAGCGCCACACTCTGCTGCAGGGCAGGGAGAGACAGGTTCTCCTGCGTCTTTCTGGATCCAGCATTGAGGCAGTGTTCCCCAGAGGCTGCGCCCACCCCACCAGCCACACCTGGGACCTCGGGCACTCCTGTTGAGGAGTTATTCCCTGCCCCCTCCTCTCCCTGCCTGCCCATCCTCCCTCCTACAGATCTCTTGTAGAACTTGTGCCACTTCTTCTTATCTGGGTGTCCCCTCAGAGCTCCTAAGGGCAGCCCAGATTTTGCTATCTCGTGGGCATGGCGGGGAGGCCAGGGCAGGCTGCTGGTAGGGAGTCACCAGGCCCCACCTCCCACAACCTGGACAGAAGCCCTGGGGGAGGGGAGGACATGGGGTGATCCGAGGCCCACTGTCAGGATGATTGGCACAAAGTCCCCACACTTCCCCTCTCCTCTCAAATTTCCAGCCCTGCCACCCACTCAGAGTGCTGGCTCCTGCCTTCCCCCTTTCTGGGGAAGGGAGCCCTCTGCTCAGGGCCTCCAAGCCCAGTCCTGCAGAGGAGAAAGGGGTTCCAACCCAACTGGCACTGCCCCGAGGCTGTCCCAGGAGCAGCTTGCTCAGAATGAGTCTAGGAGGCCTCAGAGAGCTGTGGGAGACCAAGATGCTGGGAAGCCCAGATGGGCCCCAGCTCACTCCTGCAGTGCCTCCCAGCTGCTTCCCAAGGGGAGCCAGAAGCATGGAGACCACTGGGTAGATAAGGTTTCACCGGCAGACAGCTGTGGCGCTTTCCTCTCCTCAGGATCAGGGATGGGGAGGGGAGGAGAGCAAGTCTTTCCTGAAACCCCAGCCGGCTCCTCCTAGTTCCCTGTCCTCTCAGCTATTCTGTCACAACCATTGTCCCCGTTGCCTGGGGAATGAACACCAGCCCCCTTCCTGCATGGGAGGTCCAGGGAGAGTATGTGTGTGTGTGTGCATGGCCAGAGCAGACCTTGTCCCCAAGGCCAGGCCATGGGGTGAACATCAGCACCAGGTTCCTGAAAGAAGTGCTGGGTGCTGGGCTGGGAATGGGATAGAGTGGGCCGGACCCGCACAGTGAGAGGAGCACCGGCCCCTTTCTGCCCAGCCTCCCGGAGCTGAGGAGCTGGGATGGGCATGGGGTGGTCACGCTCCCGGAGCTGAGGAGCTGGGGCAGGCATGGGGTGCTCATCCTCCTGGAGCTGAGGAGCTGGGGCGGGCATGGGGTGCTCATCTTCCCGGAGCTGAGGAGCTGGGGCGGGCATGGGGTGCTCATCTTCCTGGAGCTGAGGAGCTGGGACGGGCATGGGGTGCTCATCCTCCTGGAACTGAGGAGCTGGGACGGGCATGGGGTGCTCATCCTCCTGGAACTGAGGAGCTGGGATGGGCATGGGGTGCTCATCCTCCTGGAGCTGAGGAGCTGGGGCGGGCATGGGGTGCTCATCTTCCCGGAGCTGAGGAGCTGGGGCGGGCATGGGGTGCTCATCTTCCTGGAGCTGAGGAGCTGGGACGGGCATGGGGTGCTCATCCTCCTGGAACTGAGGAGCTGGGATGGGCATGGGGTGCTCATCCTCCCAGAGCTGAGGAGCTGGGGCAGGCATGGGGTGCTCATCTTCCCGGAGCTGAGGAGCTGGGATGGGCATGGGGTGCTCATCTTCCCGGAGCTGAGGAGCTGGGGCGGGCATGGGGTGCTCATCTTCCTGGAGCTGAGGAGCTGGGACGGGCATGGGGTGCTCATCCTCCTGGAGCTGAGGATCTGGGGCGGGTGTGGGATGCTCATCCTCCTGGAGCTGAGGAGCTGGGGCGGGCATGGGGTGCTCATCTTCCCGGAGCTGAGGAGCTGGGGCGGGCATGGGGTGCTCATCTTCCCAGAGCTGAGGAGCTGGGGCGGGCATGGGGTGCTCATCTTCCTGGAGCTGAGGAGCTGGGACGGGCATGGGGTGCTCATCCTCCTGGAGCTGAGGATCTGGGGCGGGTGTGGGATGCTCATCCTCCTGGAGCTGAGGCTCTGGGGAGGGCATGGGGTGCTCATCCTCCTGGAGCTGAGGGTCTGGGGCGGGCATGGGATGCTCATCCCCCTGGAGCTGAGGATCTGGGGCGGGCATGGGGTGCTCACGCTCACTCACCACTGGCGTCTCCGCCCTGCAGTTCCGGGGCCGTGCCAACCTGCATGTGTTTGAAGACTGGTGTGGCAGCTCTATCCAGCAGCTCAGGAGGAACCTGCATTTCCCACTGTACCCCCATGTGAGTGCCTGAGGGCTGCCTTGCCCACCTCCCTCCACACCTGCCTCCTCTGCCCACTTCTGTCTCTCATCTTTCCTTACATCTTTTCTGGTCCATATTTTCTCCTTTATCTCTTGAGCTCTCTTTTTGTCTGCCCATAATAGTTCCCTTGTTTCCTTCCTAGGGATCCTTTCAATTTCATCCCCTGCATCATTTCAGTTTCAGGCTCTCTGGCTCACAATATAGTGTACCCAGGGCCACCATGTACAGTTGTGCTGGTTGTGCACTGTACAAGGTCTCCTGGACAAAGAGGCAAATGGGAACTGAAATTGAGCCTGCACTCCACTCACAAAGCCACAGCCCTGGTCCCTCCTGTCATAGTCCCCTCCTGGTCTTCCCGCCAATCCTGGCGGGAAGTTTCCTTTTCCCTCTTCTGGGTAACTGTTTCCTTCCCCTTTCTTGGCATAGATTCGCACAACCCTGAGGAAGCTTGCTGTGTCCCCCAAATGGACCAACTATGGCCTCCGCATCTTTGGCTACCTGCACCCCTTTACTGATGGTGAGGCCAGCCCCAAAACCCCATCCTTCTTCCTGCTCTAGAGTTCTGCATCGGACCCAAAGAACATAAGATAAGGTTATAGGTAGACTGGACTAACTTCCTGTTAGTCCACCCTCAGGAAGAGAGGGGAAATTGAGTCATATTGCGGTCTTGTCCAACTCCCACAGGCTGCTGCTTTGCTCCCTGGTTTGCAGCCTGGAACCAGCTCATCTCTCCATATAAGTCTTCTCCATCTTCACACTGTCTCCCAGGATGTAGAAACCCCCACTTTACAGAGAGGGAAGCCACAGCATCAAGCACTGAAGGGAATTTAATCGCTAAGACACTCACAAAAGCCTCCAGCTTTTATGCTGATGCCCTCCTTGCCCTCATCTGGAAACTCTCCCCGCTGCCCAGGGAAAATCCAGTTTGCCATTGCTGCAGATGACAACGCGGAGTTCTGGCTGAGCCTCGATGACCAGGTCTCAGGCCTCCAGCTGCTGGCCAGTGTGGGCAAGGTAAGGCCAGCTCAACCCCGGTCCCTCCCATCTGCTCCTGGAGCCTGTTCATTGAGTCCTCCAGCAGCTGCTCATTACTGTTAGCATCTCTGGTGTGACAGCGGGGAAGAAGGGGTGGAAAAGAAGTCTCCTCCCTCACCCCTACCCCTCTACAAAGGGATAAACTGAGGATGGGGAGGAGTGAGGAGTGGGGAGGAGCGAGGTGTGGGGAGGAGCGAGGTGTGGGGAGGAGTGAGGAATGGGGAGGAGCGAGGTGTGGGGAGGAGCGAGGAGTGGGGAGGAGTGAGGAGTGGGGAGGTGAGAGGAGTGGGGAGGTAAGAGGAATGGGGAGGAGCGAGGAGTGGGGAGGAGCGAGGAGTGGGGAGGTGAGGAGTGGGGAGGAGCGAGGAGTGGGGAGGTGAGAGGAGTGGGGAGGTGCGAGGAGTGGGGAGGTGAGGAGTGGGGAGGTGCGAGGAGTGGGGAGGTGAGAGGAGTGGGGAGGTGCGAGGAGTGGGGAGGTGAGAGGAGTGGGGAGATGAGAGGAGTGGGGAGGTGAGAGGAGTGGGGAAGAGTGAGGAATGGGGAGGAGTGAGGAGTAGGGAGGAGTGAAGAGTGGGGAGGAGTTGGGAGTTAGGGTGGGGAGTTGTGGGAAAGTGGGGAGTGAGAAGGAGGGAAAAGCGGGAAGGAGTCGGGAAGAGGGAAGAGGAGGGGGGAATGAGAAAGAGGGAGCAGTGAGAAGTGGGCAGGGGGTGTGAGAGGAGGGAGGGGGGTGTGGGAGGAGGGGAGTGGGGAGGTGGGGAGAGGAGTAAGGAGTGGGGAGGTGGGAGGAGTGGGGCAGAGAGTGCGGACAGGGAGGAGTGGGGAGCGAGTCTGAGGCTGGGGAAGGACCACAGCGATTCGGCTTGGGACACCCAGCGCAGCATCTCTGGGGCCCTCTGGCCTTGGCCGGGTGCTGACTCGCGCTGCAGGTCATCCGGCTGCTCCGGGCTCCTGGCAAGGCGGGCTGCCTCCTGCGTGGGCAACGCTCACTCCTTCACTCCCTTCTGTTTTCTCTCCTACCTCTCTCACCTTCATTCCGCCCGTCTTCCTCCCTTTTTCTCTCACTTCTTGGTTCTCCTTCCTGGTCTCGCACTCACCGCCTCGCGTGCTTCCTGTTTTCTCTGTTCCTCCCTCCTCTTCTCTCTTCCACACCTCTAGACTGGAAAGGAGTGGACCGCCCCGGGAGAGTTTGGGAAATTTCGGAGCCAAATTTCCAAGCCGGTGAGGTGAGTGAGGGTCAGGACAGGCGCTGTGGGCGCCTCGGTGCCTCGGTGGAGCCCGGCTGCGCCCCTGTCCGCCAGCCCAGCTGCCGACTCCAGAGCTTCCGTGTGTCCGGCACCCACACGCTCCCGGCAACCGGGTCTTTGGCTCAGAAGCCGCGAGCCCATCCGTCCTCGTTTCACAGATGGGGAAACTGAGGCCCAGAAGGCCGTGACTTATTGCAGGTCACGCAGCTCTTTAGTGACACGCGGGACTGGAAAATAGGTCTCCTTCCTCCCAGTCCTTGCCCTCCCCCGTTTCTCCACACCCACAACAGCCTGGACCCCGGACCGAGGTCCCCCTCGGTCGTCTGGGGACACGAGTCCCTTTCCCTTGCGGGGAGGGAGCGTAGCGCGGCCTCAGAGCGCCCCCTGGTGGCCCACGCGCGCTCACGCAGGCGGGAAGAGCGGGCGTTGCTGGGCGTTGCTGGACGTTGCTGGAAACGCTGGGAAGGACGGGCGTGGGGGTGAGGAGAGGTGGGGTGCAGACACAGCTAGATGGAAGGAATACGTTCTGATGCTCGACAGCACAGTAGGGTGACTGTAGTAACAACAATGGATTGTGTATTTTCAAACAACTAGAGAAAAAGATTTGGAATATTCCCAAAACATAGAATGCCAAGTGCTCCAGGTGGGTGAAGGGATCCTAAATCCCCTAGCTTGATCCTCACTCATCCTACGCATGCAACAGAAGGCCGTGTGCACCCCATAAATATGCACAAGGGTTACGTATCAATAAAAATAAATTTTAAAATTTTAAGGAGACAATCTTGCTTGCAAAGAGCACTCGCGTGCCAGCTGCCGTGGTGGGTACGCCGTGTGCAGCTCCGCAGAGCAGCTGGTGCGTGGTCCCTGGGGCAAGTCGGCCGGCGGAATCCCACCTCCACCCCTCATCACTCTGGCAGACTACCCAAGCCTTCTGTGCCTCTGTGTTCTCCTCTACGAACAAGGATTACATGAGGTCACATATTGAAAGCATTTAGAACAGTGTCTGCCACAGTCTCTGAGCTCTAACGGCTTCTGTTACTGTTCTTTGGGTTCTTCCGATCATCCTGTGGAGGAGGTACTCTGATTATGCCCATCTCACCAAGAGAAAACAGCTCACACTGTTAGCAAGTGATAGAGTGGGGGCTCGAACCTAGGCAGTTAACTCCTGGCATTCTAAGAGCAAGGAGAAGGGATGAGGGAGTGTAAGGTGCTGGAAGGGGGTGGGACAGAGCCGCGACCCCAGGGCCCATGGAGATGGCGCTCTGCTTCCCTGCCCTCTCTCCCGCCAGCCTGTCAGCCTCCCACAGGTACTACTTCGAGGTGCTGCACAAGCAGAATGAGGAGGGCACCGACCACGTGGAAGTTGCAGTGAGTTTCCTGCTGCTCCCGCCTCTCCCAGCTCAGTTCCTGGCACTCATCTCCCCTTGTCCCTTGACCCCTGTTGGAAATCCAGCTACCTCCCACCTTCTGCATCTACCCTCTCTCTCCTCTTCCAGTGGCGACGGAACGACCCTGGAGCCAAGTTCACCATCATTGACTCCCTCTCCCTGTCCCTCTTCACAAGTGAGTAGGCTCTGGCCCTGCCCTGGAGATGGAGGCCAGGTGGGGACAGCCTACCCTGGGGGATTTGGCAGGGGAGGAGGGGAGGAGGGGAGGAAGGAAGCTCGAGATGCTTGGGACACGGGTATGAAGGGGTCCAGAACAAGAGTGGGACCTTATGACCAGGAGTCCTTAACTCCCCAGGGTCAGTGACCCCTTTGAGAACCTGCTAGAAGCTCTCTGAGCCCTTGCCTCAGAAAAATGCCCTTGTCTACCCACCCACACACAACATTTTGAATACAACTTCAAGGGAGTCCAGAGACTGTGAGCTCACACCAGATCTAAAAACTCTGAGGCTGGGTGCGGTGGCTCATACCTGTAATCCCAGCACTTTGGGAGGCCGAGGTAGGAGGATTGCTTGAGCCCAGGAGTTCGAGACCAGCCCAGGCCACATAGCGACACCTCATCTCTACAAAAAATTAAAAAATTAACTGGGTGTGGTGGCGCATGCCTGTAGTCACAGCTACTGGGAAGGATCGCTTGAGCCCAGGAGTTCGAAGCTGAAGCTACAGTGAGCTGTAATTGGGTCACTGTGCTCCAGCCTGGGCAACAGAGCAAGACGCTGCCTCAAAAGCAAAACAAAACAACACAAAAAAACCCTCTGAGCGAGTCCAATCCCCTATTTTCCAGATGAGGTAACCACGGTTCTTGCAAAGCCATGGCCAGGGCAGAGGAAACCTGTTCACCTGCCTTCAGTGCACAGGAAGCGACCTCTTTCTTCAATGGCATTTTCCATTTCATATCATTTCCTCAGTGAGACTCCCATCCTCAGGCCCCGTTGAAAAACATGCCATCCATAGGCCTCCGTGGCAGGTGTAGACAGATGCATGAACCCGGGAGACAGAGAGCAAAGAAGCAGCCAGCCCCCCACCCCCCTTCTCTGTGGCTGCTTTAACCTGGATGCTGAAACTAGATCACCTGGCTTCAAACTCAGCTTGGCCACCCGTCTGTTGTATGATGTTGGGCAAATGACTTAGATTCTCTATGCCAAAGTTCCTTATCTGTAAACTGGGAATGATCGTAGTACAGAAGGCATGTGGTGCTTTTGGAGATTAGAAGGGTTCATATTTGGGATATTCTTAGAGCAGGGCCTGGCTTATTATTAAGTGCTCTGTAAGCGTTCAATAAATTAGGCGTACTTAATGCCACATTTCTAGCAGTCCGCAGTAACACATTTTGAGAAAGAGGTGTCTTTTTCCGAGTACGCAACACAGTCGTGTGGGTCAGCCGTGGGGCTGGCAGAGGGGGCCGAAGGCAGATGAATCGTGAAGCCACCGCTGTGGCGGGGGCCAGAGGGAGTGTGGCTGCGCACATCCTACACCGTCGCCGCTGGAGTCAGGAGCCCCTTCTGCGTCTCTTCCCTCCCCTTCAAGGGCAGTGGGCTGCTGCGCTCCAGGCCACACAGCCTCCTGCTTTCTTTCCTCCCTGCGCCCAGATGAGACGTTCCTACAGATGGATGAGGTGGGCCACATCCCACAGACAGCAGCCAGCCACGTGGACTCCTCCAACGCTCTTCCCAGGGATGAGCAGCCGCCCGCTGACATGCTTCGGCCTGACCCCCGGGACACCCTCTATCGAGGTAAGGCCTCGGCCAGCGCTTGGCGTCCTTTCTGGGGACACTGCACTGCCAGGTCCACTGCTGATGGTGGAGAAGGCTTGAGAGACCTGCCAAGTATCCCAATCACCGTAGAACTTTTTATCGTCCTTGTAACATAGAACATGCATACAGAAAAGAGAGCATGTAAATAAGTATAAAATATTTACGTGTAATTTTACAATTCTGCATATCATTACAGAGTGAACGTTTGTGGAACCACCACCCACAACAAGAAATAGAGTTAGAACCCGGAAGTCCCCCACACATCCCTTCCCAATCTCACACGTCCCCGCCTCTTACTGCATTCCAACTCTTGTCATCCAAGGAGAGAAATACGTGGACACCACAGTGTTAGAGTCTTAATGCATGATTCCTCTTGGGAGTGTTTACATTTTAAAAGACGGCCAAGATGGCCAGGCATGGTGGCTCATTCCTGTCATCCTGGCACTTTGGGATGCTGAGGTGGGAGGATCGCTTGAGCCCAGGAGGTTGAGGCTGCAGTGAGCTGTGATTGAACCACTGCACTCCAGCCTGGGTGACAGAGTGAGATCCTGTCAAAAAAAACAAACAAACAAAAAAAACAACAAAGTTTCTTTACTCCTCACCCCTCTCAAAAAAATGACAACTGACGCTAAGGGGATGTTCAGCCCATGGTAGGAAATCCAGTTATCGGTACTGTACGAGGGAGGGGACCTTCTGGCCTCTTAGAAGTTTCTAGACCTTATTGAGGCTATCCCTGCACAGTGACTCTAAGATCAAACGGTGCCTTGTACCTGGGGCTGTGTGCTGAGTCCTCTGCTGCCAGGGTGCTCCTCAAATGGCCCTGCTCCAGGTGCGTGGGGCAGCCTCCAGCTGGCAGCCTCAGCCACAGACGTCGGCAGAACACAGCTGCCGCTTGCGAATACAGAAAGGGCCCTGCTCAGGGCAGAGGACTTCAGCCCCAGTTTCGTGCTCACCCTCACCCTCACTCCTCCTCCTCCACTGTCCTCAGTGCCTCTGATCCCCAAGTCGCATCTCCGCCACGTCCTGCCTGACTGTCCCTACAAACCCAGCTATCTGGTGGATGGGCTTCCTCTGCAGCGCTACCAGGGACTCCGGTTTGTAAGTCTTGGGCCTGGGTCATGGAGAGCAGGGCTGGCAGAGGGATTGCTGCCTGTGACTGGGATGGGAGGTGGTGAGGCTGACTTTCCCATCTTCCCAACATCCCATCCCAGCAGACAGGACGTCCTCACAGGTCCCTGGGCTGGGAAGAACTTGCACTCCCAGATGGACCGCCCTGAATAGACTGTCCAGCAGAGCCTGCACGTGGGTGCTCTGCCTCAGGGCCCCCCAACACACACCAACTCAGCCCAGCCCCGTGATGATATCAGGTGGCCTGGCTGAGGCTTCTTAAGCTCCCTGCTCCAAGGGCCACACAACCCTACCCTGCCTGGTCAGTCCCGCCAGCTAGTGAGCCAGCAGGACTTACTAAACCCAGAGACCAGGCACTGGGGGAAAAAGAGCTATGGAGGGGAAGTTAGCTTTAAAGAACCCAGAACCCATGCGGAAGCCAGACAGGCAGCGTGGCCACTCTCCTGTGCATCCAGATCTAGAGATGATTATAAGGAAGAGCTGGAGGGCAGAAGAAAGAGGTCAGGAGGCATCACCAGGTCAGAGAATGGCTGGGGTGTAATTGAGAAGTTCTTTGGTGGTGGTGACCACGAGCTATGTTTAAGGGGGCAAAGGAAGCAGTGAAGTAAATAGGAAGAGGGGTTGTTCTAGGGCTGTGGGAGGTTGCAGGTAAAGGTTCAGAGGTTTCAGGAGAGGATCAGGTGGCAGAGGGAGGAAGGAGTGGTTTTGGCTGAAGCTGAGGGACGGGAGCTGGTTCAGGAGGGGAGATGTGGACCAGGGGCTTGACTCAGGGTTGCATTTGGTCCATAGGGCCTGGGATCACTAGCATAACAAGGGGAATGAGAGCCCCATCTGCATCACCACGTTTCATTCGGCGCTCAGAGCAACCCTTCTCTCCCTGCCAAGGGCGGGTCCCTAGCAGCCCTATGTGATCCCAGCCAGGGGCAGGCTTAACCCTGGCTGGCTGATTTCTTACCAAGATCTCACTCTCTTACTCCTGCTGCTGATTTTTCCACTTCCAGGTTCATCTGTCTTTTGTTTACCCCAATGACTATACCCGCCTGAGCCACATGGAGACCCACAATAAATGTTTCTACCAGGAAAACGCCTACTACCAAGACCGGTGAGAGACACTGAGTGGGGCAGGAAGGTGACCTTGCAGAGGGCTCTGCGGGAGCCAGGAGAGCTGCCTGGACCAGGGTGATGGTGGCACCCCAGCCCAAAGTCTTTGCTCTTGCTCTTCCTGAGTACTACACACACACACACACACACACACACACACACACACACACACACCCGCTCACCAGCCTCCTTCCTCCACTCTAGTCTGGGGCAAAACGTCAGACTCCTGCTGAGACTTCCAGCAGAGCCAGGGCTGAGCCCGCCATGCACCGGGTGCCAATGCACACCTCCCTTCCTCCTGCAGGTTCAGCTTTCAGGAGTACATCAAGATTGACCAGCCTGAGAAGCAGGGGCTGGAGCAGCCAGGTACAGAGTGACAGCTGAGGCTTCCAGGTCAGGCTGAGAGGGGCGACCATGGTCTGTTTCCAGGGGATGTTCAGACCGTGCCAGCCCCGCCCCTGAGGAGCTCAAGATCCAAATCACGTGACCTCTCCCTTCACACCCAAGGGAGTGGAGAGCATGACTCCTGCCTTTTCCATATCCAGGCACATGTGGAAAATGACACTATTTTTAGCAGCATGCTGGGGTCAGCTGGAGGAGAGTGAGAGCCCGGGGGAGGTTACTTGGACTGCTGGAGGGGCTTGCTGTCCCTGGCGCACCATTTGGGAGGTTCTGGTTTAGAGAAGCACTGTCTTCTGGGGCCTTTCTTGGGGGATTAGGGCGTGGCTGGGACCATCTGCTGGGTCCCTCAGGTGCTATGCACCTGCCGGGCATGTGATGCCGTTTATCTCACTCAGTCTTCACAAACCCATGAGAGATGCAGTATTATTCCCTTTATGCAGATGAAGAAACTGGGGTTAATTGAGGTTGAGTACCTTGCCCAGGGTCACACAGTAAGCGATAGAACCTGGATTCAACCCCAGTCTGGAGCCCCATGGTGCGTCACACGTATGATCATCCTCTGTCTTGTATGTCTTGTTTGGAAAGGGTTGGAAACTCTTGACATGAGGAATGGTTGTTATTAATAGCAGGTTTTGAGGAAAACCTTCTAGAAGAGTCCCAGTATGGGGAAGTGGCAGAGGAGACCCCTGCCTCCAACAACCAGAATGCCAGGATGCTTGAGGGAAGACAGACACCTGCCTCCACCCTGGAGCAAGATGCCACTGACTACCGCCTCCGAAGCCTGCGGAAACTCCTGGCTCAGCCCCGGGAGGGCCTGCTGGCCCCCTTCTCCAAGCGGAACTCCACAGCGTCCTTCCCAGGGAGGACCAGCCACATTCCAGTGCAGCAGCCAGAGAAGAGGAAGCAAAAACCCAGCCCTGAGCCCAGCCAAGATTCACCTCATTCCGACAAGTGGCCTCCTGGGCACCCTGTGAAGAACCTGCCTCAGATGAGGGGGCCCAGGCCCAGGCCCGCTGGTGACAGCCCCAGGAAGACTCAGTGGCTGAACCAGGTGGAGTCGTACATCGCAGAGCAGAGACGGGGTGACAGGATGCGGCCTCAGGCCCCTGGAAGGGGCTGGCATGGGGAGGAGGAAGTGGTGGCGGCCGCAGGCCAGGAAGGACAAGTGGAGGGAGAGGAAGAGGGGGAAGAAGAGGAGGAGGAAGAGGATATGAGTGAGGTGTTCGAGTACGTACCTGTGTTTGACCCGGTAGTAAACTGGGACCAGACCTTCAGTGCCCGGAATCTCGACTTCCAAGCCCTGAGGACTGACTGGATCGATCTGAGCTGTAACACATCTGGCAACCTGCTGCTTCCAGAGCAGGAAGCTCTGGAGGTCACGCGAGTCTTCTTGAAGAAGCTCAACCAGAGGAGCCGGGGGTAAGGTAAAGGGCTCTCCTGGGGCCAGGGACTGGGGCACGTGGCAGCCAGCTGGCCTGGAAGGCAGGGGCCTAAGGGCTGGTAGTGGGTTCCCCCAGCCGCGGAAATAGCTGGAACTTTGCCCCCGACTCAGGCTCCTGGGAAGGACAAGTGCCCGGGGCCCCTGTCCCTGGAGAGGATCTTGACCAGGCAGGTGTTTGTCCCGCCATTAGGCAAGGTTCTGAAATCCCTGGGTGCCTGGCCCAGTACGTGTGTTGAGGACTGGAAGGACTCAGTAGATGAGGTCCCCTCCTCCGAGGAAAGAGCTAGTAAATAGACAAACAGGCAAAACAGAGGCTAGAAAAATACAAATTAAGACCCTGCATGTGGGCTGGAAGGGTTAGGGCGTGATGCATGACTGGAGTTCTTTGTGTTTTCATTCATCCATTCATTCAACCAGTCAACATTTTTTACGATAAAATTTATATAACATTAAAATCACCATTTTAAGGTGTACCTTTCAGTGGTTTTAAAAGTATATTTACAGGCTGGGCGCGGTGGCTCACGCCTGTAATCCCAGCACTTTGGGAGGCCGAGGCGGGCGGATCACGAGGTCAGGAGATCGAGACCATCCTGGCTAACACGGTGAAACCCCGTCTCTACTAAAAATACAAAAAATTAGCCAGGCATAGTGGCGGGCGCCTGTAGTCCCAGCTACTCGGGAGGCTGAGGCAGGAGAATGGCGTGAACCCGGGAGGCGGAGCTTGCAGTGAGCTGAGATTGCGCCACTGCACTCCAGCCTGGGCGACAGAGCAAGACTCCGTCTCAAAAAAAAAAAAAAAAAAAAAAAAAAAAGTATATTTACAGTGTTGTGCAAGCATCACCATTGTCAAATTCCAGAACGTTTTCATCATCTTTGAAACAAATTATACTGGCCAGACGCAGTGGCTCACGCCTCTAATCCCAACACTTTGGGAGACCGGGGTAGGTGGATCACTTGAGGTCAGGAGTTTGAGACCAGCTTGACCAACACAGTGAAACCCCATCTCTAATAAAAATACAAAAATTAGCAGGGCTTGATGGCATGCACCTGTATCCCCAGCTACTTGGGAGGCTGAAGCAGGAGAATCACTTGAACCCGGGAGGTGGAGGTTGTAGTGAGCAGAGGTCGCACCATTGCACTCCAGCCTGGGCGACAGAGTGAGACTCTGTCTCAAAAAAAAAGAAAAAGAAAGAAAAAAAAAAAGAAACCGTATGTGTTAGTGGTTACTTCCCATTCCTCCTCCTACCCCCAGTAGTGTCTGGCAATAACTACTTTCCTTTCTAGCTCTGTGGATTTTCCTATTCCGGACATCTTATGCAAATGGAACCATGTAATGTGTGGCCTTTATATCGGGCTTTTTGCAGAATATTCACTTAGCACAAGTTTCATTCGTGTTGTAGAATCTATTAAACACTTCATTCCTCGATATTGCTGAGTAATATTCTATTGTGTGGATATACCACATTTTTCCATTCATCCGTTGAAGGACATGTGGGTTGTTTCTACTTTTTGACTATTACAAATAAAATGCTGCAATGAACATTCATGCACAAGCTTTTATGTGAACATACTTTCAGTTGTCTTGGGTATATATCTAGGAGTAGAACTTCTGGGTCATATGGTAACTCTGTTTAGCATGTTGAGGAGCTGCCACTCTGCTTTTTAAATCAACTGCATCATTTCACATTCCCATCAGCAGGGTATGAAGATTCCAATTTTTCTACATCCTTATCAACACTTGTTACTTTTCATTTCATTGTGTTTTATTTATTTTTATTTTTATTTATTTTTTTTTTTGAGACGGAGTCTCGCTCTGTCGCCCAGGCTGGAGTGCAGTGGCGCGATCTCGACTCATGCAAGCTCCGCCTCCCGGGTTCACGCCATTCTCCTGCCTCAGCCTCCTGAGTAGCTGGAACTACAGGTGCCCACCACCACACCTGGCTAATTTTTTATATTTTTAGTAGAGACAGGGTTTCACCATATTAGCCAGGCTGGTCTTGATCTCCTGACCTTGTGATCCACCTGCCTTGGCCTCCCAAAATGCTGGGATTACAGGTGTGAGCCACTGCACCTGGCATTGTGTTTTGTTTTAAATAGCCATCCTGGTGAGTGTGAAATGGTATCACACTGTGGTTTTGATTTTTATTTCTCTAGTGACTAATGATTTTGAGCCAACCAATTGACATCTGTCTTATAACTCATTTTGTCTTATGGAATGTTGATTCGACCGTTTTTATTGAGGGTCAGTTTCTCAGGGAACCTCTTCAGTGTGACCCCTCTTATTCAGCTCATGTACTTAGAATCTTGGAGCTGTAAAAGACCTTCAGGATCATCACAGCTCAACAGGTACATTTTCAAAGAGGGAGGCAGCGAACCCTAGAGAGATTGCGAATCTTGCCTGAGGCCCTATAGCCAGCCAGTGGCAAAGCTAGGACAAAAACCAGGGTCTCCCAACAACTAGCTTTGCAGGCTTCTCACACACCGTGCTACCCTCCCAGTGTGGAAAGGAACCACTCAGCCTCCCCACACTTTCTGCCATAGGAGGTACCAGCTACAGCGCATTGTGAACGTGGAAAAGCGTCAGGACCAGCTACGTGGGGGTCGCTACCTCCTGGAGCTTGAACTGTTGGAACAAGGCCAGCGCGTGGTGCGGCTCTCGGAGTATGTGTCTGCACGAGGCTGGCAGGGCATCGATCCAGCTGGTGGGGAGGAGGTCGAGGCCCGGAACCTGCAAGGCCTGGTCTGGGACCCACACAACCGTAGGAGACAGGTCCTGAATACCCGGGCCCAAGAGCCCAAGCTGTGCTGGCCTCAGGGTTTCTCCTGGAGTCACCGAGCCGTGGTCCACTTCGTCGTGCCTGGTGAGCCTCAAGCTGAGCCTCGGCATTCTCAGGGGCGGGGTCCTCACACTGTCAGGAGCACCCACATCTGCTTGCACTGATTTGATCCCATAAGCACTTCTGAGAAAGACCACCTTATAGTTGAGGAAACTGAGGCTCACAAAAGGAAAGTCACTGGTTTAAGGTTATGTGGCTAGTAAATGTTGCCGCTAAAAACAAACACTGCCTCATAGGCCAGTGCTCTTTCTTTCGTACTAGGTTTCAGGATTGGGTGTGATAACTGGGGTTGCTAACACTGGGGATGATCATTGGTCTGGGGAAGTAAGACGGGCAGCGTACTTAATGAAGTGATGAGCAGGGTTTTATATGAGAAGGAGGAACACACAACAGGCAGAAGTGTAACAACAGAGGTAGGATGATGGGGATAGGACGACGATACTAAGAGGGACAGATAACAGGGTTTCACTAGTAGAGCGTGGCAGGGCTACTGACAATGAGCCCCAGCCAAGGCCTTCTCGTGGGTCCCCTGCCTGGGAGGAGGGAACGTGGGGAGCAGGATGCAGAGGCCCCCTTAACTGGTGAGCACTCCCTCTGCCTCATGTCTCTGTGCTGCACTGCTAATGGTTTTGCAGAGTTGCACTGTCCCCTCAGCCGAGGTCCGATGGGCACTCCTGACTCACCTGGGAGCTGGGGGTGGAGGCGCTCATCCGCTCATCTTTGCCTTGTCTGTGTTTCCTTCTCCTGCCTGACCCCCTGGGGTAGTGAAGAACCAGGCACGCTGGGTACAGCAATTCATCAAAGACATGGAAAACCTGTTCCAGGTCACCGGTGACCCACACTTCAACATCGTCATCACTGACTATAGCAGTGAGGACATGGATGTTGAGATGGCACTGAAGAGGTCCAAGCTGCGGAGGTGAGGGGGACCACCAGCCAGGGGGTGGCATGGGCCACGTCCATCCTAAAGTCCTAGGGCTGCTGGGTCCAGGGTAGAGCCAGGAGTCCTGCCCAGCCTTCCTGATTCCTAGTCTCCAACTTTTCCCAGAGGGCTCACCTGCCCATAATCCCATCCCAGGAGCACACATCATCTCTCTTCTATGCCTGCCAACTTCCTCCAGGGGACCACCGCAGCTGAGTCCTGATACGCAGCCCTCTCTCCCCTTCCTGCAGCTACCAGTACGTGAAGCTAAGTGGAAACTTTGAACGCTCAGCTGGACTTCAGGCTGGCATAGACCTCGTGAAGGTAAAGGGCCTGGATGGGGCCTGCGAGATGGAATTCAAGGCTGGTTAAGAGGTAGAGAGACATTTGGGGTAAATGAGGTGGTGAGCCCCTCAGGGAGGACGGGAATGAGGACACAGGAGGTCCTCTCTGCTGTGCTGCAGGCCAGTGCTAGGGTGGGACCAGCAAATCACAGTGGAGCATTTGCCCAGTTGTCCAGGGTCCTTGGAGCCTATAAAGAGTGGGGAGGAGTCAGAATTCACTCTGATGGTTAAGACCTGTGCTCCAATGTTCAGCACTGTGGAACTCTGCCCAGCAGCTGGTTTTGTGGGAGTTTGTGAATCACTCCAATAGGGAAGACTCCGAGGCTTCTCCTAGACGGCGACCTGACCTCCTAGCTCTGGTCTGCAGGGTCTGCTGACCCTGCCCACATCTGTCCCCAGGACCCGCACAGCATCATCTTCCTCTGTGACCTCCACATCCACTTCCCAGCTGGAGTCATCGATGCCATTCGGAAGCACTGTGTGGAGGGAAAGATGGCCTTTGCCCCCATGGTGATGAGGCTGCATTGTGGGGCCACCCCCCAGTGGCCTGAGGGTGAGCCCTGCTCAGACTGGGGAGGGAGGAAAGACTTCTCTGATCTTGGCTCTTAACTCCAGAGCTGGGAACAGTCATATCTATGAGCGTCAGCATCCTCCTCCCCTGCCCCACCCTGCCCTCCTGTGGCCTTCACTCCCCGGAAAACTCACCAGACAAGGTCCCCTTGGGCTGAGCTGACAGCCACAGCAGCAGGTGCAGCAGTGCACACCTCCTGCGCCGTCTTCTCCTTGATTCATTCATCACACACTTACTAAGCACTGCTGTGTGCCAGATGCTCTGCCCTGTGGGGATTCAAAGATGGGAAAGGTAGCCTCCCTGCCTGTGGAAAGGGAAACGGACATGTAAACTGACACACAGCTGTGTCTTCTGTGGCTGCCGCTGTCCGATCCATTTGTAGGGTTGTTATCAGCCCATGGGCACAGCCTGGTAGCACTGCTGAGCCCTGAACCTTAGTTAGGGGTCTTTCCTCCAAAACAGGCAAAGTACTTGTTCAGCTAAGACAGTTTTCAGCCTCCCTCAACCCCAGCCTCTGACTTTCAGAAGAGCCTCTAGGCACACAGCCTGGAAGCCTCCTTCCTTCCTCCTCCTGGCCTCTGGCTCATCTCACCCGAAGCTCCTGTCTGTCCACAGGCTACTGGGAGGTGAATGGGTTCGGGCTGCTTGGCATCTACAAGTCTGACCTGGACAGGATTGGGGGCATGAACACCAAGGAGTTCCGAGACCGCTGGGGCGGGGAAGACTGGGAGCTGCTGGACAGGTGACTGGGAAGAGGAGGGCATCCACGAGGCCTGGGAATTCCATGGCGCTCCAGGCAGGGAGCCAGGCTACAGCAGCCTAGCTGTCCCCCTCGGCCGCAGAGTCCCAAAGCACAGTAAAGAGCACTGGACTCGGAGGACGCCCTCAAATCACCGGCCTCGCTGGGACTCAGTTTCTCTATTAGAGGGGTGTGACTCGCCCTCTGTCTGTGTCACAGGGTTGGTGTGAAAATTAACATGCCTGGTACACCGTGTACCAGGTACACCAAGCTGTGTAGACATAAACCATGATGTTCTCAGCACCAAGCAGGGCACCGTGGGAGAGACTGCATCCTCCCCAGCCCGAGGGTAGTGCGCCTCCCGTCAGCTGCCGAGCGGGGAGCCCAGAGTTGTGGGAATGGATAAGTAGACCTGGCAAAGGTCAGGAAAGACTTTGGGGCCAGCAGAAGAGACAGTGTAGACCACTGAAGGGCAAGAGGACATCCAGGAGGTGCCGGGTCATGAGACACCAAGGGACCTGGGGGTTTGGAGCAGGAGGAAAGGGTCAATGAGATGAAAAGCCTCAGAGAAGAACACAGTACAAGCTGCTGCCTTGGCAGGTGGACAAGGAGAGCAAGATTGGGCAGGGACACCAGGCCATGGGTGGTGAGGAGGCGGAGGCTGTTCCGTGTGAGGTTCCTCTTTCAAGAAATGTGCTGCCAAGAGAAGGGGCAGAGAGAGGATGGTGCCTTGAGATCTGAGCCTATGGTGAGGGAGCAAAGGAGAGGGGAGGGTACCCTTCAGAAGGGCATAAGCGCTGTAACAGCGTCCACAGGAGGTGGACAGGGCAAGGTCAGGAGCACTGGGGGCGGGACCTCGACACGAAGACACGCTCACTTCTTCCCGAGAGGCAGGACAAAATGCATCCACCAGTCACTGGGTCCCTATACATGGCCGGCCATCCACATCCGTTACCTCGTTTATTTCTCCCCAGACCTCAGTGAGGTCGGCATCATGATCTCCATTTTCCAGATGAGAAGACTGAGTCTTGAAGAGAAGTTAATAACTTGCCCCAAATCTCACTCACTTAAGCGTTAGAGGCTTGAAAACTAGGTCTATTGGTGTTTTTTCCCGTTGAGGGAAGAAAGAAAAGGAAGGTGACACACTAAGAGAATTCGAGTGAAAAGGGGGAAGGTAAAGGAACGTAGATAACTGGGAGCTCATAAAAAGGGTCTGAGATCAAAGGAGCCCCCAGGGCAGCTGGAAGCCTTGATTTGGGAAGCCGGGTCCAGCAGTCACCTCCACCTTGATCTCTGTGCTGGGCTTTTGCTGCCATGCACGGCTCCTGTACAGCCCTGAACCTCCTGCCTCCTCGGAGGCTCAGGCATCCAGTTCGGCCACTCTCAGCCCTGCCAGAAGTGCAGCCTCCCTGTGAGAGGGACACCCTGCAGGCTGCACATGCACAAAAGGCCTGGGGAGGGCCTAGGCGCCAGGTGTCTCAGTGCAGCAGCCCTGCCTTCCTCCGTCTATGACGTGTGCCCTGGAGGCTGGGCGCCAGTTATGGGGCACTCAGAGTGTGCCAGGAGCCGTGCTGAGCCCTCAGCATCCATCCTTCTCGTCTTCCCCACCTCTGATGTGTATATAGTATGTCTACTCTAATATTAGATAGATAGAATTCTATATCACACATTATCCTCTCATTACACGTATGTGATAATCGTCCTCCTAGAGATGAGCAGACAGGCTCTGAAAGAAGGCGTGACATACCCAGTCATGCAGCTGGGATCCAAACCCAGGCTGCCTGGCTTCAAAGCCCACAGCCGTCCACTGCACCTGCCTTCCCTGCCCCGTGGGGAGCGAACAGAGGGTCTGTGGTCGATGGGGAGGGGCCCCCCAGCTGCCTTCTGTGCTTCTGTTGGCTCATCTGTGTTTCTCCTCCTCCAGGATACTCCAAGCGGGCCTGGACGTGGAGCGTCTCTCCCTCAGGAATTTCTTCCATCATTTCCATTCCAAGCGAGGCATGTGGAGCCGTCGCCAGATGAAGACGCTGTAGCCGGAGGGTGTCCGCGGGGCCCAGCACTCCCCGCTCTGGACTAGCAGTGGCTCCCCAGGGCCCTGCTACTGTTCAGGGATGGGGAGTGGGGTGACGGCTGGACCCCAAGAGGCCTCGAAGCTGACGGCCCACTCCACCTGGAGCTGTCCCCTCACAGAGGCAGGTTCCGGGGCTCCTGTCTCTGCCTCCTGGGCCTTCAGAAGGGAGGACTTTGAGAGAGAGGCCAGGAGGGACCACTTGCTCAGTCGAGAACGGGAAGAGCTCCTGAGAAGGACGGGTCAGGAAGGAGAGATCTGACTGAGCGACACCATCCTCATCCATGAAGGTGCACGCCCACATCCCCCAAGCGCTCCTCACGCCAAGCGCTGACCACCAGACCCTCTTCTAGTGGACATATTTTATTGGGGGGCGGGGATTTTAAAAACAGAAAACCGAAACTGCTGTCCAGAGCGGGGGTGAGGTTGTGCACTGAGGGACTGTCCCCACGTGCAGGCCTCCCGCCCACTCCTATGTCCCTTGGGCGTTGTCCCTGGCCGCGGGACTGGTCCCACGTGGGGCAGGTCTCTGCTCCACCCCAGGCTCGTGCCTTCCAGAGACACACATCTCCCAGTAGCCACCAAACAGCTGGCCACTGATTAGGGCATTAACTTCCTCCGGATGGCTCACGTCAGACCAGAAGCACAGAACGGGCTGTTTCTGGTGCTTGGGCATTGGGAGGTGGGGAGCTGGCGGGCAGGGGGCTTGCCACTCCCTGGCACTGGACATTGAGGCCTGCAGAACAGGCAGGGTGATGAAGGCAGGGGAGAGAAGCCCTTTCCCTTACCGGCGTGCCTGTGGGTAAGGCCTCCCGAGAGGACATGGAGAAGAGGTAAAGAGGATGTGGACATATCTGTCAATTTCCTTAGGCAAGAAGCGGGTGGGGGCTGGACAGAAAGGGACGAAAAGGGAAGTGGAAGCTGTGAGCCTCACAGTCCAGCTCCACTGCAGACCTGCCCTTCTGCAGGGAGAGCCCTGGCCACCCGGCCTTGAGTGGAAGAAGAGGAAAGGGTGTACGGGGGCAAAACCCTGGACAGGGAGCAGGATAAGAAGGGGGCGGGATGAGAGGTTTGGGGAGGTGAGGACATTGCCCTGAGATATCCCCTGGAGGCAGGGAGAGGAGTGGGGGCAGGAGGAACTGAAGAGGGGGGCAGTTTCAGGGAAAATAGCCCTTAGCCTTTTTAGTCGATGCCACCCTTTCTGTCACCTGGAGACCTTGTACTTCTCTTGCACTAATAACCCCGGTGCTTTTGTGGCTGGGGGTTTTTCTGTTGCTGCTGCTGCCTCCACCACTGCTGTGAATTCACCCATGGTGCATTGGACACTGGATCTTGAACTCCAGAGTCTGTTTAGGGAGGTGAGCACAGGGCTGGGGGAGGTGCGGCGGGGCCCAGAAGACCAGGCCACTGAGCCCGCGCTCCAGGCTGTGACGGTCCAAACCACGGCACTGGAGCTGCAGGGTCTGCCTAGTGGGCTCTGCATTCCCCGAGAGCACGAGTTTGGCACATGGGAGAATGGAGCCCGTGGAGAACCTTCTGGGGGGTCGGGGAGAATCCCTGCCTCCCTTTAAGGAATCATGAAGGACAGAGACTTTTGAGATTGTGGCTTAGGAAGGCCATACCTGCTCCCTGGGCTGTGGCTTTTTCTGGTCCCTGCTGAGGCCGACTGGCCCCTGGAGAAGGATGGTGGGGCATAGGCTAGGGCTGCAGTTGGCCAGTGGGGCTGCCAGTTTCTTTCTGGGACCACTCTCGTCCTCGGGCATTGCACTGGAAGGCTGGAACCAGCCCAAACTGCCCACCTGCTTCACTTCCAATGACTAGGAGCCAGCCCAGCCTCCTGCCCTGCCCACACCCCTGCGCCCTGGGCCAGTGCCTTGCGTTTGATGTTACCTCCACACCATCTGCCTTAAGAGGAAGGGCCGGGCAAGGCCCCTACTCCCTAGAGAAATGTCTTGGGTAGGAGAGGGTGTGGGATGGTGGGAGGGGAAGCATTAAATACAGCAACTTCTTAGAAAAAAAAAAAGGTGCTTGTCTTTTCCTGTTGCTCTTCACGGATGTAAAGGATTGGGCTGAGGGGCCCAGGTGGGCGTGCCAAGGACCCTCCCACACCACCCTCCACCCTTACCACAAGTGTGATGCCTGCTGTGTGTGAGATGGCCTTCTCTGCACTGCGGTTTACTCAGGAAGAAGACAACATTGTTCCTGTCTGAGCAGCTCACCGTGTAATAGACTAGGCATTTTCTGTTCAGCAGATTAATGGAGGTTGGTGGTTTTAGCCGAGGAAAGCTATGGATACGCTGGGTGGAGAAGGCTAGATATAGGGCCAGAACGGTTTGGTGAGCAGTGGAGAGAAGCCAACGAGTGGCTGCTTCTAAACTGGCAGACCTTCTAAAAATCATTTCTGTTTCTGAGTTGGCAATGCTTTGCTAATGCTTTACAGATTTACCTTCCTCGTTATATTTGGCCCAGGCAAAGATCAAAATGAGTTTGCAGTCCTTAAACACATGCCTAAGGGAAGCTGAGACTGAAAGCCAGAATAGCTTACAGCAGGTTCGTGGAGAAGATTGTGCATATGTGCATCCACCTGCAATGGACTAATCTACAGTTCATGGGGCAGATGACGATAAGCGCAAGACATCTGGGCCAGGAACATTGGCTCCGAGCAGAACCCACAGAGGAGGAAGTAATTTAAAAGCCTTCCCACCCTCCAGGTCTGGGGTTTGCTCTCTTGAGCCCTCTCCAAGGCACAGATGGAGACCAGCCTGGATGCCTGAGCCTGCAGGACTAGACAAGTAAGTGGACTCAAGAGTGGATTTGAAGAAACCTTTATAGATATAGATTCCATTTTACAAGAAGGGAAAATTGAGGCCTGGAGCAGAAGGAAGCAGTGGGGTAGAGTCAGAACCAGCATCCTTAAGCCGGGCAGACTTGGCCTTAGACAGACATGCCTTACTTAGGTCCAGCAGATGCTACCAGGAAGGTATGGCTGGCAGTACCTGCGTCTGAGCTCAGGACTTCAGACCAAGATGGAAGTCCCTTAGACCAATAACATAAAAATCACTTTTTAACTCAGGTGCTGTGGGTAGGGAGCAAGGGCAGCTATACTGTCCTTTCAGAAGCTCTCCTGGGCTGTGGAAAGTGCCCACGAGCCTGGCAGATCACGGAGGAAGGAGGCAGAAGTTCCAGGCCCAGAACCTGTTGAGGAAGCAGAGAAGAGGCAATGAGGATGGCAGGCCAGATCAATGCCCCTCAACCTTCAGCATGCCCAGGATGCACCTGGCCACGTTACTCATGCACGTGCCTGTAGCACGTGCTCGAGCAGAGCCTGAGATTCTGCATTTCCAGCAAGTTCCTGGGTGGTTTGTGGATGCTGCTGACCCATGGACCACAGTCAGTAGCAAGAGCTGCTAGACAATGGCAGGGAGAAATTCCCCATCTCCACCTTTCCTCTTGCCGGAGGGGCAGAGTCAACCACTAATGGCATCGCCTCCACCCTGTCCCAGACCGTGGGAAAACCTGAGCCTGAGAGCAGAGAGCCATTAACACAGCAGTGGGGCTTTGTGCAAGCCTCGCTGAGGCCAGGCTCTTGCAGATCCTCTCCTTGCTCTCGGAGCTACAGGCCTTCCCCCTTTGTTTGGCAAGGGATCTGTTTCTTGCCCCAAAGCCCCAGAGGAGAGAGAAGGGCCACCTGGGGAGTCCCTGGAGCTGGGGTTCCTCCATCCTCCCTCACCTGGGTCCCAGGCTGCATTCAGAGAGGATTCCTTGAGGCCCTGGCAGCCAGGAACCCTGTTTTATGTGCCCCGAAGGCTGTAATGAAAACATTGATGACCACAGTGAAGAAGACCAAGATGGTGGCTGCGTTGTTGAGCTGGTTGAGTCGCCACTGCTTTTCTACCTCATTCAGGTTCAGCCGTGCTGCAGGGAAGTGGAGTGGGGGGAAAGGGTCAGAGACGGGGCCACAGCACGGAGCTGCCCCCACAACACCCACCAGAGTTTGGAGAGAGGGGCCCTTCAGAAACCCATGTGGCAGAAATCAAGGGAGGTGGTCGTCATCGGGCTGAGATGCCTCTGCCCTCGCCAACCAGTACAATGGGGCACCCTAGTGTGCTTCATCCCACCAGGATTTGGGAACTTAAGCTGGGTCCTGTAAGCGTGGGGACGAGTGCTCATGGAGAAGCGGTGAGCGAGTGAGTGAGTTAGCAGTTAGCGAGGTGCTGGCGCAGTCATTCAGCAGGTACTGCGGAGGGTCTGCTCCATGGGATACCAGGAGACAGGACAGGGCGCCTGCCCTCGCGGGGTGGAAGTTGGTCTTTGGGCCTCTGTTAGCGGAGGGCTCACTGCAGGTCAGCGTGTGGTTGCAAAGCTGCCTGTGCCAATGCAGGGTGGCCCAGGGGACACGTGGGGCCTTTCTGCCAGCCACGGGTGCCGAGGCAGAAGGTCTGACTGCAGGCTGGGCTCCTCACCAATGACCACGAGCAGGACACCGATGACCACCTGCAGGAGCAGAGAGAGGCTGATGAGGGTGACCAGGGTGGTGTAGTAGTGAGAGGATGGTCCCTGCTCCAGCACCGCCTTCAGCCGCATGGCGTTGGACATGAACAGGGCCACGTCCAGCATGCTCTCCGCCACGCTCTTCTTGGTGGCGTAATGGTTCAGGTTGATGGGCTGGCTCCTGGGGTCGGAGCTTCCAGGCTGTAGGGGAGAAAGCACAGACTTACCAAGGGGAGCTCTGGAAGGGAAGCAGTTGAGAGGTGGGAGAGAGGAGAGAGGTTTTAAAGCTCTTTCCAATCCAGATGGGAAGCTCAGGGCAAATGACACCCTTAGTTTCATGGCCTGATAAAATGAAGGGTTGGACGAGAAAACCCATAAGGACCTCTGCACTCTGAAATGACATTCTGTTGCAGTTGATACTTCCTGGAGAGTCACCCCTTCCCTCACACCTTCACACATCTGGCTGGAGAAAGCCGGGAGGGTTCTCTGCTGCTGGTAAAATGCACCTTCCTCACCCTATTCACTATTTTACCTGGGCCAGGCCTCAGCTTTGGGCTGTGTTCTTTTCCTCTGAGAGGAAAGCACCTGAGAAGACAATAAAAAGAGCTTGGAGGCTTGGGTGAAATAGAGAAAGGCACCTCCTCTCGCATAATGCTGTGGCCCCCAAGGCAGGGTGCACAGCTCAGCAGCTGATCATCGGCTGGATTTCCAACCCTCAGGAGCACTGGAGCTGCCGCCCTGCTCAGGCACACACGCTGTCAGACACAGGCTCTCAGCATACACATGCATGCATGCATGAGTGTATACACACAGTAATGCATACTAGTTAAACACTCACATCATTTTAATTATTACTTTTGGCTAGGATTTATTGAAGCATAATTTACTAAAGCTTCTCCAGAAGCCACTAACTCCAAAAGACAGAATCACAATACAGGGCATATGCTGTGGGCCTCTGGGTTGGGCCAAGAATTTCAGACTGGGCGCCATGACCAAGGGCAATCTGCAGTCACTCAAGAGTACTTGGAAGATTGATTTAGCAGTGGTGCTTGGAACAGACTGGGCCAGGAAGGGCTAGAAGCAGGGAGAGTCATTTAAAAGTTATAGTATTGATTTAGGATCAGGGTGAAAAGGAACTGAAGTGGAGCAAGGTGAGACAGGAAGGAATGGAGGACTCTGAAGGATGCTACGGCCTGGAGGTAGGGAAGATGACCCAGCAGATCACCATGACAGGACAGATACCTGCAGAGTGGGGAGAGACGGATGGATTGAAGGATGCTATGGCCTGGAGGTAGGGAAGATGACCCAGCAGATCACCACGACAGGACAGATACCTGCTGCGTGGGGACAGATGGATGGATAGATGGATGCGTGCCTATATATGCACAGTGATGCATACCAGTTAAACACTCGTAATTTGTTTTTAATTTTTTTGGCTAGGATTTATTGAAGCATAATTTACATTTGATTTTGTTTTGAAGTATAAAATAAAGCTTCATGGATGAAGGGATGGATGGATGGATGGAGAGATTGGTGGGTGGATGGATGGATGCGTGGATGATTGGATAGGCAGGTCTCAGAGGGTCTGGAATGTTCCTTGTACTTCGTGCAGCCCCAGCAAGTCACTTCACTTCTCTGTACCTCAGGGATTTACACAGAGGACAGTTGATTTACACATAGGCTAACTGATTTACCTATCTATCAGAACCTTTGGATTCTATGAGCCCTTAGGATACCCCGAAATGAGGCTGGGTGCAGTGGCTCATGCCCGTAACTCCAGCACTTTGAGAGGCCAAGGCAGGGGGATCATTTGAGGTCAGGAGTTTGAGACTAGCCTGGCCAACATGGCAAAATCCCGTCTCTACTAAAAATACAAAAAAATCAGCTGGGTATGGTGTCACACGCCTGTAATCCCAGCTACTCAGGAGGCTGAGGCAGGAGAATCACTTGAACCAGGAGGCAGAGGTTGCAGTGAGCAGAGATCGCACCATTGCACTCTAGCCTGGGTGGCAGAGTAAGACTCTTGTCTCAAAACAAAAACAAAAACAAAACTCTGAAATGCAGTAGTCTCCAGACTTTCTTGATAGTGTAATCTCAGCATTAAAAACTGTTTTGGCCATGCATCCTCAATATATGTACATTCTTCCATTATCAACTATACATATTTTTATTGGACTAATTATATATATAGTAAAATATGCAAAAGTAGAAACATTTGAAAGGATTACATAAAATTCAATATAAATAGAAGTTTAATTTTCTTATCCTAAAATATGGTCTTGGGCACTCGTCTTTGGAGATCCAGCTCTAATCCACATGCCTGGCTACAGATTGGACCAATCCTCTCCTAGGCCAACAGAAGGGAGCCTCTCTTCCCCAGTCCTTCTCCTAACGTTTGCCTTCAAAACTCAGCCCCACGTCTCCACCCTGCTCTTCTCACTTCCTTTCCAAGCTCCTGGCCCTTTGCTCTGTTTGCCAGGAGGGTGCACACACACAGACACATTCAAGAGGCACAGGGTGGTCATGGGTGCTAACAGCACCTGCTCTGATGGAATCCACCCTGGCAGCCTGTGCCCCGCAGGCTGCCCCTCTCTGACTCTGTGGACCAGTCATTGGAGGATCAAACATATAGGAGTGGCTCTTTCACTCTGACCACACTCCAGGCCATCAGCTTTCTACACGGGGCAGTTCCCTGCACCTGGGTTGTTCATTATTGAGATTCCGAGTGTCCTCAACTTCTGGACGGGGCAGGACTCACAGAGGGTAATCAGGAGTGTGCACTTTGGCCAGTGGAGCAATTTAAACACTTTCTCTGGGAGAGTAGAATGGAGACCAGCGGGTAGCATTCATTCAATAGATTGACTGTACATGCCAGGCGGTGCTTGGGGCTGTGAGGACACCCCCCCCCCCCCGCCCCCCGGGTAAGCACTGGGCCACAGGCTGCTCACAACAGGCCCTGGCAAACTCCTTTTGACAGCCACCAAAATCAGGCTGGGGCCCAGGGCCCACAGAAATAAGAAAAAAGGCCATAGGCACGAAAGGAATGGAGTGCTCACTATCTCTCCCATCTTCCTTCGTGTTTGATTTTGCTGGGGCCGGGGTTTCAGCTGGTGCTGGGGGCAGCCAGTGAGGTTGGAGGAGGTAGGGATGGAGGGTAAATGAGGACCTGCATGGACTTGGGAGGCCACACACGGCGTTCAGGGCCTTTGGAAATCCAGTTCAAGCAAGGCTGGCTTGTCTAGGGCCAGCTGGCATGGTTGGTTAGGGCCAGGGATCCCAGGGCCAACACTTCACAAAGGCCCATGGTCGCCGTCAGCCCCAAGGCTGCAACCTGTGGTCTTAGCCCATTTGGTGAAGGTTTGTCCTCGGTCTCCAAGAGCACTCATTAGGCAAGAGAGTCTCACCCCCTGCACCCAAATTCAAAGTGTCTCTGCCCAGGTTCAACTGTGCCCCCTGGCCTCCCTGCCCCATGGCTGTGCCACCCCTCCTGTCTCTTCCCCATCCTCCAGTTTGTGCAGTAGCAGCAAGCTTTGCCCTTTCTCCTCCTTCCTGGTCTAGCTCAGAGGGAGACAGACCCCCTTCCCCCCAAATGTATCGTTAACAGTGGACAAAACCTTAAACCCAAACCTCTAGTGGCATGTGTTGAGCACTGACCAAATAGTGGGGGAAGGGGTGGCAGGGGGTGGCAGGGGTGAGTACACGGGCAGCACGGAGGTCTTCCCAACCTCTATGGAAGGTATTGCCATTTGTAAGTTTTAACAGAGCTGGTTGGCTTTTGTTGTTACATTAATCTGAGAGCCATTGCTTCACAGAGGACGTGAGGCTCGCAGTGTGCTTAGGGGGTGCGCCTCATCCTTTCCTCGCTAAATGCGGGGCCGACTCGGGCCTGCCTTTCACTGCGGGTGCTGGGCGGGATCAGGGTGTCCCCGCCTGCTCCAGAGTGTCCACACGGTGGCGCGCGCGGTCCAGAGACGTGACTTGGGCGCCGCGGCTGCCGGGGGGCGTTTCCACCCCGAGGAACCCACGCGCAGGACGGGATTAATGGGAAACCTGGACCCCTCCGAGGCCCAGGACGGGAGCCTCGCCCGCAAGTCTGGATGGGCCGAACTAAAACCCACCAAACGCGTGCGTCAAGCCAGAGTTCGAGAATCAACCGAAGCTGAAATGGAGCCAGCGTGGGGTGGGGGGACCCAGAAGGGAGGGGCCTCCAGCACAACCTGCAGCCGAGGGGACGGCGGGCAGAAGGGCCGGCAGTGAGGCCCTGGCGAAGGTGCCTGGAAAGGGGTCCTCTCATTGCAGCATCTTTAAAAGCAGGGACCGGGCTTTTCTAATCCTCGTGGGCCAGTTTAGGTGCAGCCCTGCTCTGCGGCAGAGGGATGGATGGAATGACCTGAGGGCCCTCCCTTCTAGCGGGAGGAGAGGATCAGATAAAGTCCTAAATCCTGCAGGGGGTCATCCTTTTCGCCCACAGCCCAGGGACTGGGAGCAACTCCACAGGGGTCAGGGTGACAGAGGAGTGGGGAGCGCAGCAGGGTGGCCCCCGCTCCCGCTCAGAGGAGCTGGCCCTTTAAGGCCAGGCCCAGGCGGGTCGGGAACAGAGACCCGGGAATGTGGGCTGGACTGGGGAGCAGAGCCACCCAGCATGAGTCATTCCCGTTTCGCCGGACTCTTCGCCGCTGGCTCTCGCTTGCCGCCCTCCCCTGGCCCTGGCCCTGGCCTCTGCGCCCTCCCTGCAGAGCTGGTCCGGGTGGGCTGGCGGCCTCCACCCGCCACAAGCGCACAGGGCTCTGCCCACTCCCCGCCCCTTTTCTGCTGATCCTCGAGGAGCAGGGGACCGGTGGGCTAGGACTGCTGGTTGCTGGGCCCAGCTCTGCCTCTGGGCTTGGAACTTTGGTGCTGAGTTTCCACATCTATAAAACTGGAGGAAAATCCCATCTCTGGAGGGCAGAGGCCATGGACAGCAGAACGACACTTTGCTCCTTCACAGAAGGAAGGACAGAATCCAAGCGGTTCCCATTTTCCCAGGCTGAGATCCCTCTCTCAATGAGGCTGGCTCTCGGTATCTTCCTCAGGTCTCATTCTGCCCCGCCCCACTTGCCCCTCCCCTGCCACTCAAGGGCGGCAGGACACTGACCCAAGACTCATAGCTTTGGGCTCCCAGAGTCCCTGTTCAAGGCGCGGTTGCCTGTGGGAAAGGCTGCCCATCAAAATCTGGCCAACCAATGACACCTGGACAGACGGGGAGTTTGGGGCGGCATGAAGCTGGAGCGCGGCCAGTGCAGGGAAGGTGGGAGTAGATCCAGAGTTTGATCTGGACGCCCTTGGGCATCTGGGCAACAAGAGGACGTGGGTTTGATGATTGGCATGGGATGAGGCAGGGGGGTGGGGGACACCAGAGACCCAGCGGTTTGCCCCATTCCTGGGCCTGCCTGGCAGACGTGGGTTTGGTGATTGGCATGGGATGAGGCAGGGGGGTGGGGGACACCACAGACCCAGCGGTTTGCCCCATTCCTGGGCCTGCCCGGCACAGTCATTACCCTCCCTCTTCCGCGCCCTCCTCTCTCGTTCCAGCTCAGACTTCCCTGTCACCTAGGCCTCTTGCCAAGTCCCAGCTCCTAAGGCTGGTGCGATTCCATCCCTTGAAGTCAAGGATTGCTTCATTGTTCTGCCAGACAGCCCTTTATCCCTTAATCCTTGTTGGCCTATATTTTTGTTTATTTACAGGACTTAGGTTGGATAGGAAAGGAATGCCTTTTTTAACAGAAAAGTAAACATGTTTTTCATTGTTTATCGACTTTATGGTCAGTGGGGACCATAAGCTCCAACAGATCATTCTGCTCTTTCTTGGAAACAAGATTACAGGGCTGTTCTCCCAGAGGGCCATGGAGGTTGGGTAAACCCCAGAGTGGTAAGTAACTGCCCTACCAAAAAGCCATGGAGCCCGCAGATCAGTGTGTTTAGGCCCTGGGGCCTGTGGCAGGCAGTGTGTGTCCCAAGGGAAGTATAGGCATGGTGAGGGGAGTTGTAGCAGCCCAGAGGGCATCACCAAAGGCACCTTGACCACATTCCAGCCCTGCTTTAATGAGTGAGCAATCCGGGCCGGGAGCACTGGACGCCTTTTCTTATCATCTGCGAGGTCGAAGGGACTGGAACACAGGCTTCCTTGGGTCCTTCCTAGCACGGAGTAATCTAGGGATGGGAAAGCCGGCTCTGAGCGGAGAATCCCGGGGGCTGAGGACATCGCTGAGAGGCCGCTGCAGGGCATGGGTGACCTTCCCATGAGTCGTTCCTGCCAGCCCTGAGAACACCCACGTGGGAGCTTCCTGTGTGCCAGCGCACAGTCAGGGCTACACACTAGCAGGCCCAGAGGAACAGGGGCCTGTCACCCTGCTGGTGGCCTCAAAATGACCGACTGCCCGGGAAAGCCAGGCCTCCCTTGAGAAGGGGACAGTGGCGACCTAGGCTTTTGGAAAGCTGATTTCTCACAAAGGGAAAGGGTGGGTCCCAGCCTGGGAAGAGTGATTCGTTCAAAGGAAGGGGCTTAGGTGAGCTTTTAATTCGGTATCAGTCCTCTTGTCAGAATTCACTTGGGAAGGGTGCCTGGGCCTGTCACACTGTGTGCACACACAGTGGGCTCTCAGCACACTGGAACGATGGTGGTTCCCACTTACAGAGGACATACCTTGTGGCTGGCACAGGGTTAAACACAGGACATGAGTCACCTTATGTAGTCCTCACAACAGTTCTGCGAAGTAGATGAGGGCATCATCATCACAGTTGAGAAAATGGAGGCTCAGAGAGACTAAGTAACTTGCCCAAGATCACACAGCACAGAGTTTTTAATCCCAATCCTCTATGTGCCAGAGCCTGTAATTTTTTTTTTTTTTTTTTTTTTTGAGATGGAGTTTCACTTTTGTTGCCCAGGCTGGAGTGCAGTGGCACAATCTCAGCTCACTGCAACCTCCCACTCCAGGGTTCAAGCAATTCTCCTGCCTCAGCCTCCCGAGTAGCTGGGATTACAGGTGTGTGCCACCACACCCAGCTAATTTTTTTTTTTTTTTTTTTTGAGACAGAGTCTCGCTCTGTCGCCTAGGCTGGAGTGCAGTGGCGCAATCTCAGCTCACTGCAAGCTCCGCCTCCCGGGTTCACGCCATTCTCCTGCCTCAGCCTCCCGAGTAGCTGGGACTACAGGCGCCCGCCACCACACCCAGCTAATTTTTCTTATTTTTAGTAGAGACGGGGTTTCACCATGTTGCCCAGGCTCATCTCGAACTCATGACCTCAGGTGATTCACCTGCCTCAGCCTCCCAAAGTACTGGGATTATAGGCGTGAGCCACCACACCAGGCCCAGAGCCTGTAATTTTCACCCTTACTCTACTGTGCCCAAGAAGTGGAAGACATACTCCCTACTCCAAGGAGTTTAAGATTGAAAGATAAACACGTGCAGTCTGGCTGGGTGTGGTGCCGCATGCCTATTGCCATCCCAGCTATTTAGGAGGCTGAGACAGGAGAATTGCTTGAACCTCAGAGGCGGAGGTTGCAGTGGGACAAGATTGCACCACTGCACTCCAGCCTGGGCAACAGAGCAAGAGTCCATCTAAAACAAAAAAAACAGAAAAACAAAAAACAAACAAACAAAAAAACAGATAAAAAACAAAAACATATGCAGCCTAAGATGAAAGAAGACTAGTCCCATAGGGTACACATGCACACTTACTAAGAGGAGGCATAACCTCTACCTGAGTGAAACTTGTCTGAGGCTTTCCTGAATCTGCAGTGGGGCTGTGTCCCTGAGCCCCTGCACTGCTGCCTCAGAAGGGGCACTAGACCCAAAGACCCAAAGGCAAAAGGCTTGGGTTCAAACTGGTAAGAAGGGACCTGGGTGACTGGAAGAATAGGGTTGAGAGAAGGAATTTTATCTGTACCTTTTGAATTTTGAAACATGTGAATGAACTATCTTAAAAAATAAATTTGGCCGGGCAAGGTGGCTCATGCCTGTAATCCCAGCAGTTTGGGAGGCGGATCATGAGGTCAAGAGTTCGAGACCAGCCTGGCCAACATGATGAAACCCCGTCTCTACTAAAAATACAAAATTAGCAGGGTGTGGTGGTGCATGCTTATAATCCCAGCAACTTGGGAAGCTGAGGCAGGAGAATCGCTTGAACCTGGGAAGGCAGAGGTTGCAGTGAGCCGAGATGGTGCCACTGCACTCCAGCCTGGGCAACAAGAGCAAAACTCTGTCTCTAAAATAAATAAATAAATAGGCCAGGCGTGGAGGGAGGTTGCAGTGAGCTGATATTGTGCCACTGTACTCCAGCCAGGGTGACAGAGCGAGACTCCATCTCAAAAAAAATAATAATAATAACAATAATAAATTTGTAACAAAAGCAAATATGCACTCTGCTATGGTCTGAATGTGCCCCCTAAAGTTTATGGGTTGGAAACTTAATCCCTGCTGTAATAGTGTTGAGAAGTGGGAACTTTAAGAGGCAATTGGGTCACGAGGGCTCTGCCCTCATTTATGCCATTATCATGGCAGTGGGTCAGGTTATCTCAGGATTAAAAAAAAAAAAAAGGTGAGCTTGGCTCCCTTCCTCTCTCTTGGGCTTGCAAGCTCTCTGGCCCTGCCACCTTCTACCAGGGAAGGATGTGGCATGAAGGCCCTCACCAGATGCCAGTGCAATGTTCTTGGACTTGCCAGTCTCCAGAACCATGAGCCAAATACACTTCTATTGTTTATAAATCACCCAGTCTCAGTTATTCTGTTATAGCAACACAAAACAGACCAAGACATACCCCCAGAAGGCCAGTGGTTAAGATAAACATGTTAAAACAAAAGTGAATTTATGACTTCATCTCACCCAGACCCTAGCTGGTCCTCCTCTGAAGTGGGAATAATATCTGCCCTGTCTAGCACAAAGTGCTGTTAGAAAGATCAATAGGATCATGTGGGTGAATGTGCTTTGAAAGCTGTGAAGTATTAAACAAATATGAGATGAGAGGGAAATCTATCCCACAGAGGATTATACTCCCACGTGTGGGCCTAGAGGCATTTCAAATACTGTGTTGTGACTCAGGGCCCGTCCCAGCCCCAGTTTTGAAGTAGGCACCATTTATGGTCCTAACAACTTCCATGGTGTTTGAAATGCCTCCTGTACCCATTGGGCAGCCTCTCTCCTCGCTCCTGCTGGCTCTCGCCTTCGAGCCGCCTGCAGGAAGGGAAACACTCACACAAGCCCACCTGCATTGGGTCTCCAGGGTCATTGTTACTCAAGCGTAGTCCTCTCTCCTGGGGCCCCCACCCACCTCTCTAGCCTGGTCCCCAGCTCCTCCTCCCACCCCTGAAGAGCGAACCCTGTGCCCTGTGCCAGGCTCTGTGATGCTCAGACGTGCAGGGCCACACCAGATTACTCACTGTTCCCTGAACACACCCCACCCTTCCCAGCTGCTCCTGCTCTGCTCCAGGACTACAGGCCTTTCTTTCTTCACCATGCTCCCCCCAGGGAGAGCCTCCCCTCCTTTCTAGACCCTGTCCCCAAATGCACTCCACCAAGGCCCTGTTTGAAAGAAGGTCGCCTGCTCCCTGGCCTGTGCTGGCCTTGGGCGTTGTTGAGTCCTCCTGAGACGGCTCCTTCTGCTGCCCACTTTAGCACACGGACCCCATCTTCCACAGGCCTGAGTCTCCATGGAGCCTAGCTCAGCACCTTGCCCACATGAGGTACACAATGAATGATGATCGCATTGAATTTTTATGAGACAGCTTTTTCAAAAAAGGCAAAAGTAAGGCTCTTTAAGGGTGGGGCTTCAGGCACAGTGGCTTCTGGGTGGGGGAGAGGAGTTTGGGGAGTGAATCTTTGCTCTTAAACACCCCCACTGCAGGGAGAGCCCTTTTTCCCCTAGATCCTGCCTTTTCTCAGCAGTCCTGAGGGAGCCTCAGGGAATGAATGACTGGGGCTGGAAGCTGCAGCTGGTCTTCAGGCCAAAAGCTGTAAAAGCCCAGACCCCTGAGGCCTTCTGTCTGGGGCAGGCCGCATGCAGGCTCCTGACTGCAGCCAAGAGCAGTGATCTCGCCCTTAAAAATCAACAGTCTCTAATCCACGTCGGGGTGGGGTTTCTTTTGCGTGTTATTCCAGCAATAATACGTAACTGGTCCAGAAACCGCCTCTGAGCCCTGGGCACAGTCTCACTGAGAGTTCCAGCCCTTGCCCCGAGCTGCAAACTGGGGCCTAAAGCTGCAGCACCGAGAGGCCACGTGGGGCGAGGCCTCCCCGGAAGGCCTGCGGCGCCGCCGTTGTCCACCAGGGGGCGCCAGGAAACGGCGCGGCGAGGCCCCAGCTCAACCCGCCCGCGCGGGCACACCCGGGCTTTGACCCCTTTGTGATCGAGGACACGGACGGGTTTCTCTCCAACAAAAGGGGGCCATAAATTACAAACGGAAGCAGAGTGTGTAGGGAAGAACAGGAAAGCACGTGCGTTGAAACCGGAACTCGGGCCTGCTTGCTTGCTTATTTATTTTAGTTATTACTGTTTTCTTGGGGCAGGCCCTTGCTCTGTCGCCCAGGCTGCGGGGTGGTGGCCCCGTCATAGCTCACTGCAGCCTCAACCTCGGGGCTCAAGCGACCCTCCTGCTTCAGTCTCCCAAAGTGCCGGGGCTGCAGGCGCGAGCCGCCACCCCGGCCTCCGTGCTCTTTCTCAGGGAGCATTTTCCACCTCCCCTGCAAGAGGCCGTTTTGCCAGTGGCTTTCAGAAAAGACTGTTGTCATCTCGGGGTTCAGAGTTAATCGTGGATTTACCTACCACACAGAAATTTCCAAAGAATCGATCTGCTCCCTCTCAATATCCACCCTAAACAAGAGCACTTTCCCAATCAGCGCCTTGTCCTGGGGCTTCCAGACCCATCTGGCCTTTTGCTCTTTGCTCTATGCCCACTTGAGCTGTGAGGTTCTCAGAGACATTCCCCAAAGCCCTCCCAGCCGATCTCTGCTGACTTCAATCCTACTCATCCCTCAGGGGCTAACAAAATTGTTAAAATTTAAACAGTAATAATTAAATAATGATATTGCTGTATGTCAGGCATGACTCCACAAAGCAGGTATTAATACAGATGGTCCCCAGCTTTCGCACCATCGTAAGTGATACACTTTACAAACTGTCCTTCGAGTAGCCATACAACCACTCTCTTTTTCACTTTCAGTACATTATTCAATAAATTACACAAGATATTCAATAGTCTCTTATAAAGTAGGCTTTGTGTTAGATGATGTTGCCCAGCAGTAGGCTGGTGTAAGTGGGCTGAGCACGCTGAAGTTAAGCTAGGCTAAACTATGAAGTTCAGTAGGCTAAGTGTATTAAATGCATTTTGACTTACAATATTTTCAACTTACTATGGGTTTATCAGAATGTAGCTCTATCATAAGTTGAGAAGCAACACTAGTCTCATATATATATATACATATATATATATAAATATTTTGGCACGATCTTGGCTCACTGCAACCTCCACCTCCTGGATTCAAGCAATTCTCCTGCCTCAGCCTCCCAAGTAACTGGGATGTAGTCCCATTCTACAAGTGAAGAAGTTGAGGCTCAAAGAGGTCAAATGCCCAAAGTCACCAGATACTGAGGGATGGCCCCAGTGTCTAAATCCTAAGCCTGCGTTTTTCTCCTATATGCCAGTGGTTCTCCATGTGTGCTCCTTGAAGTAGCAGCAGCAACATCACCTGAAAACTCACTAGAAATGAAAAATTTTTAAATTTTTGTAGAGATGGGGTCTCACCATGTCGGCCAGGCTAAGTCTCAAACTCCTGAGTTCAAGCGATTCTCCCACCTCAGCCTCCCAAACTGTTGGGATTACAGGCGTGAGCCACTGCACCAGGCCCCGAGATCACCCTTTTATTTTTATTTTTTTTTAAGACAGGATCTCCCTCTGTCACCCTAAGGGAGGAGACCATCCCTCACATTGTCTTATGCCCAATTTCTGCCTCCAAATAAAGAAGAAGTAAAAACTAAAAGGCAGAAATGAAATCCACGAGCAGACAGCCCGGCCCCATACCCTGGGCCTGGTAGTTAAAGATCGACCCCTGACGTAATCAGTTATTTGTATAAGAAAAGCACTGTGAAGATCCCTGTCCTGTTCTGTTCCGTTCTAATTACCGGTGCATGCAGCCCCCGGTCACGTACCCCCTGATTACTCAATCAATCATGACCCTCTCACGCGGACCCCCTTAAAAGTTGTGAGCCCTTAAAAGGGACAGGAATTGCTCACTCGGGGAGCTCGGTTGTTGGAGATGTGAATCTTGCCAAAGCTCCTGGCCGAATAAAGCCCTTCTTTCTTTAACTCGGTGCCTGAGGGGTGTTGTCTGCGGCTTGCCCTGCTACAACCCAGGCTGGAGTGCAGTGGTGCAATCATGGCTCACTGTAGCTTCAAACTCCTGGGCTCAAGGGATCCTCTTGCCATAGCCTCCTGGGTAGCTGGGACTACAAGTGCACACCACTACACTACATTTTTAAAACGTTTTTTGTAGGAATGTGGTCTCGCTATGTTGCCCAGGCTGGTTTTGAACTCCTGGCCTCAAGGGATCCTCTCATCTTGCACCCTCAAAGTGCTGGGATTACAAGCATGAACCACTACACCCGGCCGAGAGCACCCATTTTTTAAGTATTAGAGCTGGCCTTTGAACCCAGCCAGGCTCTGGATTCTGTGTCCTTAACTGCTACAGCCCTGGAAGCATAGGCTGTGTAAGTCCCTCAACAATGGGGACCAGTCTAAAATATTTATAGGTAGCATATCTAGATCATTCCAGAGAGGAGTGAATGGATCCAAACTGTCTTTTGAACCAGCAGCCAGAGGCCCCAGCAGCTCCTGTCTTCCCAGCCCAGTGCTGCCAGCTGCTGCTGCTCATGAGTCTGTAAGGGTCTAGTGCTTTTATTCCCAGATCCTTTTCATGTCCTCACTCAGAAGCACTGAGAGCCTCTCGTTTTTGCTGAACCTTAGATTTTGTGATGGAGCCTAAATCCAGACAGGAAACCTAAACACGGGTAAGTGGAAAGGACTTTCAGAACAATTAATCATGAAGCAAAATGTCAACATTCCACATAAGGGTGTATATGAGTTTTGTATGTCCCCACTAGATTATACATTTCCAAAAGGTAAGAGTTATTTCCTCGGGATTTCAGGCAATTAGAATAAGAAGCAATGAGAGCTGAGCCTGCAGTCTCTGGCTATCGTCCAGGTGAGACCTCATGAAGTAGATCAGATCTGACAGTGAGATGGGAGAAAGGGAAGGTGGTGAATTTCCCACCCCACCCAGCCCTGCAGACAGCCTGCCAAGATTCCTACTGAGTTCAATGCAACAAACCTGTTTCCAGCTCCTAGCACGAGCTAGGCATCTAGGATACAACGAAGATCCCTGCCTTCCCGAAGCCCCTGTGAAAGAAAACTAGACTCTTGAGACCCCCAAATTCACCATGATGAAGAGAAAGTTAAGCTTGGACATGGAGTCACACAAAACAAAACAAAAACAAAACAAAACAAACAAAACAAAACAAAACAACTGCCTTCCTTGTGTTCCCAAACGGCAGTCATTTCACATGCTTACTTTATCTTACATAAAATGCGGATTCACCGAGCCCAGGACAAATACATAATTGATCCGCCCCCACTCCCTCTTGTCACATGTAAAATGTAGATTCATCGAGCACTATCAGAGCCTCACAAGAATGTGCCCCGAGCCTCACTGCCTACCCAACCTCCTTTTAAAAAAGCTTCCCCTCTTGCTTTGCTCTTTCCCTTTAAATATTGAAATTCCCAAAATCCTCTTTGGAAAAAGCATAGGTCACAGATCCTATGGTGTTTCTTTTCTCTGAGTTCACCCTCAACCTTGGCAAAACAAATCTCTCCTCAATGGAGATCTGTCTCAGTCACGTTTCGGTTTACATCCTATTCTCCTAATCCCCTAAAATGACAAAGCTTAGCAGAGAATAAGAGAATAAGCACTGGGCTGGGAAGACAGGAGCTGCTGGGGCCTCTGGCTGCTGGTTCAAAAGACGGTTTGGATCCATTCACTCCTCTCTGGAATGATCTAGATATGCTACCTATAAATATTTTAGACTGGTCCCCATTGTTGAGGGACTTACACAGCCTATGCTTCCAGGGCTGTAGCAGTTAAGGACACAGAATCCAGAGCCTGTATAAAGTGTATAAAGGGGGAAGCCAGGAGATAGAGAGCTTATCCATCCCTCCCCAGTGGAAAAGCTTCATGGGAACAAGGGGGCGCCTCACCTGGAGTGCTGAATGAATGAAGGAGTGAATGAATGATGCATTTGTCAGCAGTGCATGGTGGCTCACACCTGTAATCCCAGCACTTTGGGAGGCCGAGGCAGGTGGATCACTTGAGGTCAGGAGTTTGAGATGAGCCTGGGCAAAATGGTGAAACCCCATCTCTACTAAAAATACAAAAATTAGCCAGATGTGGTGGTGCACGCCTATAATTCCAGCTACTCGGGAGGCTGAGGCAGGAGAATCACTTGAACCTGGAGGCAAAGGTTGCAGGGAGACAAGATCACACCACTGCACTCCAGCCTGCATGACAGAGAGAGACCCTGTCTCAAAAAAAAAAAAATATATATATATATATATCCATTTGTCATTCACTGCATTCAGAAGAGACTTCAAAGGCAGGACCAGGGTGAGCTGAACTCCATGAACCTCTTCTGTGGCACCTTCTGGGGGTGCCTGCCAATGGCTATAGTATACAAACACCTCGACTGCGCTGCTGACTCCCCTCCATATGCCACGGCAGCCACAATGTGTTTTCTGTGTGTGTGTGTCTGTGTGTATGCGTGTGTGTCTGTGTGTATGCATGTGTGTCTGTGTGTGCATGAGTGTCTGTGTGAATGTGTCTATGCATGTGTCTGTGTGTCTGTGTGTGTGTCTGTATGTTTGTGTGTGTGTGCCTGTGTGTCTGTGTGTATTCATGTGTGTTTGTGTGTATGTGTGTGTCCATGTCTCTGTGCATATGTCTGTGTGAATGTGTGTGTTCATGTCTTGTGTATGTGTCTGTGTGTGTCTGTGTCTGTGTGTGCGTGTCTCTGTGCCTCTGTGTGTGTGTGCATGTGTCTCTGTGTGTCTGTGTCTGTGTGTGCGTGTCTCTGTGCCTCTGTGTGTGTGTGCATGTGTCTCTGTGTGTGTGTGTGTGTCTGTGTGTGTGTCTGTCTCTGTGTGCGTGTGTGTGTCTATTGTCCCTGAGCTCAGCAGTATCCTGGGTCCTGGCCATAGACCTGTAGATGAGACAGGCTACAGACAAGGCAGGGATACTGGTGCATTATCCGGAGGGAGCTCGGGGGGCCCAGGAGGTCAAGATAGAGAAGTCCCTGAGCACTGAGTCTGGGGATCAAAGCCGCTCCTGATTGGTGGGCCAGCCTGAATCTGCTGCGCCTGCCAGCTTCAGCCAATCCAAGGAGGCCTGGGCCTGGAACCAGCCTGCCTGGATTGCCTGGCCCTAGGACTCATGCCTTTTCCCTGCCAGCAAAGCAGGTCCAGCCTGGATCCTCATACCGGGGCTCTCCTGTCCTTCCTCAGGATTCGAAATGGGGCCAGTCACACATTCTCCCAGCCCTGACACCTGAACCTGAGCAGCAGCTCTGTGAAGGGGGCCAGGGTCTGCTCTGGGGAGAAGGTAAGCAGGGGAGGGCCGGCAAGTGGGTGCAGGGATCTGATCCCACTGCTGACCATCCAACTCACGCAGCTTCGGTGCTTCCCAGCTCACTCGTCTGTAGAAAGAGGAGACACCCCTTCCTCCTCGTGGTGAGAAGCTAGTATCTGGTGAAATAGGTGAGCTGCTGCCAAACTCAGCAAAACCCTCAGCAAAAGTCAATGTAAGTCCCAGGCGATGTCTAACTCAGCCCCAAGGTGTCCTGAGAACCAGATTCTCCGCGGACGCTGAACACACAAAAAGCCCAGCCCTGGAGGGATTCCAATCCACAGCCTCTCCCTGGCTCCCTGCACTGACCCCATGTGCGGCCAGGCTCCCTGTGCATCCCCCTTCACTTCTCACAGAGGCCCTGTGAGGGGAAACAGGCTCCAGAGAGGACAGAACTTACCCAAAGTCACACGGCTAGGAGATCAGAGGCAAGATTTGAACCCGGGTCTGTCCTCACCACTGTGTTCCTCCTCCCGCAGCTCTTAGGCCAGAGTCCTGGGGAATCCTTTCCTCCAGTGCCTAACACAGAATTTGGCTGGGAGCGTGTGCTCAGGAGTGAATGAATGAATGGACGCAGGCAGGCAGGCATGCTAGTGTGAATGAATGAATGGACGCAGGCAGGCAGGCATGCTAGAGTGAATGAATGAATGGACGCAGGCAGGCAGGCATGCTAGAGTGAATGAATGAATGGGCGCAGGCAGGCAGGCATGCTAGAGTGAATGAATGAATGGACGCAGGCAGGCATGCTAGAGTGAATGAATGAATGGACGCAGGCAGGCAGGCATGCTAGTGTGAATGAATGAATGGGCACAGGCAGGCAGGCATGCTAGAGTGAATGAATGAATGGACGCAGGCAGGCAGGCATGCTAGAGTGAATGAATGAATGGACGCAGGCAGGCAGGCATGCTAGAGTGAATGAATGAATGGGCGCAGGCAGGCAGGCATGCTAGAGTGAATGAATGAATGGGCGCAGGCAGGCAGGCATGCTAGAGTGAATGAATGAATGGACGCAGGCAGGCATGCTAGAGTGAATGAATGAATGGACGCAGGCAGGCATGCTAGAGTGAATGAATGAATGGACGCAGGCAGGCAGGCATGCTAGAGTGAATGAATGAATGGACGCAGGCAGGCAGGCATGCTGGTGTGAATGAATGAATGGGCGCAGGCAGGCAGGCATGCTGGTGTGAATGAATGAATGGGCGCAGGCAGGCAGGCATGCTAGAGTGAATGAATGAATGGACGCAGGCAGGCAGGCATGCTAGAGTGAATGAATGAATGGGCGCAGGCAGGCAGGCATGCTAGAGTGAATGAATGAATGGGCGCAGGCAGGCAGGCATGCTAGAGTGAATGAATGAATGGGCGCAGGCAGGCAGGCATGCTAGAGTGAATGAATGAATGGGCGCAGGCAGGCAGGCATGCTAGTGTGAATGAATGAATGGGCGCAGGCAGGCAGGCATGCTAGTGTGAATGAATGAATGGGTGCAGGCAGGCAGGCATGCTAGAGTGAATGAATGAATGGGTGCAGGCAGGCAGGCATGCTAGTGTGAATGAATGAATGGGCGCAGGCAGGCAGGCATGCTAGTCCTGCCTTTAGCGCTGGCCCAGATTCAGGCTAGAAGTGCCCTTTCCACAGCTCAGGGCGATGCCCCAGGGCAGCCAGGCAAGTGTCAGGTCCCTGCTGTGCCTTCACCCTCTTTCTAAAAATACTAACGAGCGAGAGACCTCCAAGGCCACCAAACAGATATCCAGTTGTTCTCTGGGGTCAGTCCTTCACAGCCTGAGGCTGCCACCTGGCACCTGCCGCCTCTGGGCCTCCCGCCTGACAGCTGACCCCTGTCATCGCTGTGACTGTTCACTGTAAGGCAAAGTCCAGTTTGGCAGAGGTGGGGACTCCTGAGCAGCCAGGTCCAGCTTGGCCCAGCCTTGCCCATGCTGAATTGTGGGATACCAGGACAGCTTGGGGGTCTCCAACCCTGAGCCCAACCAAAGCAAACCCTTCTTTTTTGCTGGGGCTCTATTTCCACAGCCATGAAATGGAGGCGGTCAACCCCTGCAAAGCCTCGAAGTGTGAGTGGCAGCCTGGCTTGAGGACGCGGACACTTAGAACCAGGACAGCGGAGTCGAGACCTGGCCCTGCCCCTTCATAGCTGCATGGCTTGGGAGCTCTCTCAGTCACCTACTAAAAATGGGGATCGTAAGATTACAGAACAGTGATAGCATTAACCTATTTTTAAGGATCTATATTTATATACTTAGATCAATCTGATAGGGTGCAGACTAAAATATTAAGCATCGTCTTGAGGCGATAGGATATCAGATATTATTTTCTTTTTTTGCTTTATCTGTATTTTCTAATTTTTCTTCAATGAACATTTGGAGTAAAAAAAAAACCCAAAATGTTAAAGCAACAACCAGATAATTAGTACTTAAGTATTTGTCCTGACTTACAGGACAGTTTGAGAATGATGTTTATGAAAGTGGTTTACAAACTGTAAAGTTCTTTGCAAATGTAAATGGTCCTTATCATTTTCTCCAAGGGCATTTTGGAACTACAGGGATGGGGAGAGAATCGTTTCCTGGCCAGGTGCGGTGGCTCACACCTTTAATCCCAGCACTTAGGGAGGCTGAGGTGGGCAAATCACTTGAGCCCAGAAGTTCCAGCCAGCCTGGGAAACATAACGAGACCCTGTCTCCATGAAAAACTTTTTTGGCTGGACACGGTGGCTCACGCCTGTAATCCCAGCACTATGGGAGGCTGAGCTGGGTTGATCACCTGAGGTCAGGAGTTTGAGACCAGCCTGGCCAACATAGTGAAACCCTATCTCTACTAAAAATTAAAAAATTAGCCGAGCATGGTGGCACCCGCCTGTAATCCCAGCACTTTGGGAGGCGGAGGCAGGTGGATCATCTGAGATGAGGAGTTTGAGATCAGCCTGGCCAACATAGTGAAACCCCATATCTACTAAAAATACAAAATTTAGCCGGGTGTGGTGGCGGGTGCCTGTAATCCCAGCTGCTCAGGAGGCTAAGGCAGGAGAATCACTTGAACCCGGGAGGTGGAGGTTGCAGTGAGCCGAGATTGCGCCACTGCACTTCAGACTGGGGGATGGAGTGAGACGTCTCTCAAAACAAAAACAAAAACAAAAATTTAATTAAAAATAAAAGCAGGCTAGGGGCGCGCTCACACCCGTAATCCCAGCACTTTGGGAGGTGGAGGCGGGTGGATCAGGAGTTCGAGACCAGCCTGGCCAATATGGTGAAACCCCGTCTCTACTAAAAATAAAAGAAAATTAGCTGGGCGTGGTGGCGGGCCCCTGTAGTCCCACCTACTTGGGAGGCTGAGGCAGGAGAATCACTTGAACCGGGGAGGCGGAGGTTGAAGTGGGCTGAGATCGCGCCACTGCGCTCCAGCCTGGGAGACAGAGCGAGACTCCGTCTCAATAAACACATAAATAAAAGCAAATCCTTCTTTTCGCTAAGGCTGCATTTCCACCGCCATGAAATGGAGGCTGTCTCTGCAGTGACCTTCACCTGCCGCCAGCGGTTCTCTCCCCGCCATTCACTGGGCTCTGGGGGCTCTGGGCTTCCCTGCTGCAAGCTCTTAACCCTTAGCGTGAGCAGATGGTAGAACTGCCCATGCCAAGAGGGGTCCATACCAACTTCCGGAATAAACGAGGCCAAAGGGAAAGAGTAGGTTCGCCGGGGACAATCCCACACCAGGAAGCCCCACGATTCAACAGCACCACCCAGGATTTCAGTGTCAGTCCTATCCTCATCAGGCAGGCAACGGTTGGAGGAAGGGAACGGTTGGAGGGAAGGGAAGGGAACGGTTGGAGGGAAGGGAAGGGAACGGTTGGAGGGAAGGGAAGGGAACGGTTGGAGGGAAGGGAGGCTGAGCACAGGCACGGTCACGCTGTGTTGCACCCTGGCCTGCTCTGCGGATGAGTCAGCAGCATCGATTAAGCACCCACTGTGTGCAATGTCCTGAACTCTGTGCTGAGATGATAGCTCTGTTTGCTTTCCAGCCAATCAGCAAATATTTATTGAGCATCTGTCTATTTGGGGCAAGTCAGAGTACAGAGGGCATGGCTTAGAAAGGAATAGCTCAGACGGAGTTTGTGATTAATTACGGGAATGGGTGCCAAGTGAGAGATACAAAGGGTGGAAGAGCAGGAGCGCCTCCATCCAGGGGCGTGGAGGAGGCTCTGTGGATCTCAGGGCCATCTCAGCTGGCTCCAGACAGACAAGAAGACTCCTTCAGTGTTCTTCTGGTAATCACAGAAGCTCTGCGCTGGGAACCAGTACCCTAACAGAGGAGACTGGTAAAAGGTTTCCAGATGAGCATTAATGTAACCCACAGTAATTTGCATGGCCCAGTAAAAAGGAACATATGGGGCCCCTCGTTCAAGTTGATTAAGGGTGAGCCTCAGGAATGAAGTCTAAAACAGGAAAAAAGAAAAAAAGACTCGGAATTTCAAGATGGCAAAAGCAGAGAATTAGACCAAATGCAGGACCCTTCTCAGCACAGGGCCCTCCTGAGCAGATCCTGGGAAGCTGGCCCAGCCTACCTGGAAGAGCAGGAGATAAGAACTTGGGATTTCTGGTGACCAGGAGGATCACAGGCCTTGGGAAAGCCAGTGGCTGCTTCATTATTTCCATCCCGGGTCAAGTTCGGCCTCCAGAAGGTGAGATGGCCCAGCCAGATCTGGCTCTGTCCTTAGCCCTTCCCTCTGGTGGCCTGCCACTCTCAGATGATGGTGTCAACAAGACCAGAGGCTGCTGGCTCTTTTCTCAAAAGCCAGGACCAGGGAACAGCGCAAAATACAAAGGCCAACGCCTTCACTGGAGGAAGGGGTGGGAGCTGCTTCTCCCTGGGCAGCGCACGCCCACTCAAAGGCATCCAACCTCAAAGTGCATAAGCTCCCATCCGCCCACAGGGCATGCGTTTCGGCCCTATGTCCAACCTTCCCGTTTTACAAATCAGGACACAGAACCATCGGGGCAAGGGACCTCTCCAAGGCAACAGAACTGGGCAGTGCTGAAACTGGGACAAAGGCTTCTGTGACTCCCACCAGGGTCCTTTCCCCAACAGCCAGGTGCCTTTCTGTGCCCTCTGACTGGATCGTAGGGATCCAGGTGTGGGGATCCCTCTGCAGTGACCTTCACCTTCGGGGCCCTGCTCCCATGAGAATCACTGTTGCCCACGGGGGACGCCATTCACTGGGCTCTGGTATTGTGGAATGGAGTTGAAGTTTGGATGGAAGAGCTCACTGTCCCCTCTGCAGGCCTTTAACCCTTAGTGTGAGCAGATGGTAGAACCCCTGCCAGTGCCAAGAGGGGTTCATACCAATATCTGGGATAAACAAGGCCAAAGGGAAAGCGTAGGCTCCCCAAGCACAGTTTCTTTTCTTGCTACTAAACACCTGTGGGAGGAGGAGGCTCAGCCCTTCCTGTGGAGCATCTCTGCCAGGGTTCAATAGTATTGGACTAGAGTCCTGATCTGGGTCAACAAAAAGACTAGGGGACCAGGAGGCAAGAGTCAGCTCACCAGGACGGGCTGCAAACGGGGAGGTCTGCATCCAGGGTGAAGCTGCCCCTCCACAGGAAGCAGGCCCAGGAACCCCTGGCAATGCAGACAGGCTGAACCCACAGCACAGCCCCCATGGCGGGAGCAACTCCCGGTCAAGCGGCGGCAGGAAGTGCCCCAAAGGTGTCCACTTTTATTGTGCAGGACAGAATGTCTGCACATGCACCATCTTACAGAATTTGCACAGCTGCCTAAGGACAGAAGCTGAGGCTGCATTGTAAGGACACGCAAAGGGAGCCCCAGAGGACTGAAGTCCCTTTCTTAGGGCTCCTCAGGCTCTCTGACCAGTGAAGTTCTACAGCTGGGAGGGGAGCTGGGCTTTCCTAGTCTTGGCCCGATGCTTGTGGTCTGGCCTCTGACCACTCTCCATCTCACCCTGCCCAGCGCTGAGCCATTCTTCCCTGCCCCGGGGCCTCTGTGCAGGTGGGGGGTGGGGGTGGCCAGGGACCCTGCGCCTCACAGGCAGGTCACCAGGATCTGTAGAGCAGATTGAACACCCCATCCCCCGTGTTTGAAATGCCCTCTGGGCCCTTCCTCGCCGTCCACCCAGGAAGCTCTTCCTTCCATTAAGCTGGTTATTTCCACCACAGGGCCTTGGTGACACCTCTCACCTGATCACTATCCGTTCTCTCACTGGACGGTGAACTCCTTCAGGGTAGGAGCCGTAGTATGAGGCTGGCACTTACTGATAACTAGTAGTTGTTTTATCCATGAAGGGAGGGGACGACCTACACAGGCCTACACTTTAGGCATGACACGACAGCCAACATAGTCCCCAGACCAGTGTATCATCCTTCCACTATGTAAACACAGATAGGTTTCCCCTTGAAAAAAATTCCCACTATGTGAAAAGCCAAATCAATTTACAAGACAGCAAAATGGCGGAAGGAAGGGAAGGGACGGAAGGGACGGAAGGGACGGAAGGGACGGAGGGGACGGAAGGGACGGAGGGGACGGAAGGGACAGAAGGGAGGGAAGGGAGGAGGAGACATCTTGCAAATGGACTCCCCGCAGACTCCTTCAAATAGTCCCCTTTGTGAATCTCTTTCTAATCTTAGAATGAGGAAAACCTTTATAACTATGACATCAAATCCGGAAGCCATAAAGGATTAATACATTTGACTGCATAAAATTAAAATTATTTGAATGCAAAATAATAATAGCATATACACTTATAGCGCTCATTTCATGTCAAACCCTGCACAGAACACTTTATATATCTGAAGTCGTGTCATTCTCATAACAATCCCTGGGATAAGTACTGTCCTTATCTAAGGGACTCTGAGGTTAAGTAACTAAACTATGGTCATTCAGCCAGTAAGTTACAGACAAAACCCAGTAGCCTGCCTTCAGAGTGTGTGCTCCAGCCATTTCCTCGACCACCACACACCACACAAAATCAGGAGACAAAGAGAAACGGGGGGAACACTGCTGCACAGAGCACAAAGGACTGATTATCCTGAAGTCTGTGGAGGCCTTAAAAATGAGCCAACAGAAAAACTGAGTACAAACAAGCAAGCCCCTGAAGAAACATCACAAATCTGTGTAATAGATATGATAGCCTACATGATTGGCGAAGACTTAAGAGACTGATAATACTCAGTGTTGGTGAAGACATGGCTAAGCAAGCACTTTCACGTCCTTGGTAGAAATGTAAATTACTACCAAACGTACCAGAATTGTTACAATCATTTTTTTTTGGAGGACAATCTGACAATTATCTATTAAAATTTAAAATAGTCTTACCTAGTAAGTCCACTTCTAGGAGTCTCCCACAGAATAAGTCTCCCACAGAAAATGCTCCCCAAAGCTCAAAAAGACAAGCTATTCCATGCATCATTATTGATAATGTCAAAAACTGGGAATGAGCCAAATTGTAATCAAGGGTGTGTGGGCTAAATAAGCTGGCCTACAACCACACAATTAAATACTACATGTGTCTTTGAAAAGAGAGAGGTGTTCTTGTTCAATCAGTAAAAAACAATGGACAAAATGAAACAAAACAAAAAGAATGAGGTAGATCCCTATGATTAGATACAGAAGATATCTAAAATGTATTTAGTGGGGAGCAAGTCAGTAAGAACATGATATGATTCTATATTGGTAAAAATGAAACAAAGTATTCAGAGGATCTACTTTATATTTCAATGCATTAGAATAAGCACAGGAAACAGATATGGGAGGAATTTCTATCACACTAAAGACTTTCCCTTTCTTTCTAAGTTATGTATTTTCCCAATTGTAGGTTGTTTTCTCATGGGAGTTTGGTTTCAGTAAAAACCAGAGAACCTGCTAGACAAATTCTAGAAGAGCTCTAACACTTCCACTTCTAATTTTTCACACCTAAGACATCATCCTGTTACAATCAGGAAAAATATAATAAAGATGAAATTAAATATGCGATAAATAGCAAAAAACACCTTCCCTGTTTCTTTCTTTCTTCTACAAGCATGTGCTGGGTATGCCTCCTGAGTCCTAGGCACTGATGTCTCAGGCTGGGCATGCAGAGACGAATCCATATGGCTCCTGCTCTCAAGAAACTTCTGGAAGGGGGGAAACAGTTGGTAAATTTAGGGGGGGATTGTCTCCTGGACTCAGTTTTCCTCCGTGGGGTGAGGCAGATGGGCTGCTGTGGCAGCCGTCTCAGAGAGGGCGGGGTCTCCCTGTCAGGACCCAAGGGGTCCTAGGGTACAGGTGGAAGGCAGAGGTGGAGCGGTGTGGGGCAGCGGATCAGGGAGGGGCTGATGAGGCACTTAGGCTTTGTCCTGAGGGCAGCAGGGAGCAGTAGGAAGGTTATCCGCAGCCAGTGGCATCCTTAGAGCAGCGTCTTATTTTTTATTTTCGTTATTTTCTGTAGAGACGGTGTCTTGCTATATTGCACAGGCTGGTCTGGAATCCTGGTCCCAAACAAGTGGTCCTCCTGCCTCAGCCTCCCAATGTGCTGTAGCAGCATTTTAGCAGGACCATGATGGAAGCGGCTCGAAGGATGGGCTGGAGCGGAGAGCCACGCGCGGGAGCCCTGCTGGAGGTCTGCAGCACAGCATTGGCAGTGGGTATAAAAATGGGACTGCCCCAAGAGAGGGTGAGGAAACAGAACTGGCAGGACTGGGTGAGCGATTGGATGCTGAGGGTGGGGAAAGGGAGGGGTGGAAGACGACACCCTGTGCCTCTGGCTGGGTGGCAACTTTGTGCCTTCATAGTCTAAAAACGCACCCTCAGCGTTGCAGCCCCAATAGGACTCAGTTGATGAACAACTTTCCAGGAACGTGGCTCTTGTGTGAAAGGGGCACCTGCGGGAACCTGCACAGATGCAGCTGCCTGGTGGGATTACAGCAGTCCGCCCAGCCACTGCCCAGGGCGCCTGGAAGCCTGTCAAGGGCATAGTCCTTTGTGGCTGATGCTTACAGCTGATCAGAACCCAGGACACTAGCACTTACTATCAAGGTTATAGGGAGGCTGATGCTTACAGCTGATCAGAACCCAGGACACTAGCACTTACTATCAAGGTTATAGGGAGGCTGATGCTTACAGCTGATCAGAACCCAGGACACTAGCACTTACTATCAAGGTTACTGGGAGGCTGATGCTTACAGCTGATCAGAACCCAGGACACTAGCACTTACTATCAAGGTTATAGGGAGGCTGATGCTTACAGCTGATCAGAACCCAGGACACTAGCACTTACTATCAAGGTTACTGGGAGGCTGATGCTTACAGCTGATCAGAACCCAGGACACTAGCACTTACTATCAAGGTTATAGGGAGGCTGATGCTTACAGCTGATCAGAATCCAGGACACTAGCACTCACTATCAAGGTTATAGGGAGGTGGCAGAGAAAAGAAGTTCAGCGAGAGTGGTGCCTCTTTTCAAAATGGTATGACAGTCCCTAGGTTCTCTGGCTCCTGTTTCTGGATTCAGTGCTGTGAGGGCCTCTCACCATCATGTGGTCTGTGTGAACCAACCATCAGGGCAGTTTAGGTACTGCAGGGTGTTGGGGCCCCAGTCCTTAGCAGGGTTCAAGCAGCGGGTGCCATGCCTAGATCTTACAATTCCCGGCAGCATCTCCCTTCACCTCCTGCTTGCTGAGAGCACTTTGGTGGGCAGAAATAGCCCTGTCACTCATGCCCAGCTGCACACACGTCAACAACCTGGGGCTGTGCGCTCTCCTGATGCAAGGTCCTTTCTGCTAGTCATGACTACTAAGACCTGCTGCCCAGGACTGAGTGCTGATTCACCTACTAGGTTGGTCAGAGGGTTGGGGGCAACTCTGATTGCAGAAGCTCTCTGGATGGGCAGTGCTAGCGGAGTTCCATAGAGCTGGTCTTAAAAGCAGGGGCCTTTTGGCTGAGCTCCGAGTCCCTGGAGGGACAGTGTCTGCTGTGAACAGATGTCACGGAGGGAGCAGTGCAGTGTCACCAGTCTGGCTTCTCGCCCCAGGTCCCTTGGGCACGTCTTATCTTATCGTGCAGCTGGGCTGGGGGTGCTGCCAGACTTTGTGGGAGCTGGCTGCAAGGGCCAAGGGTGTTTCTTTAGAGATATTTCTCAGGTTCTGGGCCTCATTAGAACAGGAAAGCCTTCTGAAAGAGTGACGTGGCCGGCGGCAGGTATGGTGTGTGACTTAACTAGTCAATTTTGAGCAAACAGAGGCCCCCAGGCGTTTTTCCCGGGTCACTCCCTTTGCCCCTCCTGCTCTGCTCATCCTTCCAACTGCTCCTTTAGCCTGAAGGCCTGGAGCCCCAGCCGCCAGGCTGTAGCCAAACGCATATCTTGTTTGCATTCTCGGTGAACTTACCATTAATCTGTGACAGATGAAAAATAGGAACTTTGAAGCCAGAATGGGGTCAAGTCTGGCTTTACTGCCTGCTGCTAGGTGACCTTGAACAAGCTAAGTTGTCTGAGCCATAGTGTCCCCAAGTGCAAAATGGGATAAAAGATAGTCCCTACCTCACTGGGCTGCTGCGACAACAGTAGGGCACACATAAAACAGTTAGGTGTCTCCTAGATAACATGAGGGAGTCATCGTCATTGCCGGAGGGATTCAGAGTGGACCCGTCACGGTACATTCTTGTGAATATCCAACAAACAGGTGTTGAACAAATGGAGAAAGATATTAGACACAGATTACGAAGAAACAGAATAACTAGCTTCTCTGGCCAGGAGCGGTGGCTCACTCCTGTAATCCCAGCACTTTGGGAAGTCGAGGCTGGCGGATCACTTGAGGTTAGGAGTTCAAGACCAGCCTGGCCAACGTGGTGAAACCCCGTCTTTACTGAAAATACAAAATTAGCCGGGCGAGGTGGCGCATGCCTGTAATCCCAGCTACTTGGGAGGCTGAGGCAGGAGAATCGCTTGAACCCAGGAGGTGGAGGTTGCAGTGAGCCAAGATTGTGCCATTGCCCTCCAGCCTGGGCACCAAAAGAAAAACTCCATCTCAAAATTTAAAAAAAAATCAATTACAAATTATTTGGTTAGTTGTAAGAAGCAGAACATACTAAGGAATGTAGTCCAAGTCCAAGCTCTGTTCAGGGATAAATACTGTCATTATAAAAATTAGTGAAAATAAGCCAACTGAAATTCATCTCAGAAAAGTTATGAAAAGACAATAAAACACACCTTAGGAAAACAGCAAGGAAGAACAAAATTAAGATAATTACAGAAATTTGTGAGTTACAAGGCTATCAGTAGATTGAGTAAATGAAACTATGGAATGGATTTTTTTAAAGAAAAGTAAAATAAATCCTTTCCCTAAAAATGCAATCAAGAAAAAAACAGGGAAAAAAAATGAACAGACAAAAGTAGAGTGGATACAGATGTTATAAATATAGTAGGAAAGAAGATTTTTTAATGGAAAAAATCCAGAAATCTATGTTAAATATAGGAACCATTCTCAATTTATTAGGTTCACTGCAATACTAACTGGGTGTAATGACTACATTGTTCATTTGGTAAAGTATTAAAGCACAATTACTAAGAACTCTTAGGGGAAGAAAAGAATAAGAAGGCAAGAATTTCCCTGCAATACATCAACATTTACTACTCAGTCAACTTTGAAACAGATCTGAAAACCTAGCGATTGTTAAAGAAGCATCACAGGCAGGGCGCAGTGGCTCATGCCTGTGATGAAGCTCCCAGCTTCATCAGAAATTTGTGAGTTACAAGGATATCAGTAGATGAAGCTCCCATCTTCATCACAGCTTCCCAGCACTGTGGGACGCTGAGGTAGGAGGATCACTTAAGCCCAGGAGGTTGAGACTAGCCTGGGCAACAGGGCAAAACCCTGTCTCTACAAAAAATAAAATTAGCCAGGCGTGGTGGTGCAGGCCTGTAGTTCCAGCTACTCAAGAGGCTGAGGTGGGAGGAGCGCTTGAGCCCAGGAGGTTGAGGCTGCAGTGAACCGTGAGTGTGCCACTGCCTCCAGCCTGGATGACAGAGTGAGACCCTGTCTCAAAAAGGAGGAGGAGGAGCAGAAGGAGGAGGAGGAAGAGGATGAGGAGAAGGAGGAAGAGGAGGAGGAAGTGGAAGAATAAGAGGAAGAAAGAAAAGAAGAAGAAGAAGCAGCAGCAGCAACAGCAGCAGCATCACCAACTTATCAGGGAAGGGGGCAAATTATTTATCAAATAAATTACAAATAGCTTAAATAAAAGTAAAAAAGAAATGATAGAGGGAAACTTCCTCAACTTGATAAAGAATATCTACAAAAAACCTGTGGCTAACATCACACTTAATGGTAAAAAACTAAGAGCTTTTCCACGAAGACAGGGAACAAGGCAAGACATCCCCTCTCACCACTCCCTTTCAACATCATACTGGAACTCCAGGCTAACGCAATAAGATGAGAAAAAAATGTATACAGATTGGGAAGAAAGAAACAAGATTGCCTTTGTTCACAGATGACAAGATTGTCTATGTAGAAAATTGAAAATAATAAAGAAAATCGAAAATAATAAAGAAAATCCCTGGAACTAATAAGCAAGTATTACAAGGTTGCAGGATACAAGGTTAATATAAAAAAGTCCATTGTTTTCCTATAGATCATCAATGAATAAGTGGAATCTGAAATTAAATACACAATGCCATTACATTAGTCCTCAAAAAATCAACTACTCATGTACTCCATAAATATGTACAGATATTATGTATCAATAAAAATGAACTACTTACATATAAATCTAACAAAATAATTACAAGATCTATGTGAGGAAAACTACAAAACTCTGATGAAAGAAACCAAAGAACTGGGCCAGGTGCTGTGGCTCATGACTGTAATTCCAACACTTTGGGAGGCGAAGGTGGGTGAATCACTTGAGTCCGGGAGTTCACAACCACCCTGGGCAATATAGCAAGATCCCATCTCAATTTTTTTTAAAAAACAAAAACAAAACAAAAAAAAGGAAGAAAAGGAAGAAACAAAACAACTGAATAAATAGAGAGCTATTCTATGTTCATGAATAGAAAGACTCAATATTTGTCAAGACATCGGTTCTTCCTAACTTGATCTATAGATTCAATGCAATCCCAATCAAAATCCCAGCAAGTTATTTTGTAGATATCAACAAACCGATTCTAAAGTTTACATAGAGAGGCAAAAGATGTAGAATAGCCAACTCAATATTAAAGGAAAAAAATAAAGTCAGAGGACTGACACCACCCGACTTCAAGACTTATTTAATACAAAGCTACAGTAATCAACACAGTGTGATATTATCAAAAGGATAGACAAGTAGATCAATGGAACAGAATATAGAGTCCAGAAATAGACCCACATAAATAGAGTCAACTGATCTTTGACAAAGGAGCACAGATAATACAATGTAGCAAAGATACTCTTTTCAACTAATTGTGCTGTAATAACTGGACATCCACATGCAAAAAGAAAAAAAAAAGAATCTAGACACAGACCTACACGCTTCGCAAAAGTTAACTCAAAATGGATCATAGATCTGCATGTAAAACACAAAACTATAAAACTCCTGGACAGTAGCATAGGAGGAAATCTAGATGATGTAACGTAACATAGGATAGGATGACACAGGATTTCCATCCTAGGTTATTGTTATGTCATAACAATATGACTTTTTATATACAACACTAAATGCAAAATTCATGAAAGAAATAATTGATAAACTGGACTTTATTAAATTAAATGCCTCTGCTCTGTAAAAGACAATGTGAAGAGAATCAGAAGATAAGCCACAGACTGGGAGTAAATATTTGCAAAAAATATTGGCCAGGCGTGGTGGCTCACGACTGTAATCCCAGCACTTTGGGAGGCCAAGGCGGGTGGATCACCTGAGGTTGGAAGTTCAAGACCAGTCTGGCCAACTAAAAATACAAAATTAGCCGGGCGTGTTGGTGCATGCCTGTAATCCCAGTTACTCGGGAGGCTGAGGCAGGAGAATGGCTTGAACCCGGGAGGCGGAGGTTGCGGTGAGCCAAGATCATGCCATTGCACTCCAGCCTGGGCAACAAGAGTTAAACTCCGTCTTAGGGGGAAAAAAAAAACACTTTTGATAAAGGACAGTTATTTAAAATATGTAAATTCTTAGACTTTTAAAATTCAACAATCAGAATATGAACCTGATTTGAAAAAATAGGCCAAAGACGTCTTCACAGACACCTCATCAATGAAGACATAAAATGGCAAGTAAGTATATAAAAAGATGTCCACATGATACGTCATCAGGAAAGTGCATATTAAAACAACAATTTGATGAGAATGGCCAAAATCCAGAACACTGACAATACCAAATGCTGCAAGGATGTGGAACAACATCCTTGTTCATTGCTGGTGGGAATGCAAAATGGTACAGCCACTTTGGAACACAGTTCGGCAATTTCTTTCAAAATTCAACATACTCTTCCATACGATCCAGCAACCACGCTCCTTGGGATTTTCCCAAAAGAACTCAAAACTTACGTTCACACAAAAATCTGCACATGGATGTTTACGGAAGCTTTATATATAACTGCCAAAACTTGGAAGCTACCAAAATGAAAATACTCTGTATGAGGGTATGATGGTGGAAATACATCATTATGCATTTGTCCAAAACTGTAGAACATACAACAGCAGGAGTGAACTCTGTGTAAACGATAGATGTTGCGTGATAATGATGTGTCAACGCAGCTTCATTAGCTGCAACAAATGGACCCCTCTGCTGGGGGATGTTGATAATGGGGGCGGCTGTGCGTATGTAGGGACAGGAGGCATATGGGGAGTTTCTGTACCTTCCTCCCAATTTCGCTATGAATTTCGCTGTGAATTTTACTCTAAAAAAATAAAGTTTAAAAAGAAAGAAACAAACAAACAATAAAACCAAAGACAAGATAGTGACTCAATGGAGAAGAATTTTCCAAATATAAAAAAGTGGCAAGCTGAGTGCGGTGGCTCACACCTATAATCCCAGCACTTTGGGAGGTTGAAGCAGGGGCATCCCTGGAGGCCAGGAGTTGGAGACCAGCCTGGGGGACATGGCAAAATCCTGTCTCTACCAAAAATACAAAAAATTAGCCGGGCGTGGCGGCGTGTGCCTGTAGTCCCAGCTACAGGAGGCTGAGGTGGGAGGATCACTTGAGCCCAGGAAGTCGAGGTTGCAGTGAGCCATTATTGCACCATCCCACTCCAGCCTGGACGATGAGAGTGAGACCCTGTCTCAAAAAAAAAACAAAAAAAAATGGCAGAATTCACAGTCGAAAAGATAAATAAACATAAAAAAGTTAAGCTTCTGTCACATGAAAAACTTGTTAAAATTAAAAGTCACGTCATAACTATTACAAATTTATACCCTAAACCAAATAACACACCTATTAAGTACAATTATGATCCCAGTTTTCTAAAATAAAACAAAATGCCTTAATCTACAAAGGGGAAAAATGGAAGGCGAAACACTACGTGGTTGGTAGTTGTAGGCTGTGGGTTTCCGGGTGATGGCTGGTTCCACCATCTGTGTGACCTTGTGCAAGTCAGTTCCCCCTTCTGTGCCTCAGTCTCCCCATGTGTAGCATGAAAATGATAATGGCACCTTCCTGACAGGGTTGCTATGAGCACTACCTGGGTTACTGCGTGTAAAGTACTTGTAAGAGTGTGCGGCACTCAATAAATCTCAGTGTTGCTATTATTATACGTTTTCTTACAGATGGGCTTTTGAGATTTCCACTGTTTACCCAGGATACTAAGGGTTGTACTAAGAACATGGTGACACAGGAGAACATAGTCTGACATGGACAGACTTAAAGATTATAAGGAACAAACAAGTGAAAATAGGTCAGACAAATCAAAGAGTAAGGGCAGCACATATTATTCATGTTACATAAAACCAAGGAGCTGTTCCTTGTATATGATGAATTGAAGAAGTCTCGAAGACATTGCGTCTTGAGGCAAAGTAGGGCCAAGTGAAATTTCCACTTCTCTTGCCATTGGCCAAGAACATTTCATGGAGGAGATAGAATCTCAGAAGCTGAAGAAGAGGCGAATGTATTAGTGGGAGTTACCATTAACAATGAACACCAAGAAGTGTCGCAGGAGCCTGCACCTCGGCAGTGCAGCCAACTCTGCACTGAAGGTGTGGAGGGTCTGGGGCATTGTTGCTTTTGGGGAATGCTGGGCTATTACAGGCCAGAGGGCCCAGAGGCCTTTGCCTTGTTGAAGCCCTCTAGTATAATGCTGGACCCTTCTGGTTTAAAGGAACATTTATTATCACTAGTAAGATTTTTCTTTGTAGCTCTGGGCTAATTTATGTAGGTAGGAGGTCCCCTGCGGAGAAAGCTTGGTCTCTCGTATATAAACACAAGCATCTGCAGATAAGTTTCCTGTAAGGAAATGAGCTTGTTAACGGGTGGGAAAGGGAAGAACTGCTCACTCACACAATCGTGTATAATGTGTGTGTATGCGTGTGTGTCTGTGTATAGATATGTACAGACAGCACTTTGCCAACACCCTGTTTCTGGTATGCGCAAGGATGTTTCCATACTTGGCTGCTTCACAGGTGTTTTCACTGACCTCCCCCTGGGCACCGAGGGGGTAAGTGCGGATCTACGTTCAGCAGGTAGCTGTGTCCACAGCTCCATTCCGCCCCCACCCTCCTCCTTGCCCTCCCTCTGCCCAGAGGGAGGAAACTGGCAGTGAATTCCAGAGAGGACTGGAGAGGGCTGCCCGAGCTTGCCCATCTTACCAGACAGGGCTATGTCTAAGGTGTGAGTGCTGTGGACCTGGCCATAGGCCACTTTCGAAGGAGCTCACCCGTGACTCAGCTTGGGCTGTGAGAAATGAGGAGAAAGGGGGGGAGACATTTAAAACATGGTCATCAATTCAATCTAATTAGAGTCATTTGAGGTCCACCTAATAGACACCAAACTGTTAACAGCAATTATCTTTGGCCGATAGAATTAAGGAAAATTTTAATCCTGTTTAATATTATTTTCTACAATATTTTAATTTTAACTTTTTTTTTGAGACAGGATCTTTCTTTGTCATCCAGGCTGCAGTTCAGTGGCACAATCACGGCTCACTGGAGCCCCGACTTCCTGGGCTCTAGCGATCCTCCCACCTCAGCTTCCCAAGTACCTGGGACCACAGATGTGCACCACCACACCCGGCTAGTTTTCATATTTTTGGTAAGGACGGGGTTTCACCATGTTGGCCAGGCTGGTCTCGAACTCCTGGGCTCAAGTGATCCACCTGCCTCGGCCTCCCAAAGTGCTGGGATTACAGGCGTGAGTCACTGCGCCCAGCCTACAATGCTTGTATTTTTGTTACAAGGATGTATTTCTTGTACCAGCCGAAAAAGAGAGAAATATTGAAATAAATAAAGCACAAATTTGGAAAGTATTCCAGGCCGGGTGAGGTGGATCATGGCTGTAATCCCAGCACTTTGGGAGGCCGAGGCGGATGGATCACCTGAGGTCAGGAGTTCGAGACCAGCTTGGCCAACATGGAGAAACCTTGTCTCTACTAAAAATACCAAAAAACTAGCCAGGTGTGGTGGCAGGCGCCTGTAATCCCAGCTACTTGCGGGGCTGAGGCAGGAGAATTTCTTGAACGCGGGAGGCGGAGGTTGCAGTGAGCCGAGATTGCGCCGTCGCACTACAAGACAGAGACTTCATCTCAAAAAAAGTATTCCTCCCCCCGCCCCAGTTAATTTGTCAGTGGATAAGAAATGAGAATGACGAAGCTAAATCTTAGACATTTGAGGGGGTCATAGCCCCCAAGAAAAGGGTGAGTGTCCTAGCTACAGCACAAGCCATCACACGTTGAGCAGCGTGTAAGACCTCACAACATGATCTCTGCAACATCCTACAAGGGGGTATTATCCCCCCATTTACTGGTGAGAAAACAACTCAGAGAGGTTAAGAGACTTATCAGGATGCCACCCATGTTCGTGGCTTCATTGGAATTTGAACCCTGACTTGCCTCAGTAGAGTTGGGAGATTAGGACCACTCAGTCCCAGCAAGTCTGGAAGTGCGGAGGCCCTCCCAGCCCCACGACTGCGCTTGGCCTACTGCCTCTCCTCCTCAGCTTGGTTGGACCTGCACCCCAGCACGCCCGGGGGGCTCACATTCCTCCCCGAGATGCCGCCACTGATTCACCATGGTGCCAGTGTCCCATTGCCCGTCTCGGGCACAGGAGTAGCCGTGCACTCAGGATACCTCTGATGCCAAGGTTTGAGCAGCTCTGGCCCAGCCCGCCTCCTTCTGCCCAGCTGCCAGGGCCCCGATACTCAGCCCTCCCCTGCCTGGTTTCTGAGTCTGAGGAATGTGCCCAGAAGCAAATTGGCGCTGAGATTCACATTTACTCCTTTACTCCTTCCGAACGCCTGAGCCACTGGGGGGTCTTGGCTACTTCCAAGCTTCAATTCCTCGGGGCTGAATTTCTCAGTGATCTTGGGAGGTCCTTGCAGCTGAGTCCTTCTGGGAGACATGCAATGAAGGTGGTCAAGGCTATGAGGGGAAAAGGTGGTCAAGATAACGAGGGAAATGGAGCTAGAGGCTTTACAAAATGGGTGGGGGCCAGGTGCGGTGGCTTAGGCCTGTAATCCTAACACTTTGGGAGGCCGAGGTGGCAGAATGCCTGAGCTCAGGAGTTAGAGACCAGCCTGTGCAACATGGTGAAACCCCATCTCTACTAAAATACAAAAAAAGTTAGCCGGGCATGGGTGATGCACACCTGTAGTCCCAGCTACTCAGGAGGCTGAGGCGGGAGAATCACTTGAACCTGGGAGGCGGAGGTTGCAGTGAGCTGAGATCGAGCCACTGCACTCCAGCCTGGCAACAGAGGGAGACTCCATCTCAAAAAATAAATAAATAATAAAATTAAATTAAAAAGGGTGGAGTGGAGAAACAGTTTGAAATTAGACGGATGGCAAGGCGGGTGGCAGAATTTTTTTGGGGTGTGTGTGTGTGTGTGTGTGTGTGTGTGTGTGTGTGTGTGTGTGTTTTGAGACAGTCTCCCTCTGCTGCCCAGGCTGGAGTGCATGGTGTCATCATAGCTCACGGCAACCTTGACCTCCCGAGCTCAGGCAATCCTCCCACCTCGGCCTCCAAAAGTGCTGGGATTACAAGCATGAGCCACCATGCCTGGCCCAGAATTGTTGTAAGTTTCTTTTTTTCTATTTGTTAGGGTTGTTCTAGTATTTATGTAATTTAAAAAAATCAATCTTGAGTTTTCAAAGGGTGAAAACAAGATATGTAGAAATCTATCTGAACTCTCAATAGTTAAAACACTCCCAATTCCTTTGGTAGGGAGATCTCTGTCCTTTGAAAACAGGTCCACCTTGACCAGAAGACTTACTATTTAGTTCTCACCTCCCTGTGATTTGCTCTCTCCTGCATTTGCAGAACTGGCAGAGCATTGTGAATGCTCAGAATTTGTGGAATAAATGCATGAACTGGGTTTGCATCCTCATTTAGAATGCATGTAACTAGGTAGCTGCTTTTTGTATTATTTACTATGAATTTAAAAATATATCTTTTTAAAAATTAACTTTAAAAAAATAAAACAGGCCGGGCGCAGTGGCTCACGCCTGTAATCCCAGCACTTTGGGAGGCTGAGGCGGGCGGATCAGGAAGTCAGGAGATCGAGACCATCCTGGCTAACACAGTGAAACCCCGTCTCTACTAAAAATACAAAAAAAATTAGCCAGGCGTGGTGGCGGGCGCCTGTAGTCCCAGCTACAGGGGAGGCTGAGGCAGGAGAATGGTGTGAACCTGGGAGGCGGAGCTTACAGTGAGCCAAGATCAGGCCACTGCACTCCAGCCTGGGCCACAGAAGCAAGACTCCGTCTCAAAAAAAAAAAAAAATAAATAAATAAAACAAATAGCCAGGTGCGGTGGCTCACGCCTGTAATCCCAGCACTTTGGGAGGCCAAGGCAGGTGGTTCACCTCAGGTCAGGAGTTTGAGACCAGCCTGGCCAACATGGCAAAACCCCATCTCTACTAAAAATACAAAAAAATTATCTGGGTGTGGTGGCGGGTGCCTGTAATCCCAGCTACTCGGGAGGCTGAGGCAGGAGAATCACTTGAACCTGGGAGGCGGAGGTTGCAGTGAACCAAGATCATGCCAAGGTGGCAGTGAGCCAAGATCAGCCTGAGCGATAGAGTGCGACTCTGTGTCAAAAAAATAAATAAATAAAATAAAATGATTTCCATGGGAATAAGAGAGTAGAGTCTGACCCAGTTTATTATCTGTCTGACTTGATACACACCATTTTAAGGTACTGACATCCCCAGATGAAGCCAGTAGCAATCCCTTAATTAAATAACTATTCAATTAAGAACAGCTGTGTCACTTCAGACGCAATGTCCCGTGTGGTGATGACTGAGGAACCCCATGCATAAGGTACGCTGGAGGCTTCCACACTCAATGGGGATGACACTGGAGAACTGCAGACTGAGCCATAATCCACACACCACACAATTCACCTATTTAAAGTGTACGGTTCAGTGGCTTTTAGTATTTACAGAGTTGTGCAAACATCATCACAATCCATTCTAGAACATTTTCATCATCCCCAAAAGAAACCCAGTGCCCATCCCTTCCTTATCCCCAGCCCCAGCCTAGGCAACTACTAATCTACTTTCTGTCTGTATCGATTTTGGATAGTTCCTGTCAGTGGGATCACATACTCTGTGGTCCTTTGTGTTGTTCATTTAGCATAATGTTTTCAAAGTTCATTCATGCTGTAGCATGTTTCAGTACTTCGTTTCTTTTTATCATTGAATAGATATTTCATTGGATATACATTTTGCTTATACATTCCTCAGCTGATAGGAATTTGAGTTGTTTCCACCTTTTCACTATTATAAATAATGCTGCTGTGCACATTGGTTCATTGTGTGAATGTATATACCTAGGAGTGGAGTTAATTGCTGGGTCATACCGTACCTCTGTGATTAGCTTTTTGAGGAACTGCCAGACTGCTTTCCAAAGTGGCTGCACCATTTTGCATTCCAGCCAGTAAAGTAGGAGATTCCAGTTTCTCCTCATCCTTACCAATACTTGCTATTACCTGCTTTTTTGAAAATAACAGTCCCCTAATGAGTGTAAAGTGCTGTCTCATTGTGGGTTTTCTTTTGCTTTATTTTTTGAGACAGGGTCTCACTCTGTTGCCCAGGCTGGAGTGCAGTGGTGCCATCATGGCTAACTGAAGCCTGGACCTCCTGAGCTCAAGTGATCCTCCCACCCCAACCTCTTGACTAGTTAGAGCTACAGGCACATGGCCACCATGCAAGCTAATTTTTAATTTTTTTTTTTGTAGAGATGAGATCTCACTATGTTGCCCAGGCTGGTCTTGAACTACTGGGCTCAAGCAATCCTTCTGCTTCCACCTCCAAAAGTGCTAGGATTTCAAGCATGAGCCACCACACTGGGCCTGTTTGCGGTTTTGAGTTTATATTTTCTTGCTGGCTAATGATGTTAAACATCTTTTCATGTGCTTATTGGCCATTTGTATATTTTCTTTGGAAAAATGTTTATTCAGCTCATTTGCCCTAAAATTTGATTATTTGTCTTTTTATTATAAAGTTGTAAGAGTGCTTTATATATTCTGTATACAAGTCCCTTATAAGATATATGATTTGTAAATATCTCTCCCATTATCTGGATTCTCTTTTCACTTCCTTGATGGTGCCATTTGAAACGCAACCTTTTTTAATATTCATGAAGCCCAATTTATTTTTCCTCTGTTACAGTGCTTTTGGTGTCATATCTAAGAAGGCTTTCCTGCATGACGGTTTACTTACATTTTGTTCTAAGAATTTTAGATTTTAGCTTTTACATTTAAGTCTATGATCCATTTTGAATTAATTTTTGCACATGGTATGAGGTAAGAGTCCAACTTTATTCTTTTCCATGTGGACATCCAGTTATCCCAGCACCATTTGTTGAAAAGACTATTCTTTTTCTTTTTTTTTTTGAGACGGAGTCTCAGCCTGTCACCCAGGCTGGAGTATAGTGGTGCAATCTTGGCTCAGTGCAACCTCTGCCTCCCAGGTTCAAGTGATCCTCCTGCCTCAACCCCCTGAGTAGCTGGGACTACAGGCACGCACCATCACACCTGGCTAATTTTTGTATTTTTAATAGAGACGGGGTTTTGCCATCTTGGCCAGTCTGGTTTCGAACTCCTGACCTCAAGTGATCTGCCTGCCTCAGCCTCCCAAAGTGCTGGGACTACAGGCATGAGTCACTGCGCCTGGCCAAAAAGACCATTCTTTCCCCCGCTGAGTCGTCATAGAATTGGTGTATATGTCTGTCCTTACGCCAGCATCACACTGACTTGATTACTGTAGCTTTGTAGTAAGTTTTCCTGTTGGGACGCGTGAGTCCTCCAGCCTTCTTTTTCAAGATCATTTGAGCTATTCTGGGTTCCTTGAAATTCCGCACAGTTCTAGGATCAGCTCTGCAAAGTCTGCTGGGGTTTTGATGGGAACCGCATTAAATCTGTAGACCAATTTGGGGAGTATCGCTATCTTAACAACAGTAAAGGGATTTTTTAAAGTATAAGCTGCGAGGACAAAATAGACTGGAAGAGGAAATAAGTAGAACGAGGAGTAGTAAATGAATGTCTTGGCCGAGCAATAGAGGCCACAGCCTGGCCGGGTGCGGTGGCTCACGCCTGTAATCCCAGCACTTTGGGAGGCTGAGGCGGGCGGATCACTTGAGGTCAGGAGTTCGAGACGAGCCTGGTCAACATGGTGAAACCCCGTCTCTACTAAAAATACAAAAATTAGCCGGGCGTGGTGGTGGGCACCTGTAATCCCAGCTACTCGGGAGGCTGAGGCACGAGAATCGCTTGAACCTGGGAGGCGGAGGCTGCAGTGAGCTGAGATGGCGCCACTGCTCTCCAGCCTGGGCGACAGAGCGAGACTCAGTCCCAACAACAACAACAATAGCAAAAAAAGCCACAGCCTGATGCTTGCAGGAAGGAACCAACAGGATACGAGGAATCCAGGAAGGCACTGGGTGTGGGGACACAAGTGCAAGGGAGGTAGGGACGAGGTACAGACCTGAGATGGAGGACGGGCTGAAAGTCTACTTACAGAGCAGTTCAACCCTCCGACTCCTTCACCACCCCTCAAAGCCTGTTGACAGATCCTCCCCAAGGCAAGTGACCAGAGGTTTGTTATTTTCCAGAGCAGTGCTCTTGCGGTGTGGTCCAGGAACTGGTTTAGGTCCACAAACTGTTAGTGGCCCCAGTAAGATAAGTACAGGAAGCAAGAATATGTGTTTAGGATTTTCACGGAAATTTGACGTTGCCTCAGCACTCAGTGTGTGATCAGTGGGTTCTCCTGGCTGAAGGATAGAGGCCAGTTTGGATGTCTGAACTCCCAGAGTGAGGCATGTGCCGTGTGAGATGCGGCCTACTCATGCCCAGCAGGACCACGTACATGTCCCTGACAGAATGGGAGTTTCAAAACTCCGCCTTCCCCACAGATAGTCTGCAAAGTGCTGCTCTAGAGGCTGGCAGGCTCGGCTGTGCATCATGGGGAGAGGGTTGAGGCAACTGCTGAAAATCTGCATTCAGAACACTGGGACACCCAGCTGTCCTCCCACTTTCATTCCTGAAAACTGGCAACTAGGCTTATACCCTTCCCCAACACCTATCCCCAGACAGAAGTCCAGATGATTCCTATCGGAAAAGACTACCTTGGGGCTGGGAATAGCGCATGTGCCTGTAGTCCCAGCTATTTGGGAGGCTGAGGCCGGAGGATCGCTTGAGCCCAGGAGTTCGAAGCTGCAGTGAGCTGTGATTGCACCACTGCGCTCCAGCCGGAGAGACAGAGCAAGACAAAAATAAAAAATAAAAGAGATGACATAATCTAGAGAGACAACATTAAGACACTGACATCTGGAGTCCACTCAGCAAAGAAGCTAACACCCACCCTACATTTCTGCATTGAAGCTCCCCAGCAAACAAGCCCTACCCATGCAGATAAAGCTTCACATAACCTGGAAGATGAGGGGTTTTGGGGTTTGTTTTTCGAATGGGTTCTATATTAATATGGTTCGGAACTCAAAAGATTCAAAAGGTACAATGAAAAGGTCCACTTTGTCCTTCACAACTTAGCTCTCCTTCCAGTAAGCTTTTTGGTGCCTCACTGTTTAATATACACAGAAAGCCTACATGAAAGATGGAGACCAAAATAAAGAAATAAGAGAAGAGACAGAGAGAATGTAGGGAGCAGAAGAAAAGTGCAAAAAAGGAAAAGAATAACATCTGCAGAGAAAAAAGAGAAGCTATTCCATCAATGTAATAAGAACTGTGTCTTATTTTAGTTTATTTATTATTTTTAAAAATTATTAATAGAGATGTTGCCCAGGCTTGTCTAGAACTCCTGGCCTCAAGCCATCTGCCTGCCTCAGCCTCCCAAAGTGCTGGGATTACAGGCATGAGCCACCTTGCCCAGCCAATATTCTATTTCAAAAAGGAATATTCGGAAACCAAAGAAAAGAGAACTCTTGGAAACTAAAAATATGAAATTAAAAATATAAAAATTAAAAATTCAACTTAAGATAGAGAAACGTTTATAAAATCTCATAGAAAGTAGAACAAAAAGATGATAGAGATAAAAAATTAGATACAAAAGACAAAACTAAAGGATCACATCAGAAGATCCAACATCCTAACACTGAGAGTTCAAGATGGGCTGAACAAAGAAAAGAGAAAGGCAAAAATTATTAAATAAACAATTCAGATGTTTTTTCTAGAGCAGAAAACATCAATTTTGGGGTCAAAAGGACTTACCAAGTGCCCTATATAATGAATGAGGAACAACTCACCCCAAGCCACATCATTGTCAGCTTTTGGAACTGGAGGTCAGAAGGAATCTAACAACTTCCAGACATGAGCTCCAGAGGACAGAGGAGTGAAATGGCACTCGATGTCACAGCAGCCACACTAGAAGCTACAATTCTATACTCAACCCACTAGCAATTGCGGGAAGACGGTTTAGGTAAGTTAGTCCACAAAAATTGTCCTTCCTTTGCTCACTTTCTTAGGGAGTTACTGGAAGGTGTGCGCCACCAAAATCAAGGAAGAAGACAAGGAACCCACAGGACTGTGGGCCGAGTTGCTTTGGCACTAAGCAGAACAGAGGGGAAAGGAAGAAAGAGTGGAGCAAAAGAAGGGAGGGAGAGAGGACGACGCTTTGAACTGGGTGCATGGAGAAAGCAGTCAGGAGACCAAGAGGTTCCTCCTGGCATTTGAATCCCCGGCCCCAACTCTTCCGGAGGCCCGGCTGCAATCCTGTCCTTTGGCTTTGTGAGACACCAGATACCCTTGTAATAAATTCCACTTCTTATTTAACTAGTTCACATTGCATTTCAGTCACTTGCAACCAAAAAATTTCTCCTGATATATTGCTACTCAAGGTATTAGAACCTGGGAGCTTGCTGGAAATGCAGAACCTCAGGCCTCCCCCAGATCTACTCAACCAGAATCTGCATTTTAGCAGGATTCCCAGGTGACTTACAGCCACATCAGAGTCTGAGAAGCACTGTCCTGATATATCCACCTTGCAAGGTAGGGTGGCGAGCATATTAGGGATAATAGGTAAAATATTTGACTACATAGTAGGTACTCTGTAAGGGATGATGATGATGATGATGATGATGATGACGACTGGAGTAGAAATACTTCGGAATTACAATCTCAGAAAGAGTTCCTGGGACCATGGCAAATGGTGGCTTTGCACCAAATTACAAAAGCAAGCACACAACCAAAAAGACAGAAAGCGCAATATCCCAAGAAACAGGTTCAGCTCTACTCCAGGAGCCTGTTGGGTTACTCAGCCCAGGTGTTGACATAGGAAAGCCATTAAGAAAACCCTTCTCAGGTGTGGCCATTGGCTGTGAGTGAGTGATTGACAGTCAGATCCGGTATGATGCTTGGCTGGGGGAATGCTGAGCTAATGCCACCTTTCTCAGTAGAGCAAGCATTCTGCCCCAGCACTCAGGAAGTAGGTCAGGAGGAGATATCCTGTGTGAGCAGCTCCAAATTGCTTTTTCAGGCAGAAACCTGTGGCCCACAGGACTGGGGGTGGAAGGGGAATGGGGATGAGAGGAGGCTGGGGGCCTGCTGCGGGGTGGAGATAGGAAATCACGTCCTCATTCTTGGCAGGAGCAAAGTTGCCTGTCACATAGTTTTCCTGGCTCCAGTCCTTTGGCCATCAGCCACCGTCTTTGTGCTGGGGGTTCCGTTGACTTTCCAGTGCAAGCCAATTTGATGGAAGCTGGGGCTTAAAAGGAAATGTGCGCTTGTAGGAGCTGGTGTTCCATCTGGGCCCTCGGTGTGCTGTGGATGGATGGAGGATGAGTATCCAAGGTCTGGATCTTCCCTAGGAGCTAGCGGTCATTGTTTTCGAATTGTCCACCAATTACGTGGCACTGTACTCAACCCTTAAGAGTCTTTACCAAGCACACCAGCCCTCCAAGAATTTATATGCTAGAGTCCCCAGTCCTTTAGACTATCTTTAGGAATCTTATCCTATTCAGCAACAACAAACTCTACCATCATCCAACGGCCGTCCTTGTGAAGGCTGACCATAGTAATCAACTCTGCAGCCACCACTACAGCAATAAAAGCCTAATGTTACCCTTGAATAATAGCGAACACTTAATAATGTGCTTATTACCGGCCTGGCACTTTTCTAAGTACATATTTTAATTCATCTACTTCTCACAGCAACTTCATGAGGTCAAATACAATTGCAGTCCTCATTTTACAGATGAGAAAGCTGAGACATAAATGAGACATTAAATGAGATTACACAACTAGCAAATGGCAGAACTGGGAGTCAAACCCAGGCAATCTGGCTCCAGAGCTCCTGCCCTTTAGCCGCTGTACCCAAGCCGTGACACAGGGACAGCCTGGTGGGCAAGGGTCAGCCACAGTCCTCCTGCTAGCTAATCCCATCTCAGCCCTCACTAGCTAGCTGGCTTCAGCTAAATATGAATAACTCAGCAATGTGGTGAGGTGCAAGAGCTGAGGTGTCAGAGGAAAAGATCTGGATTCTACGTCCTGATGCTGCCACCTGGAAAAGAAGGACACTGATGCTGACTGAATGCAGAGCACGTATCAGGTCCATGTTTAATCTTCCCAGCTAGCCTGTGTGACCTGAGGCAAGTCACTGTCCCTCTCTGGGTCTCTGTTTTCTAATGTGGAAAGTGGACCAGGTGCTTTCTGGGTTGTTGTTGTTTAATTCAATCTAGGCAACACTCGCTCACAGAAGAATTCATGCACATACACGGCGCCACGCTAGGGGCTGTACGCACGCACGGCGCCACGCGCTAGGGGCTGAACGCACACGCACGGCGCCACGCTAGGGGCTGAACGCACGCACGGCGCCACGCGCTAGGTGCTGAACGCGCACGCACGGCGCCACGCTAGGGGCTGTACGCGCACGCACGGCGCCACGCGCTAGGTGCTGAACGCACACGCACGGCGCCACGCGCTAGGGGCTGAACGCGCACGCACGGCGCCACGCTAGGGGCTGTACGCACGCACGGCGCCACGCGCTAGGTGCTGAACGCACACGCACGGCGCCACGCGCTAGGTGCTGAACGCACACGCACGGCGCCACGCTAGGTGCTGAAGGGGCCGCAAAGATGAGTAAAATGCAGAGCGGGCCTTCGCAAGGCTCACAGCCCAATTCTCTTTTCCATTTTGTAGTCCTTGTGAGCTGAGCAAGGCATTATCATCCTTTTATTTAAAACAATAGGGGAAACACCGGGCGCGGTGGCTCACGCCTGTAATCCCAGCACTTTGGGAGGCTGAGGCGGGTGGATCACGAGGTCAGGAGATCGAGACCATCCTGGTTAACATGGTGAAACCCCGTCTCTACTAAAAATACAAAAAAAATTAGCCGGGCGTGGTGGCGGGCGCCTGTAGTCCCAGCTACTCAGGAGGGTGAGGCAGGAGAATGGCGTGAACCCGGGAGGCGGAGCTTGCAGTGAGCTGAGATTGCACCACTGCACTCCAGCCTGGGCAACAGAGTGAGACTCTGCCTCAAAAAAAAAAAAAAAAATAGGGAAAACAACAACAGCAGCAATAGGGGACTTGTCCCAGCTACTGAGGAGGCTCAGGCAGGAGGATTGTTTGAGCCTAGGAGGTCTAGGCTGCAGTGAGTCATGATGGCACCACTGCACTCCAGCCTGGGCGACAGAGTGGCAAGACCCTGTCTTAAAAAAAAAAAAAAAAAAAGACGAAGGAGAGAAATAATGTTTGACCATGGAAGGTCACACATTTTTGTTGTAGCTAGAGCATGATCCAAGTCGATTCTGAGTCTGGGCCTCTTTCCACTCCCAGCTGTCCTACTAGCCTAATTCATCTGGCATCACTGGGGCCAAAAGCTACAAAGTCCATTTTGAGCTCTAACTTTGCAGAGTCATTTCCATCCTCCTGCCTTCCCCATCCTGACAAGTGCACATGCACACACACATTGCCAGACACCCAGCAGACACAGAATCAATGCTTTTGCGTGAGTGAAACAGCCCCTCTGGCAGCCCTCTTCACCTGCCCAGTCCCCAGTGCCCAGCACCCAGTGCTGAGCTGGTGAAGATCCCGTGGCCAGAGGCACACTTACCATATACATCATGACTCAGATCCCATTTGCTGACTTGGAACTGAAGCCTCTTGCCCCACCAAGCAATTACTGGAGAACAGGAAGTCTCAACGGAAAATGAGGTCAGCCTGGTGGCTGAGAGGAAAAGGGTCAGCGAGCACAGCCTTCTGCCCCCGTGGGTCCCCACAGCGGCCAGCCCAGGGCCCTGCATGCAGCAGATGCCCACCACAGCTTCACTGGTGGGTTAGCTGCTCTGAGCGACTCTGTTCAGCCCAGCCACAGGAGGGGGTTACCAGGCAGGGACTTAATATGTGGCTCTAGAGTCTGAAGGAGACAACTTCAACTCAACCTTGTTTAGCAGAACTGGGCTATGACAAGGACAACCACAGCACTGGAAATCTATTCTTTTTTTTTTTTTTTTTTTTTGAGACGGAGTTTCGCTCTTGTTGCCCAGGCTGGAGTGCAATGGTGCAATCTCGGCTCACTGCAACCTCTGCCCTCCAGGTTCCAGTGATTCTCCTGCCTCAGCCTCCCAAGTAGCTGGGATTACAGGCACCCACCACCATACCTGGCTAATTTTTTGTCTTTTTAGTAGAGACGGGGTTTCACCATGTTGGCCAGGCTGGTCTCAAACTCCTGACCTCAGGTGATCCACTTGCCTCAACCTCCCAAAATGCTGGGATTACAGGCATAAGCCACGGCACCTAGGCTGGACATCTATTCTTTAAAGAACTCTGTGTTACCAAATTCAGTTCTGCAATCTGTCCCAAGAACTTCCTTTTCTGTGCCCTAAGTTACGATAGAGGAAGAGGCACATCAACCCCAGGCCTGCCTGCCTTTCTTTCTTTCCTTCTTTTCTTTCCTCCTTTTCTTTCTTTTTCTTTCCCTCTTTCTTTCTTTCTTTTTCTTTCTTTCTTTCTTTCTCTCTCTCTCTTTCTTTCTTTCTTTCTCTCTCTCTTTCTTTCTCTTCCTTCCTTCCTTTCTTTCTCTCTCTCTCTCTTTCTTTCTTTTCTTCTTTCTTTCTTCCTTCTTTCTTTTTGTCTTGCTCTGTCACCCAGGCTGGAGTGCAGTGGCACGATCTTGGCTCATTACAACCACCACCTCCTGGGTTTACGCAATTCTCCTGCTTCAGCCTCCTGCATAGCTCAGATTGCAAGGGCACACCACCACACCCAGCTAATTTTTGTATTTTTAGTAGAGACAGGGTTTCACCATGTTGGCCAGGCTGGTCTCGAACTCCTGACCTCAAGTGATCTGCCTGCCTCAGCCTCCCAAAGTTGGGATTATAGGCATGAGCCACTGTGCCCGGCTCCCAGGGCTTTCTTGAAGTGGCATAAAAGTAAGAAAGGATTTTAGAAATCATTTAGTCTAAACTCCTCCTGGTTACACCTTTGGAAGCATTTCCCTGTAGATATTCTTCCCATACCCACCATACCTCTTTCTTGGCAATAAATAACCTGCTAGAAGTCAGAAGAGAGAAAAACTTCCATGAGTTTCCAGGAAGCGAGGCCATTATTACTTGTTGTAGGAGGTTGCCCCCCAATATCTATTTGACCTTCTTGCAGGATAGTAGAATATTTGACGGGATGCATGACCACTTAGCTAAAGTCAGCATTTCCCAATCCGTCTTGCAGCAGCAGGGCTGTATGACCAAGGTCTGGCTAATGAGAACTTAGCAAGAAGAATTGTGGCCCTAAAAGGAAGGCACCTGTCTTCTCTATCCCCTCCCTCCCTTTTTCCCAGGCTGGAATGTGGAGATTGTGGTGAGCATCTTCAATCATGTGTATAAGGTACATATCCCAGGAGCAGAGCAACAAGCTAGAAGGAGCTTGGGTCCCAAACACCGTGGAGCTACTGTATTATCCCTGGACTGTCTGCACGCAGACTATTACACACAGGCGAGAAATAAACTTCCATTTTGGTCTAAGCTGTTATTATTTGGCGTCTTGCGTCAGTGAAACCTGCATCCTAACACAACACTCTGTGGGGTGTCGGGGCAGTCGCAACCTCCCGTTCTCTGAGAAACCCCCAATTCCACACACCTAGGAGGTAGCCTGGTGACATTATATCCGGTCCAGGAATATCTGGCTCAGGCTGGGTAGAGTAGGGGCGGGAGTCCTGTCCAAGCAGGGCCAATCAGATTTTCCCTTCCATTAATCTGGAACTGAGATTCACTGTTGCTATTCAACCTCCACGGACTACATGAACCAAGATGCACCAGGAGAAGCAAAAATGAGAGGCCAGGCAGCCCCAGAAAAGCAGAGGGAAGGAGCTGTCTGGGTTGGTAGGGCTCGAGGTTCTGGCCCAGGCACTTGGATGACCTCCCTGATCTCCCTGTTGTGTGGTTCTTGGGAGAGATCCTGACACTTTATGATAAACTCCCTCTTTTGGTCTCAGATGCTTTAGGTTCCTTTCTGTCACCCGTAACCCAAAGTGCCTGAGTCTCTTCTGATCCTTGTAAAGATCTGTGTATCCTCAAAACCAGAGGACCCATGTGTCTGCAGCACACCCTTGGCACACCGGGTCCTCTCCGTCACTGCAATCATAGAAGGTCCTGAGGTGAACTAGGTAGATAGACAGATTGATCGCCTGATCGGCTGATTGGTGAATCAATCCATGGGTCTTCCAAGGGATGCTAAACAGGCCTCATGGAATCACAGAATCAGGGTGAAAGGGACAAAAGGCATCAGGCAAGGTGTGACCAGAAAGGCTTAGTGACATGTCCAAAGCGTGCAATTCAGTGGCAGAGTTTCAACTGGACCCCAGCCCAGCACTCCCAGGTTCACTCCTCCTCCCCTGCCATCCCTGGCTGGCCCAATCTGGGGGTGCTCTGACACACTAGGAATAGTTTCCCCATGCTAATGAGCAAAATCCCTGTGACAGCTATGTCAAATCAAGCATATCTGCGGCTCCTAAGAAAAATGAAAATGTATCCTTTTCTCCTTTTTCTGGGTCTTTCTCTATAATTCTAAATCTCATCACGCATTTTAAATAATAAATGGGCTGGGGGCGGTGGCTCATGCCTATAATCCCAGCACTTTTGTAGGCTGAGGCAGGTGGATCACCTGAGGTCAGGAGTTCAAGACTAGCCTAGCCAATATGGTGAAACCCCATCTCTACTAAAAGTACAAAAAATTAGCTGGGCATAGTGGCAGGCACCTGTAATCCCAGCTACTTGGGAGGCTGAGGCAGGAGAATTGCTTGAACTTAGGAGGCAGAGGTTGCAGTGAGCCAAGATTGCGACATTACACTCCAGACTAGGAGACAGAACGAGACTCTGTCTCAAAAATAAATAAATAGGCCGGGCGCGGTGGCTCACGCCTGTAATCCCAGCACTTTGGGAGGCTGAGGCGGGCAGATCACGAGGTCAGGAGATCAAGACCATCCTGGCTAATACGGTGAAACCCCGTCTCTACTAAAAATTCAAAAAATTAGCCGGGCGTGGTGGCGGGCGCCTGTAGTCCCAGCTACTCAGGAGGCTGAGGCAGGAGAATGGCGTGAACCCAGGAGATGGAGCTTGCAGTGAGCCGAGATCGCGCCACTGCACTCCAGCCCGGGTGACAGAGTGAGACTTTGTCTCAAAAAATAATAATAATAAATTAAATAAATAAATTAATTAATTAATTAAAAATGGCCTTTCTTCTCTGGAAGGAGCAATGATGGTACCTCCACCATGTGCCAGGCCCCACACTGGCATTTTCTTTCCAGGTGCTATTCATTTAAGCCCTTCCAGAAGCCACAGGCATGTGGGGTGGAGAAAGGCCAAGCAGCTTGTCCATAGCACGTGGCTAGTAAGAACAGTCTCTTACACGATGTCCTACTGCCTCCTAAAGAAGACCATCCTTAGCGATGGTTGCTGCCTTGACTTTCCAGCCTTCTCCACAGGCACCTGCTCAGCTTGGTTTGGGTCCATGGGTATTGGGAAGTTACTAATCCCACTGTGGTTTATACCTCATGACTTCTTGCATTCGGCTGAATATTCTAGACTGCATGAGGGAGAGGACTGTGTGTAGGTCCAGGGACTTGGTCTTGGGAGAACATAAGTCTGGGTCGTTGGGTGGTGGCAGAACAAAATGTTTGGAGATGGAATCTAGATGATCATCTGTGCGTGAGCTTCATGCCCAGGGGACATGGTGGGGTGGGGGTGGCGGTGTGCCTGTGTGCCCACGGGGGGCTCAGCAGATGGCACTCTTCCCTCACAGTCCTGCCGGGCCTGGCTCCCTCCCTCTGTCTTCTTCCCCTTGCATTCCCTACTTGCCTCTCTACATGTCTTCCTCCTCCATGCCTAGACGTTCTTTAGTACCTGTGCTCTAAGAGGATTCCTGCTTCCCTCTTATCCAGAGAAGTCACTTAGTTAGCTCATTTTTTTTTCCTCCAAAGAAGGGAACAAAGGCTTGACACCTCAGGGCTCGGCCTGCCTGTTTTTTGAGCTGTGTTTGCACCCAGAGCTGAGTGTCTGTCTAGCTCAGGTTCCCAGAGGCCTAGGGGCAAGACCATGTCTTCACACGTCGGGCAGCGTGCATTGTCAGCGCTCTATGAAAAACAAATAGCAGTTATGCAAAGACAAGGAAGCTGCTGGCTCATGGAGGCTGTGGTCCCGAGCTCAAAAGATGCAGGCTTGAGGTCTTAACTGCTTCCATTTAGCGCACAAGCCCACGTCCCTGACACCAGCCACAGGAGGATTCTGCACTCCCATGGTCTCTCTGAAGAGTCGGGAGAGCGGTTTGTGTGAATGTGTAAGGTAGGGGAGGACTCTCTGATTTCATTATGGATTATAGAAATAATAACCTACAGTCATCTTTCAGCTCTGATAAATGAGTGACTCTCAAAGGAGATATGCACGCCCCATTAGGAAGCTACATCCAAATCTCAGCAATCAGGGTGCTAAATGAGAACACCTTATATTTACCAAGAGGAGCATGATTTTTTTAAATGACTGACAGCTTTTCCAAAGGCTAGATCTCCTTCTCGTTCTTTTCTCTACTAAGAAACTCTGGCTCATGCCTGTAATCCCAGCACTTTGGGAGGCCGAGGCAGGTGGATCACCTGAGGTCAGGAGTTCAAGACCAGCCTGACCAACACAGAGAAATCCCGTCTCTACCAAAAATAAAAAATTAGCCGGGCGTAGTGGCGCATGCCTGTAATCCCAACTACTTGGGAGGCTGAGGCAGGAGAATTGCTTGAACCTGGGAGCCGGAGGTTGCAGTGAGCCGAGATCACACCATTGCACTCTAGCCCCGGGCGACAAGAGCGAAACTCCATCTTAAAAAAAAAGAAACTCTGCTCACCCTTCAAAGCCCAGCTCCACTGCCACAGCCCTTGGGAAGCCTTCCTCAGCTCCTATCGGCTAAATTTATCCCTCTTTCTCAGTTCTCCCAAAGCATTTGCTTCACTCCACTAGTACAGCACGTACCATGGGCTATTAGAGGGCTATGTGTGGGACTGTCATCCTGTGGGCTGCATGCATCCCAAGCACAGGAAATGTGCCTCACACGACTTCACATGCCCTTTTCAGGGTCATCTGACAAGCAAGGGAAAATCCTACAATTGGCAGAGCAGTTGTGTTGATGTAGGAAGTGTCTGAGAGGAAAGGGCTGAAAGGAAAAGTGAGGCACACTCTCGGAGAGCTAGAATATCATTCCAGGGGGTTTTAGCTAGGGTGAGGGGCTGCAGAAAGCAGTACTTGTAATGGGCCAGAGGTATAGTAGTTAGAGAAAGCTGATAAGAATTTGTTGCGGTAAAGGAAGTTCTCAGGAAGGTAAAGGACTGGTTCAAGGAAACTTCTGAGTATAAAAAAACCAGGACTGCATTGCCATTTCAACGGGTTGCCTGGACTAGATTTTGAAGCAAAGTCCTATAGTCAGGAAAACTCCAGGAGCTGACTTGGACTTCTCCAAGAACAGAGGCTGGAGGAGGAAAGAAGGAAGCAAAGGCCATGGTAATGACCTTACCATTGGGATAAACTGTGTCAAGCTGCACTGAGTAACCAGGTTGTGTCCTGTAAGTTACTAATCCCACCATGGTTTATACCTCATGACTTCTTGCATTCTGCTGAATATTCTAGACTGCCTGAGAGAGAGGACTGTGTGTAGGTCCAGGGGTTTGGTCTTGGGAGAACATAAGACTGGGTCGTTGGGTGGTGGCAGAACAAAATGTTTGGAGATGGAATCTAGACGATCATCTGTGCGTGAGCTTCATTACAGTGAAGAGTGGGACTGCTCTGGTCCCAGGGTAATGACGGTGACAGTGCTGCAGGTTGCAGGAAACCCACCCCATTCCCCCTCCAAATAGGAAAGAGGCCACGATGCCAAGAAAAGGGACTTCTTGACTACAAAATGGGCCTAGCTACCAACTTATAAATTAGAAGCAAGACTTCTGAGTGGTGTCAGGAAACTGCTAGTGTTCTCCTCTCTTGTACCTTTAAGATTTATCCAAAATGAGACACCTTTCTACACAATAGCATCTGATGTGACCTAAGTGTGGAGACAAGAATCCCTAGTTGAACCAATGAAGGATCAAAAGACGCTAAAAGCTTACCTTGGCATCTCAGGCACTTGGAAAGCTAGCATTGCCTCCAGTTCTTTAAAAAAAGTGTGCTCAGCCGGGCGCAGTGGCTCATGCCTGTAATCCCAGCACTTTGGGAGGCCAAGGTTGGCGGATCACCTGAGGTCAAGAGTTCAAGACCAGCCTGGCCAACATGGTGAAACCCCGTCTCTACTAAAAATACAAAAATTAGCCAGACGTGGTGGCGCACACCTGTAATCCCTGCTACTCGGGAGGCTGAGGCAGGAGAATCGCTGGAACCTGGGAGGCGGAGGTTGCAGTGAGCTGATCACTCCATTGCACTCCAGCCTGGGCGACAAAGCAAGACTCCATCTCAAAAACAAAAAAGTGTGTTCACCCCCTGTTCTTGCCCTAGGTCCCTAATCTAAGCGAAGTTGTTGTAGTAAAGCCTGGGATGCGCTAAGAGGACAACAGAGGAAAGACACTGGGGGAAGAGCCCACAGCAGTCAGAGCACGTCCTCCCCTCACGAAGCCTTCCCTAAAGCCCTGGCCGCGTGCTGAGAATCCTTCCTTCTAATCCTGCCCCTGCATATCCGTGGCCCAAGCATTCCTTCTGCCTCCAGACCTGCCTCCACAACAGCTGATGAGGCAAGTGTCCTGGCTGAAGCGCAGCAGTTCACATCCCCTTTCTTTCTGGCCTTGACATTAGAGGATGCCTGTGCAGCTCTGAAGCTCCTGGGGATAAAAGGCTCAGGCTGCTGTGCTTCTTCTCACAGGTCCCTGAGCTCCCCCAGGGCTTTCCTACACAGAAGGCCGGCTGGCTGAGCACTCCCAGCTGCAGCCCCGCTGGCGTCGCCGTGTTTTCTGTGCTCTGCGCTCACTCCCCAGGACGTTCTGGTTTCCTCATCTCAGCTCTCTTTGTTTAGCCACAGAGATTGGGCAACTTCTGTTGGGCAGCGAGGTCAGGGCCCTGCCTCCTAAGAAGGGGCCTCTCCCTCACAGGTCAGTCTGAAGTCACTTGTTCTCCAAGCCCTTGCTCACCCCAGGGCCCTGACACTCAAGTCCATCCAACACCAGGTGCCTCTTTCTCTGGGCACTTGGTGCCCAGGTAAAATTTTCAGATATTATTGCTGTTTTTAACATTATTCAGTGAATAACGTACTCTGGTGGTCTGAAAGGGATAAGGGGGGATTCTGATTTACGGATTTAATGTCAGACTGCATAAAAGCCTCCTCTCTCTCCTTCGGAAGTTTTCTAGGGTGCTAGGTGGCAGCAACCCTGTTCTGTCAATAGGACCATCTGAACCCGTAGGAGCTCCTTGCTGGACAATGCCAAAGTGCGGCTGCAGTATGTGGTTAAAAGTCCCGTGGAGAGTTGGTAATGAGGAGGTGGGGGTGAGGAGTTGGTAATGAGGAGGTGGGGGTGAGGAGTTGGTAATGAGGTGGGGGTGAGGAGTTGGTAATGAGGTGGGGGTGAGGAGTTGGTAATGAGGTGGGGGTGAGGAGTTGGTAATAAGGTGGGGGTGAGGAGTTGGTAATGAGGTGGGGGTGAGGGGGGAGTGTTGAGAAGGCAGTATGCCACTCTGGAACCCCAGAACAGCATTTTAGGACTCAGGGCCCAGAGGCGTTTTAGGACTATGGAAACTTACCACAGGAAGGGCTTTAGTAATCAGTTGTGCCTGATCTGTCTATTTTACAGAGGAAGAAACTGAGGCTCAGAGAGGCATATAACCTACCAGCAGGCTTTGGTTAGTGATCTGGGTTGACCCAGTGAAGGTCAGTCTGACAGCACTGTGGCCCAGGGCCCTCTCAGTCATGGCACCAGAGCCTCGGGCTCCAAGGAGACTGCAGTTTTGGATCAGGAGCCGAATTGCCTCTTATCGCAGAAGTTCTGTCTCCATCTGCAGGGAAAAGGAGGCTCTTGGCCTCCCAGGGTAGCAAAAGGCAAACACACTTGGTTACCGGGAGCCCTTGAGAAGGTGGCAAGAGTGGAGAAGAGCAAACACCCGACTCCCTCCATCTCTGGCTTTGGCTCTAGACTCAGATGGTTTAGAGCCAAGGCCTCCAATGGCCTCTCAGAGCTCTCAGAGAGCCCTGTTCAGGTGCAGAAAAACTGGTCTCGTGTATTCTCCATGGGTCCCCACAAACAACAGATTATCAGAAAGGTCAGGCTTCTTTCTGACAGGGGCAGCAAAACTAAATCCCAGAACTTCTAAAGGTCACGTGCCTTGTGGAGAAATAGTTGGGGAGTGAGGTGCCCGCAATTTCTTTTGAGGAGAGCAGTGGCTAGAAGGAATGGTCCAGGAGGGGGGCAGTTTATTGTCAGGACCATTGGATGGAGTCCAGCAAGTATTTATCAGGAGTTGATGGTGTGTGCAGCCCCAAGCTGGGCACTTGGGGTAGGGGATGGAGAGTATGTTTAGGACTTGGCCCCTGCTTACAAGGTGCTTGCTGGCAATATAAGATTCTCATATGTGATTCAAAAAAGAGAAAAGGCAGAAGCTATGTTAATGGCCAAAGAGAACATGCTTTAGAAGGAATGAGAAAAATCAGTGTGGGCTCCTCTAGTTCTGAAGAGCTTCATGGAGTGGGGCGATCTTTACACAGCCCCACACCCTGCAGTCAGTGTGTGAACTGAGGAGAGAGGTGGGAATGAGCATAGGAACTCACCCTTTCTAACCTCCTTTGTACACAGGCTGTGAGCTAGAATTAGAATGTAAAGAACGCTGTGTCCTCCAAGGGTGGCATATTGCCTGCGGAGTCCTCCTGGGCCCTTGCAGGATGTGGCCAAGATGCTTGGTGCTGCAGATAGTCTCCCGGAAGAGAGGGGCTTACACATTCTTGGTAAGCTGTGGCTGGGTTTAGAATGATTCCTTGGGAAAAGGGGTAGCAAAGTAACTTTGTCCTGAAGAAGCCCCAAGTATCCTGAGCCCAGCAGCCTTACATAAAGTAGTATTGCATAGTGACTACCATTTCAGGGTCTGGATTTAGACTTGGCTTTGAGTCCTATCTCTGCAGCTTTTAGTAACTGTGTGACATTGTCATTGACCTCTCTAAGCTTCAGTTTCCTCATCTATAAAGTGAAGATAATATTCCTTAATGGTCAGGGTTATAGTGAGGACTAAGTGAGGGAGGGCTCAGCTGCCAGCTTGGCATCCTCAGCCCATGGCAGCCGTGTCATGGCTTTGTGCTCCAGTTTGTTGCCAGGGCCTGGTGTTTCATGGTTCACTCTCTTGTCTGACTGTTTCCCAGATCAGGCAAGCCCTAAAGCGTCCTTTCATCCCTTTGGACACCTCCTAGTGACGGGAGAGCACAGGCAGTATGGGAGTGGGAAACTGGATGTCATAGCTGAGTGTCCATTCTATAGCTCGTGGGCATCATGCCATGGGCATCTCTTGACATAGTCAAGAGACCTGGATGGAAATGGGCCCCAAACTACTTCACTAGGAGCTTTGTTTTCCTAGACCACAGTTTCTTCATCTATAAAATAAACAGCTTAAATTAGACCAGCGATCCCCGCTTTGCGGGAAGGGGAGAGGGTCTCAGACAGTATGGGGTCCCTGAATCCAGATGCACAGCAAACATTGCCTAGAGAACAAATAGATGATGCGTCTCACACATAAAGCCTGTGCTGTTTGTCAAATGCACAGAGGTGCTGCTATAATTTTTAAGATACATGTAAAAAGTATTACTGAATGCATGGTAGCTTTTTCTCAGCATGCAGTTCTTCATTTGTAGATACTAAAAGTACAATTATGATTACTTGGAAGGATCCAAAAGTGGTTTTGAAGTTTGTTTGTTTGTTTGTTTGTTTGTTTTTGAGACAGAGTCTTACTCTGTCACCCAGGCTGGAGTGCAGTGGCGCAATCTTGGCTCACTGCAACCTCTGCCTCCTGGGTTGGAGTAATTCTCCTGCCTCAGCCTCCGGAGTAGCTGGGATTACAGGTGTGCGCCACAATGCCTGGCTAATTTTTGTATTTTTAGTAGAGACGGGGTTTTGCCATGTTGGCCAGGCTGGTCTTAAACTCCTGACCTCAGGTGATCCACCCACCTCGGCCTCCCAGAGTGCTGGGATTACAGGCATGAACCACTGCTCCCAGCTAAGGTTTTGAAGTCTTAAAGAGGTACTCAGGCTTGAAAAGTTTGGCTACCACTGGATGAGATGAAGGACTTACTCAGCCTCTCCTGGATGTGGCTCCTAATTCCAACCTAACAAACAAGCACTCCTGAGTCTCTAGCTTCACGTCCTTCTTGAAGAAATAGCAGCTACTAGAAGAGGTTCCCCTGTGGCAGTGAAGACAAACTAGAAGGAGAGACAAGTAAGAAAGAGTAGTGTACAACCAGGCATGGTGATTCACACCTGTAATCCCAGCACTTTAGGAGGCTGAGGCAGGAGGATTGCTTGAGCCCAGAAGTTCAAGACCAGCCTGGGCAACATAGAGAGATGCCATCTCTATAAAAAAATTTAAAAAAAAAATTAGCCAGGCATGATGGCACACACTTGTAGTCCCAGCTACTTGGGAGGCTGAAATGGGAGAATTGCTTGATCCTGAGAGTTTGAGGCTGTAGTGAGCTGTGATTGCACCACTGCACTCCACCCTAGGTGACAGGGTAAGACCCTGTCAAAAAGAAAAGAAAGAAAAAGAAAAAAAAAGAAAGAAAGAAAAGAAAAAGAAAAGAAAAAAAGAAAACAGAAAAGAAAAGAGAGAGAGCCTGGGCACAGTGGTTCACAACTGTAATCCCAGCACTTTGGGAGGCCGAGACGGGAGATGGGAGATCAAGAGATCAAGACCATCCTGGCCAACATGGTGAAACCCCATCTCTACTAAAAATACAAAAATTAGCTGGGCATAGTGGCGTGTGCCTGTAGTCCCAGCTACTCAGGAGACTGAGGCAGGAGAATCACTTGAACCCGGGAGGCAGAGGTTGCAGTGAGCCAAGATTGCGCCACTGCACTCCAGCCTGGTGACAGAGTGAGACTCCGTCTCAGAAAAAAAAAAAAAAAGAGAGAGAAAGAATAGTGTGGCCACGCACTGTGGCTCACACCTGTAATCCCAGCACTTTGGGAGGCCGAGGTGGGTGGATCACAAGGTCAGGAGTTCGTGACCAGCCTGGCCAAGATGGCGAAACACTGTCTCTACTAAAATTAGCCAGGCATGGTGGCAGGTGCCTGTAATCCCAGCTGCTCAGGAGGCTGAGGTAGAGAACTGCTTGAACCTGGGAGGCGGAGGCTGCAGTGAGCTGAGATCACGCCACTGTACTCCATCCTGGGTGACAGAGCAAGACTGTGTCGGGAAAAAAAAAAAAAAAAAGGCCAGGCGCAGTGGCTCATGCCTGTAATCCCAGCACTCTGGGAGGCCGAGGCGGGCGGATCATGAGGTCAGGAGATCGAGACCACGGTGAAACCCCGTCTCTACTAAAAAATACAAAAAATTAGCCGGGTGCGGTGGTGGGTGCCTGTAGTCCCAGCTACTCAGGAGGCTGAAGCAGGAGAATGGCATGAACCCGGGAAGCGGAGCTTGCTGTGAGCTGAGATCACGCCACTGCACTCCAGCCTGGGTGACAGAGTGAGACTCCGTCTCAAAAAAAAAAAAAAAAAAAAAAAAAGGAAAGAAAGAAAGAAAGGGGCTACCTAAAGAGAGGAAGACAACTTTTATAAGAAACTCTGGGAAATGCTCAGGACTCTATTTGTTTAAAGGCCCTTTTTAAGAAATGCTTGCCACTTCCTAGTATTTGTCATTGTTTCCTACTGCACACGTTTGCAGCATATGGGAAGTGGGAGGAGTTAGAATGTCCTCCAAATTCCCCTGACACCCAGTTCCCACCTTCATCCTCTAGAAAAATGTGTTGCTTTGTTTTGTTTAACTTTTCGGGTCACAGACCCTTTCAGAATCTGATAAAGGTGATGGACCCCCTACCTCACCCTAAATGCAGTCACACACGGATAGCTTTTCTTTTTTTTTTAATTTTAATTTTTTTCATGAATAACTTTTCACATAATTTCAGCAGGTTCATCGCCTCCTGAGTTCACATGGACCCCCTTGGGAATTTATGGACACCCCCGCCCAGGTTAGGAAAACCTGCTCTTGTGTGGGTTGCTTCAAACAAGTTTAAATTTGCCTTCTCCTAGTTGTCCATAGATCTAAGCTTTTTCTAAAAGTCCCATGGAACTTGTAATGAGACCTCTAAATGTCCCATATCCCAAAATGCTGTTGTAGGCTTCTTAGATTTTGGAAGACCAGATCAGCAAAAGACAGCATGCACTCAGGTGGAATATTGCAAAGGTAGACATCAGCTCAAGGCTAGCTTCTCTGGGCAGCTGGTGCAAGGTGAATGGAAGCAAGATAGGGGCTCAGGAACAGAGTCCATCTGAGAGCCAGCACTCCCTCCTGACAGTGACAGTTTTGTAAGTTTCTGTCCTAGGAGCTGTGGGCCTGCAGACCTGTGGTCCTTGAAGTGGAAAGCTGCTCCCATCTCTAGGAAGGATCTCCCAGCCTCTGTCCCCCTCCCCCACTGCTACCCGAGCAGCTCTCCCTTCACCTCAGGCCCTGTGTGACACACCTTTCCCCAGGGTTCCTGCCCCGGCAGCCTGCCCTGTCTGTTAGTGCTGTGAGTCTCTGAATGTACCAGCCAAAATCAGGGAAGGTTTCTTCCCACCCACTCAAAACTTCACTTTTCTCATCATCCAAACTCCGAATCTAAAAGCCTAGTTGTTATTTACCAACTTGCGTCCAAATCCACTCTTGGGCTTAGTTTGCAACCAGCATGTACCCTGGGATGAGTGAGAGGCGACAGGCTAGGAAGGGATCTGGGGTTTATTAGTGACAGACCAGGCTGCTAGGTTTGGCTGAGGTGCCACAATTTGCACCAGGCAAGGGAGGTGAATTCAAATACCAGGATGTTGGGCAATATTTCAAAGAGTGAGGCTGGGCATGGTGGCTCATGCCTGCAATCCCAGTACTCTGGGAGGCTGAGGCAGAAGGATCGCTTGAGCCCAGGAGTTCAAGACCAGACTGGGCAACACAGTGAGACCCTGTCTCTACAAAAAATTTTAAAAGTAGCTAGGTGTGGTTGTGCACACGCCTGTAGTCCCAGCTGCTCAGAAGGCAGAGGTAGGAGGATCGCTTGAGCTCAGGAGGTCAAGGCTGCAGTGAGCTGTGATCACACCACTGCATTCCAGCCTTGGTGACAGAGCGAGACTCTGTCTCAAAAACAAAAACAAAAACAAAAACAAAAAACAAAGAATGAAATTCATTGCTATTACAGCCCTTCCTCTACCCTCACCCTGAACTCTACGTCCCATCCTCTTACTCTACAACCTACTATGCAAATGACTCATTGTTCTCTACAATGTTACCCCACTGGGTTCAATCCTATCTGAGCTTTGTAGGACTCCAAACCTATGTGTAAAGGTATGAGCACTTCAAAGGAAGATTGGCAGGGAAGGCCAATCCTTCTGCTTATGTATTTTATTCTTTGATTTTAAAAATCAATTTATCCAATAGATATTTATGGAGCTCTAACTGGGTTAGGATACTAGTGTATGGGGATACAGAAAAATACAAAGATATACCAGGATACTGGAATACGGGAAAATGTATGAATGAATGAGATCTGGATTCACTTTCAAGGAGCTTGCCGTCTAGTAGAGGAAATGACATACAAATAAGCCACAACACATGGTATAAAAAATATATATGGCCGGGCACAGTGGCTCACACTTGTAATCCCAGCACTTTGGGAAGCAGAGGAGGTAGATGACCTGAGGTCAGCAGTTCAAGACCAGCCTGGCCAACATGGTGAAACCCTGTCTCTACTAAAAATACAAACAATTAGCCAGGCGTGGTGGCATGTGCCTGTAATCTCAGCAACTTGGGAGGCTGAGGCAGGAGAATTGCTTGAACCCAGGAGATGGAGGTTGCAGTGAGCCGAGATTGCGCCACTGCACTCCAACCTGGGAGACAGAGTGAGACTCCATCTCAAAAAAAAAAAAAAAGATGGCTGGGCGCGGTGGCTCACGCCTGTAATCCCAGCACTTTGGGAGGCCGAGGTGGGTGGATCACCTGAGGTAAGGAGTTCGAGACCAGCCTGGCCAACATGGTGAAACCCCGTCTTTACTAAAAATACAAATATCATCCTGGCATGGTCGTGAGCACCTATAATCCCGGCTACTTGGGAGGCTGAGTAATGAGAATTGCTTGAACCTGGGAGGTGGAGGTTGCAGTGATCGTGCCACTGCACTCCTGCCTGGGCAACAAGAGAGAGACTTCATCTCAAAAAAAAAAAAAAAAAAGATATATATATAGATATATAGATATATTTGCCCTAGCTTAGTAACTATCATTAGCAAGTGATATTTAAGCTGGACTCTGAAGGATGGGTAAGAGTTGGAGAGACAAAGATGAGGAAAAGGCATCTAGGTGGTAGGAATGGTATGCCAAGAGCCTTGGAAGCAGCAGGTGGACCTACATGCAGACTAGCAAATAGTTCTATTTGGCAAGAACATAGGGAGAGGGAGTAGACAGAGAGAAGGTCAGAAAGCCAAGGTGAAGTCGAGACCTTGCATTTCAGGCTGAAGAGTAGTTTGGGAATTTCAGGGGAATCACTGAAGGTTTTTGAGTAGAGTTCATGGTGATCATAGCTGTATCCTAGAAAAATTAATTTGGGAGTTCTCTGGAGGCTACGTTGAAGAAAAAGAAAGCATTGGGTAGGGGTATTAGAAGAGGGAACATCTACAGGAGCCTTTTCCAGCAAGCTACTTCTGGTCAACTAAGCCAAAAGGGACCTTGGCCTCCGTTCTCTATGGTCCTCACTGTCTGGACCTCTCATGGACGGTACAGAAAGACAATATAGTTGTTAGGGGCAGAGTCTACTATAAAGTACCTTCTCAGAGCTTGGTCCACCATGTGGAATAATTATATCCAGATTTGTTTTAAAGATTAAATGAGATAGAGTCTATCAAAACACTTATTAGCATAGAGGGAACGGATAAGCAATTTTTAATAAATGGTTGATAGGATAATCATTATCCTATGACTCATCTTGTAGATACGTGTGTCTAAAACTGGAATCACCTCCTTTATGGGTAGGAAGCCACAGCTTCTTGTACCAAGTAGATGATCAATGAATATGAAATAAACAGATATCATGATCGGTGAGGGATTAGGCTGTAAGAGTTTCATTAAATTTAGGAGAATCATTCCCTTTGAATGAGGACTGACATTTTTCTTGCCTGAAGTGTTCCCTGTTCTCAGAAGTACAATCACTATAACTTGGCAGATAGGATGGGATGAGTTTGTCCTTGAGACAGGACATCAAGCCCCAGTTCTGGGTAATGTTTTGACCTCACTGGTCCTGGCAAGCATTAATCTGAAGTCACTAGGCCTCTGGGCCTGTTCCTAATGGGCCTGTGTCCACCCAGTGATGAGGGATTCATAAGAAGCCCTCCTAATATCTGCTGGCTACATTCACGGGAACCTTGGTGTAGGCCTGAAAAAAGAGCTGCGTTAGTGAGGAGGTAGTGGGAGCTAAGAGTTAGTATACAGCAATATTTAGGCGCTGGACTCCTGGTTGCTTTTCCCAATTCTATTGCCCAGAACTAAGAAACTTTGGACATTCTCTTCTTCTCTCTACCGCAGGGCCTGATCATCAAGGCATCCCTGAATACTGACTGCCTCCTACCAGTGCCTGCTACCTACAAAGGCATTGATGCACTAAGTGCCACAGGGCCCTCCAGGACTTAAAAGAGTTTCACTCTAGCTGAACATAAAAGGTGAAACACAGAAGAAATATGGCACTGTAGTTAAGGGTATAAACAATGGAGTCAGGGTGCCTGGTTCAAATCCTGGCTTTCTCACTAGCTGACACGAGGCAGTCAACCTTTCTGCACCTTAGTTTCCTTATCTCTAAAGTAGGAATAATAATAATAATAGTATCTACCAAATGGGGTACTATTAAGAGTTAAATAAAATAACTTAGCTTGGTGCTGTAGCTTGCGCCTATAATCCCAGCACTTTGAGAGGTTGAGGCGGGAGGATTGCTTGAGCCCAGGAGTTCAAGACCAGCCCGGGCAGCATAGTGAGATCCTGTCTCTACAAAAATTAAAAGAGTACGCAGGTGTGGTAAGACATGCCTGCAGTTACAGCTACTCAAAAGGCTGAGACGGAAAGGTTGTCTGAGCCTAGGAGTTCGAGGTTGCAGTGAGCTATGATTGTACCACTGAACACCGGCCTGGGTGACAGAGCCAGACCCCATCTCAAAAAAAAATTCAATAGAATAATTTGTGTAAAGTGCTAAATACAGTAATGGCCCATAGCAAGCACCTAATAACTGTTAACTATTATTTTTGAATTAAATCATAGCATCCAACCTGAAAAGCAATATATGGCAATAAGGAATTTTCTAGGCCATGCCTTTAGAATTTTTATCATCCTTTTAGAATTGAAGCTTCTTGTTAGAAGATTCTGTCCTGTATTTTCATGGATGCCCCAACAGCCACCCTCCCTGCCTTGCAATCAAACAGGTGCTCAAATATTTTTTGAGAATATAATTAAGTACATTTCTACTTTCTAATTTCTAAATGAATGAAATAGAGAACTAGGAAACTTAGGACAGTAAGACTGATGTCAGCTGGGCAATCAGAGAAGGCTTCATGGAGGAGGTGAGACTGACGTAGCCCTTGACAAGTTCGATAGGATTTAGATGGATAAAGTGAAGCAAGGAAAATTCTAATTATTGGAGCCTCGAATGGGTTGGGTGTTCATGAGAGGCAGGGGCAGACTTCGTGGGTACAGCTGCAGCATACTGCACACACATTAAGGGTGGCACCTCTGTGCCCAGACCTGGGCTTAAGTGGAACCAGACTCGCCTGGGACAGACTTTGGGCGCAGTGACAGGAGCCCATCAGCTGCTCAAGAGACCCCTGCCAAAATCTCAACTGGAGCTGGGCACAGTGGCGCATGCCTGTAATCCCTGGGCACAGTGGTGCATGCCTGTAATCCCAGCTACTTGCGTGCCTGAGGCAGGAGAACCCGGGAAGTGGAGGTTGCAGTGAGCTGAAATTGGGCCACTGCACTCCAGCCTGAGCGATAGAGCGAGACTCCGTCTCAAAAAGAAAAAAAAAGTCTCAATCAGCTAGGCCAAGTCCTTCCTGTCCTGTCCCTGTCCCTGCCGCATCCTCCCCGCCCTGCCCCCGGCTCCTCTTTCACACCCTGTGCCAGACAGAAGGCCTGGGAGTGAAAAGACTGGCCATGGGGACAGAGAGCTGGATCCAAAGGTCAAGGCTGAGTTTGCCAGAGCCTGCAGGATCCCTGCACCGCTTTACTGGATCCCCAGGTTGAGCTGAGATGCTGCTCTGGGTGGAGAAGGGGCCATGAGCCTCTGGCAGGCCTCTGTGTCACACCTTTCCACCAGGGAAAACTGGGTGTGGATGTTTCCCCTTCGTATGTACTCTGAGATCTCTATGAGGAGTCTTCCTAGAGGGGAAGGGGGAAGCCTCCTCATAGAGATCTCAGAGTACATAGGAAGGAGCCAGGTCTTTCCGTTCTTCTGCGTCTCCTCACAGCGTCACCTACAAGGGTCTGGCACACAGTGGACACTCTTCCTGGCTTTTCTGGTACAGAGTGACCAACATAACAGTTAATAGCATTTCCTCATTTTACAGACAGGGAAAGCAAAAAACATAAGCATGGTAATGCATATATAATACGTGTCTATGGCAGAGGCATTCGAACCAGAATGACTCCATCTTGAATAGGGGCTGGTAAAATGAGGCTGAGACCTGCTAGGTGGCATTCCCAGGAGGTTAGGCATTCTTAGTCACAGGATGAGATAGGAGGTCAGCACAAGACACAGGTCACAAAGGCCCTGCTGATAAAGCAGGATGCAGTAAGGAAGCCTGCCAAAACCCACCAAAACCAAGATGGCAATGAAAGTGACCACTGGTTGTCCTCACTGCTCAGTATATGCCAATTATACATTAGCATGCTAAGAGACACTCCCACCAGCACCATGGCAGTTTACAAATGCCATGGCAACACCTGGAAATTATCCTATATGGTCTAAAAGAAGGAGGAGTCCTCAACTGGGGGAGGGGGAAAATCTCCATCTCCTTCCCAAAAAGCTCATGAATAACCCACCCCTTGTTTAGCATATGATCAAGAAATAACCATAAAAATAGCCAACCAGCAGCCCTCAGGGTTGCTTTGCCTATAGAGTAGCCATTCTCGTGTTTCTTTACTTGTCTAGCAAACTCGCTTTCACTTTACTTCATGGACTAGCCCAGAGTTCTTGTACAAGATCCGAAAAACCCTCTCTTGGGGTCTGGATCGGGACCCCTTTCTGGCAATGATACCCTCTTATTGTGGTAATTCATTTAATCCTCACAATGATCCTCTGAGGTAGGTGCCATTATTATCTTCATTTTACATGTGGGAAAACTGAAGCCGGAAGGATGAACAGCTTCCCAAGTTCACCGAAGGAGTAAGTGGTCCACAGGACTAGGAGCCTGGGATTTGCACCGAGGCAGTCTGGCTCTGTTCTCCATTGGCCACTGCGATGCCACCTGGGTGGAGGGAGCACAGGTCCAATGGCGGGGAGAGTACAGTACAACCCAGGATCCTGTCTTCCAGGTCTCTCCACGCAATTAACCTACTCAAAACTTCATGACAGTCCAGCAAGCTTGTCCAACCCACAGCCTGTGGGCCCCGTGCAGCCCAGGACGGCTTTGAACGCGGCCCAAAACAAATTCGTAAATTGTCTTAAAACATTATGAGTTCTTGGTTGGGCATGGTGGCTCACGCCTGTAATCCCAGCACTTTGGGAGGCCGAGGCAGGTGGATCACCTGAGGTCAGGAGTTTGAGACCAGCCTGACCAACATGGAGAAACCTCGTCTCTACTAAAAATGCAAAATTAACCAGGCCTGGTGGCGCATGCCTGTAATCCCAGCTACTCAGGAGACTGAGGCAGGAGAATCACTTGAACCTGGGAGGCAGAGGTTGTGGTGAGCCGAGATCGTGCCGTTGCACTCCAGCCTCGGCGACAAGAGCAAAACTCAAAAAAAAAAAAAAAATATATATATATATATATATATATATGAAGTTTCTTTGCGATTTTTTAAAAGTGTATCAGCCATTGTTAGTGTTGCTGTATTTTATGTGTGGGGCAAGACAATTCTTCCAATGTGGCCCAGGGAAACAAAACAATTGGACACCCTGGATGATGAAAAAGAGCACTCTTCAGCCCCTGCTGTCACCAAAGCCCCACCTCAGTTCTTGCCCTTAGGTAACGCCAAGATAGCAAAATGGAATTTTACCAAACCGCTCTTAGGTTCCTTCCCCAGGAGACCAGAAATGCCCTGGGGACTGCCTGCCTTTGAGGCAAATTTTTTTTCCTTTTTAAAGAAAGTGGTAAACATCTGAAAATAGAGTTTTTGAAAGAAAGTGACTCTTCAGTTGTAATTATAGCAGAGAGGGTCATTGCTTTCTATCAGCAAGAAAGCTGCTTCTATTTTTTTTTATTCTCTTTTTCTTGGTTTTTTGTTTTGTTTTGTTTTGTTTTGTTTTTTGAGACGGAGTCTCGCTGAGTTGCCCAGGCTGGAGTGCAGTGGTGTGATCTCGGCTCACTGCAAGCTCCATCTCCCGGGTTCAAGCGATTCTCCTGCCTCAGCCTCCCGAGTAGCTGGGACTGCAGGCTCCGGCCACCACGCCTGGCTAATTTTTTTTGTATTTTTAGCACAGACGGAGTTTCACCATGTTGACAGGCTGGTCTCGAACTCCTGGCCTCAGGTGATCTGCCCGCCTCGGCCCCCCAAAATGCTGGGATCACAGGCGTGAGCCACCGCTCCCCGCCGCTGCTTCTAAATACAGCCTGTATAATGCAAATCCCCAAAGAGGGCCAGCCTCTGGCCCCATTCAGCTTCCTCCCTCAGAGGCTGGGTGCGTGCGCCCTGGGCGGGGCGGCGGGCTCCCTCCGGAGAGGCCCCAGCCCGGCCTCGTGCCCCTCCCCAGCAGGCTTCCGGCCCTGCGCACAGACCCAAATGGCGCGGGAGGAGGAAGAAGGGGTCAGCTTCAAGCCTGACGTTCTAGGGGGGAGCCGCTTCTTAAGTACGTGCTAGGATCAAGGGTGCATTTGCAAACTTTTCAAAATGCCTTAGAGGAGGTAGGAGTCAAGCCCTTGGGATCTGGAGGGGAAGGAGGAGAGTCAGTTAAACCGCAGAAAGGTTGGTGGGGAGTGGGCTCAGTAATGGCCCCTGTCACAGCCTCGGGCCGGGACTCGCCAGCTCATTTTCTATTTCTAACTCAATGCCAGGCACTGAGCACTGTGCTCAACCTAGTAATTTGGAGACGGAGGTGGATATGCATATAACAGAACAGGATGCTCTCCGGACAAACGTTCTGAAGGAAAAGCAAACGGAAGATCCTCCCGCCTCTGCTGGGCAGTCTCTAATGACCCCTGGGGTATGTTCCAGACATGCGTGGGCATCTGCGAATTTACTCACCTGAGAGCTGCCTCTACCTTTTTTTGTTAAATTTTTATTTATTTATTTATTTATTTTGAGACGGAGTCTCCCTCTGTCACCAGGCGGGAGTGCAGTGGCGTGATCTCTGCTCAATGCAACCTCCGCCTCCCGGGCTCAAGCGATTCTGCTGCCTCAGCCTCCCGAGTAGCTGGGAGTACAGGCGCGCGCCACCACGCCCAGCTAATTTTTATATTTTTAGTACAGACGGGGTTTCACCATGTTGGCCAGGATGGTTTCTATCTCTTGACCTCGTGATCCGCCTGCCTCGGCCTCCAAAGTGCTGGGATTACAGGCGTGAGCCACCGCGCCTGGCCTGCCTCTACCTCTGATCCCTGGGATCAGAAATGAGAAATGCAAAGATTGTCCCTGTGTTATGTGTGTACTGTTTGTAATTGTAATTCACAATCCCCTTTCTTGCTCCTCACCCCATATTCAATTAAGAGAGAAAGGTGAAAAACACAAAGCACAAAATGTTTCCAGGAAACTATCTGAAACTCCTGGAAGGCTAGATTTAGGTATAAACAGAGTAGAACTCCAGATTTCTGCAATGCTCCTTAGGGGCTGAGCTTCCTGCATGCCCTTGACAATTAGAGGAGTTTTTTTTAATACTTCAAAATTATTCCAGAAAGGCATGCAGATGAGAAGATAACCAGGTTATGAGGAAGCCCAAGGTATTTGGTAAGGATGCTCAAGTTTTGGGGAAGGTCAGCTGAAATAGCAATTTGTGGGTGGACTATTAGCAGGGAGTTGACTGGAGAATTAATCAGACGTTGAAGGGACATGGGGGACCCGGGAGGATGAAGTCTGAACTCGGGCTCAGGATATGGAAAAAGATTGAGTAAAGCTGAGATTCCTGTGTGCTTAAAGTCCTAACCAGCCCCAGGGTGTCTGAGGCACGCTGGTAAGTAGAATCAGAGATTCCATTCAGCAAAAGCAGACAGGAAAACAAATCTCTTTTCTTTGTTTGTCCTGGTTGAAAACCAAACACGGTAGCCGTTTGATGAAATTCCAGTGTCAGGAGTGTTTGGGCAGGGAAGGGAGGGTAAAATTGCAGCTAGCCTCTGACCACAGGGAAATCAGCCTAACGGCTCCATTCAGGCCATTCTTCAGCCCTGCACTCTGGAATGTTCACAGGGTGTCTGTGCATCTCCCCTGATTCCAGCCCACAGGACACTTGCTCTCTCTTTCTTGTGACCCCAACATGTCAGCTGGCAAGACTCAACATTCCTGTCTGGGACTGAGCAGCTTGAACCACTTGTATGAGTCACAGGTAATTTTCAGCAGTGTGAGAAAACACTGAATGAAGAGAAGTACTAGGTCCTGAGGAGGCTTAGCTCTGGGGTAATGGAGATGGGGGTGGGGGTGGAGAGAGGGTTCTAAAGGTCAACTGCAATGTCCCCCAGTTTTCATGTATCTTCATCAACATAGACAAATCCCAGCGGATCTAAGCTTTTGAAAACTTGACCTTTTGTAAAAATGAGGAAACTGAAGTTATAGCCCTTTCTGGAGTGTGGAAGCTTTGGAAACATCGCACCACAGTGAAGCAAGCCGGGGAGGGTGCCAGCCCAAACCAGAACCAAGTGTGGGCATTTCATGCCATGAACACAAAAGGTTAGTGGGCCGGGTTGAGCTTGGGCAAGATCTCACAAGATCTTAGATCCAGTGTATTTTCTGTCAGTAGATTTCAATCAGAAAGGTCGTGAAATATACCTCAGCCTGGCATTGGGCTTGGGGCAAAGATCTAGGACTTTCTTTTCCAGGGAAGTTCTCTGAGAACTGAATCAATTCCTGCCCTCTAATCTATCTTGCATCCCTTCCTGAACCAACCTCCCTAAAACTGTGCCCCACTCCTCCATTAAAAAAAAACAAGGCCGGGCGCGGTGGCTCACACCTGTAATCCTAGCTCTTTGGGAGGCCGAGGTGGATGGATCACCTGAAGTCAGCAGTTCAAGACCAACTTGGCCAACATGGTGAAACCCTGTCTCTACTAAAAATACAAAAATTAGCCAGACATGGTGGCACGTGCCTGTAATCCCAGCTACCCGGGTTGCTGAGGCAGGCGAATCACTGGTTCCACCAGGAGGTGGACGCTGCAGTGAGCCGAGATGGTGCCACTGCATTCCAGCCTGGGCAACAGAAAGAGACTGTCTCCAAAAAAAAAAAATCATGTCATTTAAAAACTTCTGAGGCTGGGCCCAGTGGCCCATGCCCGTAATCCCAGCACTTTGGGAGGCTGAGGCAGGCAGATCACTTGAGGCCAGGAGTTCAAGACCAGCCTGGCCAACACGGCAAAATCCCGTCTCTACTAAAATACAAAAATTAGCTGAGCGTGGTGCCACATGCCTGTAGTCCCAGCTACTCAGGAGGCTGAGGCAGGAGAATCATTTGAACCCAGGAGGTGGAGGTTGCAGTGAGCCAAGACTGCCCCACTGCACTCTATCCTGGGTAACAGAGTGAGATTGTGTAAAAAAAACAAACCACTTTAGAGTTTTCCACTGTCTGCTAAATCAAGTACACATTCCTTTGCCTGGTTATTTAAAAATCCCCCATAATTCGGCCCCACCCCACCTATCCAGTTGTGCTTTCCCCCACACACACCGTCTGATCTGGTCAGAAAGGCCTTTGCACTGTCCCAGATAGCTTACTCATTCCTGCCTGTTTCATTCCCAGTTTTCTCCACATTCATTCCTGAATCTGAATTTATTCTTCTTTAACAAAACCAAAAGACCCTACCTTAGGATATTTGGCCAACTACTTCAGTTTGCATTTCTCCTTCTCCAAGTAATTACCAAGTCACGCCTTGATATATATACCTCCCCCAATAGACTATAAGCCACCATGAGTTCAGCACAACTTATGTAAGTTATAGTGCCTCACATAAGTTGTGCTCACTAAATAAATGTTGATTAGTTGCAGTTCTTTTTTTTTTTTTTTTTTTTTTTTTGCACTGTCTCCCGGGCTGGAGTACAATGGCACGATCTCGGCTCACTGCAACCTCCGCCTCCCAGGTTCACACGATTCTCCTGCCTCAGCCCCCCTAGTAGCTGGGATTACTGGCGCCCACCACCACAGCCGGCTAATTTTTTGTATTTTTAGTAGAGACGGAATTTCACCATGTTGGCCAGAATGGTCTTGAACTTCTGACCTCGTGATCCGCCTGCTTCGGCCTCCTAAAGTGCTGGGATTACAGGCATGGGCCACCGCGCCCGGCCTAGTTGCAGTTCTTTTTCTTCTGCAGTAAAGGCCAAACACACACAAAATCAGTCTCCTCCCAATCCTGACTTGCATCCTCTAAGTTTAGTAGCACAGAGAGAAAATGTAGAGAATGGTCGTACCCAAGATATTAAGGGGGGATGAGTTCAAGACAAAATAAAATGTTTGCCCAACGCTGACATTTTAAATGCTCATCTGAAAATTGGCACCTCCAGAATGTTGCCCTCTTCAGAGCATTCAGACCCAGGGCACCATAACATTAAATTCCTTTGTGTTTAAGACATTTCCTCTTAATTCTCTTTCTCTTTGAGGGAATGGTATAAGTACAAGAGGTTGGAAGAAACCATACACTTCTTTTTTAAAAAATAGAGACAGGAGCTGGTCATGTTGCCCAGGCCAGTCTAGAATTCTTGGTCTCAGGCTAATCCTTCCCCATCGGCCTGCCAAAGTGCTGGGATTACAGGTGTCAATCACTACACCCAGTCCCCATATACTTTTTTTTTTTTTTTTTGAGACGGAGTTTTGCTCTTGTTGCCTAGGCTGGAGTGCAATGGCATGATCTTGGCTCACTGCAACCTCCGCCTCCCCGGTTCAAGTGATCCTCCTGCCTCAGCCTCCTGAGTAGCTGGGATTACTGGCACGTGCCACCACATCCTAAATTTTGTATTTTTAGTAGAAACAGGGTTTCGCCATGTTGGCCAGGCTGGTCTTGAACTCCTGACCTCAGGTGATCTGCCTGCCTCGGCCTCCCAAAGTGCTAGGATTACAGGCATGAGCCACCAGGCCTGGCCCCTGTATACTTCTTTAAATGCAATAGAGCAGACATATAGACCAGTGGAATAGAATAGAGCCCCAAAATAAACCCTTGCCTATATGGTAAACTGATTTTCAGCAAGGCTTCCAAGACCACTCAATGGGGAAAGGATAATCTTTTCAGTAAATGGTGCTGGAAAAACTGGATAGTCCCACATACAAAAGAATGAAACTGGACCCTTACCTTATGCCATATACAGAAACTAACTCAAAATGAACCAAAGACCTAAACTTGAGAGTTAACACTGTAAAACTCTTACAAGAAAACACGGGGAAAAATCTTCATGACATTGGACTTCACAATGATTTCTAGAATATGACAGCAAAATTGCAGGCAACAAAAGAAAAAAACAGATAAATTAGATTTCATCAAAATACAGAACTTGCGCACCAAAGGACACTATTAAAAGAGTGAAAAGGGGCCGGGCGCGGCGGTTCACGCCTGTAATCCCAGCACTTCGGGAGGCCGAGGCGGGCAGATCATCTGAGGTCAGGAGTTCGAGACCAGCCTGGCCAACATGGTAAAACGCTGTCTCTAATAAAAACACAAAAAAATTAGCCGAGCATGGTGGCAGGTGCCTGTAATCCCAGCTACTCAGGAGGCTGAGGCAGGAGAATCGCTTGAGCCTGGGACGCAGAGGTTGCAGTGAGCCAAGAGTGTGCCACTGCACGCCAGCCCGGGCAACAGAGCGAGACTCTGTATAAAAATAAATAAATAAATAGGCCAGGCGTGGTGGCTTACGCCTGTAATCCTAGCACTTTGGGAGGCCGAGGCGGGTGGATTACCTTAGGTCGGGAGTTCGAGGCCAGCCTGACCAACATGGAGAAACCCCGTCTCTACTAAAAACACAAAATTAGCCAGGCGTGGTGGCACGTGCCTGTAATCCAAGCTACTCGGGAGGCTGAGGCAGAAGAATCACTTGAACCTGGGAGGCAGAGGTTGTGGTGAGCTGAGATCATGCCATTGCACTCCAGCCTGGGCAACAAGAGCAAAACTCCATCTCAAATAAATAAATAAATAAATAGATAAATAAATAAAAATTAAAAAATAAAAGAGTGAAAAGACAACCTACAGAATGGGAGAAAATATTTGTAAACCATATTTCTGTTAAGGAATTAATATCCAGAATAGATAAAGAACTCCTACAACTTAACAGCGAGAAAACCAAACAACTCAATTCAAAAAAGGAGAAGGAACTAGGGTAGACATTTCTCCAAAGAAGACACACAAATGGCCAACAAGCTTCATGAAAAAAGGCTCAATGTCACCAGTCATTAGACAAATACAAATCAAAACAAAATGAGATACAACTTCTTACCTGTTAGGATGACTATTTGAAAAAAATGAAAGAAGAAAGAAAAAAAAGCAAGTTTTGGTAAGGATACAGAGAAACTGAAATTCTCATGCATGACTGGTGAGAACGTAAATGATGCAGCCAGCAGCCACTGTGGAAAACAGCTTGGCAGTTCCTCAAAAAGTTAGAGAATTACCATATGACTTAGCAATTTCATTCCTAGGTGTGTACCCCAAAAAACTGAAAGAAAGGACTCAGATACCTATACACCAATGTTAATGGCAGCATGTTCACAACGGCGAAAAGAAACAAGCCAGTGTCCATCAGCAGATGAATGGATAACCAAATGCGATATATTCATACAATGGAATATTTTTCAGGCTAGAAAGGAAGGAAATTCTGGCCAGGCACAGTGGCTCACACCTGTAATCCCAGCACTTTGGGAGGCCCAGGCTGGCAGATCACAAGGTCAGGAGTTCAAGACCAGCCTGGCCAACATGGTAAAACCCCGTCTCTACTAAAAATACAAAAATTAGCCAGGCGTGGTGGTGCACTCCTGTAATCCTAGCTGCTCAGGAGGCTGAGGCAGGAGAATTGCTTGAATCTGGGAGGTGGGGGTTGCAGTGAGCCAAGATTGTGCCACTGCACTCCAGCCTGGGCGACAGAGCGAGACTTCATCTCAAAAAAAAGAAGGCTGGGCATGGTGGCTCAAGGTTGTAATCCCAGCACTTTGGGAGGCCGAGGCAGGCAGATCACGAGGTCAGGAGTTCACAACCAGCCTGGCCAACACGGTGAAACCCCCGTCTCTACTAAAAATACAAAAATTAGCTGGGCATGGTGGCAGGCACCTGAAATCCCAGCTACTCGGGAGGCTGAGGCAGGAGAATCGCTTGAACCCTAGAGGCAGAGGTTGCAGTGAGCCAAGATTGTACCACTGCACTCCAGCCTAGGCGACAGAGTGAGACTCCATCTCAAAAAAAAAAAAAAAGAAAAAGAAAAAGAAAAACCTTTACCCCAATTAATGTACCCCAAATGCCATTGGGTAGGGCCTTGCAGAAGGAATGCTAAGTGTGGGCTTTGACACAACCCAATTCCCTGTGGCAACCAGGTGTTGCTGGTTTAGGTTAGTGATTAGTGCTTACGGGTGGGGTAAAAGAAATACAGCCTTGGCTTATGAATACCTAGGCACAGAATGTCCCCACCTCGGCCCTATGGGGCAACTGTTCTCACAACCCTGTGAGTTCTTCCCAAGGAATCAGGGCCAAAGGATTAAGGACCTCAAAAAAAGGGAGTTCTCATTCCAGCTCCTTCAGCAGAGTCACTGTACCTTGAAGGACCAGCACCATTTGTGCTTCAGGGAAAACAACACTGGAAAACAACAAAGGCCTCTACCAGAAGGTGGGAGTGGGAACTCTCCCCTGCACCCCTATGCTTTAGGAGGAAGGTGCTGCCCACATGCTAAGCCAGTTGCAGGAGAGCACCTAGGCCTGCTGCATTCCACCTCCTGCAGAGACACCTGTGTGCTCCTGTGTTGTAGCTTGTTAAGGGAGTGTAGACTTGTCCTTCTTGTGTTGAGTAATTTTTCAGGGAGGCTGGAAGAACTAGAAGGTAAATTTCCTCTCTACTCCAGCCAGGGTTCCAGGAGCCAGGCCCATCGCTCCAATATATGCATACGTTGTGTTGTTATTTCCTATTAAATCCGATCTTTTCACCCACCACTGAGTATTACACTAGCACTGACATTTAGTTTTTTGTTTGTTTGTTTTGAGACGGAGTCTCGCTCTGTCACCCAGGCTGGAGTGCAGTGGCGCAATCTCGGCTCACTACAAGCTCCGCCTCCCAGGTTCACGCCATTCTCCTGCCTCAGCCTCCCAAATGGCTGGGACTACAGGCGCCCGCCACCACGCCTGGCTAATTTTTTGTATTTTTAGTAGAGACGGGGTTTCACCGTGTTAGCCATGATGGTCTTGATGTCCTGACCTCGTGATCCGCCCGCCTCGGCCTCCCAAAGTGCTGGGATTACAGGCGTGAGCCACCGCGCCCGGCCGACACTTAGTTTTAAATCCAGTTTAATATTTTATACACAGGTTCTTGTACTGGTTTCCACTTATTTTATGTAATTCTTGAATTCCCCCACAAAATTACAAACCTCTCGGGAACCATGCTCCACCCTGCTTTAGCACCTATGTTCCCTCCCACATCCAGTACACAGCGAACATTACATCAGTATCAATCGGTATATGGGAGGATGTAAATAACCTAGTGTATATCCATAGTAAGTAATACTCTGCAACTGTTAAAAATAATAAGGTGGATCTATATATTCTGACATGGAGAGATTTCCAATTCATATTATTTTGCCCCTGAAAATTAAAGCAATCAGGCACAGTACAAAACCCTCTATGTAGAAGGAAGTAAAAGAAACAAGGGCCTGGTCCATCCGTTTATTTCCTTCCTCCTACTACCCCTAGTCGCAGACATTTGTTACAATCTCGTGTGGCAGAACTCAGTAATTTCCTGTATTTTCCCTTTCAAAAAGAACTGTAGTTAATGTTAAATAAATGTCTAAGTCAGTTGCCATAGGACTTGCCACAATACTAGTCACACTTATATGGGGCTGTCATTGCTCATAGTGCTTTACATGAATTAACTCATTTAACCCTCACAATAGTCTTATAAGACACTGAGGCACAGAGAGGTGAAGTAACTTGCCCTAGGTCAGACAGCACAGCAAGGAGGTGGCAGACCCAGGATTCAAGCCTGGACAGTCTAGCTCAGGAGCCTGTGTCCTTAACCTCTATGTTGAAGGTGCTCTTCTTTTTTTCTATTTTGTGTATGCCTCAGTGATGGATGGCACTCAGAATGCTGTGTAAGAATGAACAGAAAAGAAAAAAAAGTCCCCATTGCCACCCTAACCTATGGCTCCGTTTATGGACTTGTAGGTTTGAGGTACCTATAAGGAGCTACTGATGCCTTCTGGAAACTATGTGTGGGCTGCTACTGAGAGAACATGACCATTTGCTATGACTGTGTTAGTCAAGTGATATACATAGATCTCCCCAGCAAGTGCCTCCTGAGGACGGGTTCCAGCCCCAACCCTAGATCATATCAAGTACAGCTCCAGCTATTAAGCTGGCTAATGATGGTCCAGGTGTAACAAATCCCACCTGATTGAAACCGGCAGGGGTAGACCCGCTAACTTTTATAGAAACATAGGTACAAAGTATAAGGTTCCTAGGATTCTGATTCTTGGCTCTTCAAAGGCCGAAGGAATGAAGATTGATGCCATCTAAAAGCAAATTAGGAGGCCTTGCCCAGGCCCAGGCCCCCGAATAGTGTATTGGAGATGACACGGTGTTTAGTGCTGTTTCAGGTTAAGTCAGCGTCCCTCCAATGTGCCAGACCTACTGTCACAGCAATATGTATCCCCAGTTCACACACGGAATGTTTGCTCTCTAGCAGCCAAATACACTGGAACTGGCAGTAATGATCTCACAAAAGCAGGAAAGCTGAGCAGTCAGTCACATGATTACCAAGGTATTGAGATGGAAGAACTGGGCATCACTTAATGAAAATATCTTGGCATCTTAGAATCAGAAGTTTCCAAACTTGGAGGCAGTTTAAGAACCATCATATCCAAAGTCCTTGTTTTACAAATGTGGCAACTGAAGCTTTAAAAAAAAGGTAGGCCTGCGGGCTCCTTGCCTGAGCAAAGTTAAAGTGTAGTTCTTTCAATACAATTCATTCAGACCTCCCTTTCAATGACAGCAGGGCCTTTAGTCCCAACTACAGTCATTAATTCATCCCTGGTACTTGACTTCTATTCCTCCTTTCTTCTTAATGGTCCTGTTTTTATTTTATTTTGTTTTATTTTTGAGACTGAGTCTTGCCCTGTCACCCAGGCTGGAGTGTAGTGGTGTGATATGGGCTCACTGCAACCTCAGCCTCTAGGGTTCAAGTGAGTCTCGTGCCTCAGCATCCCAAGTAGGGCTAATATCTGTATTTTTAGTAGAGACCCTGTCTCTTCACTATGTCGTCCAGGCTGGTCTTGTACTCCTGGCCTCAAGTGATCTACCCACCTCGGCCTCCCAAAGTGCTGGGATTACAGGTGTGAATCATTGTGCTAGGCCACATTTTTTTTTAATTGTTCTGTTTGTGTTGTGTTTACTCATACAGAAAAGGAGAATCATACCCCCATTCCACCACCCCACTCCAACCCCTCCACTGTGGCTCCAATGTTACAGACCACTCCTAACTTCAGTCCCGGAAGAATGGAAGGAAGGCTGCAACTTAAGAGACTGCGGTTAGAAGTGATCTTCATAAATTGTTTGCCTTGCCTGTGTCTAGAGTCCTTAAGGTATGGGTCCTCCAGGCGGTTTTCAGGCTGTTCTCTTATGTAACCATGTTTATGAGGTGAAATTATTTGACAATGTGCTTGTACTATTTTCAAATAATGAAAACCAGCCATTGCCCTATTAATGTCTCATCAGAACAAAAATTCTGCCTTCCGTGTGCAGACTGCTCACTGGTTTTCAAAACTACCGCTTCTCCCTTCTGGAACAGCCCTACCTTCCCACTTGGAAGGGGGAATGGGAAAGTGGCTGCACTGAGTTGCCCCTCCTGTCTCCCTTCCCTCCCCCAACCCAACCCCCTCCACCTCCTGCTTTGCAGATTCTCTAGGTTGATGTCTACCTTGATCTGCAGGTGGGTTCCAGTTGGAGAGTCTCTGGACAAAAGCAAAGCCTACTTTTCTCCCCAGGGTGAAAGGCGTGGGGAGAGGCCATGAGGATGGGAGGAGTGTGCTCCAAATCAAAATGCTTCTCCTGGAAGTCAGGAAAGAATTCCAGATCACTAGCTCTGATAAGACTCTTGTGCTAAAGAAACAGGCTAGGGCCGGGCGCGGTGGCTCACACTTGTAATCCCAGCCAGCACTCTGGGAGGCCGAGGCAGGCGGATCACAAGGTCAGGAGATGGAGACCATCCTGGCTAACAGGGTGAAACCCCGTCTCTACTAAAAAATACAAAAAATGAGCCGGGCGTGGTGGCGGGCGCCTGTAGTCCCATCTACTCGGGAGGCTGAGGGAGGAGAATTGCTTGAACCCGGGAGGTGGAGGTTGCAGTGAGCCGAGATGGCGCCACTGCACTCCAGCCTGGGCGACAGAGCGAGACTCCGTCTCAAAAAAAAAAAAAAAAAAGCAGGCTGTAAGGGAAGTCTCTTCTAACACTGCCCTGGAGCTAGGACATTTCCTAGACTGGCTCAGAAAAGACCTGTCTTTGAGGACAATGCCGCTTTAGGGTAGAATCTAGCGGAACACCACCTTTCGACATGGTCCCGGCATGGCCTCCCCTTGGGGCGTGGAAGGCGGGAAAGGGCCCGTATTTCGGTTTGACAGCCTGAGATGTGAATCCCGGTTGAGCCATTGACTAGCTGTGACCTTGAGCACATTCACTTTCCTGAACTTCAAGTTTTCTCATCTGTGAGTCGCGGTTAATAATACTTACACAGTGGCCCTAAAAAATCAGAGAGGAAAAAAAAGTCTATGCAAAATGCCTGCTTCGTACAAAGGGCCCAGAAGTGGTAGTTTGTTTGTTTGTTTTTGTTTTTGAGGCTGGAGCGCAATGGTGCGATCTCGGCTCACTGCACCCTCCGCCTCCCGAGTTCAAGCGATCCTCCTGCCTCAGCCTCCAGGGTAGCTGGGACTACAGGCGCCCGCCACCACGCCCGGCTAATTTTTGTATTTTTAGTAGAGACGGGGTTTCGCCATGCTGGCCAGGATGGTCTTGAACTCCTGACCTCAGGTCCCCCCGCCTCGGCCTGCCAAAGTGCTGGAATTACCGGCGTGAGCCACCGCGCCCGGCGCTATTATTATTAATAACTAAGGGAAGCCCAGGGAAAACTCAGCAGAAATCAAGGACTCTCGTGAGAAAAAAGGAACCGAAATAGCCCAGACTGGCGCTCCCCGGACTCTGCAGCGGGCGGCGCTGCCCACGGAGGGGGGCGGGCTGGGAGTGGGGGATCCGGGGGAGACGAAGGTGAAGGAGCTGCGGGGCTAGTTCTGAGCCGGGAAAAGGTGAGGGCGGCCCTGGGCCTCCCGCGGGGGAAGGAAGAGATGAAGCCACGTGACAGGGCCCAAAGCCGGGCCCCGAGCGCGCCGCAGACCGGATGCGGGAAGTGGGCTCGGGGCCCCGCTCCCCTGCCCGGCTCGCCCGCCCGCGTCAGCTGACCTGGCTTCCGCGGGCCCTGCGCCCTCGCGCTCCCGGGCCCCGGCCGCCCCCACGCCCCACGCCGCGCCCGCCGGCCCGGCCCTCCCTCCCCAGCTGGCCCGGCCGCCGCGGCCTCTTCCGCCCGGCGCCCGCGCATTCCTGCCATTCCCCCGAGTCGGCCCGCGGGCTACGGCCGCCTGCGGAGCGCAGGAACCTTCACCTCCCGAGGACAGGCGCCTTCCCCTCGGGACCCGGCTCCCCTGCTGCCTGCGCCGCTCTGTCCCCCTGCCGCTGCCCAAGCCTCCAGCAGGGGCCACCGAGGGCTCCAGGAGCACCCCAGGCCCGTTCTTCTGGCCCACAGCGCCCCTCCTGTGACCCTCAGCGACCCTCCTGTCCTGCCCTCCGGCGGCGCGGCTGTCTGGAGACTCTGCACCGTCGCGGCCTCGCAGCCTCGCAGCCCCGCGCCGGGTGGGGAGGGGAGGGTGGCGTTCCTGAGTCCGCGGAGGAAAGGGTCGCAGCTGCAGTCGCGCCAGCCCTCGGGCCTACATCCGCTCCGCCGCGACGCGGCTCACAAACTAGGGAGGGGAGAAGGGAAGAAAGACCCGATTCGGGAACACGGCTTTGTCCCTGGAACTGTACCTCATGTCCCCTCACTTAATCCTCCCAAGACCTGTGGGGCGTGTCGTCATTTTAGGGCTGGAGATGAGGAAACCGAGGCTCGGAGAGATGAAGCGTTGTACGGCCACCGAGCGGCTGCTTTGCAACGAAGCCAAAGCCAACGTTTTGTTCTTAGCGGCGGTCGTTTGAGCCACGCCTCACCGCAACGAGTCTGCCATCAGCCAAGAGGTCACATCTTTTCTGGAACTCGCTCCCCCCTCACATCATGGGAGCAGTCAGTCTACTCTTCCAGTAGAAACTGTTTTGCCACTTTTGGGGGGAATCTTGAGCTACCAGCTCATCGCTCAGGTCTTAGATGACACTTTCCTTGACCCCACCGGGTGCTCCAGCGCCTCTGCTTCCGGTTTTCATAGCCCTTATAATATCACCTATTGCAATTGCCCATTTCCTTGTCTGTCTCCCTCTGCAGATGGAGTGAAGGTACCTGAGCGCAGGAACCATGGTCTTCATTGCTGCCTCAGCATTAGCGGAAGTGCCACGGGCCGGCTCCCAGGGGGCCAGAGTTTCCCAGGAACACCATTGAGTACCACTGAACTAGAGTCTGCAAGTTAAAGTAAGGCAAGAAGGAAAACCGGAAACAACTGTAAAAACCTGACCTTTCGTCACCTTAATACTGGCCATCATTTATCGAGTGCTTATTATGTAACAGACATTGTTCTCAGTGTGTGAGTGCAGTGTTCCTCAAACCTAAATGTGGGCCTGAATCGCAGCGGATCTTGGTAAAATGCAGTTTCTCATTCAGTACCTCTGGGGTGCGGCCTGAGATTCTGCATTTCCAACAAGCTCCCAGGATACTTTGTATAGAAAGGCTTTGGTGTATTAACTAACTCGATCTTCTTAATAATCCTATGAAATACTACTGCTATTCCCATTTTACAGATGAGGAAACAGAGGTTAAGCATATATGAACTTACATCAAAATAAATAGACTGCAGGGCAAGGAGGGAGGGGAGAATAGTGTGGGCAGTGTACAGTGCAGAAACAAAGTTCTAGGCAGAGGAAAAAGGATTTACAGAAAGCCTGGCATACAGGGCAGGGGGACGGGGCCTGCACACGGGGCTGTTTCACCGTTAGACGTTATAAGCACAGTACTTGGGGCTATGGGCTTCCTGAAGGTCCCAAGTATTTGAGACCTGAAAAAAATTTATTGACACCTACATAGGAAAAGTGAACTTTTAAATTAATAATTCCAAAATTCAAATCACGAATTGTTTCAAAAATTTTACATGATAGAATTCATATTTAGTAAGCGATACGGGTATATTTTAATGCATTTGATTTTAAAAACGGGGTAGGGCCTACTAAGAACAGGCCAAGCCCTGGCCCCAGTGGGTTTGGATATAATCCTGAGGGCAGCTGGGAACCACTGAGAGAAGCAGGAGAATGTTCTCTGTGGCTACAGTGAGGAGAATGGATTGGAGGGAGGCCAGACTGGAGGCCCAGTGGCTAGAGACCAGATAGGCAGTTACAGTCTTCCAGACTGCGAGACAATCTCTCTTTAGTGCCAAGATTAGCATAAAATCATAGCATTATATAACCCAATTATTCTTTGATTCCTGCATCCCCAATCTGACTCAGCATTCTAAATTTACTTAAGATCTGGGGACAAGGGTTTTTGGCAAATCCTTGAAGGCAAATGATGTTACAGTCAATCAGTATATGCCTTGAGCCAGACAGACATGGGTACGGGCCTCAGTTCTGCTGCTTGCTAGCTATGTGACTTTGCACAAGTGATTTAACTTCTCTGGGCCTTGGATTCCTTACTGGTAACACGAGCATAATCGATTCCTCACAGAATTAAGTGAGAAAACTATGTATGTAGGACTTCTTATGGAGTGGGTACTTAGAAATAAATGGTAGCCGTTATCATTTATGTGCCTTTGTTCTGAAATCTGCTTAAGTTTTCTCTAGGAAGTAACAGAGGGTAGAATAAATTATTTAGTATTTTCATCAATCTTCTGAGATAAAAATTATTATCCTCATTTTGCAGATAAGGAAAAGGGCTCAGAGATTAGATCACAGCTCTGTGAAGTAGGGGCACAAAGTGGTCAACCTGGAAGAGCTGGACTTTATTTTGCTTGCACTTCTGTCCATGCACTCTCTCCAGCAGTTGACATTTGCCCTCTTTGATGGCTCCACGACCAATTTCCCTTAGTCATGGCATGAGTCAGCTGTGAGGGCTGATGGCACACCACCGAATACTCTGCTGTGGCGCCACTAGCCTCCATTTACCTTCTTCTCCAACGTTTTCCAGCCTCCCTCATACCTTGCCCCCCAGTTTTATAGCTTCTGGATTTTCCTTATTAAAGAGCTTGTTTCTGAGACTCAGAACCGCCCCCGACTGGGATGTCTTCCAGAGTACCTCCCTTTCAAGGGAGCAGATAAGTAGGTCACATCGGGATGGCGAGGGAGGAAGCTGACTTCTTATGGGAGGAGGAAAAATACTGCAGGTCACATGGAGAATGGAAAACAAAATAACAGGGTTTCTCTCTTTTCCTAATTCTCTCACACAATCTCACAGGGACAGCCCGCTGCCAGCCACTACTACTGTGACTAGCATTCTGGAAACAGCACAGGCAGTACTGATTTCTTGGACCTTGAGGACACTAGTGGCAACTTGAGGATAAGCCTTGTCTACCCTGTGCTCCCCTCCATCCTACCTGCCTCCTCTTCAGGCTACTCCATAGCCCCCAGGATATTTTTTTCTCCTACGCAGTGAAGCGAAATCTCAGCTTTTACAGGAGCGTCCACCTCTTGGACTGCCCCTTGAGGGCCTGAAAGCACAGAGCTCTGCAGGGAAGCTCTGTGGGGCAGGAGGGCACTGCCCGTGAGTGCCTGGAGCAGCCCAGGATCCCATTTACAGAGACTCCTTTGCAGCAACCGGGTTAGGTCATGGGCTTTGCAAGATTCCTGCTCCCCTTCCCAACCCTAGTGAAGGCAGTTCACAACAAGGAATGTGGGTGAGCATTAAATTACGTAGATCACCGTGAAAGCCAGAGAAAAAGAGGGACAGAGGAAGGGTGCGGCATTAAAGATCCAATGCTACCAACCCCACCCTGCCCCACTATCCCTTGGGACGGAGCCCTGTTTGAATCATAACACTGGGCGGTCACATTTCTAGGAAACTGCAGCTGAAGAGGAAAGGTCCTGGTTGTGTGAGTGAGGCTGTGTACAGATTAGGACTGAAAATGTGTATCCGGGCAGACAATTGGTCTCTGGACTCCACACCCGAGGCACAAGACAAGCACACAAAACAAAATGACCAAAGCCTGACCCCTCAAACCTGAGGGTAAACAAACCTGCTTCCCTGGACAAGGGTTGTGGAAACAGGGAGTTCACCTCTGGAGAGGCGCAGGGGTTTTCCATTCTCCTGGCGTGGAGCCTGGTCAACTTCTAGCTCAGAGACTCGCTGTTCCAGGATACTGGGAGCTCTTTCACAGAAGCTTGGAGGTGATGCTGCAGACTTTGGGCTGGCACTCTCTCCCACCTGACTTCCACATTGCCCCCTGCCCTCCCTACCCCTGTTCCCAAGGCCCTCAAACTGTTCAGGGGTGCCAGGCCCCTCTGTTCCTTCTCTTCCACCCCTGCAGAAGGCATATTCCCCCATCCCTCAGGTGTCTGTGCCCAGGTGCCCCGTGGGAAAGCCCACTCTTGCCTTCAGTAGCTCTCTTCCCTCTCCTGAGACGCAAGGCTGGGTGACAGGAGACAGACATTCATCTTCACCCGAGCCCTTCATTATGCTTAATCTTTCTAGTGGGGGTGGGCCTGTCAAACACGTCTCTTTCCTAGGTTGGAGTAATCCCAAAGCACCTCTCATCATAGTGGCTGTAAATCCCACAAGTATGTGGCATGCACATAGTAGCACTGACAGTGTGGTGGTGCCCTGCACTGACAGTGTGGTGGTGCCCCACACTGAAACAAGAAGTTTGGACTTGAGAGGCTTAGAACCTTTGTCTTCTTAGAAAGTGACTGGCAGCTCCTCCTCCCTGGCACCTGCTCCAACCTGGGCCCCTTGATCTGCTGACATCTCTGCGTGACTCTGGGTGCGTTGCTTACTCCAGGTCTAGTGCAGGTGCTACAGGACTACCTGGGAGAAAGGAGCCAGTCTTGAAGTCTCCATTTCTCCCATACATCAGTCACTTAACGGATTTAAGTAAGACCTTAGTATGCATCGGGATCACCAGGGGACTTGTGAAAATACAGATTGCAGAAACCCTCATCTCCAGGGTTTCTGATTTGGTGGGTCTAAGGATTTGCATTTCTAACAAGTGATGGGGTGCTGCTGTTCCAGGGACCACATTTGAAAACCACTGAGTTCGAGTATAGCAAAAAGAAAACCTAGGTTTCAGTCCTGCCCTGCCGCTTCCAGGCTCTGTGGTCTTGTCTTTGACCTTCCTGAGCTTCACTTCTGCATCCATTAATGGTGTAGTAATGACCACTGGGTAGTTGGGAGGATTCATTTGCATCATGTGTTTGAAAGACCCTTTCACGGTGCATGGCAAATTGGATACATCAATTAGTCAACAAATACATTTTTTTTTGGATGGAATTTCACTCTTGTCACCCAGGCTGGAGTGCAATGGTGTGATCCTCGGCTCACTGCAACCTCCGCCTCCTGAGTTCAAGCGATTCTCCAGCCTCAGCCTCCCAAGTAGCTGGGACTATATGCACCCGCCACCACACCTGGCTAATTTTTGTTTGTATTTTTAGTAGAGACAGGGTTTCACCATGTTGGCCAAGCTGGTCACAAACTCCTGACCTCAGATGATCCGCCTGCCTTGGCCTCCCAAAGTGTGGGGATTACAGGCGTGAGCCACTGCGCCCGGCCTAACAAACACATATTTATTGAGTAGTCTGTCTGTTGTTCATTAGATACCCAATGCCATGAAGATTCTAAGGCCCAGTTAAACATCACACGTCTCTGGACCTTGATTTTTTCCTCTTTAAAACAAGGGCTAGACCCGTTCATCGGGGATGAACTGACCGAATGAATGGTCGTGTTCATGAGTGTTCTTTGCTCTGCAGAGGCACCTGGGCTCTCAGATAGAGGTCCAGGAAAGGCCTGGACAAGGAATAAAACATTTGGCTGTCACCTGCAAATCTAAGCACCCCATACTCCCATCAGAGTTGGACTTCTGCACAGGACCTGGAAGGCCTATTAGTCTAATAAACCAAATTTGGCCTTCAGGGTCCATCATGATCTGATTCCAACCTACCATTACAATCCTATTTCTCACTTTTCTCTTCCTTTCACCTTAGAGTCTAAACAAATCTATCTACTCATCCTTCCCCAGATATGCCCTGTGTTTTCCTGCCTCCAGCTTTTTGTTCACACTGTTTTCGGCACTAGAATACTCTTGCACTAGTCAAAGTCCTATTCATCCTTTGCAGCTCATTCAATGACTATATTTTCAAAGAAGTCATCCACCTATCTATCTATCTATCTGTCTATCTATCTATCTATCTATCTATCTATCTATCTATCTCAAGTGATTTTATCTTTTTCTTTTTTTTTTTTCGAGACGGAGTCTCTGTCGCCCAGGCTGGACTGCAGTGGCGCGATCTCGGCTCACTGCAACCTCCGCCTCCCGGGTTCAAGTGATTCTCCTGCCTCAGCCTCCAGAGTAGCTGGGATTACAGGCATGCGCCACCACACTCGGCTAATTTTTGTATTTTTAGTAGAGACGGGGTTTTGCCATGTTGGCCAGACTGGTCTCAAACTCCTGACCTCAGGTGATCCGCCCACCTTGGCCTCCCAAAGTGTTGGGATTACAGATATGAGCCACCGCGCCCAGCTGGGATGTCACATTTCTAGTCTTGGAGCATATTCAGATACAAAAAATAAGAGTTGTCCTATGTAAAACTATTAAAAAGTGGAACAGCCACTTAAAAGGAGATGCCTACTTATACATAATAGTCATGTATAAACTGTTTATTTTTTATGGTAATCAGAAACAGTGAATATGTGTGTGTGTATATGTGTATATATATATATATATATATAGTAGCCCATGAAATCTACTCATTTGCATATAGGCACACCTGCTTCTCTAATTTTCTTTTTTAAACTACAAGTTTTTTTCTATTCTAAATATAATATATGGGTTAGTAGAAAATGTGCAAAGGAAATAAAAAGTGAAAAGAAAAGTAACAGATGAAAATAAATCATTCATAAACCCATAATCCAGAAATAACTAGTATTAACCTTTTGGTTTATTTTTTCCAATAGTTTTCCTACACATGTTTATTCTATATGATTTTTAAAGGAAATTGAGATGAAGTGTTTATGAGCTTGTGTATCTTACTTCTTTAACCTAACATATGATTAGCATTTTGATATTCCCTTAAGTATTCTTCCAAAACATAAAAAATTGTTCCATATTTATTTACAGATATATCAAACTTTAACCATTTCTTCATTATTGGACTCCCCATTTTTTGTTATGAATAATATTTCAATGAACATCTTTGCATATCTAAACACAACTTCGATCATTTTCTTAGGCTGTTTCTAGAAGTGAGATTAGTAGATTTTTTTTTTTTTTGGAGGCAAGGGATAGAGTCTCACTTTGTTCCCCAGGCTGGAGTGCAGTGGTGTGATCTCAGCTCACTGCAACCTCTGCCTCCCAGGTTCAAGCGATTCTCATGCCTCAGCCTCCTGAGTAGCTGGGATTACAGGCGCTCACCACCACACCTGGCTAATTTTTATATTTTTAGTAGAGACGGGGTTTCACTATGTTTCCCAGGCTGGCCTCAAAGTGAGCTCAGGTGATGTACCAGGTGATGTACCTGAGCTCAGGTGATGTACCGAAGTGCTAGGATTATAGGTGTAAGCCACTGCTCCTGGCAAGTCATTTTAAAATCTCTTGGCCAGGCGCGGTGGCTCACGCCTGTAATCCCATCACTTTGGGAAGCCAAGGCTAGGGGATCACGAGGTCAGGAGTCCGAGACCAGCCTGGCCAACATAGTGAAACCCTGTCTCTTCCAAAAATTACAAAAATTAGCCGGGCGTGGTGGCGGGTGCCTGTAGTCCCAGCTAATCAGGAGGCTGAGGCAGGAGAATTGCTTGAACCCGGGAGGCGGAGGTTGTGGTGAGCCGAGTTCGCGCCACTGCACTCCAGCCTGGGCAACACAGTGAGACTCAGTCTGTATAGGGATATCTTGACACATATTATAGTATCAAATGGTTTTCTGGAACTTCCATTTGAAAATACTTCTGGAGACTTCTGGTTTCTGATTCTGCATGTAAGGCACTTGGAATTAGCCACTCTATCCTAACGAGTAAAAAGCTGAAGAAACGGAAAAATCAACAACTCTTCTTGGATCCAAAAGAGTGGGAAAGACATAGGGCAAACCACTGCCCCTAACATCAGTGAGACAGACAGGTGCATACAGGGAGTCATGGCTTACTGGGGCAGACTCACAAGGGCAATTCTCCTCGGGAGTTAGTGCCAGCTAGGAAAACCTGAACTGTAGTCAACAAACTGCTTGGAGGCTCAGAATGGACAAGTCTGAGAGTTAAAAACTCCAGGGTGACCCAGTCATGGGGGTGGGCATTGGAGGAAATGCTTTTGTGAGTTTTACCTCTAGGAGCTGCCCAAGTTCTATAGTAAATGTCAGAGAAAAATCTCCTCATGCTTCTGGCAGGGGAAAGGGAGAAGGAAACATTTCAAAATAGGCCAGAGCATTCTGTTGGTTCTTCTTAACAAGGCCTGACCTCAGGAGAACTATTTAACCAGAGCCAAACTTTGCTGGGGTTTTATTAGAGCCCAGGTGACCTGGGGGAAGGGGAAGATCCGATTGCAGCGCACTCTAGCTGTCCTGACCCACCTAAGGTGTGGGTACTAGACGCATTTGTGATGTTCAGTCCAGAGGCATGGGCTCACTGAAAGACTGACACCCAACCATAGAGCTGTGGAACACTTCCCCTCCCCTCACATTTTACCACCACATACTAAGGCCTATTTATGGCAGTTCCTTTTGCCTTATACATACCTATCAAGAAAAAATTACAAGGCATACTAAAAGGCAAAAACCACAATTGGAAGAGAAGAGCAAGCATTAGAACTAGACATGGCAGGGATATTGGACTTTATCAGACCAAGGATTTAAAACAACTATGATGAATATGCTAGGGGTGCTAACGAATAAAGCAGATGGCACGCAAGAAGAGATGGGCAACGTAAGTGGAGAGACGGACACCCTAAGAGAGAACCAAAAAGAAACGCCAGAGGTCAAAACACTGACAGAAATGAAGAATGCCATTGATGGGCTCATTAGTAGACGGGTCATGGCTAAGGAAAGAATCTCTGAGCTTACGCATATCTCATAGAAGGCCCCTACATGGAAAAGCAAAGAGACAAAGGCTGAGAAAAATAGAACAGACTATTCAAGAACTGTGGGACAACTACAACAGGTATCATATATGTGTAATGGAAATAAATGAAGGAGGAGGCAGAAAGGAACAGAAAAAATATTTGAAACAATAATGACTGAGCATTTCTCTCAAATTAATGCTAGATGCCAAATTATAGATACAGGAAACTCAGGAAAAAATCAAGCAGGATAAATACCTAAAGAGCTACAAAAAAATCGAAGACAAAGAAAAAATCCTGAAAGAATACACAAGAAAAAAAAATCTTACCTATTGAAGAACAAAGATAAGAATTACATCTGATTTCTCCTCAGACACATGCGGAGAAGAAAGTGGAGTGAAATCTTCAAAGCATTGAAGGAAAAAAATCCACCAACCTGGAATTCTCTATCTTGCAAAATTATCCCTCTAAAGGGAAGGAGAAATAAAGACTTTCTCAGACAAACAAAACTAAGAGGATTTGTTGCTAGTAGCTCTGTCTTGCAAGAAATATTGAAAGAAGTTCTTTAGAAAGAAGGAAAATGAAGCTGGGCATGGTGGCTCATGTCTGTAATCCCAGCTCTTGGGGAGGCCAAGGCAGGCAGATCACTTGAGGCCAGGACTTCCAGAAAGAAGGAAAATGAAATAGGTCAGAAACTCAGATCTATGTAAAGAAAAGGGAACTATCAAAGAAAGAATCAATGAAGGTAAAAGAAAAACTTTTTTTCTTATTCTTTTTTAAAATTAACAAATGAAAAAATTCAGCCAGGCGTGGTGACTCATGCCTGTAATCCCAGCACTTTGGGAGGCTGAGGTGGGCAGATCACTTGAGGTCACAAGTTCAAGACCAGCCTGGCCAATATAGTGAAACCCCATGTCTACTAAAAATACAAAAATTAGCTGGGCGTGGTGGCAGGCGCCTGTAACCCAGCTACTTGGGAGGCTGAGGCAGGAGAATCGCTTGAACCCGGGAAGCGAAGGTTGCAGTGAGCCGAGATCACGCCATTGCACTGCAGCCTGGGCAACAAGAGCAAAACTCTGTCTCAAAAAAAAAAAAAGAAAAAGAAAAAGAAAAAAATTCATACATTTGTGATATACAAAGTAATATTTTGTTTCTTTTTTTTTTTTTTTTTTTTGAGATGGAGTCTTGCTCTGTCACCCAGGCTGGAGTGCAGTGGTGCGATCTTGGCTCACTGCAAGCTCCACATCCCAGGTTCACACCATTCTCCTGCCTCAGCCTCCCGAGTAGCTGGGACTACAGGCACCCGCCACCATGCCTGGCTAATGTTTTGTATTTTTAGTAGAGACGAGGTTTCACCTTGTTAGCCAGGATGGTCTTGATCTCTTGACCCGTGATCTGCCCGCCTCTGCCTCCCAAAGTGCTGGGATTACAGGCGTGAGCCATATTTTGTTTCTTATACTTAATTGATCTAACAGTTTGTTCAAAATGAACAAATCAAAATATCAACAATATATTTGATTATGTATACTTATGTATATGTTTTATGATGTATACACATATATATGTATACATATATGTGCGTAAAATGAATGCCAGCAATGATACGTGGAACAGGATGGAGGAATTAGGATTGTTTTGTTATCATAAGGTACTCACACGATCCATGAAATGGTATAGTGTTATTTGAAAGTGCACTTGGATTTGTTGTACTTGTAAACTGCAAACTCCAGGGCAATAACTAAAAAAAGTTAAAAAAAAGTACAACTGATACACTATGAATGGAGATAAAACAGGAACATATAAAATGCTCAGTTAAAACCACCAAAGGCAAAAAAAAAAGTGGAAGACAAAAATAGGAGCAAAGAATGAGGGTAACAAATAGAAAAACAGTAACAAATGTGGTAGATCCAACTATATCAGTAATCACTTTGAATGTCAATGGTCTAAGTGCATAATTGAAAGGCAGAAATTGTCAGGATGGACACAAAAAGAAGACTCAACTGTATGTTGTCTACAAGAAACTCACATTAACCATAAAGATACATATAGATCAGCTGAGTGTGGTATCTCACCCCTGTAACCCAGCACTTTAGGAGGCTGAAATGGGAAAATCACTTGAAGCCAGGAGTAAGACTAGCCTGGGCAATATAGTGAGACCCCATCTCTACAAAGAATAAGAAAATAGCTGGGTGTGGTGGTTTGTGCCTGTAGTCCTAGCTGCTTGGGAGGCTGAAGTGGGAGGATTGCTTGTGCCAAGGCATTTCAGGCTGCAGTGAGCCAAGATGGTGCCACTGCACTCCAGCCTGGGTGATGGGTGATAGAGTAAGACCTTGTATCAAACAAAAAAAGACACATACGGATTAAAAGTAAATGGATGGGGTCAGGCACGGTGGCTCACGCCTGTAATCCCACACTTTGGGAGGCCGAGGTGGGCAGATCACCTGTCAGGAGTTCGAGACCAGCCTGACCAACATGGAGAAACCCCGTCTCTACTAAAAATATAAAAATTAGCCGGGCATGGTGGCACATGCGTATAATCCCAGCTACTCCGGACCTTGAGGCAGGATAATTGCTTGAACCCGGGAGGCAGAGGTTGCGGTGAGCCGAGATCATGCCATTGCACTCCAGCTTAGGCAACAAGAGTGAAACTCCGTCTCAAAAAAAAAAAAAAAAAAGAATTATACACCACACCAACTGGGGTTTAGTCCAGGTATGCAGGACTGGTTCAACATTTGAAAATCAATTAATGCTAGGTGCAGTGGCTCACGCCTTTAACCCTAGCACTTTGGGAGGCCGAGGTGGGTGGATCACCTGAGGTTGGGAGTTCAAGACAAGCCTGACCAACATGGAGAAACCTGTCTCTACTAAAAATACAAAATTAGTCGGGCGTGGTGACACCCGCCTGTAATCTCAGCTGCTCGGGAGGCTGAGGCAGGGGAATCACTTGAACCTGGGAGGTGGAGGTTGCAGTGAACTGAGATCAACTATTGCACTCCAGCCTGGGCAACAAGATCCAAACTCCATTTCAAAAAAAAAAAAAGAGAATAAAATAAAAACAAAAGAAAATCAATTAATGTAATTAATCACACCAACTGACTAAAAAAGAAAAATCACATGATCATATTAATAGATGTAGAAAAAGTATTTGGCAAAATTCAACACCCATTCATGATAAAAACTCTCAGTACACTAGATAATTTCCTCAATTTGATAAAGAATATCTACAAAAAGCCTATAACTAACATCATACTTAATGATAAGAAAGTAGAAGCACTCCCACTAAGATTAGAAACAGGCAAGGATGTCTCCTGTCACCACTGCTTCATACATTGAATTTGCATTCAGTATGAACAAGTCTTAGCAGTTTCCCAGTCTTTGCTAGGAAGTCCTAGTAAATGCAATGTAGTTCCTTCAGAAAAAGGAAATGAAGGGACTACAGATTGGGAGTGAAGAAATAAAACTATCTCTGTTTGCAGATGACATGATTGTCTATGTAGAAAATCTAAATGAACTGACCAAAAATCTGCTGGAACTAATAAGCAATTATAGCAAGGTTGCAGGATACAAGGTTAATACATAAAATGCAATCACTTTCCTATGAAACAGCACTGAACAAGTAGAATCTGAAACTTAAAACACTACCATTTACATTAGCACCTAAAAAAGTGAAATGCCTATGTATAAATCTAACAAAATATGTACAATATCTATTATGAGGAAAACTACAAAACTGATTAAATAAATCAAGGAACTAAATAAATGAAGGGGACAAGCGCGGTGGCTCACGTCTGTAATCTCAGCACTTTGGGAGGCTGAGGCGGGTGGATCACTTGAGGTCAGGAGTTCGAGACCAGCCTGGTCAACATGGTGAAACCCTGTCACTACTAAAAATACAAAAATTAGCTGGGCATGGTGGCACGCACCTGTAATCCCAGCTACTCAGGAGGCTGAGGCAGGAGAATTGCTTCAACCTGGGAAGCGGAGTTTGCAGTGAGCTGAGATTGTGCCACTGTACTCCAGCCTGGGTGACAGAGCAAGACTCCATCTTAATAAATAAATAAATAAATTTATAAATAAATATAAAATAAATAGATAGATAGATATTCCATGTTTATGGATAAGAGGACTCACTATAGATTCAAACAATCCCAATCAAAATCAGTTGTGAATATCAACAAACTAATTGTATAGTTAGTTTATATAGAGAAGCAAAAGACCCGCAGGGCGTAGTGGCTCGCGCCTGTAATCCCAGCACTTCGGGAGGCTGAGGTGGGTGGATCATGAGGTCAAGAGATCGAGACCATCCTGGCCAACATGGTGAAACCCCATCTCTACTAAAAATACAAAAAATTAGCTGGGCGTGGTGGTGGGCACCTGTTGTCCCAGCTACTTGGGAAGCTGAGGCAGGAGAATCACTTGAACCCAGGAGGCGGAGGTTGCAGTGAGCCAAGATTACGTCACTGCACTCCAGCCTGGAGACAGAGTGAGACTCTGTCTAAAAATAAAATAAAATAAAATAAACCCAAAATAGGTGACAAAATACTGAAGGAAAAGAACAAAGTCAGAGGACTGACACTACCCGACTTGAAGAATTACTGTAAAGCGGCCAGGCATGGTGGCTCACACCTGTAATCCCAGCACTTTGGGAGGTAGGGTCTGGTGGATCACAAGTTCAGGAGTTCGAGACCAGCCTGGCCAAGATGGTGAAACCCCATCTCTACTAAAAATACAAAAATTAGCCAGATGTGGTGGCGGGCCCCTGTAATCCCAGCTACTCGGGAGGCTGAGGCAGGAGAATCGCTTGAACTTGGGAGGTGGAGGTTGCAGTGAGCCGAGATTGCGCCACTGCACTGTAGCCTGGGTGACAGAGCAAGACTCTGTCTCAAAAAAAAAAAAAAATTACTGTAAAGCTACAATAATTAAGACAATGTGTTTTGGACAAAGAATAGACAAATAGATCAATGGAACAGAATAATGAACCCAGAAATAGACCCAACTGATCTTTGATAAAGGAACAAAGACAATACGATGTAGCAGAGATAGTCTTTTCAACGAATGGTGCCAGAATAACCGGGCATCCACGTGTAAAAATATGAATCTAAGCACAGACCTTCCACCCTCTACAAGAATTAATTCAAAGTGGACTATAAACCTAAATGTAAAATGCGAAACTATAAAACTCATAAATGATAATATAGGAGAAAATCTAGATGACCTTGAATATGCTTACAACTTTTTGTATACAATACCAAAGGGTACAATCCATGAAAGAAATAATAAACTGGATTTTATTAACATTGAAAACTTCTACTCTGTGAAAGGCAATGTCAACAGAATAAGACAAGCCACAGACTGGGAGAAAATATCTGCAAAAGATGCATCTAATAAACAGTTGTTATCCAAAACAGACAAAGAATCTTAAAATTCAACAACAAGAAAATAAGGCCGGGCGCAGTGGCTCACACCTGTAATCCCAGCACTTTGGGAGGCTGAGGCGGGTGGATCACAAGGTCAGGAGTTTGAGACCAGCCTGGCCAACATAGTGAAACCCCGCCTCTATTAAAAATACAAAAATTAGCCGGGGCATGGTGGCGCATGCCTGTAGTCCCAGCTACTCAGGAGGCTGAGGCAGGAGGATCGCTTGAACCCGGGAAGCAGAGGTTGCGGTGAGCTGAGATCGGGCCACTGCACTCCAGCCTGGAAGACAGAGCGAGACTCCTTCTCAAAAAATAAATAAATAAATAAGTAACCCCACTAAATATGGGCAAAAAACCTGAACAGCCACCTCACTAAAGAAGATGCAAAGGTAGCAGATAAGCATATGAGAAGATTCTCCACATCTTATGTCACTAGGGAAATGCAAATTAAAACAAAAATGGGATATCACTGCACAGCTACTAGAATGGCCAACATCCAGAACACTGACAATACCAAATGCTGATGAGAATGTGGAACACCTATTCATTGCTGGTGGACATGCAAAACAGTATAGCCATTTTGGAAGACAGTTTGGCAGTTTCTTCCAAAACTCAACACACTCTTACCATATGATCCAGCAATTGCAATCCTTGGTATCTTCCCAAATGAATTCAGAATTTGTGTTTACACAAAAACCTACACAGGCTTTTTTTTTTTTTTTTTTTTTTTTTTTTGAGGCAGAGTCTCACTCTGTCACTCAGGCTGGAGTGCAGTGGTGCGATCTCAGCTGGCTGCAACCTCCGCCTCCCGGGTTCAAGCGATTCTCCTGCCTTAGCCTCCCGAGTAGCTGGGATTACAAGCACCTGCCACCATGCCTGGCTAATTTTTGTATTTTTAGTAGAAGTGGGGTTTCACCATGTTAGCGATAGCCAGGCTGGTCTCGAACTCCTAACCTCAAGTGATCCACTCACCTCGGCCTCCCAAAGTGCTGGGATTACAGGTGTGAGCCACTGCGCCCAGCTGAGTGGCTTTATACAGAATGATACGTAATGCCAAAACTTGGAAGCAACCAAGATGTCCTTCGGTAGGTGAATAAAATAAACAGTAGTACATCCAGACACTGGAATATTATTCAGTACTTAAAAGAAATGAGCTATCAAGCCATGAAAAGAGATGGAGGAAACTTCAGTGCCATTACTGAGTGAGAGAAGGCAATCTGAAAAGGCTACATATTGTATGATTCCAGCTATGTGACACTCTGGAAAAGGCAAAACAAAAAGTCAGTCATTGCTAGGGGTTCAGAGGGGAAGGAGCAATGAAGAGGCAGAATGCAGAGGATTTTTAGGGCAGTGAAACTTCTCTATTATGCTATGCTATGCTATGCTATGCTATGCTATGCTATGCTATGCTATGCTATGCTATGCTATGCTATGCTATGCTATGCTAATGCTATGCTATGCTATACTATACTATGCTATAGCGGTGGAAACATGTTATTACGCATAGAATGTTTAACACCAAGAGTGAACCCTCATGTAAACTGTAGACTTTGGGTCATAATGATGTGTCAATGTAAGGCTCATCGGTTGTAAAAAAACAATGTACCATTTTGGTGGAGGAAGTTGATAATGGGGAGTCTATGCATGTGGGGCAAGGGGCTATATGGGAGATCTCTGGCCTTCCTTCTCCATTTTGCCATGAACCTAAAACTGCTATTACATATATAGTTGCTATTCTCTCTATATATAACTGCTATTATATATTATATATAATATATATATAATATATAACTGCTTATATATATATATGTCTTTAAAAACAATAAAACAAACAAACAAACAAAAACACTCCCAGAGTACTTTGCCTATAGACCTTCTTCTATTCATAAGTGTTTTTACCTCCACTCCCATCTCATTCTATCTGTATCTCGCTCTACTTAACCTGAGCTATACTGAATTTGCATTCGGTTTGGACAAGTCTTAGTTCCTCTTTTGGCAGATCATCTTCACATTTCCATCAACATGCAGCACAGGTGGAAAAAAAGGGGCCAATAACTGGATCTGCCTGGGGAATCTGGAAGCCCAAGAGGAGCTGCATTTTGGGAAGGAGCCAGGCTAGGGGCTTAAACTCTGTACTTGGGGGTAGGGTTGCAACACTGGCTCGAAGGGGAAGAAAGGGATTATCCTCAACCTTTCACACATCCAGACTCTGGGAGATGCGCAGGCTTAGCTCCCTGGCAGGGCTACCAGTGAAGGCAGGGAGAAGGGCAGAGGCTTGGAGGCCACAGCCACAGGCCATAGAACAGAAGGAGCAGCTCCAGGCATCCAGCTGGTGGAGGCCACCTGCCCTGAGTGCTGTGCGCCACTCTTCACAGCCAGCTGTGCTGCTGCTACCCATCCCAGTCTCACAGGTCTTGACCTGGAGATACATTTGCAACATTGATTATAGAGGCTCAAGTTAATGTTATTTTAGATTAGAGTTTCCCAAACTTCAGTTGTGCCATGTTCAGGGTTTCAACGTCTCAGTGCAGTAGTAGGTGCGGGCACACACACCTGTGATCCATGTCACCCAGGGCTGCCGTACTTCTGAACAGGTCAGACAGAAACAGTTACTAAGACATTGAGGGTATGCCCAGGTCATGTGCAAGGACTGTATAAAGGTGTCAAAAAACTTCCTGCCACTTACTTGAGGCTCATCCTAAGCAATAAAAATGTTGGAATTGCCTGGACATGTGGCTCATGCCTGTAATCCCAACACTTTGGGAGGCCAAGACAGGAAGATCACTTGAGACCAGCAGTTAGAGACCAGCCTGGGCAATACAGTGAGACCCCAATCACTAAAAAAAGAAAAAAAAAATTAGCTGGGCATGGTAGTGCACATGTGTGGTCCCAGCTATTTAGGAGGCTGAGGCAGGAGGATAACTTGGGCCCAGGAGGTTAAGGCTGCAGTGAGCCAAGATTGCACCACTGCACTCCTGCCTGTGTGACACAGCAAGATCCTGTCTGTTAAAAAAAAAAAAAAAAAAAAAAGGAATCACAGGTCTGATAAGTTGTTATGCTTTCTTTCTTTTTTCTTTTCTTTTTTTTTTTTTTGAGACAGAGTCTCAAAAGTGCAGTGGCACGATCTCCGCTCACCACAACCTCTGCCTCCCAGGTTCAAGCAACTCTCCTGCCTCAGCCTCCTGAGTAGCTGGGACTACAGGCGTACACCACCACGCCTAGCTAATTTTTGTATTTTTAGTAGAGACAGGGTTTCACTATGTTGGCCAGGATGGTCTGCAACCCCTGACCTCGTGATCCGCCCACCTCAGACTCCCAAAGTGCTGGGGTTACAGGCGTGAGCCACCTAGCCCGGCCCTGTTATGCTCTTTCTAATGAATACTGAAACTATAAAGATGGCCAGCTATGGTGGCTCACACCTGTAATCCCAGCACTTTGGGAGGCCGAGGCTTGTGGATCATTTGAGGTCAGGAGTGCAAGACTAGCCTGGCCAATATGATGAAACCCTGTCTCTACTAAAAATATGAAAATTAGCCAAGTGTGGTGGTACATGCCTATAATCCCAGCTACTTGGGAAGCTGAGGCAGGAGAATCACTTGAACCCAGGAGGCGGAGGTTGCAGTGAGCTGAGATTTTGCCACTACACTCCACCCTAGGCGACAGAGTGAGACTCCATCTCAAAAAAAACTGTAAAAATAAACATTATAATAAAAAGCTGTCAGCCATTGATGTACCTTTACCACCCATTGGTGATAATTGTACCACATTTTGGGGAAACATTGTTTTAACTAAAGAGTGTTATTGTTTTGTTTTTAGAGATAGGGTCTGGCTCTGCCGCCCAGGCTGGAGTGCAATGGCATGATTGTAGCTCACTGCAACCTTGAACTCCTGGCTTCAAACAATCCTCCCACCTCAGCCTCCCGAGTAGTGGGGACTACAGGTGCATGCCACCATGCCTAGCTAATTACTTTTAAATTTTTAATAGAGATAGGGTCTTGCTATGTTGCCCAGGCTGATCTCTAGCTCTTGAGCTCAAGTGATCCTCCTGCCTCAGCCTCCAAAATGCTAGGATTACAGGCGTAGGCCACCGTGCCCAGCCAAAGGTGGACAATAAATTGTAGAAAATAATGGATAACCTTCTGAGCAAAGGAAAATGTAAGATACAAGAATTAAATAGCATATTAGAAGAGAGTGAATGACAAATGAAGAGAAAGGTACACTAACACCTCAGTTACCTGCTAGAGAGAGACATTCATCCAGCCTAGCCAGTCATTTCCTTCTCCTTCCTCCCACCACCTCTTTCCTTCTGAACCTCTGGTTCAGATGCAGAGTCCTTAGCCTGTAACTCTGGATCGTTCAACCCATCAGCACATAAGAAACTTGCTCTTCTGAGAATGAAAATAAGCAGCAACACAATTTCCTTAACAACCAAGGATCTTATAGAGGCAAGAACTAGAAGTAAGAAGAAAACACATACTAGGGACAGAAGACATGGACTGGAGGTCTTGGGCCAATTAGGTGACCTTATTCCTATCTCAGAGCCTCTCCAACTCATGGCTTCCTCAACTCATTCATTTAACAAATGTTTTCTAAAGCAATGACCGTGTACCAAGAGTTGCCTCATGCACTCGGGCTGCAGCAGTGAATAAAACAGGAGAGGCCCTGCCCTCAGAGATCTTGTGTCCTAGTGAGAGTGACAGGCAATACATACTAAATAAATAAGCAGTGTAACTTTAGGTGGTGAGCAGTGCTATGAAAGAAATTAAACAAATGATAAAGACAAATTGGGGAGGAGGCATCCTGTGAAGAGGTTGGTCAGGGGAGGGCTCCTGGGGGAAGTAACATTTGAGCTGAGACCTGAATGTACTAGGAAGGGCCAGCCAGGAGATAAGCCAGGGAAAGAAGGTTCCAGACAGAGGGACAAGCAAGCCTTGCGGTGGGACCGCTCTCGGGGCTGGCTGCCAATCCAGGAAAACAGCACTGGGTATGCAGTTGTACTAGGTGAATGGTTTTGACACAGCACACCAAGCAGTCCTACAGTTCCCTGGTGGTGTCTCAAGGGCGGAGGGGCCAAGGACAGAGACTCTGCCAGACTCACGCCACCCTGCCCAAAACACACACAGAGAACGAGAGAGAGAGAGAGAGAGAGAGACGCGTGCACATACTCTGCTTCAACAAAACAGCTCTTCTTTAATCCGAAGTGTATATTGGGTGGCTGCTTAAGATTTTGTTCGAGGACCAGGTTCAGGGATCAGAAATTCTTGATCTCAAAAGTCCTTTTCCACACTTTGTTTGATTCTCTGCAATGTTACACAGCCTCAGCAGTGGTCATAGAAGGGTTCGTTCTATTCTATCCATTGGCAAGGAGTCACAGAGTGCAGCTCCCAGCAATCTGGCTCTCCTCTCACCGTAACATCCCACCCTTTCCCCTCCAGCAGTGGACTGGAACCTCTGATGCCTTCCAAGCCCATCCCAGCTACAGAGGGACACACATCTCTGCCTCTTCCTAGGAGATTAGACTGATTTCCTTTCCTTGCACTGTCCAAATGAGACGCTTTCTGTCCTACACAGTAGAGCTTTGTGAAGACAGCCGAGAAACGGCTCAAGTTTTTTCCAACCTGTAAAATGCAAAGTTGGCCAGCTGCCTCTCTTCCTAGCCTCAAAACTCATATATTTCCTGTCTCCCCGGCAGCTCTAAGAGAAGTCTCTACTGTCCTGGGGTTTGGGGAAAGCACTGCTCAGAATGTGAAATCATTTTCTGGTAATACGGATCTAATTAGCTCTTTGACTGACAAGAGGAAGCAGAGGCCAAAAGGGAGTTAACCAATCTGTTTTTCAGATATTTCAAAACAAGTGAAGAACCAGATAGGGAAACAGAGAGAAAGAGAAAATAAAGAGACAAAGCCTAGGGAGCATTTGGAGAAGGGAGTGAGTAAGAAGAGAACGGGGAGGGAGAATATCAAGTGACTAAAGTATCAATCCTCTGTTCTTCCAGCTTCACCTCTACTCCCGGTCTCCCCTCTGCTCTCTTCCAGAGAGAACTTACTTGAAGGTCGATGTTTTCTCTTGCTGATTCCATCTCGCTGCCCTCAAGTCCCTTCACACGCACCGGGTGCCGGGAACAGACTGCGTGGGCTCCTCCAGGCTCCGCCGTCTGAGTCTCTGCTGCTTTCTTCGGGTGGGAGAGAGCACACAGCTGGCGGGACAGACCTGCCATTCATCCCTCTGATGTGGGATGCCCGTCTTGGCTGCAGCCTCTGGGGGAGGTGTGCACCTGCACACACGTGTGAGTGTATGTGTGTGCACATGTGTGTGCTCCAGGAGGTGGCACATGGCACACTGATAGGTGACCTTTTGAGTTGGTAGTGACAGCATCATTTTCACCAGTGGCTCCAGTGACCTTCCAGTCCCAGCGGAGCCATCTGAGGTCACCCAGCCTGCTTTGAGCTAGTAGCTTTATGACTGGCAAAGAAATCCTGCATGTTTATCAAGCAAATTGAAAAACAGCCTGAGGACAACGCTATCTGACTTCACCGCTGGGTCCAGTCCCCAGTCGCCACGGGTGGAGTGACCTCCAGCACAGTCTCAATACTGAGGCAGAGGGATTTCCGTTGTTCTTTGCTTTGTTCCCTATATCCCTAAAAGTTTTTAAAAAAATTGTAGTTTACCTAATAGGCTCCAAAGCATAGGCTTTGTTCTGCAAAGTGAGTGAACAATACGTTTTTACTGACGGATTGTTTGATTCCTTCAACTCCTCCCTTGATTAGCCATAGAGGGAGCAGGGAGTAGTTGTACCTTCGAAGCTTGTTTATGCAAACAGTGGTATTCTCCCTACTTTTAAAATAAAATTACCAGGAGGGAGTCTTTTTTTAGAAAGTTTTTTTTTTCCTCTCCTGTTTACCTTAGAGCCCAAAACTCTTCTGGCTTGTTCCTGAAGCAAGGTTTAGACACAAGCTTGTGCAGGTGTGGGTGTGGGTATGTCTGTAGACGTGCATGGCAGGGTGTTAACCTGTAATCCAATTCAGGGCTTGAAGAGGTGCGGGCAGGAGGAAGACAGGCAGAGTCAACACGTTTACCCTCACCACATTCAAATGTAAAAAAAAAAAAAGGCGATTTCTTCAGTTCTATGAAATGCCTTTATAAGTTCCCATCCCTCTGGACAGTGGTGCGAGGGAGGGTTGGATGATTGGATGGGGGCCATATTTTAGTCTAATCTATGAAGCATAGTTGGATTTAATCATTTAAATGGTAAACAGTCCACTTTAGACACAATGCTCAGTCTTTCGGATTTGCAGAAGATGGCACCTAGGTGCACAGGAGGGCGGGGTGGGGACGGTTCTTGCATCTATCCTGTGGCCTCTCCATCTCGGCTCCTTTCTGTTCTGGAGCTGCTGGGCCCACGGGCCCGCCCGAATTGCTGACTGCTGAGGAGACACAGGTCCTGCTCCTGGGTCTTCTGCTGGCCTTGGTGGCTGATGTCTGATATTAGGCCAGAGTCACTCATGGGTGATTCTCTTTCTGCCTTTGAGATCCAGTGTTCTCCCTTGCTGTCTGCGCTACCTTGGCTCGTGGCAATGTGGACCATCCTGAGACCTGGCTTTGACTTGTATGTGCCCCCATCCCACTGTATCCGCTCAGTGGCCCACATCTCTAAGATAAGCCCCTCGAAATTTTCCTGTGAGATGCTTGACCAGTGCTCCTGAGCCCCCTTAGGCACATGGGGACTGAGGGCTGCTGACGAAGGGCAGGGGAAAGGCAAGCTCAGCCCCACTTCCAGCAGAGTTTGCTCTGATGTGGCTGCTCCAACTGACACAGGGCAGTCTGCGAGGTGATCTCCTTCCACATTCCTGAATGGAAATGAGACCTGGAACCCACTCTTCTCAGCACTCCTTAAAAAGTCTACCAGTAATATCTATCACCCCACCGCTCATAATAATACCACTATGTATCAAGCACTATTCTAAGCACTTTTTTTTTTTTGAGATGGAGTCTCGCTCTGTTGCACAAGCTGGAGTGCAGTGGCGCCATCTCGGCTCACTGCAACTTCTGCCTCCTGGGTTCAAACGATTCTCCTGCCTCAGCCTCCCGAGTAGCTGAGATTACTTCTTCCCATAGTCCCCTTAATCTAGAATCAGAAAATGTACGCTTTGTCTTCTTTTTTTTTTTTTTTTTCCTGTTTGGCTGGGATGTATCTGATGTAGAACTCTATGACAACAATTCAAAGGGAAATGAAGAAATTTAGAAAATCCTCTCTCTCAAGAAAACCTGGTTGTCAAAAATATTGTCTTGGCTGGGCAGCATGGCTCATACCTGTGATCCCAGCACTTCGGGAGGCCAAAGCCGGAGGATCTCTTGAGCCCAGGAGTTCAAGACCAGCTTGAGCAACATAGTGAGATCCCATCTGTAGAAGAACTTTTTGGCTGGACATGGTGGCTCACACCTGTAATCCCAGCATTGTGGGAAGTAGAGGCAGGAGGTCACTTGAGCCCAGGGGTTCAAGACCAGCCTGGGAAACACAGTGAGATCCTGTCTCTACAAAAAAAAAATTTTTTTTTAATTTAGCTAGATGTGGCAGCTTGCAGCACCTGTAGTCCCAGGTACTTGGGAGGCTGAGGTGGGAGGATTGCTTGAGCCTGGGAGCTGAAGGCTGCAGTGAGCTATGATCATGACACTGTACTCCAGCCTGAGTTGACAAAGCAAGACCATGTCTTAAAAAAAAAAAAAAACTTTCTGGAAAACCTTATTTCGGATGCCAGAAGCAAAATATTAACTATTTATTTCTCTTTGCACTCCTGTTGTGAAAATCCTCATTATCTTTTAAATAATATGGATACATCTGGCTGAATAGAGGGAAACAGGAACAAAAAAATGCAAAAGAGAAAAGTACTCGAATATATTTCAAAAAATTTCCTATTAATAAGCACATTGGTTTGAAAAGGAAACAGCTGTAATTGGTTATAATAATGGTTTTGGTTTGGCAAGATCTTTCTGGATTTGGACCTTTCCCCATCTCATAAGCATCATTTGGAAGTAAACAGAAAAAAGGCTTTGGAAAATGGTTTATCTACCATATCACGCTGTAACCCTGGACCAGGGGTCAGCAAAGTTTTTCTTTTTCATTTTTCCCTTTTATAAAATTCAAATTGCTATATGAAGCTTTTTTAATTTTAATTTTAATTTTTTGAGACGGGGTCTCACTCTGTCACCCAGGCTGGTGTGCAGTGGCACAGTCTCTGCTCACTGCAATCTCTGCCTCCTGGGCTTAAGTGATCCTCCCACCTCAGGCCCCAACCCCCAGCCCAGTAGCTGGGATTACAGGCGCGTGCCACCATGCCTGGCTAATTTCTGTATTTTTTGTAGAGACGGGGGTTTCGCCATGTTGCCCAGGCTGGCCTCAAACTCCTGAGCTCAAGCGATCCGCTCACCTCGATCTCTCAAAGTGCTGGAATTACAGGCGTGGGTCACCATGCCCAGCCAGTAAACTTTTTCTGTAAGGGGCCAGAGAGCCAATATTTTTTAGCCTTTGTGTGTCATATGGTTTCTGCTGCGATGACTCACTTCTATAATAATGTGAAAGCAGTCATAGACAACATGTAAATGAACGAGTGTGGGAGTGTTCCAATAAAACTTTATTTACAAAAAGAGTCAGATATTCATAAAAACAGACCGGAGTTGGCTCCACAGGCTATAGTCTGCTGACCCCTGCTCTAGGATTTAATCAGAGTCTTTGAAGTCTAATTCCCACTTGAGAGGCAACTACTGAGTCTCTACCACGTGGATATTGGGTTAAACACTGCGGGGATATAAAAGCACCACATGCACGCCCTGGTGAGACAACTGATGGCAAGGGAAGCTGTAGTGAAGAGTGTTGCTGCCATTTGGCTGGTGCTGAAACTGCACCTACGTGGAGGTTATCACTGTGGGTGGAAATGGTTTCTATTGTTCTTTACTGCTAGGGTGATTTTTGTGGTGTAAAGCCAGAGGGACATTTTTAGGGAGACTGTCTCTTGGAAAGCATATTTTGGAATATCCTTGAACTTACAGATAAGTAGACACTCAGAGTGACTCAGAAACTACTCTGAGTCTAGTTTCATGGAATGAGGGGTCTACAATGAGACCCTAGGTATCTTGCTATGTAGAAGGAGCAAAGCATTGTTGTAGGGTACTGAAGAAGGCAACAGCAAGAAGATCCTTTAATTTTGAATTGTGGGAAAAGCTCTAGGGTGAAAGCCAGGTGGCCTGGATTCCTCTCTGTGTGCTGAGTCACTGTGTTTTTAGGCAAGTCACTTAACTTCTCTGGGGCTTACATTCTTGTTTGTGAATGTGAAGCTATCAAAAGAGTTGATTCCTAAGATCCCTCTAGCTCTTAAATTCTGTTTCTAATGTGTGTTTTGGCCAGGTGTCGTGGCTCACACCTGTAATCCAGCACCGAGGTAGGCAGATCACCTGAGGTCAGGAGTTTGAGACCAGCCTGGACAACATGGTGTAACCCCTCTCTACTAAAAATACAAAAATTAGCTGGGCCTGGTGGTGCATGCCGGTAATCCCAGCTATTTGGGAGGCTGAGGCACAAAAGAATGGCGTGAACCCAGGAGGTGGAGGTTGCAATGAGCCGAGACCACAACACTGCGCTCCAGCCTGGGTGACAGAGTGAGACTCTGTCTCAAAAAAAAAAAAAAAAAAAAAAAGTTTATATTAAATACTTCCTGTGTAACAATATAAAATCTCAGATACAGGTCTGAATTTCAGTGTGTAAAAGTTGAGGGCTAGAAATTATTGGCTTTTTAAAAAATTGAAGCAGAGCAAGAAGAATCTAATGCTTTTAGTTTAATTTTACCAATAAGACCTTCCCTGATGGAAAATTTATGTAATTAGAAAAATTTTAGGGAAAATTACCACTGTCTGTTGCCCCTGCTCATGGAGACTGAGTAGGGCATACCCACGTCAAACAAGATACAGAAGTGAGAATAAAAGCTGACTTCAAAACATTCTTACAAACTTGCTTATGCCCATTTACACATGAACTCAGCTGCTTTCAAATTCACTTCTCCAGGAATCCCAGGGCCAACAGGGATGGCAAAGGGAAGCTTTCTGAGGGCCTATGGAGGGAGCTGGTAGTGCAGTAAATGTTATTGAACATTTCCATCTTCACTCTTCAATATAGTAGCCATTAGCCACATTAGCCAATTGAGCACATGAAATTTGGTTGGCTGAGTAGGAATTTGAGTTTTAAATCTGATTTAGTTTCAATAAATTCACATATTTTGATTTTATTTATTTTTAAATTTATTTTAGAGACAGGGTCTTACTCTGTCACCCAGGCTGGAGTACAGTGGCACAATCATAGCTCACTGCAACCTCGAACTCCTGGGCTTAAGTAATCCACAACCTTAGCCTTCCCAAGTGCTGGGATTACAAGCATGAGCTACTGTGCCTGGCCTAAAATCACCCCCCACTTTTTTTTTTTTTTTTTTTTTGAGACAGAGTCTTACTCTGTCCCACAGGCTGGAGTGTGCTGGCGTGATCTCAGCTCACTGCAACCTCCACCTCACAGGTTCATGCAATTCTCATGCCTCAGCCTCCTGAGTAGCCAGGATTACAGGCGTGTACCACCATGCCCAGCTAATTTTTCTGTGTATTTTCAGTAGAGACGTGGCTTCACCATGTTGACCAGGCTGGTCTCGAACTCCTGACCTCAGGTGATCCGCCCACCTCGACCTCCCAAAGTGCTAGAATTACAGGCGTGAGCCACTGCGCCCAGCCTCTAAGTTCACATTTACGTGGTTACATTTAAGTAGCTAGTAGCCACCTTCTCGGCCAGTGGAGCTATCAACCAAAATTCCACATTTAGAATCCTGTCATTGTGTATGTGTCACTTCTATTTGGCTGCTCACGCCTTGATAGATGCTCACGGGGCCTGACTTCACACAAATAGGAAGTCAGGGCACACAGCTCTCGTGGGAATGCCCCACGAGGCCTGGGGATGCTCTTGGTGGTGGTGAGTAAAATTTCCCTTCACTCTTTCACATTCAGAGGAGGGGGATTTTAACTGTGACTCACTGTTCAATGAATGATTAAAAACAGAGCCTCCGGTTGGGCGCGGTGGCTCACACCTGTCATCCCAGCACTTTGGGAGGCTGAGGCGGGTGGATCACGAGGTCAGGAGTTCAAGACCAGCCTGGCCAAGATGGTGAGACCCCGTCTCTATTAAAAATACAAAAAAAGTAGCTGGGCATGGTGGCGCGCGCCTGTAGTCCCAGCTACTTGGGAGGCTGAGGCAGGAGAATCGCTTGAACCCGGGAGGGGGAGGTTGCAGTGAGCTGAGATCACACCACTGCACTCCAGCCTGGCGACAGAGCAAGACTCCGTCTCAGAAAAAAAAAAAAGGTGCCTGGCACTCTCTTGGTGGCTTAAGGGAGAGGAATAGATGATCTTTTCTTAGTGATAGGAGAGAGACAAAGATCAGTGGTTTGCAAACTTTTTAAAGATAAGAAATCCTTTTCTTAAACGTAATCTTATGTGGAAGTTAACATAAAGCAGATTAAAGTGAAGCTGTTTGAATGCTAGAGTCACATCCACTTCTGCCCTATCTGTCCCGCCACCTACCCCCCGCAACTGCCCCGTTCCATTTCTCGAGCTGCCCCTTAAGGCACCTCTTGGGAACCAATGGACTTCTGCTCAGGAGGCATATGGTAATAAGCCTCTAAGGGCTGGTGTGTGGGGGGGCTGGGCAACCCCAAGTCACACAAAATTGTGTGGAGGTTTCAAGTCTTGAAGTGATATTTAAAAAAGGAAAAAAAGGCCAGGAGCAGTGGCTCACACCTGTAATCCCAGCACTTTGGGAGGCCAAGGCGGTTGGATCACCTGAGGTTGGGAGTTCAAGACAAACCTGGCCAACGTGATGAAACCCCGCTCTACTAAAAAAAAAAAAATACAAAAAAAAAAATAATTAGCCATGCGCGGTGGCAGGCGCCTGTAATCCCAGCTACTTGGGAGGCTGAGGCAGGAGAATCTCTTGAACCCGGAAGGTGGAGGTTGCAGTGAGCCAAGATTGTGCCACTGCACTCCAGCCTGGGTGACAAGGGTGAAACTCCGTCAAAATAAAAGAAAGAAAGAAAGAAGGAAAGAAAGAAAGAAAGAAAGAAAGAAAGAAAGAAAGAAAGAAAGAAAGAAAGAAAGAAGGAAAGAAAGAGAAAAGAAAAGAAAAGAAAAGAAAAGAAAAGAAAAGGGAAAAGAAGGTTTACAAAGCACAGTCAAAATTATAGCCACTTATCCAGGCAGCAGACAGGATGCTGGCCCACAGGACCTTTTTAACTGACAAAGTGTTCCTCAGACACCCCACCTATGAAGCATTCTTGCCAAAAATATTGAAACTGAATATGCTCTAGATCTAATTTCCAGTTTATAGGAAACACAGGGAAGACAGGAACATATTACAGACACTCAGGGATGGATTAAGCCTGGGAAATTCTACAGTGCAAACAACCTGACCTGGTTTCTTCAACAAATAAATTAGAGGAAAAAAGAAAAGAAGGAACTCATAGATGAAAACTTAAGAGACAGGCCCGGGTGCAGCCGCTCACATCTATAATCCCGGCACTTCGGGAGGCTGAGGCGGGTGGATCACTTAAGTCCAGGAGTTCGAGACTAGCATAAGGAGATTCTCTCTCTACAAATGATTTTTTAAAAAAGTGAGCCTGGGCTGGGCATGGTGGCTCAAGCCTGTAATCCCAGCACTTTGGGAGGCTGAGGCGGATGGATCATCTGAGGTCAGGAGTTTGAGACCAGCCTGGCCAATGTGGTGAAACCCCATCTCCACTAAAAATACAAAAATTAGCCAGGCATATGGTGCATGCCTGTAATCCCAGCTATCCGGGATGCTGAGGCAGGAGAATTGCTTGAACCCAGGAGGTGGAGGTTGCAGTAAGCCAAGATCGTGCCATTGCACTCTGGCCTGGGTGACAAGAGCGAAACTCTGTGTCGAAAAATAAATTAGCCTGGTGTGGTGGCAAGCAGCTGTATGTAGTTCCAGCTACTCAGGAGGCTGAGTTGGGAGGACTGCTTGAGCCCAGGAATTCAAGGCTGCAGTAATCTGTGATCACACCACTGCACTCCAGCCTGGGTGACAGAGGGAGACTCATCTAAAAAAAAAAAAGACCTAAGAGACATATCAACCAAATACAGCGTATAGACTTTGTTTGGATTATGTTGCAAACAAACCAACTGAATAATAAAACCTATATTGGATAACCAGGGACATTTGAATACTGATTAGATATCTAATATTATTAAGGATATTTTGTTAACTTTAGGTGATATATGGTATTTTGGTTATTTTTATTTTTATTTTTTTTGAGATGGAGTCTCGCTCTGTCACCCAGGCTGGAGTGCAGGGCGCGATCTTGGCTCGCTGCAAGCTCCACCTCCCAGGTTCCAGTGATTCTCCTGCCTCAGCCTCCCGAGCAGCTGGGACTACAGGCGCCCGCCACCATGCCCGGCTAATTTTTTGTATTTTTAGTAGAGACGGGGTTTCACCGTGTTAGCCAGGATGGTCTCGATCTCCTGACGTCATGATCTGCCCGTCTTGGTCTCCCAAAGTGCTGGGATTACAGGCGTGAGCCACCGTGCCTAGTCAGCATTTTGGTTATGTTAATAAAAAGAGTCATTGTTTTTAAAGATATTTTAGATGGAACAATATGATGTATAGTATTTGCTTCAAAATAATCCACTGGTAGGGTGGTGAGTGGGAATACAAATGAAACTAGATTGCTTGTGTGTTGATAATTGTTGAAAATGGGTTTTGGGCACATGAAGATATATTACTCTCTCTGTTTTTGTGTATGTTGGAAAATTTCTACAGCTAAAGGCTTTTCTAAATGGCAGGGAAACCACAAAGTGTTCCTCAGACAGAGATGTCTGAATGTCACTGATGCACTGTGTCTTGAATTGCACAGGGGACTCCGGTCGGGGTGTGGGGAGGATGCAAGCTCGAAGGTGGCAGTGGAGAGTGGACAGAAGAGACAGCAGCCAAGTCTTTAAGACTGGATGGGGACATAGGAATGGAGTTCTGAGTAGAGGATGGAAGTCAGAGTTTAGAGTCTCAAGAAAACCACAACAAACCCTCCAATGGAAGTACCAGTTCAACTACCACTTCATTTTACAAATGAGAGGAGTAGTTCAGTGTCAAGGTGGGACTAGAGACTTACAAGACGAGTTTCCTGGCTATCCCTTTAAATCACACAGATGTATACATTTGAGAGTGTGTGTGTGTGTGTGAGAGAGAGAGAGAGAAACTAATACAGGAGTAGTTGCTTTCAGAGTACTTTATGCTTTCAGAGTACTTTGTACATATTTTATTTTATTGGATCTTCACAATGACCCAGTAGCAATTTACAGATGAGGAAACTAAAACCAAAGTGTCCTGTCCAGGATCACACAGCTGGTGATGGAGCCAGGACTCAGTTTGAGATTTCTTCCTTCCAATTCTTTCTTTTTTAACACAGACCCCCTCAATCCTCAATACATGCACAGCACATGTGCACACACGCACGCACACACACACACATCATTATTGCTACCTGTACGGTGGAGTTCAACATGTTGTTGATAATAACTCACCATCACCTAAGGAGACAGACCTAGTCTTAACTCCTGGTCCTACTATTTACTAGGGGTGTGTGTGTGTGTGTGTGTGTGTGTGTGTGGTTACATAGACTTTGTTTTTTAGAGCTGTTTTAGGTTCTCAGCAAAATCAATCAGAAAGTACAGAGAGTTCTCCTCTATCACCCCAACTCATGGCCTCCCCCACTGTCAACATCCCACACCAGAGTGGTACATTTGTTGCAATCATTGAACCTACATTGACACATCATTATCACCCAAAGTCCACAGTTTACATTAGAGTTCACTCTTGGCATGATACATTCTGGGGGTGTTGACTAGCTGTGTTTTTGAGCAACTTACTTTGCTTCCTTTCTCCCTGTGAAGATGGGATCGTAGTGCCTACTTTAGAAAGATCACTATGAGAACTAAATTAAATCAGATCATGCATATCAAGCAAATTACCTGCCTGGCACAGGGTAAAAGAACCCAGTAAATGGAGCTGATGTTAATATTCATGCAAATCCCCTCACTATGAGCCCAGCTGTGTAACTGCTGAATCTTCCCCTTGTTCTCTTTGATCTCAGCCCAGAACCTCTCGTTTGCACCTGGATGACTCGGCCAGAGATGATTTCTAGAAGTTCCTTAAAGATATTAGTCTGTGGGCTGGGCACGGTGGCTCACACCTGTAATCCCAGCACTTTGGGAGGCCGAGGCGGGTGGATCACCTGAGATCAGGAGTTTGAGACCAGCCTGACCAACATGGTGAAACCCCGTGTCTACTAAAAATACAAAAATTAGCTGGGCATGGTGGCGGGCGCCTGTCATCCCAGCTACTCAGGAGGCTGAGGTGAGAGAATCGCTTGAACCCAGGAGGCAGAGGTTGCAGTGAGCCGAGATTGTGCCATTGCACTCCAGCCTGGGCAACAAGAGCAAAACTCCATCTCAAGAAAAAAAAAACATGTATTAGCCTCTGAAGATTTACTGTGCTGCTGAGAGGAACTTAAAGTTTGGTTCTTGGGGAAAGAGCTGTTAGGTAAGCTGGGATGCAATAGACATAGGTTCACAGAATGAACCCTTATGGTGGGCTGTGGGACAAAAAAGTTTCCAATTTGGACCCCTCACCAAGAGAAACAGAAGGGGAAGAGAAAGTACAGGAGGGAAAAATCAAAGCGTGGGGGCGAGCTGCTGCTTTTAGCCATGGTGAAGGTGAAATCAGGAAACTTCAGTGGGGTTTGTCAAAGAAGACCTTCAATACATACTATGAACTATGGAATATGCAAAACGAGAACTATTTTGTGCATTTCTACCCCCTTCTCCTTCATACTGTTGACCTTCAGGTGCCTACACAGGGTAGCTGGGGGAAATTAAAAGGAGCAGAGCTTCCAGCATTTTTTCTTTTGTGAACAACCCTGGTAAAAAGATTTTGTGCCAACGGTTCTTGGTTTCTCCTCTGACAACCAGTTCCTTCCCCTGCTATTCTTACAGCATTCAGAGTCTGCACAACAGCACTGACATCCCTGCTTCATGTGCAACTGTGAGTACCCATCTGTAAGCCTTTGAGAACAGGGACTGTGGCTTCTACTTCTGAAACTCCCACAGCAGTGAGCCCCTGCAGATAAGCACATACTAACTGATACTGGGCTTCTGAGGGGGGGCCCCCTTCTGCATAGTGTAGTGCTAGGTCCCCAGATCAAGTCAGATGCCAACGAGATTCTTGTTAGAAAAGCTGTGGGTAACACAGACCCAAGAGAGTGGGGTGCAAAAATGGAAATGCAGTTTCCTGAACATTGTCATAATGTGACATCGATTGCTGTGTGATCTTACGTGAGTCATTTCCTTCCCATCTGTTACCTTGGTTTCACTCATCTGCAGAATGAGAACAGTTTTGTAAAGGCACATGCATATATTCATTTTTTTTCCTGATTAGAAAAGTAATATATATTTCTTGTAGAAAATATAGAATATACAGAAGAATGTGTGAGAAATAAAAGTTCCCACTTAAAACCACCCGGAGGCCAGACACAGTGGTTCGCGCCTGTAATCCCAGCACTTTAGGAAGTTGAGGTTCGAGGTGGGTGGATCACTTGAGTCCAGGAGTTCCAGACCAGCCTGGGCAACATGGCACAATCCTGTCTCTACAAAAAATATAAAAATTAGCCAGACGTGGTGGCACATGCCTAGTCCCAGCTACTTGGGAGGCAGAGTTGCAGTGAGCCAAGCTTGTGCCACTGCACTACAGCCTGGGCGACAGAGTGAACCCCCCACCCCCGCCCCAGAAAAACAAAAAAGGAAAAAGAAAACCATCCAGAGATTAAACATTGTTTACATTTCGGTTTACTGCTTTTTGTTTTTATTTATTTCTATTAAACATTTGATGTAGGCCGGGCGTGGTGGCTCACACCTATAATCCCAGCAATTTGGGAGGCTGAGGTGGGTGGATCATTTGAGGTCAGGAATTCGAGACCAGCCTGGCCAACATGGTGAAACCCTGCCTGTACTAAAAATACAAAAATTAGCCAGGCGTGATGGCGGGCGCCTGTAGTCCCAGCCACTCGGGAGGCTGAGACGGGAGAATCGCTTGAACCCAGGAAGTGGAGGTTGCAGTGAACCAAGATCACGCCACTGCACTCCAGCCACAGTGACAGAGCAAGACTCTCTAAAAATAAAAATAAAAATAAAAAATAGAAAATAGAAAAAATTGATGTAATTGGTTTATTGCTTTTTAATCTTTTCTGTGTGTGTGCCGTGTGTGTGTAATTTGCGGAGTCCAGTGCAAAATGAAAACCTAGGCCCCTTGTTCCCAAATTATGAGGAACTTCAAGAAGGCCACAGCAGAGCATTGAACCCACTCTGGAGTCCTGTTTGACTGCGTGGTCACGTGCCCATGAAGTGGGCTCTTTGTATTCCCTACTCAGAATAATAAGATCATTTATTGAGGGTTCTCTGTGTGTCAAGTATTTCATTTAATTAGTTATAATTTAATTCAGCTTCTTTGATATAAATACAATTCTTCCCCCTCCTCATTTTTGCAGATAAAACAACTGGGGATCAGAAAGTTTAAGTAGCTTGCCCAAGTTCATACAGCTAGTCAGGGCAGAGACAATATTCATACCTGAGTCTTTCTGGCTTCAGGTCTGTGCTTTTAACATTGCAGCACATTCCCTCTAATATTAACTTTTTTTTTTTTTTTTGAAACGGAGTCTCGCTCTGTTGCCCGGGCTGGAGTGCAGTGGCACGATCTCGACTCACTGCAAGCTCCGCCTCCCAGGTTCACGCCATTCTCCTGCCTCAGCCTCCCGAGTAGCTGGGACTACAGGCATGAGCCAGTGCGCCCGGCCCTCATATTAACTTTTATAAATTCATTTAAAAATTATTAATAAAGTTGAGATTATACTATACATAAAATCTTATATTGCATTTTTTTTCATTTTATATCACGATTGTTTTTTCTTCCTCTGTTATTAAACAGAGGAGAAAAACTGCGGCTATTTATGAGAAAGAGTGAAGTCTAAATGACAAAGCTCTGAGAAGAATTTCATTGCAAGATTAGATTAAATACAAAACATCAATGATCCAAAGCAGGAGCACGTGGTCAGTGGAGACTTGGCAAAGGCTAGGCTGCTGTATTTAACCCACAGCCCCCGACTGATAAATAGAATATAAACATCTCACTCTCCCTGCTCTGAACATCCTCCACATTAAAGAGGATACCTTTGCAGATCCCCGACAGTCAAGATTTCTGTCCAATTTACTTTTCACAAAAGTAAAAGTTTCATTGTAAAATGAAAGCAATGGGTCCTTTTTCAAGCATAAATAATATTATATGGAATATAAGTTTCAACCTCCTCCTTACACACACACACACACACACACACACACGCTCGAATACCCTTATGGGGGTGTGCAGCCCCGTCTTCCTTGGCAATCACTGAGTTATATGTAAAACAGAGCCAGTACTGAAGGTAATATTAAAAATGTTACTATGCACCACTGCAGACTTTGGGAAACTGACTTACTCTCTCTAAGTCTGAGGAGCCATGTGTGTAAAATAGAGCTCATAAGAGCTACCTCAACAGAATGAGGAAAGAACCTAATGGGTAGGCTTTTCCTGAAGCTGGGACTTCTAAGCCAAGAGTCAAGCTTAGGTTACTGCGCATTAGATTTTCTTTGTAGGCCTTAATTCCTCAACGAAAACTGCAACCATGGTTAGGGTCCCTGGGATCTGGGGCTGAGGAACTGGGGGAGAAGAGGAGTAAGGCCTATTCTTGTACCCATCTCCTTTTGTTTGTCACAGTTCTTATTTTCTAGGGAACTGTGGTTAAAAGGAAGACAGAGTACAGCTACCTTTTAGGGAGAGAAAAAAACCAAAACACAATCCTCAGCTTTCAAGGTGTATGAGGGAGAGAGCACCAAGGTAGTGATTTACCCCTGAAGTCAGCTGAGTCTTGGGGAATTTAAGCAGCTAAGGGACACAAGCTTCAGGCCACAGAAAGTGAGGACCACTGGGGCAGGAAAAAAAATCCCTCTTCGTTTGGTGTTAAGTTTCCACCTATCAAAATGCGTCTTTCTAGATGACTTGCTGCCCTTTGCTGGCAAGCTCTCCCAATGTTGTGCAAAGAGATTTAATAAGAAATAACAGGCTGGGCATGGTGGCTCAGGCCTGTCATCCCAGCATTTTGGGAGAACAAGGCAAAAGGATCACTTGAGCCCAGGAGTTTGAAACCAGCCTGGGCAACATAGCAAGACCCCGTCACTACAAAAAACAAATAAAAATAATTAGCTGAGCATGGTGGTAAATTATAGTGAGCTATGATTATGCCACTGCACTCTGGGTGACAGAGCCAGACCTTATCTCTAAAAAAAAAAAAAAAAAGGCCGGGAACGGCGGCTCACAGCACCCAGCACTTTCGGAGCACTTTGGGAGGCTGAGGCGGGCAGATCACCTGAGGTCGGGAGTTTAAGACCAGCCTGGCCAACATGGAGAAACCCTGTCTCTACTAAAAATACAAAAATTAGCCAGGCGTGGTGGCGCATGCCTGTAGTTCCAGCTACTCAGAAGGTTGAGATGGGAGAATCACTGGAACCCAGGAGGCGGAGGTTGTGGTGAGCTGAGATCAGGCCATTGCACTCCAGCCTGGGCAACAAAAGTGAAACTCTGTTTCAAAAAAAAAAAAAAAGAAAGAAAAAGAAAAAGAAAAAGAGGGCCGGGTGCGGTGGCTCATGCCTGTAATCCCAGTACTTTGGGAGGCCGAGGCAGGCGGATCATGAGGTCAAGAGTTTGAGACCAGCCTGGCCAACATGGTGAAACCCCGCCTCTACTAAGAATACAAAAATTAGCCAGATGTGGTGGTGCATGCTGTAATCCCAGCTACTGGAGAGGCTGAGGCAGGAGAATAGCATGAACCTGGGAGGCGGAGGTTGCAGTGAGCTGAGATCGTGCTATTGCACTCCAGCCTGGGCAACAGAGCAAGACTCCATCTCAAAAAAAAAAAAAAAAAAAAAAAAGAAAGAAAAAGAAAAAGAAATTAAAAAAAAACATGATTAGACTTTAGATACATACAGTGCCTGTCCGGTGTTCCCCCCAAATCTGTCTCCTGAGGCCCAGCAGGCACGTAACCCCAGGTCACTCACAGTGAATGAGGAAGGGATGGCGATGGGTGGGCCCCTGTGTTTGGAGGCTCTGACGCTGTTCTCTCATGCACTCTTCCCACTGTGCCCCAGCTGGGAGTTTTTTTCTCTTTCTGCTCTTTACTAGCACTCCTCTGGTGCCCTTTTCTCTCTCTCTTTTTGTACCTTCTTCAAGAGGCTGAGGTCAAGCCCTTTTCTCATTAAGACTAAGTAACCTGCGGACAGAACCTCTGTGTTCTCCAAATGTTTTCCTATAATGTCGTCACACATGGGTCACAGGACGACCCTGCGTACCCCTTTATTTCACAGACCAGGCTGCGCCAAGAGCCCATGGCCAAACACTAGCAAAGGACAGAGCCACGGCTTCCACGTGAGTCGTGGACATCGACTCTCCCTGTATTCTTTCCTCTGTTCCTTGCTGCCTTGCTCCCCCAGGCATACACACCTCCTATTCCAGGATACCCTTGCCCTTGGCCAAGCCTCCCTCTTCCTTCCTCGTCCATTCTGTTCCTCTCCTTCCATCAGCAGTTCTTCCTCTTTATGCTTTTCCATCACAGCATCTGGCCACGTCCTCCCCCATTTTCCACGTAAAGCTTCAGTTTTCTAACACTTTCGACTTGACTTTGAAAAGCTTGCAAGTGGGAAAGACCCTTATGCTTTTCTGCCTTGGAATTTTCCCCGCCCCCTTTACTGCTTGAGATGAACATCTACTTGAGAAACTGAGAATCCTTATCATCACAGTGGGTTACATTTTGGTTTTACTTCTCATTATGATTTTTGAATTATTAGTATAGTGTAAGTTCATTGCAGAATATTTGGAGAATAGAGAAGGGAAAAAATACCGTAAACAACGTCATAATCCCAACACCCCTGCACTTAGTCTATTTTAATAACGATGATGTTTTAAGAAGAAATTGACTCTCCACTTACTCCTATAATTACCACACTATTTTTGCACTTAAGAATGTCTTTTCAGCTCATGGTCCCTTTGCAAGACACTACTGTCCATTCATGAGCACAGGGCACCATTGACTGCTCAGCCTTGGTCTGTTAGAGAGTAACATAAATTCAGTTTCATTTAAGGAACTGGTCAGCTTATTTTAAACACTTCCATTGCCTTCTAGGTCAAAGAAGCCCTCTGTGAGAAGGGCATTTGGACCGGCTGATCTTTGGATAACAATAACTGTTACTTAGGGATAGAAGGAATATAGAAAATGAGTCTATATATATAGACTCTTGAACCCAGGATTTTGTCACCAGCCTGGGCAACATAGCAAGACCCTGTCTCTACAAAAAATAAAACAAAAAAAAAAAAACAAAAAAAACTTTTTTAAATTAAAAAAATTTGAAATAAAAAAATATGTAGACTCATTTTATATATTCCTTCTATCCCTAAGTAACCCCCTCCATGAACAGAGGATGTATTCTGTACTTGCCTAAATTGCAAGAAATGTTTGAATGGCTAGATCTGGAAAATGTTGTGTTGGGTTAAGCACAGTCCTGAGCTCAGGAGTCTAAGACCAACCTGGGCAACATGGCAAAACCTCGCCTCTACAAAAAATACAAAAATTAGCCAGGTGTGATAGTCCCAGCTACTTGGGAGGCTGAGGCAGGAGAATCACTTGAACCCAGGAGGCAGAGGTTGCAGTGAGCCAAGATCGTGCCATTGCACTCCAGCCTGGGCAACAAGAGTGAAACTCCGTCTCAAGAAAAAAAAAAAGGAAAAACATGAACAGCCCAGCAGAGAAATGGGCAAAGAATTTGAACAATACCATGCAGCAGAAAAAGAAACTCAATGACCAAATATGAAAAAAGGCTCCACTCACTAGCAACCAGGGACATACAATTTAAAAACAACACTAAGATACAATTTCACACCCATGGAACTGGCCAAAAGTAAAATGTTTGACAATAGCAAATGTTGGCAAAGAGGTATGAAAATGAGAACTCTCATGCACATCTGGCAGAAGTGTAAATGACAAGGTCATTTGTGAGAATAACTTGACAATATCTAGAAAACTTGAAAATGTCCATAGTCCGGCTGGGCGCGGTGGCTCACACCTGTAATCCCAGCACTTTGGGAGGCCGAGGTGAGCGGATCACAAGGTCAGGAGTTCAAGACCATCCTGCCGAACTTGGTGAAACCCCCATCTCTACTAAAAATACAAAAAAGTAGCAGGGCGTGGTGGCGGGCGTCTGTAGTCCCAGCTACTTGGGAGGCTGAGGCAGGAGAATGGCGTGAACCCAGGAGGCGGAGCTTGCAGTGAGCCGAGATTGTGCCACTGCAGCACAATTGTGTCACTCCAGCCTGGGTGACAGAGCGAGACTCCATCTCAAAAAAAAAATTAGCCAGGCGTGGTGGCACGTGACTGTAATCCCAGCTACTCAGGAGGCTGAGGCAGGAGAATCACTTGAACCCGGGAGGCGGAGGTTGCAGTGAGCCAAGATTGCGCCATTGCACTCCAGCCTGAGCAACAGGGTGAGACTCCATCCCAAAAAAAAAAAAATTGTAAATAGTTTGTTCATTTGTAGGAGAATAGATAAATAAATCACAGTATATTTCTAATGTGGAATTCTATATAACAGTTTAAATCAATGAACTAGATCTATATGATTCAGCATTGATAAGTCCTGAAAATTATTGACTAAAAATTGTACATTATAAAAGGATGATCCCATTAACAAATATTTTCTAAAATATGCAAATGAATACCATCTCTATTACAGTGTATTTGTAGTGAAAATATAAAATAGGGTCTAGATACACGTCACATTCATGTGGCTGCTTCTAGCGGGAGAGGGAAGCAGTTCTGGGACTGTGATAGTCATTAGGCCTCTTTAAGAGCCTTTCTGGCCAGGCGTGGTGGCTCACACCTGTAATCCCAGCACTTTGGGAGGCCGAGGCAGGTGGATCACAAGGTCAGGAGATAGAGACCATCCTGGCCAACATGGTGAAATCCTGTGTCTACTAAAATACAAAAAAAAATTAGCCAGACGTGGCGGTGTGTGCCTGTAATCCCAGCTAGTCGGGAGGCTGAGGCAGGGGAATCACTTGAACCCCGGAGGCGGAGGTTGCAGTAAGCCGAGGTCGCACCACTGCACTCCACCCTGGAGACAGAGCAAGGCTCCATCTCAAAAAAAAAAAAAAAAAAAAAGGAATCTTCTGGATTTCCTTCCAGTACATGGTAGGATTGTATGTCCTTACATTCTTTGAAGTTAGGCACAACCACATGACTTACCGTGGCCAATACATGTAAGTGGAAGTGTTACTTTTGGGTGGAAGATCTAAGAACGATATGCACAATTTACCGAGCTCTTCCCTTTGCTGTAGTGATCATCAATGTTTCAGATTCAGTGTTTCAGTCCACTTCATCCGCTGGGTCCTGGAGTGAAGACAGTGTATGATAGTTTCCAAATGACCCACAGTGAACATGAGGCATGACTGAGAAATGGATCTCTGCTTCCTTAAGCCACTAAAACTGTGGGAGTATATGTTTGTTACTGTAGCATAGCTAGCCCATCACATTGATACAGGGACTTCAACTTTATCTGTAATGTTTCATTCCTTCTTTTTGTTTTTAAGGTCTAGAGAACATATGACTAAGTGTTAACATTTGTTCATTTTGAATGGAGAGTGTTGAGTCTTATATTACCCTCATTCTTTTTCGTTTTTTGTGAACATTTTTTTAAAGTCCCCTGGAATTGGCCGGGCATGGTGGCTCATGCCTGTAATCCCAGCACTTTGAGAGGCTGAGGTGAGTGGATTGCCTGAGGTCAGGAGTTCGAGACCAGCCTGGCCAACATGGTGAAACCCTGTCTCTACTAAAAATACAAAAATTAGCCAGGTGTGGTGGCAGATGCCTGTAATCCCAGCTACTCGGGAGGCTGAGGCAGGAGAATTGCTTGAACTCGGGAGGCAGAGGTTGCAGTGAGTCCAGATGGCGCCACTGCACTCCAGCCTGGGCAACAGAGCGAGACTCTGTCTCAAACAAAAACAAAAACAAAAACAAAAACAAAACAAAACAAACAACAACAAAACACCAATTCTGATATGCATGTTCTTCATGTTAAGCCATCTCAAACCTCTTCAGAAAACAAAAGTGATAAAGTGTGAATCCTCTGTCACGTCATCTCCTTTTCAGGGCCTCCGCCCTGACTATGCTTCATTTCTCCTACAGCAAGGGGACCTCGGCTGCAGGGGAAACCTGCTCATCAGTCCTTAACACGGCCACTGCGCTACGTAAAAGCCTAGTGTGAGCAGGGTGAGCCTGTAACGTGGGATTGGTCCTGACCTCTCACGTTGGTATAATAAAGGAGGGCTCTCTGTGGAAAGAGAGCTTTGTGTCTACTTCGTATTTGTAAAACAGATGCTTCCATGACTTCCTTTTCTTCCCACACAGTATTTTATATTAAATATCTAAATGAGAAACACAGAGTCAAGATCGCTGAAATGGCTCAGCAATACACCTCACCTATAAATCAAAGCAAAGGAACGCTTCAGCAGTGAAAAACAGTCTGTCCCAAGAGACAGGATACTTCTCTTCTATTTGTGGGTATGCTATTGTCCTGCCATGTGACCTGGCCTCTGTAGGACTTCACGTCCTTTCTGTATAATATGACATTTCTCCTAACACTAACTTTCTATCAACACTTTCATTTTAAAAATTAGAAGTTATTATTTTCTTGTATTATTTTAAGTCCTCAAAATTAAAAAAAAAGAAAAATTACGAATTAAAAAAATAACTTGGCCGGGGGCAGTGGCTCACACCTGTAATCCCAGCACTTTGGGAGGCCGAGGCAGGCGGATAACCTGAGGTCAGGAGTTCAAGACCAGCCTGACCAACATGGAGAAAACCCGTCTCTACTAAAAATACAAAATTAGCTGGGTGTGGCGGTGTGTGCTTGTAATCCCAGCTACTTGGGAGGCTGAGACAGGAGAATTGCTTGAACACGGGAGGTGGAGGTTGCGATGAGCCAAGATTGCACCATTGCACTCCAGCCTGGGCAACAAGAGCAAAACTCCATCTCACAAATAAAATAAAATGAAATAACTTAAGAACCAAATAGAGTTGAAATATTACACATTAGTAAGTATGTGATCAAAGGCAGGCAGTTCCCCAGGCGTGTAGCAACAAGTGATACAGGAATGAAATCCTAGTCCCCAGGGTGGGACTAGGGTGATATGGGGGTAGAATGATTTCGGACATGGGATTTGTTTTTGTTTTTGTTTTTGTTTTAGCATTCCAAAAGCAGCTTTCTTTTATAACATAAAGAAATCAGAAGAAGGCTTTCAAGACAGTATGATCAACTAAGACGCTATTTCCCAAACTAGTGCTCTGAGGGACACTATCTTTAGAGTTCCTAAGTAGGTATACTTAATGCTCACATGTGGAAAATTATGTATGCTCTATCTCCCTCGGAGAATCATCATGCATGTTATCTTATGAAAGACTGAGAAATCCTACAGAAAAAAAAAACCCACCTATTTTAACTTTGTTTCATCCGGCGTTCACAAATGCATCTGTGCATGGATCACTTTTTTGCTCACTGCCATCACCACCTTCCACGTCAACACGGGGAGTGCTGCGCCAAGGCAGCGTCTTGGCCTGTGAATCACAAGCCACGGACTCTTTTGTGTGTTTCTGCCACAGCATTGCTGAGTAACCTGGTCAGCCCTCTGTTGGGGTCTTGATTTCTCCACCTGAAAAACGAGGACGATAACACTTGTCCACACTTAAGAGAGATGAGCTAGATAATGTCCATGAGGGCTTTGACCCTTTAAAGCAGGTTCTATAGAAACAATGTTATTATCTCAACCACACAAGCACGATGGGATAACAAGTCACATCATTAGATTCTATTATACACACCCGGACCCCGCAGAGGCACCACACTTAGCTTTCTGTCCTGGTCCCTGAGGGCTTTACATACATTTCATATGCTCCAGTAAGCAAACCCATTCCATGCTGGTTCCTGCTGCAAACAGACCAAAAAGGAAAGAAAGGAAATACAGAGAAGCAGACAAAGTGCAGAAATAGAGAATGCAGGAACAGCAATGGTTAACAGTGACTGAGTACTTACTAGGTGTTACCCACGTGCAAGGCAGTTGAAACACAGTGTTTAAATCATCCCATCTAGGGCTGGGTGCAGTGGCTTACGTCTGTGATTCCAGCACTTGGAAGGCCGAGGCAGGAGGATCATTTGAGCCCAGAAGTTTGAGACCAGCCTGAGCAACACAGTGAGACCCACATCTACACACACAGACACGCAACACACACACAGACACACACACACAAACTGACCCATCTAGCCCTCACCAAAATCCTAAGGAAGACACACTTATTATGACAATATTGGAGGTTAGAGAGTGTGGCTTGCCCAAGGACATACAGGTATTACCTGAACAAGCCTGCCTGATTCCAAAGCCTACATGACATTGTTTCCTAAGGTAGTACACATAAAATAATCTTAGGTGGTAAAAAAAAAATTATTTTAATAGTTTTGCATTTTAATGTATATTTGAAAAAACATCATATGTATTGCAAAGCCATGGTTCCATTAAAAAATATCATAGGTGAAGATAAGAAAATAAGAAAGTCTAATTAAGAAAATAATAGTACAACTGATATGTGGACACGTCAAAAATCATGAAGGTGGTGTGCTAGTGAATGAAGCTGGGGAATCATTGCAATACATCCTTCTACCTTCCAAAAACCTTCTACCTCCCAAAAAAGAGAAGGTAAGCCAAAGCCCAGTTAGATTCACCTTAACCAGGCTTTTTGTTTGTTTTATTTTGTTTTGTTTTGACTCTCACTCTGTCACCCAGGCTGGAGTGCAGTGGCGTGATCATAGCTCATTGCAGCCTTGAACTCCTGGGCTCAAGAGATCCTCCTGCCTCAGCCTCCTGAGTAGCTGGGATTACAGGCGTGTACCACCATGCCTGGCAGACTCACATCAACAAGCCTTTGAGCTTGTTTCTGACTCCTCTAGGCTCAAGTGCAAGAGAGGAAATGAAGTTGAGTGAAGGCTGAAGGTTGGCAACGGTTGCTATGTTTATCTGCGGTGGGGAGGTGGGGGCAGAGAGGCATGTCTGTGATTGTGAGATCTGATTCACAGAAAATCACAGACTGACAAGCACCATCTCCTACAGAGAAGGAAACAATATCTTTAAATTCTTGGCAACCCTCTCCCTGACCTTCCAACTGTGCACAGCTGCCTGGTTCATCTTTCAGCTCTGTAGAGAAGGGGAAGGTCTTAGTTAAGACTTCTTGGTTGCAAAAGCAACCCACTCAACTAGTTCAAGTCAAGCAGAAAAAAGAAAGAAGGGTTTTTGTAGATACTGGGTTTTGTACAGACCACCAAAAGATGGGAGCTGGAGTGGGAGTCAGGACCCATGACTGCTCTTTGTTTTTTGGGGTCTCTCATCTCTGCTTCTCTGAGGTTCTCCTTCATTCTCTCTTTCTGAGCTTCACCAGGCATGACCATCTGGCCCTAGCCTTACATCACTTCTTTTTTTTTTTTTTTTTTTTTTTTGAGACAGAGTCTTTCTCTGTCACCCAGTCTGGAGTGCAGTGGTGCGATCTTGGCTCACTGCAAGCTCCGCCTCCCGGGTTCACGCCATTCTCCTGCCTCAGCCTCCTGAGTAGCTGGGACTACAGGCACCCACCACCACGCCCGGCTAATTTTTGTATTTTTAGTAGAGATGGGGTTTCACTGTGTTAGCCAGGATGGTCTCGATCTCCTGACGTCGTGATCTGCCCGCCTCGGCCTCCCAAAGTGCTGGGATTACAGGTGTGAGCCACCATGCCCGGCCATCACTTCACAATTCTAGCCCCTACCGGACAAGGCCCAGTGCTTCCAGGCCTCAATTCTAAGCTGCCATTAGCAAGTCAGATTGGCCCAGCTAGAGTCAGGAGTTCACTGCTGCACAGTGCATTATAGCTAGGGTAGGTCACGGTGTAAGCAATTAACAGGTCCTTCTGAAATCCAGCATCCTCACACTCAATGGTTCCTATGATTTCTAATGGGCAAGAGCTGGGTCAACTTCCCTGATACTGTGGCCACTATAGTCCCAGCTTTCCTGCTCTTTCAGTACGGCAAGTTGTATTTTGACATTTGAAATAAAGCATTGGGTTTCCTGCATCAGTAACAATGCTTCTTTCATTCTACCAACTTTGGTCACCTTGAGTCTTGAAGACGATTGATACTTACAGGGCGATAAACATGTAATCATTTGGCATAGAGAAAAAGGGTTAAGAAGCTGTGCTATCAGGAATGGTTATAGAGTACCCACTGGCACCATGTAGGGGGGCTCTGGGAACAGCTGAAGTGATGATGTTGATTATGATGCTAAAGATGATGGTAACAGCAATAAAAGAATTGAGAAGGATGGGTCTCCTGAAAAAACATAAGAATACAGATAGAGAAAAGGAGCACAAATAATAGATCTCCACGTAGTGAAAATAATCTTGAGCTAAGGACTCAAAGACTTGGGTTCTAGACTTGTCTTTGTCCCTTAACTACGTGAGTTAAGATCATTCACGTAGTGATCTTAGACTAATCACTTGGCTAGTTGTGGTCCATATCTGTAAAAATCGAAATGACTTTCTAAGCCAGAAATTTCTGGGATCCTACGGTCTATAATTCTATGCCTGGAGGATAAAGTGGATCTTGGAATAAATGAGATGATTAAAGCCAGGCGAGGATTAGCAAGGTCTGGTTTCTTAGGAGATGAATCTTCAAGAGAGATTCAAAAGGTGTGAGGACAGCCTTTGGTGTGCAAACCCAAAAGTATCTGAGAAAATCTCATTCAAGCCAGTCGCAGTGGCTCAGGCCTGTAATCCCAGCACTTTGGGAGGCCGAGGTGGGTGGATCATGAGGTCAGGAGTTCGAGACCAGCCTGACCAACATGGTGAAACTATACTAAAAATACAAAAATTAGCCGGGCATGGTGGTGCGCACCTGTAATCCCAGCTACTCAGGAGGCTGAGGCAGGAAAACTGCTTGAACCCAGGAGGCGGAGGTTGCAGTGAGCCGAGATCGCACCACTGCACTCCAGCCTGGGCAACAGAGTGAGACTCAGTCTCAAAAAAAAAAAAAAAAGAAAGAAAATCTCATTCAATTTAAAAAGTATATTTTGCCAAGGTTAAGAATGCACCCATGACACAGTCTCACCCCAGGTGGTTAGGATACAGCTTGCTTTTATACATTTTAGGGAGATATGAGACCTCAATCAATACATGTATGATTTACATCGGTTTGATCTGGAAGGGTGGGACATCTCAAAACAGGGGGCTTCCAGGTTATAGGTAGATTTTAACATTTTCTGATTGGCAATTGGTTGAAGAGTTATTATCAATAGAAAGAAATGTCTAGGTTACAATAAGGGGTTGTGGAGACCAAGACTTTATCGTCCAAGCAGCAGGCTTCAGAGAGAATAGATTACAAATGTTTCTTTTTAGACTAACAAGACTTAAGATCTGTGTTAATGTTAATGCTGGTCAGCTTTTCCTGAATTCCAAAAGGGAAGAGCATATATGAGGAATGTCAGACCCTTGCTTCCCATCATGGCCTGAACTAGTTTTTCAGGTTAACTTTAGAATGCACTTGGCCAAGAGGAGGGATCCATTCAGATGGTTGGAGGGGGCCCTAGAATTTTATTTTTGATTTACTGGTGGAAGGGAAAAGGCAAGGTCTGGGATAGAAGAGAGGGCCCAAGATAATGGCTTGGGAGTATGCTGATCTAAAGGGGAAAAACTGAAAATGTAAGCAGAGAGTTAATTTGGGCCAAGTTTAAGCACTGCAACTTGGAAGCATAGATTCAAGTTGCCCTGAATGTATGCTCTGATTAGCAGCAGTTACAAGAAAGTTTTTAAAGGAAAAGAATAGACGAGTTCCTAAATTGTTTACCAAGAAATTACATTCAAATGACATAAAATATTCATTGGCTATACATTTTTCTTTGTATCAAAAATTCCAGGAACATGAAGACAATGGGTGAAGCAGCTAGTCTGAAAACTACAGGGAAGAAAAGAAAGAACAGGCCGGGCACAGTGGTTCATGCCTGTAATCCCAGCACTTTGGGAGGCCGAGGCTGGCGGATCACGAGGTCAGGAGATAGAGACCATCCTGGCTAACACGGTGAAACCCCGTCTCTACTAAAAAATAGAAAAAATTAGCCAAATGTGCTGGTGGGCGCCTGTAGTCCCAGCTACTCAGGAGGCTGAGGCAGGAGAATGGTGTGAATCTGGGAGGTGGAGCTTGCAGTGAGCCAGGATTGGGCCACTGCACTCCAGCCTGGGCGACAGAGCCAGACTCCATCTCAAAAAAAAAAGAAAGAAAGAAAAGAAAGAACAAAATGTCTTCAAATAATTGTCCCTGGGTATGGGTGGGGGCATGCATGTGATTGAAGCCCCATACTCATTTCTCTCTGGGCCAGATAAATTTTGCATACCTCACAAAGCTCTGACTGCTCTTAGCTATTTTTATTTTTCATTTCTCCCTTTCGATCAGAATTTTTCTCTTCTAAAAGTATTGATGATCAGCCGGCACAGTGGCTCATGCCCTGTAATCCCAGCACTTTGGGAGGCGGAGGCGGGTGGGACACCTGAGTCGGGAGATCGAGACGATCCTGGCTAAGATGGCGAAACCCTGTCTCTACTAAAAATAGAAAAAAGTAGCCGGGTGTGGTGGCATGCGCCTGTAGTCCCAGCTACTCGGGAGGCTGAGGCAGGAGAATCGCTTGAACCCGGGAGGCAGAAGTTGCGGTGAGCAGAGATGGTGCCATTGCTGTCCAGCCTGGGTAACAAGAACAAAACTCCACCTCAAAAAAAAAAAAAAAAGTATTGAGGATCAGCATTTTAGATGTCTGTCCCACATCACCATGAAGCACATCGAAGGGAAAGAAGAAACAGGTACTATGGCTCAAGAACATAGAGAAGTCTCAAGTCCAAACTGATAGGCAGCACAAAGGTGAGGGAGGAGAACAGGGAATTAGGGTAGCCAAGGGTTGGGGCAGAAGCAAAGGAATAGCAGGTGCAGCCAGTTCTCATAAGCAAGAGAACAGCAGGTGCAGCCAGTTCTAGGCAAGATTGTGCAGCGTGCAGGCCACATCTTCACTTCTGTGGTAACAAGACAGAAGTTTCCACTTCAGCTTCTGATTGACTGCAGGCCAAGCCTCCACTTCAGCCTCTGATTGGTCTGAGGCCAATCCTTCATAGGGTGTAACCAATTGGAGGCCTCTAAAGGGCACCTGGGGTGTTGCCAAGTTCTTTCAGCTTAATAAAAACCCTAATTGAGGAGTCTCTAGCTGCTTGCTCACACCTGCTTTTACTCTGTGAGTTGTACTTTTGCTTCTTCAATAAATCTGTGCCTTTGTTACTCCGTTCTTTTGTTGTTTTGCTTGTGCGTTTTGTTTAATTCTTTGTTTGAAACCCCAAGAACCTGGACAACTCACAGTCAAGACCTTCCGTCCGGTAACAAAGCAACAGACCTCAGTCATGTCATCTGCTTACAAAGGAGCCACGGTATGTTGAATCACTTCTTTTTTCTTTTTATTATTTATTTATTTATTTATTTATTTATTTATTTATTTATTTATTTATTTGAGACGGAGTTTCACTCTTGTTGCCCAGGCTGGAGTGCAATGGTGCGATCTCAGTTCACCGCAACCTCCACCTCTCGGATTCAATCAATTCTCCTGCCTCAGCCTCCCGAGTAGCTGGGATTACAGACAAGTGCCACCACACCCGGTGAGCTTTTTGTATTTTTAGTAGAGACGGGGTTTCACCGACCTCAGGTGATCCGCCCGCCTCGGCCTCCCAAAATGCTGGGATTACAGGTGTGAGCCACCGTGCCCACCCCTGCTGAATCATTTCTAAGCATCTAGCTATCATGATTAGTTTTTTTTGTTGTTGGCTTTTGTGAAAGGAAAATAAACCTCAGGACCCCAAAGTCACTAGTCCAAAGGGAAGACTCAAGCTGCGAACTGCATCCGGCAAACATGACCCCCGTTCTATTCCTAAATAAGATAGCTACAAAGAGAAAAAAAATCACATACATCCGTCACAATTTGCCCAAAGGGAAATTCCTTGTGGACAAAGGACAGCCGGAACTCAGTCATCCCTCTGCTCACGTGAGACAAAAGCAGGCATATCTAATTACTTCCTTTGTCCTATTGTCTCACTAAGCTAGACTAAGGCATAAGTGACTATTCCTGTAAAATGTGTATTCAGTGAAAGGCTAATCAGAAACTCAAAAGAATGCAACCCGCTGGGTGCGGTGGCTCACGCCTGTGATCTCAACACTTTGGGAGGCCGAGGCGGGTGGGATGACCTGAGATTAGGAGTTCGAGACCAGCCTGGCCAACATGGTGAAACCTTGTCTCTACTAGAAATACAAAAATTAGCTGGGTGTGGTGGCACACACCTGTAATCCCAGCTACTCAGGAGGCTGAGGCAAAAGAATCGCTTGAGCTCAGGAGGCTGAGGCAAAAGAATCGCTTGAGCTCAGGAGGCAGAGGTTGCAGTGAGCCGAGATCTCACCACTGCATTTCAGCCTGGGAGACAGAATGAGACTGTCTCAAAAAAATAAAAATAAAATAAAATAAAGAATGCAACTGTTTGTCTCTTCTCTACCTATGACCTGGAAGCCTGCTTTGAGTTGTCCTGACTTTCAGACCAAATCAATGTACATCTTACATATATTGATTGATGTCTCACATTTCCCTAAAATGTATAAAACCAGGCTATATCCCAAACACCTTGGGCACATGTGTCACAGGTGTGTCCTTAACCTTGGCAAAATAAACTTTCTAAATTGATTGAGACTTGTCTCAGGTACTTTTTGATTCACATTTTAGACACTTAGAAACATAAGACATAATCAATTTAAGAATTAAAAATATTACGCAATCGGCCAGGCATGGTGGCTCACGCCTGGAATCCCAGCACTTTGGGAGGCTAAGCGGGCGGATCACGAGGTCAGGAGATCGAGACCATCCTGGCTAACACGGTGAAATCCCGTCTCTACTAAAAATACAAAAAATTAGCCGGGCGTGGTGGCGGGCACCTGTAGTCTCAGCTACTTGGGAGGCTGAGGCAGGAGAATGGTGTGAACCTGGGATGTGGAGCTTGCAGTGAGCCGAGATCACGCCACTGCACTCCAGCCTGGATGACAGAGCAAGACTCAGTCTCAAAAAAAAAAAAAAAAAAAAAACAGATTACACAAATAAGGTCAATTATTATTCGAGACAGGATCTCACTCTGTTGCACTGGCTGAAGTACAGTGGTGCAATCAGAGCTCACTGCAGCCTCACCCACCCAGGCTCAAGCAATCCTCCCACCCCTGCCTCCTTAGTAGCTGAGACCACAGGCACATGCCACCATGCCTGGCTAATTGTTTTTTTCTTTTTTAGAGATGGGTCTTACTATGTTGCCCAGGCTGGTCTTGAACTCCTTGCCTCCCAAAGTGCTAAGATTACAGATGTAAATCATAGCAATTGGCCTTAACATAACATTATTTTAAGAGTTTAAATTCCTGAAAGCAATTTTGAAATTATTATACAAGTACCCTCCCCAATGTGTTCCTCAGTTGTCCTGGGTCCCAAGTACCCATATGGCACTCAGAATGGCTATAAAGGGCAGGGACCATCTGGGTCCTGAATTTACATACCAGGTATAGAGCTCAGGACAGGACCAAGATGTAAAGATGCCTAAAAAGGCCAACCCTTCCCAGCATGTCCCCAGGAGGCACAGCTGGGCCAGGGAGGACATATTGGGTTTGGCCCTGCCCTGCAGCTAGTGTCCTTGGTGCTATGGACATGCCAATGTCTTCAGGCCTCACCAAGGCCACCTGTCTAGACCCCAGAACCTAAAGGCTCAAAACCAAAGATGTTAGCTCACTGTAAAATGTGTGCAAGGATTGGGGGAAGCCCAGCAGCCAGCCCTCACCACTTTAGGTCACAGACAAATTCAGCAGGTATCAAAAATATCACAGAAGCAACAGGGTTTTTTTTGTTGTTTTTTGGGGTTTCTTTTTGAGACAGAGTCTCACTCTGTTGCCCAGGCTGGAGCCCAGTGGCACGATCTTGGCTTACTGCAATCTCCGCCTCTTGAGTTCAAGTAATTCTAGTGCCTCAGCCTCCTGAGTAGCTGGGATCACAGGTGTGTGCGACCACACCACACCCAGCTAATCAAGTAATCCATCCACCTCTGCCTCCCAAAGTGCTGGGGTTATAGGTGTGAGCCACCACACTCAGCTGAGGCAACAGTTTTATAATCTTAAAACATCTAGCAGAGACGGTATACATCTGTTTGACCAATAGACCACGTAAAAATGTTTGAACTATATTTAGTCTTCAAACTTTCTAATTTAATTTTAACAACAATTTAAAAACTAGTTTTATTTACCAAAGGTTACTAAAAATCGTGTGAACCTGAAAAGCATTTGGGCTTATTTACTTAGTTTATGAGTGCTCACTTATTTATAAGTCAACTTGGTATCATGTAGACAATATAAAAACACAGCATGTACACAGATACACATAAAAAATAGACACTGCTGGACATGGTGGCTGACGCCTGTAATCCCAGCACTTTGGGAGGACGAGACGGGCGGATCATCTGAGGTCGGGAGTTGAGACCAGCCTGACCAACATAGAGAAACCCCATCTCTATTAAAAATATAAAATTAGCCGAGCATGGTGGCACAGGCCTGTAATCCCAGCTACTTGGGAGGCTGAAGCAGGAGAATCGCTTGAACCTGGGAGGCGGAGGTTGTGATGAGCCGAGGTCGCACCACTGCACTCCAGCCTGGGCAACAAGAGCGAAACTCCATCTCAAAAAAAAAAAAAATAGACACAGACACAAATTAAGATTTTTATAGCTTTGGCTGTGTGCAATGGCTCACGCCTATAATCCCAACACCTTGGGAGACTAAGGCAGGTGGATCACTTGAGGTAAGGCGTTTGAGGCCAGCCTGGCCAACATGGCAAAAACCTGTCTCTTTTAAAGATACAAAAATTAGCCTGGCATGGTGGTGCGCACCTGTAGTCCCAGGTACTCAGGAGGCTGAGGCAGAAGAATCACTTGAGCCTGGGAGGCAGAGGTTGCAGTGAGCCAAAATCATGCCATTGTACTCCAGCCTGGGTGACAGACCGAGACTGTCTCAAAAAAAAAAAAAAAAGATTTTTACAGCTTTGAGTTTAAAATTTGTCATCAGACAGGTAAAACTCACTAGTTTAAAAGGACAGTTGGATTAAATTCTGTCTCTCTAAATGGAACAGATTAAAGTTTTCACAAGCCCTTATGGAGTTTCAGAGAAAACAGGGAAGCAAATTGCGTCTCAAAGGAGAGAGAATGTACGCATTTTCAAGAAGGAGTTTACATGTGTTAAAGGAAGATTAAAAGTGGATGTCAAGGTAATGCAAAATCATAGGAATTCACTAGAAAGTTGTGCAAGGAAATACATAGATGGGCCTAGAAAAAAATTCAGAAACTGAGGTAGGAGGCAGGACTCAACTCTGGAGGTGGGGCTTGGACACCAGACCAAACTGAAGACTAGCTCAAACAGGTCCAGGGAGGAAGCAGCTTTCCATAAGACACACCCACCAGTGTGCCATGTCAGTTTACCATCGCCATGGCAACACCCAGCCGTTACTGCCCCCTTTCATGGCAACAACCGGAGGACCCAGTAGTTACTCCCCTCATCTTAGAAAGTTCTACATAAACCACCCCTTAATTTGCATATAATTAAAAGTGGGTATAAAGATGAGAGCAGAACCACCTCTGAGCTGCTACTCTGCTACTCTGAGCTACTCTGGGGCAGCCCTGCTCCACAGCAGCAGCCCTTCTGCTGCTGCTGTACACGGCCACTTCAGTAAAAGTTGCTGAGTTCTTTCCTGGGCAAAGCTGGGAACCCTCCCGGGCTAAGCCCCGATTTTGGGGCTTGCCTGTCCCGAACCAAAACCTTTTCAAAGTAGCCAGCCAAATGCCAGAAAGTTGTATTTTGAAGACTAATCTAGTTGGATAGGTGGATTTTTAAATTTAGTTTTCCATTTCTTAACTGGATTACTGAGCTTAGGGTGGAGCCCATTAACAAATAGGGCCAAGAAAGTATTTGCTGTTCTCAGGGCCTAATAATTAAACACGTGAAAAGCAGGCACAGCTGGGAAGGTGATCTAGATCTTTAAAAATCAAGAATCCCACTTTTACTTTGAATCGCAGGTCCCCAAAAGAGGAAAGAATGCCATGGGTCCAGGGCCACACAATGTTTCCACAGTGCTCCTTGCAACATCAGCCCATTCTGTGGTCAGCCCATCCCCCACAGGAGGTCTTACCCCTTGTTGGAGAATGTTTTCATAACCTCCAAGCATTCGAACTTCACCTTTCTTATCTAAACACATAACGAAACAAGTAGCCCCCTGCAGTAATAACCATTCGCTGCATTTGCTGTCAGCTACTTCTAAAACTGCAGCTTTTGCCAGTCACTTGCCAGCCACTGCACACACAAAGGTCAAATTCTCTCTCAATACAAAGTAATCCTTTTGTACTCCAAAAGCCAGAGACCAGGAAACTCAATGCAAAAGAGAGCAGAGCTTTAGACCTGAGAAAAGTATGCCCACAATTCTCAGGACTCCACAAAAGAAAGAGAAGACCACAAAATAGAGCATGTGTGTGTGCGTGTGTGTGTGTGTGCATGTGTGTGCACACGTGTGCGTGCGTGTGTGCGTGTGTGGTTGCGTGTGTATGCGTCCGTGTGTGTGTCCGTGTCTGTGTGCGTATGTGCATGCGTGTGCGTGCATATTCATGCGCGTGCATGTGCGCGTGCGTGAGTGTGCGCTTGCGTGTGTGAGCGTGCATGTGTGTGCGTGTGCGTGTGTGGTGCCTTTTCCTGTGTTCCTCAAGAGGTCTCAGAAGTCTCTGCTAGAAGTCTCTAGATTTCTTCACGTGGTATCAAAGATGGCCAAAGAAAGGAGGAGCGGAAGTGGAAGGAAATGGAAGAACAAGGCCTAGCGGGGCTAATTTGGAAAGATTTTAAATTTTCTGAAAGACCAATGAAGTTTTACGTTTTTCTCAGCAAAATCATGCCAACAAGAAAGGAAGCAAATGGAGAGATTAAACTTTTTTTTTTCAAAAGGAGTTTCAGTTGACTGAAAAAGAATTCCCAGAAACGGGATCCCAGGGAGAAAAAGCAGAAAGGCCCTTTTTGTCAATAAAAATTATGCCCTGAATATCAGCTTTTAATTAAGCTGATTTCTAACCATAGAGCTCTTTAAAAAAATCTTTTCAAATCTTTTATCAGATTTCAGCCAGGACAAGTAGAAAGTAGGTCTCCCATTCTGTTTGGTTCTAAAATAGCTTTTTTTTTTTTTTCTGATCTATCAAAGGACCTCCGTTTTGGCTATTGTAATTTAGGGTCATCTGAAGTCCTGTGGGCCCATTTGTTCAAATGTCTGCAAGACAAAGCTCCGTAAGTGTTATACAGAATATCAGCCGATGTTTCCAAGGGAGGCTGCGTCGTTAGAGAGTCTTCAGACTTGAATAGGTTTGTTACCCATAATTTAGAGGCCTGAATCACTCACAGCCAAGTTCTGGGCTGTGTTTTGGGTCAAAATGTGCTGCTTGTGAGTGTGACTCCTTAGTGTGTCACTACTGAGTTGTGTCCACGTTTTTATGTGTCTCAGAAACATTGATCCCCAGAGGGTCACAAAGTCCTCACGAGTGCTAAGTGGCCAGCCTTTATGTGCACTTGTTGGCAGAGTGAGAGAGATTACGGATGTTCTCCTGAGAGAGGAAACCTTTTAAGGCACGAAAGTCCCAATACCCCCAGCAAGTCGCTAATTGTTTAGGGTGCCCTAACGGGCTGGAGGGAGCGAGTGCCTTTTATCTTTGGAGTGAAGAATCCACTCTCATATATTAGAAAAAGGGAATCTAAGAGAGGTTGGTCATGCATAAAAGTTTGATTTCCAAAATGAAAGGTCATGATGTAACAATGTCTTGGCCGAAAATGGAAGCAAACTGCTAACTCCAGACCTGTGAGTTGCCAGAAAAATATCCTGATCTCCTGACTTAAACAGGAAAGTCAGAGACAGAACCCTCATTCAGAGAGAGTCAAAGAGAAACCGCTCAAAGTCTAGACCTCCACCAAAGAAACGGGAGTCTGGATTCAGGAGAACTCACCCGCAACACCAATGAGACTTCTGAAGATGGAGAACGCAATGGGTTTGTGCTAGTACCAACCACTGCCTTCAGAGAAAAACAATGGGTGGTTGCTGTGGGGGATTCACTCTGAATCCTGCTGACTTACGCCAGCTATATCGACCTAAAGGAAAATACATTCTGAGTGGAGAGTTTACCTGGGCCAAGTTTGAGGACTGCAACCCAGAAGCATAGATTCAAGTTGCCCTGAATCTATCCTCCCAGTAGCAGCAGTTGTGTTTTTTTTTTAATCTAGTTATTTATTTATTGACTGGGTTATGAGACTGGCTAAGTTTTGTATTTTTGATAGAGATGGGGCTTTCACCATGTCACCCAGGCTGGTCTCAAACTCCTAGGCTCAAGTGGTCCACCCCCCTCAGCCTCCCAAAGTGCTGGGAATACAGGTGGGAGTCACTGCACCTGCCTACAAGTGGGTTTTTCTTTTTTCTTTTCTTTTTCTGGAACTTTATTTCTTCTAACAGGTACAAGTGGTAGTAGCCTTTTCCTTCTTTTAAAGGAAAAGAAAAAGGCAGTTCCTAAACTATTTACCAAGAATTTACATAAAAATAACCTAAGATATTGATTGGCTATACATTGTTATTTGTATCACACATCCCAGGAACATGAAGATAATGGGTGAGGCAGCTAGTCAGGAAACTATAGGGAAGAAAATAAAGAACAAAATCCCTTTAAACAATTGCATCCGGGGCATGGAGGTGGGGTTTGGGGGATATAGGTGGTTGTGGGGAGGGTGACTTAGAGACCCCTCTGAGCTATTTTTCTTTTTTCAAGTAGGAATAGAAGTGTGATGCTGGAGAAGGAAACCTGGACCAAAATGTGGTGTGGGTAACTTGTTTCTCTTTTCTGCGTCTCAACTTCCTCCAGCTCTATTTTTCAGAGAAGGAAGTTGCATGGGAAAGGAAATGGCAATCAGGTTTGTCTAGCTGAAGCAGTCTAAGCTGAAGTATAAAAAAAATTAAGGTGGGCTGGAGCGAGAGGAAGGCTGGGGAAAGCTGGTGAGGTATCTTGAAACCTGTGTTAAGGAATTTCCCTGGCTTAGAACAGGGCAATTGGTTTTTACCATTAAAATCCCTTTGGTTTTTACCATTAAAATTCCAAAGTTACAGCCCTCTCTTCCTCTTTGTAAATGTTGGTTAGCCACTACTGGACATTACCAATCCTCAGGGGAAACTAGTTGAGATTAGAAGAAACAATTGTAAAAAGCAAAGTAGAGGTTCCTCTTCAAAGACTTTCCTCCCCATCTAATTAGGAATAAATAGTAACTTCTCTTAGAAGCAAAATTTATTCAAAGACCTGTGTTAATATTCTTAAATATCTCTAGCCATAATAAAGAAATCAATGTACTTTATGTTCTTAGTTCCCACAATTTAGCCTAAATATTTGCCCTGCCATGCTTCTACTGGTCCAAGCAAGCATTAGGTCATAGCCTGTTCTTCTTCCTTATTTGAAGGTGTTTTTACCTTTCTCAGCATTCCACAAGTTACTTCCTCCTTCCTTTGTCCTCTTCTGCCTTTGCCTCTCTTAAAAAGTTCTAAGTTGCTAGCCAACTGGGACAAATACAGAATGTGAGGTCCTGTTCCAGCCAATGGAAACCGACACAGCAGTAGGGTGGACGCATCAGATTATAAATGACCCTGTCTCCTTTGTTCAGTGTACTCTCGTGGCAAAACTGCTGGCGAGTGTACCCTTTCTGCAGAAAGTGAAAATGGCCTTGCTGAGAAAATTAAATTTATGTTAAGTGCTATTTCTTTACAGCACCAGGGAACAAGCATTTCTAACACAACTTTACACACTGGTAGTAATAGCAGGTCTGCAAGGTTGACTCCAGCAGAGAAAGTCAGGAAGACAGTTAGTGCATGCAGCCAAAGAACTACAAACATAGGGAGGAGCCGGAATAGTCAATTTCAAAGAAAAGATCCTTCCAGTACACAGAATTACAATCTCTGAACACAACTCCCTGGCCTCAATTTTGATTTTAATTGACTGCATGGCTCAAGATAAAGGGCTGGTAAATTGAGACCTGAATTCTCCTTCAGCAACAACCAGGGAGAGCTGGAGGAATGGGTGGTAGTATACTGTAATCACCCATTTTTCAAATTAAGTCTTTAAGGCCCTAGTAAGCCAACTGAAAGGAATTCTTAGTTCCTCAGGCTAAAAGAGCACAGAAGTTGCTATGTGGGATGGGCACCTAGTGCCTCACGCCTATAATCCCAGCACTTTGGGAGGCTAAGGAGGGAGGATCACTTGAGGCCAGGAGTTTAAGACCAGCCTGGGCTGGTGAGACTGTCTCTACAAAAAATAAAAAAATTAGCCAGGCATGGTGGCACATGTCTGTAGTCCCAGATACTTGGGAGGCTGAGAAGGCAGGATTGCTTGAGCCTAGGAGTTCGAGGCTACAGTGAGCTATGATTGTACCACTGCACTTCAGCCTGGGTGACAGAGCAAGACCCTGTCTCAAATAAATAAATAAATAAATAAAATTAGCCAGGTGTGGTGACACATGTCTGTAGTCCTAGCTACGTGGGAGGCTCAGGCAGGAAGACTGCTGGAGCCCAGGAATTTGAGGCTGCAGTGAGCTCTGGTTATGGGACTGCACTCCAGCCTGGGTGACAGAGTGAGGCCCCATTTCGATAATTTAAACAATGATTTTTTAAAAAAATGTTGCTATGTGGGCTGGGAGTGGTGGCTCACACCTGTAATCCTAGCACTTTGGGAGGCCAAGGTGGGTGGATCACCTGAGGTCAAGAGTTCAAGACCAGCCTGACCAACATGGTGAAACTCCGTCTCTACTAAAAATATAAAAATTAGCTGGGCATGGAGGTGGGCGCCTGTAATCCCAGCTGCTCAGGAGGCTGAGGCAGAAGAATCACTTGAATCCAGGAGGCAGAGGCTGCAGTGAGCCGAGATCACGCTACTGCGCTCCAGCCTGGGTGACACAGTGAGACTCCGTCTCAAAAAAAAAAAAAAAAAAAAGTTGCTATGTGAAGGTAGAAGGAAAATAGGCAGAAGGTAATGAGTTCAGAGGACTTGCTTTTAATTGTATATTAAAGTGTAAGAACTCTCAAATATTCTGCATTCTTTTTGAATGACTTTAGTGTGCTTTTCCTCCTGTAGCTACGTTGAGACCAGAGTACCAGCTTTCCTTGCAGAGAGAGAAAGGGAGTGAGAAGGGGGAGAGAGAGACAATGATGAAAATGAGAAATGATGATGATTGTTTCCTCTGAGATAAAAACCTGAGCTCTCTGCTAAGGAAAGAAAACTCTCTCTCTAGGATTTTTTTCTTCACCCTTCATGTCTTATTCAGGAAGGAATAATAAAAGAAAGGAAGACAAAGAATGCTGACATTTACTGAGGTCCTTTTGTGAACTAGACACTTCCTCCTTCATGGTTTCTTTTAATCTCCACATTTTTATACATAAGGAAACTGGAGGGTCAGAGTATTTAAGTAACAAGTTCTCTCCATTATAAAAGGCAGAAGTGGGATTCATCTGTCAAGGCCTGGCTCTTTCCACACCAAAGGAAAATCAATCAGGCATCCTACAGGCCGTTAGCCACTAGAGGGGCCGGATGAGTTGGGTGGCTTAGAGCACTGTTCTCTAACTTGAGCACGAAGCAGAATCTCCTGGCCTTTTAAAACACAGAAGACCCCACCTCTGAGTTTCTGGTCCTGTAGGTCCGGAGTGGAACCAGACACTTTACATTTCTAAGAAGGTGTCAGTCCATCCAGAACCACACCTTGAGATTAACTACCTTAGAGCTAATAGTCTCCAGGAATGGAAAACGCACTTCCCAGTTCATGTCCTACTGGCAGTGGAGTCAGGGAACGTGACAGTGTCACTCTTGTATGGGAAGGCCAACAGATCCCCAAGTGCCCTTAGAATAGAGTTCCCCATGTTCTGAGAGTTGATAGAAACATGTGTTCTTGACTTCTGATTCCACTGCAAGATTTCACCCACAAAATATTTTCATTCTTGAATGTGCATGGTTACAATCAATCCTCGTTATTCCTGGATTTCATATTGGGAATTTGCTACTCTCTGAAATTTATTTGGAACCCCCAAATCCATCCTTGCAGTACCTTCAGTCGTTCACAGACATGTGCAGAGAAGTGAAAAGTTTGAGTCACTCAAACCAAGGTGATGCACATTCCTGCCGCAGTCAAACAAAGCCAGGCCCTGCCTTCTTGTTTTAGCTCTCCACGGTAATGCGGTGTCCTTCCTATTTGCAGTACATGTAATGTTATGTTTTGACATTTTTGTGCTTTTTTTGGTGATTTTGCTCTTTAAAAAATAGTCCCCAAGCATAGTGCTGAAGTGCTGTCTACTGTTCCTAAGTGCAAGAAAGCTGTAATATGCCTTACGGAGAAAATATGTGTGTTAAATGAGCTTCATTCAGGCGTGAGTGACAGTGCTGTTGGCCATAGATCTAATGTTAATGAATCAACAATATATAATAAGTATCTTTAAACACAAACACACATAATTGATTGGTTGATGAAAAATGTGATCAGAGGCCGGGCACAGTGGCTCACGCCTGTAATCCCAGCACTTTGGGAGGCTGAGGCAGGCAGATCACGAGGTCTGGAGATCGAGACCATCCTGGCTAACACGGTGAAACCCTGTCTCTACTAAAAATACAAAAATTAGCCGGGCTTGGTGGTGGGCACCTGTAGTCCCAGCTACTCGGGAGGCTGAGGCAGGAGAATGGCGTGAACCCGGGAGGCGGAGGTCGCAGTGAGCCGAGATCGCGCCACTGCACTGCAGCCTGGGCAACAGAGCGAGACTCCGTCTCAAAAAATAAAAATAAAAAAAAGAAAAATGTGATCGGAGGCTCACAGGAACCTCACCCTGTGTTGCCCCTAGGAGCAATGTTTCAGTATTCACAGTAACCTTATGGAAAATGAGAATCGGCTGTATATCGTAGGGAATCTGAAGGCTCAAGGCACATGGAAGAACCACAAAAATCAAGACAAGAAAAAAATGGAAAAAACCTGAAAATTGACTCAAAGGCTTGGCAAATGCAAACACATATATATAATATAAAAATTTTATTTTATTTTTTTACAGAATGGGGTCTCACTATGTCACATATCATGTTGTTTCTCTAGTTATTTGATATGCCAGAATACAGGAAATGGTTAGGGAAAAGAGTTGTTGCAACGTCTCCGCCTTCTCCTGTTATCCTTACAGACGACATTTTGTCTGTAAAAAGTGAATCTCATGCCCCCATCCTCATCAACTCTGTCCTTCAAGAACTGTCAGAAGCCTGTGTGGTAATAATGCCAGGCTTCTCACGTTCAGTGCCTGGGCCTGGAGGGAGGAAGGGTCGGGTCCTTGCAGCTGCTGTTTATCTCACTTCTGTTGTAACCAGAGAACAATGGGTCCTGCTAAGGGAGGGATGAGAATAATACTTCCATTGTTGGCACAGCAACTAAAGATGGGGCTCTGAACTTGGGGATCAGTTCCCGCTCCTCTCCTTGCATTCTGAGTATTCTCAGAAGCACGGCCACTTTTCAAAGATATACTGTTATGCTGGGAAGCCAGGGGAGGAATCTAGTATCCAATACAACCTTGAACCATGCACACACTAAGAATGCAAATAGTCGGGCGTGGTGGCACATCCTGTAATCCCAGCGCTTTGAGAGGCCGAGGTGGGAGGATCGCTTGAGGCCAAGAGTTCAAAACCAGCCTGAGTGACATAGTGAGACCCCCTTTCTCTACAAAAAATAAAATAAATTAGCCAGGTGTGGTGGTGCATGCCTGTAGTCCCAGCTACATGGGAGGCTGAGGCAGGAGGATCACTGGAGCCCAGGAGATCAAGGCTGCAAGTGAGCTATAATCATGCCTTTGCCCTCCAGCCTGGGCAATAGAACGAGACCAGGTCTCTAAAATAATAATAATAAGAAGAAGAATACAAATAAATGGCCTGGAACTCAGACCATACCTATTTGATAGAACGCCATCTTCACAGGTTTGGGTGGGGTAAACTCTTCGGAATCCTCCAGCCCACAGCGTAAGCGTAGCAGGACTAACACGTCTGGGAAGAGGTTCAGCTCACACAGATGGGATAGTGGCAGGACTCTCATTTAGTCACAGTAATTAAAGATGATTGTCAGTTAAGTATACGAAGATGCTCTAACCTTTTTTTTTTTAAGTTCTAGCTTGGAAAATGTGTGATTTTTATATATGTCATCACAGTCTTCATTCACTCTGTCACAGAATCAAGACCGATTCCGTGTGCTCTTGACGATTCTGTTACACTCCTGCAGGTACAGTTTCCTTCCTCTGGGACATGTGATGGCTCCGTGTAAAGGGGATGGGAGGGACTATTTTCTTACCATGAGGTTTACAGGTTTCCATTCCTGTGTTGTTTACAGGTTTCCATTCCTGTGTTATGTTCAGAGAATGCACTGTATTTGCATTTGAAATGTGCCTACTTTGACAGTTCCTAGCAATTGGTCAGTAGGAGGCTGGAGCTTGAAAAATGCGTAGGAGGAAGGTGAAATAGAATGGGATGGCTGCAAAGAGGAAGAGGGAGTGGGAATCCCAAGCAATTTTCAGTTTTGCTACCACTAAGATTCTTTTTTTGTTTGTTTGTTTTTTGTTTTTTGAGACGAAGTCTTGCTCTTGTCCCTAAGGCTGGAGTGCAATGGCATGATCTCGGCTCACTGGTTCAAGCGATTCTCCTGCCTCAGTCTCCCGAGTAGCTGGGATTGCCACCACACCCGGCTAATTGTTGTATTTTTAGTAGAGATGGGGTTTCACCATGTTGGCCAGGCTGGTCTCGAAATCCTGACCTCAGGTGATTCGCCCGCCTCGGCCTCCTAAAGTGCTGGGATTACAGGCATGAGCCACTTAAAAATGGTTAAGATGGTAAATGTTATGTGTTTTTTAATCTCAATTTTTAAAAACGCTTCATGAGGACAGACTTCAAAATTAAATTTTGGCAAGGGGACATTTTTAAGAGAGCCTTTCTCAAACTTGCTTATGGATATATAATTCTCCAAAAATGGTAATAAATCTGAGATCTTGCCCAGTTGTAAGCCTTGGAAAGAGAGATGGCAATTTTTCCCCAAAGTATGCAACCAGAGAAAGACACAGCCTTGAAGAACCATGAAAAAGAAGAAGAAGAACAAGCAGGAAGTTCTCAGGGGAAATAGTGCCAAGTGCAGGCGAGCCTGCCATAAGCGACAAGCGTTGATATGTGGTGTCTGAGGGGACAGGCACTTCTTGGGTCCTGCAGGGGTACTCTGAGTGAGGAAGAATGAGAAACAGCGTGGAGCAAGCCCTTGGGTTCACTCAGGGCTGCGAACTAACTGAAGGTAGTTGCATGCCATGGCCAAAATAAACTGGAAGGAAAAACCATTTGTTGTGACTTTGTTGTGAGTGTAATCACAATAGCAGGTGCTAAACAGGAAGAACCCAGAAAACAATTCTTGAAACCCCATTCAGCGCCTCTGGAGAAAAATGCCTCAAAGTGCTCCAAGACTAGAGTTTGGAAAGCAAAGACGGGCCAGGCACAGTGGCTGACACCTGAAATCCCAGCACTTTGGGAGGCTGAGGTGGATGAATCATTTGAGGTCAGGAGTTCAAGACCAGCCTGGCCAACATGGTGAAACCCCATCTCTACTAAAAATACAAAAAAATTAGCCAGGCGTGGTGGTGCATGCCTGTAATCCCAGCTACTTGGAAGGCTGAGGGAGGAGAATCGCTTGAACCTGGCGGGTGGAGGTTGCAGTGAGCTGAGATCATGCCACTGTACTCCAGCCTGGGAGACAGAGAGAGACTCCATCTCAAAAACAACAACAAAAACAAGAAAGCAAAGATGACAACGGGCGTGGATCAGTGTGTGGACTCTAGTAGCCTGGGACAGGAGCTGAAGACATGCTGTGATCATGGATCCAAGTCCCTCTTGCATCCTTGGCTGCCAGATGGTGATCTGGCCTCGGCCTTGGCTCACAACAGTGAAAGAGAAGCCAAACAGACAAACCAAGAGGAAAGCTAAACCTTGTAGGGGTTTGATTTCAGAGTAACCCCAGCCAACTGTCAACCTGAAACCACTTTCTCAAGGCATTATGACTACCAGGTGCCCAAGCTAGAAATGCCCTATGTAATGCACACATCACAATTACCTGTCCCGCTCATAAATCCACCTTGTTTCCTTTTCCAAAGGCCCTTAAACATTGCCTTAATACAATTAAGATGATACAGGTTGCCCTGGATGCTGCTGAAGAGGTCCCTTTGGAGTATTTTAAGTACTGTTTTCCTTCCTTACCTCCTTTTTTCCTTCCTTCCCTCCCTCTCTCCCTCCTTCCTTCTTTCGTTCCTTCCTTTCTTCTTTCTTCCTTCCTTTCTTCCTTCCCTCTCCTCCTTCTGTCCTTCCTTCCCTCCTTCCTTCCTTATTGTGGCAAAACATCCATATCAACATTTACCTTTAAAAAAAGGTTTTATTTTTGTTTTTGTTTTTTATTACAGATAGGGTCTTACTATGTTGCCCAGGCTGAACTCAAACTCCTGGGCTCAACCAATCCTCCTGCCTCAGCCTACTGAGTAGCTGGGATTACAGATGTATACCATAATGCCTGGACATTTTAACCATTTTTATTTTGTTTTGTTTTTTGTTTTTTGAGACAGAGTCTCGTTCTGTTGTCCAGGCTGGAGTGCAGTAGCAGGATCTCAACACACTGCAACCTCCACCTCCTGGGTTCAAGTGATTCTCCTGCCTCAGTCACCCAAGTAGCTAGGATTCCAGAGGCATGCGCCATCATGCCTGGCTAATTTTTGTATTTTCTGGCAGAGATAGGGTTTTATCATTTTGGCCAGGCTGGTCTCAAACTCCTGGCCTCAAGTGATATGCCCACTTCGGCCTCCCAAAGTGCTGGGATTACAGGCATGAGCCACCGCACCTGGCCCGTTTTAACCATTTTTAAGTATACAAGTTAGTGGCACTAAGTACATTCACAGTGTTATGCAGCCATTACCAATATCTCTGTCCAAAACTTTATCATGACCCTAAATAGAAACTCTGTACCCATTAAAGAGTCACCCCCAGCCCTGGTAACCTCTCATTTCCTTTCCCTATGAATTTGCCTATTCTACCTCAGATAAGTGGAACCATGCGATATTTGTCCTTTGTGAAATATCTTGCTGGCTTATTTCACTTAGCATAATGTTTTCAAGGTTTATTCATGTAGCATGTATCAAAGCTTCATTGCTTTTTAAGGCTGAATCATATTCTATTATAAATGTTTATCACATTTTGTTTATCCATTCACCTATTGATGGACATTTGGGTTGTTTTTAACTTTTGACTGCTGCTACACATTGTGGATGAAATGCTGCTATGAACATGGTGTATAGGTATCTGTTTCAGTCCCTGTTTTCGATTCTTTGGGGGTACATACCTAGGAGTAAAACTGCTGGATGAAATAGTAATTCTATGTTTAATCTTTTAAGGAACTGCAAAACAGCTTTCCATAGCAGCTGCACCATTTTACATTCTTACCAGCAATGCACAAGTGTTCTAGTTTCTATACATCTTTACCAGCTTTTGATTTTGTGTTGTGTTTTTTTTAAAAAAAAATAGCCGTCCTAATGATTATAAAGTGGTATTTCATTGTGTTTTAAATTTGCATTTCTCTATTGACTAGTGATGTTGAGCATCTTTTATGTGTTTGTTAGCCAGCTGTATATTTTCTTTATGGTAGACATTTTTATGTAGAAATAGCTGTTCATTACTCATTTTTGAATGAGGTTTTTTGTTTTCTGTGTGTGGGTTTTTTTTGTTTTGTTTTGTTTTGTTTTTTGCTGTTAAGTTGTAGGAGTTCTTTACATATTCTGGATATTATTTCCATTATTCCCTTATCAGGTATATGGCTTGCAAATATTTTCCCCCATTCTATGGGTTGCCTTTCCACTCTGTTGATAGCATACTTTGATGCATAAAGTTTCCAATTTTGATGAAGTCCAATTTATCTTTTTTTTTTTTTTTGAGATGGAGTCTCGCACTGTCACCCGGCTGGAGTGTAGTGCCACCATCTCGGCTCACTGCAACCTCCACCTCCCAGGTTCAAGCGATTCTTCTGCCTCAGCCTCCCGAGTAGCTGGGATTACAGGCACCCACCACCATGCCTGGCTAATTTTTTTGTATTTTTAGTAGAGACGGGGTTTCACTATGTTGGCCAGGCTGGTCTCGAACTCCTGACCTCGTGATCCACCCTCCTCGGCCTCCCAAAGTGCTGGTATTACAGGCGTGAGCCACCACGCCTGGCCCTGCTTTTTGTTTCCTTTCCTGTGCTTTTGGTGTCATATGCAAGAAATCATTACCAAACCCAATGTCATAAAAATGTTACGCTAATTCTTCCAAGAGTTTCTAAGAGTTGTAATGCTTACATTTACAGTTTTAGGTCTTTGATCTATTTTGGGCTAATTTTTGTAAATGCAGTAAGGTAAGAGTTCAACTTCATTCCCTTCTTGTAGGTATCCAGTTTCCCCAGCACCATTTGTTGAAGAGACTGTCCTTTCCTGGGTTAATTTCTTTTATATTTACATGTTTTTAGTTTCCTTGTTATGGAAGGAAAAGTGGTAATTACAAAAATTGTAAGCAGTGCATAAGCAACATATATTTAAATAAATATGAGAATTAAACTGGGCAACTACCACATAGAGCTAGGTTAATATTGCAAATCTAAGTTTTACCTCATTTATGATGCCCTACCTCCCCAGCCTAGAGTGATTCCTTTCTTTCATTCATCTCTTAGCATTCATTGTCTATAATGTTTCTTAAATTATTAAAAATTTTTAAACCATCAAAGTTATTAAAATTAACCTTTCACTCCAGCCACTGTTGAGGCAACCGACTTTTCTTTTTTTTCTTTCTTTCTTTCTTTTTTTTTTTTTTGAGATGGAGTCTCTTTCTGTTGCCCAGGTTGGAGTGCAGTGGCTCAATCTTGGCTCACTGCAACCTCTGCCTCCCAGGTTCAAGCAATTCTCCTGCCTCAGCCTCCTGAGTAGCTGGGACTACAGGCGCCCACCACCATGCCCGGCTAAGTTTTGTATTTTTAGTGGACACGGTTGCACCATGTTGGTCAGGCTGGTCTCGAACTCCTGACCTCAGGTGATCCACCCGCCTCGGCCTCCCAAAGTGCTGGGATTACAGGCATGAGCCACTGCACCTGGCTGGCCACCAACTTTTCTTTCTTTTTTTTTTTTTTTATTTAAGTTCTAGGGTACATGTGCACAATGTGCAGGTTTGTTACATATGTATACATGTGCCATGTTGGTGTGCTGCACCCATTAACTCATCATTTACATTAGGTATGTCTCCTAATGCTATCCCTCCCCCCTCCCCCCACCCCACAACAGGCCCTGGTGTGTGATGTTCCCCTTCCTGTGTCCAAGTGTTCTCATTGTTCAATTCCCACCTATGAGTGAGAACATGCGGTGTTTGGTTTTTTGTCCTTGTGAGAGTTTGCTGAGAATGATGGTTTCCAGCTTCATCCATGTCCCTACAAAGGACATGAACTCATCCTTTTTTATGGCTGCATAGTATTCCATGGTGTATATGTGCCACATTTTCTTAATCCAGTCTATCGTTGATGGACATTTCTTGAGCATAATTCTTGCGTTCTGTCCCAGAACTTGAAGACTGAGTTGGGGAATGCCTGTGAAACCCACCACTCACCCATGCAAGCATGTCCATGGGGCAAACCTTGACCAGTGGGGGCAGGAACCAGTCCTTCCTTACCTCAGGTGGATCATTCTGAGGTCATTCTGCATGGCTCCCCAGAAGGCCCCAGAGACATAGAGTGCCAGTTGCCCACAGTGAACAATTTGAGAAGATGCCTTTATGATGATTTTTCCTCCTTTCCTGTTTCATTCTTCCCAGTTCCATGAGATCACTCTCTTCCTCCCCCTCCCCACACCATCTTGGCTCACTGCAGCCTTGACCTCCCAGGCTCATGCAATCCTCCTGCCTCAGCCTTCCAAGTAGCTGGGACTACGGGCTCATGCCACCACGCCTGGCTAGTTGTGTTTTTTTTGAGATGGAGTCTCGCTCTGTCACCCAGGCTGGAGCGCAGTGGTGTGATCTCGGCTCACTGCAAGCTCTGCCTCCCGGGTTCATACCATTCTCCCACCTCAGGCCCCCCAGCAGCTGGGACTACAGGCGCCCGCCACCACACCCGGCTAATTTTTGTATTTTTAGTAGAGACGGGGTTTCACTGTGTTAGCCAGGATGGTCTCGATCTCCTGACCTTGTGATCTGCCCACCTCGGCCTCCCAAAGTGCTGGGATTACAGGCGTGAGCCACCGCACCCGGCCAACCTGGCTAGTTTTTGTATTTTTCGTAGAGATGGGGTTTCACCATGTTGGCCAGGCTCATCTTGAACATCTGGGTTGAAGCAATCTGCCCACCTTGGCCTCCCAAAATGTTAGGATTACAGGTGTGAGCTATCGTGCCCAGCCATCTCTTATATATATATTTTTTTAAGTCTAAAATAACAAATGATTTCCTGCAACCAGTGATATAAGACGAAGAGGAAAGCGGCCGTTGGGAATTGGAAAGGATTTGCTATGTGATTAAGACAGAAATACTTGATTTTTGTATTGCGCTAAGCAAAGGCAATAGCCTGAAAATAGCCACTCTTACTTGGGAGTCACTGTCAGTAAACTGGAAGCTATAATTTCTACTGTCTGTCAGTACAGTGCCTTCTTCACAAGAGATTGCTCTATGTGGAGAGTGGGGGGATAATCTTTCATATAGAACTGTGTCATACTCTTTCCTCTTGCCTTTAAAAAAATTTTTTTAAGTGTACAGTTCAGTGGTTTTTAGTGTGTTCACAAAGTCATGCAATCACCGCCACTATTTAATTCCTAAACATTTTGACCATTCCAAGCAGAAACCCATATTCATGAGGGTGGAGCTTCCCTGCCCTCTCCAGGGCACCATCCTCCCAGCACTTCAATGTGTTCACCAACCCAAAAGTTCTCTGAGCCCTGTCGTTTAGGGGTTTTATGGAGGTTTCATTACATGGGCATGGTTGATTAAATCGTTGGCCGTTGGTGGTTGGGAATTAGATCTCCAGGCCTTCTCCCCTCCCTGGAGGTTGGAGGTGGGAGGTGAGGGCGAAACCCTGTAATCAAGGGTTGGCAACTAGCTTCCACGGTGAAGCTATCAACACCACCTCCCACCAGCAAGAGGCATCTCGTTAGTATAAACTCAGGTACAGTTGAAAGAAGCTCATTGTGAACAACAAAAGACACTCCAATCCCCCATCACAAGAGTTTCAGGAGCTCTGTGCCAGGAAGCAGAAACAAAGACCAAATATATTTTCTTTTTTTCTTTTTTTTTTTTGAGACGGAGTCTTGCTCTCACTCTGTTGCCCAGGCTGGAGTGCAATGGCACGATCTCAGCTCACTGCAACCTCTGCCTCCAGGGTCCAAGCAATTCTCCTGCCTCAGCCTACTGAGTAGCTGGGATTACAGGCACGCACCACCACACCCAGCTAATTTTTGTACTTTTCGTAGAGATGGGGTTTCATCATATTGGTCAGGCTGGTCTCGAACTCCCGACCTCATGATCCACCTGCCTTGGCCTCCCAAAGTGCTGGGATTATAGGCGTGAGCCACCATGCCCGGCTTTTTTTTTTTTTTTTTTTTTTTTTTTTTTTAGCAAAGGGAAATTTTGATTTATCCCATCTTTTTTTGGTTATTTTATTTTATTTTCATTATGTTAATTTTTATCTTCTATATTTAAAAAATTATATATATATGGTTTTTTTGGGTTTTTTTTTGTTTTGTTTTTTTGAGATGGAATCTCACTCTGTGGCCCAGGCTGGAGTGCAGTGGAGCAATCTCAGCTCACCACAACCTCCGCTTCCTGGATTCAAGAGATTCTCCTGCCTCAGCCTCCTGAGTAGCTGGGATTACAGGTGTGCGCCACCACGCCCAGCTAATTTTTGTATTTTTAGAAGAGATGGGGTTTCACCATGTTGGGCAGGCTGGTCTCGAACTTCTGACCTCAGGTGATCTGCCTGTCTCAGCCTTCCAAAGTGCTGGGATTACAGGTGTAAGTCACCGCGCCCAGCCTAAAAAATTATGTATATATTAGTTATACATATTTTGGGGGTATCTGTGATATTTTAATACTTTATACAATGTGTAATGATCAACTCAGGGTAATTGGGCTAGCCATCACCTCAAACATACATCTTTTCTTTTCCTTTTTTGTTTTCTTTTGAGACAGGGTATCGCTCTGCCTCCCAGGCTGGAGTGCAGTGGCACAATCACAGCTCACTGCAGCCTCGACCTTCTCGGCTCAAGCAATCCTCCTACCTCAGCCTCCTGAGTAGCTGGGATTGCAGGCATTCATCACCACACCCAGGTAATTTTTTTATTATCTGTATAGACGGGGTCTTGCTATGTTGCCCAGGCTAGTCTCAAACTCCTAGCTACAAGTGATCCTCTCACCTCAGCCTACAAAAGTGCTGGAATTATAGGCATGAGCCACTGCGCCCAACTTCATTAATCTTTTCTTTATGTTGGAATATTACAAATGTCTCCTAGCTATTTTGAAATACACAATAAAGTATTATTAACTAGAATCCCCCTACTGTACTATTGCATTATTTCTTATTATACTACAATATTTTATTCCTTTGAATGAATAATATCCTACTGAGTAATACTCTGTTTTTTTGGGTATACCACATTCTGTTTATCCATGCCTTGGCTGATAGACATCTGGCTTGTTTCTGCCTTTTGGCAATTGTGAACAGTACTGCTGTGAACACTCGTGTACAAGTTGTTGTGTGGACATATGTTTTCATTGATTTTAAGTAAATACCTAAAAATGGAATTGTTGGATCAAATGGTTATTCCATGTTACTTTTTTTTTTTTTTTTGAGACAGAGTCTCACTCTGTCACCCAGGTTGGAGTGCAGTGGCATGATATCGGCTCACCGCAACCTCCACCTCCCGAGTTCAAGCGATTCTCCTGCCTCAGCCTCCCAAGTGGCTGGGACTACAGGCGCCCGCCACCATGCCCGGCTAATTTTTTGTATTTTTAGTAGAGACGGGGTTTCACCATGTTGGCCAGGCTGGTCTCGAACTCTCGAGCTCAGGCAATCCACCCGCCTCGGCCTCCCAAAGTGCTGGGATTACAGGTGTGAGCCACCATGCCTGGCCTCCTTGTTACTTTTTGAGGAACTGCCAAACTGTTCAACTATTTTTAAAAGTGCTTATATATATTTTTAACTTTCTAGATATACTATTTAGGTTCGTAAATCAAAAAGTGTCTGGGAAAGGTCTCAATCAATTTAGAAGTTTATTTTGCCAAGGTTAAGGAAATGCCCGGAGAAAATAACATGGAATCACAGAAACAGTCTATGGTCTATGTCTTTCTCCAAAGATGATTTTGAAGGCTTCAATATTTAAAAGGGAAAAGTGGGATGGAGAGGAAAGAGGAGGGTGTGGTGATCCATATGTTGCAAGGAAAAGGAGCAGGTAGGGGCACGGTCAATTATGTGTTCATCTGATACTCAGTAAATTGGCACCGTACGTAAGATAAGGTGAACATGCAGTAGCTACCTGTGGAGGTTGTTAGCTTTTTCTCTGTAACTCTCTGCTTAGGAACAAAAGGAAAGGCTGCTTCTTGCATGACTCAGCTTTCAGTTTTATTTTTTTTGCTTTCTGCAGAGTGAATTGGGGTGCTGAGTTTTCAATCTCCCAATTAACTTCATAAACTCCTTGAAGGAAGGAACAGTTTTCTACTTCCTAGCATCTGCCACAGTATCTACATTAAGGCCTACACCTAGTATTTGTATGTGAATGTGTAATTAAGACAATATGTCCTTTATCCTGGGAGTCAGTACAGAAAGTGTTACTGTCAGCTGGCTGGTGGACACGTACATATATATAGCTTTCTTTGTTTTCCTTACTTAACATGCTGGAGAAATTCAAGCAGCTGTGGGTGTGTGTATGTCACGGGGAATAGACACTATGGTGACGGTGGTTGGCGGGTGGTGGTGTAAGGGAGATGAGGATTAGGAAGAGTGGCTTACCTAATCCTCTGGTACAGTGTTCATCCAGAGTCCCAGAGTGGGAGAAGAATCCGTTTTTTGTTTTTTTTTGAGACAGAGTCTCTCTCTGTCTCCCAGGCTGGAGTGCAGTGGTGTGATCTCGGCTCACTGCAACCTCCGCCTCCCAGGTTCAAGTGATTCTCCTGCCTCGGCCTCCCGAGTAGCTGGGATTACAGGCGCATGCCACTACATCCAGCAATTTTTTTGTATTTTTAGTAGAGACGGGGTTTCACCATGTTGGTCAGGCTGGTCTCAAACTCCTGACTTTGTGATCCACCTGCCTCGGACTCCCAAAGTGCTGGGATAACAGGCGTGAACCACCACGCCCGGCCAAATCCGTTCTTATTCAAAATGACAGAGCCAACCTAAGCTACATTCACAGACCAGGAGGACCTTCCCTGTGCTCTTCAACTCCTCTCAATCTCTTCATGCTTAGAGAGCCTTACTCCAGAGGTTAGTCAGGACTTTCTCAGCTTTAAGTGCCAGAAAACTAACTTAAACTAATTTAAGCCTACCCCTGCTCCCCACCCCCCACCAAAAAAAAAAAAAAAAAAAGAAAAGCAGGAGAGGAATGTATTTGGCTCTCAGTATTAGAGCGCCTAAACTTCAGGCGGGGCAGGGGTGACGGTCATCAGATTGTGCCCTTGTGCTCAGTGTCCTCCTGACTCGAAGGGCTCTGTTTGATTCTGTCTTGGCTTTATTCTCAGAAAGGTTCTTGTCACCTGGCAGTGAGATGTTCCCTGGCAGCTCCCTTTCCTGTCATTACTTTGCCATAAACATGAGAAAGCAAGGCAACTAAGTTGTATTTACCAATCTGCTGGTAACAATAGTAACCTAACATCCAGCTAAAGCTGATCTCATCATGATGGAAACTCTGGAGACACCCTCAGAGTCGCCCACCACAACAGTGTGACTACTTTTCTCCACACAAATTCTTGTGAAAATGCTAGGCTCACCAACTTGCAACTCACGTTCAGATAGCAAGCACCGAAACCTGTCTGTTCTTATTGGCAACATTGGTGAAAATTACCTGTAGAATGCTTGGAAAATAATCGTGTTTCGGGACCTGTTCTTTGACACTGCCTGCTATTCCTTTCCTTCTCATATCTTTGCTTTGGTCCTGCTCTTCTGTCCTGCAAGGGGTCTAGTGCTGCTGGGCAGGCATTCCTGGAAGAGGACCTCAGGGTGCAGGAGGCTGAGCCAGGTGGTGCGCAGGGCATTGTGTAGGGCACACACGTGAGCTCTTTCTTCAGCTGACCCCAGCATTCCTGCTGGGCTCATGGTACTTACATAGCACTTAGTCTTTTCAATACTAAGAAATGGATCCCTACAATGATGATTGTGTTAGTCTGTTCTTGTGTTGCTATAAAGAAATACTTTAAGGCTGGGTGTAGTGGCTCACACCTGTAATCCCAGAACACTGGGAGGTTGAGGTGGGTGGATCACAAGGTCAGGAGTTTGAGACCAGCCTGGCCAACATGGTGAAACCCCATCTCTACTAAAAATAGAAAAATTAGCCAGGTGTGGTGGCGCATGCCTGTAATCCCAGCTACTCGGGAGGCTGAGGCAGGAGAATTGCTTGAACCCGGGAGGTGGAGGTTGCAGTGAGCCAAGATCGCGCCACTGCACTCCAGCCTGGGCAACAGAGCAAGACTCTATCTAAAAAAAAAAAGAAAAATACTTGAGGCTGGGCACGGTGGTTCACGCCTGTAATCCCAGCACGTTGGGAGGCTGAGGTGAGAGAATCACTTGAAACTGGGAGGTCAAGGCTATAGTGAGCTGTTATGGCACCTCTGCACTCCCGCCTGAGCAAGAGTGAGACCCTGTCTCAAAATTATAAATAAAATAAATAAAAAATAATAAAAAGAAATACCCAAGACTGGGTACTTTATAAAGAAAAGAGGTTTAACTGGCTCACGGTTCTGCAGGTTGTACACAAAGCATAGTGCCGGCATCATGTCACATGGCCAGAGTGAGAGCAAGAGAGAAAGCAGGGAAGTCCTAGACTTTTAAATAACCAGATCTCTCGTGAAGTAACGGGGTGAGAACTCACCACCAAGGGGATGGTTCTAAGTCATTAATGAAGGATCCACTTCCATGATCCAATCACCTCCCACCAGGCCCCACGCCCATCATTGGGAATCACATTTCAATATAAGATTTGGAGAGGGCAAACATCCGAACCATAATAAAACCAGTAATAAAAACTAGGATGCCTTCACAAGCTCAGCTCAATTCAAGGATGAGACTTGGAAGTTCTTTTCTTCTAATATTTAATAGAAATGGGATCTCACTATGATGCCCAAGCTGGTCTCAAACTCCTGGGCTCAAGTGAACCTCTCACCTTGACCTCCCAAAGTGCTGGGATTACAGGCATGAACGACTGCACCTGGCCTCTTTTTTTTTTTTTTTTTTTGAGATGGAGTCTTGCTCTGTTGCCCAGGCTGGAGTGCAGTGGCACGATCTCGGCTCACTGCAACCTCCACCTCCCGGGTTCAAGTGATCCTCCTGCCTCAGCCCCCCCAGTAGCTGGAATTACAGGCATGCGCCACCATGCCCAGCTAAGTTTTGTATTTTTAGTAGAGACGGGGTTTTACCATGTTGGCCAGGCTGGTCTCGAACTCCTGACCTCAGGTGATCCACCTGCCTCGGCCTCCCAAAGTTCTGGGATTACAGGCATGAGCCAACGCGCCCGGCCTTTTTTCCTTTTTTTTTTTTTTTTTTTTTAAATACAGGTTCTCTGTCTGTCATCCAGGCGGGAGTATGGTGGTGCAATCACCGTTCACTGCAGCCTCAACCTCCTGGGCTCACACAATGATCCTCCTACCTCAGCCTCCTGGGTAGCTAGGACTACAGGCACATGCTAGCCTTCCTGGATATTTTTTTGTTTACTATTTTTTGTAGAGACTGAGGCGGGTGGTCTCACTATGTTGCCCAAGCTGGTCTTGAACTCCTGGACTCAAGTGATCCTTCCACCTCAGCTTCCCAAAGTGCTATGATTACAGGCATTTAGCCATTGAGCCTGGAAAAGTGTGAAAGTTCTTTATCCTCTATGTCTTCTGGCCCTCTGTGGCTACTTCTCTATCATCGCCTAAAATTTTTTGAGCCAAGGATGGGAAAAGAAGTGGAGAGGACCGGAGTCTGGCTCACCTCACACAACTGTGTTCCTGCAAGAACTCTAAGGAGATCCAAACTTTTTTTTTTTTGGAGATGGAATCTCGTTCTGTTGCCCAGGCTGGAGTGCAGTGGCGCAATCTCTGCTCACTGCAAGCTCCGCCTCCCAGGTTCATGCCATTCTCCTGCCTCAGCCTCCCGAGTAGCTGGGACTACAGGCGCCCGCCACCACGCCCAGCTAATTTTTTGTATTTTTAGTAGAGACGGGTTCCACCATGTTATCCAGGATGGTCTGGATCTCCTGACCTCATGATCCGCAAGGTGATCCAAACTTCTAAATTTAAACCTGGTCAACATTATGACAACATATTTGTCAAGGTAGAAGAATATAAAATGTTAACAATGTGCTTGCTTAATGTATACATTTTAAATATCAAGTCTAGAGTTTCTTTCTTCGTCTGTGCCTTGGGTCTTGCAAATGTTAGAAGCAATTCTCCCTCTCTTTTTTTCCTCTTCTTGCCAACTCTGCTGAGGTCTGGTCTTAGCATTCTCATTAAAAGAAGGGAACCCAAAGCACTTACCTTGCCTTTTCCTGTCTTGAATTTGTATCAGCTATGCCTTCTATATAGGAGAATCACCGACAGACTCAAACTCTAGTGAGCAGAGACAGCTTGGGAAAGAGTATGATGTGATTAATGTACTTAAGTCTCATTTGGCAAAAGTTGTTGGGTGTTAAAAGGAAGAAAACAAGCATGTCAGAGTGGGTTAAGAATAGAAAGCTTCATCAGCAGCTGCAAGAAGCCCAGGCATGATAAGCAGGGGTATGCAACGTGAGTGAGCACTCGCCTCATGGAAAAAACAGCTCACAGCAGGAGCTCACAGAACTTCCATTGCCTTTCACTGACAACTTGCATTCATTGTCACACGACCCACCTGGGAGGGGAGATTTATTATGGTTTCTTGAAGATGAGGAAACTGAGGCACAAATAACTCAAGTATTTATGGTATGTTAATGATATTGCAATTTTTTTTTTTTTTTTGAGATGGAGTCTCTCTCTGTCGCCAGGTTGGACTGCAGTGGCGCCATCTCGGCTCACTGCAACCTCTGCCTCCTGCATTCAAGTGATTCTCCTGCCTCAGCCTCCTGAGTAGCTGGGACTACAGGCGTGTGCCACCACGCCCTGCTAATTTTTGTATTTTTAGTAGAGATGGGGTTTCACCATGTTGGCCAGGCTGGCCTTGATCTCCTGACCTTGTGATCCTCCCGCCTCAGCCTCCCAAAGTGCTGGGATTACAGGCATGAGCCACTGTGCCTGGCATCAATTTTTTTTTTGAGATAGGGTCTTGCTCTGTTGCCCAGGCTAGAGTGAGGTGGTGTAATCACAGCTCACTGCAGCCTCAACCTCCCAGGCTCAAGCCATCCCCCAACCTCAGTCTCCTAAGTAGCTGGCACCACAAGCATGTGCCACCGTGCCTGGCTAACTTTTAAATTATTTGTAGAGAGGGGGTCTTACTGTGTTGCTCAGACTGGTCTCAAACTCCTGGGCTCAAGTGATCCTCCTGACTTGGCCCCGCAAAGTGCTGGGATTAGAGGGGTGAGCCACCACACCCAGACATAGACCAATTTTTTTTTTTTGAGACGGAGTCTCACTCTGTCGCCCAGGCTGGAATGAAGTGGCTCACTGCAACCTCCGCCTCCCAGGTTCAAGTGATTCTCCTGCCTCAGCCTCCTGAGTAGCTGGGATTATAGGCGTGTACTACCAAGCCCGGCTAATTTTTTTTATTTGAGACGGAGTCTCACCCTGTTGCCCAGACTGAAGTGCAATGGTGTGATCTCGGCTCACTGCAACCTTCACCTCCTGGATTCAAGCAATTCTCCTGCCTTAGCCTCCCAAGTAGCTGGGATTACAGGAGCGTGCCACTGCACCTGGCTAAGTTTTTGTATCTTTAGTAGAGACAGGGTTTCACCATGTTGGCCAGGCTGGTCTCGAACTCCTGACCTCAGAAGATCCACCCGCCCTGGCTTCCCAAAGTGGTGGGATTACAGGCGTGAGCCACCGCACCCGGCCAGCTCAATTTTTTTTTTTTTAAGTCAAGTATCTTGCCCAAGGTCACAAAATAAGACGACTAAATCATAATGTTTGACCAGGAACAGTTACAGAATTTACAGGGCCCATTTACAGAATTTCCATTCACAAAAGGAAAATGTGGGACCCCTTGTTCAATTACTACGAGGAATTTGAAGACAGTGACAGCGGAGATGGGAACTCTGGCCCTGCATATGTCGCTTGCCCAGGAAGCCAGCCCTTTACATGGTACAGGTAAAGCCAGGCATAGACCTCAGGTCTCGTGGTTCCCAATCAGGTGTGTAAATGTCTCAAGCAGACAAGTGGTTCTCAAACACAGGGACACCAATGCCTGGGGTTCCTCTATTTCTCTATTGGTTAGACTTTTTGGGGTTGCTTTACTGTCATCACTCAAGTTTAAGAAACACTGGGGCATCTCTCTTCCTATCAAAGGTCAGTCCCTCCACACAGCGACAGAACCATGTTTTGTGGGGTCCTGAAACCTACATAACTCGAGGGGCCTCTTTAAGAAAAAGAATATAAAATTATGGCTGGGCTCAGTGGCTCATGCCAATCCCAACTCTTTGGGAGGCCGAGGCGGTTGGATCACGAGGTCAGGAGATCGAGACCATCCTGGCTAACACAGTGAAACCCCGTCTCTACTAAAAATACGAAAAATTAGCCAGGCGTGGTGGCCGGCACCTGTAGTCCCACCTAGTCAGGAGGCTGAGGCACGAGAATGGTGTGAACCCGGGAGGCGGAGCTTGCAGTGAGCCGAGATTGCGCCACTGTGCTCCAGCCTGGGCGACCATCTCAAAAAAAAGAAAAAAGAAAGAAAGAAAAAGAATATAAAATTATAAATAAAATGTAAGTGTTGACAGGCCCATGCAAGTGAGGAGCCCTAAGTCTTTGGCTTCATTGACTTTGTGATAAATCTTTCTCTTCCTGCACCTGTGTCCCTGATGTCATCTCCTGTCACCTTCTCAAGGACTTGGCTTCTTTGATTATCCCTTCCCTTTCCTGTGTCTTTAACTTCACTCCATCTACCACTATTTACATGCTTTTGTCCTCTTTGACTTCTCGTCTCTCTCCAGGAGCCTTCCTTGTCTCTGATCTCTTCAGAGGCAACCTTCTCGGGAGAGTTAAGTCTTCACACACTACTCCTTCGCCTTCCATTCCCCTTCCTCCTGTTCCTGCCGTGACTGAAGTGCGAGTCAGTCACTCTGCTCGCGGAGTTCAATTAACGAGAGTGAGGTCTGGTGGAAAGAAAGTGATTTATTTCCAAAGCTGGCTTAGGGGAAGAGGCACAGGCATCCTGCCTTTAAATGTGCACTTCTCTTTTGGAGCAGAAAGCAGGCACTTTTAAAAGTCAGGGGAGAGAGCAAGCAAGGCAGGGCCTTATCTACTGGGCAGCCGAGCTGGTGACTGCTGGCATCTTACTAGGCTGAAAACTCTCCAAGTGGGAGAGAGCAAGCAAGGCAGGGCCTTGTCTACTGGGCAGCCGAGCTGGTGACTGCTGGCATCTTACTAGGCTGAAAACTCTCCAAGTGGGAGAGAGCAGTGGGCGTGCTTTTTGACTGCTATCTCTCTAGCAGCCTCCTGGAGGGTGAGAGTTCCATTGTGGGCATACTTCGGTCGGCAAATGGACTGTTAACTCTCGAGGAGAGTTCAGTCTGGAAGCACAGTTAGAAGAACTTGCCCTGTAGGGAGTGTCTGGTGAAGGGGAAGTAAAAGGCTACATTTGCATTTCTTTTTTTTTTTTTTTTTTTTGAGACGGAGTCTTGCTGTCGCCCAGGCTGGAGTGCAGTGGTGCCATCTCGGCTCACTCTTAAGTTCCGCCTCCCGGGTTCACGCCGTTCTCCTGCCTCAGCCTCTTGAGTAGCTGGGACTACAGGCGCCCGCCACCACGCCCGGCTAATTTTTTTTTTTTTTGTATTTTTAGTAGAGACGGGGTTTCACCGTGGTCTCGATCTCCTGACCTCGTGATCCGCCCGCCTCGGCCTCCCAAAGTGCTGGGATTACAGGCCTGAGCCACATATTTGCATTTCTAAAAGACAAGTAGGAAATGAAGAACCAAGGAAGTGAGAAAAGAAGAGAGAGAGAAAAAAATAATTAAAATATCTCTTAGAAAAAACTGTGAATACTCGGTTACGCTACCTTGCTTCTGTTCCCATCCCTTTGCTGAAAAATGGATTTTGTCATGTTTCTCAACAATATATAGCTTGCTTGTTGCTTGAACCTATGAATCTCCACTCATTTCTACTACTGGACCTCTCAGCAACATTCGCCATAGCTGGGAACTCTCTTTTTCTTCAAGCTCCTTTCTCGGCTTCAATGACCCCACAACCTCCTTGTTTTACTCTTTAGGTCTCTGGTTGTTCCCTTTGTTCTCTTTTGCAGGGCCCTTGTGTTCTACACAAACTCTAATAGTGTGATAGATGAAGTAACTAAACCATACAGGACTCAGTCCTAGTGTATTAGTCCGTTTTCAGCCTGAGACTGGGTAATCTATAAACAAAAGAGGTTGAATTGACTCACAGTTCTGCATGGCTGAGGAGGCCTCAGGAAACTTACAATCATGGTGGAGGGCAAAGGGGAAGGAGAGACCTCTTCACAGGGTGGCAGGAAAGAGAGAGAGAGAGAGAGCACAGGGAAAACTGCCTCTTCTAAAACCATCAGATCTCCTGAGAACTCACACACTATCACAAAACAGCTTGGGGAAACGGTCCCGATGATCCAATCACCTCCCACCAGGTCCCTTCCTCCACACGTGGGGATTACAATTTGAGATTAGATTTGGGTGGGGACACAGAGCCAAACCATATCACCTAGAGCCCTGATCCCTTTTTTTTTTTTGAGATGGAGTCCGGCTCTATCACCCAGGCTGGAGTGCAGTGGGGCGATCTCTGCTCACTGAAACCTCCACCTCCCAGGTTGAAGCGATTCTCCAGCCTCAGCCTCCCAAGTAGCTGGGACTATAGGTGTGCGCCACTGCATACAGCTAATTTTTTTTTTTTTGGTATTTTTAGTAGAGATGGGGTTTCACCATGTTGGTCAGGCTGGTCTTGAACTCCTGACCTCAGGTGATCCGCCTGCCTCAGCCTCCCAAAGTGCTGGGATTACAGACCTGAGCCACTGGGCTGGGCCATAGCCCCTATCTCTTCTCTATTTATACACTCTTCCTAACCACTGAGGTGGTGATATTTGCATCAAGAACTTAAGGAGGTGAGAATATGTGGCCATCTGAGGTAAGAGCATTCCAGGCATGAAGGAGACAGCAAGGAGGCCAGTGTGGTGGAGTGAGTCAATGACAGGGAAAGAAGCTGGAGATGAGGTCACAGGTAGTGAGAATGGTGGACAGATCACGTGAAGCCTAAGTCGGCCATTGTAATGCCTTTGCCTTTGGTTTTTCCTCTGAGCAAGGTGAGATGCCAGTGCCGGGCTACGAGCAGAGGCTGCCATGGTTCTAGCTTACATCTTAGTAGGATCACTCTTATGTGCTAAATGTGAACGAACGGGTGAACGAACAGAGGAGTGGATGGAAGAGCATGGAAACAAGAAAGAAAATAGAGGGCCAGGCGCAGTGGCTCACACCTGTGATCCCAGCACTTTGGGAAGCCAAGGCGGGTGGATCACCTGAGGTCGGGAGTTCAAGACCAGCCTGGCCAACATGGAGAAACCCCGTCTCTACTAAAAGTACAAGATCAGCCGGTCGTGGTGGCAGATGCCTGTAATCCCAGCTACTTGGGAGGCTGAGGCAGGAGAATTGCTTGAACCCGGGAGGCAGAGGTTGCAGTGAACCGAGATTGTGCCATTGCACTCCTGTCTGGGCAACGAGAGTGAAATTCTGTCTCAAAACAAAAACGAAAACAAAAATAAAAACAAAAGTTATCCGGGCATGGTGGCACATGCCTGTAATCCCACCTACTGGGGAGGCTGAGGCAGGAGAACGGCTTGAACCCGGGAGGCGGAAGTTGCAGTGAGCTGAGATCGCACCACTGAACTCCAGCCTGTGACAGAGCGAGATTCCTCAAAAAAAAAAAAAAAAAAAGAAAGGAAGGAAGGAAAGAGAGAGAGAGAGAGAAAGAAAGAAAGGAAAGAAGGAGATAAAGAGAAAGAAATAGAGAAAAGAAAGAAAGAAAGAAAGAAGGAAAGAAGGAAAGAAAGAAAGAAAGAAGGAAAGAAAGAAGGAAAGAAGGAGATAAAGAGAAAGAGAAAGAGAAATAGAGAAAAGAAAGAAAGAAGGAAAGAAGGAAAGAAAGAAAGAAAGAAGGAAAGAAGGAGATAAAGAGAAAGAGAAAGAGAGAAATAGAGAAAAGAAAGAAAGAAGGAAAGAAGGAAAGAAAGAAAGAAAGAAAGAAAGAAAGAAAGAAAGAAAGAAAGAAAGAAAGAAAATAGGAAGACTCATGGAGAAGTATAACTCCAGGGTCTCTTCGTCACCACATTACAGACATGAAGACCATCTAAGGTGCCAGCGTTGCTTGCTGCAGCTGTCTCCTCAGGCTTGCAGGAGGGGCAGGGAAGACACTTGAGCTCAGGAGAGAAAAGAAGCAGCTGGCTGCTGGTGAGATGGGAGGAAGACCTGAGGCAGCTTCATTGTCACTAGAAACCTGACCCTTTTGGGTTTAGCCAGACAATGACCGCCTTGGCCGGGGAATGTTGGGGAAAACCTGCCAGGTTTTCAGTCTGCCTCTCAGCCTAGACAACCTCTAAAAGAGGAGTGTATCTCTTGAATTGGCAGAAATGAGACACAGCAGAGGGGAGAACTAACATTTCTCCTTAGCACACCATGCAGACTGTCAAAATGAGTTGCCGAATCTATTTTATTCTAACCGTGAGAAAGTAAGGCATCCATAAACAGAGGAGAAGTTATAATTGTGGGGTTTAGAATTTAAGGAGCTCCAAAATGGCTCCTCTAGATAAATTTATCTCTGCTAATCATTGTTTACCTTTGCTGTGTTCTTTTATTTTTTATTTTTTTAAGAATGAAATTAAATTTTTCCTTTTCATAAAAATAGTACATGTACATGGTTAAAAATTCCAGCAGTACAAAGGATATACAATGCTAAGTAAGTCTTTCAACAACATAATGTAAAGTCTTCCTAAATTCATCTGTGTCTTTAACCCTATTCCAGTAAAAATGCTATCAGAATATTTTAGGCAATGCTAAAGTAAACTGGGAAAAGTAAATGTGCAAAAACATGATGAAAATTCTGAAACAGAGAATAACAGAGGAAGATTTACCCTAGAAGGTGAAAATATAAAAGTATATAATTAAAAGCTTGGTAGTGGCACAGGCATAGACAGATTAATGGTACAAAGCAGTATGTAGAAATAGCCCAAATATACCTGGAAATGGAGTATTAAGACAAAGGTAGAATTTTAAGATTTGAGGGAAAAGATTACTAATAAATGGAGTTGAATCATTTACCTTAGTAACTAGAAAAAAATAAAATTGGATCCCTATCTCATTTCTTATACCAAACAAAGTTCAGATGAATCATATATTTAACATTTAAAAATAAAACCATAAAAGTACTGAAATAAAACATGGGAGAAATAAAAAAATAATTCTGGGTGATGTTATAAACTGAATTGGATTCCCCAAAATTCATGTTTGAAGCTCTAACCCCCAGTATCTCAGAATGTGACTGTATTTAGAGATAGGGTCTTCAAAAAGGTAATTAAGTTAAAATGAAGTTGTTAGGGTGGGCCCTAATCCAGTATGACTGGTGTCCTTAAGAGATCAGGACCCAGGCAAGCAGAGAGATAAGACTGTGTGAAGACACGTGCAGAAGGTACCTGGCAAGTCCCGGACAGAGGTCTCAGAAGAAACCAACCCTGCCTACACCTTGATCTTGGACTTTTAGTCTCCAGAACTGTGAGGAAATAAATCTCTGTGTTGTTTAAGCCACTCAGCCTGGGTTACTTTATTATGGAAGCCCTAGCAAACCAATATGGGGATTAAATCTTTCTAAGCAAGAGACAAGGTTCAGAAGCAGTGAAAGAAAAGATTGATAAATTTAACTGCATAAAAATGGAAAATTTCTTCATAAAAACAAAAACGAACTGCAACAACAATAAAAAGCTCCCCCCATCAATTAAAACACAATAATAAATTGGGAAAACATAATGACCCTCAAAGAGCTAATTTCCTTAGATTGCCAGATTCATTCATCCTCTCTCTCTCTCTTTCTTCCTTTCAAAGCTGGAATTTCAAATTTTTATACGATATCTCCTGAAGGTTTCATGTTGAAAACTAATTTGATTTTTAAACACACTGTACAAGCCAACACAGTCTGGGGCTCCTGGTTTGGGATCTCTGGTCTAGACCACCACCACAGGGGGCCTTCCCTTCAGCAGATCAGTCCAAAATGGCCTATGAGTCCTTTTTAAGATCTCACTGCCACTGAGTATACAGAATGAAGATTTCATTTTAGTCATCCAGAATTACACACACACACACAGGCATGCCCGATTATTCTCTCTCACATACAGTATAATTTGGAGCTGTATTATGGAAGGAAACCATTTCCCTATATGCAACATAATATGTGTTGATCCTTCCCCTGCCCAAACGGGAACAGTGCTTTAGGTTTTTTTGTGCAGGGCTATGTGAGTCACTTCCTTTCTCCTTGCCTTATATGGTAGCACCAGGCCCAGAGGCCTACCTGCAGAACCAGGAGCCTTCCCAGAGATGCCTGTTGATGGATGGCTACACTGAGAACCTGAAATAGCGTGCAAATAACTCTCTTCTCTGTACTTGAAGCCAAATCGCATTCCCAGGCAGACATATCCAGCGGGGAAAGAAGAAACAAGAAAATGAATGATCCACTTGCACAAGAATCTCTCCTATGAGCAAGTGTTAGGTGAGGGTGGGGATAAGATGCCTGTCTCGGGAGACAAGGCTGTACAAATTCATAATTTGAATTTTTATGGTTAATTTTATGGTTAATTTTATGGAATTTTATGGTTAATCTTGGATAGTGGGATTTGGGATAAATTTGCTTTTATAATATGTAATTGTATTTTCTGAATTTTCTACAGTGAACTCGTATTGCTTTTATGAACAGGAAAAAGAACAACAAATGCCATAAAAATCATGTAGTATATTAATCTTGTCTTCCTAACAAGACTATATAAGTTCCCTGACAGAGGGAGTCACTTGTGTGTGTATGTGGTATCCTTTCCCATACCTGCGGTGTTGGGCTCATGGCATCCACTTAATGAACGCTTGCTGTCAGTCATTGATTTGGAGTCTTCTCCAGAGCTAGTCCTGATGGAGGTCACCAGACAAGTCTTGCCTGGGTCAGAATGACCCTTGTGGAACTGACTGGAAAGCAGATCTGTGGGTTGGACAGGTTTCACCCTGTATTCATTTTGCCCCACAGGCACCAAGATGTGCAATGCTGTATTCCAGGACTCTGCACCAGCAGCCTGTCATTTGGTATTATTTTTGACTTCAGTTAGTGTTTGCTGGTTTACAACAGGGTTTCCACTCACAGGTTTAAAACTGATTGTGTTTATCATCTATCAGCTTGAATATTATTTCAACCAAGAAACCTCCCCTGATCTCCTTACCTAGAAGTAATCTTTTCTTCCTCTAAGTTTTATTATATGCTTTTTACCTCCACATCATCCATCACTTTCTAAATTTGTGTTATAGTTATTTATGCACACATTTCATCTCCCCTCCTAAACTCTGTGTTTCCTAAAATTTGGATCCATTCTTCCATGGCTTGCTTTGTCCTATAATAAGACAACAGCTACCATGGTTCAAGCAGTTACTTGTGTGCCAAGCCCTTTACACGGACAATCCTGCTTAGGCCTCACAACTACTTCCCATGAAGTATTTTCACCTTCATTTTACAAGTGATAAACCTGAAGTCCCGAAAGATTAATATAATATCTGGTATAATGTGACACAGCTACTGAGTGGTACAGCCTGGATTTGAATTCAAGTAGCCTGACTTGAGAGTCTCTGCTCTTAACCACTGGGCCATAGCACCCCTGAATAACGCTTTCTGCACATTGTCAGCAGTAAAGGTGCAGTGGACACCTGTTACGTGAATTCATTAATCAGTTCATTCATGATCCAAGGATGTTGGGCAGCTGTTAGACCATCGCAGTTTCAGATACCTCTTCTGACCTACACCTTAGGACGGCTAAGGCTCTAAAGGACTTAGGAATAAAATCAGGGTTAGATCCTTTCATATCCAAACCACTATCAAACTGAGTTCTTCCAAGACTAACATTAGGAACGTTAGAGTTAACCCAAGACACTGCTTCACAGTGCCATGCAGACCTAGCCGAGTCTGATAACTTCCTAAAAAGGAGACGTTACACATCTCAAAGAACTGAATTACATAACTCTTTGAACTGTGGTGTTTGTTGTGTGTGTCAGAGGGAGAGGGCAGCCATATCTACCTTGTAGGGTTATTGTGAGGTTTAATGAGATAATGTGAATTGCCCAGAACAGTGCTTGGTACATAGAAAGAACTTCACACGTTAACACTACCCTCCCCTCTAGCCTCATCCCTGCTTTGCAGCTAAGCTGAAAGAAGGCACAAAGCCAAGAGGAGAGATGAAAGATGACAGCTGGCAACACGAGAGATGTTAGTCAGATTCCACAAGGTTACGTGATTGTGAATCAGAGGTGTCAAGGTCCACTCCCAAGGTTCCAAAGAGCAGCTTCTAGTCTTGCAGGAAAAGTTATAGGCAGGAGAGGGATCAGTGAGAGGCCTAATGGAAGAAAAAGGAAGTATTTATTCCTAGCAGAGGGTGAAATTCATCCTTGGGATTCTTTTACTGTGATGAGTGACTATTTTGTTGTCCAGAATTGGATTGGTTTAAGGGCATTCAAAGATCTACAGATCTCACTGAGTTGTCTGCATTTTACTGAGGAATGGGAAGATTAATTGTGGGCACCTGCCAGTCTAGTCATCCCACTTAATGTAACCAGCCCCAGAAAATTCCTCCCTCATTCCAGAAACCACTAAGTCTCTTGACTCTGTGAAGTTTGCACATCTGTCTGGAAAAAGGCAGTTCAGGTCTCATTTTTCCCAAGCAGTAGAAAAAGCCAATCTCAGTAAAGCTAGAAGTTTGTCCTAAGAATCTGGAAGGTTACTTAAAAGATATTTCAATAACCTATGTCTTAGGTAAAGCTCCCCAGAAACAGACTCCTAGACAGAGATGTGCATGCAGGGCTCACTGGTTTGTTGTTCATGGGGAGTACAGAGTGACAACTCTTGGGAGTCAGGGAAGCAGAACTGGACAGAGGGAGAAGCTGAACTATAGTATCATTGCTATAGAGGCTTCAGCTGGGCTTATGGGGCACGGAGTGACAAAAGTGCTAAGTTACCTCCGATGAGGCAACGTGTGGGCCTTTGTATCCATTAGTGACCATTCATTTGATGGTGCCTGACCTCAGGGAAGGGGTGTAGCCTTGTGCAAGGCCCTTGCTGAGAGCCATTCCAAGAGATGGACTCAGCTATGAGGCACCAACAGCTACCAGTGCGAGGATCCGAGTATCCACCATAGCCTGCTGTGCAACTCTGAGTCATATTTAAAACTCAAAATCTGTGAGAAATGCTGGTTTGTTGGCTTATTTTTTATTTTTAGAGACAAGGTCTGTCTCTGTCACACAGGCTAGAGTGCAGCGGCACTTTAACCTTGAATTCCTAGGCTTAAAGAAGCCTACCACCTCAGCCTCACAAATAAGGATTGCTGGAGCCCGGGAGGTCAAGGCTACAGTGAGCTGTGATCATGCCACTGCACTCTAGACTGGGTGACAACAACAACAAAATACCCTTACTTGTCAAACCCTTGGAAGCCCTTGGAAGAAAAGATCAGAGCTTGTTAGGTCTTGGGGAAAAAAAAAAAGAAATAGACAAGCAATATCACCCATCCAGTGGTTCCCCTCTATGGCTGACCCCTTATATTCCCAAAGCATTTTTCTTGCATATATCACTTAGAATCTGTCTTATATTAAATAACTTTTTGTTTTATTTTTGTTTTTCAGAAATCCATTGCTTGCTAATGTTTGTTTGTTTGTTTTTGGAGCTGGTGTCTGGAGCTGGTTCTCCACCTGTTGTGAGTTCCTGGAAAGATCTCAAGACCTATCCCATTTTCCTCCTAGTGAAGGTTGATATTCATAATAGTTGACACTCAGTACAGCACAGACACCGACCAATTCAAACTGACAGAGGTCTTAAGCAATTTTCATGACAATATTGGTGTATAGAGCTGAATATTTGTTCTACACATAGAAGGCATCCAATAAAAAATTTTGAATTGAATTTTATTGGTTTAGTAGTCCTGGCTGTGGTATCTAATGGCCTTCTTTCAGAAGTCAGGCAGCTTTTAATTTTTTTGTCCAAATATGATCATAATGATTTCTTTTCCTCCTTGATTTAGATTCTGCAGGAGTCTGTGAGTAATTTCGAAGAACTTTGCAAAAAACAGGACACTCTGTACCTGCAACGCCCGATATACAGCCTCTAGTCACAAGTATAAGGTTGTTAGGTAAAATATGGCATGCTCAGTTAAATTTGAATTTCAGATAAAAAAGGATAATTTTATAGTATAAGTGTATTCCATGCAATATTTGGAGTGTACTTCAGCTACAGAATTATGTGTTGCTTATTTGTAACTGATAATTAACTGAGCATCCTGTACTTTATTTGTTAAATCTAATAACCCTACTCATGAGTATCTGAATTTAACTTAATTAAAATTTAATTTAAAATTTAGTTCCTCAGTCTACTAGCCACATTTTATGTGCTCAATAGCCACATGTGGCTAATAGTTACCATCTTGAACAGTACAAATATAGAACATTTCCATCATCACAGAACGTTCCGTTGGACATCACTTTTGCCAAGCAAAAGATAGCTTGTAAAAAACTATTTTACAGCTTTTAAAAAAAACTATGTTTGAGGCTGGGAAACTGCCAGGAAACCCTAGAAGGCCCCTTCTGACATAGCCAAGCCACAGTCTTCCTGTTCATCTGTTACTCTTACTGAATATGCAAGGTGTTTGATGAAAAGGTAGAAGGCATCTTTGTTCCAGAAAAACAAGTTGATATGAAAGAAGCAGCTTTGTGGATCTACATTTGTGAAGGCAGTTGTTCTACTTTCCTTCTGGACTACCAGAAAATAAGCTAGCTATCCATCCAAAGCAAGCAAAATTGTAAAAGCTCCTAAATGAAAAATGAGTGTATATCACTTACTAGTATTATTATACATAGATTTTCTTAAATTAATAATCAGAGAGCATCATCAACTAGAATATCTGCTTAAAGCCCAAGTCATTGATTAACTTGGTAAGCACAGCAGAAGTACTGCCTCTCTTAATTAGCCTTTTGGGAGAAACCATGTTTTGAATTGCTGCCTATAGCCCTGGGAATCTTTTAAGAGCAGGAGCCAATTAAGATCTAGAAGAGATATGTGCCAAAAGCTGATTTTTACATATGACTTGGCAAGTCTTAACAGAATCTGGCTGTCATACCAAATGGGACCAGCTAAAAGTGAATGAAACCTATATCAACATGAAATGCAGAAATCATAAAGAAAACAATTGATAGGCTTGACCCAAGATAGTAAAAAGTTGTACATCAAAGTTATAAAAAGTAGGCCAACTAGGAGTTCAAGTCCAGCCTGGGCAACATAGCCAGACTCCACCTCTAAAAAGAAAAAATAAGATATTAAAAGCAAAATAAAGGCAGAGAACTTAAATTTGAACATATTGTTATGTATGTGACATAGTACACATACAGTAAATAGCCACCGTATGAATAAATGCCTATGAAAGAATGTTTGACTTCAGGACTAATCTAAGAACTACAAATTAAAATATGACAGTGATATATCATTTTCACCTGTCAGCTTGGCAATAATGAAAAAAATTAATAGCCAGTGTTGGTAATGGTGAGGAGAAATGTGCCATATACACGTTGTTGATGGGAATGTAAAGCGGTATAAACTTTTTTTTTTTTTTTTTAATTGAGACGGAGTCTCGCTCTGTCCCCCAGGCTGGAGTGCAGTGGCGCAATCTCGGCTCACTGCAAGCTCCGCCTGCCGGGTTCAGGCCATTCTCCTGCCTCAGCCTCTCTGAGTAGCTGGGACTACAAGTGTCCGCCACCACACCTGGCTAATTTTTTGTATTTTTAGTAGAGACGGGGTTTCACCATGGTCTCGATCTCCTGACCTCGTGATCCGCCCGCCTCGGCCTCCCAAAGTGCTGGGATTACAAGCATGAGCCACCGTGCCCGGCCAGTATAAACTTTTTGATGGGCAAGTTGACAACATGTGAAAAACGTTTGTCCAAAACCTTTGACACAGCAATTTTATTTTGAGGTAGTTATTCCAAGAGAATACTTAGAAATGCCCAAAGCTTTGTGTACAATGGCAATGTAGATGATACAGGTATTAGTCTATTCTCACATTGCTATAAATAAATATTTGAGGTTGGATACTTTGTAAAGAAAAGAGGTTTAATTGGATCATGGTTCTGCAGTCTGTACAGGAAGTATAGTGGCATCTGCTTCCAGGGAGGCCTCAGAAAACTTATAATCATGGTGGAAGGCGAATTCAAAGCAGGCCTCTCTTACATGGTGGCAGCAGAAGGAAGAGAGAGAGTTGGGGGGAGGTGCCACACGCTTTTAAACAGCCAGACCTCGTGAGAACTCAATCACCAGAACAGCACCAAAGGGGGAAATCCGTCTCCCATTATCCAGTCACCTCCCACCAGGCCCCGCCTCCAACAATGGGGATTACAATTCAATATGAGATTTGGGTGGGGACACAAATCAATTCGATTTGAGATTTGGGCGGGGACACAAATCCAAATCATATCAACATGTACGTTTTGTGTGTTTGTTGGGTCAATCCGTGTAATAGTCTCTTGACCTTAGTGTTTGCTATAAGACACAGACATGAGATGCCCCTCCTATAGAATGATCCAAGCTGGAGATATGGAAGGAGTTCTGTCATTGGCCTCTGGCATTCTGGCTATATGGTTGGGATTCTAGAACTATCAGTAGCCATGTCTTCACTAGAATGTGGTCAACATGCAGAAGTAGAGAGCAGCTGGAGAGACGGAGAAAGAGAAAGCATACTGGTGTAATATGAGATGATCTATCCTGTTAACCTTAAGGCCAGTGTTTTTTCTTCCTTGCTATGGTTGGATTACGTGAGCCAATTAATTCTACCTCTTTTGCTAAACATAGCATGAATGTAGATGTCTACTTCTTATTAAGATGGAATAACAGTGATCAAATTTGCCTTCCCTTCAGAAATTACTAAACACTTAGACAAATTTTTTTTTGAGATGCAGTTTCGCTCTGTCGCCCAGGCTGGAGTGCAGTGGCGCGATCTCGGCTCAGTGCAACCTCCGCCTTCTGGGTTCATGCCATTCTCCTGCCTCAGCCTCCCAACTAGCTGGACTACAGGCGCCTGCCACCACGCCTGGCTAATTTTTTTGTATTTTTTTAGTAGAGATGGGGTCTCACCGTGTTAGCCAGGATGGACAAAATATTTTTTAAAAAGTAACTGTTTTCAACAAGTGGGACATTGGGCCACGAGGAACAATAATTTATGAGAGATGGGAAACAAAGGAGGTAAGCCCTCTGATTGCCCAGCTTACTGCTTGGAGAGAGTTTCCAGGTGGTGGCACAGAAAGGTGGAACCTCGGCAGAGCCTGGGAGAGCCTGAGGTGAGGAGATGGAGCTGAGAGTTCAGGGCGACCAAGACAGCTAGAGTGGACGGGGCAGAATACCAGATAGGAGAGAACTGTACACAGAGAGAAAAAAGACTCAGCAACAGCAAATCCACAGATCTTCAGAGGGCCCCCCGTGAGTATACAGCAGAGTACTTGGCAGGACATGAATGTGAGGATACTGCCCCAGGCTGGGGACAGAACCACCTGAAAGTATGGAGGCCCCAGTAGATAGAACTCACGTGGGGCCAGAAGTAGTGCCTGTTCCCACCAGGCATATTGGAAATCAATAATTCACAGGGCATGGGTTAAAGTATTCAGGAGGTCTTGCCTCAGTTCTGGACCAAGATTGTCCCTAGCCCAAAGGCTGCTCTGGTTCTGCCTAACAAATCTTAAAAGTAAGACCTTAAAGGATTAAACTGTTTCCAAATAACTGTGTCCCAGAATTAGCTCAAGAATATTTGTGGGACTATAAAAATATCCAGCCCCTAACAGGGTACATTCACTATGAATAATATTAAATAAAAATTACTGAGTGTACCCATAATGAGGAATGTAATTAATCAATCAAACTGACCTGGAACCTATGCAGATATTAGAATTAGCAGTCAAGAACATTAAAATAGTTATTATAACTCTATTCTATATGTTCAAAGAGCTAGGTTGGGCGTGGTGGCTCATGCCTGTAATCCCAGCACTTTGGGAGGCTGAGGCGGGTGGATCACCTGAGGTCGGGAGTTTGAGACCAGCCTGACCAACATGGAGAAACCCTGTCTCTACTAAAAATACAAAATTAGCCAGGCATGGTGGCGCATGCCTGTAATCCCAGCTACTTGGGAGGCTGAGGCAGAAGAATCGCTTGAATCCAGGAAGCAGAGGTTGCAGTGAGCCGAGATCACGCCATTGCACTCCAGCCTGGGCAACAAGAGTGAAACTCCGTCTCAAAAAAAATAAATAAATAAAGCTAGAGGAAAGATTAAATATATTAAGTAGAGACATGGAAGATATTAAAAGAACCAAATTTAACTTTTAGAAATGAAAACTACGGGGGGAGGGGGTAGGGATAGCATTAGGAGATATACCTAATGTAGATGACAAGTTAATGGGTGCAGCACGCCAACATGGCACACGTATACATATGCAACAAACCTGCACGTTGTGCACATGTACCCTAAAACTTAAAGTATAATAAAATATATATATATATAAATTAAAAAAATAAAAAAAAGAAATGAGAACTACAATGTCTGAGATGACGACTCTACTGGATGGGATAAATGACAGATTATCCATAATGTTTTAAAATTTATCCATGTTTTAGTATGTATCAGTACTTCATTCTTTTTTATGCCTGAAAAATATTCGATTGTATGGATACGCCACATTTTGTTTATCTATAATTGATGGACATTTGGGTTGGCTATTATGACTAATACTACTATGAACATTCATGTACAAGTTATTGTGTGGATATATGTTTTTATTTTTTGTGAGTATGTACCTTGGAGTGGAATTACTGGAACAAGCTAGAATTGTCAAATCGTATGGCAACTTTGTGTTGAACCTTTTTGTTGTTTGAGACAGGGTCTTGTTCTATTGTGCAGGCTGGAGTACAGCGGTGCAATGATGGCTCACTGAAGCTTTGACCTCCTGGGCTCAAGCCATCTTCCCACCCCAGCCTCCAAGTAGCTGGGACTACAGGTGTGCGGCACCACAACTGGCTAATTTTTAATTTTTGTTTTTTAGATATGGGGTCTCAGTAGGATGGTCTTGAACTCCTGGGCTCAAGGGATCTTCCTGCCACAGCCTCCCAAAGTGCTGAGATTACAGGCATAAGTAACTGCCCCCAACTTGTGTTGAAGCTTTTGAGGAAGTGCCAGACTGTTTTCCAAGTCAGTGGAACATATATCACCTTATATTCCCACCAACAGTAAATAAGGATTTCAATTTCTCCACATCCTCACCAATACTTATTACTATCTTTTTTTTTTTTTTTTTTTGAGATGAAATCTTGCTCTGTTGCCTAGGCTGGAGGGCAATGGCGCAATCTCGGCTCACTGCAACCTCCGCCTACCAGTTCAAGTGATTCTCCTGCCTCAGTCTCCCAAGTAGCTCCCACCACGCTTGGCTAATTTTTGTATTTTCAGTAGAGACGGGGTTTCACCATGTTGACCAGGCTGGTCTCAAACTCCTGACCTCAGGTGATCCATCCACCTCAGCCTCCCAAAGTGCTGGGATTACAGGCATGAGCCACTGTGCCTGGCCTATCTTTCTTTTTGATTATAGTCATCCTAGTTGATGTGATCAGTACATCATTATGGTTTTGACTATCATCAATCCAGTAGCATCTTTTCATGTGTTAATTGAACATTTGTGTGTATATATGTGTATATATATATAGTGTGTGTGTGCGTGTGTGTGTGTGTGTGTATAGGTTTTTTTAGAGACAGAGTCTCACTCTGTCACCCAGGTTGAAGTGCAGTGGCGCAATCAACCTTGAACTCCTGGGCTCAAGCAATCCTCCCACCTCAGCCTCTCGAGTAGCAGCCTAATAGTGACAAAGATTTACTCCTGTTTTCTTCTAAGTATTTTATAGTTGGACCTCTTACAATTAGGTCTATAGACCATTCCGAGTTAACTTTTGTGTATGGTGTGAGGTAGGTGTTCAGTTTCATTCTTTTGCCTGTGGCTATCTAATTGTCTCAGCACCATTTGTTGAAAAGACTATTCTTTCTCCCATTTAATTGGATTCTTTCTTGTCACCCTTCTTGAAATTTATTTTTTTTGAGATGGAGTCTCGCGCTGTTGCCCAGGCTGGAGTGCAGTGGTGCGATCTCAGCTCACTGCAAGCTACGCCTCCTGGGTTCACACCAGTCTCCTGCCTCAGCCTCCAGAGTAGCTGGGACTACAGACGCCTGCCACCATGCCCGGCTAATTTTTTTGTGTTTTTAGTAGAGACGGGGTTTCACTGTGTTAGCCAGGATGGTCTCGATCTCCTGACCTCGTGATCCGTCTGCCTTGGCCTCCCAAAGTGCTGGGATTACAGGCATAAGCCACCACGCCCGGCCAAGCTTCTTGAAAATTAATTTGTCATAAATGTGAGGAATTATTTCTGAATGCTCAATTCTATTTCATTGATCTCTACATTTATTCTATCCTAATGCCACACTGTCTTGATTACTGTAGTTTTGTAGAATGTTTTGAAATCAAGAAGTGTGCTTTAACTTTGTTCTTTTTCGCAATTGTGTTGATGATTCTCTTGAAATTTTACACAAATTTTAGTATTAGCTTGTCAATTTTTGCAAAGAAGCCAAGTGGAATTTTAATAGGGATCACACTGAATCTGTAGTTTAATTCGGAAGTATTTCCATCTTAACAATATTAAGTCTTCTAAACAGAACATGAGATGTCTTTTTATTAATACTTATTTAGGCATTTAACTTCTTTTCACAATGTTTTGTAATTTTTTTTAAGACTAGTCTAGTCCAGTAGTGAGAAGGGGAAAGAATAGACTAGGGAGTTTACAAGATCTGTCAAGTTTTGTAATTTTTAGAGTATAAGTTTTGAGAATAAGTTTAGAGTACAAGTTTTGTACTTCTTTTGTTAAACTTATTTCTAAGTGTTTTATTCCTTTTTATGCTTTTGTAAGTGGAATTACAGGGGCCAGGCACGGTGGCTCACGCCTGTAACCCCAGCACTTTGGGAGGCTGAGGCAGGTGTATCACTTGAGGCCAGGAGTTTGAGACCAGCCTGGCCAATATGGTGAAACCCTGTCTCTACTAAAAATACAAAAATTAGCTGGATGTGGTGACGCATTCCTGAGTCCCAGCTACTAGGGAGGTCGAGGCTTGAGAATTACCAGAACCTGGGAGGCGGGGGTTGCAGTGAGCCAAGATCACGCCACTGCACTCCAGAGAGAGAGACTCTGTCTCAAAGAAATAAGTAAATAAATAAACAAATAAATGGAACTACAATACAGTAAATGTCAGGATCTTGAGCAAATAACTCTGTTTCCTTAAGCCACAGTTTCCTTACCTATTTTTGAAAAGTGGTTGTGGGCCCCAGATAGGACTGGATTGAACTCTAAGTGCCTTTCAAGCTTCTTCTAAGACCCTGTTTTATGATTCCGTTTAAGTCACTTTTTTTCTCCAGGAAGGTACTATTTTATACGCTCCATTCAATGTAACTGAAAAAATACAAGGTAGATAAAAAACACTTTTTGTTCTTATTTTGGGATGATGGGAAGGGGTGCTAAGGAATCTGTCTAACAAAGACAAGGATTAGGAAATGACAGACTCCTGGAGTTGAAAGTGTCCTTAGAGGCCATTCATTCCAGCCTAAGGTCCAATGTGGAAATTGCCCTTGGTATCGCTGACTGATGATCCAGCTCCTTCCTGCTTGAACATTTTCTGTAGCAAGGAGTTCATTGGCTCACACAACAGTCGATTCCAGTTTAGGGAAGCTTTAATCATTAGCAAATTGTTGCTTATATTAAAGCTGAAATCTGCCTCCTTGTGACTTTCACCCTTCTGCCTGTTGGAACCATACAGAATAAATCTCATCCATTTTACACACACAAGTCCTTCGGATAGTTGAAGAATGTCATCTTGTCCCCAACGCAAATTATCTTATCCACGCTATGTTTCCCAGGTTTCTTCAACAACTTTCATAGGACGTGATTTCCAAACCTTTTGCCACCCCAGGCTCCAATATTTGGCACTTGTTTTGTCAATTTCTTCTTTAAAAATAGTAGTCAGACTGAGTGCAGTGCCTCATACCTATAATCCCAGCATTTTTGGAAGCCAGGGTGGGAGGATTTCTTGAGCCCAGGAATCCTGGCCTGAACAACATGGCGAGACTCTGTCTCTACAAAAAATTAAAAAATTAGCTGGGTGTGGTGGTGTGTGCCTGTAGTCTCAGCTACTTGGGAGGCTGAAGTGGGAGGATCACTTCAGATCACTTCAGCCTGGGAGTTTGAGGCTGCAGTGAGCCGTGATCACACCACTGTGACAGAGCGAGACCCTGTTTCCAAAAAAAAACTTTTTAAAGTAGTGGTCAGGGCTGGGCACAGTGGTTCACACCTGTAATTCCAGTACTTTGGGAGGCTGAGGCAGAAGGATCACTTGACCCCAGGAGTTCAAGACCAGCCTGGACAACATAGTGAGATCCCATCTCTAAAATTAAAAAAAATATATAGTGGCCAGAACTGAGCATCATACTATCTATTAATGGTTCTTAAGCTTTTTTTTTTTTTTTTTTTTTTGAGGAGGTGGGGGTCAAACACACCTTTGGGAGTCAGGTGAAAACTATGTACCCTTCCTATAAAAGAATATAGACACAAAATTCTTTATTTGCTGAGGCATGGTGTTAATATTAATCAACAAACCAACCAAGGCTGTGTCTCGGAAGATTTAGTTGGTGTTTCTTTTAGTGTTTACTGAGTCATTACGATGTTGAATAGTACAGATCAGGGACAAAATTTGGCATGTGCCTGAGGTCCTCCCTCTGTACAGCTGTGCTCTTGATATCTTCCAGCTCACATTTCTCCATTGTGCCCATGAAAATATCCTAATAGACTTCGTAATAAGCCTTGATAAAAATAAAAGGACACCATGTCTTATAGCATTTCCTTGATTCAGCAGGTTAGTGTTCTTATCAGAAAAGGAAATGGGCATTATGACAAGGCATTAGTTTTAGAGTTGATGCCATATTTATCATGTTATGCAACAGTCGTGCTTCCGAGATTTGTGCAAATAATATACTAATAATAACCAACATATATAGAACTTACTGATAGGCGCTGTTCCAAAGGGGTTACACCCACTTGCGAATTTAATCTAACAACCGATGCAGCGGGTGCTGCTATTATCCACGTTTTATAGATGAGGGAAAAGGCAGAGGGAGATTAAGGAGCTCGGACAAGTTAAGTAGCTACTAAGTGACAGAGCCAGGGTTTGAACCCAGGGTTTGTCTAGAGAATTCATGTGCAAATACAGCCTGGTAATTTTAAAATCTCAGACTTAGAGGAACACTGAGCTTTTAATAATTATCTGCAAATTTGGTTTCCTCCCTCAGGATGTCTATCCTGGTTCCACGCTGTTTACCTGTCAAAGAGAATGAATAGAGCATCCTTAGCGCTTGCTATTTGCCCAGAAAAATATGTTTTCAGGTAGGCAAGTTTCTTTCTAATCAGTAAATACGAGAGGGGGAAAATCCTAAGACTCACTAAGATTCAGTGTCTTGGGTTTAGATGGAGGTTATATTTGGACATACAATTACCTGCTAGTAAAGTTAGTCACTGTGTAGGTGACTCTACGGCCGAACTCATCCCCTTTCTGTGTCTCAGTTTCCCCATATATTTTATTCCAGTTTGCACCCTTCCTCAAAGGGACTGTGGGAGAAAGAGGATAAGTGTATGAGTTTGAGAAAAAGATAGCAGAAAAATACAAGGTGCCATTAGAAGTTATCTGTCCTGAACAATAAGCCATTACAGACCAATAAACAGGCCAGGCACGGTGTCATGCACCTGTAGTCCTAGCTACTGGGGAGGCTGAGGTGGGAGGATCATTTGAGCCCAGGAGTTAAAGGCTGCAGTGAGCCGAGATCATGCCACTGCACTCCAGCCTGGGCGACAGGGTGAGACCCTGCCCGCCCCTGCCAAAAAGAAAAGAAAAGAAAAGAAAAAAATTTTAAAAGACCAATAAACACCGTTTTGGAATTAAAACTACTGTAAAATAACGAACTTGAGTGGGCCATTGCATCACCTTTTAAAAATACAGATATGCAAGCCCAGCTAGAAAACTAATCCTAAATTTAACATGAGGATTAGGCCTGCCGTCCTCATTTAAATTAAGAGTCACATAAATTGCCGGCTATAACTTCAGGGACTATTGTTAATGAGGGATTTTAACTGTGAAGTGGACTGTTGTCAGGATCAGGAAGCAGGTCAGACTTTATTTGACACAATATTGCATGTCCCTTGTGCCTCTATTTTTACCTAAAAAAATATAAAAACTGACTGGGAAGGCCCTTTAAAACCCCAGTTAATATCATAGAAATACTAAAAGCTTATAGTGTGTTAGAAGCTGACAAGCTATCATAATATCTAAATGGATCTGTTGACCTTTAAAATGGAGCTTGGCTCTCATGTCCATTTGTCACAATTTCCTACTTATTTCCTTCCCCACCTTTTCCCCATTGTCAACTCTTGTTATTCTCAGTGGTCATGGAAAAAAAAAATTACTTTGAGGGCCTTAATGTGATTGAAAACAACACAGACTGGCAGGTCATCCCTCCTCCTTACTGGACTATTTCTAACTGGGCTCATTACAGAGCCTCTAAACAGTGAGAGTGAAAAGCCTCGAACACAAAGCTCGTTAAGGAATTCATTTTGGTCTTCCCCTCACTCCTCACCACAATGCTCTAGTGATTATATTCAGTCCAATTATGTATGTTCTACATGTAATTAAAATGTACAAGATGATCAGATTGCATAAGCTTTGAAATGGTCTTCTTATAAAACAGAGTATCATTAATATTAGAGTGGAGAGAGAAACCGAATTTTGCAAAGAAGGAATGAATGCGAGATTGAGCTAGAGGAGATTGGATGAATGGGTTAGTCAAGCTGGGATGGAGAAGTAATGAATACGAAGCTCTATATCTTATATTTAGTATTTAAATAATTATAGTAATAATTTTTTAAAACCTTTATTTTTTCTTCTTTTGTTTTGAGACAGAGTCTAGCTCTGTTGCCCAGGCTGGACCACAGTGGCACAATCTCGACTCACTGCTACCTCTGCCTCCCGGGTTCAGGGTTCAAGCGACTCTCCTCCCTCCGTTACTGAGTAACTGACTACAGGCGCGCAACCACATCGGCTGATTTTTGTATTTTCAATAGAGAAGTGGTGTCACTGTGTTGGCCAGGCTGGTCTCGAATTCCTGGCCTCAAATGATCCACCCACCTCAGCCTCCCAAAGTTCTGGGATTACAGGCATGAGCCACCACACCTGGCCTTTAAAAAGTGAAACATCATGATTTTCTGGCCTTTGAAGAGATAATATAATTTTTAAGTGTGTGTCTTTGGCCAGACATGGTGGCTCACACCTGTAATCCCAGCACTTTGGGAGGCCGAGGTGGGTGGATCACCTGAGGTCAGGAGTTCGAGACGAACCTGACCAACATGGGGGAAACCTCGTCTCTACTAAAAATACAAAAATTAGCCAGGTGTGGTGGCACATGCCTGTAATCCCAGCTACTCGGGAGTCTGAGGCAGGAGAATCGATTGAACCCGGGAAGCGGAGGTTGTGGTGAGCCGAGATCAGGCCATTGCACTCCAGCCTGGGCAACAAGAGCGAAACTCCATCTCAATAAAAATAAATAAAAGTATATCTTTTACTGTTATGATGAACACATTTCATTAAAAAACCTAGTTTGTTCTGTGTGTGTGTGTGTGTGTGTGTGTGTGTGTGTGTGTAAGTGTGCATGAATGTGTGTGAGGGTGGGCTTGGATACACAAAATTAAATTTTATTTTTTGAGACAGCATCTCGCTCTGTCACCAGGCTGGAGTGCAGTGGCTCGATCTTGGCTCACCGCAAGCTCCGCCTCCCGGGTTCACACCATTCTCCTGCCTCAGCCTCCCGAGTAGCTGGGACTACAGGCGCCCGCCACCATGCCCGGCTAATTTTTTGTATTTTTTTAAGTGGAGACAGTGTTTCACCGTGTTAGCCAGGATGGTCTCGATCTCCTGACCTTGTGATCTGCCCACCTCGGCCTCCCAAAGTGCTGGGATTACAGGCGTGAGCCACCGCGCCCGGCTGCACAAAATTAAACATTTTAAGTCAATCACGTAGTTAATCAACACCTGCTGTGCCCAAGGCCTTCTTAGAGAGGACACAAGTAAGTGTGAGGCATAGACCTTATTCTCAGCCAGCTTACATCTGATTGTGGAAATATGTAGGAATGTCAACAATGATCCTCCCGGTTAGCTGACAAGTTTTTCAACAAGCTGCTACACAGATTTTCATTCATGTAACTCGATGATTAGAAGATGCTTCTTGAGAGGATCTGTGCACTTGAAAATCTCTTAGGAAATCTATTTTGGAATGTCATCTATCTTTAGGGGGTGGCCATGTATCACAGGTGTCTACAGAGGTAACACTGTTTTTTCCATTTCAAAAACTGAATCAGAATAGATGTGGCAATAAGGGCTAAGTCTTTACGGGGCTTCACATTGCTCTTCCAGCTGGTGTTCCGCCCTCGAGGCGTCCTTCTAATGACTACCTGTGGGCAAAGACAGCCCGACAGACTTTATTTTTCTAATCAAGACCTAGCCCTGGTGTCCTGATTCTTTTTGGAAGCCAATCCACACTCCAACCTGTCTTGGCTTGTTATAGGCAGAGACAAGTGATAAGATCCCCCAGTCCTATCCTGTCATAAGGTAATACCTCTGTCAAAGCTCCGTGGTGAGAGCTGTAGAGATGCATAGATAGAGAGCTGAAATCAGCCTGGCAGCTGACAGGGTCTAATTTGAGAAGCTACTCCCTACCTGTACTAAACTATGAGGCCACACTACCTTGTTTTTCTCTAGGAAGCCCCACATTCATATCTAGTTTCCTTGTACACATGCATACCCATAGCCTGGCCCCTTTATCATCATGACTATAATTATTGCTTAGCACCCTTATTGAAGAGTGAGAATTGCATAGCCTACAAGATGTGAAATTCAACATGCTTCTTCTCCAGTGGGAACCTCATCTAGATACGCATGCAAAAGACATTTCAAAGTATCTTAGGAAGGGTGGGGAAGGGAAAACACAGGAGGGTGAAATAAATAATCATTTCAGGATTTTCCAAGTAAGAAACTTCACAGGAAGTGGGTTCCAAAGGGAGTAGGTTGAGGTAACTTGCCACTCTGAAATAGAATGCCAACTTATTAATTCAGTTCAACGAAGGGCTCAGCTCTGGGAAGGTCAGCTTGCTAAGATCTCATTCACTACGGACTTCAGTGGCCCAGGTTCCTTTTCTTCATCTTCTTCCCCTATTGTTTCCTGGTATAATTTCATGAGCTTTGTGATTATTATTATTATTATTATTATTATTTAGAAGGAGTCTTGCTCTGTCGCCCAGACTGGAGTGCAGTGTCACAATCTCAGCTCACTGCAAACTCCGCCTCCCGGGTTCAAGCACTTCTCCCGCCTCAGCCTCCCAAGTAGCTGGGATTACAGGTGCATGCCACCACGCCCAGCAAATTTTTGTATTTTTAGTAGAGACAGGGTTTTGCCATGTTGGCCAGGCTGGTCTCGAACTCCTGAGCTCAGGTGATTCACTCACCTTGGCCTCCCAAAGTGCTGGGATTACAGGTGTGAGCCACTGCACCTGGCCGAGACTACTATTTAAAGAGTATTATTACTGTCTTAAGAGAATGTATACTTCTATCTACTGAGAAGTATTACCTGCTATAGAGTTTGGCACTCTTTTCCTAATTCCCAGCTATTCTAAGGGAGTCAATTTACCATATCTTCAATTGGTCCAAACACAGGCAGACGCTGGAAGATGATAATATTATTGCTGTTGTTGAATTTGCTAAATACTCTTTTTGGTTACAGAATTAACCTGACTGTAGAGGTTAATTAAGCAAAGTATGTTCAGTAAAATTATCTTAAGATTCAGAAAATTGGCTGGGCGCGGTGGCTAACGCCTGTAATCCCAGCACTTTGGAAGGCCGAGGTGGGCAGATCACCTGAGGTCGGGAGTTCGAGACCAGACTGGCCAGCATGGTGAAACCCCATTTCTACTAAAAATACAAAAATCGGCCAGGCGTGGTGGTAGGTGCCTGTAATCCCAGCTACTCGGGAAGCTGAGGCAGGAGAGTTGCTTGAACCTGGGTGGCGGAGGTTGCAGTGAGCTGAGATTGCGCCATTGCACTCTAGGCTGGGCGACAGGGCAAGACTCCGTCTCAAAAAAAAAAAGATTCAAAAAATTATCACTGAATGTCAAATTATGAATATATAAGTAGCATACAGAATGTGCCTTGATCATAAATGACTAAATAATGTAAGCAAACTCTTAGAGATCATAAGGAGTTGGGAAGCTTGTCCTTCTATTTACTGGTAAGGAGGTACTCAGGTGAACATTATGTTCAGAATCTTTTCAATATCTGTCTTGATAGCTATCCCTATCCCTCCCAACCATCGAAATGGATGAAAATGACCATTGCTTAAAGGTTTTTCAAACTGAATTAGTAATATCATTTTTTCATTTTTACCATAGAGTGTATGTAGACTTTTCAGGTAGGTTTCATATCTCTTGGGTATTGAGACAAATAGTTTGTAAGCAGAATAGGATGCTTTATAGAGTATTCAATAATTCAATATTATGTTTCAATAATTTTGGCACAACTAAATATCATTTTAAAAATCTGATTTCTTGAAGAATAACTTATATACAATAAAAAATTGCCCATTTAAAGTATAGTCAGGGCCAGGTGCGGTGGCTCACACCTGTAATCCCAGCACTTTGGGAGACCAAGTTGGGATAATCATTAACATAGCAAGATCCCCGTCTCTACGAAAAAAAAAAAATTAGCTTGGCATGGTGGTGTGCATCTGTAGTCCCAGCTACTCAGGAGGCTGAGGCCTGAGGATCCCTTGAGCCCAGGAATTTGAGGCTGTGATGAGCTATGATTGCACCACAGCACTCTAGCCTGGGCAACAGAGCAAGACCCTGTCCTTAAAAAAAAAAGTATAATCACCCACTTAATGAGTTTTGAATGAATACAGTCATGTAACCATCACCAAAATTAAGACAGAAAACATTCTCGTGACTCAAAAAGTTCTCTGCGCTCCTCTGCAGTTCATTTCCTCCCCCTCTAACCCCAGAACTGATCATTCTGCCGCCAGTTTTGGGTTTTCTACATGGCCACATAAATGAAATCAGTAGACTTCTGTGTCTGGCTTCTTTCATTTAGCATCATGCTTTGGGAGTTATCCATATGATTGCACATACCACTTCGTTTATTTTTATTGCTGAGTAGCATTCCATCATAAGGGCACAACACAATTTACTTGCCTGTTCACCAGTTGATAGATATTCGGTTTGTTTCTAGTTTTTGGCTATCATGAGTAAAATTGTTATGAAATTTTCCATGCAAGTCTTTGTGTGGACATGTTTCCATTTCTCTTGGGTTAAATATCTGGCAGTGGAATTGCTAGATCATGTGGTAAGTATATGTTCAACTTTAATTATTAGAGAGTCAAGCTATTTCCCAAACTGGCTGAACCACTGTACTCCCGGTAGCAACGTATGAGAAACTAGTTGCTCTACATCCTCACCAACCATTTTTAATTTTAGTCATTTTCGTGGGTATGTGGTGATATTTCATGGTAATTTTAATTTTCACTTCCTTAATGACTAATGATGTACATCTTTTCATGTGCCTATTTATCCTTTCATTTATATTGTTTGGTGAAGTATCTGTTCAAATCTTTTGCACACATTTTTACTGTACTATTATCTTAAGGTTGAATTGTAAGAGTTTCCTATATATTCTGTTTACAAATATTTTTTCAGATATTTGTTTTGCAATATTGACTCCCAGTCTGTGGCCCTTTCATTTTTGTAATATCATCTTTAAAGAACAAACATTTCTGGCTGGGCACGGTGGTTCACACCTGTAATCCCAGCACTTTGGGAGGCTGAGGCAGGAAGATTCCTTGAGCCCAGGAGTTTGAGACCAGCCTAGGTAACACAGGAAGACCTTGTCTCTACTCTGTAAAAAACAAACCAAACAAAAAAGAACACGAACTTCCAATTTTGATGAAGTCCAGTTTAACAATTTTTTCTTTTATGGTTTGTGCTTTTTGTGTCCTAAAAAGTCTTTTATTTTTATTTTCTGTAGAGACAGGGTTTTGCTATTTTGCCCAAGCTGGTCTTGAACTCCCGGTCTCAAGTAATCTTCCTAGGCTCCTAAAGTGTTGGGATCACAGATGTGAGCCGCTGCAGCCAGACCTAAAAATTCTTTGCTTAGGCCAGGTGTGGTGGCTCACACCTGTAATCCCAACACTTTGGGAGGCGGAGGTGGCAGATCACGAGGTCAAGAGATCAAGACCATCCTGGCCAACAGGGTGAAACCCTGTCTCTACTAAAAATACAAAAATTAGCTGGGCGTGGTGGCACGCATCTGTAGTCCCAGCTACTTGGGAGGCTGAGGCAGGAGAATCACTTGAACCTGGGACGTGGAGGTTGCAGCGAGCCAAGATTGTGCCACTGCACTCCAGCCTGGTGACAGAGTGAGACTCCGTCTCAAAAAAAAAAAGAAAAAAAAATTCTTTGCTTAACCCAGAATCACAAAGATTTTCACCTGTTTTCTTCTAGAAGTGTTATAGTTTTAACCCTTATTTAGAATTGAAATGTCTTCTTGAGGAATTGACCTCTTCGTAATTATGAGAGATCCCTTTCTATCTCTGTTAATAGTCCTTGTTTTGTATTAATATAGCCACTCTTGTTTTATTTTGATTGGTGTTTTCTTGGTATATATTTTTTCATCCTTTTAATCTGTGTCTTAATCTTTAAAGTTTTTTTTCATAGGCAGCATGTAGTATGGTGTTGTTTTTTATCCAATCTTTTAATGTCTTCCTTTGAATTGGAGAGTTTAAAAGAGATTAAACCATATAATTTTAACATAATTGTCAGTGTGGTTGAACTAAAATCCTCTTGTTGGTCTGTTTTCTAGTCATTTCATTCGCTCTCTTTTTGTTCTTTTTCTGCCTTCTTCTGAATTATTTAAGTTTTTTTTTTTTTTGTTTTTTGAGACAGAGTCCCGCTCTGTCGCCCAGGCTGGAATGCAGTGGCGCCATCTCCGCTCACTGCAAGCTCCGCCTCCCGGCCCGGGTTCACGCCATTCTCCTGCCTCAGCCTTCCGAGTAGCTGGGGCTACAGGCGCCCACCACTACGCCCAGCTAATTTTTTTGTATTTTTAGTAGAGACGGGGTTTCACCATGTTCGGCAGGATGGTCTCAAACTCCTGACCTTGTGATCCACCCACCTTGGCCTCCCAAAGTGCTGGGATTACAGGCGTGAGCCACCACGCCTGGCCCCTTATTTAAGCATTTTTTAATGGTTCAATTTTACCCCTACTACTGGTTTATTACCTATACCTCTGTATTTGATAATTTTAGTGATTGCTTCAGTCTTTCCAATATGTAACTTGAAATTATTATAGTTTACCTTCAAATAATATTATGACATTTCATATATAGTATAAGACCCTAATAACATTATTCTTCCATTTCCTCCTCCTGTCCCTTATGCTATAACCATTATACATTTACTTCTATATATATTATTTTTTTAAAATTTTATTTACTTTAAAAATATTTTTTGTTTTTTAGAGACAGGGTCTCACTATGTTGCCCAGGCTGGTCTTAAACTCCTGGCATCAAGTGATGCTCACACCTCGGCCTCCCAAAGTGTTAGGATTACAGGCATGAGCCTCCATGTCCCGCTTACTTCTTCATATATTATAATGCATATTATACCTTGTTTTTACGTTTGCTTGAAACCATCATTTACCTTTTAACATGACTAATAAAGTGCCTTTTATGTTTTCTTTTATTTATTTTCTTTTTTATTTTCTGGGCTTTTATATTTTCCAACATATTTTTTTTCTGGTATTTTCATTCCTTGTTTAAATCCTAATTTACTACTCCTTTTACTAATATACTAATACTTTCCTTTAAAAAAATTATTGCAATGCAGGTCTGCTTGCAATGAATTCTCTCACCAAAAAATATATCTAGGTTGGATGAGGAGTAGTGGTGAAACAGTCCAACAGGTGTATTTTGTAAAAGCTTCCTAGGTGATTCTGATAAATCTTTTCCTGTGAGAGCATGTTAAAGCCTGGGACATTTTAAATATTTCCCCCTATGTTCTTTCCAGATAATGTGAAAAACTTATACTTGGTAATGTCTTATGGTGACATACTGTGCAGCTATTAAAGAACGATGTTTCCAGAGAGTATGTAATACACTGGAAAAGCTTACGACATAATTATAAAATTTTTATCTGTCTGGAAAGAAATACGCCTACATATTAAAGGTTGCTATCTATGGCTGGGTAGATTTTCTGGTAATTTTCACTTTCTTCCATACTTTATTCTGTAACGTTCAAATTATCTGCAACGAGTGACAATGTGTTAAGAAATTCACAAAATAAAGAGATGAGTATTCAGCTGGGCACCGTGGCTCACGGCTGGCCAACATGGTGAAACCCCACCACTACTAAAAAGAAAAATAAGCCGGGCATGGTGGCGTGTGCCTGGAGTCCCAGCTTCTTGGGAGGCTGAGGCAGGAGAATCACTTGAACCCGGGAGGCAGAGGTTGCAGTGAGCCAAGATTGCACCACTGCACTCCAGCCTGGGCGACAGAGTGAGACTCCGTCTCAAAAAAGAAACAACAAAAAAGATCTGAGTATTCCCCAGAAGTAATTCTCCTTTTCATTTTGGTGTGTACTACCTAGACTTTTTCTGCATGCCTTTAAATACACACAGAAACAGAATTTTTTAAAAAAATACAAGATGTGATATAGTGCATATTATTCTGAAACTTGAGCCTTTCACTTAATAGTTATGGCACCACATACATATTTCCCTCCTTTTTTCCTACTGTTGCATGGTGTACCCCAAACTGGAAATACCATAGTTTAGCTATTTTCTTATTGATGAACATGCAGATCATTTGGATTTTTTGTTACAAATAAAGCCATAGTGAAAGGTTTTATGTTTTGTTTTTGTTTTTTAGAGACAGGGTCTTGCTCTGTCACTCAGATTGGAGTGCAGTGGCGTGATCATAGCTCACTGCAGCCTCGACCTCCTGGGCTCAAGTAATCCTCCCACCTCAACCTCCCAAGTAGCTAGGACTACAAGCACACACCACTGCACCTGGCTATAGTGAATATTCTTATAGATATTTCTTTCCTTTTTTTTTTTTTTTGAGATGGAGTCTTGCACTGTTGCCTGGGCTGGAGTGTAGTGGCACAATCTCGGCTCATTGCAACCTCCACCTCCCGGTTCACGTGATCCTCCTGCCTTAGCCTCCCGAGTAGCTGAGGTTACAGGCACACACCACCACACCCGGCTAATTTTTTGTATTTTTAGTAGAGACGGGGTTTCACCATGTTGGCCAGACTGGTCTCGAACTCCTGACCTTGTGATCCACCCGCCTCGGCCTCCCAAAGTGTTGGGATTACAGGCGTGAGCACCCACCCTCTTATAGATATTTCTTAGGAAACACGTGCAAGTATTTTTCCAAGGTAGGTACCAAAAAGAAAGAAAAAGACGATGCACATTGTACGTTTTAATAATTGCTAACAAATTGCCCTCAAAAAAGCTTGTACCAATTTACCGTATCATTAACAGCACGTTTCTCCACATCCTCGCCAACACTTGATATTATGAATCCCTAAAAATTTTGCAAATTGCCATGATGGGGACACTAAAAAAAAAAAAAAAAAATTTTTTTTTTTTTTTTTTTTTGCTCAATTTAGACCAGGCGTGGTGGTTCACGCCTGCAATCCTAGCACGTTGGGAGGCTGAAATAGGAGAACTGCTTAAGTCCAGGGAGTTCAGACCAGCCAAGGTAACATAGTGAGACTTCATCTCTACAAAAAATTTAAAAATTAGCTGGACATGGTGGTGCACACCTGTGGTCCCAGCTACTCGGCAGGCTTGAGCCTAGAAGTATGAGGCTACAGTGAGCTGTGATTGCACCACTGCACTCCAGCCTGGACAACAGAATGAGACTCTGTCTCAAAAAAAGATAATTTTTCAATTTTATGAGAGAAAATATTATATTTTAATCTGCATTTTGCTAGTTACTGAGTTTCAGCATCTTTTTCATGTCTATTTTTGTTATTTGCATTTACTGCTTTATTTTATTTTATTTTTTTTTCTGAGACACAGTCTCGCTTTGTTGCCCAGGCTGCAGTGCAATGGTTCAATCTCGGCTCACTGCAACTTCCACCTCCTGAGTTGAAGCGATTCTCGTGCCTCAGCCTCCCGGGTAGCTGGGACTATAGGCGCGCACCACCATGCCCGGCTAATTTTTGTATTTTTAGTAAAGACGGGGTTTCACCATGTTGGCCAGGCTGGTCTCGAGCTCCTGACCTCAAGTGATCCTCCCACTTAGGCTCCCAAAGTGCTGGGATTACAGGTGTAAGCCACCATGGCATTTACTGCTTTGTAAATTATCTTTTCATATCCTCCTTTTCTATACAGTGGTTTGCCTTTTTCTCAGTGATTTAAGAGGGTTTTTTTCCCCCCATATCTTTTGGATATTAATCTTTTGTTATACAGTCTCCAGAGTTTTTCTGGCAGTTTGTCACTTGTGTTTTGTTGAATAGATTATCAATTTTGATATTGTCAAATATTTTCCTTTGTGGCTCTTGGATTGCTCTTTGAAGCCCTTTAGTACCCTATGTTCTCCTACATTTAAAAAATTATTTAGAGATATTTTTTAAAAGTTTGGTTCTTCAATTTATGTGGAAATTAATTTTGTGAACAGTCTGAAGTAAACACTGACCTCATTTATTTTTCAAATGAATAACTAATTGTCCAAGCACTGTTTATTATTTTGCCCTACTGACTTCAAATGCCATTTTCTATATGAAATTCCCATACATACATGAGACTGTTTCTGTACTCTCTCTTCTGTTCCATTGCCTATGCTTATCTCAATACCATATAGATTTAATTTTATGGTTTTATAATATACTTTGATATAGGGAAAATCCCACCCCCTTTATTTCATTTATAATATAAAGTTCTTAAAAAACTATTCTTCATTGTTTATCTGCCTGATTCTCACTTCCTACTTCCAGATGACAGGGTTCCAGACGACAAAGAGGTAAAATAAAAATTACCCATAGGCAAGACAAAGGAGCATGGGAAAATGAGGGAAAGGAGACAAAAAAAAAAAAAGAGAAATGCTCTTAAGGTGGGACAATTTTTCCCCTACACTTCAAGAAGCAACTTTATGTATCAATATTTTGCCACATTCAAAGTAAGGTAGATTTTGTGTGTTTAGGATATTTCAGCCACTGTCTAAATCAAAGGTGTCTCTGACTTTCATTGCTAGCTAGTTACCAATGGCAGAAACCATGTAAACAAAAAAATGTGAATGGAAGGGAATAGAAAGAAACATGAATCAATCAATGTGAGAACATGAACAAGAACTAGAGAGAATAGAGACATGGTGAGACAGAATAACATACTTGTATTCTTCTTGTGGAACCAAATGTAAGGAAGTCAAACCTCTGAGCTTAGTGCATTCATTGTATCCTGGGTTCTTTGTTATCTCTGTTTACAGTCACTTGATGTTTTATATGGAACATAGAGAGGTTGATTCTTTACTGGATAATTGAAGTGACAGAGAAAGGAAAAGTACTATTAGGAATTATAGTAATGAGTAACAGAAAATACCATTTACTTGGAGGTAGGTTGGTAAGCATTAAAAAGAACTGAGTGAGCTGGGATCAAGCCACTGTACTGCAGCCTGGGCGACAGAGTGAGCCTCTCTCAAAACAAAACAAAACAAAACAAAAACTGAGCAAAAAAGTGTTTGTTAGTAAAATACGCACACTAAATAATATAACCTTTAAATCTAATCATTGTACATAATAAGATTATATTCAACTTAAAATTGTATCTGTTTTCATTGTAAAGCTAATATTACACAAGTGGGAAAAGCTGTCTCCTAGGCAAGTGTGGTTTTAAGTCAACAGTTAATTAAATTACTTACAATGAATTTAGTTGTTCCTGGTTGAAAAGACATGTTGATAGGGCATGGTGATTATCAAGGGACTTGTGTCCAATGCAGTGTGGCCAAAGTTTCAGGGCTCAGTAAACAGGAACAGGCAATAATAAAATCCTTTAACAACCACTCACACAAAAATATCCTAATTTTTTCATGGTGCCAAAAGGGAACATTGTGATTTACTGATCTTCTTTTAACTTGCCAATTTGTAATTAGCTGCCTTATGTTTAAAATCAGACTATTTTTCCTAGTGAAGCAACAATTGGGTAAGTTTTATTTTACTCAAAAGTACAATAAAAATGTATTTTACAGCCATTTCTTCCCTTGCTTACATTAGGTTTACGGTTAGAAAAACACTCTTAATTCCATTTGCCATAATGAGATTATTTACCATTACCAATAGCAAACGAATGAAAGATACATTTTCTAAAGCAATGGAACACTAATATTTTAGTACTCTAGTTGTCCCTGCTGAATCGGCATTTTAAAATGTTCGTAACCTGTCAGCTTCATGAAACCTAACGATCATTGGTTTAAAACATTTTTGTAAACTTGAAAGTGTAGCTTGTGATAAACAACAAAAAAAGAAAGAAAAGAAAAATAGGGTTAAGTATTTTACGTATCAGATGAATTAACATGAACTGCAGGGCAAGACTTCTGTAGGTGGAGCTCATCCGATAACTGTGCTAAGGAACCTCCTGCCGAGTTCCTTGCTAGCTGCTCGCTCGCAGCGTGGTCCTCGGCCCCGACGCGCGCTTTCGAGCTTGTTCCGCAGCGGGCGCTGAAGAGAGGCGGCCGCGTCCGGACGCTCTGATGCGGTTGCGTACGTTTTCAGCGCTTCCCGCTCTCCACCGGTTGGACTGAGGCTTTTAAACTGCAGTCTGCTCCCGAGTCCGGCTTCCTACTCGGTCTGGTGCCCCCTGGTGCTCGTCCCCTCCACATCTTGAGTAGTTGCGAAGAGCACAGGGGTCCAGGCAGACAAGGATGCTTTCAAGAAAAACATTCCATGGCGGCAAGCCGCATGGATCCACATTTCCCGGGCCCAGAGCCTTTGTAGACATTGCATGTGGACATTCAGGAGCTCTAGAGAAAGAGGGGGTGTTGTTTCACGAAGCCACCAGCAGAAGAAAGGTGGAAAATAAGTTTCAACCAACTACAAAGGCAGAAGTCAGCCCAGCCCCCCAAGTGTGGTCAAAGACCCATAGATCCGTAGACCTTATCTTTTCTTGAATCCACCGCTCCCCCAACCCCCCTTTTATTATTTTTCAGACAAAGCAAAGATAGAGTTCACTAGGATCCCCGATTTCAGTAAGGCAGCCCTTTTTTGAGAGCCAGAATATCCGTCTCGGCCGGGAGCTGAGAATGTGGCCTTAATTGATGAGGGGAGGAGGATGGAAGGTAATCCTCCGTGTCTCCTCCTCCAATCCGTTTAATCAATATTAATTTCATGCACAATCTTCACAAAGTTTCTTTTCCCCTCCTCCGACTCAGAGCTCAGGCTCCGGTTATCCTGCTTTGCCCTTCCCTTCCACCCTCACAGCCCTGCAGTCACTCAACACTACTGAGGCTCTCTCCATTAAAGATGAACAACAGATCATTTTTCATTGCATGGCAACCCTAAGAGCTCTCTAGCTTAGCAGAGCATGATGGGAGTCTTTCCATCCCCCCCCCCACCCCCCGCCCGCTCGTTCCTCTTCTTTTTTTTTTTTTTTTCCTTCCTTTCCTTCTTCCACAATTAATCCCTAAATAATGATTTTCCTAAGCTCGCGCGGACTTCGGGATGGGGTTGAGCGACCCGTGATGACGCTCCCATCAGCCTTTCAGAAGGGACGGTTTCCAAAGAAAACTACAACTCCCACGAGGCATTAGGCTACAGCAACCGCAAGGCATCACGGAAGTCGTAGGCACTTTTCTTCTAGGTCCCGTTCATCCCCGCCAACCCGTAAACTATAAGTCCCAGGGTGCCTCGGGGCTAGCACGCCTGCGCAAAAGCCCCGGAGCGAGTTGGGGGGTGGGGCTGCTCCGGGCGGCGGGGGGCGGGATCCGAGCGGGCTGTGTGGAGGCTTCAGACTCCCGGCGCCATTTAGCGCGGAGAGTTTCCCGGGTGGACGCGGCTCCTCTCTCGGCCACTCCGCACCCCCATCTTCGGTGACAGAAGGCGCCTGGTGGGGGTGGCTGCTCTTTTCTCTCCCTGTTCCCCCTCACCCAGTCCTCTAGGTCTCCTCTCCTCTTGCCTCAGAGAAGCAGCGGAGCTCGGGCCCCGCGGTGAGCGGCCCTCCCCTCCCCGCCGTTCCCTCCTCCGTCAGCCCCCGGCACCGGCCCGGGAGGAGACGGGTTTGCCAGGCCTGGGGCGGGCGGGGAGGCCTCGGGGAAGGGGGGGCCCGCTCCTCAGGCGCCGAGGCTCCGAGGCTCCGGCCCTTCGCCTCTGGGCGATGGGCGACCTGTGAGGCCGGTCCCCATCGCTGGGGGCGCGTGTGGGAGGAGGCGGCCGCCCGAGTGACCGGGAGCCGGGCCGCGGCCTTCCCTCGCCCGCCTCGGCCCCTCCCACTCCTCTGCCCCGGGGCCGCCACCGCCCGGGCGTCGGACCTGGTCCCGTGCTCGCGGTGCCGCCGCCCTCTGGGCCTAGCCCGCCCAGCTCGGCGAGCGGCGGCAGTGGGAGCCGCGTCCGCCGCATCCGCCTCGACTCGGTGCCGGCCCCTGGCCCTCCCCTCATGACTGCGGCGCCTCTGCTGCCACCGCCCGCCCGGCCGCCGCTCGCCGCAGGATGGATGCGGACCGTGCGGCGCTAACCCCCGTGGCTCAGCTCCCGAATCGCCCGCCTTCGAGCCCTCCTCGTGAGCCGCAGCAGCCTCGGTGCCAGCCCCCGCCGCAGCTGGGCCCAGCGGTCCGCCTGTCCCTCGTTGCGGCTTGTCGGTGCTGAGTGAGGCGTCGTCCGGGTCGGCGCGAACCCGCCCGGCCGCGGTTCCCTGCAGACCTCTGCGCGGGCGGCTCGGCCCTTCACGCCCTTTTCGTTCACGAATCCGAGCCCGCTCGCCTCTCTCCAGCGAACCGACCATGTCTGGCGGCGCCGCAGAGAAGCAGAGCAGCACTCCCGGTTCCCTGTTCCTCTCGCCGCCGGCTCCTGCCCCCAAGAATGGCTCCAGCTCCGATTCCTCCGTGGGGGAGAAACTGGGAGCCGCGGCCGCCGACGCTGTGACCGGCAGGACCGAGGAGTACAGGCGCCGCCGCCACACTATGGACAAGGACAGCCGTGGGGCGGCCGCGACCACTACCACCACTGAGCACCGCTTCTTCCGCCGGAGCGTCATCTGTGACTCCAATGCCACTGCACTGGAGCTTCCCGGCCTTCCTCTTTCCCTGCCCCAGCCCAGCATCCCCGCGGCTGTCCCGCAGAGTGCTCCACCGGAGCCCCACCGGGAAGAGACCGTGACCGCCACCGCCACTTCCCAGGTAGCCCAGCAGCCTCCAGCCGCTGCCGCCCCTGGGGAACAGGCCGTCGCGGGCCCTGCCCCCTCGACTGTCCCCAGCAGTACCAGCAAAGACCGCCCAGTGTCCCAGCCTAGCCTTGTGGGGAGCAAAGAGGAGCCGCCGCCGGCGAGAAGTGGCAGCGGCGGCGGCAGCGCCAAGGAGCCACAGGAGGAACGGAGCCAGCAGCAGGATGATATCGAAGAGCTGGAGACCAAGGCCGTGGGAATGTCTAACGATGGCCGCTTTCTCAAGTTTGACATCGAAATCGGCAGAGGCTCCTTTAAGACGGTCTACAAAGGTCTGGACACTGAAACCACCGTGGAAGTCGCCTGGTGTGAACTGCAGGTAAAGCCCCACCTACTTTATTTGACGGTCCTTTGGATCCCAAATTTGGCTCGGCGAAGCCAGTTGATCGAGTTCACCCTTCACTTGGCATTCTCTGTTGGACTCCGAGTGGGACGGGGAGGCCAACTTTTGAAAGGGGCTGAAATTAGGAGAATGTGGAGCATGTGCCTAGGTGTTGGGATAGGATAAGAATTATTGGTAGCCAGAGGGATTTGCTACCGGGCAGCGGTGGTGAAGGTCATCTTAGTACAAACGAATTGTCTCCTGGTTTAGAGTCTGGCAGGAAACTTGGAATGAGTGGGGAAGTTGAAAGTACAGATGCTTCTTCTTCTGTGCATTTCAATCTCATCAAAGGCTCTGCAGTGATGAGCTGCGTCTGGGTGTAGAAGCGTGTTTTCATTCCTGAGATCAGGCTGTTCTTTTTAAATGAGAACAACCTTGTACCTTTGGATGTATTTTGCTTGATGGTTGCACAGGCATTTAGTATAAAATAATTATTAAAAAAAGACTCTTCTCTGCCCCTTTTGGATGTTTGATGTTGTTCTACCTAATGATGCTTAAGCCTTACAGTAGCAGCATTGCTCTGACGTTCATTAAACTAATGTCTTTCAGCCCATTCACTATACAGCGAATAGTATAGGAGCCCATGCAAAATTGTGTAAGTGCTTTGAGAGTCGTAATGTCATCATCATTGTTTTAATCTTATAAAATATCTTTAAGCTGAACTTTCCCAAGAGTCCGAAGGAGTCGCAGCACTTCCTTTTTTAACCTCTAGTGGTGTAAATAATGGTGTGTCATTCCGGTTGACTAGTACATTCTAGGTTTAAACAGCTGAGTTTGGGCTACTTGTTGCTTGACTTACTGAAGCAGCTTGCTTAAATATTGCCCTGATTGGGCATAGGTGAACATAGGTTATTAGTAGGAGCAGGTTTATGCTGAAGGAAGTCAGCCACATTATGCATGCATAAAAATTGCCATTATTGATATAGTAATCTTGCCAAGAATATAGACCAGCCTGATACAGGATATGAAAATAACTGAATGATCTTGGAACTTATTTTATCCATGAACTAATATGTTAACACGTAACCCTTTGAATGTCAGGTTCCAAATAACTAAGGCCATATCAAATGTGAAATTAACACAGCATGTGGAAGTAAACTTAAAAACTAAGAAGTTCTTTACAAACATAATCATTTCTTAACTTTTACAGTTAATGATGTAGAACTTCTAAGGTAGTGTGAAATTAAAACTACTCATTAATTTTATAGTATTTTAGAATTGAAAAGGTGACAGATCTTTAAAAAAAAAAAACCTCGTCAAACGAAAACTGTTCATTTTGGTCAGTCATATTCAAAAAACTTAGTCTGGGCCAGGCACGGTGGCTCACGCCTGTAATCCCAGCACTTTGGGAGGCCAAGGCGGGTGGATCACGGGGTTAGGAGTTCGAGACCAGCCTGACCAACATGGGGAAACCCCGACTCTACTAAAAATACAAAAATTAGCCGGGTATGGTGGCGCGCGCCTGTAATTCCAACTACTCGGGAGGCTGAGGCAGGAGAATATCTTGAACCCAGCAGGTGGAGGTTGCAGTGAGCGGAGATCGCACCATCGCACTGCAGCGTGGTGACAGAGCGAGACTCCGTCTCAAAAACAAACAAAAACAACAACAACAAAAAAACTTATGTCCGATTCCTTTTGGTTTACAGGCAGAAATTTACAGGTAGACACATTTCTTTCTTGTACTATCGATGCTTATTGATACTGATGCTGGAATTTTATTCTTCCATTATAGTTTTATATTTGAATAGGTGCTTTTTAACAATTTTGTTTTCCTTAACCGGTTACCTTACTTTTTTAAGACTGGACCCAATTACTTGTTGAGCACTTTATGAATTAATTTTGTTAGTTTTAATTATTTCACTTCTGAGACTTCTTAGCATGTGATGTGTGTTTTCCTTTTATCACCTGGAATTTTCTGATACTTTATTATCTTGGAACTGATAATACAGTGAAAAAAACTTAATTTGTCTAATGTCACGATAAAAACTTTGTCCAAGCTTCTCAGGTTTTCTTAGAACTCGTAACTTTTTGGATTTTTAATTCTCTATCTAGGCATGGGCATTACCAAACTAAAGAAAATCTTACATCGCATATTATTTTTGAGTCATTTCAGGATTTGGCTGCAGAACTAGATGAATCCTAGCTTATTAAGTGGTACCTGGTTTAGAAACTTCCATGTTATTTGTCTGTGCTTCTGTAATTTTTTGTTTTGATTTTGAAAAGATTATCTTACCTGAAAAATCCTTTATAGCAGTAGTTAGGCAGTATTTTTGGTTTTTTGACCAGGACACTTGCACTACATGCCTAATAAAATATTCAGTGGGTCAGTGTTTGAACTTTTATCTTTGGAGCCAAATTAAAGGACAAGCCAAGGGATTACTAAAGCACTGGAAAGATAGAAACTTTTTCGCTAAATCTATCCTTTTAATATACATATATTTCTGAAGCAAGACAGGAGAATATTGAGTTAAGTTGTTGAGTTAAAAATCTTAGTGTATTGAAACTGGGAGAAATCTTAGGTTATTCTGCCCAGCTATTTATTTGACAAATAAGGAACCTGAAATCATAGAGCAGGTAAATAACTTGATTAGGTAGATGAAGAACAAAAGCTAGTTAGGATCTAATAATTTGGGAGATGACAAAGCATTTGTAGTCCAGTAGATGGCTAATAAGTCATTTCAAATGAAGCAATATTGTGTTGGTGTGGAAGTGGCTGTTGGATTTCTGGAGAAACCCGGTCCTTATACCCATGGCAAATTTCAGGCTTCTGTTTTGGGTGTTGATTTTTATCACTTCAAATTGAGATATAAATAGGCTTTTGTGGATGGGTCAATATGGTATACAAATCAAGCTATTTTCTGTCATGCTAATTTTTTTAGAGTCATGCTATGCATTGCTCTTTAGTAAAACAAGCATCAATTCTTTTTTTTTTTTTTTTTTTTTTTTAAAAAAAAAAAGAGACGGAGTCTTGCTCTATCTCCAGGCTAGAGTGCAGTGGCGCAATCTGAGCTCACTGCAACCTCCGCCTCCTGGGTTCAAGCGATTCTCCTGCCTCAGCCTCCCAAGTAGCTGGGAGTACAGGCGCACCCCACCACACCCAGCTAATTACAAGCATCAATTCTTAGTAAATAATGCCTAGGTAATATTTTGATACCACAGGACCTTCAGTAATTACCGAGATGTTTAAGATGCAGATTTCTTTAACTGGTTTTATTAGACAAGTAGTGCACCTTAATTTTAATATTTGGTTGTCTTGGTCAGAAAATATTACTGTTGGGCTCTATCTGCAGAGTTTACATTGCTTTTCTAGAAAGGGATCTGGTTTTTCAAAAAAGATAGCATAATTTCCTTTAAGAAAACATTGATGGAGCCGGGTGCGGTGGCTCACGCCTGTAATCCCAGCACTTTGGGAGGCCGAGGCGGGTGGATCACGCGGTCAGGAGTTCGAGAACAGCCTGGCCAACATGGCGAAACCCCATCTCTACTAAAAATACAAAAATTAGCTGGGCGTGGTCCGCACGCCTGTAATCCCAGCTACTCGAGAGGCTGAGGCAGGAGAATTGTTTGAACCCGGGAGGCAGAGGTTGCAGTGAGTCGAGATCGCACCACTGCACTCCAGCCTGGGTGACAGGGTGAGACTCTGTCTCTAAAAAAAAAAAAAAAAAAAGAAAGAAAGAAAAAGAAAACATTGATGCACAGATTTAAGAATGATTTATTTTAAGCACCTTCCCAAGTTGCCTCTGAAGAGTTCACATGATGCGTTATATGTTGATGAGATTGTTTCCACATCTACCTGAAAAGAGAGGTTAAATCATATTTTTGTTGAAGCTCCAATATACTTAACTGCTTATTTTTCTCTGTCTTTTATTAAGACTGTGTGTCATGAGTACATGACATTAATATTTTGTGAATAGTATAGCAGTGTTACAGAAATGGGATGTGGTTCTGTGATTAAGAAACCATCATTTATTTCTTTGCTATAGTTCTTTTTTTTTTTTTTTTTTTTTTTTTGAGACGGAGTCTCGCTCTGTCGCCCAGGCCGGACTGCGGACTGCAGTGGCGCAATCTCGGCTCACTGCAAGCTCCACTTCCTGGGTTCACGCCATTCTCCTGCCTCAGCCTCCCGAGTAGCTGGGACTACAGGCGCCCGCCACCGTGCCCGGCTAATTTTTTGTATTTTTAGTAGAGACGGGGTTTCACCTTGTTAGCCAGGATGGTCTGCTATAGTTCTTAAAATATCTAATTGAACTGAATCTCTCTATTTGAATGTTGGTGATTTTTTCCCTCTTATCTTTTAAATTTGTGCCACATTCCTTATTTTTTAGGATGAGAATCAGCGTAACTTTCCGTCTCAGGGAATAGTTTTTGGAGTTTGTTCTTAAATCCTCAAAGTCACCGATTAGGAGTATTGGCAAATTTTTTTCTCTTACCTTTTTTCTGACCCGTAGTAACACAGTCTGAGAAGTAATCTAAAAACCTGGAAAGAGGTTGTTTTTGTGTAAAACAAACCAGGAATCTATTGTTGCTTTGTGACAATTCATTTCTTGACATTCAAATTCTGATGCAAGAGCCTAGTCATTTAAAATTTATCTTATTCCACCAGCAGCTTATCAAAGAATTTCAAAAAATAAAAAATATATGTATATAAATATAAATAAAATTCATCTTAGTTCATCCCTATGGAAACATTCAACTAAAACTGGGCTCTCATTTTCAGAAATCATCCTAAACCTGTTATTTGGGTTTTCTGGTAGTTTTTACATTTTTTTAGATAAAGCTGTAAAAGCAGCAAGAGTAGCTGTACTCAATTATCATTTCTGAAAATATTTAGCATACTATGAAATAATTCATAATTACCGTTAGTACACCTTTGCTATACCAGTTCTTTAAATTATATTGATAATTTAAATTATATATTTAGTAACTTGCATTTTGTTTGAGTTTTTTGTTTTTTTGTTTTTGAGACAGAGTCTCACTCTGTCGCCCAGGCTGGAGTACAGTGGCGCGATCTCGGCTCACTGCAACCTCCACCTCCCGGGTTCCAGCAATGCTCCTGCCTCAGCCCCCTGAGTAGCTGGGATTACAGGCGAGCGCCACCACGCCCGGCTAATTTTTGTATTTTTAGTAGAGATGGGGTTTCACCATGTTGGCCAGGCTGGTCTTGAACACCTGACCTCGTGATCTGCCCGCCTTGGCCTCCCAAAGTCCTGGGATTACAGGCTTGAGCCACCATGCTCAGCCGTTTTGTTTTGTTTTAAAACCTGGTCTGCAGGAATAGGTGAGACTTAGCATGACCTCAGTTTATGTTTGAAGAGGCCATTTTTCTGCCTTGTAACATAGTAGTTAAGAACTAGATTGCCTGGGCTCAAATCAAGGCTCAGCTACATAATTGTGTCACCTTGAGCAAGTTTTGTGCTACAGTTTCCTGTCTGTAAAATGGGTGTAAAAAAGAGTACCCATTTTATAGAGTTGTGCTGATTAAATGAATGAACATATATAAAACATGTAGGATAGGGCCTGCCACATAAATATTAACTGTGATGATGCAGCATCTTTTTTAGGTTGTCCTTTTGAGGGAATCTGTGAAGATTTTGTTTGTTTATATTTATGCTTGAAAAATCATATAGCAAAACTTAACTACTGTTCTTGGAGGAGGAGGAAAGCAGGTATTGATCTTTATGTTACTGGTGCTTTTAAATTCCTTAGCTCTACCTGGCCTTTGCCTAACATTTTAATTTTGTGACCCATCACCCAAATGCCAATCTTTCTGAACTGCTTATTTTCAGAATCTGCTAAGATCCTTGTCTCATCTTTGCATGTATCTAGAAAGCATATTTTCTTTTGGTGGATCTCATATATAATTCTTATAGTATTTATTTATCATATTGAAATTGTTTATATATTTTGTCTAATCCATTAGTCTTTGGAAAGTTCACTATGGTGTAATAGAATACTATACAATGAAAAGGAGCACCAAGGCAGAACCCTTGAGTTCTAGATTACCCAATTTTCTGAGCTTTGAGTAAGGAACTTAATCTATAATGCTCATTTATTAGCAATATGTCTTACTGATTTAGGATTGTTGAAGATCCACTGAAATACTATGTGAATGTACTTTGAAAAATGTTAAGTGTTATATAAAATATAACAGAATACTTAAATATTCATTTAGAAGGCTATAAATTGTCACCTATTACAAATGGAATATATTAAACTTAGTTGGATTTTAGGAGCTTTTTGCTTTGTCAACTTAATTTCTCAAATCTTAACAGGGGAGCTTTTCAGTTTGAAGAAACATTGTCAGAAGCTCTTAATATTTTATTTGGAAGATGATTATGCCTTTGACAGGTAGCAGGCTTAATTTTATATGTAGTTTTTTTTTTATTGTTGTTGTTTTTGATGGGGTCTTGCTCTGTCGCCCAGGCTGGAGTGCAGTGGCGTGATCTTGGGATCTTGGCTCACTGAAACCTCCACCTCCTGTGTTCAAGCGATTCTCCTGCCTCAGCCTCCAGAGTAGCTGGGATTACAGGCACCCACAACCACACCCGGCTAATTTTTTTTTTTTTTTTGTATTTTTAATAGAGACAGAGTTTCACCGTGTTGGACAGGCTGGTCTCAAACTCCTGACCTCAGGTGATCCACCTGCCTTGGCCTCTTAAAGTGCTGGGATTACAGGCATGAGCCGCCGTTCCTGGTCTATATGTAGTTTTTAAAAGATTGGTTATTTGTGATTTTTACATAAGAGGAAAAGCATCAGTAAGCTGTGGTTTTGTGGCCAACTTAATTGATCATATAATATCTCCACCTTCACTTACATTAATTTAGATTTTTCAGGTGGGGTTTCATAAATAATTTACTTTTTAGTGTTGTGACTTGAATCTTGGCTTTGCCAAATTACCATATTAAATACATTATGCTAAATGAATATGTTGGAATGATTTTTTAGAAGAGTCCTCAGATAAGCTGTTAGTCATAACAAGCAAATAATTTTCTCAGGAATGTAAGAATTCTTAAGAATTTTAACAGTTTGAATTTAAGAGTGTTTGGAAATTTGCTTGTTGTAATCATCATACTCAGGTTAGTTAAGAAAAACCACAGTCATTCCTGCAGATACCTTTTGTGCAGCTGAGGTTCAGCTTCTCAGAGACAATATTATTTTTGTCAGTAGATACGTGGTAGATGGTCTAGTTAACCAAACACACACTAATGTATAAACCAAACAGTGAGAGATGAAATTAATTAGTGAATCAAATGATTAATGTGCACATTCTCTGTTACTAGATAGAGATTAACAGATTTCTTGGGATAAGATCATTTTCATGGCTAAGAGTTTTGAGCTACATAACCTGATATATCTATCTTTATGTGGATCATCTCCTTCCATGGACTGGTAGATTATTGTGGATTAAGGTAAATCGGGAAATGCAACAGATTTATCTCTTTAACATGCTAAAGAGTTACTAGATATCATTGTCATATTAAAATGTTCTTTGAACTCTCCATATTGCCCCTCTCACACACAGTCATCCGTCAGTATACACAGGAGATTGGTTCCAGACAGCCCCCACCCCAGGGTACCAAAATTCACAAATGCACAAGTCTCTTAAATAAAATGGTGTATTTTCATATAACCTACAGTAGTACATCCTCCTGTATAGTTTATTTTTTAATTTAATTTTTTTTTTTTTTTGAGGCTGAGTCTTGCTCTGTTGCCCAGGCTGGAGTACAGTGGCACAATCTCAGCTCACTGCTACCTCTGCCTCCTGGGTTCAAGCGATTGTCATGCCTCAGCCTCCCGAGTAGCTGGGATTACAGGCACATGCTACCATGCCCAACTAATTTTTGTATTTTTAGTAGAGATGGGGTTTCATCACGTTGGCCAGGCTGGTCTCGAACTCCTGACCTCAAGTGATCCATCTGCCTCTGCCTCCCAAAACGCTGGGATTACAGGTGTGGCTCCTCACGTATAGTTTAAGTCATCACTAAATTACTTATAATACCTAATACAATGTAAGTGCTATGTAAATAGTTTTTATACTGTAGTGTTTTAAAATTCATGTTGTTTTTTATTATTGTGTTTTGTTATTGTTTTTTCCCCCAATATTTTCATCTGCAGTTAGTTGAATCCATGGATGCAGAACATGTGGATATGGAACCTGAGGATGTGGAGGGCGGACTGTTCTTATGTGTAGAAAGTAGAGAGTAACTGAAGAGTTGAGTTTTAAACAGAGAAGTTAATTGGTTAGATTTGCATAGCAGTAATTGCCCAAAAATAGATTAAAGGCATACAGGGGGAAGTGTAGAGATTCCAGTAGTCCCCACTCTTCTTCTTAGGGGATAATGGTTATTTTTTTCTCCTGCTTTTCATTTTTTTTTTGAGACAGAGTTTCACTCTTGTTGCCCAGCTGGAGTGCAATGGCGCGATCTCGGCTCACCACAACATTTGCCTCCTGAGTTCAAGGGATTCTCCTGCCTCAGCCTCCCGAGTAGCTGGGATTACAGGAAGGCGCCACCATGCCCAGCTAATTTTGTATTTTTAGTAGAGGTGGGGTTTCTCCATGTTGGTCAGGCTGGTCTCCAACTCCCGACCTCAGGCGATCCGCCAGCCTCGGCCTCCCAAAGTGCTGGAATTACAGGTGTGAGCCACCACTCCTGGTCCGTATTTTTATCTTTTGGTTCTGTTTACTTTGAGGTTTGCAAGACCTCCCGTGGATACCTGAAGCTACAGACACTACTGAACCCTATGCATACTTTGCTTTTTCCATCCCATAACCCATTAGACTAAGTGACTAAAGGACGAGATGGGTGGGTGGCATTAACAGTGTGAATATGCTGAACAAAGGGATGACATGTCCCATTCGAGATTTCATCACACTAGTCAGAATGGCACACAATTTAAAAGTCGTGAATTGTTGGCTAGGCGTGGTGGCTCACGCTTGTAATCCCAACACTTTGGGAGGCCGAGGTTAGTGGATAACCTGAGGTCAGAAGTTGGAGACCAGCCTAGTCAACATGGTGAAACCCTGTCTCTACTAAAAATACAAAAAAAAAACTAGCCGGGTGTGGTGGTGCATGCCTGTAATCCCAGCTACTTGGGAGGTTGAGGCAGGAGAATCACTTGAACCCGGGAGGTGGAGGTTGCAGTGAGCCAAGATTGCGCCATTGCACTCCAGCCTGGGCGACAAGAGGGAAACTCTGTCTCAAAAAAAAAAGAAAAAGTTATGAATTGTTTATTTCTGGAATTTTCCATTTAATATTTTTGGACAGTGGGAAGTGAAGCCTCAAGTAAGGGAGGGCTACTCTAGTTAGGATATGAGTGTGAGATTTTTAGGACCTAAACTAGGGAGATAATAGAAGGAATAGAACATTTAGATATTTAGGAGATAAAATATTTAGGGTTTAGTGGATAATTTAGTGATTAATTGGTGTTTGGAGGAAAAATGAAGCATGGATAAGAGGTTAGGGGATGATAGTGCTGTCAACTGAGAGAGAAAAATCAAAGGTTTTTTTTAAGTTTTAAGGTTTTTTGTTTTTTAGATGGGAGGAGGTATGGAGATGTATTCAATTGGACATGTTGAGTTTGAGATTCTTATGTAATCTCCAGTAAGAAGTTCAATAGGCAGTTGGATATATTACTAAAACTTGAAGACTAGGTCTGAGATGAAGATAAAAGCTGATGATTCCCAAAAATGTCTATATTAGTTGTAGCTGAAATAATGGAAGTAAATGAGATACGCTAGGGAGAGGATATGAAGAGATAGAAAAATTAGAGAGAGGGAGAGGGAAGAGTAATGGTCCTCAGGCAAAATAGTAACAATTACCAAGGGAATAAAATTTCAAGAAAATAATACATCAGAGAAGTTCTATTTTCATAGTAGTAATTGTGGAGAATGAATTTAACAAGTAGTAAAGAAATGTAGTAGTTAGGCTGTTGAAATTGTTGCACTTGGCTATTAACAAATCATTAACACAGCACGGTGGCTCACGCCTGTAATCCCAGCACTTTGGGAGGCTGAAGTGGGCGGATCACCTGAGGTCAGGAGTTAGAGACCAGCCTGACCAACATGGAGAAACCCCGTCTCTACTAAAAATACAAAAATTAGCTGGGCCTGGTGGCACATGCCTATATTCCCAACTACTCGGCAGGCTGAGGCAGAAGAATCGCTTGAACCGGGGAGGTGGAGGTTGTGGTGAGCCGAGATCACAGCATTGCACTCCAGCCTGGGCAACGAGCGAAACTCCGTCTCAAAAAAAAAAAAAAAAAAAAGAAAGAAAAATCATTAACATTCCCACTGAGAAACAGCCCTGACAAAAAGAAATTAAAAAAAAAGTCAGTAACAATTAAATTTAAGGTTGCCTCAGTAAGGGGGAGGTTGAATAAGAGAGAAGCACATAAATACATGTAAGTCACTGGTAATGCCCTAGATTTCTGCACTGTTCACTATCTAATACAATATCCACCAGCCTCACGTGGCTATTTCGCTCTTGCCACCCAGGCTGGAGTGCAGTGGCGTGATCTTGGCTCACTGTAACCTCTGCCTGCCAGGTTCAAGCAATTCTGCCTCAGCCTCCTGAGTAGCTGGGATTACAGGCACGTGCCACCACACCCAGCTAATTTTGTATTTTTAGTAGAGACAGGGTTTTGCCATGTTGGCCAGGCTGGTCTGGAACTCCTCAGGTGATCCACCCATCTCAGTCTTCCAAAGTGCTGGGAGTACAGGTGTGAGCCACTGCGTCCAGCCTTTATGTGGCTATTTAAATTTAAATAAATTAAAATGAAATTTTTAGAACTTCATTGTCTTGTACTAGCCACATTTCAAGTGCTCAGTGACAACATGTGGCTACGATATTGGATTGCACAGATAAAGAACATTTTCAGGCTGGGCATGGTGGCTTATACCTGTAATCTCAATACTTTGGAAGGCTGAGGCAGGAGGATTGCTTGGGCCCAGGAGTTCAAGACCAGCCTGGGCAACATAGCAAGACCCTGTCTACAAAAAATTAAAAAATTAGCTGGGCCTGGTGGTGTGCATCTGTAACCCCAGCTACTTTAAGAGACTGAACTGGGTGGATTGCTTGAGCTGGGGAGGTCAGGGCTGCAGTGAGGCTTGATCATGCCACTTGCACTTCAGCCTAGGTGACAGAGCTATGACCCTGTCTCAAAAACAATTTTTTTTTAATCATTGCAGAAAATTCTTTTGGAATGTGCTATATCCAGATCTTGGGTCAAGTTGTGCTTTTAAAAAATATAACGATATGAGGACTGTGCATGGTGGCTCATACTTCTAATCTCAGCACTTCTGGGAGGCCGAGGTGAGAGCATTGCTTGAGGCCAGGAGTTTAAGACTAGGCTGGGCAATGTAGCAAGATCTGGGTCTCCAAAAAATTTTAAAAATAAAAATAATAACTTTATCCAAAAAGTTCAACTTTAACCATAAAGTTCATCCTTTTAAAGTATATAGAGTGTTGTTTTTAGAACTGAAGTTACACATTTAAATATGTATACTCTATTAATAAAGAAAAAATAGTTATTTTTTGGGAAACTGTACAAAGGATGTTATCACATACATGCAGAATTAATAAAGGTTAACAATATGTCATAGTTACTCAAAATATTTGGTGACCTTACAGTTTCAGAAGAAGGGAAAATTTGCAGTGGGTTTAATGAGTGGATGAGAGGAAGTTTAGAAAGTAGAGACAATAAGTGTAGGCTGGGGTGAGGGTTGAAAAATTACATATTGGATACAATGTTCACTATTTGGGTGATAAGGCGATAAGGTTAGGTAACTAGAAACCCTAACCTCACCATTATGCAGTATATCCATGTAACAAACTTGCACATGTACCCCTGAATCCATAATAAAATATATGTATGTAAATAAAAATTAAAAAATAAAACCATGAACAAAATAAGTGTAGGCTGTTTATTCTGGTAATTTTAAATGAATAAGTTCAGGGAAGGTTGGGTACAAGGATGAGATGGATAGATGAGCTGGAAAAGGTCTTTAAAAGTTGAAACATTGAACTGTCATGTTTTGTCTGCTTTGGTATCTATCATAAGTCTGTTCCAAGCCAATTACTGCTTTAGCTTTGATTATTCTTTTTTTTTTTGAGACAGTCTCGCTCTGTCACCCAGGCTGGAGTGCAGTGGCATGATCTTGGCTCACTGCAACCTCCGCCTCCTGGGTTCAAGTGATTCTTCTGCCTTAGCCTCCCGAGTAGCTGGGACTACAGGCGCGCACCACCATGCCCAGCTAATTTTTGTTTTTTTAGTAGAGACGAGGTTTCACCATGTTGGTTGGGCTGGTATTGAACTCCTGACCTCATGATCCGCCTGCCTTGGCCTCCCAAAGTGCTGGGATGACAGGTGTGAGCCACCACACCCGGCTTATTTTATTATTATTTTTGAGATGGAGTCTTGCTCTGTCGCCCAGGCTGGAGTGCAGTGGCATGATCTCAGTTCACTGCAGCCTCCGCCTCCCAGGTTCAAGTGATTCTCCTGCCTCAGCCTCCCAAGCAGCTGGGATTACAGGTGTCTGCCACCCCACCTGGCTAATTTTTGTGTTTTTAGTAGAGACAGGGTTTCAACATGTTGGCCAGGCTGATCTTGAACTCCTGACCTCAAGCGGTCTGCCCACCTGGGCCTCCCAAAGTGTTGGGATTACAGGCGTGAGCCACCGTGCCCGGCCCTAGATGTTCTTTAGATTAAAATAGTTCATTGTGGTCAAACAGGTTCATGCTCTCTTACACCAGGGGTAATCCATACTTGGACACACAAGAGCTTATGTCAAAATATGGCAGATTTCTTAAAATATTCCTGTTGTGGCAGACTTTCTGGGTTGATAGGTTTTTTTTTTTTTTTTTTTTTTTTTTTTTTTTTTTGGAGACAGAGTCTTGCTCTGTCGCTCACGCTGGAGCGCAGTGGTGCAGTCTTGGCTCACTGCAACCTACGCCTCCCGGATTCAAGCAATTCTCCTGCCTCAGCCTGCTGAGTAGCTGGGATTACAGGCGCGCGCCACCATGCCTGGCTAATTTTTGTATTTTTAGTAGAGACGGGGTTTCACCATATTGGTCGGGCTGGTCTCAAACTCCTGACCCCGTGATCCACCCTCCTTGGCCTCCCAAAGTGCTGGGATAACAGGCATGACCCACCACGCCTGGCCGGGTTGATAGGGGTTTTCAGCCTTACCTACACATGCAAATCTCCTTTCCCTCTGTAATCCCCAAATTTAGACTTTAATTCTCCTGTCTTTCAAGGGGAGTTGCCTTACTCTGTGTGGGTTCAGGGTGAGGGAAACTTTTCAGCCAGTTTATGTCATTGAAGTACATTGAAGTTTATCAGGGAATTTCTAATAATAGTAAACTTAAAATGGAAGGCCTTGGAGTTGTAGTTGTTTACCAGAAGAGTTTTTGGCTTTTTCTGCATACTTCTACACACCTCTTACCTCCCTTCCTAATTGATAGAGACAGATTTTTATCAGGTCACACATGGAATCTGCTACTCCCTTTGAATTCAGGTCTGTTTGCTTCAACGACGTAACTGAGAAGGACCACTCTAGATGGCTCCTTTCTACCTAGACATGCTCTTTTCTACCTAGACAAAAAAAGCCACCAGCCATTAATAAATGGTAAACTATCAACTTAAATATTTGTTCTGCCTACCCAGGCACCCTACTACATAGAGGGGCTAGTTTAGGTTTTAGTTTGGTGACAAATTGTTTGTGTTGCATTGTATCAGGTTTTTTTTGTTCGTTTGTTTTTGAGGCAGAGTCTCTCTCTGTCCAGGCCCAGGCTGTAGTGCAGTAGAGAGATATATTGGCTCACTGCAACCTCCATCTCCCGGGTTCAGGCAATTATCGTTCCTCAACCTCCCAAGTAGCTGGGGTTACAGGCGCTTGCAACCATGACCAGCTAATTTTTATATTTTTAGTAGAGACGGGATTTCATCATGTTGGCCAGGCTGGCCTAGAACTCCTGACTTCAAGTGATCTGCCCGCCTCGGCCTCCCAAAGTGCTGGGATTACAGGCGTGAGCTACCATGCCCGGCCTGCTTGTATCGGTTTCTTTATGTCTCCACAGATTTTTTTGTTTTCATGGACATAAGTGGGGAGCATAGAGATATTTTGCTAGTGATCATCCTCTGGCTAAAGCATAGTTTGATTTCTGTGATAAGAATCTTGACCATATTCTATCCCTCTTAGAAGGGCAGAAGTGAAACTGCCATATTACCCATAAATACCACTATTATAGGCTTTCACAAATCTGTATTTACTGAGTGTGTACTTGGTGTGAATACCTCATTAATGTTTTAAACATCTGCCATTCTTATTCTCTTAATGAGTAAAGTTAACTTCTTCAACAACCAGTACTTAGCTAAATATTACACAATATAATTTTTCCCTTTCTTCATGTAATGGATGAAGTTTTTTTGTTTTTTTTTTGAGACGGAGTCTTGCTCTGTCACCAAACTGGAGTGCAGTGGTGCAATCTCAGCTCACTGCAACCTCCGCTTCCCAGGTTCAAGCGATTCTTCTGCCTCAGCCTCCCGAGTAGCTGGGATTACAGGCACGCACCACCACACCCGGCTAATTTTTTGTATTTTAGTAGAGATGGGGTTTCACCATGTTGACCAGGCTGGTCTCAAACTCCTGACCTCATGATCCACCCGCCTCAGCCTCCCAAACTGCTGGGATTGTAGGCGTGAGCCACTGTGCCCAGCCTGGATGTAGTATTTAAAGAAAAAACAAAAAACTCTTTACTGTGAAATACTTTCAAACATAACAGTTGTCCCAGATTTGGCTAGAAGCTACCTTCCGTTTCCTTTTTTTTTTGACAGATTCTCACTCTGTTACCCAGGCTGGAGTGCAGTGGCACCATCTCTGCTCACTGCAACCTCCGCCTCCTGGGTTCAAGTGATTCTCATGCCTCAGCCTCCCAAATTGCTGGGATTACAGGCGCATGCCACCACGACCGGCTAGTTTTTGTATTTTTAGTAGAGACAGGTTTTGCCATGTTGGCCAGGCTGGTCTCAAACTCCTGACTGACCTCAAGTGATCTTCCCGTCTCAGCCTCCCAAAGTGCTGGGATTACAGGTGTGGGCCACAATGCCTAGCCCCTTCTGCATCCTTGTTATTAACATGTCCCTATCATTTTTTTATGACATCCTTACTTTCTGTAGAAGATGTTCTCAGTTCATTTTATTATTTCCCCACCCCAGTCCTGCAGCAGCAATTTCTCCTGGAGCCCTGGTTCTTTTTATTGTAGAAAGGTATTCAGAAAAATCTGGGTGCCAGGTGTGCTCGGCTACTGGGCCTGTTTTCGGTGAAGAATTAGTGTCTTAGTTCATTTGCGCTACTATAACATAATATATAAAGAACAGAAGTTTATTTCCTCGCAGTTCTGTAGGCCTAGAAGTCCAGGCAAGACAGAGGCATCTGTTGAGGTCTTTCTTGCCACGTGCTCACATGGCAGAGGGCTTCAGGGCAAGAGAGTGTGAACCCACTCTCAAAAGCCTTTTTTATAGCTGCATTAATTCATTCATGGAGGCAGAGCCCCACTTCCCAAAACACTGTTACATTGCATAAGTTTCTTTTTTTTTTTTTTGAGACGGAGTTTCACTCTTGTTGCCCAGGCTGGAGTGCAATGGCGTGATCTCAGCCCACCACAACCTCCGCCTCCCAGGTTCAAGCGATTCTCCTGCCTCAGCCTCCCTGAGTAGCTGGGATTACAGGCATGCGCCACCATGTCTGGCTAATTTTTTATTTTTAGTAGAGACATGGTTTCTCTATGTTGGTCAGGCTGGTCTCAAACTCCTGACCTCAGGTGATCCACCTGCCTCGGCCTCCCAAAGTGCTGGGATTATAGGCGTGAGCCACTGCGCCCGGCCAGGAATTAAGTTTCTGATACATGAATTTGGTGGGGAGGAAGCATTTAGACCATAGCAGTTAGGAAATATTTATAAGTAAGCATGTGTGTTTTGGATTTTGAAAATTTAGTATGAAAAAGAAAAGCATTTGTTTTCAAAAAATTGGATTACATATTGAAATGATGATGTTTAGATATATTTGTTAAATATATTAATCTGTTTCTTTTTACATTTTTAATGTGACTACTAGAAAATTAAATTTCATTTAGCTCACATTATGTTTCTGTTAACCATCGCTAATTTAGACTATTCTATTAAAATGCTGTGAAAGTTGATGCTACAGCAAATTTACTACTTCCTTTTAAAAAATATCTTAATACCTTCCTTTTTGTGGTTTCTTGCATTAGCATCCTCTACAGGCCATAATTCTTTGCTGTTGCTGAACACAGAAATTTGGGGTTTTAAACTCTTAGTGGTTTGTGATGCTTTTCATACCAGATTGTTAAGAAAATTGGAATCCTCATCCTTTAAAATATTATCTTTTGTTATTTGCCAGCATGTCCGGTAATCAGAAATGGCATTTCTTTATGGCTTTGTTCTTTGAGAACTTTAATTGTTGTTAAGAGAATATTAGAAGTGTTTACTATAAATATCTTGAAATATTTGGGAAATATTTTGGTTTATTTCAGATAAACTGCTAGTGTATGTTTGGAATACGTTAAATGCATAAACTTACTGCTTTATATTTTCTTTTTTTTTGGAGACGGAGTCTTCGCTTTGTCTCGCCCAGGCTGGAGTGCAGTGGTGTGATCTCAGCTCACTGCAACCTCTGCCTCCTGGGTTCAAGCGACTCTCCTGCCTCTGCCTCCTGATTAGCTGGGACTACAGGTGCATGCCACCACGCCCGGCTAATTTTTTGTATTTTTAGTAGAGATGGGGTTTCACCGTGTTAGCCAGGATGGTCTCCATCTCCTGACCTCGTGATCCGCCCGCCTCTGCCTCCCAAAGTGCTGGGATGACAGGTGTGAGCTACTATGCCCGGCGCTTTATATTCTTTAGTAATTTCTGGCCATTGTGGCTCCTTAAGCTTGTTAATTAATTTAGTGTCCATATTCATATCTTAATGATACTGAGAAATTGGTTAAATTGGTTTTTGGTGTCTGTCTCTTGCTTATGAAAGATAAACTGTAGTTCAGCTATTTATTAGCATTGAGTTTTTCTAGAATAGTTAAATTTTTTTGTTTGTTTTTGAGACAGGGTCTTATTCTGCCCCCTGGGTTCAAGCGATTCTCCTGACCCAGCCTCCTGAGTAGCTGGGATTACAGGGGTATGCCACCACGTCCAGCTAATTTTTGTATTTTTAGTAGAGACACGGTTTCACCATATTGGCCCGGTTGATCTCGAACTCCTGACCTCAGGTGATCTGCCCGCCTCGGCCTCCCAAAGTGTTGGGATTACAGGCATGAGCCTCTGCACCCAGCCTTAACTGCTTTATTTTAATAAAGTTGTAATATATTTGAGATGGCAAGACCATTCTCTTCAGACTGTTAATGGTAATTTTTTAAAATTATTTTTTATTTTTAGACTGGGTTGCACACTGTCACCTAGGCTGGTCTTGAACTTCTAGCTTCAAGCAATCCTCCTGTTTCAGCCTCCCAAAGTATTGGGATTACAGGCTTGAGAAACCCTCTTAATTTAAGGACTGCAGAAGCTTACTTTTTTTTTTTGCATAAGGGCCTTTGATAGTCATTGTTTATGGCTACAAACTAATTTGATTTTGACTAAATTATCTGAGTTATAAACTTCATTTATTTCCACCTTAGTTATTGTAACCATCCTTAATTCATACACAAAAAAGATGCTTTAAAAAATTAGTAAAACACTCTCGTTATAAAAATTAGGAAATTAGAGGAGGAAAAAGGAAATAAAAAATCACCTGCAGTCAGTATCTTTATCCAGAGATAAGCATTGTTACTGTGTATGACACACTGGTTTCTGTGTGTTTGAACTCTGTTTTTATAGTTATCGTTATATTGTATGGTTGTACAGTTTGCCTGTTTTACCACATAGCAAAAGCATTTTCCCATTTAAGATCTTGAGGTTTTTAGATTAAAAAGCAGCAAAATATTTGTACACAGTAATCATAATTGGGGTGTGTGTGTGTGTGTGTGTATGTATGTGTGTGTGTGTATGTATAGGGGTGTGTGTATGTGTATGTATGTATGTATGCCACCATACAGCAGCGTAATTATGTGTATACATACGTATGCACACACGGTTATGTTGCTGTATGGTGGCATCATTTGCCTGATTTACCTTATAGAAAAACCATTTCCCACATTAAAATTTTGAAGTTATATATAAAAAACACTTGAATTCTTGAGTATATATTATTTTTTTAATTCTCAGTAAGAGAAAATTAGAATGTTTGTCCCACAGATGCAAACATTTAGTTAGAACTAAATCTAGTAAATTGATCATTGATACATTTGATTGCTCTGAACAGAAGTTTAGAAGTCATGGTTGATATATTACAAAGCTAAATTATTTTTTTCACTTCCAGTCTTTGTTCAGAGATTTGCAAGAAAGTCCATTCACTGCTTCGCATATAATTTGGGGTATTATCAGTAGTTTGTTTTTAGAACAGTGGTACTGTGTGGTTCAGAAATTTGTAAAAGCCAAGTGTTAGGGTGTTTAATAACAGTACATTGTAAGTTCTTTGAGGAGCTGGGCACGGTGGCTCACACCTGTAATCCAGCACTTTGGGAGGCCAAGGCGGGCAGATCACCTGAGGTCAGGAGTTCGAGACCAGCCTGACCAACATGGAGAAACCCCATCTCTACTAAAAATACAAAATTAGCCGGGTGTGGTGACGCATGCCTGTTATCCCAGCTACTTGGGAGGCTGAGGCAGGAGAATCGCTTGAACCCGGGAGGCGGAGGTTGCGGTGAGCTGAGATTGCGCCATTGCATTCCAGCCTGGGCAATAAGAGCAAAACTCCATCTCAAAAAAAAAAAAGTTCTTTAAAGAAGTTTAGTTTCGTATATTGACTAAGCTATAGGGGGAAAAGCCTTACTGTGCCTTTTCCACTTCCTACCCACTCAAGATAACCTAAGTTGGCTTCCTTTATTTAAAGTGTTAAATCTACTCTAGAGCATACCAAAGATATTTTGAAAATATAGGAAATTCTTAATGCATTTAAAAGGAACTACTTCCCAATCAGTTTTTTTCCCATCATAGAAGTAATGTATACTCAGAGATATCTTAAAAAACAAGGAAAAATAAAAACCAAAATAACCCCACTGAAGTTTCATCACTAAAAGACAATGTCGATATAGCATTTAGAATGTTTGCCTGTTCCTCCCTCTCATGATGGATTTTAATATTTATTCACCAAATGTTTATTGTACTCCTATGTGCTTGAGGCTGTCTCAGGTAGCAAATAGAGAAAAAAATTCTGCCCTTGTGAAACTTATGTTTCAGTGGGATCATAGGTGTATGTTTGCAATTTTATATCCTGAAAATTTTATAATTCAGTATAACATAAGAATTAGTATAAATATTTTTAATAGCTGCTTGACAGTTCCTTATGTGCATATGCCATAATTTCCTTCATTTCCCCACAGTGTTAAGTATGTTATTTTTGCTATTGTAAATATAGTGGGCGAGGGTCTTACTCCACAAGGTTGTAACCATGAAATAATATTTCTGTTTTATGAAAACCAAATTTAATCTGTGTTGTATCCTTACCTAATTGAGATGGCCATTATTTCCCTGCACAAATCCCCCTCCCTCTAATCCTTGGTGAGCTTCTTACATTCCAGAACTTTATCAGGAAAGGGCTTTCCTCCAGTCTTTCACCTACACCGCTTGTCATTGACATGCCCATTTATGTAAGTCTGGAAGGTTTCTTTAAGGCCTCGTTACAGAGAATATTGGGTAATAGGATCTTTGCACAATTTTCCGAAGGAAAGTTTTTACCATTATTGTCTCTCCCTTCTCCCTGCAGCTCCCAAGGAGGGTGAGTGTATTGATCTTTTCTGGATGAATCCTCTAATCCCTTCCTTTCCTCCAGCATCTACCTCTCAAACTCCATTCTCATCCCCTCCCTCTTGAGTATAATCCAACCAGACTCCTTCCTTTGGGCCTGGACTTTCTCAGACAGAAGCCAGCTGAGGAGACTGTCTTCTAATTGCTGGTTCTAAAATAACAGTCTTGAGGCTAGAGGCCCACAAGGGCTTGGAATAGGAGAAGGGAATTTGCCTACTTAGCCTTGTGAACAAAACACTGATCAGTACCTCAGATTTCACTGTTTAGAACTATTTTCTTAGGATTAAATTTCAGAAATGGAATTACTGGTTCTAAGGGCATGATAAGGGCATGAACATTTAAATACTTTCTATTCATTGTAAGATTGTTTTCCAGAAGAGTTATATAGATTTTCAGTGTCCCAAGTGAGAGTTCTTATTTTATTAACCCCATTTATCAATACTGTTAAATATTTCATAAACTATAGTTTATGTCTGCAGAACTTCCCCCATATGCTTTGATAATAATAACTAATTGTATTTCCTCTTTTGTCTTTTGTTATATTTTTGCCTTCAGGTGCTTTTCTCCCCTAACCAGTTTTCATAAGTTCCTTATATCAGAATGAATCCTTTTATATTTTCTGCAAATATTTTTCAATGCCGAGAATTTAATGTCAATAGTATATCACTGTTTATACCATCAAATTGGTTAGTCATCTTAATTCTGTTTTTCTTTTTTTCATTTAAGTATAGTGAATCTTTGAACTTGATAGGTGAATTTCTGGTTTTTTATCTTCTTGATATTGGTGTTTAAAATGGATTTATCTTCATGGATATATTTATGTTATAGTATTAAAATCTGAAATTGAACTTAGTATACAAAAAATAGATTTTTAAAATGTTTATACTAGCTCCTTATCAATGTTTAAAATTTTGCTTTTGCAGTTACAATAATGGTTATTCCCTTATTTCTGTATTTACTAGTAGAGAGTAAATTAAGACATTACTGAATACAATGAGATAAATGGCTTATCAAGTAATAGTCTTTCTTGTAACACAAATGAGTTCTTAGATCAGTTGTCTTTAAATTTGTCTTGTTATGGCAAGTTGTGTTTTCAGTGGCAACTTTTTTTAGGGCCTAACGTAAAGTTTGATCAGAAGTTTGACGTGTAATCCCAGCACTTTGGGAGGCCAAAGCCAGAGAGGATCACTTAAGGCCAAGAATTTGAGACCAGCCTGAGCAACATAGCAAGACCTCATCTCTGCAAAAAAAAATTAACATATTAGCTGAGTGAGGTGGTACATGCCTGGAGTCCTAGCTATAGTTCAAGGCTGCAGTGAGCTATGGTCGTGCCACTCTACTCTAGCCTGGGCAATAGAGCAACACCTTGTCTCAAAAAAAAGTTTGAGCTATGTATGTTTGAAGGGCTTGTGTTCTCAAATTGGTGAGAAAAGGGTGGCGATTTGATACTATTTATGAACCAGACACTGTGTTTTATATATATTCTCTTTTATTCTTGTGTCATATATTCTTATGTCACCTGAATGAGGTATCAGTCCCATTTTACAGGGTGAAGAGACTGAAATGAAGTAATTTGCCAAGCTTGTGTTCAACAAACGTAGAAGTGGCAGTGGAGCCTAGATCATTCTTGTTTGTTTGTTTTTCATTTTTGTTTTAAAAGCTGAGCATGCTTCTCTTCAAACTTTATGATTACCTTGTAGTGCACGTTAAAACTAATAGCTCAGGTTGTCTGTGACCCCAAAGACAATAAAGACAGGATCTCATTCTGTGGCCCAGACTGGAGTGAAGTGGCAGGATCATGGCTTACTGCAGCTTTGAACTCCTGGGCTCAAGCAGTCCTTCCCCTTTAGCCTCCCGAGTAGCTGGGACTACAGGCATGTACCACCATGCCTGGCTAATTTTTAAAAGTTTTTGTAGAGATGGGGTCAAGCTATGTTGCTCAGGCTGGTCTCCAACTCTTGGCCACAAGTGATCCTTTGCCTCAGCCTCCCAACGTGCTGGGATTACAGGTGTGAGACACTGTGGCCTTTTTCAGTTTTCAAGCTGCTGTTTGTTGTTACATTTTAAAAATGTGAAGTTAAAGTCAGATCTCTGTGTGTGTTTGTGTGTTTGTGTGTGTGTGTGTGTGTGTGTGTGTGTGTGTTTCTTGAGATGGAGTCTCGCTTTATCCCCAGGCTGAGTGCAGTGGCGCAATCTTGGCTCACTGCAACCTCCACCTCCCAGGTTCAAGCGATTCTTCTGCTTCAGCCTCCCGAGTAGCTGGGACTACAGGTGCGTGCCACCGTGCCTGGCTAATTTTTTGTATTTTTAGGAGAGACAGGGTTTCACCATGTTGGCCAGGATGGTCTTGCTCTCTTGACCTCGTGATCTGCCCGCCTTGGCCTCCCAAAGCGCTGGGATTACAGGTGTGAGCTACCGCGCCTGGCCCAGATCTTAATGTGTTCTTGCTCTGCGTGGTGTTTGTACCTGGGCTGGTGCTTTGGGAGAGAAGTTGCATTGTATGGTTGTCCAAGGACTTCCAAGAAGACAGTAAAAGAAAATTAAGATTTATTATAAATTAGAATGTGAACTATAGAGAATTGACCCATAGTGCTATGTTTGAGTCATAATAACTGACTAGTGTTTACAAAGACTTATTCACACAGAGTAGCTATTCATTCAGAAGTGTTGAAGATAAAAAGACTGTACTAAATGACCTCTTGGTCCCTTTATTGTTACTATTCTGTGATTTATTGAGAATTATGTGTATATTTAAACTCATTCCATGATGTGCAGTGTTAACTTTTTAGTTACTTTTCTTATTGGATAAAATTAGTCAGCATCTGTGCTTTTTTTCATTTGGAGGGATTTTTTTTGTTTTTTTTTTTGTTTTTTTTTTTGAGATGGAGTCTCGCTCTGTCACCAGGCTGGAGTGCAGTGGTGCGATCTTGGCCCACTGCAGCCTCCGCCTCCTGGGTTCAAGGAATTCTGCCTCAGCCTCCTCAGTAGCTGGGACTACAGGTGCACGCCACCACGCCCAGCTAATTTTTGTATTCTTAGTAGAGACAGGGTTTCACCATGTTGGCCAGGATGGTCTCATTCTCCTGAGGTAGTGATGTGCCTGCCTCGGCCTCCCAAAGTGCTGGGATTACAGGTGTGAGCCACCGCGCCCAGCCTGGAATTTTTAAGTAGCTAAAGAATTAGATTTGTTTTTATGTGAAAGATATGATTTTGTCATAGAGTTAGGCACTTGTGTTACTTTGGACCAAACGTAGTCTGCTAGAATTTTGAGATAGAGCTAGATATGATCTACCATGGAACATAATTCAGCTATGTAATTTCTTAAGTACTAGTATATTATGAACTGGGAAGCATTTGAAGAGAAACAGTGAAAGCAAAGCTCCTGGTATTTTTCATGAAATGACAAGTGGTAAATAGTATCTATTAAAATTCACTGTAGTTGCTCAGTGAAACACATCAATAGCTACATGGTAGCTATTTAAGAAAAATAACTTACCACAGACTCAGGAAACTTTACAGTGTTTGACTTCCAACAGTTTACAGTATTTATCATCTGTGTTTGTTTGCTGTTCAGATATGGTAGATTCGTCATATTAAACACAAGCTTCATGCGGTAAATGTGACTCTAAAACATAATCCAAAACTTTGGCAGTGGATGCCTTGTTACTTTAGAAAGACTTTAAACCTCACTTTGTATTTAGTGCTCTAGCTATCAAATCTATAAGTAGTAGCTGAGTCCTGGTTACTTAAATGATTTAAATGATGATATTCTCACCTAAAAGGGCTCATTTACCAACCTAAGCAATTTCACCTTTTTGCTTATAATTAGGGTTAAATTGTGCTTAAACTGTTTACTTGACCTGTGGGAAACCAGAAGAAGGCTACTCCCTTATACTACTGAATGTTTAGAATTTTAATACCTGTGATTGTGGTTTGATGTTTTAGTTTTAAAAGGCATTGAAAATCTTGAAATTTATGTAAAATTCTCTTTTTAAATTTTTTATTATTAATTTTTTTTTCGTCTTTTCCTTTTTCTTTCTTTTTTTCTGAGACGGAGTCTCACCCTGTCACCCAGGCTAGAGTGCAGTGGCGCCATCTTGGCTCACTGCAACCTCCACCTCCCGGGTTCAAGCAGTTCTCCTGCCTCAGCCTTCCGAGTAGCTGGGATTACAGGCATGCCATCACGCCTGGCTAATTTTTATATTTTCAGTAGAGACAGGCTTTCACCATGTTGGCCAGGCTGGCCTCAAACTCCTGACCTCAACTGATCCACCTGCCTCAGCCTGCCAAAGTGCTGGGATTACAGGTGTGAGCCACCGTGCCCGGCCAATGATCTTTTTTTTTTTTTTTTTTAAAGTCATTCGTAGAAATTGGAAGGAAATATCTATCGTGCTAACATTCATTAGAGTTTAAGATTATGAATGACTTATTAAAATATAAAATGATAAGGACAGTACATGTAAACTCTAGAACGAATTTTAAATTCTTAGTAATACTGGTAATAGTTATTAATACAGGTATGACTTCTCTCTCGTGCTGTTTCTGGTGAACACCACCACAGGGTCACAGTAAGGTTCTAAAAATATGAGCAAAAGCTGGTACTACCAGGAAATTCAAATTCCATACCTGGGAATCTCAGAACTCAGGGAGGAATAAACATTACAGGGGGAGCAAACAATAATGGGGAGTATTGTTTGAGAAATAAGAAATTAAGAATTTTACTGCTCTAAAATGTAAAAGTAAAACAGGTGAAGTCTGGATTTTCTTTTGTTTTTATGAAGTTCAGTGGGAGAGCATTCTCTTCTGTTAAAATTGCCACTAATTATGTGTTTTTTCTAAATCATATTGTCTGCTTTTCTCCAAAACAGTTGAATAATGTACTCATTTTCATAAAATTTTAGAAAAATTAGTGAGTAAATTTTTGGCAGTTATTTTATTTGACATGTGAGTGGTATTTGCCTTCAGATTTCGAATTCCCTGTTGGGAAAGTAATATGGTTATGTTGCTGTGACTATAATATTAAAATGCACAGACACACTATAAATTCCCTTTCCCTTAATTTTCTTTGCCTTTCTTTTCTTTCTTTTCTTTTCTGTTTTTTTTTTTTCTTTTTTTTTTTTGAGACATAGTTTCACTTTGTAGCCCGGGCTGGAGTGCAGTGGCACGATCTGGGCTCACTGCAACCTCTGCCTCCTGAGTTCAAGTGATTCTCCTGTCTCAGCCTCCTGAGTAGCTGGAATTACAGGTGCGCGCCGCACCTGGCTAATCTTTGTATTTTTAGTAGAGACAGGGTTTCGCCATGTTGGCCAGGCTGGTCTTGAATTCTTGACCTCAAGTGATCCACCTGCCTCACCCTCCCAAAGTGCTGGGATTACAGGCGTGAGCCACCGCGCCTGGCTCCTTTCCCTTAATTTTCTGAAAGAAAAATTCACATACAGCCGTGTGAATTGACTGGACTGTGAAATTAAAATAATGGATTTTTTTGGTCTTTATACTGCAAGTTTGAGAAATAAAGAACAAAGCATTTTCTCTGTGGATGCGAAGAACTCTGTACTTGACTCAGCTTCCTTTTTCTCTTGCCTGCATTTTTTGTTTACTTCACTGGCTTGATTAGTCATAATAAGGCTCAGTACCTCTGCCATTCCCAATGTTAAGCAATTTTTTAAAATTTGGAATTTTGTGGATAATCATTAACAGAGTTGCTTAATGGGTAATGTTGTTTTCTTTATGGAAATAATTTGAGGCACCTTTTCTGGGGTTCTTGGCAAGAAATATGAGTTTATTATGGATATTTAGGAAAGAGGATGTAGAAATAAACCTTTGTTTGTAGTATGAAGCTGTGATAATCTGCCCCATCTTTGTCTAATTCCGTTTTAACTTCTGTCCTTAACATGTTTCTCTTCTTAATCAGTTGTCAGTGAAGATTTATTTATCAGGAGATGGGAATGGAGTATTTTGGATATACTTCAAGTTTTGAATGATAACCGTTAAAATACATACAATGTTTTAATAGTGAGATACACTGATCACAAAAATATGGTCTGATTTAACTTTATTTTGTGGTACTTTTCTTCTAAGTTTAGACAGATGATAGAAATTCACAAAAATTTCAGTCATAGTTATGGCCACAGTTAGGCATTCCCAAAGGAAGTGTGTTGCATTCCTAAGTGTAGTGTGTTGCATGCACTACTGAGCATAATGGGAAAAGAAAAGTGCTATAAAAACCTAAGTACCAAGTAACTAGCTAGAAAAAGCTTTTAATGGGAGAGCTGGCATGGTCATTAATCTGGTAGAATAGTATTTGAGGAAACAGTTGCATGTGTTAAGCTGCAGTTTCTTTTGGTTATTGAAAACCAAATAGGAAATTCTGAATTAATACTTACATGCTGAAGTATCTTTGTGGAGCTTATTTTGAGCGTTAGAGTGGGAGACTTAGTTCTAATGCAAACTATAGAAGAATGACCTTGGGTAAGTTTGTTGTCTAATTAGTAAACTGAGTGGTAGAGTTGGATAATCCTGTCAGCTTTAGGCCCATGCCTTAAATATGCTTCTTATCCTCTCACAGTCAAAAAGGATTTTTACCTTGGTACAGTCTGATTCCTGCAACACCTCTCTAGTTATTGAATGTATAGTAGTTTGCTATAGACAGACTACTTTGCAGTGGCTATCAAACCTTTCTGAGACTCATTCTAAGAAATACATTTACATTGTGACTTAGTATATGCACACATAAAAAGAAGAAAGTTTCACAAAATAGTTTCCTTACTAGCAATGAGCTGTTTTTTGTTTTATTTCGTTAACAACAACAACAACAACAACAAAAACTGCTAACCATCTTTTTCTTGGGGTTGCACTACTGTCCAATGAGCACATAGTGAGGGCAGTACTGCTAACGCCTACATAACATGCCTGCATCATCTAGAGCTTTGCTTTACCTTGGTACAATTTTTGGAAGAATGAAAAACTGCTTTTCCACAGGGGGAAAATACTGTTTACTGCCCATCTTTGAAAAACATTTTACTTAGAGCATAAACTTGAAGCTAGATCCTTTTAACCACTTAATTAAATCATACAGTAAGTTGTTGATAGCTATTTGCCACAAAATGAAAATATAGTGGCTATATGAATTTTAGCTGCTGTCACTGTTCATTAATCATAACATAAGCTCTGAACACAGTGTTTCTTCTTAGAAAGGTACAAATGATTATGATTTTGTATAACAACTGAAGTTAGGTGTGTGTGAAGTTTTATAATTGCTGGTCTTCATTAGATAAATTAAATTATAATTAAATGATCTGTTTTATTTTTGCTTTTTATTTGGTCTCTTATTAATAGGCACAATACTGGCATTAGCTATAACACAAACCAATGGCACTAAAAATCTTCAGAACCTTTTTGGATTTGAGTTTTTGAAAGATATTTTGTGGAGACTACAGATTTAATTTTAAAGTATAAATATGCTCTTATTTTAAATAAATGGGGTTTATACTTTGTGTTCTAATGATTGAGATAACTTTTTTTTTTGAGAACTTAAATTAAAATTCCCAGTCTTCTCTAGTTCTGTCAGATTTCTTTGTTCCCCCTCCCAGTGGTTGAGTTCTTATGGGATTTGTGGCTTATTTTTAAAATCCAATGATTAAAATGAAGTTTTCTGGCAATATTAATATTTGTGTGAATCTGGATATCCTCCTCACTTAACTTCTAAGGCTTTTTCTTCATCTGAAAATGACAATTTTGTATACTTGGCTGGATTATTTTAAGTAACAAGTAACAAACACTGTGGTAGACTAACATTTGAGTTTGAAGTTTCATATAATTTTAAATCATTGTCATCGACTGACTTTGGAAAGTAACTTCTGAGATTTTTGGTCTGAAGTGACCCTGAAAGTTTATGACCTAATTATCATTTTATTAGGTCTGAATGTGAATGTTGCACTTTGAGAGGAAATAGTATAGAAGTAGTTACATTGCTGGGTGACTGATCTAGCAAGTCCCTAACAGTGCCATTAAGCTGTCCTGTAGTACATCTTATTTAGTTCTCTCAATAACTACATAGTATGTTGTCAGTCCTATTTTATAGATGAGAAAACCAAGGGAACAATTTGATAGAATAATGTTTCCAAAATCAGAGATCTAATCTTAGAAGGCTTAGTTGAATAACATTGGATATATTACTCTGCGGTTCCTAAGTCTATGAATTAATGGGAATTTTGAAATCTAATTGAAATCCAAGGAGAAAGTGATAGAAATAAAATTGTAGTGAGCGATGTCGGCTCACTGCAACCTCCACCTCCCAGGTTTAAGCGATTCTCCTGCCTTGGCCTTCCGAGCAGCTAGGATTACAGGCATGCACCACCACGCCCAGCTAATTTTTATATTTTTATAGAGACGGGGTTTTACCATGTTGGCCAGGCTGATCTCGAACTCCTGACCTGAAGTGATCCACCTGCCTCAGCCTCCCAAAGTGCTGGGATTACAGACATGAGCCACTGCGCCCAACCTAGTTTAAATTTTCTAGTAGCCACATTTAAAAAAAAACAGGTGGAATTAATTTCATGAATATGTTTCATATAACCCAATATATATCCAAACATAGTTTCTTTTTTTTTTTCTGAGACAGGGTCTTGCCCTGTCACCCAGGCTGGAGTGCAGTGAGTGGTGCACGATTATGGCTCACTGCAGCTTCGAACTCCTGGGCTTAAGCGATCCTCCAGCCTTAGCTTTCCAAGTAGCTGGGACTACAAGCACGTGCCACCACACCCTGCTAATGTTTAAATTTTTTTGTAGAGACGGGGGTAGGGTGGGTCTCACTATGTTACCCACACTGGTCTCGAACTCCTGGCCTCAAGTGAACCTCCTGCCTCAGCCTCCCAAAGTGCTGAGATTATAAGTGTGAGCCACCATCCTGGCCTAAATATCTTTCAGCATATAATCAGTATAAAAATTATAAAGATAGTATATATTCTTTTCTATTACATCTTCAAAATCTGCTGTGTGTTTTACACTTAACATATCTCGGTTCACACCAGCAACATTTCAGTGAAGTACTCAATAACCATACTTGGGGCTGGGCGTGGTGACACATACATGCCTGAATCCCAGCACTTTGGGAGGCTGAGGTGGGAGGATTGCTTGAGCCCAGGAGTTTGAGACCAGGCTAGGCAACAAACCAAGATGCTGTCTCCACCAAAAAAAAAACAAAACAAAAATTATCCAGGCACAGTGGCATGTGCCTGTAGTCCCAGCTACCTCGGAGGCTGAGGTGGGAGGATTGCTTGAGCCCAGGAGTTTGAGACCAGGCTAGGCAACAAACCAAGATGCTGTCTCCACCAAAAAAAAAAAAAAATTATCCAGGCACAGCGGCATGTGCCTGTAGTCCCAGCTACCTGGGAGGCTGAGGTGGGAGGATTGCTTGAGCCCAGGAGTTTGAGACCAGGCTAGGCAACAAACCAAGATGCTGTCTCCACCAAAAAAAAAAAAAAAATTATCCAGGCACAGCGGCATGTGCCTGTAGTCCCAGCTACCTGGGAGGCTGAGGTGGGAGGATTGCTTGAGCCCAGGAGTTTGAGACCAGGCTAGGCAACAAACCAAGATGCTGTCTCCACCAAAAAAAAAAAAAAAAAAAAAAAAAAATTATCCAGGCACAGCGGCATGTGCCTGTAGTCCCAGCTACTGGGGAGGCTGAGGTGGGAGGATTGCTTGAGCCCAGGAGTTTGAGACCAGGCTAGGCAACAAACCAAGATGCTGTCTCCACCAAAAAAAAAAAAAAGTATCCAGGCACAGTGGCATGTGCCTGTAGTCCCAGCTACCTGGGAGGCTGAGGTGGGAGGATTGCTTGAGCCCAGGAGTTTTGAGACCACAGTGAGCCATGATTGTGCCCCTGTGCTCCAACCTGGGTATCAGAGCAAGACTCCCATCTCTAAAGAAATTGTATTTTATTTATTTTATTTTTACAACCCAGATGTGTGAATCTTGAAGGAATTTTTTTTTAATTGGCTAATGGCTACTATTACTGGACAGCTCAATTTCTGAATGCCAAGTACCTCTTGTTAAACTGTTCAACAGCCTTTCCCTACCATCTCAAGAAGTTGGTGATAAAAATTATCAATAATGAATTACAGTTTTTTAATTTTTGCCTTTGATGTGATTGTCTTATTTTATAATATGTTAGCATTTAATATGAATATTTTTGTTGACATTTATTTTTTATTTTTAAAAATAGCATTATTGAAGTATAGTTGACATAATAAAATGTACATATTTAAAAGGTACAAATTTAATAAGTTGTCCACATCCATGAAACCATCACCACAGTCAAGATATTTATTACTATTTTCCTGAAGTCTTCCCTCCTAGCTGTGCAAATCTCCTGTCACTACATTAAAACTTTTAGATATTCTTCTTTTTTGGAGATAACCTCTCTTAAACTTCTAAACTTCACCATTTGTACTGGTTGCATTCTAGGTTGATGCTTAGGTTGGGGATCTTCATTCATTCTCATTTTGGAGATTCTTCTTATATCTAGCTGGTTTTTGATCCTGCTTCCAGAATCCCATTTCTTTCTCTTTCTTGGTCTCCTCATTTGTGAAAGAATAACTTCATAACTCTTTGAGAAAGGTCATTTGGGAGATAAATGTATTTTTGAGAACTTACATGTCTGAAAATATTTTCCTTCATCTTCCTTTCCCTTTCCTCTTTAATAGGTAGTTCGGATAACAAATTCTAGATTGGAAATAATTTATTTCAGAATTTTAAAGACATTTATTCTATTTTCTTCTAGCTTCCAGTATTGCTGTTAAAGTCTGAGGCTAGTAGGATTCTCTGTTCCCTGTAACCTATTGTTTTTTTCCTCTGGAAGTTTTCAGGTTTTTTGTCTTGTCCTCAGCGTTTTGAAATTTCAGCAATGTGCCTTGGTATGGGTCTCTTTTTTCCATTGTGGCTTTTTGTCTGGAAACTCACTGGCCATCAATTCTGAAAATTTACCTTCTACTCATTTCATTTCTTGCCCTCTGTTTTTTATGTTGCCCCTTCCAGAACTCCTGTTACATATATGTTGGTTCTCCTAGACCAATGGTCTAACGTCCATATCATTTTCTCCCCCCCCCCCACCCCCTCGAAGTGGAGTCTTGCTCTGTCACCCAGAGCTGGAGTGCAATGGTGTGATCTTGGCTCACTGCAGCCTCCACCTCCCAGGTTCAAGCAGTTCTGCCTCAGCCTCCCGAGTAGCTGGGATTACAGGCACCCGCCACCACGCCCAGCTAATTTTTTGTATTTTTAGTAGAGACGGGGTTTCACCGTGTTCGCCAGGGTGATCTGGATCTCCTGACCTCGTGATCCACCCGCCTCAGCCTCCCAAAGTGCTGGGATTACAAGCGTGAGCCACCACATGACCCTGCCTTTTCCAGGTTCCTTTTTTTGGTTGTTGTTATTTGTTACTGATTTTAGTTGCTCTTTAATTTTATTTATTTATTTTTTTGCTTCCCATGTAGATTGGATGCTCTTTAAAGACTTTTTTCAAGTAATCCCATGAGCCTTGGTTGTCGCATTTGAGTTGGGCACTGAAAACTGATAAATAAATGCGGTTTGCTGATTGTGGGCCCCAGTATAATCTGACTGTACTGTTCTGGCATCTTATGAAATGCAGATGTTGGGATCTTTAGAGCTGTTCATTTATGCTACTCAGATCCCTAGTTTTATATGCCAAAGTATAACTTATGCTTTATGTGATTTCCACTTTAGAGATTTTATTAAAACTTTTTATTTATAGTCTAATGTATGCTGTTGTAAAAATTGAAGTTCTATGTTTATTTGAAAATAGTATTTATTAAGGGAAAAAATCTGTATTTGTTAATTGTATTGCTTAAATTCCATGTATTTTTGTTGCCTTAGACTACTTGATTAGCTGATATTTGATAAACGTGTCAGCCCTACAAAATAATTGTGGATTTGTCAATTTCCGTTTGTATTTCTAACAGTTTTTATGTTATATATTCATAGCTTTATATTTAGGCTGGGTTAAGCATGAATGTTATATACGTAAATAATTGTACTTTTTATCAATATAAAATATGCAGCATTTTCTCAAATAATTCTCTTTGCTTAACACATTCCCTTTTTATATTGTCATTCTTTTTTCACATTTGTTTTATTTGTTCCTCTATCTTCCCTTTTTTTTTTTTTTTGAGACAGAATTTCACTCTTGTTGCCCAGGCTGGAGTGCAGTGGCACAATCTTGGCTCACTGCAACTTCTGCCTCATGGGTTTAAGTGATTCTCCTGCCTCAGTTTCCTGAGTAACTGAGATTATAGGCTCCTGCCACCAGGCCTGGCTAATTTTTGCATTTTAGTAGCGACAGGGTTTCATCATGTTGGTCAGGCTGGTGTCGAACTCCTTACCTCAGGTGATCCACCCACCTTGGCCTCCCAAAGTGCTGGGATTACCAGTGTGAGCCACTGTGCCTGGCCCTTTATCTTCTTTTTTATGTCATTTTAATTTTGATGTGTTTCTTATAAATAAACAGTGTTTAGACTTTTTTTTAAAGCCTGTTCCACAGGTTTTTTGTAATAGAGAACTTTAACGTACATTTATAGTAATAATTGGTATGTTTGGAGTTGGTCTTCTTCCTGCCTTCTATGTGTTTTAATTGGTATGTTTGGAGTTGGTCTTCTTCCTGCCTTCTATGTGTTTTATTTCTGCCTTGCCTTTCTTAGATAGATTTATTTTCTTTGCATTTTACACCTAGTAGTCTATCTTTTATGTAATTTTCATTATTTAAGTGACTTAAATGAAATTATGTATTTTTCATTGTTAATTTTTAAAACACCTACATATTAGACTATAAATCTACTTTATAAAAATAAAATTATTTCTCTACTTTTATAGGTGGTATTGTGGAATGGCAAAGCACAGACTCTAGAACAAGGCAGCTTCTGTTTACACCTTGGCTTGGCTTTGCCACTTTTTTATTGTAATCCTCTTGTGCATCCATTTCTTTTTTGGTTAAAGTAGAGATGGGGTCTCACTGTTGCTGATCTGAAACTCTGGGCTCAAGTGATCCTCCTGCCTCAGCCTCCCAAAGTGCTAGGATTTCAGGCGTGAGCCACCAAGCCCACGTAGGTACCTACTTCACAGAGGTGTTGTTGAGTTTAAATATGTTAATATATGTAAAGCACCAGAACAGGGTCTGGAAGTCAATAAATGTTAGCTATTATTAGGTGTCAGTTATTAACAAAAGCTTGAAACTACATTATTAGCGTAGTTCTTGTGGGTTCCTGTGTTTAATGCTTGCCTGGTTCTTAACCTATATTAGCTTTCTGTGTGTTTAAAAAAAATCTTTATCTTTTGTGTAAGTCGGTTTTCCTTATTCTTACACACTTTAATGTATGTAGGCTGCTCTGTTGTAAAGACCATCTGTCTTCTGCTGGGCTGAGGACCTCTGTGCATTTCCACTCTTTGACCATCTCAGGACAGGCACAACAAAAAAATGTTAAAAACTTAGATGTTGTCATGGATATGTGGATGCTTTACATTGTGTGTGTGTGCGTGTGTGTGTAATTTTAGTGTGAAAAATGGTATCAGGTTTCTCCAAGGCAACAAAACCATTAGGAGATTTTGTATATAACAGATAGATATTATATGTAATTTCAAGGAATTAGTTTACTTGGTTGTTGGGGCTGGCAAGTCTGAAATCTGTCTTCTGGTTGAGCTGGCCATTGGGTTGGGAACTCTAGCACAGGAGCTGATGCTGCACCTTTAGCCAGGATTTCTCAGGAAATCCCAGTTTACTGCCTTGTAAGTGATTAGATGAGACCCAACCACATAATTGAGGGTAGTCTCCTTTACATAAAGTCAGCTGATTGTAGGTTTAACCATATCTACAAAAATACCTTTATAGCAACACCTAGTTAGTATTTGATAGAATAATTGAATACTGTGGCAAAATTGTAACATAAAACTAACCATCACAGATGAGTATATTATTTCACAATAGATTGTCCTTCATATCAGCTTCTTGAAATTAAAAAAAAAGCTACTGTGTGTAATACTATATGGAAATTAAACATTGTCCATATTTTTAGTAAAATAATAATTCATAGTTATACTCTGCTAACATGAGATCAACTTATGCACTAATGGACCATATTTCTAAAAGTTTGTGAGTTGTTTGTTGACTTAAGTGAGAAAGGCCTGTAATGCCAGTACCGGAAATGATTGTTCCCAGAATAACCAGCAAAAGCTGATACCCAGACAGTATATCTGAAATATGTTACATATGAAAAATATATTTAAAAATGAAAGTGAGAGGACCGGGTGAGGTGGCTCACGCCTGTAATCCTAGCACTTTGGGAGGCCGAGGCAAGTGGATCACAAAGTCAGGTGTTTGAGACAAGCCTGGCCAAAATGGTGAAACCCCGTCTCTACTAAGAATATAAAAATTAGCCGGGCGTGGTGGCAGTTGCCTGTAATCCCAGCTACCCAGGAGGCTGAGGGAGGAGAATTGCTTGAACCCAGGAGGCGGAGGTTGCAGTGAGCCGAGATCGTGCCACTACACTCCAGTCTGGGTGACAGAGCAAGACTCTGTCTCGGGGGGGAAAAAGAAAGGTAAGTGAGCAAACATCTGTTTGGTGCCAGTAATATTAATAGTTTAGACTTTAACCTTTGCTTATAACAGTTTTTGTGGGAAGGTTTATTAGTTGGTTCTCAAATGTGAAGGCCACATGCTTCCTTCAATTAAGGCATAATAATGAAAGGACATACTGAGGCTACATTACATCTTTGTTGGTGAAATCAGGAGTAGAGGAAAGGGTAGAAACTAGAACAGATACAGATTGGGAAGTGGAGAGGTAAGATTCTTAGCCCATAATTTTCAGAGAAAGTAGTTGTTTGTTGATGGCACCAAACAGGGCTCCTGATTTATGATAAAGAATCATACATTTGGTAAAAGTTACAGTCTGAAGTACAAAACCCCAATGATTTTCCATTCTAGTGCTTCAGTGAGAAGCTTAACAGTGTACTATGTATAGGTAGATAAGAATAAAGTAAAAGACAGAATTCTTTGCTGTTAAAATGAAAGAATAACTTTTACTTAGCATAGTATGGTAGTATACTAATAAATGGTACACACTGCTAGTCATAAAATTTAGATTTTGTCCCCAGTTCTACCTGTATACCTGTATTATTAGTCCTTTGTTCTCTGTTCAGTGTCCTAGTAGAAACTGTGTGGTTATACTCCTTTTTTTTTTTTTTTTTTTTGAGACAGAGTCTCGCTCTGTCACTCAGACTGGAATGCAGTGATTCAATACTCACTGCAGCCTCAAACTCCTGGGCTCAAGCAGTCCTCCCACTGAGTAGCTGAGACTACAGGTGTATGCCACCAAACGCCAGGCTAAGTTTTTTAAAGAACTTCTGAAAGCATAGAGTTTTCAGGATGTTTTTATAATATTTCATAGATGGTAAGGCAGTGTCAGATTGATTCAGTTATGTCATCAAATGTCTCTCTGCCATTCTCAGCATGTATTTCAGGCTAATGCCCCTTATGGCCCTATTTTCAGCCATCACATGCATCCTGGATAGCATTCAGCAGCAGAAGCAGCAATTTCTTTAACAATGCTTCATATCTTACTGGTCAGAGTTGTGGGTCACATGGCTTTGTCTAGATCAAATACTGAAAATGGAACTTCCATGATTGGGTTAGGCCAGTTATGACTGTCTTGACAGGAGATGGGGCTTGCTTTTCCTCTAGTACAAGATAGATACTTAAACCAAATAAAGGATTATGGTTAGCAAGGAGGAGGGGGTTTGGGAATGACCCAGTAGTAGACTGCCAACAGTGCCTGCTACTTAACTCACTCTTGCGAGATGGGGAAGTAAGATAGTCTTGAGGGTTGGGGCTATAGTAGAATAGAAGGAAATGACTTTTTGGAGAAAGTGATTTCTTTTTATCTTTTCATGTTTTTATTTTTTATTACATTTTGTTTTTTACTTAGGGATGGGGTCTTGCTATGTTGACCAAGCTGATCTCAAACTCCTGGCCTCAAGCCATCCTGTCATCTCGGCCTCCCAAAATGGTGGGATTACAGGCATGAGTCACCGTGCCACATCTGGAGAAAGTGGTCTGTAAACTAAGTTTTGTGGACAAATGGAGATTATTAGGGAGAAAGACTTTTCCTTATCCTTCTGAGCCCTTGGTTGTCTATGGGTACTGTTGCTTGTTTTCATTTTTAAGGATAGTAAACATACTTAACATTTCCCAAGGAATCTGTCTTGACCTGTGTATGTGTGTGTAAAAGCTGCATTGTGGACTTTTTGAAAAAGAACATATAATAACCAGTTCAGTTGAATGCAACGTGCTCTGTGAGATTAAGGGCTCACAAGAAACTGCTAATCACAGTTTTAAAAAGACAATCTTTTGATGTCTCATATCTTAGTGTTACTATGAGTTTATAGCCTGTTATTTTGTTTAGTGTTTACTCTGTCTTGCCTTTCTTTTTTCCTTCCTTCCTTTCCTTTTCTTTCTTTTCTTTTGGAAGGGAACTTAAGTACATCTTCTGGTTCTTTCTGCCTGATCTCTTCCTCTTAATTTTAGAAATGAAGATGTAGAAGTCCAAAGAGGATTTACTTGATGATTTGACTAGAAAAGCTAGGTTTAACCAGGTCTTCTATGGAAATGAATTATAGCTGTAGTGAAAAAATAAGGGAAATGTGCTATGTTTGGATTCTAGAGACAGTTCTCTAGAATAGAAAATCTTCTAAACCCAAGACAGCTTGATATTTGAAAAAGGGGGTATAAAACCTTTTTTTAAGGATTGGCAGATCGTAGTAAATATTGTGGATGTCATAGTACCACAATATATAATAATTAAGTAACATACTTAGAATAGAAATCTAGAAATGTCAGTAACAGAATTTTACTATTTCTCTCACCACACACACACACACACACACACACACACACATACACAAAATTATGAACACATAATAAAGGACTTCCTTATAACTAAGAAAAAGATAATACATGAATAGAGAGGCCTATCTGGAAATTTTCATGTATATGCACAACATTTCAGTGATAACAGAGTGGCTGTTATAAATAATGATCGTAAAGTGCGGTTATAAATTATATCATGTATGTGAAAATTATTTTTTGTACAGTATGGTTCTTTATCTAAAACGTAGATCTTTGCTTTTCTATAATAACATTCTCTTCTAGGTTTCAGCTTATACTTGACGCAAGAGGTTCTTTGAGAGAGCTTCTTTTTTAAAAAAAAAAAAACTACATTTCCTATTACATTTTATATCTAGCCTGCCACCCTAAGATGGAAATCCATTTTAGTTCATCAGGTATTTATTAATGGTTTCACTTTGTGAAAGATATTGAAGAGGGCAGATAAAATTGTCATTTACAGCTTACTTAGCATAGTACATTGTGCTTAAAATATATGACATTAATATAAATGATGCCCTTTCTTGATAATTTTTTTTATCTCTAATCTTAAATTGGGGGATGATGTTTCTTTTTAGCCTTTTTATTTTTATACATATGGTTGTCCAAGAGTCATGTATTAACCCAGGTTTAGAACACATCATAATGTCACTGCCTCCACTTCCCAGACTCCAATAGGGAATAGCAGCTTTATTCTACCCAGGTCCTATCAGAGGGTGCACAACAGATGAGGGGAATTGCAGGATTTCCCAGTACACCAAACTGTTGGTCAGCCTTCCTGCCTTTATTCCCCATGTAGACCTAAATACAGAAACTTTTTAATTATCTTGGTTATACCTAAACATTGCTACTCCCCTACGCTAGCCCCGCAAAAGTGAGAGAGCTTGTCAAGGCAAAGTTTTTTGAAGGAAGAAGCCACATGAAATGAGAGAGGGAAATAATGTATACTGTGAGCTTAGGAAGAGCAAAGGTATAAAGGTGATAGAGAGATTGGCACAGAACTACAGTAGTATATGTATTAGTTCTGATTAATAAATGTTTCAATTTTTATGATACTGTTATTCTTTTTTTTTTTTTTTTTTTTTTGAGGCGGAGTCTCACTGTGTCACCCAGGCTGGAGCGCAGTGGTGCAATCTCGGCTCACTGCAGCCTCCGCTTCCCAGCCTCAAGTGATTCTCCCTGCCTCAGCCTCCTGAGTAGCTGGGACTACAGGCACCCGCCACCACGCCCAGCTAATTTTTTTGTACTTTTAGTAGATGTGGGGTTTCACCATGTTGGCCAGCCTGGTCTAGAACTCCTGACCTCGTGATCCGCCCACCTCAGCCTCCCAAAGTGCTGGGATTACAGGTATGAGTCACCACGCCCGGCTGATACTGTTATTCTTGTAACAAAAAAGCTTACAATGAGGAATACATTTATATTGTTTTGCTTAAGATTAAAGCCATATAAAAAATTTACAGCAGAACCTGGAAGTTCTTTCTTGACCCTAACCTCCTTTACTCCTTTGCCCAGAGGCAACCATATATTTGTATGTATTTCCAATTCTTCATGCTTTTACACAAATATGTACTCACATTAAAAAAAATATATATAAACATATTATTCTATGACTTTTTTTTTCTTTAATTCATAGAGTTCTTAATCAGGTCTAGTGAACTCAGGACAAGAGACACAACTTGGATATAAATACCTTTAAGCCTCTGTTTTCTTCATGTGTAAAATGAGGGTAATGTTTTAGTGTTATTACAAGGTTTAAATGAGACTACATGTGGACACCTTAGCCTGGTAACTAAGTCACGGTAGCTGCTATTATTAATAAACAAGGCTAACATGCTTCTATATGATCCTCCTGTACCTAAGAAATAAACTTATAGCAATAGAGCACAATCAGCCAGCCATTTAATTTTAGAGAATAACATCTTCATGTGGCCTAGTAAAAATGACTGTTACCAAATAATAGGCTTTTTATGATGAATGAATGAGTCAGATGTTTTCTCTGTAGTTTTTAGAATCATTGAGATACCAAATTCTTAGCTGTTTTATGGAAGAACTTTATAAAGTAGAGTTTACTGAAGTTGGGTGACTAGAAAAGCCTATAAAGTTAAAAAGGAGAAAACGTGTTGGTTCTCCTAATTAATGTAAATTAAAACAAGGAGACTGCCCACAAGAGCTAAATAGTAAATTTCGGTCAAAAATAATGATAGTATTTCTTTTTTCAATTGGTAGTAAAACATTGGAAATAATTATTCCAAATGAAAAGACAGGTTGATAACAGTTTTCAAAAGGATCAGGATAATAGAGATTCATATTGGGTGACGGTATGGTTTTAGAACTGTCTTCCCTATTCTTCCTAAATGAAGTGGGCCATTTCTTCTCACTATATGTATATTCTTGTCTGGCCCTGAGACAGAACACTGGATTAGAAGCACTATAGGTTGACTAAATATGGCAGTTCTTAAATCTATATGATGATAGTTTGCATTATTTTATTGTTAACTTACCATTTGCATTTTTATAAACAGCTTTATTGAGATAATTCACATACTATACAATTCACTTGGTTAAAATATACAATTCAGTGGTTTTTAAAGTATATTCAGAATTGTGCAACCATCACAGTACTAAGTTTTAGAACATTTTAATCACTTCCTCCAAAAAAAAAGAAAACTCCATTTCCCCTCAACTCTTCCAGTTGTGTGGATAACCACTAACCTACTATGTCTCTAGATTTGCCTATTCTGGACATTTTATATAAGTGGAACCATATAATATGTGATCTCTTGTGACTGGCTTTTTTCACTCAGTGTAATGTTTTTAATGTTCATCCATGTTATAGCATGGATCAGCACTTCATTTTTATGGTTGAGTAATTAATATTTGATTGTATGGAGATACCATTGTGTTTATTCATCAGTTGATTGACATTTGTGTTGTTTCCCGTTTTGGGTTATTATGAATAATGCTGCTATAAACGTTCATTTATAAGGTTTTATATTAACATATACTTGAATTTCTCTTGAGCAGATAGTAAAGAGTGAAATTGCTGGGTTATATGGTAATTCTGTTGAACCTTTTAAGGAACTGCAAACCTGTTTTTCAAGGTGACTACCATTTTACATTCTCTACAGCAGCGAATGAGGGTTCCAATTTCTTTACATCTTCATCTGCGCTAATAAGGTTAAGCATAATGTTAGCTGTGGGGTTTTCCTAGATGCCCTTTATCCAACTGAAGATGTTCCTTTTTCCTAGTTGGTTGAATTTTTTTTTTTTTTTAAATGAAAGGGTGTTGGACTTCGGTGCTTTTTCTGTGTCTATGGAGATAATCGTATGGGCTTTGTACTGTATGGGGTGTACTACACTAATTTTTGGATGCTAAACCTTGGATTCCTGGGATAAATCCCATGTGGCCATGGGAAATAATCCTTTTTAGTTGCTGGATTTGGTTTGTTTGTATTTTGGTGAGGATTTTTGTGTTTGTATTAATAAGGAATATTCTTCTTTTAAAATATTTATGTATTCATTTATTAGAGACAGTCTTGCTCTGTCATCTTGGCTGGAGTGCAGAGGCACAATCATGGCTCACTGTAACCTCAAACTCCTGAGCTCAAGCAGTTCTCCCACCTCTGTCTCCCAAGTAGCTAAGACTATGGGTGCGTATCATCGTGCCTGGCTAATTTTTTTAAAAAATTGTGTAGAGATGTGGTCTTGCTGTGTTGCCCAAGCTGGTCTTGTTCTAACCTCAAGTGATCCTCCTGCCTTGGCCTCCTGAAGAGCTAGGATTACAGTCATGAGCTACCATGCCTGGCCAAGATACTGTCCTTTAGTTTCCTTGTGATGTTTCTATCTGGCATTGGTGTTAGGTTAATACTGGCCTCATAGAATTCCTCTTATATTTTTTGGAAGAATTTGTGAATAATTGATGTCAATTATTTAAGTGTTTTATAGAACTCATCAGTGAAGTGATCTGGGCCTGGGCTTTTCATTGTGGAAAGTTTGTTAAATTACTAATTCAGTCTCCTTTCTTGTTATAGGTCTATTCAGATTTTCCGTTGTTTTTTTTTTTTTTTTCTTGAGTCAGTTTCTGATATGGTTTGGCTCTGTATCCCCCCACCCAAGTCTCACTTTGAAATGTAATAATCTTCATGTGTCAGTGGCGGGGCCAGCTGGAGGTAATTGAATCATGGGGGCCGTTTCCTCCATACTGTTCTCATGATAGTGAATAAGTCTCAGAGATCTGATGGTTTGATAAGGGGAAACTGTTTTGCTTGGTTGGTTCTCATTCTCTGTCTGCCACCATTGATGTAAGACATGACTTGCTCCTCCTTGCCTTCTGCCACGATTCTGAGGCCTCCCCAGCCACATAGAACTGTGAGTACAGTTAAACCCAGTCTTGGATATGTCTTTATCAGCAGCATGAAAACTGACTAATACAGTTTCTATAGTTCGTGTCTTTCTAGGAATTTCTTTCCATTTTATCTAGATCATCTACTCTCTTGCTATACAGTTTCTTGAAGTTTGCCCATTATAATATTGATACTGTTGCTTACTGTTTTCTCTTTGTTCCTTTAAAGAAAAAAATTTTTATGCTTTGGGGGTCATTTAACATTTCTCTTTTTATCCATTGGCTTAACAAGTATCTTCTTTTCTCCTTCTTCTTTTTGAGACAGAGTCACACTCTGTCACCCAGGCCAGAGTGCACTGGTGCAAATCTCAGCTGACTGCAACCTCTGCCTCCCGGGTTCAAGTGACCTTCCCACCGCAGCCTCTTGAGTAGCCCTCCACCATGCCCAGCTAATTTTTGTATGCGTTTGTAGAGACAGGGTTTCACCATGTTGTCCAGGCTGGTCTTGAATTCCTGAGCTCAGGTGATCTGCCCTTCCTGGCCTCCCAAAGTGTTGGGATTACAGACGTGAGCCACCACTCCTGACCATGTATCTTATTTTTAATTTTTTTTAGTGGTTGCTCTTGTGCTTATAATATACATTTTAAATTAATCTGCCTTCAAATAATATTCTACCCTTCAAGATTAGTATAAGGACCTTGTAACAGTATATTCTTAATTCCTTTATTCCATCTGTTGTGCTACTTGTCATGTATTTTTCTGAAGTATAGGAACCAGAGAAATTATAAGGCAGAGGAGTAGGAAACACATACTTTCCTGTATTACGCAATAAGGAGCTTGATAATTGGAAAGGGAAAGGGAAATGAATATATGAGAAATTCAGAAAGAATATAATCAGAATTCTTAATGAAATTTGAAACCTCAGGTGATCCACCCACCTTGGCCTCCCAAAGTGCTGGGATTACAGGCATGAGCCACTGCGCCCAGCTGAAATCTCAAATTGAAGTTGAATGATCAATTTGGGATAACTTAAATTTCTTTGTGGCTATAGACAGATCTATTTCAAGAAGTCTCCCTACCTAACCATTTTTCCTGCCCCTAAAAAACAAAACCAGAAAGTTCTGAGAATCATCCTAGACTTCTCTTCCTCCTTTATATCTTCATTTTCCATTTCTAATCAGCCACCTTGTCATCTTGATTCTCCCTCATCTGTACCAATATATCAACCAAAAATGATCTTCCTAAGTCTAATTACACTTCTCTCTGTTCCACACCAATGCAAGCATGATCAATCTTATGAAGATGCAAATCTGATCACATCTTTTAAAATTTTCGGTGGTGCCCTATTCTCCACAGTATAAATTTTAATCTCCTTATTGTTATGTGAAGTTCTCAAGATTTTAGTGTTTATCCAATCTTCTCTCCTACCATCTCTTCTAAAATTATATAAACAATTCCCAGACTTTATTTTAAGTTACTATACATATGCTGATTTTCATTTCCACACCCACGTTCTTCTTTTTGCATTCCTATTAAATTCATATTCATGAAAATAAATAAATGTTTCTTTAAAGAATCCTCTCAGAAATTAATCTCTTTTTTGTCTCCTTGTTGTACTTATACGCTCTTCTCATAATGATTGTGTCATTCTTACTGTGATTACTGTGTTCTTTAAGGCTGTAGCTATAATTGTTGGATGGATATTGTGTTCAATAAAGATTGGCAGAATTTAGCTAGAGTTTAGTAACATTTTTATGATTACCTTCTATATAAGAGAAACATCAGATTAGTGGTTTTGAATCAGTATTGTAATGTAAAATTTCTTTATACCAATAAATTTAAGTTTTATAAAAAGGTAGATTTTGGGGGAATGTTAGATTTTCAAATGATCGTAATAATACAGCAGCAATCCTAATGATAGTATGCAAATTATCGGCGTTCAGTTGGTGTCAATTTCAACTTTAGGTATTCTACCTATGCCATACTTTTATTTATTATTGCATCAAATGCAGACAGGTTCTACTCTCTACTTTGTAAGATGACCATAATACTCTCACTCTCTTAAAATCACTATCTGGCCAGGCGGCTGTGGCTCACACCTGTAATCCCAGCACTTTCGGAGGCCGAGGCAGGTGGATCACTGGAGGTCAAGAGTTCGAGACGAGCCTGGCCAACACCGTGAAACCCCCATCTTTACTGAAAATACAAAAAAATTAGCCGGGCATGGTGGCGGGCGCCTGTAATCTCAGCTACTCAGGAGGCTGAGACAGGATAATCGCTTGAACCCGGGAAGTGGAGGTTGCAGTGAGCCGAGATCGCACCACTGCACTCCAGCCTGGGTGACAGAGTGAGACTCTGTCTCAAAAAAAAAAAAAAAAAATCACTGTCTAACCTCTATTCTATGTATTTTACATTGTGAAGATGAGTAATATTAATATCTGCCTTCTGTCTTTTAAAAATGTCTAAAAGTGAAAATCAATTGTGTCTGGCTGACATTTCTCTAAGGTAACTAGTTATGGATAGAGCTCCTTTTTATACTTCCTTGTTCTGCTTCCTGGTTTTCCTGTCATTTCAAATTGCCTTGGTTTTTTTCTTATTGCATTTTCTTTTTTTTTTTGTTTTTGAGACGGAGTCTGGCTCTGTCGCCCAGGCTGGAGTGCAGTGGCCCGATCTCGGCTCACTGCAACCTCCGCCTCCCGGGTTCACGCCATTCTCCCACCTCAGCCTCCTGAATAGCTGGGACTACAGGCACCCTCCACCACGCCCGGCTAATTTTTTATATTTTTTAGTAGAGACGGAGTTTCACTGTGTTAGCCAGGATGGTCTCGATCTCCTGACCTCGTGATCTGCCCGCCTCGGCCTCCCAAAGTGCTGGGATGACAGGCGTGAGCCACCAAGCCCAGCCTTACTATTGCATTTTCAAAGTTTTCATTTTCCCATCCAGTATATCGAGTCTTCTGCCTTCCTAGGGAATTCTTCAGACTTTTCTATCCTGCTGATCTGAACTTACTGCTTTCTGAGTATGCTGCACAACTGTCTTTTTTTTCCTTTAATTGTGTTCCTCTTTTTAATAAATTATTTAAAAATCTATGAATACATATTTAAGTGTCTTGCTAGTAAGAAAATATGCATGTATAATAAACTTTGCCTCCACATATGAACATACTTTTCCTTTTTAAAAAAATCTGGTTTTGTTTAGGATTCTGTTTATTTCATTTTCCTCCTTGACACTCGTGGTATTTCTCCCCATCTCCTAGATATTTTTTTGGTTTTGGAAACTTCTCTTAATTTTTACTTTTTCTCTACCATCTATTGTACGGGGATGTTAAATAGACCCTTGTAAATATGTTTTTCTGTTTTGGGAAGTGTTCTAATTCTTGGATAATTTTCACTCCTTCATTTTTCCCTATTCTCTTTTTTGGGGGGGCATATATTTATATGTTGGAATTCTTGTAACAACCTTCCCCCCGTCCCCAACTACTTGCCTGATATTTTAGGTTGACATTATTTTGCAAGCTTTCATTGAATTTCTGTTTTGGTGAGCATGTCTTTTTTGAGACAGAGTCTTGCTCTGTTGCCCAGGCTGGAGTGCAGTGGCGCAATTTCAGCTTACAGCAGCCTCAACCTCCTGGGCTCAAGCAATCCTCCCACCTCACCTCCTGAGTAGCTGAGACCTCAGGCGTGCACCACCATGTCTGTCTAATTTTTGTATTTTTTTTTTTTTTGTAGAGATGGGGTTTTACCCTGTTTCCCAGGCTGCCCATGAACTCCTGAGCTCAAGCAATCTGGCTGCCTTGGCCTCCCAAAGTGCTGGGATTACAGGCATGAGCCACCGCACCCGGCCTGCATGTCTGTCATTTTAAGAGTTTCTTCTGATTTTCTCACCCCTAATCATTTTCTCTTCTTGCTTTATATTACAGTATTTTTATGCCTTCTCTAAAGTAAAAGATTTCTTTTAAAATTATAAAAGTAGATTGGGCAGGGTGGCTTACACCTTGTAATCGCAGCATTTTAGGAGGCTGAAACAGGAGGATAGCTTGAGACCAAGAATTCAGGGCCAACCTGGGCAACATAGTGAGACCCTGACATTACAAAAAGTTTTTATTTATTTATTTTTTGAGACGGAATCTTGCTGTTGCCCAGGCTGGAGTGCAGTGGCACAATCTCGGCTTGTTGCAACCTCTGCCTCCCGGGTTCAAATGATTCTCCTGCTTTAGCCTCCCAAGTAGCTGGGATTACAGGTGCATGCCACCACACGTGCCTACTTTTTGTATTTTTAGTAGAGACGGGGTTTCACCATGTTGGCCAGGCTGTTCTCAAGCTCCTGACCTCAAGTGATCCACCTGCCTCGGCCTCCCAAAGTGCTGGGATTACACCGCGCTTGTCCTACAAAAATTTTTAAAGAAAGTTAATTAGGCACAGTGGTGCGCACCCATAGTCCCAGCTACTTGGGAGGCTGAGACGGTAGGATTGCTTGAGCCTGGGAGGTTAAGGCTGCAATGGTCTAGGACTGGACTACTGCACTCCAGTCTGGGCAACAGAGTAAGACCCTCTGTCAAAAAAAAATTTTTTTTAAACTGAATATTTATTTGGACTGAAAGAAGAAATGACAACAAATTATAAAGTTAAAAGAAGTCATATCAAAAAATCACAAAATCCAGAAAAAAACATTTATTAAGTACCAGACACATCCTACTTTTGCTTTTCCTTCATTTTTTGGCTTCATCTTCTTTGATCACCTTTTTATTTGGCAGTGAGTTTATAATACTTTATATATAGAAAATAAAAAGATCATATAGCTTTCCTCTAGCATTCAGGTTTTTTTGCTATATGGGTGTTAATAATTTTTATTTTAATTGCCTGCTATAATTATTTTTTATTTTGGTAAAATATATAACTTAAAATTTACCATTTTAAAAAGTATATTCTATTTCCTGAATTTTTTGTTTCTCTGAGGCAATTTCCCCTTTTTGATGGGAAGAGTGTTTTATCTTTGTGAGTTCTCAAGTGTGATGATCTGTGGGCCTGCTGATATTTAAGAATGAGGCTTACCATTAGGCAAACTCTGTATTTAGAGTTTGTCTGTATTTAGAGCTCATAGTAAGCCTCATTACTTGTTAATGGTCAGACTTCATTCTCAAGTGAATGGTCAGGGAACCCCCAAAATAACAGATGGTAACTGGTTTTGTTCTGGGATGTTAATTTGCACTCTAATGGCCCTACTAGTTGTTTTGATATCTTTAGAGTAGAACCTTAATTTCCTGCCTACCCAAGGGTAAGCATTGGGTGATCATTTTGCTGTGCGCACAGAAGGTGAGAGGCATTGATTTGTCTGTCCTACAGATTCTTCGTTTTTAAAAATCTCATGTCTCATTTCTGCTTTACTGGATCTCATTGGTTTTTGGAGGAAAGGTATTGGTTCCTTTCTCAGGTACCCTCCAACTATATTTTAGGCTGTTACTTCTTGGGCCAGAATTTCGCCATTTGTATCTGCTGATGGCTCCTCTCTCATCCTCTTTATTGTTTGCATTTAATATTTTATTTCTGTAACTTTCTTGAGTTATGTTAATGGAATCTGGAGGGAAAGTGGGTAACAGTAAAGTAAGCTGTTTATACTGTCATTCTGAATTGTAAGCCCCTGCAGACTTCTTGAATGATATTAATGAATGTTGAGTCACCTTTCAATATGGAGGGACAAGCCTGTTCTTTGGTGTCACGTGTATCGCTCTTTGGTTGTTTGCTTAGCAGCGTTGAAAATTGAGGAGGCAGAGGTGTATGTATGTATTTGGTTCAGGATAGTATCTCACTAGCAACTCCCAATATAACCTTTTTTTCTTTGTGTGTGTGTGTGTGTGTGTGTGTGTGTGTGTGTGTGTGTAGTGGCACGATCACACTCATTGCAGCCTCAACCTCCTGGGCTTAAGGGATCCTCCCACCTCAGCCTACCCAGTAGCTGGGACTACAGCCATGTGCCACCATGCCTGACCATTTTTTTTTTTTTTTAAGAGACAAGGTCTTGCTCTGTTGCCCAGGCTGGTCTTGATCTCCTGGCCTCAAGTGGTCCTCCTGCCTCGGCCTCCCAAAGTGCTGGGATTATAGGTGTCAACCATTGTGCCCAGCAAACCATTCCTATTTTCCCACTAAAATTATCATAAAATCAGGAATGAATGAAAGCTCCAATCATTACTACAAATGAAAATTGACAGATATAAAGACAGAACTCTGGGAGTAAGTGGTACTAATGATGAGGCAGATTGAATCAGAGAAATACTTATACATTTCAATTTGTACAATGTGTATTTACTTTGTTTTTTGAGTGATGACCACCAGGAGGAAAAATCCTTGTCTGTCCCCATTGTTTGTTCAAAAGTCAGACCTGGAGCCCCTGCTAACCAGAAAATTGAGCAGTCATCAACTTCCCCTCACAGTTTTTCTGCATGTAAGAATATTAGTAAAATTAGGGTGATGGGGAAGAGGGCTGTGGAAATGGGAAACTGATAATGTACATGTAGTATAATTGGGCATTATTATCCAAAATATGGTACATATACTTCTAGAAATAGTAGATATTTTAGGTTGTACGTGAATGAACGTTTTAAAGCCCCAAAATTTCTTTTAATAACTAACAGCAATACTAATTAGTTACGAGGATGCTAAAATAGGTAGTAAGTACCTGTTTTATGATGTTAAAAATATCAAGTAAATATTATAGCTGGTTATTAGTTTTGGCATAACATTAATGACAGAAACTTGAGAAACATTTCCTCTAGATAAAAAAGCTTGCTAGAAACTGGCAACAGTACTGCTTTTTACACGTATCACAGTTGTAAATATGAGAAGGGAGTTTGACTTCCACTTGTGTGTCAGACAGCGGGGTCATAAACAGTAGGTTTGGAGGATCTATCCTTGTTCAGTATAGAAGTTCTATTATGATTGATATGGAAATGACTTTGACTTATTGTTGAAGCCCTGATACTAAACAAATCTGATTTCGTTTGAATCTTTTTTTCCCTCTAGAAGTAAAAAAGGACAATTAAAAAAAAAATCCTTTACTTAATTTTCAGTTTCTTCTTTGAATAACAAAGTTTGGAAGTATAGGGGGTTGGAACTGATCTCTTGTCACAGAGTTTAAAGGTTAAGACTGGGGAATTTTATTTGTTTCTAAATGAAAATGTTATGATTTACATAAATGAAACTACAGTGTGAAGATGGACAGTAAATGAGATAGATATTTTTGAAGCAGCAACTGATTTTCTTTTTGTCAGACTCTGCAGCCAGCCTGAGGCCACAAATAAATGTAGTCAGAACTAGTTTCATAAAGTTAGATGGATATGTTCAATAAATAAGAGACATTTTCCATAGTATTCATATTTTGAACATGATGAACAAGATTTAGCCAAAAAATATGTGCATATTCTTATGACTCAGGGACATCACACAAAAAAGAAAAAAGAATAAAATTGAAGAAATTAATGTGTGTATTCTTTTTTCCCTGGATTGATAAGCAGCTTCTAAAAGTATGCTAATTCAAAGGTTAGTTTTATGTATTGTAAACTGTAGTTAGATAAATAATGGTTACTTTGAAAATCCACAGTAAATGCTGCTGATTTGACAAGGAAATGTGTTTAGTTGTACTCTAAGGATGGCCTTCTTTGTTGGGGTACAAAATTAGTTCATTTTTAAAGATCATAAACAAAATAGCAGAATTGAGCAATGTAAGTACAGAAATAACATTTATATAAAAATCAAAGTGCAAAACAGTATAGTATATCATTCATGAATAAGTAATATGTTGTAAAACTATAAAAATATACAATAGCGTGATAAATACCATATTCCAGATAGTGGCTCTGGGGATGTGGAGAGAAGAATAGTGGTATTATTTCATAGAAAATAATCTAAAAGAAATATGGCGGCTGGGCACAGTGGCTCACGCCTGTAATCCCAGCACTTTGGGAGGCTGAGGCGGGTGGATCACCTGAGGTCAGGAGTTCGAGACTAGCCTGGCCAACATAGTGAAACCCTGTCTACTCCCAGCTACTCAGGAGACTGAGGCAGGAGAATCGCTTGAACCCAGGAAGCAGATGTTGCAGTGAGCCGAGATTGTGCCACTGCACTCCAGCCTGTGTGACAGAGTGAGACTCCATCTCAAAAAATAAAAATAATAAAAAAAGAAATATGGCAAAACATTAAGAAGTGACAAATATCAGAGGGACATATATATATTCCACATTTCTGTATGCTTGAAAACATTTATGTAAATTTTTCTAATGTGTACAGTGACTTTTTAAAAGTAATATGCTAAAACCAATCCATTGAGTGAAATGACAATTGGATTAAATTATAACAACAATATTAATGCAGACAACTCTATTTTCTAGTTACACTTATCAAGAGATTAGTATTGAATTATTTACTTGCTTTGCAAATAAGAAAATGTAAAATTTTAAACTTTTCTCTTATTTAAAGACCTAAGATGACCAATAGACACTTTTTCTCATGTACCTCAAGTCCTTACCAAGTATAAGAAGCAGAACAGTATCTGTATCTTCGAAGCTCTCAGTGTACTTCTCCCTAGTAACATCTCCCTGCCTCCCCTGTCCTGAATTTTACATTTCATTTTATTGTCTTAAGTGCCAAGGGCAAGGTTTGTCAAAATCAAGTAATGTTCAGCCTTTTTGGTAGTGAAATATACATAACATAAATTTACCATTGTAACCATTTACAAGTAACTTAGAAGTATACAGTTTTGTGGCATTAAGCACATTTACAATGTTGTGCAATTACTATCATCCATATCTAGAACTTTTTCAGCATCCCAAACTGAAAGTTTTTTTTTTTTTTGGCGCGATCTCAGCTCACTGCAACCTATGCGTCCCAGGTTCAAGCGATTCTCCTGCCTCACCCTCCCGAGTAGCTGAGATTACAGGCTCCCGCTGCCACGCCCAGCTAATTTTTGTATTTTTAGTAGAGGTGGGGTTTCACCATGTTGACCATGCTGGTCTCAAACTCCTTACCTCAGGTGATCCACCTGCCTTGGCCTCCCAAAGTGTTGGGATTACAGGCGTGAGCCACCGTGCCTGGCCCCAAACCGAAACTCTTAGCTCTTAAAAACTGAGTCCCCATTGTCCCCTTTCCCTGGTCCCTGGCAACCTTTTTTCTACTTTCTGTCTCTGTGAATTTGCATATGCTAGATGTACCTCATGTAAGTAGACTCAGACATTATTTATCCTTTTGTGTCTGGCTTATTTTACCTAGCTTAATGTTCTCAAGGTTCATTTGAGTTGTACCATGTGTCAAAATTTGGTACATATTTTTATATTTTATATATATAATTAATATTTTATAAATATTATATATATATAATATAAAATATAATTAATATTTTAATATTAAATAATATTCCTTTATATTTATATATTTTGTTTTCTGTTCATTTGTTGATGGACACTTGGGTCATTGTACCCTTTGACTATTGTAAAAAATGCTGCTGTTAACATTGGTGTTCATGTATCTGTTGGAGTGCCTGCTTTCAGTTTCTTGGGGCATATACTTAGAAGTGAAGTTGCTGAATTGTATGGTAATTCTGTGTTCAACTTTTTGAGGAACTATCGTGCTCTTTTCCACATTGTCTATACCATTTTACAATCACAGCAGTGCACGAGGATTTCACTTTGTCCACATCCTTGCCAACACTTTTTTGCTTCCCTACTGGCCCTTTTTTTGGGGAGGGGCGGGTAATAGCCATCCTGATTGGTGTGAAGTGGTATCTTACTGCTAGACATGTTTTAAAGGAAAAAAGGACAGTTCTTTAATGTGACTTAAATTGTTAAAACATTGTATGTGTAAATGGAAAAAATACATATACACTCCTTGTGACTTAATGATCTTACACAGCTATAACAGCAAAACCAATTTTTAGTGTAAGTGCTAATTAAAACCTACTAAAATTAATGTTTTTGACAGTGCAAACCAAATTGTGGCTGTCTTCCTTTATAAATAACTTAGTCTTATGTGAGAGTATCTATTTCAGTTACAAATTATAACTGCAGAAACTTTAACTGGTAAAAGAATTCAGAGTATATAGTTAGGAAAGTTTGCTGACATTAGGACGTGCCAAACTACCTATAGTCAAAATTAATTAACAAAATTAATGATTAATGTGTCAAACTTATAAATTGTCATTTAGGTTATCATTTGGTTGGTAATATGATTCAAAAAACAAACTGCCTAATGAAATCTTGTGGTCACCTACATGAGCCACAATATACATATATTTATTTTTAATTAATTGTCTAAGTTAGAACCCAAAATTCTTTTTTCTGAAATTTAAAGAAGAAAAAAAAATTCTTTTCGCCACCTCTGATAATATCGATAGTCCAAAATTAAGAAAATGCTAACTTCTCCTGATGACTTCTTCAACAGCCTATTTCAGCCTGTGAAACATATTCAGGAATACATATGGGAGAATAAATCAATGTGAATGGGGTAGCTGCCATAAAAATAATGTTCTTAATTTGTGTAATTATTTTCAGTTTTCAAAGCACACTTACAATATGTCGAGCCCTCAGAATAATTCTTAGCTATTCAGGAAAGATGGTGTTTTCATTTTACAGGCAAGGAAACTAAAACTCATGGCAGTTACTTTAGAAATAGGAGTGCAAAAGAAGAAATAAGCATGGCATGTGAGAATAACAAGAGTCCTTATCTGTAGTGGGTTGTTTTTGGAAAGTATTGAGAAATAAGCTGGATCCAAGGGACTTTGGAATTTGGATTTGATGTAATGGAGCATTTTCCAAACTTGCTGGTCATAAGAAATCCCTTCCTTGGAGACTGGGGCCAGGGTCCTAGAATCCTTTCGTAACAAGTGCCCCTGAAGATTCTTGTACTTCAGCAAAGTTGGTTAATTATGCATTTACTATTTTTGAGCAAGGAGCTTGGTGTCATAAAAATAGTGTCTGGGGGAATATCTTTATCTAAAGGGTAGGTTGAAGGGTAAAGAGAGTCATCAGGCAATGTTTATTTTGATATGACGTAGTTGTGGCTTTTATTAGTTTGTGACCATGGAAATGAGATATGGGGAATCATGGAATTATAGAGATTGCCTGGGAAGACAAAGGGAAATAGGGAATGAGTGATTTGTGGAGAGACTTTATAGGCTTGGACATATATTGAGTCTTTGCTCATAAAATGTCGTAGATATTTGGAAATCTAATTTGAATTCCAGAATTAGTAAAACATTACACTTAAGTCAGACCTTGCCAGGCATAAAGATATTGTATATTTTTATGTACATGCTCAATATCGTATATTCTCAATATAAAACTCAGTTGCAGGTTGCATTTGTTGTAGAAATTCTGCTTTCAGGTTTTGTTTTTCCTGACTCTTCAAATCTTCTCGCTGGGCTTCTGGGCTAGATCTCCCTATAAATTTGAAATAGTTATTCCTTATTCCCCAAGTAAGTATGGAAAAGAGGGAAAGAGGGATAGAAAGGTTAAGATTGAGCTGATAAGAAGACCCTTGTGGCGGGGTGGGGGGTTGGTGTGGGGAGTGGGTGGGAAGGTAGTACACAGTATTTAAAGTTAACAAGAGCTGGGTGTGGTGGTTAATGCCTGTAATCCCAGCACTTTGGGAGGCCAAGGCAGAGAATCACTTGAGGCCAGGAATTCTAGACCAGCCTGGGCAACAGAGTGAGACCCTGTCTCTGTTTTTTTTTTTTTTTTTTCCGGAGATTAATGAGTCCTCCCTCTTTTGCTTTTATTTCTTTAAGTGAAAGCCACATCAGGCACACTGAAAACCTAACTCTTTGTTTTTATGTACTGGGCTTATTTTTTTTCTTGATTTCTTTCCTGAACAAAATGAAACAATTCTTTGAGATGCTTGTCTTTGTGATGTGCACAACCACTTTTGCTTTCCTGTGGTGGCAGATTCTTACAGGATGACCCACTAAGTTTCAGTGCTAATAACTCCATTTGAGCTTTTCAGTTCTGTTTTGTTGGTTTCCCCTTTGGCAAACCCTCATTACCCTATTCAAAAAACTTTGGGAACTGTTTCTTCCCCATTTGCTGCAGAGTAACATTTGTCTCTGAAGTGTAAGATTTCCTTCCAGTAGGGAGCAATAATTCTTTTTTTTTTTTTTTTTTTTTTTTTTGAGACGGAATCTGGCTCTGTGGCCCAGGCTGGAGTGCAGTGGCGCAATCTCGGCTCACTGCAAGCTCCGCCTCCCGGGTTCACGCCATTCTCCGGCCTCAGCCTCCCGAGTAGCTGGGACTACAGGCGCGCGCCACTACGCCTGGCTAATTTTTTGTATTTTTAGTAGAGACGGGGTTTCACCGTGTTAGCCAGGATGGTCTCGATCTCCTGACCTCGTGATCCGCCCGCCTCGGCCTCCCAAAGTGCTGGGATTCCAGGCGTGAGCCACCGCGCCCGGCCGGGAGCAATAATTCTTCTATTATTATTCTCATTCACATTTATCTTTCCTTTTTCTCCCCTTCTCAGCCTTCTTGCTTTCTTCAGGAAGACCTCCTGCAAGACCTCACCTATAGTAGTTTGAGTTTAACCCTGTTAGCTGCTTTCACATTCAAATCAATTTAATCTACTTTAATAAAAAACTTTAAAAATTTATGTGAATGACTAGGTATGGTTCTAAGTTTTGCTATGCAATAGATACTGTAAGTCACTTAGTGAAAGTAGTTTGCCTTTTTTTTTCTTTTTTCTTTTGGAGACGGGGTTTTGCTATGTTGTAGGCTGGTCTCAAGCTCCTGGCCTCAAGCAGTTCTTCTGCCCTAGCCTCCCAAAGTGTGAGCCGCCATGCCCAGCCCTAGTTTGCCATTTTCTGTTTTATTTATTAATGTATTTTTATTTGTTGCCTTTGTCCACATGTTCTAAGCCATTTTCTAATAGAACTAAATGTGTTTTTTTTTTCTTTTTGTGGTTCAGCTATTATATGTATCTGCTACTTTTAGCATTAACCTAAAGCTTCCTGTATATGCCAAGTCCCAGGTATTTTGGAATCCCATGTGGCTTTTGTGCCCTCCAAAGAGAGGTGGAGAGAACCTCTTAGACTCCAACTTTTACATACTCTTGGCCCAGATTTGGGGATTAAGTGAAGGGTGCCTAATGAATAGAACCTATGCATTCGTATACATCTGGCTTGAGAAAACTGTATCTCTCTCTTTTTTTTTTTTTTTTTTTGAGAAGGAGTTCCACTCTTGTTGCCTAGGCTGGAATGCAATGGCGAGATCTCGACTCACTGCAATCTCCGCTTCCCAGGTTCAAGCGATTCTCTGGCCTCAGCCTCCCAAGTACCTCGGATTACAGGCGCCTGCCACCACGCCCGGCTAATTTTTGTATTTTTAGTAGAAATGGGGTTTCACCATCTTGGCCAGTCTGGTCTTGAACTCCTGACCTCAGGTGATCTGCCCACCTTGGCCTCCCAAAGTGCTGGGATTACAGGCGTGAGCCACCGCACCTGGCCTCCTATCTCTCTTATAAGTAGACTTTTCTTCTTGCTTCTTTGAAACAGAAACTTTTTGTAAATAAATAAAGTGTATAAAGGTGAGCCATATTGGGAAGAAGGGGCTGATAGAGGAGTTAGAACAACCAGGTAACCAGATTTTTTTTTCCTATTCTTTTGAGGAAAAAAAAAAAAAAAAAATTTTTTTTTTTTTTGGTCTTTCTGAAACTGGTGCTATTTCAGAATGATAGGTAAAAGTCTCCATGGAGAAGCAGGGGATGTGATGCCATGTTTACCTGCCCCTCCCCCCCATAATTATGATATCTTTTCACCCATTGAGGAAAGTTGGGCTCACATAGACTCTCTTCTTTATGCGATAGACCCCAAATTTCATCTCGTAAGAGTACCAGACTGGAAGGTCATAAAGAAATCTGCAGTAGGAATTTAATCTGTAGATTTGGCCACATAAAATGCAGGTGTAATTTTTATATTATACTTCAAAACACCTTGAAAGCCATGTTAGTCTTTTTGCTATCTTTAACAGTTAAGAATTTTTGCATGAGAATTATTATTTTGTTTCTAGTTGTAGTTTTTCCAACCTTTCCCAGGCCTTCAATCTCTAATTCTGAAGTTTTTAAGAAGAGTTAGTTACCTACAGTTAATACTTCTGTCATCTTTGAATTGCTGTTATACCATATAGGCCTATGAGAGAGTTGCCAGACTTAAATAATTATTTATATGCTTAATTTCTTTTAACACATAGAATAATTCTTTAAAAAATTGTTTTCTCTGTAAACTGTAACTGAAACCCATGCTGCCCTGGAAAGCAATGTTACAAACTGCTGTACCCTCTGCCTGAAGACAAGTTTTTATTTCTTTATCCTAATACCCAACAACAATTAGTATCACTTTAAAAGATAAAATAGAGGCCGGGCACGGTGGCTCACGTCTGTAATCCCAGCACTTTGGGTGGCTGAGATGGGCAGATCACAAGGTCAGGAGTCCCAGACCAGCCTGACCAACATGGCGAAACCCTGTCTCTACTAAAAATACAAAAATTAGCCAGGTGTGGTGGCACACGCCTGTAATCCCAGCTATTCAGGAGGCTGAGGCAGAATTGCCTGAACCCGGGAGGTGGAGGTTGCAGTGAGCAGAGATTGTGTCACTGCACTCCAGCCTGTGCGACAGAGCAAGACTCCGTCTCAAAAAAAAAAAAGGTGAAATAGATGCCCATGTCTTGCTAAGTCAGTGTGGTGCAGAAAATGATAAGGAGGGAGTATTCCAATATTGACCTAAAATATTTTAATCAAGAATTCCAGACACTTTTCTCCACCCATATTTTGATATGTAGAGTTATCATGTGTGGTCTTAATTTAGCAGTAAAATTTTGAATATTGCACATATATAATACTAGAGAAATTTAAATGTTAATAAGACTTGAGGACCAGATAATTTTGGGGATACAGTTGTTAGCTGTAAAGTAAAAATTTCAAGTTTAATGAATGAAAACTAGTCTCACTGCTCCATTAGCACAATTGGTTTGGAAGGTTTGCTTCTGGGCGAATAAAGTGAACAATAGCAAAGGATGGGATTGCTACTTTAAAAATACTAAAATATGAGGGTAAAGAGAGATGTCTGTCAGAGGATGTTTAAAATGAAACAGCTTCTTAAAAGCAAGGGACGGAAGATGTGCAAATGGTTATGAGGTCATTGTACTAAACATTAGCATTGTGCTTCTCACTCCAGAAGAAATTACATCAGTGGATAATCTACTGAGCACTGTAATTTGGGTAGTACTGAGATGAGCAATTGTTTTAGTTGTTGCCTGACCCCCACCCCACCCCCAGCAGCCTGGAACTGTGCATGTTATGAAGAGGTCATGTGACACGGATCCTTGGTTTTGCTCATTTATCCTGTCAAAACAACTTAATGTAGATGGAAAGAAATGAACGAAATGAATAGAATGGGTTAGCTGTATCAGCTTTAGTTTATATTGAAGGTAATGAATGCTGCAATTGGGATAGTATAGTATATTAAGGCCCCAGGAATATCCAGCTCCATAATGGTGAAGAGAAGGTTCTAAAAAGCAACAGTGGCTAATCCATTCTAAGTCTCACTTGATGTTTTAATGCTACTTTTTGATACGGTCTTTTAAAATTTTATCATTGTATTCATGATAATTTGATTGACAGTTGGTAATATTTAAACAATATATGGTTCCTCTTATTTTACCTTCAGCTGTAATTTAGTATAAAGTTCCTATTTCTTTTCAATAATTATTATATAATAACAAACGTGGATCTTCTGAGAAGAAAATTATTTTAGAAGTTTTGCAAAATATTTAGGGTTTGTTTGTTGTCATTGAAACATGAGCTTTGAACCAAATCTTCATTTGTCTCTTAGTTCTGTTTTTCATGTGAATTTGAGGGAGATAATAAAATTTTGTGAGTCAGTTCGTCTCACAACATTTTTCTGAGGATTAAATGAAGTGAAGCAGCCAACTAGTAAATGGCAAATACTTGGCAAAAATTATTTTTAAAACCCCAGGTGTTCCTTCTGATCTGTGTCTTATGTTAGTTTTGATCTACTTTATTATTGTCTTAAAGTCTTTTGGGTGCTAAAATTATGTACTTCTCTAAGATATTTTATGAAATGTTCCTAGATTAAAAAAAAAACAATATTCAGTTATAGATGGAACAAGTAGACAAACTATTGAAAGAAGCCCCAAATTATTTGTTTAGGTTTCCCCCATTTCCTGCTTTGTTGATGATAATCTGTTGTCATGCATCTGTATTTCTAACTTCAAACATTAAGCAGGGGTTCTCAGATCCCTTAAAATAAATAATACTTTTCAGAAAGGATAAAAACACTTAGCTATATAAAGTAGCCTGTATTTATAGTATAGATGTCTTCTGGGCAAATTAGAGATAAAATATTCTAAATATTTCTATGGAATTTTTAGATTGTCATTCAGTGTATTCTCAAGGAAAATTAAATACGGATTTTTGATGGCAAAGAAGTCCCCCGTTTTTTTCCCTCTATGCTTTGCTATAAATAAGTAGTTGGCAGCTTTTTTACAATAAGCTTTTACAAACCATTTTTAAAAATCAAAAGCTGGGACCTTTGCAAGTTGATCATTCTGTATGGGTTGTGTTGGACTTAACTGAGACTCAGAGGCCCAATTTCAATTCTCATTTTTCTTTTAAGTCACAGGAATTTTTTATCCTTGGGGAAATGCTAACTGCTTATTAAGGACACACACACACACTTTTAAAGGGGTATTGAGGGGAAAAGACATTTATGGAATTCATTCAACAAATGGCTGTTGAACAAGTCACTATGCTAGGTTGTCAGGTGCTAAAGATAGAACACAAAAAGGTATCTTGTCACTGCCTTTTCATGACAAAAAGCCTCTGAGGGCTTATTCTATGGGGGATAAGAGTCAATATAATGTTGCCTGTGATTAAGTGTTATGTAAGAGGCATGTACATAGTATCCATTGGTTTTAATGCTATTGGGCAGAGTAGAAACAGGAGTAGTAACTTGGTTTCCTTTTATTACATTCCTTATTGGGTACTTTTGGCGACAGAGTGAGAACCTTAAAGTTCAATTAATAATTGATGTAATAACTGAAGAGAAAAATTAATGAACAGGAAGGTAGATCAGAAAACATTGCCCAGAAAGTAGCATACAGAAGGAAATGGAAAATGAGAGAGAAATTAAAGGATATTAAGGATAAACTAAAGTTATACACATACTCACACACATTTAAAAATTGTTTAAAAAGAAAAGAAGAGTTGGAAGGGGAAAAAAAGAGAATGAGAGGAGACAGTGTTTAGAGAGATACTGAGAATTTTCCTGACTTGAAGACAAATACTTGAGTATTTAAGTTATTGCTTAAAAGAAAAAAAAAATTAGGCTTCATGCAGTGGCTCACACCTGTAATCCCAGGCTTTGGGATGCCAAAGTAGGAGGATCACCAGAAGTTCAAGACCAGCCAGTGCATCATAGCAAGACCTCATCTCTACAAAAAATTAAAAAATTAGCCGGGCAAGGTGGCACATGCCTGTAGTCCTAGCTACTCTGGAGGCTGAGGTGGGAGGATCCCTTGAGCCCAGGATTTGAGGCTGCAGTGAGCTATGATAGCACCGCTGCATTCCAGCCTTGGTCACAGAGTGACTTCCTGTCTTTTAAACAAACAAACAAAAATAAAAACAATGTTTTGGTTAAAGATAGATTGATTTTAATCAAGGCAAAGATAGAACTGGAATTTATATTTAGGTCTTTGCCTCCAAAGCCTATGTTCATTTCCTGACATTAAATTGCATGTCTAGCAATTGATGACTTATGTTGGATATGGAAAGTTAACTGCACCTTACAAAAATGAGACTATATCTGAGTTACACATTAACAGTAAAGATACTAAAATGATCTCAAGCATGAATGTATATAATCCAAATCTATCATTTATAACTTCAGCATTTGCATTTTTTAAACACCATCGATCATGATTTAGTAATGTTTAAGTGTCTAAGATTAACTGTCTGATTTGGTGTTTTATCATTTTAAACCACATTCTGTTTTGGTTTTTGATTTTAGGATCGAAAATTAACAAAGTCTGAGAGGCAGAGATTTAAAGAAGAAGCTGAAATGTTAAAAGGTCTTCAGCATCCCAATATTGTTAGATTTTATGATTCCTGGGAATCCACAGTAAAAGGAAAGAAGTGCATTGTTTTGGTGACTGAACTTATGACGTCTGGAACACTTAAAACGTAAGTTCATCAGTATTACAAAAGCTGACCAAGAAGTATGAGAGAATTTGATTTTTTAAATTTCAGGTCTACCAGTTTCACTTTGGTTGTTCAGCCTAAGAAGGGAACAGTCCTTCCAACTGTTACTGTATTAGCATATTTCCTTGCCCACAAAGTCCTCTAGTATATAAAGTGATTTGATAATTATTTCTTGGTAAGTATTGAAATGAGAAGTTATGGCCGAGTGTGGTGGCTCATGCCTGTAATCCCAGCACTTTGGGAGGCCGGGGCAGGCGGATCACCTGAGGTTGGATCACCTGAGGTCAGGAGTTCGAGACCAGCCTGGCCAACGTGGTGAAACCCCGTCTCTACTAAAAGTACAAAAATTAGCCGGGCATGGTGGCGTGCACCTGTAACCCCAGCTACTTGGGAGGCTGAGGCAGGAGAATCGCTTGAACCTAGGAGGCGGAGGTTGCAGTGAGCTGAGATCACCTCACTTCATTCCAGCCTAGGTGAGACTCTGTCTCCAAAAAAAAAAAAAAAGAGTGGCTAAGGAATCAGAAATCAAATGTCAAGGTAGCCCTCTAGTGGTTAAAATGAGATTAAGGTTTATTGAGAAACTACCTATTTTTTTCATTTGTATTGTGCTTTGCTATATCCCTGCAACTTTTATATCAGATGCAGATTATATTGTGACAGTTATCACTTAAAAAATACTTTTAGTTCCATTTCCCATAACATCAGAAATTAATCCCCAAATAGCTAGATCTATCATTCCTTTCACAGAAATAGGTTTAATGCAGAAATTTCCCGTTACTTATTGTAAAGAGCTTTTGGTAAGTGTTGGAGTATGCCTTTGTAATCCCAGGTTTCTTAGAGCAGCAGTCCCCAACCTTTTTGGCATCAGGGATTGGTTTCATGGAAGACAGTTTTTCCATGAACTGGTGCGGGGGTGGGGCTGGGGAAGTTTGGAATGATTCAAGCACATTACATTTATTGTGCACTCTATTTCTATTATTATTACATTAAAATATATAATGAAATAGTTATACAACTCACCATAATGTAGAATCAGTGGGAGCCCTGAGCTTGTTTTCCTGCAACTCAACTGTCCCATCTGGGGGTGATGGGAGACAGGGCAGATCATCAGGCATTAGATTCTCATAACGAACGCTCAACCTAGATCCCTTGCATGCACAGTTCACAGTAGGGTTCATGGCCCTGTGAGAAATCTAATGCTGCTGACAGGAGCCAGAGCTCAGGTGGTAATGCGAGCAGTGAGGGAGCGGCTGTAAATACAGATGAAGCTTTGCTTGCTCGCCTGCCACTCACCTCCTGCTGTGTGGCCAGGTTCCTAAAAGGCCATGGACTGATATTGATCTGTGGCTCAGTGGTTGGGGACCCCTGGTATCTTAGAGGATCTGTTTTTACTCAGAGAAGAACCTGTAGTAAGTTACCTTGTATAAATTTTTTATTTGGTGAAATTGGATATTTTTAAATTATCACTGTGGCATATATTCTTTATTAATTGTTAAAGTTAATACTGCTGAGCTGATTAATTCCAGATCATTGGAATACAGTGTTACAGCACCTGGATATAGTCACTTGCATGTTTTCTGAAATGCTTACGGTTAGCATGTTGAAACATGAACAGATCATTTCTGTCCTGCAAATTCTAATTTCTTTATCCAACTTCCACTCTTGTTTATGGCAATACCTTTATCCTAGTTAGTCAGGCTTCTTGATACTCTCTTTTCTTCCATTAGAATGTGCTAACTAGCACTATATACCTAGTACTATGAACAAGTGCTAGATATCACATTCTACTGGAAGTGTCTAATACTGAATAATAAGTGTTTGAATGAATTAAGGAGAATTATGTGGTAATAATTATGTGTACATCTTGAGATTCTTTCCACTGGTTTGGATACTTACTTGGTTGTCAACAGTTTGTCTGGCATGCCTAAGATTACTCTAAAATACAATGGTTTACTTGTTTTAAAAACTATATTGAGGAGCTTTGGGTAACATAGTGGGGTAATAAGCCCCTGTGGAATGGCTGTCCCACACCAACAAACTGAAATGTGGAATATAATAAAAGTTTTTTCCAATACGTGTCTAAGCTTTAAGGAAAGAAAGGTTAACCTCCAGATAATAAGCAGAGATAACTCAAAGCCAAAACAGGAACTTATACTCTGGGATTTTAGACCACATATTGGTTGAGGAGTTGATGCTAGTTTTAATGTCCATGCAAGGACAGAAAGCCTTAGAACTAGGTAGAGAGGGGAGCTAGAACTTAGCCTGTGTCAAAAAACTGAACTATCCGTGAAAAGAGAGACCTCAGTGCTCTAGCCAGTGAAAGCTGCAAGGAATTTTACCTGTGTGCAGAAGACTGTGGATAAGAGGGGAGACCTATGAAAAATAGAAATTCACATCAAATGCTACCAGTGTTCTTAATTATTCTGTAAACTAATCTTTTCTTTTTCTTTTTTTGGAGACAGGGTCTCACTCGGTTGCCCAGGACAGAGTGCAGCAGCACAATCATAGCTCACTGCAGCCTCAAACTCCTGGGCTCAGGGAATCCTTCCACCTCAGCCTCCCCACTACCTGGGACTATAGTTGCTCACCACCATACCTGTCTAATAAAAAAACAATTTTTTTTTTTTTAGTAGAGACAGTGTCTATTTTGTTGCCCAGGCTGCTCTCAAACTCCTGAGCTCATCCTGATTTGGCCTCATCCCGATTTGACCTCCCAAACTGCTGGGATTACAAGCATGAGCCACGGTGCCCAGCCTGTTTGGTATTCTTCCATCTCATATGTAGATGGCGCTATAACATAAATTTGTACCATCTACTTGGTACAGGAATCCCAAACCGAAGAACATACATGATAATTGATCAGGAACGGAAAGAAAACTCCCGGGGACATTTTCACAGTTCCTTGGTCAGTGTCCAGAGGCAAAACTGTTTCCAAAGAAGATGACCTCACAATTAAATTACAAATCACACCAATGAAGGTGAATAGACACAACCAGAAAATAGCACTGCAACAATTAAGGATATCATGGACAAGTCTGAAAGTGATTACAAACAATTATTTACATAATGATGTCAGTAAAGATATTTGTAAGTGTATATGAAGTGTATAAAGAGAAAAGAAGGAATTGAAGGAAAAAGACACCAAAGAAAAAAAAGACAGGCATAATTTAAAAGCTTCTGAAGAACTTCTAGAAATAAGAACATTAAAATTCAAACATAAATGGTCTAACGGTTAAACAGCAGACTGAATTGAATTGACAGGAATATTAACTACGAAGAAATGAGCAACAGAACACACAAAAAAGACAGAAAATATTTAAAGAGGATGACATAGTAGTGAGAAGACCCAGATAGATTTAATTATCTAAAAGGGGTTTCCCTGTAGTCCTAGCTACTCTGGAGGCTGAGGCAGAGAATCACTTGAGCCCAGGAGGTGGAGGTTGCAATGAGCCGAGATCGTGCCTCTGCACTCCAGCCTGGGTGACAGAGCGAGACTCCATCTCAAAAATAAAAATGAAAAAGTAGAGAGAATGAGAAAAAGAAAAATTTCAGAATTTAAGAATTCTGATTGAGAATGTATACAGATTCCTAAGCAAGTAGATTGAAAACATTCATATTCATTTCTGGAAGAATGGATAACTAGGACCATTGGCAGCATTTGGAGAGGCAGATTGGGAAGGAATGGGAATTAATTCCAAAATGCGTGCTTTTTGGACCTTTCGAGTTTCTACCTTTGTTCTCTATGTATATTTACATTGAAACAGATAAAACACCCATAGCTGAAAAATAAGATGGGAATGTATGAGTCAGAAAATTTGGATTAAGGCCAGGCGTGGTAGTTCACACCTGTAATCCCAGCACTTTGAGAGGCTGAGGCGGATGGATCACCTGAGGTCAGGATCACCTGAGGTCAGTTCGAAACCAGCCTGTCCAACATGGTGAAACCCCATCTCTACTAAAAATACGAAAAATTAGCTGGGCATGATGGCGGGCGCCTGTAATCCCAGCTACCCGGGAGGCTGAGGCAAGAGAATCGCTTGACCCCGGAAGTGGAGGTTGCAGTGAGCCGAGATTGTGCCACTGCACTCTAGCCTGGGTGACAGAGTGAGACTCCATCTCAAAAAAAGAAAAAGAAAAAAAATTTGGATTAAAAGTTGAGATAAATTTAGATGTATTTTTTTAAATAGACATGAAATTCAAATATCATACAATTAACATTTTAGAAAGTACAATTCAGTGGCACTTAGTACATTCACAATGTTTTGTAAGTACCACATCTATCAAGTTACTCAACATTTTAATCACCTCAGAACACTCTGTGCCCATTAAGCAGTTACTCTGCATTTCCCTTCCTCCAGCCAGGCAGCGTATTTTTTCTTTAATTGCACATTATCTAAGTTCTTTTTCTTTTTACAATTAAAAAGAAATTTTCAGTTTCTGAGCTTCAGAGGCTTATGCCAACAGGAGGGTTTATTAAGTAGAAAGAGCATTAGACTTGCAGTAGAAGTTGTGACTGCTCCCACCGCTGCCTCTGACCAACTGTGATTTTGGGCAAATAGCTAACCTTATTTGGGCTTCAGTTCCCCATGTGTATGTAAAACAAGTGGTTGGACTGCCTGATCTCTGGGACCAGCCATTCGTGGATGGGATTTTTTTATTGTAAAAAACATAACAAAATTTACCATCTTAACCATTTTTAAGTGTATAGTTCAGTAGTGTTAATACAAACACATTTCTGTGCAATTTCTAGAATGCTTTTCATGTCACAAACTCTATGCCCGTGGAACAATTTCCCATTTCTCCCAACCCTCAGCTCCTGACAACTACCAACTTTTTACCATCTCTATGGATTTATCTAATCAGGATATGTCCTATAAATAGACTCAAAGTATGTTATGGATCCTTGTGTTTGGCGTCTTTCACTTAGCATGGTGTTTTCGAGGATCATCGTGATTGCACGCATCAGTACTTCATCCCCTTTTATGACTGAATAACATTCCATTGCATGGAAATATCACAGTTTGTTTATTTATCCATTGATGAACATTTGGGCTGTATCCACCTTTTGGCTATTATGAGTACTGCTGCTATGAATATTTGTGCAGAAGTATTTTTTTGAGTACCTGTTTTCATTTCTTTTGGCTGTATACTAGGAATGGAATTGCTGAGTCATGTGGAAATCTTTGTTTAACTTTTTGAGGAGGCATCCTACCGGGAGTGACATGATACCTCATTATGGATTACATTTGCATTTCCCTAATGATTAATAATGTGGAACATCTTTTCATATGCTTATTGGCTATTTGTGTATCTTTGGAGAAATGTTTATTCAAGTTCTTTGCTCATTTTTTATTGGATTGCTTGTTTTTTTGTTGATTTATTAGAGTTCTTTATATATTTTAGAAATTAGACCCTTGTCCAGATCCATGATATGCAGATATTTTCTCCTATAGGTTGCCTTTTTTGCTCCTTGATAATGTTCTATGATGTACAGATTGAGTATAGTATCTCTTATCCGAAATGCTTGGGACCAGAAGGGCTTTGAATTTTTTCAGATATTGGAACTTTGAATTATACTTACCAGTTAAGCCTCCCAAATCTGAACTCCAAAATGTTCAAATGAGCATTTTTGTTGTGTGTCATGTTGGTGCTCAAGTTCAGATTTTCTATTGGAGCATTTTGGATCTTGGATTTTCTGATTTGGATGCTCAAGCCTGTGCCAAGTTTTAAATTTTGATAAAATCCAATGTATCTGCTTTGTCTTTTGATGGTTGGGCTTTTGGTGTCATGTAAGAGTCCATTGTCATAAATAACCAAGGGCATACAGATGTATCCCTAAGTTTTCTTCTAAGAGTTCTATCAATTTAACTTTTCTATTTAGGTTATTGTTCCATTTTTAAGTTAACTTTTGTGTATGCCGTGAGGTAGGGTCTGATTTCATTCTTTTACATGTTGATGTCCAGTTATCCCAGCATCATTTGTTGAAGAGACTTTTACCTATTGAATGGTCTTGGTACTCTTCTCAAAAATTATTTAATCATATGTATAGGTTTATTTCTGGACTCTCAATTCTATTTCATTGGCCTACATGTCTGTTCTTATGCCAGTACCGCATTGCTCTGATTACTATAGTAATTTTTGTAAATTTTGAAAATTAGAAGTGACTTCTCCAATTTTGTTCTTCTTTTTCACTATTGTTTTTGACAGTTGGGGTCTTCTTGAAATTCCATGTGAATTTGAGGATTAGATTTCCATTTCTACAAGAAAAGGCTGTTGGAATTTTGACAGAAATTGTGTTGAATCTGTAGATCATTTTGTATAGTATCACCATCTTTAACTATATTGTCTTCTAATCCGTGAACACAGGGTGTCTGTCCATTTATTTATGTCTTTTTTAATTTCTTTCAGCAATGTTTTGTAGTTTCATTATACAAGTCTTTCACATCCTTGGTTAAATTTATTCCTAGATCCTTTATATGCTATTGCAAATGAAATTGTTTTCTTAATTTCCTTTTCAGATTGTTAATTGCTGGTATATATAAATACAACTGATTTTTGTGTGTCAGTCTTGTACTTTTGTAACTTTACTGAATTCTTGTATTAGCTCATCTGTGTGTGTGTTCATTCTTTGGGGTTTTTTTTTTTTTTTTTTTTTTTTAAACAGATGGGGTTTCACTCTGTCACCGAGGCTGGAGTGCAGTGGTGCAGTCATAGCTCACTACAGACTTGAACTCTAGGCTTAAAGGATCCTCCCACCTCAGCCTCCTGAGTAGCTGGGACTCCAGGTGTGTACCACCATGCCTGGCTAATTTTTAAATTTTTCATAAAGATAGGGTCTCAATATATTGCTTATGGTAGTCACAAATTCCTGGCCTCAAGTGATCTCCCTTGCCTCTGGCTCCCAAAGTGCTGAGATTACAGGTGTGTGCCACCACACCTAGCCATTCTTTGGGATTTTTATATATTGGATCAAGTCATATGTGAATAGATAGTTCTTTCAGATTTGAATGCCTTTATTTCTTTTTCTTGTCTAACTGTTTTGGCTAGAGCTTGAATTATGATTAGCATTGATTATCCTTGTCATATTACTGATTTTAAGGAGAAAGCTTTTGGTCTTTCACCATTGAGTATATGTTAGCTGTGAGTTTTTCATAAATGTTCTTTATCATGTTGAGGAAGTTCTCTGCTATTCCTATCCTAGTTTCTTGAGTTTTTTTTTTTTTTTTTTTTTTTTTGGAAAGGTGTTAGATTTTGTCAAATGCTCTTCTGCATCAAGTTAGATAATCATGAAACCACTTCGTTCTATTAGTGTGATATATTATACTGATTAATTTTCTTATGTTGAATCACCCTTGCATTTCATAGATAAATAGTGTATAATCCTTTTACTATGCAGTTGGGTTTGGCTTGCCAATATTTTGTTGAGAGTTTTTACATCTACATTAATAACGGTGTTAGTCTATAGTTTTCTTTTGGTATCTTCAGTATCAGGGCAATACTGGCCTCACAGAATGATTTAGAAAGTGTTTCCTCCACTTTTGCTTTTTGGAAGAGTAGGATTTGTGTTAATTCTCCTGTAAATGTTTGGTAGAACTCATCAATGAAGCCATCCAGTCCTAGACTTTTCTTTGGAGATTTCTTGAAGGAATGTTCCATGTACAGTTGAGAATATATATTCACTTGTTGTTGGGCAGTGTGTTCTAAATATGTCTGTTACCTTTTGGTGGTTTATAATATTGTTCAAGTCTTCTGTTTTCTTACTCATCTTTTGTCTAGATGTTTTATCCGTTATTGAAAGTGGAATACTGAAGTCTCCAACTATTACTGTAGTGTCTACTAATTTCCTCCCTTTAATTCTGTGAATGTTTGCTTCATTATTTGGTGGCTTTATTGTTTGATGTATATAATTGTTATTTTTTATGGATTGGCCCTTTTATCAATACATCATGCTCTTCTTTATCTCTTGCATCAGTATTTTTACTTATTTTGCCTGATATTAGTTTTGCTACCTCACCCTCTTTTATTTACTATTAGCATAGAATATCATTTTTCTTTCATCCTTTGAATTTCAACCTATTTCTGTCCTTGGATCTATAATGAGTCTCTTGTAGACAGTATATAGTTGGCTTTTTTTCTTTCTTTTTAAAAAATCCATTCTGCCCATCTCTGTTTTTGGTAGGAGAGTTTATTTACATTTAATTAGTCAAAATGAATGATTTGCTATTTTGCTGTTTGTTTTCTGTATGTCTTATACCTTTTTTTTTTTTTTTTTTTTTTTTGAGACGGAGCCTCGCTCTGTTGCCCAGACTGGAGTGCAGTGGCACAGTCTCAGCTCACTGCAACCCCCGCCTCCCGGGTTCAAGCGATTCTCCTGCCTCAGCCTCCTGAGTAGCTGGGATTATAGGTACTCACCACCACGCCCAGCTAATTTTTGTATTTTTAGTAGAGACAGGGTTTCACCACGTTGGTCAGGCTGGTCTCAAACTCCTGACCTTGTGGTCCTGCCCACCTCAGCCTCCCAAAGTGCTGGGATTACAGGCGTAAGCCACCGCCCGCAGCCGTAATATATCACATTCCTAGAGACAGTCTTGTACTGTTTTTTGCTCCTTATCTCCTTCATTACTACCTTTTTAAATGTATTTATTTTTCTTTTGTAGTATACCATTTTCATTCCTTTCTCATTTCCTTTTGTGTATATATTTAGATATTTTTTCAGTGGTTACCTTGAGGATCACAATTAACATCATAAACCTCCAACAGTCTACCCTGAATTGATACCAACTTAGCTTTAATACAGCATACAAATCTCTGATCCTATACAGCCTCACTCCTCCTTCCCATTTTATGTTTTCATTGTCTCAAATTTTATGTTTATACATTGTGTACCCATTAGCATAGTTTTATAATAATTATTTTACATGCATTTGTCTTTTAAATCATGTAGGAAATAAAAGGAATTATAAACCAAAAATACATTAATACTGGTTTTAATATTTAGATGTGTGATGGACTTTACCAGAGATTTGATTTGGTTTTATGGCTTCAAGTTATTGTCTAGTGTTCTTTTATTTCCTCTAAGGATTCTCTTTAGCATTTCTTTTAGGGAAAGTGTACTACTGTCAAACTCTTCCAGCTTTTATTTACCTGGGAATATCTTAATTTCTCTTTCATTTCTGCAGTATAATTTTGCTGATATATAATTCGTGGTTGGCAGTCTTCAGGTTTTTTTTGGGGTTTTGCTTTTGTTTCTTTTAGCACTTTAAATATGTCATCCCACTGCTTTCTGCCCTCTATGGTTTTTGCTGAAAAATCAGCTCATAATCTTATTGAGGATCCCATGGTCATAAGTCACTTCTCCCTTGCTACTTTCAAGATTCTCTCTTTGTCTTTGCCTTTTAACAGTTTGAATATAGTGTTTCTCATTGTGGATCTATTTGCATTTATCCTTAGAGTTTGTTGAACTTTTTGGATGTGTAGATTCATGTCTTTTACTAAGTTTGGGAAATTTGTGGCCATTATTTTCTTAAATATTCTTTCTGCTCTTTTCTGTCTTCTTTATCTAGGACTCCCATTGTGTATATTTTGCTCAACTTGATGGTGTCCCACAGATCTCTTAGACTCTGCTCATTTCTGCTCCTCAGACTGTACAGTTTCACTTCCTATTTTCAAGTTTATTGCCTTTTTCTTCTGTGTGTTCGCATATGCTGTTGAAATCTGTTAGTGAATCTTCACAGTATTTTTCAGCACCTCAATTTCTACTTGGTTCCTTTTTAAAGTTTCTGTCTCTGTTGATATTCTCTACTTCAATAGAATATTCTTTGTACTCTTAATATTTAGCAGCCATTGTTCTCAGCATTTAGTCTGCAAAGTTTTGGCATAGGTACTATAATTATCCCTATTTAACCATGAGTTGATTGTTTTTAGTAAATATCTTAGTACTGAAGAACTGATTAAGAGCTCTGCTTATGAGAGTGGAGCTTTTCAGCAACTGGGCTTTGTCTTCAATGTGGTTGGGCAAAAATCAGTCACAATGGAAGAACCTGAAGTGCTTGATATATCAGAGACATCTTTTTTTTTTTTTTTTTTTTTGGAGATGGAGTCTCGCTCTGTGTTGCCCAGGGCGGAGTGCAGTGGCGTGATCTCGGCTAACTGCAACCTCTGCCTCCCGGGTTCAAGCGATTCTCCAACCTCAGCCTCCCGAGTAGCTGGGGCTATAGGCACATGCCACCATGCCCAGCTAGTTTTTATGTTTTTAGTAGACACCATGTTTCGCCATATTGGTCAGGCTGGTCTTGAACTCCTGACCTCAGGTGATCCATCCACCTCAGCCTCCCAAAGTGCTGGGAGTGAGCCAGCGTCAGCCACTGCACCTGGCAGAGACATCTTTTTTTTTTTTTTTTTTGTCCTATCTGCACTGATGGTGCCTAATTGTCACTTTTCTTTCTCAAGATGTGGTTGGTTATGGTGATTTTAATTAATATTCGTATTTTTATAACCACTTTTCATTCTCACCAAACTTAGCTTCTCTGAGTTTAGAAATGTTCCATTTGTAATATGGAGCAGATTGGATTCCTTCTTGTCCTTATACTTTCCTTATAAACATTGCTATAATAATCATGTTTGTACACAATTCCCAAAGAATAGGTTCTTAAAATGAAATGTGAATCATAATATATGTGTAATTTTCACTTGAATAGCAATTTAGACAAAGATATGATTCCCTCCTGCTAGCTGGGATAATCTTGAAGGTCTTTACTAAAATGATAGATATAATTTAAGTAGATCTTAAAGGATAAACAGGTTTTCTGTAATTAGGGAGGTGCTATGGGAATAGTTAAAAAAAAGAGAGAAGTAATATAAAGTTCATAGTAGGATAAGATACCCTTTTGTTTAAAAATAGGATGTTTATAAGGAGGACTAACGACAAATAAAATTTCCAATATTTTATTATAAAATTCTAAAAATTATATAGAAAAGGCAAAAGAAACATACAGTGAGCACACACTCAGCACCAAGATTCTGTTGTTACTAACTTTTTGCATCACTTGCCTTACCATATTATTAATATGTCCATTTATTCATCCTCCATCCATCTTATTCATTCCATAATAAAATAAATTGTAAAATAAAATAATTCAATATGCTTCACCCGTAAACCCTTCAGTATGCATTTCGTTAGAGTTCCAGTATTTGTGTACTTTATTTTTCTTTTACCTCCAAACAGCATCAGGATAGAATAAATTATTATTGTACGATTGAATGAGTTTTGACAAGGCATTCATTCGTGTAACCAAAACTCTCAAGATAGAGAACATTTCCATCATATCGGAAAATGCCCTTATGCCGCTTTCCAGGCAGCCTTTTCCTTACCCTCCATCCAGCATGACTGTTTTGATATATTTTTTAAACCATAAAACCCACTTTTGCTATTAGTTTTCTTCAATTAGCCCACCCAAATGAAGTAAAATTTTATTTTAGTTCTGCTATTTGATTTTTAGTTAGATCTGGATCTCTGCATGTTTTTCATTTTAAGTAGTTGCCCTGAAGATTACATTTACGTTGTTACTTTTCACAATTTATTTAGGACTAATACTGTACAATTTCATGTAAAATACAAGACCTTTGCACAAATAAGGTTTTCATATAACCCCTCTACCGCTTGTTCTGTATGCTGTAATTTTCATATCTTATACAAGTACAAGATTACATAAGTAATTTCATATCTTATACAAGTACATAGATAAGTCATTATTAAATGGGAGTAATTATAGTACCTATTCAACAAAATTGGAATACTAAATGCAGGAAACAGTGACAGCCAAATGTTAACAGTATAGAAAATTTTACCTCAACAAATAGAGAATATCAGTAAAGACATAGAAATTACAAAAATTAAACAAATTCAGGAACTGAAAAACAATAATTAATAGAATATGTAAGCATATCATATATATCACAGTATTATAGATTTTCCTTTAACCAATCATGTGTGTATTTTAAAGATACTGAAAGGAAAATGTAGTCTTTTCTATTTAACATTTTTAGTGCTCTTTTTTTCCTGAATATTTCCAGATAAAATAGGCATTGGAACTCAATCCCCAGATGTATCTTTTCTACAGTGGGTAGCACCAGAGGTCTCTGTTCAGTTCTTTTAGCATACTTGGGCTGCTTGGAATCTTTCCTACATTCATGTATTTCAGAGGTCAACTAGAGATTTGGGCAGAGTGGATACACAGAATTTAGGGCTCTCCTTTGGTGCCTGCTTTCTGAGATTTCCTCCTTTCCTTTCTAGATCTGTGCTGTCCAGTAGAACTTTCTGCCATTATGGAAATGTTGTATAACGTACACCATCCAGAATGGTAGCCATTTGCCTCATGTGGCTGTTCAGCACGTGAAATGTGGCTAGTGCAACTGAGAAATGAAATTTTTTATTTTAGTTAATCTACATTTGAGTAGTCACATTTGGCTAGTGGCAACTTTATTGGACAGACCATCCTTGCAGAAAGGTCTGTTAGACAGCACTGTTCTTGATGCTGTGGTCATTCCAAACTCAGTCGCCATTTCTGTCTGGGGTTTAGCAGACCTGCAGAATCAGAACAGGCCCTTTCCTTAGGTAAAAATGTATTATAAAGAAGGAAACTCAAGTAGTGCTTTCCCTTTTTCCCTTCCAACTATGACTGATTTTGATTGCTCTCCAGAGCCTTCAAGTAATAGTTGTTTTGTATATTTTTGACTAGAGTTTATAAATACATCTGTGTCTGATAGAACTACTCCACTATTTAACAGAAGCAGAACTCTACCTCTTAATCATTTAAATGGTGACCTAATGTTAAGGAATTCATATTTGGTGCTTTGTTACCATAATTCTCTTACCAATCACTAATTAAATATTTTTGGCTCTGAAATATTTAGCTGATATAGCCAACTTGATCTCCCATTTCTTTAAGAAAAAACTAGTTACCTAATACTATCATTGTTTAGATGAAAAAGCATTTGGAAGACTTATTTTTCTGGGTCTCTTAATAGAATTTTTATTTTAAACTATCATAGCCCTGCTTACTAAAAGTATTATTAACCTTTAGTGTTACTGAATCTTAGTATGCTAAATTTGATATTCCCATCTCCAGTCATGTTAGAATTTAATGGAATTCTTCAAAGCAACAAACTCCTATCATTGATAACTTGTTTGGTATACTTTGCTTTTTCTAGGTATCTGAAAAGGTTTAAAGTGATGAAGATCAAAGTTCTAAGAAGCTGGTGCCGTCAGATCCTTAAAGGTCTTCAGTTTCTTCATACTCGAACTCCACCTATCATTCACCGCGATCTTAAATGTGACAACATCTTTATCACCGGCCCTACTGGCTCAGTCAAGATTGGAGACCTCGGTCTGGCAACCCTGAAGCGGGCTTCTTTTGCCAAGAGTGTGATAGGTATGTTTCAGGTGTACCTTGGAGCCTGACTGGCTTTCTCACATTCCTTTTATTTAGAATCCTGGCTCTGTCAGAGTTTTAAGTGATATAAACCTTAAGAAATTCATAGCTTGAACTCAGGAGGTGATCCATTGTACTTATGAGATATAGGATTCTCTATATTTGTGCTTCTTGGAATCATCTTAGAGACTATTGGTAACATTACGTTACAAGAAATAAAGTGAACTTTGTTGATAAAACCTAATGTAATAGCCTTTTTTGTTGTTGTTGTTGTTGTTGTTGTTGAGATGGAGTCTCTCTCTGTCACCCAGGCTAGAGTGCAGTGGCACAATCTCAGCTCACTGCAACCTCCACCCACCGGGTTCAAGCGATTCTTGTGCCTCAGCCTCCCGAGTAGCTGGGATTACAGGCATGCATCACCATGCCTGGCTAATTTTTGTATTTTTAGTAGAAATGGGGTTTCACCGTGTTGGCCAGGCTGGTCTCGAACTCCTGGCCTCAAGTGATCCACCTGCCTTGGCCTCCTAAAGTGTTGGGATTACAGGCGTGAGCCACCCCGCCCAGCCAGCCATCTTTTCATTACACACTGTTGATACTTAACATTATACACTATTTATTTAATACATACAGTATGTCACTTCATGAAAGAAATGGAATTTATATTTAGTTTTACTTTCTAAAATTAAAAGATAAAAATTAAATTTTTAAACATATAAAATGTCTGTTGGATATATATGTATATTCAAGAATATTGGCCAAGCACAATGGCTCATGCCTGTAATCCCAGCACTTTGGGAGGCTGAGGTGGGAGGGTCACTTGAGGTCAGGAGTTTGAGACCAGTCTGGCTAAGATGGAGAAACCCCATCTCTATTAAAAATACAAAAAAAAAAAAATTAGCCGGGTGTGGTGGCGGGTGCCTGTAGTCCCAGCTACTCAGGAGGCTGAGGCAGGAGAATCACTTGAACCCGGGAGGTGGAGGTTGCAGTGAGCTGAGATTGCGCCACTGCACTCTAGCCTGGGCAACAGAGCAAGACTCCATCTCCAAAATAAAAAAAATAAAAAGAATAACCTCCTAACATTTTGTGAAAATAAATATGACAATTCATTCTGAAAAGTTGGTTTTATCAACTTTTTTCTTAGTCTCACTCTTCAGAATTTATGATCTATCTAAAAGAGTGTTTCTCAACCTCAATACTACTGAGATTTGGGGTTGGACAATTCTTTGTTGCAAGGGGCTGTCTTGTACGTTGTAAGACTCTGGGGCAGCATTCCCAGCCTCTACCCACTAGATACCAGTAGCACGCTCCCTCTGTACCTGCCTTCTAGTTGTTATAACCAAAAGTGTGTCCAGACATTGCTATATATGGCCCCTAGAAGACAAAATTGCCCCCTGTTGAGAATCACTTATCTAAAGAACAAGGCTGTCCCTTTCAGACTTTATATGTTAGAAACTCAAAGCTGGAAAAATAATTTAATGCCTATTTTGATAAGCTTTCACTCTATGAAGAGGATATCACAATTTAAAAACTTGAGGTCTTCATAAACATTCTATTTACTCCCTCCAAAAGGTGACAATAACAAAAGAAACCCATTAATTTTTAAGTGAACTTGGATACTGAGTATTACTAGGAAAAACACAGAACACCAGTTATTTGTACATCTTTCAAAAACAGTGTTCTCCTTGGAATATTATGTAACTAGGGTTAGGAATGCTTTCACATTTTCTTATAATACATTCACAAGAAGAATGGGAAAAGTGTCATTTAAAGCTGAATTTCTTTTTTTGCCTTCTTCACAGGAAACATTTCTTTGATTGTCTTTGGCATCCTGAAATCTCTGGCCCAATAGAGTTTTTATTTTCTTTGTTGATTAAATGATAGTGTGCATGCCTGTTTCTTGGAAATGCCTAATAATTTGAGGTATGCAGACCTAATTTTCTGGAAGCATTACAAAACCTAGTCTTGTGGGATCACACACTGTGCTCATAAATCAGTCTGTATTTGGGTTCTATATTTGTGTGTGTGTGTTTGTCTTTTTGCCTGTAGGATGTCCCTCACTACATTTCTTGTGTCTGTAGTAGGCTTATTTGTGTACTGCAGGTGGGATGGTAAGTATGTGAAGAAAAGGGCTCTGGTGAGTGGCCTTTGGAGACAATTACGTTTTATTTCATTTTTTAAAAAATGTATTGAATATCGGGTTTTTCACTGCAAGGCCTTCTTAAAAAGTGAAACTAATTAGATTGAGTGTTAATGCCAAGAGTGTAGCTGTAAATATTAACCCTACAGCTACCATACATTAGTGGGCACACAAGTATTTTGATCTTTTTAAACCCATCATCTTATCTTACAGATGTACCATTATATTTGCTTTGTTCCTTGCATAGTGTCTTTCCTTTTCCTTCTATTTGTTTTCAATATGAATTATATTAGTTTATTATCTTAGCCAAGGTTTTATTTTGGCATATTGTATAAAGAAATTCATTTTACACAGTAAATCAATAAATAGATCCTTGACCTTATTCCAGTTTCATATAAAGGCCTTGCAGTGGAAGATCTTTTATGAGATATTTGATGGAACAGACTGACTGAGAAGATTTCCTTCCTCTTTTCTCCCCCTTTCCTTTTTTCTCCCCATTCCAATTTCTTCTCTCTCACAGGTCAACCCCTCTGCTTCTCACCCCGGTGAGTAACGTCTGAAGCTTCTGCTCGCATTGAGTCTGAATCGTTCTTTTAATTTAAGGTACCCCAGAGTTCATGGCCCCTGAGATGTATGAGGAGAAATATGATGAATCCGTTGACGTTTATGCTTTTGGGATGTGCATGCTTGAGATGGCTACATCTGAATATCCTTACTCGGAGTGCCAAAATGCTGCACAGATCTACCGTCGCGTGACCAGTGTAAGTCTTCCCCTAACTGATTGTTGAACTTGGGGCATATCTAACAAAGAATCCCAAGGTGGATGACATCAAACCATGTAAAAGAGGACAATAGTGGAAGGCATACTGAGTGAACTGTTGGGGTTGGGGGGGTGGTGTTGAGGTATGTGTAAGGCTATTGCTCATGATACAGTGAAAGATAAAGATCAAAGAACCACTAGTTTATCCTGTACCCACCTTGCATTCATTTAAATCTTTATTATGTTTAAAAACACACCCTCATTACCTACTTTTTAACCCCCTATTAATTCAGCTAAACTCCTGTTGTCTCCCACCACATAGGTCAGAGTTAAAAGTAATGTTTTTAATTCAAGATGCTTTGTCAAATTAATTTGTTCACTGACTTTTCTCTGAATGACTTGAGTTGATTTATTAAATCTTATATATTAGTACCTACCATATTTAAGGCATAAATAAATACCTTATTGTAGTTTAAATTACTCATGGTAGTTCATGTCTGCTGACAGAGATATTTTCTACAGCTGTCTAATTGAAACCTGAAAGGTAGTTGTTATGATTCATTTTACTTTATCACTACATGCTTCATTATGCTACTCTAAAATACATTTTCTTACATAACCATATTATGCCTGAAAAAATTAACAATCATTTCTGCATCATCCAATACCCTGAACCTGTTCAGATATTCTCTCCATTGTTTCAAAAATGTCCGTTGACAGTGTTCAAAATAGGCTCCATCAAGGTCCACAAAATATATTTTATTGTTGTAGTTCTTAATCTAGAACTATTGCTTTTACTTTCTTTTTCTGCATGCATGTCAGAGATTTATTGAGAAAATTAGATTATTTCGAGGAATGTTCCACATTCTGAATTTTCCTCGTGGTGTCATTTAACTAGTTTATTCTTCTATATTTCTGTAAGGAGAAGTTTACCTTAAAATGGTTGGGGTAGGTTAACAATGTAAAAATAATTTTGTCTTTTTTACTCGCATTCACCCAAGAGTGTACGTTGTTGTTTTCCAGAGGCTATATGATACTGCACATATGATATTGCAGCAGAGTACATACAGAAGCATATAAAAGAATTCATTTGTAGGGCCGGGCGTGGTGGCTTATGCCTGTAATCTCAGCACTTTGGGAGGCCGAGGCAGGTGGATCCCTTGAGGTCAGGAGTATGAGACTAGACTGGCCAACATGGTGAAACCCCATCTCTACTAAAAATACAAAAATTAGCCAGGCGTGGTGGTGCACCCCTGTAATCCTAGCTACTTTGGAGGCTGAGGCCCGAGAATCTCTGGAACCCGGGAGATGGAGGTTGCAGTGAGCCAAGATTGTGCCACTGCACTCCAGCCTGGGTGACAGAGTAAGACTCTGTCTCAAAAAAAAAAAAAAATTCCTTTGTCTTCCATTAAACCATATATTTAAAAAGATTACAAAAATGTAAAACAATACCAGTCTTATCACTAAATTTTTCTTGTTTTGGAAAATACTGACTTTTTAATTTTAAATATATATTTGTAACATAATGAGTTATAATTTTTAATGAATTAACATTTTTAAACTTTCTCAGGTTTACCATCTGCCACGGTAAATATTAATAGATGTAACACACATAGACAAAATCCCTCTGAGGTCCCCAATAATGTTAATTTTAAGAGTATAAAGGGGTCCTGAGACAAAAGTTTGAGAACCACTGTTCAAAAGTCTTGATAAAATTTAGGCTAAACATTTTTTGCAAGGATACTTAATATGTGGTGCTGTATATGTTATATTGCACCGAGAAGCTCATAGTATCTCATTATTTCATTTTTAGTGATGTAATTTAATTGAATTTTGATATAGAAGATGTAATTATCAATTGCTTATTTAGATTTTGATAGCTGAACAGAATGGAAATGTTTATTTTTAATTTTTTATTTATTTATTTATTTTTTGAGACGGCGTCTCGCTCTGTCGCCCAGGCTGGAGTGCAGTGGCGCCATCTCGGCTCACTGCAAGCTCTGCCTCCTGGGTTCACGCTATTCTCCTGCCTCAGCCTCCCAAGTAGCTGGGACTACAGGTGCCCGCCACCACACCTGGCTAATTTTTTGTATTTTTAGTAGAGATGGGGTTTCACTGTGTTAGCCAGGATGGTCTCGATCTCCTGACCTTGTGATCTGCCCACCTCTGCCTCCCAAAGTGCTGGAATTACAGGCATGAGCCAGAAATGTTTATTATTAAAAACTGATAGGAAACATTTTGCTTTAGGTAGACCAAATTTTACCTCTTCATAAAGGCTTGGGAGAAATCTTTGGAGTCAAAGATTAATTATAATTATTTATTGCTGTGAATATTCCTTCAATATCCTTGTTGTATATTTGTATGTGATTCTGTTGTTGATGGATATGGAGCTACTTTGGACAATTAGTTTAATTTCATATGAAGTTTGAGGTTTCATACCCAGTAAAAATGACAGCTATTGTTTATGGAGAAAGTGTGTAACTCTCAAGTTACTTCTGGCTTTGTAATTGGGATGGTATTTTGTCAGTTATTATTATTAGGTGTATGTCTACAAGTGTCTGGCCTGAGGCCTTACTGTTAAATTTATTAACCTCTTCTTAATACTCACCCAGATTCTAATACACAATATAATTGTAATCCCTGAAGCACTGACTCTCAATTTGGGCTGAATGGGGGCAGGAGAAATTTTTTTATGCCTTCAGATGATTCTGATAAGTACCCTAATCATTATTCTACATTTATGCCCTTAGAAAGCTCATCTGCTTTGCCTTTCAGAGTTCTGTATCATCATTCCCAGTTCATGTCTCTTATTATTCCCCTTTCTTCCCCTGATGCGTTGTAATTTACATTCTCTCTTTTTTTTTTTCCTTTGAGCATAGGGTCGACTGTTTATTGGGTAATTTCCTCCTTTATTTTGTTTAAAATTGTAGAAAACTTAAGAGGTATATTTGATTTCTTGTTTTTTACTCGCTGCTTCCACTACTTCCAGTTTATAAGGTTCTTGCTTCAGAATACCTCTTAGATGCAAGCCTTCTTCATTCCCATTGCCACAACTCTGATTTCACATCTTCCTTACTGCACACCTTGCATTATATTCCAGAAGTAATTTACATTGTGAATTTATTTTTTTATTTCACTTAAACTTGTTGAGCTTTCTTGCTATCCTTTCTTGGTATAAGGAACTTAAGATACCAGTTTGCTGATATCAGAGCAAGTACAAATTCTTAATCTTTGCTATTCTTCATCTTCATCCAAGCACTCTATTTTAGTTAAATCAGTTCTCTTCATTATCTCGCACATATGCCACATCCTTTCCTGTATTCCTATCCATTTGTAAATGTTATATAATACTGTACCTCCACTATAAGCTTTTCTGCTATCCAGTCAATCCATATACTTAACGGTCTTCCTCCATGACATTTTATCTGATTGGTTTCACTGTATAATGATCTTTGCCTTTTCTGAGCTGATTCTTCTCAATTGATATGAATGATAAAATTTTGTTTATTAGTGGTTATTCTACTTATAAATTCATAAATTCAATTAATGTACTTGCTTATTATTTTTATTGCTTTATATTCCTTAAAATATTTTAATCTAGTACATCTGTATAATTTCATCCTTATCTGTAGCACTATCCTAAATACAAAATAAATCTCAGTGCCAGTAAATGCAACATTTTCTGAATCCCTGCTATGTCCCATGCCCAGAGCTTGATACTAAGTAAAGGTGAATAATCATATTCCCTGTCTTCAGAAAACTACCTCTAATATAGAAGATTAATATGTAAACAAAGAATTATAATTACATTATGGTGAGTATTGTAATGGAGACAAGCACTAAGGAGAGTGGAGGAACAATGGATAACCCTGCTATGGATTAGGGAAGATTTCACAAAAAGAGCTGTTGTATGAACTGTCAAAAAGAGAAGGTAGAAGAATGGTGAGAGGCCATTCTAAGAAGCAGGAATAGGATTTACATGAATGCTGAGATGCCAAACACCGTAGTACAATGGAAGGAAAGGCAAATTGATCAAATAGAGTGAAGCTGTTGTCTTGGACAAATCAATTTTTGATCCAAGGACAAATCAATTGCTACTTAGTTTCTCCTGCTCCCAAATCCTGTCTCATCTCAGAGCAGAGAGTTTCCGGTTGGTAATTAAGAGGCAAACTTCTGACTGCTGATATGTGTTTTTACTGCTATTATATTGTTGTATTTTAATGGTGAAAGAGACTTTATCTGTTTATAGGCTTTTGGAAGGAGCAAGAGGAAGAGAGAGAGAAGTAGAAATCATGGTGGGTGGTGGTGGATAGGGTAGAGTAATATCCAGGATTCAATGGGCTTGTGACATGGTATAATGGTAAGTCTTGATAGGGAAGGTTTTCTCCTGAGGTAAGGGAAGCAAGATGGGTTTTGGAAGCAAAGTCTTGGGTTCACATCCTTGCCCTAGTTATTGCCATACGATCTTGAGCAATTCACTTAATTTCTCTGTACTTCAATTATTTTGTTCTCTGTAAAAGAGATACTATTACCCTCTTACAGATTGCTTAGCACAGTAGATAGTACTGGTACTGATAGTAGGCTGTGGTTATTGTCTATGAAATATGAGTTGTCATCTTCTTGGGGGGGTGTGTAGAATGAAAGATGGCCTTTAAGGATGATAAAGGCTTAAAATAACATCTATGAAACTTTGAACTGATTAGGAAATAATAATTGTGAAGCAGCACCAGGCATCCAGAATCTTCCTTTTTAGTATTGATAAACACTATTATGTAAACAATGAATATATTGTTTGTACGCGTGTCTATGTGTATGCAAGTGGAAAAGGGCAAATTTTTACCTATTACATACTTCTTTCTTGTGAATAACCAATAATAGGCTGGGCCTGTAGGCTCACGCCTGTAATCCCAGCACTTTGGGAAGCCGAGGTAGGCAGATTGCTTGAGCTCAGGAGTTCAAGACTAGCCTGGGCAACATGATGAAACATTATCTCTACAAAAAATACAAAAATTAGTTGGCCGTGGTGGTGCATAGTTGGCTGTGGTGATGCATGCCTGTAGTCCCAGCCACTGGGAGGCTGAGGTAGAAGGATCGCCTGAGCCGGGGAGGTGGAGGTTGCAGTGAGCCTAGATTGTGCCATTGCACTCGAGCCTGGACAATAGAGTGAAAGCCTGTCTTAAAAAAACAACAAAAAAACCCACAATAGCTTAGATTGCTAAAGTAGTCCTCAGTTTTCTATATTCTGAATTCTGTGTATCAGGGTTTGAAGAATAGAATAGAAGTTATTGACATAAATGAGTTAGGTTTCATAGGAGAAAAGTTAATTTTACTTGGTGTATTTTCTACTGAATAAGTTTCATCTGTGTATTTGTGAATATTTATTAATTATAAACTGTGACCAAGCACTATACTAGGTATTGGGGATATACCAAGTCAAAAAGTTGTGCCTCACCTGGAGTTTACATTCAGTTTTGTTAAAAAAAAAAAAATGTTGATAGAAGTCAGTAAGTTGGCTGGGCGTGATAGCTCACGCCTGTAATCCCAGAACTTTGGGAGGCCAAGACTGGGGGATCACTTGAGGTCAGGAGTTTGAGACCAGCCTGGCCAACATGGTGAAACCCCAGTCTCTACTAAAAATACAAAAATTAGCTGGGCATGATGGCATGTGCCTGTAGTTGCAGCTACTTGGGAGGCTGAGGTAGGAGAATCACTTGAACCCAGGAGACAGAAATTGCAGTGAGCTGAGATAGCGCCATTGCACTCCAGCCTGGGTGACAGCAAGACTTGGTCTAAAAAAAAAAAAAAATTGATAACTCTATTAGAGTGATAAGGTTTGTGTCTAGAATAGATGGGAGATAAAGGGTGAGAAGCTGAACTAGGTTTATTGTTACAGCACAGCAAATTCAATCATTTCTTTTTGCCCGAAATGTATGACTAGGTACTAATACAATCTGACTTTTTTATTAAAACATGTAATGAAGTAATTAGGGAGGAAATATAAGCCAGTAGATTCAAAACTGAGGGGAAAAATAACAAAAGTTGTAGTGGATCAAAGTAGATTTGTAGATCAACATGCTATATGAGTGATACTGCTAAACAGTAACAGGTGTTTCTGTTATGTGACTCCTGAGCCTTAATTTCCTCATATGATTATGGTAGTCATAACTGCCAGGCCTACTAAGGTTGCGAAAAACAAATCTGTTGAAATTATATAAGAAAGTACATTTGAAAAAGTTGAGAAATATATTTGTTGTATTTGACATATAACTAGATTGACTCTGAAATGTCTTCTATCTCAATAGATTCTTGATGTTTCAGAAGGGTTTGACTTAGGCTTTCTGCTACAAAAGATTGGGAGGATAGTAGCACTAACTGGCTTTCTTAAGTGTAATGAGGCTCATATTTGCACAGAAGTTACAAAATCTGTGATTGTGATATATTCAAGGAATTTTATTTTTAAAAATGCCTCCAACTTTTCAATAAAAAAGTAAATAGATGGCAAATTATTCTGTGTAGAGATGAATATCTAGATATTAAAACTTAAAAGTATGATTCTGATTACATAATCAAGTCATAGGCTTTCAGTAGTCCTTAAAGTCTGCTTTCTATCCTTCAGTGAATTTTTGAAGTTTGTTTATAGAATATTTTGTGCTTATCATATTAAATATTAGAAGACCTTTGGGGACTTGATTGATTCTCTGCATGGCATAACGTGCCAAGTCAGAGTATTAATCAGAAATATTTTTTTTTTGTATGTGCATACTAAAAATGTACATTTAGGTTTTTTTCTATCAGTGTTACTGAATATATTATATACCTACCCATCTAAAGTGTATAATTCACTGGTTTTAGCATCTTCACAGTGTTAAAAGAAAAACTTCAGCCAAATTAAATTTAAAGGCGTTTAATTGAGCAATGAACGATTCGTGAATTGAGCAGTCCCCAGAATCACAGCAGATTCAGAGAGACTCCAGGGATGCCTCATGGTCAGAACAGATTTATAGATAAGAAAAAGGGATGTGACATACAGAAACCAGATGTGAGGTACAGAAACAACTGGATTGGTTACAGCTTGCTGTTTGCCTTATTTGAACACTCAGCAATGTATGAGTGGTTGAAATACAGCCGTGAGGGCTGGGCGCAGTGGCTCACGCCTGTAATTCCAGCACTTTGGGAGGCTGAGGCAGGCAGATTACCTGAGGCCAGGAGTTTGAGACCAGCCTGGCCGACATGGTGAAACCCCGTCTCTACTAAAAATACAAAAATTAGCCATGCGCGGTGGCGGGCGCCTGTAATCCCAGCTACTAGGGAGGCTGAGGCAGGAGAGTCACTTGAACCCGGGAGGCAGAGGTTGCAGTGAGCCGAGATCACGCCATTGCACTCCTGCCTGGGTGACAGAGTGAGACCCTGTCTAAAAAAAAAAAAAAAAAAAAGAAAAGAAAAGAAAAAAGATAGAAATTTGGCTGTTGGGATTGGCCAAGACTCAGCAGTTGTTACGGGCATACTCCTAAGTTAGGTTTTCAGTCTTGTCTACCTGTTAAGTTAGGTTGCAATTAGTCCACACAGACTCAAATTAGAAGTACAAAGTCCTTCTCGGGCCATATTTAGTTTGCTTTAACAACAGGTATGTGCAGCCATCACCACAGTCAACTTTAGAATAATTTTATCACATGATAAAGATATTCTGCACCCTGTAGCAATCACTTTTCTATACAAACATTCCCCCCACTCCTGTGCAACCCCTAATCTGTTTATGTCACTATAGGTTTTTCTATTCTGGACATTTCATCTAAATAGAGTCATTTAATATGTGGTCTTTTATTACTAGCTTCTTTCACTTTGTATAGTGTTCTCAAGGTTCGTCCATGTTGTAGCAAATGTTCATGCTTCATTCCTCTTTAAGTCTGAGTAATATTCCAGTGTGTGTGTGTGTGTGTGTGTGTGTGTGTGTATGTATAAACACAATTGTTTAGCCATTTATCGATTGGTAGACATTTGGACTGTTCCTACCATTGGCTGTTGTGAATAGAGCTGCTACGAAGAATATTCATGTACAAGTTTTTGTTTGAATATCTGTTTTTACTTCCTTTAGATATATACCTAGAAGTGAAATTACCATGTGTATATGCTAATCCTATGTTTAACCATTTGAAGAACTGCCAGCCTATTTTCCAATAGCTGTACCATATTACATTCCCACCATCAGTGTAAGAGAATTGTGATCTCTTCATATTCTTGCCAATCCTTGTTGTTATTATTATTATTATTATTTTGAGACAGAATCTCACTCTGTCACCCAGACTGGAGTGCAGTGGCACAATCTCGGCTCACTGCAGTTTCCATCTCCTGGGCTCAAGTGATTCTCCCGCCTCAGCCTCCTGAGTATCTGGGACCATGGACACACACCACCATGCTGGCTAATTTTTTTGTATTTTTTGTAGAGACGAGGTTTTGTCATGTTGCCCAGGCTGGTCTAGAACTCCTCAGATCAAGCGGTCTGCCTGCTTTGGCCTTCCAAAGTGCTGGGATTACAGGTGTGAGCCACTGTGCCAGCCTGTGTCTTCTGTTCTTAAAAGGACAGCAGTCATTGGGTTAAGGACCCACACTGCTCCTGGATGACTTCATCTTAACTAATTACTTAACTAATTTTTTTTCCAAAAAAATTCATATTGTAAGGTACTAGAGATTGGAACCACAACATATCTTTTTGAGGGACACAGTTCAACCCCATAACAATTCATGGGTTCATTCAGCAAATATTCAAGTCTCTTCTATGTTCCAGACTGTTTTCTAGATCCTAGATATTGAATATTATTGTTATGTCAAACACAGTCCCTGTCTCTAAAGAACTTACCAAGGGAAGGGGAACAAACAAATAAAGCAAACAGTTACAATACAATAGAAAACACTTATTTTAGGGATAGGTACTTAATGAAAGCATGTAAGAGTGGTACCTAATCAAGTTTGGACAGGTTAGGGATATGGTGTTAAAGAATTAGGGAAAGACTAAGATAGTGTTATATATGAAGATGCATGATTTTGAGTATCTTGTCAAGTTTGGAAGTAGGAAAAGGACAAGGCAAGGGATAAGGGACAAAAGGAAAGCTTAGACTTTAATGTAGAGCACTGAGGGGACTGTTTTAAAAGTGGGTAGCTATCATGTATGTCAACACCTACAGACTTAAATTTTAGAAAGATTATTTCTGACTGCAGAGTGGAGAATGGATTTCTGAGGAAAGACTAAATGTTGAAAACTCAGTTAAAAAGGTATTGAAGTAATCTAAGGGAAATGACTAATAGTCTGAAATAAGGAGTTGTAAGAGAGAAGGCCAAAGTGGATGGATTAGAGAGATTTTGTTTGTGAATTAGATTTGAGCTAACCTCATTTGTTTTTTTCCACTTAACATTTATGAAAATAAATGCTCATGTACATATATATACTTAAGATCAAACAATATCAAACCTGATTGTGAGGTTAAATATATAACTTTAGATTTGGGGACTATAAAATTTATAATTTGTATATGAAATGTTTTATATATTTTATTTACTAACTTACCAATCATTACTTTTTTTGAGACAGAGTCTTACTCTGTCTTTCAGGCAGGAGTGCATGGTTCAGTCTTGTCTCACTGCAACCTCCGCCTCCCAGGTTCAAGTGATTTTCCTGCCTCAAGCTTCCTGAGTAGCTGGGATTGCAGGCTCCCACCACCATGCCTGGCTAATTTTTTTTTTTTTTTTTTTTTTAAGTAGAGATGGAGTTTCACCATGTTGGCCATGCTGCTCTCGAACTCCTGACCTCAAGTGATCCGCCCACCTCGGCCCCCAAAGTGCTGGGATTACAGGTGTGAGCCACCACACCTGGCCCATTCTGTCGTATTCTAAATGGAGTAGCAAACTATGCTTCTTGGCCAAATTCAGCCTGGTGCCCATTTTTGTACAGCCCATGACATAAGTATGGTTTTTGGTTTTGTTTTTAATTTTTTGAGAGAAAGTCTCACTCTGTCACCGAGGCTTGAGTGCAGTGGTACAATCATAGCTCTCTGTAGCCTTGAACTTCTGGGCTCAAGTGATCCTCTTGCCTCAGCCTTCTGAATCGCTAGGACTACAGACATGTGCCACCATGTCCAGCTTTTTTTTTTTTTTTTTTTTTGTAGAGGTGGGGTCTCACTATGTTGCCCATGCTGGTCTCAAACTCCTGGCCTCAAGTGATCCTCCTACTTTAGCCTCCCAAAATGCTGGGATTACATTTACGAGTACCATGACTGGCTGGTTTTTATATTTTTTAATGTTTGGGGAAAATGTCAAAAGAAGAGTATTTTGTATGATACGAAAACTACATGAAATTCAAATTTCAGTGTCCATAAATAAGTTTTTCTGGCATACAGCCACACTCACTTGCTTCCATATTATTTATGGCTGTTTTCACACTATAATGGCAGAGTTGAATAATTGCAACAGACTGTATGATACATACAGCCTACAATATTTACTATTAGGCCCTTAACAGGAAAATTTACTTACTCCTGTGTTAAACATATGTCACCAGAACTTTGTAAAACATGTTCCCCTGTAGAGTCCTGTAAGAAATTACTGATCTACGAAAGTAGTGGTGATGTTCTTCTATAAGAATGCGTTAGCCTCTGTATTTGTAAAGACATGAGAATCTTGGTGCAAACAAGTAGCTACTTAACAGGTCAGAAAATGTGTAGGCAGTCTTTTCTCTCTGTTAAGAGTAGAACTAAAACTTTAACATTTTTATTTGCCAAATGCAAACTCAAAAGCTCAGTTGAGAAGAAAATCTTCTTAAATGAAAGATGTCTTTGATAGTAAGTTTAACAGAACCTGGAAAGACTGGTGTCACTGTTTCTGTATTCTCAGTATAGTGTTTAACCTGTTTTCAGTTGTTCAGCAGCTTTTGTTTTTTATTAAACTGAGACAAAAATCATATATCATAAAATTAACCATTTTAACCATTTTTAAGTATACTGTTCACTGGTTTTTAGTATATCCACAATGTTAATGCAGTTATCACTACTAATTCCAGAACCTTCCCATCATCCCCAAAATGAAGCCCCATACCAGTTAGCAGTCATTTCCCATTCTCCTCTCCAACCCATCCCCTAGCGACCACTAATCTGCTTTCTGTCTCTGGATTTGATTTTCCTATTCTAGGTATTTCATGTAAATGGAATTATACAATAAGTGGCATTTTGTGTCTGGCTTCTTTCACTTAGCAAAATGTTTGCAAGGTACATCCATGTGGTAGCATGTATCAGTACTTTTTAATAGTTAAATAATATTCTATTGCATATATATACTACATTTTGTTCTATTCAGCAGGTTTTATTTCCCTTTAGTTCTTTAGTTTCTTCCTCTTTTTCTCAATGTTAAACTGCTTGACTCTATAGCTGCCTCTTAATCTGGAGAGAGATTGAGAACAATGTTTTAGTCCATTTGGGCTGCTATATCAAAAATGCCATAAACTAGGTGGCATATAAACAACAACCATTTATTTCTCACAGTTCTGAAGGCTGGAAAGCCCAAGATCAGGTGCCATCAGATTTGGTATCTAGTGAGGTTCTGTTCCTCATAGACCGGACTTTCTCGTGTCATTTTCACATGGTGAAAGAGTCAAAAAGCTCCCTCCGGACTCATATTATAAGGGCAGTAATCCATTTCACGGTTCTGCCCTCATGACCTGATCTGCTCTCATGACCTGATCACCTCCCAAAGACCTTCACCTCTTAATACTGTCTCATTGGACGTTAGATTTCAACATAAAAATTTTAGGGGGACACAAACATTCAGACTATAGCATACATGAAGGAGGAAATATAGAGTGTCTTAAAAGGTATTGTCCTAGAGCTAGGTTTATTATATCGTTGTTTGTATTCATTGTGCACAGCACACCGTAGGCACTCATTAATATTTTGAAGAATAAATGATTCAAAGTAATGTCAAATATAGTCAAAATCAGACATTATGTATATTTGGGAGAGTTGTATTTACTCTGTGAAAGAGAAGTGAAATTTGAGGTGACCTTCAGAATTATCCTACTAAAATGAAGTTGAATAGCAGCAAGTAGAAACTGATGTACCTATAAAAGCAATATATTTTATATTAATGGCAAAAAACACAATTACTTTTGCATGAACCTAATAGAATAGGAAAAACTATTTGGTGCAAATAAAGCAGAAAACAATAATAGGTAGAAAGGCTATCCCAGGACTAGAAAGGCTCTTCTGTAGGTTCTCAAATCTCAGTTGTAATTTCTGAACAACTAGTTTAACTCTTTCCATTATGGGGCTAGGTCTGTATTTTATTTTATTTTATTTTTTTAGGTATTTCCCCTTAATTTTTACCCTATAATTACTACTCTCACTTTGTTCTTTCTTCCCTGAGACTTCATAGGGCAGACCAAATTGTAATTTCCCTTGGTGTAGTCCGTAAAATGTTTCAAGACAGTTTTTCTAATGTTAGGAGTCCTTTTTTGTCAAGACCCATCATTGTCAATTTGTAAAACTTGTTCCTTTGAATTTCTTGAGGGAAGGGGCTTATATGCATTATTGGAAGAGGGAGATGCTCAGCAACTGTTTTCTTGATCTTCAGGAGGTTACATAAGAAGGAAGAGAAACTGTAATTGAACATAAGAACTTGGCAACATTGTATAATATTGCAGAGGCCTTGGTGGTAAAGGTTTGAGATTCTGTCATCTGAGAATTTTTGAGAAGGGACCAAGACAGCTAACAGACTCAAGTGATTTTATTTATTTATTTATTTATTTATTTTTGGAGACGGAGTCTCTCGCTGTCGCCCAGGTTGGAATGTAGTGGCATGATCCCAGCTCACTGCAACCTCTGCCTCCTGGATTCAAGCAATTCTCCTGCCTCAGCCTCCCAGGTAGCTGGGATTACAGGCACCCGCCACCATGCCCAACTAATTTTTGTATTTTTAGTTAAAACGGGGGTTTTACCGTGTTAGTCAGGCTGTTCTGGAACTCCTGAGGTCAAGTGATCCACCCACCTTGGCCTCCCAAAGTGCTGGGATTACAGGTGTGAGCGACCACGCCTGGCCCAGGCTTGAGTGATTAGTTCAGCATGGTATCAGTAATCCTTTACACTCTTTAAAGTTATTGAGGACCCCAAAGAGCTTTTATTTACTTGTGTTCTATCTACTTTACCGTATTATAAATTAAAATAGAATTTGCAAAAGCATTTAAAAATGATAAATAACATAAGCCCTGTATATGTTGGTATCAATAACATTTTTATGACAAATAACTATTTTCCAAAACAAAATTTAAAAACTTACTGAGAAGAGGGGCATTTCCACATTTTTGCAAATCTAATGTCTAGTCTAAAAGAAGATTGCTAAATTCTCATATCTGCTTTTCTGTTCAGTCTGTTACAATATGCTGTTTGGGTTGAAGTATATGAAGAAAATCTGGCCTCATGCAGATATGTAGTTGCAAAAGGAAATACTTTATAGACCACAAGAAAGGATATTGAGGACCCTGAAGGGTCTTTATACCACACCTTTGAGAACCACAGTTTTAGCAAACCAACCATGCAAAGTGCAGTCCTCAGACCAACAGAATCAGCATCTCAGGGTGCTTGTATTTAGTGTAAAATTTTGGCCCCATTCCAGGCCTGTTAAAATCTGCATTTTACATAGTCCAAGGGTGATTCATATGTACATTAAAGTTTGAGAAGTATGAGCTGGGTCAGTAATCCCTTAAGGTCTTTTTCAGTTCCATGTACCTTTATTTGGTTAATTAAATAAAAAGTAGGCTATATAGTATAATACCAAAATGTTATTTAAATAAACTATTGTTCAGTCATTCATGTAAACTTTTAAGTAGCATTATAAGTAACCAATTTGACTTAAAAATTATATTATTATAGCATTTATATGCAATTTTGCATTTTTTCTGCCTTTTTGGTTGTTGCTTTTTAAAAATTTTCTTTATTTTATTTTATTTTTTTTTGAGACGGGGTCTTGCTCTGTCGCCCAGGCTGGAGTGCAGTGGTGCGATCTTGGCTCCCTGCAACCTACGCCTCCTGGGTTCAAGTGATTCTCCCGCTTCAACCTCCCAAGTAACTGGGAGGGACAATAGGCATGGGCCACCACAGCCGGCTAACATGTATTTTCTGGTAGAGATGGGGGTTTCACCATGTTGGCCAGGCTGGTCTCAAACTCCTGACCTCTAGCAATCCACCAGCCCCGGCCTCCCAAAGTTCTGGGATTACAGGCGTGAACGACCACGCCAGGCCTGGTTGTTGCTTTTTAAAAAGGAAAACCGGTAAATCAAGCTGTAGAAAATGTGGAATAAAAAACTTGAAGAGTAAGTCCATTGGAACTGTGCTAGAATCCTTAGTTTCTAAGGATGCCGCAGGTGGCATGCATTTGTGCTTTATTTTTCCTCTAAGCTATGAAAATTTAGTTGTGTATGCTCTACAGTCCTTAATTCTGCACTGTCCATTACCATACTTCTTGCCTAGGAAATACTGTCTAGATTTTACCAATCTCCATTCCCATCTTCTGGCTTCTAGTAAAGAATAAAAAGGGCTGTGGTCTTTGTTACTTTCCTAAAAGTTTTCTTATGTTTTGGGTGCTGAGATAAATGTGGAGGGTTTAAATAAGTTCTTAGATAATATAATTTATATAATTATATAAGCAATCATGATGATTCTGTGTTGAAATAGGCCTTGAAATATTGTACCTTCTCTTTTTTTTTTTTTTTTTTTTTTTGAGACGGAGTCTCGCTCTGTCACCCAGGCTGGAGTGCAGTGGCGGGATCTCGGCTCACTGCAAGCTCCGCCTCCCGGGTTCACGCCATTCTCCTGCCTCAGCCTCCCAAGTAGCTGGGACTACAGGCGCCCGCCACTACGCCCGGCTAATTTTTTGTATTTTTAGTAGAGACGGGGTTTCACCGTTTTAGCCGGGATGGTCTCGATCTCCTGACCTCGTGATCCGCCCGCCTCAGCCTCCCAAAGTGCTGGGATTACAGGCGTGAGCCACCGCGCCCGGCCTGTACCTTCTCTTAAGTCAGCTTGCAATTTAAATTTTTAGTTAGTAAATTTAACTAATTTTAAAATATGTTAGTGTCTGTCTGCTTAACTATTGCATACTTATTAAAGAAACATGCGTGGTTATCCATTGGAAGAGATCGATCCTAGGGCTTCCTGATACAAACACACCCACAGACCCCAGCCACTCTAGATTTCTGGTTTTCATCCCAGGTCTATTGTGTATACCCTGGCTATTAGTAACCAGTAAACCACTCTCCCCCTTCTGTAGATTTAGTACTAACTTAGAAAAAGGATACAAAGAAGAGTTTGTATTTAACAGCTCAGGATTGCCTTTTCAGGTGGAAGAAATAGGCTCTGGAGTTGGATCTGCTTCCTTTCAAATTCCGGCAATGTCATTGCCTAGCTGTGAGACCTTGAGCAAATTATTTACTTCTCTGAGCCTAAAGTATTTGTGAAGATTAAATGAGAAAGGCAAAGTGCCTGGCATACAGTTATCAATCAGTACCTAATAGGTATCACCATTATCATCAACATCATTATTATTAATACATATTTAGTAGTGAAATAAGGTGTCTCTTTTTATGTTAACCAGTGACATTCAGCAAATTGCATTAATTTAAATGTGCTTCCTAAGTGTCACATAAAATCAAGCTTTAAATGGGAGAACAAGCTAACATTTATTTGTAATCTTGTCGATCACCTTGCAAAGTGCTTTACATATACTGTTTTAATCTTTTATATCATGATAAGTAGATAATGTCTTCATTTCACAGGTAAGAAAATAGACTCAGAGTTTAAGCATTTTGCCTAAGGACATGCAGGAGAAATAATAGTAGTCAGAAACCAAGGTTCTGTTAACATGATACTAATACAAACATTAACATTATTTTCCTTTACCTCTTTTTTGTTTTGTTTTTAACCTGTTTTCTAGACCGCAAGGAAAACTGAGGGTAAAAAGTTTAGGAGATGTGAGTAACAAAAGTCTGGTACTGCAGTTTTGAGCTCTGAGTAAAGGTTCATTCCCCCTATTTAACAGAGAAAAACTTATTAATTGTATGCTATACTTGTAGTCTTGACCCAGTTGTCATGAAAGTCTATGCCACTGATAATGAGAAGATCCAAGTAAAAGTAGGAATATATTTAGCACCACTTTGGTGTGCTTTTAAAATAATAAAAACCGTAGCAGGCAATGATATCAACTTTTTATATGAAGGATAGTGCGTTTGAACTGGAGCAGTACACAAGCTTTCATGTATTCAGAGAGTAACGAGCCTTGGGGAATCGTGAGTAAGTTAATTTCTTTGATAGAGCTAGCTTGATTTGGTAGGGAGTTCAAAGAGGCTTGTTTTCCAATGGGATCATAGGGTATGTTCAAATTCCTGTAAACTAATGGTTCATAACTGTAAGAATCTGGCTGAATCCAGCCCTATAACAACCAAGTTAGAAATAATGGGGATTTTTAATTACTTTGTTTGTGTAATTTGACTTTGTCACTGATTCCATTAGCTTTTGGATTGCAAGGTTTGAACATTTTGTCTGGGAAAAAACAGAACTAAAGCCATTAGGGTAAAATTCCTTTTAGTTTTTATATAACAGATTGCAATTCACCCTACCTTTTTACTGAAACAAGTGAGACTGATTCCTGATTAGATGGTGTTTAAAAAGTTGAAGGAAACTTTGTATTTATTTCTTTAGCAGCTAGAATTTGTTGTGCTATCAGTGAAAATCTATTGGAATTAGCTGAACTGGTTCCTTAATAAATTTTGTTTCTATGTCTATCCAGCAAATTTAGGTTATAATTGTAAAAGAAAAGTTCCAGTACTAGGGGGCTATATCTTAGGAACATTTTGCATGATTTTCAGAAGCATTTCATTATTCTGCTGTGATTTAATTAAGATTAAAGGTGGTAGCATTCCCAGTGTTTTAGGTACTAAATAATAATTATTAAATCATTATTTCAGAATTCCTCAAAAAAGCTGACCTTACTTACCTACCCTGAATATTGATCTGTAATTCACAAGGCGGTAGACTACAGAATAAAAACAAAGGATATAGAAAGATTGTTTTCCATATTTAAATACAGCAGTACTGAGTTTTCTGATATACTGTAAATAACCTAAATGCTAAAGGATTCATATAGATACTTTGTAATTGCTACTTTCTCTAATGGATTGTATGTATATATGATTTGAGGTATACCCTGAAAGAAGCATAAGACTCAGTTGACTGAAAAAAGGGGGCAGAATAGGAAAAGTATTCTTGTTGGTAGAAGTGTTCACTAAAGTATTCAGTGAACAAGTAACCAGTTTGACTGAACTTACTTTGGGGAGATTGGGTAAAGATGTGGGTGGAAGTTAAATTATGATTTTCACACCACTTTTAAAAGCACAATAACATGGACCAGAAATAACATTAAACTAGATGCTGGAAAATCTGGATTCTAGTTTTTGTTTTACCATTGATTCGGCCCGTACTTAACTGGAGTATAAATTATATTTATCTTCTAGGTGGTGAAGGTGGTGCAGTGTATCTAGCAGATTGCCTGATAGCTGTTAGACTAGATGAGACACTCCATAGTCAACTAGTTGAATTAATGGATTAATTCTCTTTTTTTTTTTTTTTTTTTTTTTTGAGATATAGTCTCACTCTGTCGTTAGGCTGGAGTGCAGTGGCATGATCTTGGCTCACTGCAACCTCCGCCTCCCAGGTTTAAGTGATAACTCCTGACTCAGCCTCCCGAGTAGCTGGGACTACAGGCATGTGCCAACATGCCCAGCTAATGTTTGTGTTTTTAGTAGAGACGGGGTTTCACCATGTTGGCTAGGATGGTCTTTCTTGACCTCCTCGTGATCTGCCCGCTTCGGCCCTCCAAAGTGTTGGGATTACAGGCGTGAGCCACCGCGCCTGGCTGGCTAATGGATTAATTCTAACTTTGACATAGAATTAACATTTCTGTTATTTGAACAAGGAAGGACTCTTAATCTGGTTTATTCTAGATCTGTGATCCTGTGGTCATTTAGTAGGTGTGGAGAACTATTAACCGTTTTTGAGCAGTGTGATTATGAGTTAAATGATACCAGATGATTGGAAATGGTTAAATGTCAGATGCTTAAATGGAGTCAGATGGTAGGAGCTAGCCACAATGTAAAACACAAATTGGAGATGAAGAGAATGGAAATATGAGGCCCATCTTAAACTGGTCTAGGCTTAAAGAGATGAGGTATTAGAAATCAGAACTTTGATGGTTACTTTTGTAATACAAAAACAATGACTTGTGAGGCAGCAAAGAAGCCAGTAAAAACTTTTTTTTTTTTTTTTTTTTGCTTGGTCAGAGATCTTTGGCTGTTGGAGAAGAGTAAGAATACTAGTCACAAAACCATTTCCCAGTTGTTTTTAACTTTATCTTTGTGTTAAGAGCCCATAGAGAATAATAGTAGTACTTAAATATTGTGGGGGAAGAAGCATCCAATGATGACTAAGGTTTCTTCTCTGGACTATGGAAATAATGACACGATTGAAAGAAATAGGGGAAATCCAGAGAAAGGCACTGACTTTGAGAGAAAGAGGAATAAGTTTAGATATGTAAACTGTTATCTGTGAATGGTACTTTTGTTGTAATATATTGAAAACTCTTATTTTGATTTATAGAAAAGGTTGCTCTTTATAGAATCTAGATATTTGTGCCTACATCGTACCTTTGTCTCCTCAAGCCCCCCAAAGCCCCCTCAGTTTGGTTTATTTGTTGCCTAATAGAGTTTTAAAACTACCCACATCTTTATATCTGATGGACCTTTGAGGCAGGACACGTGGCACTTGTTTTCTAGCTCTTTCATTTAGCCAAGCATGGTCCTACACAGGCTTGCTCATACAGTTAAGTTAGAGGTAGGCTGCACTTTTGCAGCACACATTGCTGCATTTCTGAGCAATACCTGACATCCTAGACTACTTAGTAGTAACAAATTGTGTTGAGCCAGAGATTAGTGGTAGTTGCTTTGAGATAGCTTGTTAGAATTAGTAGCATTTCTAACCTTTAGATGTATTACTTCCAAACAGCTTCCAAGCCATTATCTTATGTACTGTTGGTAATTGAAGCCTTAGCATTCACTGTCTTGATCAGGATTCAAGCTTACAAAATTACAAGGGAGAGAGGACTTTAATCTGTTACCCATTACAACAAAGCAATGAGCAATGCTGTTTCTACAATCTTTGTTAATGCCCTGAAGAAAAACTTTCCCTTAATCACTAAAATTAAAGTAGTTTTTATTTGGGTCTATGAGATCTTCCTGGCAAATGGAATGTCTTAATTTTGAGACTTTTATAGGAGGGAGAAGAAGAGGCAAAAAATTTGTACCACTTGTGTACATAAATACTGTTGATTTTTTTTTATTATACCTTAAGTTTTAGGGTACATGTGCACAACATGCAGGTTAGTTACATATGTATACATGTGCCATGTTGGTGTGCTGCACCCATTAACTCATCATTTAACATTAGGTATATCTCCTAATGCTATCCCTCCCCCCTACCCCCACCCCACAACAGGCCCCGGTGTGTGATGTTCCTCTTCCTGTGTCCATGTGTTCTCATTGTTCAATTCCCACCTATGAGTGAGAACATGTGGTGTTTGGTTTTTTGTCCTTGCGATAGTTTGCTGAGAATGATGGTTTCCAGCTTCATCCATGTCCCTACAAAGGACATGAACTCATCCTTTTTTATGGCTGCATAGTATTCCATGGTGTATATGTGCCACATTTTCTTAATCCAGTCTATCATTGTTGGACATTTGGATTAGTTCCAAGTCTTTGCTATTGTGAATACTGCCACAATAAACATACATGTGCATGTGTCTTTATAGCAGCATGATTTATAATCCTTTGGGTATATACCCAGTAATGGGATGGCTGGGTCAAATGGTATTTCTAGTTCTAGATCCCTGAGGAATCGCCACACTGACTTCCACAATGGTTGAACTAGTTTACAGTCCCTCCAACAGTGTAAAAGTGTTCCTATTTCTCCACATCCTGTCCAGCACCTGTTGTTTCCTGACTTTTTAATGATCGCCATTCTAACTGGTGTGAGATGGTATCTCATTGTGGTTTTGATTTGCATTTCTCTGATGGCCAGTGATGATGAGCATTTTTTCATGTGTCTTTTGGCTGCATAAATGTCTTCTTTTGAGAAGTGTCTGTTCATAACCTTTGCCCACTTTTTGATGGGGTTGTTTGATTTTTTTCTTGTAAATTTGTTTGAGTTCATTGTAGATTCTGGATATTAGCCCTTTGTCAGATGAGTAGATTGCAAAAATTTTCTCCCATTCTGTAGGTTGCCTGTTCACTCTGATGGTAGTTTCTTTTGCTGTGCAGAAGCTCTTTAGTTTAATTAGATCCCATTTGTCAATTTTGGCTTTTTTTGCCATTGCTTTTGGTGTTTTAGACATGAAGTCCTTACCCATGCCTATGTCCTGAATGGTACTGCCTAGGTTTTCTTCTAGGGTTTTTATGGTTTTAGGTCTAACATTTAAGTCTTTAATCCATCTTGAATTAATTTTTGTATGAGGTGTAAGGAAGGGATCCAGTTTCAGCTTTCTACATATGGCTAGCCAGTTTTCCCAGCACCATTTATTAGATAGGGAATCCTTTCCCTATTTCTTGTTTTTGTCAGGTTTGTCAAAGATCAGATGGTTGTAGATATGTGGTGTTACTTCTGAGGGCTCTGTTCTGTTCCATTGGTCTATATCTCTGTTTTGGTACCAGTACCATGCTGTTTTGGTTACTAGCCTTGTAGTAATACTGTTGATTTTTAAAAAATGTTCTGTGAAAGAGTAGTAAAGTAGTCTACCTTAATATCACTGCCTTTTAAATTAGGTGAACAGAGGAACTATTATCTCCACTTTAAAAACGAATTTAAGGGATATGGTCCAGGTCATGCAAACATAGTATGTGATGGATTGAACTGAGAACCCAGCCCCAGTATTGTGATTCCCTGTCCAGTGTTCGTTTGGCTACATATTCTGAGTTTACACTTTGTTCATTGAACTCAATCCCTTTTTTCTTTTAAAGTACACTTTCAAAATGATTGGAGGAAGGGAGTGTTTTTGGTAAATGGGTTTCTAGTGTACATAGAGTTAAGCATCCAAGAAAGGTTTTGATAGGTCCAGGAGATAGAAACTGTGCGCAAAGTAGGTGGAGCATTGAGCAAGTAAAAATCCCATTTTGCTTGTCTAGGATCTATTACTGTTGGCAGAGAAGCAGAAGGAATATTAACAGAATAGTTTTCCTGCTGTTGGGCATGCAGTTTTGTCCATCTAGAATAAATCTGTTGTTGGCTGAGTAGAGCAAATTCCTGTCTGAGAGTTGGGGAAGCATGGCTAGTGTTAAACAAGAAACTGTGTTTCAGTCTGACTTTGATGTCTGCCTTCCTTATGCTGTGGGCTGATGTACATCAGAGACATTTTTTCCTTCATTTTCCTCCAATAAGAAATCTGTTTTGCCTTTTCTGATGGATATTAAAAAGAAAGATTTTTGCTCAGTATTTGTCATCATAAATTCTCATTGCTGCTGCTGCCCTCAAAAGGATTGTATAAATGAGGTAGGTAAGAATTTCCAGTATATGTAACAGTTTATATTGTAGCCTTTTTGGTGATATTGGTAGAAAGTTTCCAATATTGAAATTGTTAACTTTCAGTTAAAGTATTGAAATTGTTAACTTGAGAATGCTTTAAAAATATTTAGAGTTCTGTAATTTAGTGAATTTATGGTGTATTCTGTGTGAGGAGGGGGTAGGCTTTTGTAAATTCTGAATGGTTAGGGAAAAGTTTACCTTTATTAAGAGTTAATGTTAATGTTACCCTACGACATTTGAAGCATCAGCTTTTAAGAAGCAAGTGCTGGCAATTCTTAGGATCTGAAAGATTGCGTCAGAGAATTCTGTGTTGTGACTCACTTTTATTTTTCTAGCAGATTAGTTGGCAAAACACAGTATATAGAATTCAAATGAGAAGTCAGCCTATAAAATGTGCATATGTTTTTGTGGGGTTTTTTTAGTTCAAATAATACAACATAAAATTTGATAAACATTTGTCTTATATCGGACTCTCAATGTGCTATTATAGAGTTACAGTTGTTCATTTTTTTGTACCCCATTTAAAATTGTGCAGAAGTGGCCTTTGTGTTTTGTAATGAGTGTACAATAGATATTCAAGAAATACTTATATTTAATGAAGAAAAATAAGCTACTGTCCCATGTCAAAAAACATATGACACTACTGCCTAAAGATAACTCTTGTGAATTAGAAAAGTAAGAGAAAAATATCTGTAGAGCCAGTGAGTTGTTGGCTCTGGAGGAGTGGAATGAGAGGGCTGTATGTCCTTAACAAACTCTAGTTTTGTTCTGTGTAAGATAGTAACCCAATTTATCTAGCTTAGTTCTTTTTTCTTCTTTTATCATGAAAACATCTTGTTATCATTACTTTGTTCTGTCTGGTGCTTAAAATCGTGTTTAAGAATAATCTAGTTCACCTTTCAAAAATTATCAGTTATAAAAATTACATTGAGTTCTCATGTCTTAAGAACGAGAAACCTATGAGTACATTTTAAAAACTGTAACTTTGTATTTATTTTAAACAGCTTTCTATTACATGTCCCAGATGACTTTTCTGTGGGTCACTTTTAGGATCAGTGAGGTTTCATAATCATTCCATGTACACATTTACTTTTAATATACAATACCTGTATATGCTTGCTTCTTAAATGATTCAGAATACCTCAGCTAGGTATTTTAATAATCCTGGCTTATTGATGGTTGCTGACTGGTAAAATTCCTTGTTATATTTTTCAGTATTTAAGTGGGTAGCATTAAGCAGTCTTAATCTTTTAATACCAGCTACTGGACTGGTAAGGTGTGTCTCAGTTTTATTGGCTAACTTGGCACCTATGGTACATTTTTTAAGGCAGTAGTAGTATCTAAATATGTGGTATAGCATTGGTATGGAATTTTCTATACAAAACTCTTGGCTGTAGGTTGAAAAAGCAGCATAACCTACCAAATTTAAGGTTGTATTATGCACAGTTATTGGTTTTGCTATATCTTAATATCTTTTGCGCAGTGAGTATTCCTATTTGTAAAGTCATGAATTCATATATGTTTGCAGGGATAGGATTAACAAGAGGATTATTATTAAGGATAATCAAGGATGAAAGCAGGTTCAAGAAAAGATTTTCCTTCCTTTATTATCTTTGGTGATTGCCTTTATACTCAGAGGTAGCCTTGGGTCAGCAAACTTAATACTTCAAGGAGCTTTGAACCCAGATACGACATTTGAATTCAGTTGGACAGGTGTTATCATTATTGGCTAGACAGGAAACCTGAAGCTCAGAACTACTTCTACTTGTCCAGTTCACACTGAATGTCTTTTATTGTTAAATGTTTTTGTCCTTTCAATGTGCCTATGCTAGATTAAAACAGAAGAATCAGTATACATTTGCTTTGTTAAATTAATACATAGTTTTATTGCCAGTAGGCTACATACATTCCCTTGAAATGTATGTGCTTATGGAAGAAGGAACTTTTTTTTTTGAGACAGGGTCTCACTGTGTCACCCAGGCGAGAGTGCAGTGGCACAATCATGGCTCACTGCAGCCTTTACCTCCCGGGCTGAAATGATCCTCTGGCCCAGCCTCCTGAGTAGGTGGACCTACAGGCGTATGTGCCGCCACACCCCACTAGTTTTTTGTCTCTTTGGAGAGACAGGGTCTTGCTTTGTGCCCATGCTGGTCTCAAACAGCTGGGCTCAAACGATCCTCCTGCCTCAGCCTCCCAAAGTGCTGGGACTACAGCTTTGAGCCACCACACCTGGCCCTAGACTTTTAAAATGCTATCAAAATAATCAGAAGGGCCAATTGTGTTAGCTCATGCCAGTAATCCCAGCACTTTGGGAGGCCAAGGTAGGAGGATCGGTTGAACCCAGCAGTTCAAGATTAGCCTGGGGAACATAGCAAGACTTTGTTTCTCCAAAAAGACAAAAAATTAGCTGGGCATGGTGGCACACACCTGTAGTCCCAGCTACTTGGGAGGCTGAGGCAGGAGGAGTTTGAGGCTGCAGTAAGCCACAATCCCACCACTGCACTCCAGCCTGGGCAACAGAGCAAGAACTTATCATTATCTTTTTTTTTTTGTTTTTTTTGAGACAGAGGTTTGCTCAGTCACCCAGGCTGGAGTGCAGTGGCACTATCTGGGCTCACTGCAACCTCTGCCTCCTGGGTTCAAGCGATTCTCCTGCCTCAGCCTCCCAAGTAGCTGGGATTACAGGCACCCGCCATCATGCCCAGCTAATTTTTGTAGAGACGGGGTTTCACCATGTTGGCCAGGCTGTCTTGCACTCCTGACCTCAGGTGATCCACCTGCCTCGGCCTCCCAAAGTGCTGGGATTATAGGTGTGAGCCACCATGCCTGGCCAAGAACTTATCTTTACAAAAAGAAAGTTTATGCAGTTTTTATATGTTTATTGTAGAAAACTAAAACCAAATGTAAACCAGAATACAGTTGTTCCTCCCTGTCTGGGGAGTTGGTTCCAGGACCCCACACTCCTGTGGATACCAAAATTTGAAGATGCTCAAGTTCCAGAAATATAAAATGACCCATAGTATTTACATGTAAAAATTATTTACAATAGCTAATACACCGTGAGTGCTATGTAAGCAGTTGTTATACTGTATTGTTTAGATAATAATGACAGGGAAAAGCCTGTATGTGTTCAGTACTGTGATACAGTTTTCTCTTTTGAATTTTCAATATACAGTTCGTTGAATCCACAGACGTGGAAACCATGAATAAGGAGGGCCAACTGTGCTCAGTTTTTTACTATCAGAGAATTTTTAGTGTGTGGCATTCATTTTTTTCTTGCATTTCCTATTTTCATAAGTCTTAAGTTTGAAATACCAGCTTGCTCAATTAAAGCAGGCTTTTGCTTCAGCAGCATTATTTTGTCTTCACTAGAATTATATGAAGATAAAAACAAGCTGGGAAAAACTTAGGTGGAGTTGGAAAAATAAGATTGAGGAAAATACAGATAGTGATCTTTGTAGTCATTCTCATAAATGAAGCTTTTAAATACATGAATTTAACTTTAGGGTCAGCCCTGCTACACAGTTCCTTGCTGTGAAAAGTTAGCCCTGCGAGTAGAATTCTCCAAATTGGGTCTTCGGAATAATACAATGAGTAATTGAGCATTATCCAGCTTTGGATATAACTCTTGTACTTAAAAGACTTTAGAGCTTATCATTTTATGTATTTCATTTATTTCATTTAGATCTATGAGAGATTACATGCATTTCTGTGATTTATTAGTCACTAATTTTGTTTTACCATATCTGTCATTGACACTATAGATAATCAGAATTTATGTATATTTAATAACTTAACTTTTCTGACCACCCCACCCCAACTCCATTCCCTTTGTTTTATGTGTCTGTTGACTTACAGTGCCACTTGAACAGCATATCAGTGCTTCAACTCTTGATCCGTGTGGTGACTTAGATGAGGTCAGAATAGATGAGATCTTTTTCTCTTTCACCCCACCTCTTAGACAGTAGCATTTTGTTCTTACATCTTATGTATATTTTCCACACATTGCTGTTTTGTTTTTGTTTTTGTTTTTGTTTTTTTTAAAGATGGAGTCTTGCTCTGTCACCAGGCTGGAGTGCAGTGGCTTGATCTCAGCTCACTGCAACCTCTGCCTCCCGGGTTCAAGAGATTCTCCTGCCTCAGCCTCCCGAGTAGCTGGGACTACAGGCATGCGCCACCACGCCCATCTAATTTTTGTATTTTTAGTAGAGACGGGGTTTCACCATGTTGGCCAGGATGGTCTCGATCTCTTGACCTCGTGATCTGCCCACCTCAGCCTCCCCAAAGTGCTGGGATTACAGGTGTGAGCCACGGCGCCCAACCTGAAAATTTATTTTTAAAGAATTTATTGGCTGGGTATGGTGGCTCACGCCTGTAATCCCGGCACTTTGGGAGGCCGAGGAGGGCGGATCACCTGAGGTCAGGTGTTCGAGACCAGCCTGGCCAACATGGAGAAACCCCCATCCCATCTGTACTAAAAATACAAAAATTAGCTGGGCATGGTGGCGTATACCTGTATTCCCGGCTACTCAGGAGGCTGAGGCAGGAGAATCACGTGAACCCAGGAGGCAGAGGTTGTAGTGAGCCAAGGTCACACCACTGCACTCCATACTGGGCAACAGAGCAAGACTCCATCTCGAGGGAAAAAAAAAAATAAGAAAGAATTTATTTATACTTTATAAAGATTTTAAACTATTACTGTGATGACTACTATGTAGTATCACATGTGATAGTGGTAATGAGTTTTCTTCTGAGATTAATTGCAGAGCTTGTCTTTCGTATGGGTCCAATATATTACTTTTCATTGTGTTTTATTTGTGCAGGACAATTTGCTCTTCAGTTATCATACCAAAACAATATAAATCCTCAACTCCTTTGAGTTTGTTAAAGATTACTATAATAATATAATCCCTGCCAAACTAAGCATGTGAATTCATGCCCACACATGGGTTCAGTGTTCAAAATAGTTAAATGCTGTATTGATTTATGTGTTTAGGGAACAAGGTTGAACAAAAGATCTTCTAACCAATTAGAACATTTAGCTTTCTTTTTTAGGCAATAAATTCCTTTACTTGAAACACAGCAGAAGATATTAACATCTGCCTAAATTTTTTCATTGTCACATATGGAAGTAAGTGACCCTGCTGTCACTGTTCCATGTTTTCTTGTGAAGAGCTAAGTTGTCACTACCCAACTGTGACACTGCATGGACCAACTCCTGCAGGCGAGTCAGAAAAAAAGCCGGGATAGTAAGAAAGGAACCTAAAAGAACCTTAATTGGAAATTTAAAAAACAAAGTTCAAAGGCCCTGCTTTTATTAATGTATTTCTGTTTATGGTTTTCAGGGGGTGAAGCCAGCCAGTTTTGACAAAGTAGCAATTCCTGAAGTGAAGGAAATTATTGAAGGATGCATACGACAAAACAAAGATGAAAGGTAAGTTGCCTCTTTTGATCTGGGTGATACTTGAACAAAACCTAAAAAGTAATGTGCTTTGAGTACAACACACATTCTACGGTGTATTTAATATTTGTGATTGGTTTCTCTATTTGTGCCTGTAACATTTTTAAAGGTAGGGTTTTGTTCATTGTGGTTATTCAGATTTGATATACTGGAACACTGTAAAAATATGGTTTGGTAGAGTTTCAGTAAACCAGAACCACCATAAACATAGCTACATTCCATGAGAACTGCTTACTTAAAACATCAGCATGATTTATAAAACTCAAAAAAGAGTTTAATATCTAACACAGGAAATCTTTTCTTAGTCCTTTACCATTGAATTCTAAGTGGTGAAATAAAACTTTGGCTCTTTAAAGTCAGCTCAGCTATTACAGGTCTGATTTGCCGTCCTTACGCCAGAATTGAAGAAGAGCAAAACATCAAAATTCCTTGAGTAAAAAGAGAAGACTTGGCCCAGGGGTTGGAAGGAGATGTGGCTTAGTCATTTGTACTAACAGAGGGCTTCTCTTAGAGGAGTGGCAAGTATCTGATCTGCCATGTAGCTGATTCATCACCCGTCAGGCATGGCGAAGGTCCAGTGTCTGTTTCTGAAAAACAGTCTATCTTTGCCACCCCCTTCCATCCTCCAAAAAAGAAAAAGGAGACCAGCTAGTACAAATACAAATTGCAAATTGAGCATAATCTACCACTTGAAGAATGAGAGCTATCAGATGTATCAACCGAATTAAAGAATTCCATCTTTTCACCTCTCCAGTCTCGTTCTTTTTATAACATCGTTATTTAGAAGAGCTTAACTTCATGGTTTTTAAGCCTTTATTAAGTAAAAATTTAGTTTGAGTTTTCATTTTTATATATGCTGGGTACTTAAATCTCTTTAAGAACTTTTTACTATAAACAAAGGAATGTTTGTTTCAACTCTTTTTTTTTTTTTTGGACACAGTCTTGTCACGTCGCCTAGGCTGGAGTACAGTGGCATAGTCTCAGCTTACTGCAACCTCTGCCTTCCAGGTTCAAGCAATTCTCCTGTCTCAGCCTCCTGAGTAGCTGGGACTACAGACGCACATCACCGCACCTGGCTAATTTTTGTATTTTTAGTAGAGACAGGGTTTCACCATATTGGTCAGGCGGGTTGCAGACTCCTGACCTGAGGTGAACCACCCACCTTGGCCTCCCAAAGTACTGGGATTACAGGTGTGAGCCACTGGGCCCAGCCTGTTTCAACTCTTGTTGGAGCAGTTTATTAGATGATTGGCATATTGAAACCATTTTATCTTAAGATTGTTTCACAATCAGACTTCTGCTTGCCCAGTACACAAATTATTGAACAAGGAATTAAGAGAACTTACTGGTGTAAATAAAGCTTGCTGTGGTAGAAAGTACCAAACTAGAAACAAAAATATTTATTTTCTAGTTTCTATTTCAGCATTTACAGCTTTTATAACTGTGAGCAAGATTCTCAACCTTTCTGGGCCTCCATTTCCTAATAATCAGGAGATGATATCAAATTGGGTGTTGGTCAGACAAGATCATAAATATGAAGATTTGTGTTACTTATAAAATGCTATATAAATGATCATGTGGTATTTTGAAGCTTTAATAGAGCCAATTGTGTTAGCCCACCATTACTAGTATACTATTACTAATAAGATCATTGGATTTAAAAATTATGTTACAATTGTGTTAGCTCGCCATTACTAGTATACTATTACTAATGAGATCATTGGATTTAAAAATTATCACTGTCAGCTCTTATTCATGAATGAGATTGTTATGATGTTTTATAACTTCAGAGTAAACCTCTGTAGGCACCCTTCAAATTCAGCAATGTAAAAATGAGTTATACTTTCCCCTGTATTTTTTCCCATTTTTTTCTTCTGCGAATAACAATAATTGGCCACATTTGAAAATTATTTTTTCAAACTAATGGTGTTTTATTTTTGTTCCTTTTCTTTTCCCTCTGTTTGGAAGATATTCCATCAAAGACCTTTTGAACCATGCCTTCTTCCAAGAGGAAACAGGAGTACGGGTAGAATTAGCAGAAGAAGATGATGGAGAAAAAATAGCCATAAAATTATGGCTACGTATTGAAGATATTAAGAAATTAAAGGGAAAATACAAAGATAATGAAGCTATTGAGTTTTCTTTTGATTTAGAGAGAGATGTCCCAGAAGATGTTGCACAAGAAATGGTAAATTGACATTAGCCATTTTAAAATTGATTTAGACTTATATATATCAATACTATCATTAAGCAAAAAAGCAGTTGATGAAGTGCCGTGTGTGGCATATCCCATTGACATAAAATTGTGATGGCCCTAAAAGTTATCTTTGATTAGTGGGATTTTCGTGTGTGTGTGTTTTTTTTTTTTTTAAACTTCTTTGTATTGCTTTTATAATGGGTGTTAGATTTTATAGTCCTTTTTAAAAGTAAATTTTTTTTTTTTTTGATGGAGAGAGAGACAGGGTCTTGCTCTGTCACCAGGCTGGAGTGCAGTGGCCTGATAATCATAGCTTACTGCAGCCTTAAACTCCTGAACTCAAGCAATCCTTCTGCCTTAGCCTGCCGAGAAGCTGGGACCATAGGGACGTGCCACCACACCTGACTAATTTTTGTATTTTTAGTATAGACAGGGTTTCACCATGTTGGCCAGGCTTGTCTCGAACTCCTTATGTCAAGTGATCATCCCACCTCAGCCTCCCAAAGTGCTGGGAGTACAGGTGTGAGCCACTTCGCCCGGCCAAAAGTTATTTTTGAGAAAATATGTAGATATATATATACATAGGGATAGATAGATGAGATAGATAGGTAGAACTAGTAGAATGCATTCCGAAGTCATTTTGAAAAGTCTGTAAGATTGAGTGACTCCCAGTTTGTATAAGCATCATTCATTAAGAATGACAAGTTATGTTTCTACATATTGGTACATTAGCCTTTGATCAGTTATCTGGATGAACTCTATAAACAGACATAGGACCATGAATTGTTTTTACTTTGAAGAGAGTTTTCCTGATCAAATACTAGTAGGAAGCCTTTGATGTATTATTATTTGAAGTATGTCTAAAAGATCACTCTTCCATAAGGAAACCCTTCCCCAAATTTATGCTTGCCATAGTGCCCAAAATAGCTGATTATTATGGAAAGATAACTCAGAATATCTCTACTCGGATTTATCAGAACCATTCAAAAGTGGTAGTTGCCTCTGAGAGGAGATCAGGTATGAGTTACTTATGTTTAATTGTTAGCTGTTTGTATTGTCTGAGCTTTTTTGCTTTTTTGGAGGGGAGGAGCAGTGTTAAATCTTCATATTCGTACCACAGTTGTTTTAGCAGATTAAGTAGTTGCCTTGTAAAAGAAAGTGAAATCAACACAGGTTAATGTTAGTGGTTACGTGTGAGGGGGAAATACAGTGAATAGAACAGAGTACCTTACTTGGTTTAGGAACTGAGGTTTTAGTTGCCCTATTGTTTCGTTGTTTGTTATAAGGAGTGAAGGTATACCTACCCTTCGAGTTTCTGCAAAAATGGTGGTACCCACCCCTCAAGTATCTACAAAGATGGTAGGGAAATGCATAATGCAGATTTTACAGTTCGGTTAAGGCCAGTCCTGAGAGAATTCTTTCTTCCTCCTCTTCTCTACTTTTTTTACAATGCCTTTTTTTTTTTTGGCGGGGGGTGGTGGTGGGGGGTGTTGTTTTCTTTCAATATACTACTGCTTAATTTACCCTTTTATTCTGTAGGTAGAGTCTGGGTATGTCTGTGAAGGTGATCACAAGACCATGGCTAAAGCTATCAAAGACAGAGTATCATTAATTAAGAGGAAACGAGAGCAGCGGCAGTTGGTACGGGAGGAGCAAGAAAAAAAAAAGCAGGAAGAGAGCAGTCTCAAACAGCAGGTAGAACAATCCAGTGCTTCCCAGACAGGAATCAAGCAGCTCCCTTCTGCTAGCACCGGCATACCTACTGCTTCTACCACTTCAGCTTCAGTTTCTACACAAGTAGAACCTGAAGAACCTGAGGCAGATCAACATCAACAACTACAGTACCAGCAACCCAGTATATCTGTGTTATGTACGTATCTTGGGAAGTGGACAGATAGGCTAATGATTCTCCTAATTGGTTTTTTTAGCTTCTTGTTATTTTGCACTGGCTTTTTGGTTTTGAATTATGAATCCTACTATTATACAAAATTTGAAATGGTTGTCGTCTAGCTTCTCTTTATTCTTATATCTGTGACTAGGAGAATAGAAGGATGGGGTGGTAAGGAAATGTGATTAGGATACAAAATAATTTTATAAGCTTCAACATCTTGGAGGTTTCAATTTGTAGATTTCTACTTTTCACAATTTATTTAAATAAAACAGATTTAATAATGAAGAATGAACAAGCTTGGCTACTAAAATTGAACCCATCAGTCTGGTTGAGCTCTTTTAGCAAAGCTGAATGGTATATAGACTAAAAACTAATGAGAACACTGGTTATTAATTTAATTACTTGTTTAATACTGAGAACCTCCTGGCCTCCATAATTAAGACTTTGAAAGCTGTGTCAAATTTAAGGCTTATAGTGTTTCATGCTGTTTCCCTTACTCCTCAGGTGGTAAGATTCTGTGATAGCCATATGGATTCCTCATTTAAATATAGAAATCTACTGAATATGGCTACAATTCATTTTTTATTTAGTTCAAATCTGTGCAAGGAATAACTAGTTACCCCTAATATAATGGGTCTAAATATGAGAAAATGTGAACCTCCATTTTGTGATTTGTCTTTCTCTCTCTCTTTTTTTTGGCGATTCATTTTTCCTTCAGCTGATGGGACGGTTGACAGTGGTCAGGGATCCTCTGTCTTCACAGAATCTCGAGTGAGCAGCCAACAGACAGTTTCATATGGTTCCCAACATGAACAGGCACATTCTACAGGCACAGTCCCAGGGCATATACCTTCTACTGTCCAAGCACAGTCTCAGCCCCATGGGGTATATCCACCCTCAAGTGTGGTAAGTAAATGCTTAAGAGCATGTAATACTACAATGAGAGCCAATGGATAGTCTGCTAAATTAAAATTCTTTGTACAAACCAAGTAACAGTATGAGTCTGAAGTAGAAAATATAAAATGCTGTGTCTCTAAAGCCTTATTATAGAGTAGGATATAGACATTAATGTGTGGGCATTAGCTGAACTGCCTACATGAAGCAGCTATGTGCAAGATTTAGATTAGTCTGCATTTTTACTAAAGGGAACGCTCTCTTTAGCACTTAAGATGTTGAAACTATTCACAGCAACAAAAGCTGGACATACAAATGTTTTGCGGGTGGGGCGAGAAGAGTTTTTCAAAAGCTTGTTAAAATGATTACTAAGTATTTCCTGTAAGATTCCCTATTGTACAAAACACAGGTAAGACCTTCAAACCATTATAGAATGCTGCATGTGAGTACTCTAGATTGAGGGAATCCTTTATTTGAATGACTGTTTAATTTAGCGCTTGTGTTGAGTTAATCATCAGTTGCTGTGTGTGTTCCTGCCTTTTAAAGTCTGTGTTGGACACAAGTTCCTTCCCCAGTATATGTTCTTTTGCTTTTTCCCTTTAGTTGGTAACTGTTTTATTACTGATTTATTTTCAGAATCAACTTATAGAAATTATTTCCTGAAACATTTTATGCTTGTATACACATACACACACACAATTATCCTGTGTTTTACATTAGACACTCTTGTTTCTCATATAGAGAATGTTAAAGTAGATCATCAGATAATACCCCATTTCTTTTGTTGACCTCAGAGGAAAATAAAATACGTCATCTGCCTCTGAAAGGTATTAGAAAATAAGTAACTTGTCACTGTACAGCACTTGTTTAGTGAGATCTTTAAGCAGACAGATTTTCCCCTTCTCAGAAAGCTTTTAATCTAAACTTTGTGGAATTCTTGCTCTTCTTTAAATGAAAATCTTTCTCTGTTAAGAAAATACTTCTGCTTGTTCGATTTTTTATCCTACAGCTTGGAATAAAAGATGTTCATTTGTTTCAGAGTCCGTTTAATCCTGCTTTGGCTAGGTCTCAAAATGAATGGCCACAGTAACACAAATAAAAAACTAATATACTAACTTTTTAAAACAATCTACTTTCTGTCTTTAAAATAATTGAGGGTAGAATAGAAGAACTTTATAAAGACTGCACAGAAAATATATTTCTGTGTTCTGACAAATATTACTTGTCAGCATTTCTTGTCAGTTTCTACCTTTAATTGTTTTTTTTCTGGATTATTATAACTAGATTTTGCTAAGACTTTTTTTTTAAAATTTTCTCTTGTCTATACTCATCATGGGGGAGCATTAGGTCTCTATTTTAGAAAGCAAGTAGAATGACATGAAGATATTATTTGAGCCATTAATCTAGCTATATTTATTGATGCTCTAAAAGCAGACGTTCTTGCTTTTTAATGACAGTATTCTATGGAGGTATTATGAAGAATTATTAAATATTGAGAATTTAAAAATTTGTCTAATTCTATTCTTGTCTCATTTCAGGAATGTGGCTTACAATAATATGGACAAATTATAAGTGAAATTTTAGAAATTAGAATAAAAGAAATAAGGCTAGAGAGAAATCAAAACAGGAATGAAACTAAACAATCATATGATGATATGTAAATACTTGGTATTGGTGGGCCACAGATTTGGCCCAAAGCATTCTACACAGCCAAGTTTTGGAAATGAAAACATAGTTTCATAGTTCACAACATCTAAAAGGAAAATAACAGTCTTATTCAAGACAACCTTTATGGTATTGATCATACTGCCTTATAGCCATATTAAACCCTGTGCCTGAACATTTTTTTAAGTTTTTTTTTTTTTTTTTGACAGCGTCTCACTCTGTCTCCCAGGTGGGAATACAGTGGCGTGATCTTGGCTCACTGCAACTTTCACCTCCTGGGTTCAAGTGATTCTCCTGCCTCAGCCTCCCCAGTAGCTAAGATTACAGGCACCCATCACCACGCCCAGCTAATTTTTGTATTTTTTTTAGTAGAGACACAGTTTCACCGTGTTGGCTAGGCTGGTCTTGAACTCTTGACCTCAAGTGATCCACCTGCCTCGGCCTCCCAAAGTGCCAGGATTACAGGTGTGAGCCACCATGCCCGGCCTAAATTATTATTTAGAGATTCAGATTGAAGATATTCTCCCATTGATTACTTTGTAAAAGTACAAAATATTTCCTATATCCAGTTGTGAATTTCTTCTAGAAAGCTAAACTTTTTCCTAGTAGATCATGACTTTTTTACCTTTACAAATAAAGAGTGGCAAGTATAAGAAATACTGTGAGCCAACAACTTTCCATCTCATGTCTTCTAAAATAGAAATGAGAATCTTTTTCTGAGGTTTCCAGAGCTCTTGCAAAATAATCCAATCTTAAAATTCTCTGTATCTTTTAATGTACTTTAAACTAATAGAATTCATTCTTGTTGAATCTTAAGTTTGCCAAAGTTGCAAGCTAATATTCATTGTTTTCCCTGTCTGCACCCTTCAGTCAGTTGGTCATTCTTAAATTCATACACTTGTAACACTTGGTGTTATTTCAGAATATTTAGCATGATAACTGATCATTATCATGATCATTCATTAAACCTGTCCTTGACTGACAACGCAGAATAGTTGTGAATAGTTGTGATCTGTCAGATGTGCTATGTTGAGTTATAGCTCTCCTCAAAAAAAAAACTGACTTTGTGGAATTGGGAGAGGATGGAACATTTCTTCATGCAACTATGCCCTGTTATCATTGTACTTTTGTTTATTTTGTTTTCACAGTACTGTGTTTTTCATGTGTGTGTTTGTTTTGTGTTGAGCCTCGTCGTGGCCGTAGCATGTCGGTTTGTGTTCCCATCTTTCTGCTGTTGCCTCTGTGTCCCGCATCTCTCCCAGTGCTCTTCCACCCCACCGCCAGTACTGTCTGCACCTCTTTCTCCTTCCCTCCTCCGGACTGCCCCGAGGAAACTTTTGCCGAAAAGCTTTCTAAAGCATTGGAGAGTGTCCTGCCTATGCACTCTGCCTCTCAGCGCAAGCACCGACGCTCCAGCCTGCCTTCCCTCTTTGTCAGTACTGTATGTAACTGTAAACTTCTGACAAATGAACAATTATTACCAATGAATACATCCAGGCAACAAGAATTTTAATTAAAATTGAATAAAGAACAGGACTAAACTTGGTTATATTATGCTTCTAGGATACCAGTTATTCCTGTAGGAAACTTTTTTGTAATAAGGCTTTAAGGGGGAATAAAAAGCAAGGAGGTAATGAGAGAGAATACCTATAATGTCCTTGGCACATACCAGCATGTGTCCAATAAAATTTACCTTTCATTATATCTTCCTGTTTCCTATCGACATAAAATTCTTTCATTTTCATATTCTAGTTTTAAAAGGATTAATTTTAAAGTTATTGCCTTAATCAAAAGCAAATTTTATCAAACATTACCCAAACATTTTTTCTCCTCACTTTATTCTAAGGAGACACTAATAAAACTGGATGAGTCCTTTTTTTTTTTAATAACCTTAGTCAGCAAAGAATAACCTTGGAGTGAACATTTATTTTAATTTAATCATTTATGTAAGATGATGTATCAGCAAACCAAAGAACTACATAATGTTCCCCCATGGAAGTATTTTTTCCTTAGGTTTCAACCTAAGGTGGGACTGTAGCTCTAATGAATGCATTAGATGCATATATAGTATGTATGACTTTCTTTGGCTCCATTAATGTTTATAAAAGATCTATCTTATAAAATTATTTTAAGCATGTGGGTCCTTGCTGCTTTTCCAAATAAAGAATATAGTTAACTTTCTGAACTAGCAACCCCAGAATTTTCAGATTTTTACTTAGGAGAATGAAGAACTATACAGTGTTATTATGGCTTTGAGACATACCATGAGTAAATAACAATAAAATGAGCATTCTGACTGAAAATAGAAATCCTTATTTAGCTATTGTGAACAGTTGATCTACTTTGCCAGCTCGATAAGGATCTTCCCTATGGAAGAATGAAACTGAATTCTTTTAAAAAGCGGGGGAGGCTGTGATAGTGAATTCTTACTATTATTTACTTATTTATTTATGTTTTGGAGATGGAATCTCGCTCTGTCGCCAGGCTGGAGTGCAGTGGCACGATCTCGACTCACGGCAACCTCTGCCTCCTGGGTTCAAGTGATTCTCCTGCCTCAGCCTCCCGAGTAGCTAGGACTACAGGCGCATGCCACCACACCCAGCTAATTTTTGTATTTTAGTAGAGATGGGTTTCACCATGTTTGGCCAGGATGGTCTTGATCTCCTGACATTGTGATCCACCCCCTTCAGCCTCCCACAGTGCTGGGATTACAGGCGTGAGCCACCGCGCCCAGCGGGTAATGAATTATTATAGTGTATATTGTTTGCATTTGGCAAGCTGTGTTTCTAAATTTAGTCTTAAATCTAGAACTGCTTCTAGAATAAAAAGTGCTATCAAATAAAATTGGCTGTCATTTATATTACCCTTTTCAGTTGATTAGAACACCAGGATGTCAGAATCAGAAAATTCATGGTTACGGCCGGGCTCAGTGGCTCACGCCTGTAATCCTAGCACTTTGGGAGGCCGAAGTGAGCAGATCACCTGAGGTCAGGAGTTCGAGACCAGCCTGGCCAACATGGCGAAATGTGTCTCTACTAAAAATACAAAAATTAGCTGGGCGTGGTGGCGCACGCGTGTAGTCCCAGCTACTTGGGAGGCTGAGGCAGAAGAATCCCTTGAACCCAGGAGGCGGAGGTTGCAGTAAGCCAAGATTGTCACTGCACTCCAGCCTGGGCGAAAGAGGAAGACTCCATCTCAAAAAAAAGAAAAAAGAAATTTCATGGTTATGCAACTCTTATTTATGATCAGAAAAATGGACATTTTGTGATTTAACTCTGTAACATGTTTCATGTAGTAAAAATATAATAAAACTATTAATCATCTAGCTTGGGAGAGATAGGAGAAAGACATTACTGTCACTAGTCAAATTATATATCTTTTACTATCCACCAAAAATCTCTTCTGATTTCTGGTTAGAAGGCATACTATTAATTGATAAGAAAATAAAACTGAAGGCCTCTAACATATCACAGGGTAATAAGAATATAGGGAAAGTTAGTTCAATAGTTTAAATTAAAGCACACTTCTTACAGTATAGAACTAGTCGGGCTTTTATGCCTTGTTTTAGTTCTTACTCTTCCTTTAACTCTTTTTCTGTTGATGTAATTTACATTAATGCTTAAGAGTGAACTTTTTAAGTGTGGGTAAAAACGAAATAATTACTTACAAAGTTTAATTCTTCCATTTCCTTTGAGAGAGGAAAGTTATGGAAAAGCAGCTCTTATCTAAAGCAAAGAGCCCACAGATTGATTTCATTGGCCCTGGATGTATTTAATGGATTTTTACTATGCACATAATTTCCAGAAGCATTGTTATTTATTTATTAATTATAAATTTAGTGTAACCATTTCATAGGGTTACACAGAACTACCCAGTTGTGCATGTCTGATGTAATTTCACATATGAATGTATGAATTACTTGTCTTATTCATGTTGATACAGCCTCAGTCCATGGCGCATCCGTGTGGGGGGACCCCAACATACCCAGAATCACAGATATTTTTCCCAACTATTCATGAACGTCCAGTTTCTTTTTCACCACCTCCCACCTGCCCACCGAAAGTAGCCATTTCCCAGCGGCGTAAGAGCACCTCCTTCCTGGAAGCCCAAACTCACCACTTCCAACCCCTGCTGAGGACTGTTGGCCAAAGTCTTCTTCCACCTGGTGGCAGCCCAACTAACTGGACACCAGAGGCCGTAGTTATGTTGGGTACTACAGCCAGTAGAGTAACTGGAGAGTCATGTGAGATACAGGTCCATCCTATGTTTGAACCATCTCAAGTTTACAGTGACTATAGACCTGGACTAGTACTTCCAGAAGAAGCTCACTATTTTATTCCTCAGGAAGCAGTGTATGTAGCTGGGGTACATTACCAGGCCCGGGTGGCAGAACAGTATGAGGGCATTCCATACAACTCATCAGTACTGTCAAGTCCTATGAAACAGATACCTGAACAGAAGCCAGTACAAGGGGGCCCTACTTCAAGTTCTGTCTTTGAATTTCCATCTGGACAGGCTTTCCTGGTAGGACACCTTCAGAATCTAAGATTAGATTCTGGATTGGGTCCGGGATCTCCCCTCTCTAGTATTTCTGCACCTATCAGTACAGATGCTACACGTTTGAAATTTCACCCTGTCTTTGTTCCTCATTCTGCGCCTGCTGTGTTAACTCATAACAATGAGAGCAGAAGCAACTGTGTATTTGAATTTCATGTTCACACACCAAGCTCCTCTTCAGGAGAAGGAGGTGGAATTTTACCTCAGCGTGTTTACCGAAATCGGCAGGTTGCAGTGGACTTGAATCAAGAAGAACTGCCTCCTCAATCAGTTGGATTACATGGCTACTTGCAGCCTGTGACTGAAGAAAAGCATAATTACCATGCCCCAGAATTGACCGTTTCTGTGGTAGAGCCTATCGGACAGAACTGGCCAATAGGAAGCCCAGAATATTCCAGTGATTCCTCACAAATCACTTCTTCAGACCCCAGTGATTTTCAGTCACCTCCCCCTACAGGGGGAGCAGCTGCACCTTTTGGCTCTGACGTCTCAATGCCCTTTATCCATCTGCCTCAGACAGTGTTACAAGAATCCCCACTTTTCTTCTGTTTCCCCCAAGGAACCACATCTCAGCAGGTCTTAACTGCCTCATTTTCTTCAGGAGGATCTGCACTTCATCCACAGGTTATAGGAAAACTTCCACAATTATTTTAAACTACCCTACTTTGCACCATAACATTTAAATTTTCTATTCCTTATTTCCCTGAATCATGGATTTTGGAGAAATATTGTTTAATTTTATCAGTAGAGTTTCCCCATCTTTGGGGGGTTGTGAACTACATATATGCATTTAAAAACAAAATGTGAGAGAAGCTACCTGATTTACCTATTATATGTGAAAACCAGTGGAAAAAACACAAAAACTAGAATTTTAGTCATTCTTCACAATCACGACTTCTATGCACGTTATTTTCAACCAGTAGTGAAAATGCAAGTGTATGTAATGTATGGTTGACCCAGCATTATTTAGGAATACAAATCTTAAGTATTACTTTCTTCCTCCAAACAAGTTTTTAAAAAATAGGATAAATTTTTTTTCTATAAAATATAAAACATGGAAAATAGGGAATGCTGTTTTTGAGGTAATATTAATAATACACAGAATTTTCATTAGTGTCGAAGGATCTAAAAAGACAAAGTATATCATGGGAATAAAAAAAGATAGAAAAGGAAACAGTTTAGGAATTTGCCTTAACAAATGAAAATGCCTTTTTAAAATGGCATCAGTCAAGCAAGTTGCTGTGCATTATTATATGTCCAAATAAAATGCTAATTCATAAAATTAAGGACTGATTCTAATTTTTAGCAACTAACAATCTAGTGAGTGGTGGGCTTTTTTTTTTTGTTATAAGAATTTGTGATATGTTGCAAGCTAAGGAACAGTAGACATCTTAGGCCTTGTATTTTCCTCAACAAATTTAATTTTAGTTATTTATGTGTATGAGCATATACACACTTAGCAAATAAAGACAATGTAATGAATGTAATAGAATTCAAAAGTACAGTCAGTGTTTACTGTTTCATATATTCATTTGGTATATTTTATCAAATGTGTACATCTTATAAAATCTACATAGAAGACTATGCAGTTATATATTGAAGACATTTGGATATCCTACATAAAGTACTATGTGTTGTTCTTCCTACTTTCTTCCTATGTTCTTCCCTCATCAGGAGCATAAACAACTCCCAAAATGTGCACAAATTATCAATTATTTAGTGCTGTACTAAGACACAAAAAGATCCAGAAGCTTGACAGCTATACATGGGCATGCAGTATATTCACATCAGTATTCAAGTTGCAGCCCCTATTATAAATATTAATGTATTGCCAGTAATTATCCTTTAGACTTTCCAAAGTAAAAAATACCAGGTAGTTAATTTATAGACATACTACAGAAGGAATCAATATTTATAATAGTTAAGCTGCAGTGGAATGTGATATTATATCCATGTAAGCTTTAAGGAACCCCTTGTAAACTGAAATGGAATGACAAAAGTGGTAGCCTTTTCATTTCGTTAACATACCTATATATAGTCCTGCATCATTTCTCACTTTCTAGTGAGAAACACTGTAGTTGGGGTTTCTCAGACTCAACACTGTTGACATCTGAGGTTGGATAATTCTTTGTTGTGGTGGGCTGTTCTATGTATTGTAGGCTATTTAGAACATCCTTGGTTTATACCTCCTAAATACTAGTAGCAGCAATCTCCCTCAGTTGTGACAACCAGAAATGTCTCCACATATTGCCAAGTGCCCCCCTGGGGGTGGCAGGATTGCTCCTGGATAGCAATGATCGCCCTAGGTACTTGGCAGTTGATGATAACAGATTTTTTGATACTTTTGATAAAAGTCATTGTGGCACTACAAGAAGTATTACCAAATTAGCATTACCAAATACCTTTCTTTAATTCTTCAGATAAATTTCAGATTGATAGTATTAATACTTTGTTCCTGATTATTGTATTTCTAATAACAAATTTTATTATGAATCTGACGATTCTAGCCAGCTAAAATTACAGCCTGAGCAGCATTGACAGCTTAGGTTTTCACTGTCAGTGGGTTTTGCATGGGTTGGGATCAGAACATGTTGTGTGGTATGATCCTTTTCTAAATTTTTCTTACAAAAGTTGACCCAGAGGCCTCTCCCATACATAATCAGGTTAATGTTTCATTTTGATCAAGCAAACTCTGAGGAGATTAAATATTCATTGCAAAAGCCTGACCTCTATACACTTACTTTAGGCCTTCTCTAATTTGTTGTGTTCACTTCTTTCCTTCAGGCACAGGGGCAGAGCCAGGGTCAGCCATCCTCAAGTAGCTTAACAGGGGTTTCATCTTCCCAACCCATACAACATCCTCAGCAGGTGAGAACAATGCATTGCAACATTTTATGAATTAGCAGTGGCCAGAACACTATTTTAACTTTTGTGATTTGTTATATAAATGGCCTGCTAAGTTTTTGAAAGGAAAATTAAGAGGCATACCATGTCTTGTGTTCAGTAACAAAGAAAAAAAAGAGACTTTTCTGTGTTTCAGAAAAATCTCTTTTGTTTAATATACTTTTGAACAATTTAGTAGACATACATTATTACTGATATAATTATCTTTTTAAAAGAGGATTCTACACCTTTTTTTTGAGACAAAGTCTCACTCTGTCACCCAGGCTGGAGTGCAGTGGTGCAATCTTAGCTCACTGCAACCACCGCCTCCCAGGTTCAAGCAGTCCTCCTGCCTCAGCTTTCCACGTAGCTGGGACTACAGGTGCCTGCCACCACACTCAGCTAATTTTTGTATTTTTAGTAGAGACGGGGTTTCACCATGCTGGCCAGGCTGGTCTCAAACTCCTGACCTCAGGTAATCCACCCTCCTCGGCTTCCCAAAGTGCTGGGATTACAGGCATGCGCCACCTCACCCAGCCTGGATTCTACACATAATTTACGGTACAAAGAGTATGTCATTCCTTTTCTCTTTTTTTCCACTGCTTGCAGCAGTGATTTGTCATTACCTTCATTGTGCTTGCCTCTACTAATCCTGCACTTCTTTTTAATTATTTCTAATCTGTAGAATGATGTGTCAGATTTTACGCTAAGAAGCATCTAATGAAAACCTAAGAACAATTACTTCAAGAACATTTATTTATTTATTTATTTTTATTTATTTTGAGACAGCCTTGCTCTGTTGCCCAGGCTGGAGTGCAGTGGTGCAATCTTGGCTCACTGCAACTTCCATCTCCCAGGTTCAAGCTATTCTCACGCCTCAGCCGCCCGAGTAGCTGGGACTACAGGCGCGTGCCACTATGCCCAGCTAATTTTTGTATTACGTTCTACTTATGCCTGGCTAATTTAGTAGAGATGGCGTTTCACCATGTTGGCCAGGCTGGTCTTGAACTCCTGACCTCAAGTGATCCACCCGCTTTGGCCTCCCAAAGTGCTGGGAGCCACTGTGCCCAGCCAAAATATTTTAACTTTTGTTTTGGGGGGCTTGTTCCAGAAAGTTCAAGGAATTCAAGAGATTAGTGTCATCCTGATACATCCAACAGTAAAACTGGTAATTCTAAAATTAAATATTTATAGTGCATCACTGATATTAGTTAATAGTAATTATTTGCAAGGGAATAATGCATTTTTGGCATAATTGAATACTTATTAGCTATTCTACATAAAATTTGTAGCCACTATGTATGTAATGCAAACTTCCTAATGTTAGTTCCCCATGTGGGTTTTTTAATCAGCAAACTCTAAACTGGCTTCTGTTTCTATTAGTTTTTGGTTTTGAAACAAAGTTTTCGGTTCTTAATTACAAATGGCCCTTTTTCAGTCCAACATATGGTCATGTAGTCATTCGATACTGGTTTAAGATCAGGAGTTGCTTGTACAAGATGAAAATCACTTAAAGGCACTTTCTACAGAAACAGTTGATTAGTTTGTTTATACATGCATTCACTCCGTGAACTGAAGGACTGGGACTTATATGCTTTGTTTTGCACCTGTCCTTTCTTCCAAACAAGACTGGTTAAATTCAAGTAAACATATTTTTGCCAACCTTAACAAAATCTGTTTTATTCTATTAACAGTTCCTAATTAGAATGCAAATTACAAGTCACATAAAGCTGGTTGAGAATGGAAGTACTGAGTACTAATCTCCTAACTTGCTTATCTTTGGATGTAGACGAACACCAATGAACTGAGCAAATTGTATGTGCTCTGTTTTTTCTTTTCCAAAGGAATTGGTTATCTGTCTTGTATTTGGGGATATGTATGTATACTTACTATCAAATGAAGAAGATAATAAAATAATTCATTGAGTTTCATGTTAAGAAAGAGTGTGAGAAAAGAAGAGAGCAGTACCATAAATGTCAGATTAAAAGAATTAGGTAGCTACCTCTCCAGGAGAAAAAAATATGGCTAAATGCTATCTCTACAGCAGAAACAAAAATTAATTTTTGTTTCAGTGATGTTTTTGTTTTAGATACTTTTATAGCATGTGTTGTAGAATCACAAAATTGAGCCCTCGATATATATAGGAAGTGTATTCGGTCTAGAATAATTAACTTCTCCAAAGTCACTTAGATAATAAGGGAGCTACAAATTATAACCCAGAATTCAAGATTCCTAGAATAGTATTGTTTCTTCCATTTTAAATAAAGTTCTGCAGGGACTTAATGATTCTGCAAATGTACCTCAGAAGCTGTCTTTATTTGTTTTAATTATTGGAGTTCCACGTTTGAAAAAAGAAAGGTTGAAAACTTTTTGTACTATATGGATAGTCTATTTTTAGACATGATTTTTGTTTTACGTACTTTCAGGTCCCAATCCCACCTTAGAGAACCATATCTCTTGTTTTATTTTAGTGAGGAAAGAAATATACTTTTGCTAAAATTTACTTTATTTCATGCGTTTCTTGAACATAGTAAATGAGGAATTGCTTTTTTGTGTGTTTTTGTAGGGTCTCGTATAGTGATATACTAGATCTTAGCAAGGTACCAAAAATAGCTGCCTCCTGCTGAAAAGCTTTGTGACCACAAACAAAGTTGTGAACTTTGTCAGACACAGTGCCAGCTACTTGGAAGGCTGAGGCAGGAAGATCACTTGAGCCCAGGAGTTCAAGGCTACAGTGAACTATGATATTGCCACCATACTCCAGCCTGGGCAACAGAGCATGACTCATCTCAAAAAAAAAAAAGCACCGAAGTTGTGAACTACCTACCCTACTATCCATAAAGTCTGTTTGAACTGGTTTCATGAGGCAAGCTTGGGCAGAGCATGATGCTAAACTGTTAAGCTAGACCACCCCTGCCTGGCTGAAGTGCTGATTATTAGTCAGTGGGACTGCGCACAGCAGATCATCATGTACTTCTGGCATATCCAGAGGTGACACTTCTCCCCAGATGCTCTAAGATGTAACATTAACCGTTAGCCATTGTAAACAACTGGTTTAGAGATCTCTTTAAGATGTTAATACAAGGGTCACTGTCATAGATGCCTCTCAGTTGTCTTAAGCAAAGAAATAATTTGTCCATAAAACTGCTCATTTTTGACAGTCCTTTCAGCTTTTTTTCCTAATTGAGTTCAGATACTGAAGGTCTACCGAGCTGGACCAGGTATGACTACTTTGAAAGAGTCTAAATAATATAGTAAATATATATGTAAATTTCTAAAAAACAAATAAGGATAATAGCTAATATTAAAGTGCTTTGTACATTGTACCTACATTCTCATTTAATCGTTTTAAGAACCCTATAAGTATAGATGCTATAATTATTTCCATTTTACTGATGGGAAAGCTGAGATCTGGAGAAGGTGAGTAGTTTACCCAAACTTACAGCTTATAAGAGGTAAAAACAGAATTTAAATCCAAATAATCTAATTCCACAGCTCACCATTTGACTACTACCCAATTATGTCCAAAAAAAGGGAAGAAATTAACATCTCTCCCAAGCAGGAAAGGGAATATCAGGAAGACTTTAGGAAAAAGGAGGCATTTGAAATGGACTTTGATTATAAGTTAGACTCAGATGTAGAAATAAAGAATATTCCAGGCCAGAAGATAAAAAAATTATACTGTGAGCAATGTGAAAGGCCCTAAGATAGAAAAATAGGGTACAAAAACAAATGTGCCTTTAGTTTGGTTTAACTAGAGCATAGATATGTGAAGGTATAAGTTCAGGAAAGAGTTGATAGAGTCTAAATTTTGATATGAGCATAATTTTGAATTAAGGAGGATGTATTGGGGGCTGGGAGCATATGATTACCATATGCCCAAAGATAACATGGGAATTCTTCCTCAAATTTATCCGTTAGAAAAGAGGGGAATAACCATGTATTCAGACCTTTATCGTACTCTCATATTACAGGGTTTTCACTGTCCTTTACTTTGAACAACAACAAACCAAAAAAGGTTAATGAAATAAAATGAAACAGGTGAGAACAAATGTGCCTGCAAAGACTTCAGCTCATGTAGTTAGAAATGTTCATTGAGAACATCAGACAGAATATTTTTAAGGAATAAACATAAATTTAGTCCTTATTCTCAGCAATATGACTTCACTATTCTGAGGACTGTATGTGATTTTAAACAACTGGCTTAAAGATCTCTTTAAGATGTCAATATAAGGGTTACATGAATAAAAACCTATAAGAGAAAGGAAAAAAAAATCTAGTTTTATTTTAATGTTATGTAAATAGGTGCTTTTCACTGCACATTTTACCTGAAGATACAACTTAGATGGAATGTGTTATGTTATGCCAGAAAACTGCAGGAGCGTTCATAATTTAGCTTCAGTGAAGGTAAAGATGCTGGTGTCTTTACCTATGTAGAGTTTGGGGGAGAGGGAGCAGTATTTCTGAATTAATATATTTAATATGCAATCTTATTTACGTGTGTAAATTAATGAGTTAGATAATTATAGATATCTCATTCACATTCCTTAAAGTTTAAATTTGTTCAAGTTGGCAAATAAAAAAGGTTTTCTGGTTTTTTAGTTCCTTTTTCTCAGGTGGGAAATTAACAAATTTGTCTTATATTCAGAGCACCTTTAGAATTGGCTACATGTGGTTTATCTTAGTTTGCAGAAAATAAATTTCATGTAATTCAGCAGCCATTTCTGCTTCTTTAAAAGTTAAAATAAGAATACATTATCAGAGGCCGGGGCGCGGTGGCTCACGCCTGTAATCCTAGCACTTTGGGAGGCCGAGGTGCACGGATCACAAGGTCAGGAGATCAAGACCATCCTGGCTAACATGGTGAAAACCCGTCTCTACTAAAAACACAAAAAATTAGCCGGGCGTGGTGGCAGGCGCCTGTAGTCCCAGCTGCTCAGGAGGCTGAGGCAGGAGAATGGCATGAACCTGGGAGGCGGAACTTGCAGTGAGCCAAGATCGCGCCACTGCACTCCAGCCTGGGCAACGGAGCGAGACTCCGTGTCAAAAAAAAAGAATACATTATCAGAAATAATTAAATAGGAATAAACCAAACATGACTGCTGTTGCCATTATATTTTAGCATTCTTTTGGTGATTTTAATTGACATAAATATAAGAAGAGCAAAAATATTATTTGTAGATTATCACCTAACAAAATCTAAGACACTTATCAAGGTGGCAAGATACATAATAAATGTACAAATAAATAGCTTATCTTTATACCAGCAGTAACCAATTAGTCGTATGGGTATACCAGCACATACGTAAAAGGCTGTTGGTTGCAGCATTATTTTAAGTAGCAAAAATGAAACAACCAAAGTGTTTATCATTAGGAGACTGATGCCATTTAGAAATTAAAGTAGTATGCTATAGAACACTATGTATAGGAAAGGCATGTTTTTGTTTTGTTTATTTTAACAAAAAAAGAAAACTATGTGAAAATGGCCACTTACGCATAGAAAAAAATCCATGAAGGTTATGCACCAAACGACTAATAGTGGTTACCTCTGGAGAATAGGATTAGGGGTATTTTCATTAACTTTATAATATGATGTACTAGTTAAAATTTTTATTACAAGCAGATGTTGTATTAAAGAAAAAATATAAATTAGGTATTAGAAGATCTTGAAAGTCAGCCCTAAACTTCATTTTTTTTTTTTTTTTTTTTTTTTTTTGGAGACAGAGTTTCGATCTTGTTGCCCATGCTGGAGTGCAATGGTGCAATCTCGGCTCACTGCAACCTCCGCCTCCCAGGTTCAAGCAATTTTCCTGCCTCAGCCTCCTGAGTAGCTGGGATTATAGATATGTGCCACCACGCCCGGCTAATTTTTTGCAATTTTAGTAGCGATGGGGTTTCTCCATGTTGGTCAGGCTGGTCTTGAACTCTGGACCGCAGGTGATCTGCCCACCTCAGCCTCCCAAAGTGCTGGGATTACAGGCGTGAGCCACCGCGCCCAGCCTCAAGTTTTTATTTGTTAGACAGAAGGGGCAGTACTCTAGGGGTCATAGTCCTGTTTTGTTTGGTTTTGTTTGCTTGATTTATTACAGAATTTAGTATTCGAGTACAGTTATGTTCCATGCATTAAATTAGGTGTATAATTACGCACCATGCATTAAATTATACTTGAGTCCCTAGTACATAGTAGATTCCCAGGTGTCATTCCCTTTGCCCCACTTTGAGTTAAAAAATAATGTCCTTGTTTCAAAAAGAGAAACTTCATTTTTTTAATAAAATAAGCAATCTAAGGCATTAACAGCTAGTAAATATTAAAGCTAAAATTTGAAAATGTCTGTTATTCCAAATCCAGTGCTTTCCTCCCTATTTTGTAGCTATAATCAAAGCTATTCTTCAAGCATATTAATTATACAGTTGATAAAATAGGGTAAGGAAAAAAGATTAAAGGAAGCTATTGGATCTATCTGATATAGGTGCCAAAGAGAGAGCTGATGCCAAGAGATAGGGAAAAGGGAATGGCAGGGATGGGATGGGGAAAGGAACTGTCTGGATATGTTATGTAAATGTCTTTGTAAAGACCTATTGTTGGGGTGAGGGAGATAATTGGGTGAAGAGCCAATGGTAACTTGAGTATTAAAAGATTGGTTAATTTTTCCTGGTGGCACCATCACAAAGAACATCAGAGGGAAAACAAATATATAATGGAAATTGATGAATTTGGGTTTGTGCATGTCTTGATTACTAAAATCATCATTATTTACAGACACTGAAGGCTTTAGGTAAACATGCTTCCTTAGAAACATGCTGTTATTGATTTGAAATAAAACTGAATCATTGTATTTTATTCTTAGCAGCAGGGAATACAGCAGACAGCCCCTCCTCAACAGACAGTGCAGTATTCACTTTCACAGACATCAACCTCCAGTGAGGCCACTACTGCACAGCCAGTGAGTCAGCCTCAAGCTCCACAAGTCTTGCCTCAAGTATCAGCTGGAAAACAGGTAAACTTTTTTTTTTTTTTTAAACAGGTAAACTCTTAATTTCTGAAAGGGTGCTAAAAGGGATTTCCATGTAACTTGTCCTTTCATGTGGATAGACTTCTACCTTTTCTTCTAAGGGTAACCAACCCTTGAAGTAGGTTAATCTCATTGCAGAAATGAAGTGAAGATCACCTCATTGGTGCATATGCATTATTTAATGTAAATGGGTACGTTACTGACAGCAGTGACAATCCAAAGTTTCACTTCTAGTCTTACCAGTCCAAAATTGATGTAACAGGTATTAGAAATAACAGGTTAAATAAAGGTGCTCTGGTAACTGAACCTATGACATTCCCTAGAATTGTGTCAGCTATGTCTGATATTCTAGGTTTGAAACTATGCTTTATTTTCATGTAGATTTCTGCACTGTTTACTGTGTGGAATGTTTTTTTTTCTTAAGTAGTCCTCCTAATCACTTGAGAAGTACCCTGTAGAAGGTATGCTTTTCTGAATGACCTTTTTTCAACTTTATTTTTGAGTACTGTTGTGCATGTATGTGCACAGTGTATTGTTACCCTAATATTTCATCACATCTGAGATGCTATCAACTTTAAAATGTACCATATTTTATGTACCACATTATCAGTTATAAAGTAGATCCCAATTTCTCACATGTTAAAATGATCAGGTAGTGGAGAGGGATGATTGCATCCTAGAATGAGTGAAATATGTGAATTATACCAATTTTTATTGAGCCATGTTGGACTTAAGAATTTTAGAAATAATACGAATGAAATCTTAATTCCACTGGGAAGGAATTCATTTGAATTTCAGTAACTACTGTAACAGCAGTCGTAACTTTAGTGATAGCATTATGGTATATAAAATATATTCCAATAAAGCTGTTAAAAAAAAAAGCCAACCCCTTGTCTATGGAAGGGTCCTCTTCTATTGCCAAATGCTGAAGCATTAGCAAATATTTCTATGACAAAAGGTGTAGAACAGTAATAGTCTATTTAGCCTCTTTCTCTCCTGCTCTCCTTTCCATATTCTTATGTGGCATATTAACTTAACACTAATGTATGCAGGGTTTTGTTGGTTTGGTGTTTTTTTTTTTGTTTGTTTTTTCCTTCTTTTTGGCTAATACATAAATCTTGCTTTTGGCAGCCTTGCTTTTTTTTTTTTTTTTTTTTTTTTAAGCCTGTCTGTTTTGTTTTTCTTTACCTTCCCAGCTTCCAGTTTCCCAGCCAGTACCAACTATCCAAGGCGAACCTCAGATCCCAGTTGCGACACAACCCTCGGTTGTTCCAGTCCACTCTGGTGCTCATTTCCTTCCAGTGGGACAGCCGCTCCCTACTCCCTTGCTCCCTCAGTACCCTGTCTCTCAGATTCCCATATCAACTCCTCATGTGTCTACGGCTCAGACAGGTTTCTCATCCCTTCCCATCACAATGGCAGCTGGCATTACTCAGCCTCTGCTCACGTTGGCTTCATCTGCTACAACAGCTGCGATCCCGGGGGTATCAACTGTGGTTCCTAGTCAGCTTCCAACCCTTCTGCAGCCTGTGACTCAGCTGCCAAGTCAGGTTCACCCACAGCTCCTACAACCAGCAGTTCAGTCCATGGGAATACCAGCTAACCTTGGACAAGCTGCTGAGGTTCCACTTTCCTCTGGAGATGTTCTGTACCAGGTATTGTGTTAGTTAGCAAAAGAGGGCACCACAGAGTTTGATCCTAGTAGATCATCAGGAACATGGAAATCTAATAGTTGAGTGTCAGAATAACTAGCAATAACATGTCAACTAGAGAAGCAAAATAGTAAAATTCTGAGAAAGGATTGGATAATGATGTTCAGTGATTCCTGATCCATTTTTCTCAAGACACTTCTTCAGAGAAAAATGGTTCTCTCAGTATTCACTGTAAGCTGATTGAATGCTAGATGTGGTTAATAGTACACCTGGCAACTTTTACATATATGGGTAGAATAAATAGAATAGCCAACATGGTATCAACAAAAAGCTTCGGGGTTTAGACTGGGAAAATTAGCATTTCATGATATGACTGTTATGTGGAAGAATTTTTGCATTTTTCCATTTAAGATTGGCTAGGAAGAAATTGTGTTCCTCCTATTTAAATCATCTCTAGGTGAAGATAACCGACAATAAAGTAGTATTGTAGAGTCCTGTCTCTTCTGTTGGAACCAGTCTACTACTTCATTTCAAGAATGTGGTCTTTATATGCCCTTTAGATTATTAGAAAGAGATTGGCTACTATTCTTCTTTGCTGTGTGCTTCTTTTTTTTTTTTTTGCATGTCTTGCTGTTTTGCTAATTTATTGACCCCCAACCTGCTCTAACTCACCTTCCTCATTTCTGTCACAGGGCTTCCCACCTCGACTGCCACCACAGTACCCAGGAGATTCAAATATTGCTCCCTCTTCCAACGTGGCTTCTGTTTGCATCCATTCTACAGTCCTATCCCCTCCCATGCCGACAGAAGTACTGGCTACACCTGGGTACTTTCCCACAGTGGTGCAGCCTTATGTGGAATCAAATCTTTTAGTTCCTATGGGTGGTGTAGGAGGACAGGTTCAAGTGTCCCAGCCAGGAGGGAGTTTAGCACAAGCCCCCACTACATCCTCCCAGCAAGCAGTTTTGGAGGTAAATAGAATTACTGCATGTTTATATGTAAAACGTATATATGTAATTGGACAACAATGATAAAGGAGAAAGAAACAGGCTCCCCTGGTTTAGAACTTATTTGGAGACCATGTCAAACTAACTTCTGCATGACTTTTTCTTACAGCAGAATGAAATGCCAATGTGGGGTCCTTGTTTCCACTGGCTGTTCTGTTGGGAAGTGAGTGTGCCTTGGAGAAGATGAACCCTATTAGCACTTCACTTCTCTAGCTAGTACTTTAGCCATTATTCTTGTCCTTTCACAAACTTTTTCCATTGGCAGTCATAAGAGTATCTTACCCTCCTGTGCTCTCAGCAATCATTTTTGCCCTGCTAGGAGAAGATCTGAATTCATCTTTGTACTATGCTCTGTCTGCGCTATTGCACACTCTTGGTAAGATGCTGGCTGCATGGCAAGTTGTAGGTTCACACTGCCTAGCAGATATGTTGGCTGACCTCATACCATGCAGTCTATACCAGAGACTAGCTTTAGCAACTTCCTTTGGAATTTTAAGACCATTATCTCTAGATGCTGAATATTGAGAATTTACTAGTAAATTTAGTGCTTCTAGGACGTAGTGGGGAGGGATAAGGAAAAAAATAAGTAGATTATTGGGGATAGTGAATGATAAATCTATTACTACCGAGATTTGAGTTATCTTTTCGATTCACAGAGTACTCAGGGAGTCTCTCAGGTTGCTCCTGCAGAGCCAGTTGCAGTAGCACAGACCCAAGCTACCCAGCCGACCACTTTGGCTTCCTCTGTAGACAGGTACGTAAAACTAGAATTCTCCTTCCTTGACTGGTAAATAAGACGGTATGAAACGCCAAACTGTCAGACCTTTAAATCTCATATTATAAACTGCACTTTTTTTTCTTTTTAAATTTCAAAGTGCACATTCAGATGTTGCTTCAGGTATGAGTGATGGCAATGAGAACGTCCCATCTTCCAGTGGAAGGCATGAAGGAAGAACTACAAAACGGCATTACCGAAAATCTGTAAGGAGTCGCTCTCGACATGAAAAAACTTCACGCCCAAAATTAAGAATTTTGAATGTAAGTATTCCTAATTTGTGAGTTTCATGTTGTTAAAGGAATTTGACACTGAAAAAGATTTTAGAGGTCATCAAATCCAAACCACTCACTTCATAAAATAAAGATAACTATCTGTGTGTGACAGATAATTTTTTTTTTTTTTAGACGGAGTCTCGCTCTGTCGCCCAGGCTGGAGTGCAGTGGCATGATCTCTTCTCACTGTGATTGCAGTGCCTCCTGGGTTCAAGCGATTCTCCTGCCTCAGCCTCCCAAGTAGCTGGGACTACAGACACGTGCCACCACGCACGGCTAGTTTTTGTATTTTTAGTAGAGACAGGGTTTCACCATATTGGTCAGGCTGGTTTCAAACTCCTGACCTCAGGTGACTCACCTGCCTCAGCCTCCCAAACCACTGGGATTACAGGCACCCAGCCAGATAATTTATATAGTACTCTTCTCATTTCATGCCCACAGTCTCTTTGACTTAAATATCACATTTTTAGAAAAATGAAAAGGTAGTTCATAAAGCTATGATAGGGCCAGCAGTTAATATCATTTAAATATTTCTTAAGGCTTAGATGAATTGATGAATGTATAGGATCTTATAATTAGCCAAATGATATTCTTACATTCCATATTTCTATGATAAAGCACTACTTATCTTTTAGAAAAAGAATAGAGAGTTTTAGTAAGTAGCTCAAAGGCTAACGTCTTCTCAAAGATTTTTCTTGCTACCAGTTTAAGAGACAAAGTACTAGTGCTCCAAGGAACAGCGATAACACTATGCTTCCTTAGACATAAAGTCAAGTGCTAATCTGCATTGCTTTTCTGAAATTCAGTAATAAAGCTGAATATGGTCTTTGGAGATGATGTACCTTTTTTCTTTTTAGGTTTCAAATAAAGGAGACCGAGTAGTAGAATGTCAATTAGAGACTCATAATAGGAAAATGGTTACATTCAAATTTGACCTAGATGGTGACAACCCCGAGGAGATAGCAACAATTATGGTACGTCTGCATTTGGAGTTCTAGGTTTTTCCTTAGTACTTGATCTTAATAGCCATTGCTCTAGGCAAATATGCCATATTTTATAATCCATGTTTTTTTAAAGTTATGCATTTACTTCAATGTGAATAAAACTATCACACCCAACCTGTGATTTAGTGATGTTTTTGTCTAGGCTATGTCTAACTAGATATTGAAGTTCTTAAAAAGAGAAGAGCTAACTTGAGTACAAAATAAATAAAAATATAGGTAAGTATGCAGATAGGACAGAAGTCATAAAAGTGACATAAAGTTTGAGAAATGACACTAATTAGACTGACATCACATTTCTTTTACAGGTGAACAATGACTTTATTCTAGCAATAGAGAGAGAGTCGTTTGTGGATCAAGTGCGAGAAATTATTGAAAAAGCTGATGAAATGCTCAGTGAGGATGTCAGTGTGGAACCAGAGGGTGATCAGGGATTGGAGAGTCTACAAGGAAAGGATGACTATGGCTTTTCAGGTTCTCAGGTAGGTTCACCACTCCCATAGTGAAACTTTGTTGATTTAAAATATTTTCATAGTTCTAAATTTGCTATGCAAAATGTCCAGTGATATCACCTGACACCCATGACCGACAACAAACTTTTATGTTCTCTTCACATGTGGCAGTTTGCTTTGCCTAGTCATTGAGATTGCATTTGAGAATGTATTTAATCACTTTTGTTTGTTGTAGAAATTGGAAGGAGAGTTCAAACAACCAATTCCTGCGTCTTCCATGCCACAGCAAATAGGTGAATTTATTTTCTTTCCTTGTTTTTACCTTTGACTTAAGAAGCCATTAGCCGAGGGTGGTGGCAGGCTTCTGTAGTCCCAGCTACTCAGGAGGCCGAGGCACGAGAATCGCTTGAACCCAGGAGGCGGAGGTTGCAGTGAGCTGAGATCGCGCCACTGCACTCCAGCCTGGGTGAGAGAATGAGACCGTGCCTCAAAAAAAGCAGTTGTATGTGCCAATAATGAAGTCTAACAATATTTATAATAATAATGCTATTAAGTTACGTTTGTTTGTTTGTTTTTGACCAGGCATTCCTACCAGTTCTTTAACTCAAGTTGTTCATTCTGCGGGAAGGCGGTTTATAGTGAGTCCTGTGCCAGAAAGCCGATTACGAGAATCAAAAGTTTTCCCCAGTGAAATAACAGATACAGGTAAGGGATTGATTCTGCCACATTGTTATGTAAATTCTACAGTGCCTCTGCTATGTTGAAAGCTTAATCATAAAGCAGTAATTTATGATGACACAGATAATAAAAAAGAATAGAAAACTGAAGTTATAACCAACAGATAAACATATGGGAGAGGGAAATAGATGAAGAATACAGAGAATTACAGAAAAAGCCAAGAAGCACGGCCATACCAAGATATAGTCTGTATAATAGATATTGTAGTATGTGTTTATTTCTGCACTTAGTACTGTTGTCTATGTTTTAAGATTACTCCATATTTTTTATCAAAAACAGATATTTATAGGAGCTGACTTAGGCTAGCAGACAATCTTTTGAATCCATCCTTTTAAAATCAGCTGATTCTTATCTTTTTGTATTCCTTTGCAGTTGCTGCCTCTACAGCTCAGAGCCCTGGAATGAACTTGTCTCACTCTGCATCATCCCTTAGTCTACAACAGGCCTTTTCTGAACTTAGACGTGCCCAAATGACAGAAGGACCCAACACAGCACCTCCAAACTTTAGTCATACAGGACCAACATTTCCAGTAGTACCTCCTTTCTTAAGTAGCATTGCTGGAGTCCCAACCACAGCAGCAGCCACAGCACCAGTCCCTGCAACAAGCAGCCCTCCTAATGACATTTCCACATCAGTAATTCAGTCTGAGGTTACAGTGCCCACTGAAGAGGGGATTGCTGGAGTTGCCACCAGCACAGGTGTGGTAACTTCAGGTGGTCTCCCCATACCACCTGTGTCTGAATCACCAGTACTTTCCAGCGTAGTTTCAAGTATCACAATACCTGCAGTTGTCTCAATATCTACTACATCCCCGTCACTTCAAGTCCCCACATCCACATCTGAGATCGTTGTTTCTAGTACAGCACTGTATCCTTCAGTAACAGTTTCAGCAACTTCAGCCTCTGCAGGGGGCAGTACTGCTACCCCAGGTCCTAAGCCTCCAGCTGTAGTATCTCAGCAGGCAGCAGGCAGCACTACTGTGGGAGCCACATTAACATCAGTTTCTACCACCACTTCATTCCCAAGCACAGCTTCACAGCTGTGCATTCAGCTTAGCAGCAGTACTTCTACTCCTACTTTAGCTGAAACCGTGGTAGTTAGCGCACACTCACTAGATAAGACATCTCATAGCAGTACAACTGGATTGGCTTTCTCCCTCTCTGCACCATCTTCCTCTTCCTCTCCTGGAGCAGGAGTGTCTAGTTATATTTCTCAGCCTGGTGGGCTGCATCCTTTGGTCATTCCATCAGTGATAGCTTCTACTCCTATTCTTCCCCAAGCAGCAGGACCTACTTCTACACCTTTATTACCCCAAGTACCTAGTATCCCACCCTTGGTACAGCCTGTTGCCAATGTGCCTGCTGTACAGCAGACACTAATTCATAGTCAGCCTCAACCAGCTTTGCTTCCCAACCAGCCCCATACTCATTGTCCTGAAGTAGATTCTGATACACAACCCAAAGCTCCTGGAATTGATGACATAAAGACTCTAGAAGAAAAGCTGCGGTCTCTGTTCAGTGAACACAGCTCATCTGGAGCTCAGCATGCCTCTGTCTCACTGGAGACCTCACTAGTCATAGAGAGCACTGTCACACCAGGCATCCCAACTACTGCTGTTGCACCAAGCAAACTCCTGACTTCTACCACAAGTACTTGCTTACCACCAACCAATTTACCACTAGGAACAGTTGCTTTGCCAGTTACACCAGTGGTCACACCTGGGCAAGTTTCTACCCCAGTCAGCACTACTACATCAGGAGTGAAACCTGGAACTGCTCCCTCCAAGCCACCTCTAACTAAGGCTCCGGTAAAATTATTGTTATAAAATAATTAGATAAATATGATCAGTTTTTTTTCTCCCTAATGAGTACATTTTTCACTTCAGCCTTGTAAGTTAGAAACATATTTATAAAGGTACCTGGCTTATAGTATTTATTAAATTGACAGCAGTTTGAGGGTATATCTACAATGAACATGAGATTTTTTTTTCAAGTGTGGCAGGATTTTAGGGTTAATTATGCTGCACAGTTTTCCAAGATGGTATAATTATCGGGTAAAATACAGGTATTTCTTCTGAATTGGTACAAACTGAAGAAGTCTGTATCCCAAAAGGGAGCTAAATGCATCTGTCAGCAAAATGTACGTAAATAATAGCAGTTCATAGTCTTTGTTTCAGTGAGAATGAAGCAAATTTTTGGTTTTGTTGTAGATTCCACAGTTGTACAGTTTGGGGGTTATAAAAAATTGGAAGTTAGTAAGGAAATTGATACAGAGGAGAAATAAATAATCTAATCCTAGGACTGAAGTAACTAAAATTTATTATCTAATTATGCTGTGGTGGATTTCCTCTTGTTCTGCCACCTTCTCCAAATAACAAGGCTGTGTTACGTCTACTGTATTGTATGCTTCAGCCTCTTTCTGCATTGCCATTGATGTGAGGTTCTTTTTATAGTAGGATAATGCAGAATCTTCACTCAGATAAAATAGAAATTCTTGATAATAGTATTAGATTTCTGATGCCTTTTGTTATCAGACCTGCCCATTGGTTATTTCTTAACCAGTTACTGTTTTCTTTTCTCAGAAAATCTTGTTTTACATGGCGAAAGTCTGATACATACTGTACCAAATAAGTAGCTCAAGAATATCTGGACACTGCCACTTATGTACATATAGCCTTTGTTCTGTTCTCCCTAGGGGACAACTTTTTACTGTATTTTACTATTCATTTTATAGGTATATCGTAGTAACCCCTATAATAACAACATTAGTTGTCACACCGTTTTTTTAAGACAGATACCAGAGAGTAACCTCAGTGATAAACATGTCTTAACTATATATATTTTATTCTTATGTTTGTGCATTCAAATTAGTTGATTTGCTCTTCAGTACGCAGTCTTTATATTTAGCGTCTCACGGACTTGATTTTCCCTTTGTTGTCTGTAGGTGCTGCCAGTGGGTACTGAACTTCCAGCAGGTACTCTACCCAGCGAGCAGCTGCCACCTTTTCCAGGACCTTCTCTAACCCAGGTGCCTCAAGACTTGACAAATTTCTTCCTGTGCCCTACTTTCTTTGACAAAGCTTGCTGAAGTTCTCCACTACGTGGTCTTGGCTTTTGCCTATTTGTCTTTGACTTAGTAACACCTTTCTTTTAAAATGTTATAACCAATGACCCAGTTCCTACTTAAGTAAGAAGCTTCATAGCTCTTTTGTTTGTAATGTTGCTTCCGGTTATCCAAAAACACTTGATACTAATTTTTTTTTTATATCTTATGAAGGAAGAAAACAGCAAAGCAAACATTTTGTCAGACCCATATAGCTCCCTTTATCACTCACACTTCTGTAGAATAGCGAAATTGCGTATATAATCAAAATTAACTTTGAGAGTGCCCTAGAAAGGAGAAGCACAATATGGCAACTGAGAAACTTTTTCCGCGAGTCCAGAGCAACCAGTCTCTTCTTGAATGTTGATCATTTCTTTCACTAGCCACCTAATGAAGGAATTAGCTTACTTATAGGTAGGTATAGGGGTGATGTTTCATGAAAACTATGTGTGCTGTCTCTTTTAAAATAAAAGCCACCGAGCTCAGTGAGATGCTAACATTATGAGATCACTCATGGAGGAACTGAGACCAGCCTCATGAACTTGAGATTCCCATCTCACACAGTTCTGCTCACTTGAGTGCAGTGGTGGACAGAATTACCTGTAATATTTATTATTTCTCTTTCCCACCGCAGTCCACCGCCAACACATTTGTTGAATTTCCATAAGAAAAGTACTAATTGTGAATCTGTTGTGACCAGGAAAAATCTTCTGACATGAGACAAGCCAGTAAACTTTTAAACTAAATTAGGAATTTATTTTTGAATCATATATAAGAAATAAGAAAAACATGGTAAATTGCTTACTTGAGAAGCTGAGTTGGAATTTATCCCTATTTCTTTGGTCCCAATGTACAGGGGAACACTATTTGAGGAACTTGCCACAATGAAGTAAAAACCCCAACAGAGAAAGCACTCCATCAGCCACCACATTTGGGGGAAAGTGCATTGTGAAAGTCCGTAAATCAGGAGTTAGAAAATTAGTTTTAAACTTATTTTCTCATTTAAAAACATGGATTCAGATTTCTAAGGGAGTATAAAGTGTGACAAAAAATAGCAAGTGAGACATGTGGAGGGGTAAGGGTAAATAGCTAGTGCCTAGATAGAGGGAAAGGCCTAAGCAAAGACTGTGCAAGAATAGATTGATAGAAGCCAAGACAGATGTAGGATTAGACTGTGGAAGGGTAGAAGGAAGCTGTGTGCTTGCGGTGGATGGAATGGTTAACAGGATGGAATACCCAGACCTCCTTGCCACCATCTGTAGGGAAGAAGTATACATGTAAGAAAGAGGAAAATAATACCCTGTGATAGTGACAGAATATGTTAATGCCATCTTTTATTCATAGGGGCACCTTCCCAGAAAGATGTATAAAACTGAGAAAGAAAAGAGGGAACATGAGATACAGTGAATCTACCAGTAGATCTTTGTACATTTTTCACAATATATTTTAAAGGTCGCACAAATAAATAACTCTTTCTACCGTTTTGAGTAACATCAAACATAGAATGTAATAAGACTTCTCTTAAACTGCAAAAACATGAACTACTCTGAGCCTTGAGAGTCTGACATACAATCTTGAGAAACTGGCAAAATAATCAAAGCAGTACACTAAATTTGAGTATAGTTTTGTATGTTCCATAAAGACAAATGTTATGTTGTGCCAATATAAAGCATAAAACAGTGTGTCCTATCTAAATTGGCTATATATCGTGACTCTGAAGGTGCCACGGAACTGTATTTACTGTGATTGTTTTCATTCAGTCCCAGCAACCTCTAGAGGATCTTGATGCTCAATTGAGAAGAACACTTAGTCCAGAGATGATCACAGTGACTTCTGCGGTTGGTGTAAGTTTTGAAAATCTTGATAAAATCTCCTCATAACCCTAATATATTATATGCCTGGGACACAAACTGTAACCTAAACCATTATTAATACCTTTAACATGTATTCAGAGTTCCTGCTTATTCTAGCCAAAAGAAATGAGACTGATTAATGAAAGATTCATGCTGACTCAGGAGTATCACTATGGAAAAGATTTTATTTGAAAGGTGCTTTTTTAGTTGTACGTCTGGTCAGATTGTGCCATAGATCAATTCTATGGATTTCGTATTTTTGTTTCAGAGGAGGCTAAATTTTGTCAGATAAAATAATGTTTTGGGCTAGGTGCAGTGGCTCACGCCTGTAATCCCAGCACTTTGGGAGGCCGAGGCGGGCGGATCACAAGGTCAGGAGATCGAGACCGTCCTGGCTAACACGGTGAAACCCCATCTCTAGTAAAAATACAAAAAATTATCCAGGTGTGGTGGTGCACGCCTGTAGTCCCAGCTACTCGGGAGGCTGAGGCAGGACAATGGCGTAAAACCCAGGAGGCAGAGCTTGCAGTGAGCCGAGATTGCACCACTGCAGTCCAGCCTGTGTGACAGAGCGAGACTCCATCTCAAAAATAATAATAATGTTTTGATTGAAACTGTTTTTCTGTGAATATCCAAGTTATACCCTTAAGCATCCTATGAGAAAAATTAAGAAAGCAATCAAGAATTAAGAGTAGAAATTCATTCTTTTAAAATGTACCTTTTTTTTTTTTTTTTTTGAGACAGGAGTCTTGCGCTGTTACCCAGGCTGTAGTGCAGTGGCACGATCTTGGCTCACTGCAACCATCACCTCCCAGGTTCAAGTGATTCTTCTACCTCAGCCTCCCGAGTAGCTGGGATTACAGGTGCCCGCCACCACACCCGGCTAATTTTTGTGTTTTTATTAGAGGCGGGGTTTCGCCATGTTGGCCAGGCCGGTCTCGAACTCCTGACCTCAAATGATCTGCCCACCTTGACCTCCCAAAATGCTGGGATTACAGGTGTGAGCCACCATGCCTGGCCCTAAAAGGTGCCTTTCTTTACATCAGACTTTTAGACTTTAAAAGAAAAAGGAAAGAAGATAAAATGTTCTCAGACATAAGTGTTTCATCACATATACTGTCTTTCTGCCCTTTTACAAAGACCATAGGAAAGGCAACGAGGCAAAAGTTTGAGTGACTGAAGCTAAAGATTTGTGGTGTCTGTCTGTGTGTGTTTTACAGCCTGTGTCCATGGCGGCTCCAACAGCAATCACAGAAGCAGGAACACAGCCTCAGAAGGGTGGTGAGAAACATCCTTCCTCCTTTTATATTACTAATTCCAGCCCTACCCGTAGTTGATTCAGGAGGTTTACCGTTTCAAAGACACATTTCCACGTATTTGATAACTGAGGAGCATTGGTAGTAATATCTAAAGCTTGAAAGATTAGCAAATTAATAAATCTGTTCCGTTATTATTTGTCAGAGGAAAGGTTATACAGGAGGTAATGATAAGACCCTTCATTATTAGCTATGCCAGATCCTTGCTATTAGAGATTAGGAAATTAAAGCATACTGTATTTAGAAAAGTAAATTTACTGATAACCTCTTAGCTTTTGTGACACTGGATATATAGGGATAGAAGCTTGAATAGTCTGGACATATATTTGTATTGAAATACAAATGTAAGATTTCAGTTAATCAATTTAAACATTTTTATTTTCAAGGCAATTATATTCTCAATTGGCTCTCATTTTAAAAGTGATTTGCAAATCATTAGAATGGTCTAGAAATGGAAAAATGAAAGGGGAATGTAGATTATCAAAATATGTAGAGTATCAAGTATGTACAATGAAAATAATAAAGATTACTACCAATAAAAAGAGAATGTAGAATATGAAAAAGGTAGCTTTTCAAATCATTGGAAGATGGAATATTTCTTTTTTTTTGAAGTGGAGTTTGCTCTTGTTGCCCAGGCTGGAGTGCAGTGGCATCATCTCGACTCATTGCAACCTCCACCTCCCAGGTTCAAGCGATTTTCCTGCCTCAGCCTCCCAAGTATCTGGGATTACAGGCATGCACCACCACACCTGGATAATTTTGTATTTTTAGTAGAGACAGGGTTTCTCCCTGTTGGTCAGGCTGGTCGCAAACTCCTGACCTCAGGTGATCTGCCCGCCTCGGCCTCCCAGAGTGCTGGGATTACAGGCGTGAGCCACCGCGCCTGGCTGAAAGATGGAATATTTTTATAAGTGGTTTAGAACAACTTGAAAGCCATCTGGAAAAAAGCAAAGGTGGATCACTAGCCTAGACATAAGTAAAGTCCAAGTGGACCAAAGATGAAATATTATATCATAAAATAGTACTATATGAAATCATAAGGGGATTTTTTTTCTTTTTTTTTTTTTTTTTAGTTTTTTAATTTATTAGTAATAACAACTTGAGAATTGCATAGTATTAAGGCATCAGTTCTTGGAGTGTGGGCTGAGGACCCTTTTGGGGTGCCTATGAGGGCAACACTATTTTACAGTAAAACTAAGACATTATTTTCCTTTTTCACTATAGACAAAAATTTAGCCAGCTGTGGTGGTGTATGCCTGTAGTCCTAGCTAATCGGGAGGCTGAGACGAGGATTGCCTGAGCCCAGGAGTTCCAGGCTACAGTGAGCTATGGTTTTGCCACTGCACTCCATCCTAGGTGGCAGAGTGAGACCCTGTCTCAAAAAAAAAATCATGCATGAACAAAAAAATGTATAGGTCAATGGATTTTAATGGCCACAGTTATGAATATCTTATTACTATTATTTCAGATCCCACATTATAACTAACTTTTTTTTTTTTTTGTGGCTTGGAAATCTTTTTTTTTTTTAATTTTATTATTATTATACTTTTAAGTTTTAGGGTACATGTGCACAACGTGCAGGTTTGTTACATATGTATACATGTGCCATGTTGGTGTGCTGCACCCATTAACTCGTCATTTAGCATTAGGTATATCTCCTAATGCCATCCCTCCCCCGTCCCAAGGGGATTTTTTTCAACTATCTAGAGCAGGGTTCACAAACTCTTTTTCTGTAAAGGGCGAGATGGTACAAATTTTAGGCTTTCTAGACCATATAGTCTCTTGCAACTTACTCAGATCTCACAAGTAGCAATGGACAATACATAAATAAATGAGTTTGTGTTTCAATAGAATTTATTTACAAAAACAGGCAGTAGGCTGAATTTGGTCCATGGATCAGTTTGGAGTTCTCAGATAAGTTTAATAGAGGTGTTAAGTTCAATGTCTAATCCAGAAGCAAGTAGTAATAGATATAAAATTTTCTTCATGGAAGAAAAGTGCCACCGATTGCAAATATAAATGAAAAACTGGGGAAATATATATATTTGTGGGAGGGGGAGGGGTATGTGTAGTCATATCACAAAAAGAACTCGTTTTGCTAATACAAAGAGTTCCTAAAATTCAACATGAACCAAAAAACAATCAAAAGATAACAGAAAAGGAAACTTAGACATGAAAATATTTAATGTCCGTAATGATAGAAACACAAAGTAAGGCTACAAGTGATAGCAATTCCCACCTCTCATTGGTAAATTCAGGGGTCTAATAGCCACCAGTGACTTGGTACAGCCTCTGGGGGGATCAGTTTATAATAGTGATGTCTACTACAGTCTTAAATGGAAATAATTCAGCACTTTCATTGTGGTATATTTATTGTACAGATCTATAAGAGAATATTTATTTCTAAAATAGCAAGAAATTCTGGGCCGGGCATGGTGGCTCACACCTCTAATCCCAGCACTTTGGGAGGCCAAAGCAGGTGGATTGCTTGAGCCCAGGATTTCGAGACCAGCCTGGGCAATATAGTGAGACCCCCATCTCTGCAAGAAATTTTAAAAATTAGCCGGATGTGGTGGTGTGCACCTGTTGTTCTAGCTTCTCAGGAGGCTGAGGAGGAAGGATCACCTGAGCCTGGGAGGTTGAGATTGTGGTGAGCTGTGATGGCATCACTGTACTCCAGCCTGGGTGACAGAGTGAGACCCTGTCTCAGGGAAAAAAGAAAAGAAATTCTGAATAATTTAAATGCCCATCAGTAGAAGCCTGATTAAATATGAAATATATATATGGTATATACATAGGGTATGACACTATGCAATCATTAAAAAGAATGAGGCATTGATATGGAATGATCTCAAAGATATAGAATTACATGAAAACATAAAAATCGCTCAATGTTCTACTAGCTGTATAAAATAAATATATCTCTAGAAAGAAACTCAAAGCATTGTTCCCCGGAAAGGTTTTTAAATTGCCCAAAACTAAATAATTCTGAGGGCTGGGTGCAGTGGCTCACGCCTGTAATCCCAGCACTTTGGGAGGCTGAGGCGGGCAGATCACGAGGTCAGGAGATCGAGACCATCCTGACTAAGACGGTGAAACCCCGTCTCTACTAAAAATACAAAAAATTAGTCGGGTGTGGTGGTGGGCGCCTGTGGTCCCAGCTACTCGAGAGGCTGAGGCAGGAGAATGGCATGAACCTGGGAGGTGTAGCTTGCAGTGAGCCAAGATCGCACCACTGCACTGCAACCTGGGCAACAGAGTGAGACTCCATCTCAAATAATAATAATAATAATAATAATTCTGAGAACTGTACTATCCTATTCTAGAATTTGCCAGTGTTACATTGAGAAAATAAAATTAGCTGGTTTTCATTTAACAATGGATCTTGGCTGGACATGGTGATTCACACCTGTAATCCCAGCACTTTGGGAGGCTGAGGCAGGCATATTACCTGAGGTCAGGAGTTCAAGACCAGCCTGGACAACGTGGTGAAACTCCGTCTCTACTAAAAATATAAAAATTAGCCGGGTGTGGTGGCACACGCCTGTAATCCCAGCTACTCAGGAGGCTGAGGCAGGAGGATCACCTGAACCCAGTAGGTGGAGGTTGCAATGAGCTGAGATCGCACCACTGCACTCCAGCCTGGCCAACAGAGCGAAACTCCATCTCAATAAAATAAAGATGGGTCCTTAATGTCCTCAGTAAAATCTCATCCTTCATTTCACTTACTTATATATCTGAATTAAAGAATGAGTAATTGAGTTTTTAAAGCCTGTTAACCTTTGTTTTTATAGTATATGTTAATGTTGTAGTTGGTATCTAGTAGTAGAGCAAACAATAACTCTTTTCCCCTGTTGGACAGAGCCTCATGGAGGGAGGAGATAAGGAAGTTCTCTTTGCCTCTAACAGCTTTCCTCATGTGTAGTTTGATTTTGCTGTATTTCTAGCTAAAGGGAAAAGAAGTTAACTGGAAGGAGACACTTATGTTTTCCTCATCCATGTATTTGTTTCAGTTTCTCAAGTCAAAGAAGGCCCTGTCCTAGCAACTAGTTCAGGAGCTGGTGTTTTTAAGATGGGACGATTTCAGGTAAGACAGTCACTTTGTGTTGCCTTGATTCCTTCCTTTGGAGGAGTTGTCTATATAATAAAATTACTGCCTACCTATTTGGGACACAATTGCCAGTCTAGTGATTTCTGTCACATAGTACTTTATAGCTCTTTTTAGCATTTTCCTAATAAAAGTAATATATACTAAATAAAATATAGAAATACTTAGAACAGTAGAGACACGGTAGATAGTCGTACTATCTATCCACCCACCTCCCAAGATTACTTTTTGGGGTGTATTTCCTTCCACTCCTTGTTTTCTGTACAAGTGTTTATCTAAAATTAACTACCATTTCTCCTGTTCCAAATGTTACAGCTTTTTTTCCCATCCAGTAATTGGTTTACCTAACCAGTCTCTATCATCATTTCTCATTTTTCCAACATAATAAGTTAAGTAACAGCAAACATCTTTGTGTATAAAAATGTTTTCCACGTTTAAAATAATTGTCCTAAGATTAATTCTTTAAATTAAAACACATGATACCATATCACTTTATTTTACCAGGTTGTCCAACATGTGAGCATTTTCTGGCTGGGGAGAGTAGGTGATATTTTTCTCATTTGTAAACAGGTCCTGAACCTTTATAGGTGGGCTGAGTTTGTATTTGTAAATACATGGACAAACCAGAACAAGGATCTGGATCCTCTTTTTTAGTTACCAGTTAGTTGTGTTGATTCTTGAGGCATACCAGGCATTTAACATTTACCTTGTAGTTTTTCTTATTCACAGGCAACCCTAAAAATTCTACAATGCCTTGCTAATTTATTTTATTTATTTACTTTTATTTTATTTTTTTATTTTTATCTATTTATTTATTTTTGAGACGGAGTCTCACTCTGTCACCCAGGCTGGAATGCAGTGGCATGATCTCAGCCCACTGCAGCCTCTGCCTCCCGGGTTTAAGTGATTCTCCTGCCTCAGCCTCCCAAGTAGCTGGGATTACAGGCACACGCTACCATGCCTGGCTAATTTTTGTATTTTTAGTAGAGACAGGGTTTCACCACGTTGGCCAGGCTGATCTGAAACTCCTGACCTCAAGTGATCCACCTGCTTCAGCCTCCCAAAATGGTGGGCTTACAGGCATGAGCCACTATGCCTGGCCCTGACCTTTTGTTATGTATATGTTGACTAAGACATAAATCTGAATTCTGTGTATGACATCAAATACGAAAGTAAATTATTTACTTTATAAGCGTAGCCAGCCACACAGAATCTGCATCTCAGTACCCATGTGTTCTCTATGATGGTATTCAATTTTTCTTCCTAGTCAAAAGTGGAGGCGCTATGTAAAGAGACAATCAGCCTACTCTTTGACAGGGAAATAAAGTGATTCTTTTTTTCCTTTTTTAAATTGTCTGTGATAGAAATTGGATATTGAGAACTTAAGTTTTTAATCTTTGTCCTTTTTTATCAGGTTTCTGTTGCAGCAGACGGTGCCCAGAAAGAGGGTAAAAATAAGTCAGAAGATGCAAAGTCTGTTCATTTTGAATCCAGCACCTCAGAGTCCTCAGTGCTATCAAGTAGTAGTCCAGAGAGTACCTTGGTGAAACCAGAGCCGAATGGCATAACCATCCCTGGTATCTCTTCAGATGTGCCAGAGAGTGCCCACAAAACTACTGCCTCAGAGGCAAAGTCAGACACTGGGCAGCCTACCAAGGTTGGACGTTTTCAGGTGACAACTACAGCAAACAAAGTGGGTCGTTTCTCTGTATCAAAAACTGAGGACAAGATCACTGACACAAAGAAAGAAGGACCAGTGGCATCTCCTCCTTTTATGGATTTGGAACAAGCTGTTCTTCCTGCTGTGATACCAAAGAAAGAGAAGCCTGAACTGTCAGAGCCTTCACATCTAAATGGGCCGTCTTCTGACCCGGAGGCCGCTTTTTTAAGTAGGGATGTGGATGATGGTTCCGGTAGTCCACACTCGCCCCATCAGCTGAGCTCAAAGAGCCTTCCTAGCCAGAATCTAAGTCAAAGCCTTAGTAATTCATTTAACTCCTCTTACATGAGTAGCGACAATGAGTCAGATATCGAAGATGAAGACTTAAAGTTAGAGCTGCGACGACTACGAGATAAGTAAGTATATTTTCTCTTGTGAAAGAATGTCAGATAAGGTTTTCAGACCTAGATCCCAGGGCCAAGATTAATAATATTTTTCGCCACAATATGCTAATGTCTCATTTCTTTTAAAGAGACAGTGCCACAGAAGCCCCACCCCATACCTCCCCACCACACACACACACACACACACACACACACACACACACACACACACACACACACGATTCCCAACCACTGACTCACAGGCACAGGCAGCTTCTCTTGCACTCATACAGACCCATAGCATTTCTAGTTCTAGAACTTCTTCATTGTTACTATATTATTACTGTATTATTGTTACTGTATTGTATTATTATTTTTATTAATAGCATATTGTATCACTATTAACTGCTCTTTATTTATTAGTCCACTAAATGAATCTGGCACTGGGATGTATGATTATTTGGCACGTTTTGTTTGGCAGATTGGGTCAGAGTAGCAAATTCAGCTATTGTGTGCGTGGCCTCAAAAGTCAGGAAATGTTTTTCTCCTAAAACATTATCAACCATTTGTTGTTGGCTAGGAGCTTGTTGGAACATGGCTTGGGTAATGCAGGCCAGCAAGGTGAGTTGACAAACTAGAATCTCGTGGTAGTACATTTGGGGAAAAGGTTCATTAGTAACTACTACATACTTGAAAGCAGGTTTAGGAATATGCTGTTAATTCTTGTCTGAATGAAGAGGATTATGGTATTTTGAATTATGTTTGGTTATCTTTCACAGACATCTCAAAGAGATTCAGGACCTGCAGAGTCGCCAGAAGCATGAAATTGAATCTTTGTATACCAAACTGGGCAAGGTGCCCCCTGCTGTTATTATTCCCCCAGCTGCTCCCCTTTCAGGGAGAAGACGACGACCCACTAAAAGCAAAGGCAGCAAATCTAGTCGAAGCAGTTCCTTGGGGAATAAAAGCCCCCAGCTTTCAGGTAAAAAGCCCTGGACTAGGTCAGCCACAGCTGTCCTATCTTTTGTTTCTGTCTCCAGCTGTATGTGACCTGCTGAACATTTGTTGTTTTTGTTAAATTTCAAAGGAATTTGGCTCTCCTGATATTTTTGCTTCCTTGACTGCTGTACTTACATTTATTGTACCTCTTTTTGAGTCTATAGAAGTAGACTTAGTGAATACAATGGCTTATTCCATTGTAATCCATATTGCTATCTACTGGTAATCTTTATTTATAGTTATTCTTAAGGATAGACATTTAGCTTTGCCTGTTAACTCGTATAACTCACATTTAACCAAACTCTTGGGCAGTTGGAAGAAAATACATTATTCTCTGTTTAGTAAAACTTGGGTAGATTCTTTGTTTTAATGGATGACTTAGTCATAATTGCAACTTAGATGAATGTAATCGTCATATAGATATTTGTGTGTATGTCTAAGTGGTAACTTCTTGATTAAGGTTTTTATTTCATTTATATTGGGTTAAAGAACTTGCTAGTCATTGGTTAGGCACGGTGGCTCACGCCTGTAATCCCAGAACTTTGGGAGGCTGAGGCAGGCAGATCACGAGGTCAGGAGATCAAGACCATCCTGACTAACACGGTGAAACCCTGTCTCTACTAAAAATAAAAAAATTAGGTGGGCATGGTGGCAGGCGCCTATAGTCCCAGCTACTCAGGAGGCTGAGGCAGGAGAATGGCATGAGCCCGGGAGGCGGAGCTTGCAGTGAGCTGAGATTGCACCACTGCACTCCAGCCTCGGTGACAGAGCAAGACTCTGTCTCAAAAAAAAAAAAAAAAAGAAGAACTTGCTAGTCATTAAAATCAAAGAAATAGTTAAGTGATACTCTTTTGTAATGTAGTATATATATATATTTATTTATTTTAAGAGACAGGGCCTCACTCTGTTGCCCAGACTGGAGTGCAGTGGTGTGATCATAGCACACAACACAACAGCCTCAAACTCCTAGGCTCAGGTGGTCCTCCTACCTTAGCTTCCTGGGTAGCTGGGATTACAGGCACACACTACCATGCCCTGCTAACTTTGAATTTTTTTTTTGAGACAGAATCCCGCTCTGTTGCCCAGGCTGGAGTGCAGTGGCACGATCTCGGCTCACTGCATTCTCCGCCTCCCAGTTTCAAGTGATCCTCCTGCCTCAGCCCCGCATAGTAGCTGGGATTACAGGCACATGTCACCATGCCTGGCTAATTTTTGTATTTTTAGTAGAGATGGGGTTTCACTATGTTGGCCAGGCTGGTCTCAAACTCCTGGCTCAGGTGATCCACCCACCTTGGCCTCCCAAAGTGCTGGGATTACAGGCGTGAGCCACCGTGCCCGGCCCTGGACTATATTTTAATTGGGATAGATAGAGAGTTTCTAATCCTTTGGTGAAATTATGGTAGTGTTAACACAATTAGTTGAAAAGTAAAAGAAGGTTAAAATATGTTAAAAAGCAGTTGCAAACTTCTTAGCAGTTCCATTCTCTGGAAAGGTTCACAGATATCCAAATGTAGCACATTAGGGCCAGTTCATGCAGCCCATTAGTAGAGATGTGATTGTAAGAGAAATCAGCTAATTTCTGATCTGATCCCAATCAGATCTTTTTTGTTTTTGTTTTTGTTTTTTTGAGGCAGAGTCGGCAGTGGCTCAACCTCCAACTCCCAGGTTCAAGCAATTCTCATGCCCCAGCCTCCCAAGTAGCTGGGATTACAAGCATGTAATCCCAAACCAAATGTATAAGAACACCTGGCTAATTTTTGTATTTTTGTATTTTTAGTTGCACTATGTTGGCCAGACTGGTCTGAAACTTCTGGCCTCAGGTGATCCGCCCGCCTCAGCCTCCCAAAGTGCGGATTACAGGCATGAGCCACTATGCCCAGCTATGATCCTAATCAAATTCTAATCCTAATTTTGACATACTTTTTGAGTGGACTTGAATTCAACTGGGAACCGGGGAGCAGAGAGTCAATTTTAGGACAACCGACCTATTGAAAGCAACCTACCAAAAATAATTTTAAACACCCATTGCTCTGTAGTGACCTCCATCATTTTTGAACACCTCTTTTGTATTTGCTCTGATGCACGTTTATAGGAAAGTCTAAGCAGAGACTGCCTAGCAAACCTTTTTGTATAATGATTCAACACATTTTCTAATAGGGTAAAAAAAAAAGCAATCATGGAATTGCAGAATGGAATCTGGGTATCCACTAGGTACTCTGGTCTTCTTACGCTGCTCAGACATGTGGCCCATCTAGGTTTTCTAAAGCTAAAAAGCTCTGGAATAGTACATATGGCCCTATTACCTATGGATTCTTTTCTTTTTTTTTTTTTTTTTTTGAGTGCAGTGGCATGATGTCGGCTCACTGCAGCCTCTGCCTCTGGGTTCAAGCAATTCTCCTTCCTCAGCCTCCTGAGTAGCTGGGATTATAGGCACCCTCCACCACGCCTGGCTAATTTTTATATTTTTAGTAGAGACAGGGTTTCATCATGTTGGCCAGGCTGGTCTCGAACTCCTGACCTCAGGTGATCCGCCCACCTTGGCCTCCCAAAGTGCTGGGATATTATAGGCGTGAGCCACAACACCCAGCCTATCTATTGAGTCTTAGTGTCATTCCTCACTTCTCCCGTTAGTGAGGACTTTGTTCTTCTCATCAGTTTGTAGCTTTTGACCCATCATTCATCACTCAGTGGAACAAACCAAATGTATAAGAACAGTGCCTGATGAGTGCATGGGAAGAGCTGGACATGTTTCCTCATGCCACTTTATCTTTTGGCAGGTAACCTGTCTGGTCAGAGTGCAGCTTCAGTCTTGCACCCCCAGCAGACCCTCCACCCTCCTGGCAACATCCCAGAGTCCGGGCAGAATCAGCTGTTACAGCCCCTTAAGCCATCTCCCTCCAGTGACAACCTCTATTCAGCCTTCACCAGTGATGGTGCCATTTCAGTACCAAGCCTTTCTGCTCCAGGTCAAGGTAATAAAGCAACCATCATCGTCCAAAAACAATAAAATGGAGATGTTGCCATACCTGGGACAAAAGCCTGTTAAGGCGGGTTGGGAGACTAGCTGACCAGAACACAGCCTGTGTGTTGTACACTGAAGAATCTGGGTGAAAAGGGAAGTGGAGTGATAATGAGAATCGGTGGGCTCACTGCTCCCATTAGGTGAAATTACTTTTTTTCAAGGAATTACAGTGAAAAGTTACATCTGTGTGGCCTATATGACTTGCTCATTTGGGATTTGGAACTTAGGCTTTAATATTAGGCTGAGATTTCCTGGATGAAATTCTAAGGTGTTTTAGCAGTTTCTGAAGCTAATACATTTTCTTAGCCATTGTAGAATTTTGTTACTTTTAAGTATGGGAGTGGCATACTAAAATGAATAACCTTACAATTCAGTTTTTTATCCATAATCTACTTTCCAAATATAGCTCTGTTTATTAGTGATTGCTGAAAAAATTCCCACAGAGGAAAGAGCTTTTAGTCATATTAGAACAAGAATTGAAAAGACTTGGGCATCTGGGTGAGAAGAATGAAAAAAATATAGGTACTGGCTTATGTGCCTTTGCCACAGTTTCACAGAAATTAGAGATCAGTCTCTTCACAGGAAGAATGCACTTGATTGGTAAGGAGGGCAAACTAGCTAGCATTATTCGAACTAAGAAAAGCTTCCGCATTTTGCAGATGGGTAGAATTAAGACCTAATATTTCATCTCTTACATATCTGACCTTCCCCCCAGAAGCTTGTTCTTCTGTGTGCCATCTTAGTGCATTTCACCACTCCAGCCTCAAGTTTCTAACATCTTGTAGTTGTGTTCTGTCTCTTCTCCTCTCTCTGTTCTACCCTGTTTTTCCCCTCTCACAGGCTGTGCGAAGTTTAACTGTGCATCTGAACAGGTGACATTCAAACCTGGTGGCAGGAGGACCCGATTTCTGAGTACGCCCTGCTTGGCTCTTTGTGTGTAACACCTTTACTCCTTCCTTGTCCTTGTGTTTCTGCTGCTTGGATCTGATGTTTCACGCAGTCCATTTTCATTTGTCTCTTTTTGTATATCATCTACTCAGTGGCTTGGCTGAATTACTGTTACCCTCAGAAGTTTGGGCCCCCACATTAATTATGATAAAAAATGTCAAAATAACAAGTTATCTACAAATTTCAATGTAACTTTCTGGTAGAAGTGCTTCTTCATGGATCTGTGACAGAGAGTGGATATGGTATCTAGGCAATAGATTGCTGGGTCATTTAGAATAATGAAGACTGAACTCCACAGTCGTAGTCAGTGCTGTCTGTCTGCCCTAGCATTAGAAATGAGAGAAATCAGCCAGACACGGTGGCGTACACCTGTAATCCCAGCACTTTGGGAGGCCGAGGCGGGAAGATTGCTTGAGGCCAGGAGCTCGAGACCAACCCTGGGCAACATGGTGATACCCCATCTCTAAAAAAAAAAAAAAAGTTAGCCTGGCATGGTGGTGTGCACCTATAGTCCCAGCTGCCCAGGAGGCTGAGGCGGGAGGATTACCACCTTAAGACCAGGAGGTTGAGACTGCAGTGAGCCATGATTGCACCACTGCACCCCAGCCTGAGCGACAGAGTGAGACTCTATCTCAAAAAAAAGAAACGAAATGAAGAAAGCATTTTGACCAATGATGCTCTTAGATCCTGGCAGCAGGTAAAAATTATGTACCATTTTTTTCCATTCTTTGTCAGAGTAGATTGAAATCTTATTTTTCTTCTCTATTAAGCCTAAGCAGCTACCAGTTGAAAAGATGCTAGGATCTCTTCATTGGATCATTCCACCACTACTGTCCTCTAACCCCATAAAATCAAAAGCGGTTTTTAGTTTGGTTATTCTGATAAAGCACTTAGTCTAATAAAGATCAAAGCCCAGCATCTGCAAGTGAAAATTCTCCTTCTAACATGATTTCTGGGATTTTGCAGCTTTCTACTTAAAAACAAGGCACAATAGCAAGTCACCCCATCTTCCCCATATGTGAAATGGAGATGATGCCAGTGTCCTAGGGCCATCGTACAAATCAAGCTAAGATCATGTACAGAGAAACAGGTAGCGCTTGAAAAGCACTCATGGTTTCTCTCTGATGAGTCAGTGCCTACCTGGCACAGAACAGGTAGTCAATAACTGTTCGTGGAAGAACAGTTTAAAACAAACAAAAACATAGTTCAAGTAGAAAAACCTTTGTTATAATTTGAATAAAGATCTTCTCTGTTAAGGCCTCAAACTTCTGATGTGATTATTGAAGTGCTTTTTACATGCATGTGCTCAGGCCATCACTGTTTCTGAGTATGGGTCAGAGGCCCTTGGGCCTCTTCACGGTGGGAAGAATTTACAACCTCCCTTTGTTCTCTGTAGTGACTAGATTTAAAGCGAAGCATATGACACGTTTAACTGCCATTTCCCTCACACATACCCCTGTTATTTTTACCTGCATTAGAAATGGATTGGCTCCTTCCAGCACCCCTATTATTTGTACCTGTATTAGTAATGAGTTAGCTGTACTTGAGAGGCAGTCTTTACTGACTTTCCCCACATGCACTAGTCCCAGGCTGTTTAACAAAGAAGCGGGTGGAAGGCATTACCCAATTCGATCGTTTTCCAGGCTTGTGTGATTTTTTTTTTGAGGACTCAGATCAATAATTTTTCTGGTCAGACTTTCCTGGACTGTGCATATTAGCACTTTGACAGTTGAATAAGCATTTAATTTGCATGTCCACCTAGAAAGTTGCAAGGGGGGTGTTTTTGAAGTAGAATGTGACATGTCAGGCCTATGGTCTACAGCCTGAAGTGTCTGAGAGGGAAGAAAGAGAACCAAAGCTTCTGTTTCTGAAATATAATGTGACAAATACCACTTTAATTAAATTCCATAAATTCTCATCCCACTTTTAAAGGTAGGTGGTATTACCCCTGTTGTTCAAATGAAAGTGGTCAGAAATATTGAATCTTGTCACTTCCCTTTGGGTGCAAAATGAAAGGCCCTACATCCTTAGAAGTCACATCAGGATACATCATGTAAGCCTGGTAAACAAATCCCAAGAGACATACTTGAAATATGGAAAGGAAACAGGTACTTGAAAGAGTAGGGCACCTTACTAGCTTGAGATGTATTATTCTATGCTCTCAAAATAGATAATGGTTTGGAAGCACGGCTTGGCTTACTGCTATATTTATGTTCAGAGGTTGCTTGTTTTCCACGTACTTTTAAAAACTATTCTGGAAGGGAAGGGGTTAGTATATATATGTGGGATGTGGAAATATAATAGCCAATTTAAATGAACTTAAAGCTGTAACAGTGATACTATCAGTCTACTGTGGTGGGGTTGCTAATGCATTTAACTGAGTGCTTTTTAACAGCCCAGCTGGAGAAACAGGAAGTGGGACAGGATCAGTGGAAACGCTGCTTGGGTATTTGAAATTCAAGCAGTGAGACCTGAGAGACTGGAGTTCCTCGCCAATTCCAGAACCTCAGTGCAGGGCATTACTCTTTTAGATACAAAGATTGGGTGTAGAAACTCCACATCTGTCAGCCACGTAACACAGCCCATCAGATAATCATGTTAAGGCTAACAGCCAGTTCGAAACATTCTGTAGAACTATATCTGTTCAAGGGCTACCAGGTCCTACCTATCTGTCTCACCTCCTGCTTTCTCTTGCTGGGCGTTTGTGTGCTGTTTGGAGATTCTAAATATTTTACACTGATGTTTCTTTATCTTTAACACATTGCTTCTCTCTTTGTGCTTCAGGGAAGATGGTGAAAAAAGTCTGTCCTTGCAACCAGCTCTGTAGTAATTATCTTTTCTGTTATTTTTGGTCCTTGATTGCAAAGCCTGTTAACCATGAGTTCTTTCAACTCTGCAGTCTCATAGCTCCCTGATTCCTAACTTCCATCTATCTCTGTATCCTATTCTAATAAATATTTAACATGCTTAATTGAGAAATCATCTCCTAGTCGGTGCCCTCAGTGATAACCCCATGTGAGCCTAGCTTGTGACAGACATGGATTGGTAATGGCCATGGGTATATATAGGGAGGTCAGGGATGCCTAGTTCCTATGGGAGAGCGATCCTTTGGTCAGCAAATATGTGCCGGGCAGTGTTATTACCCCAACTGGAAACTCAGCAGTGACGAAAGCATACAAAAGTCCATGCCCTCCCACGTTCACACTGAAGTGGGAGATGTGTGCTAGATTGACGAGGAGAAAAACACCACTTTCTAGAGTTTGTCTTCTTAGACTGTGGCTTCTCATACTTTAATGAGAAGGCCACTTACAGTGTTGTAGGTAGGGTCAACAGGGAAATTCTGTACTTGGGATGTTGGGCTGTAAGTTATGGTTCATAATAGGTTATTGTTAGTAGGATCTGGTGATGTGGGAATAGGGGAAATGTATTATAATGGCAGGAGGAAATTTAAAAATGAATCTTGGGGGTAAGTCTATACTACTTATTAGGGCTTTTCAGAAGAACTAAAAAAGGTTAAGAAGTTAGCATATTCTCTCAAAGGCCTTTCTACATCTTTTATAGTCAAGTCTCCTTTTCTTAGGAGTTAATTTCTGGTCAGAAAATGATAGGTTTGTTTCATTCTTTAATGGGAGGCCTGTATACAGAAGCCAGAACGTGAAGGTTTAGCTGTATGGTTGACTCTTCCTCATGGTTTCTCTTTCCTCATAGAGAATCCTGTATTAGGTAATGTAGGGTAAAATGAAAAGTGAAATTTCGTTCTAAAGGGGCCTCGCAGCATCAGGGGCGACAGACTAGAGAGGTGTGTCTCCCAGCATGAGCTCTGTGGATAAGCAATGGTCACGCCTCCTGAGCTTCTTGTATTTAGCTTTTGACAGCTCTGCTCCCCTGTGATTATTTCTGTTTTTTGTTTTGATTGTCTCTCACATCAAGCTCACCAAGCAATAATTGTTCAAACAGGATGACAATCCCCATGCATGTGATATGCTTGCTTTCTAGATTGAGTCACTCACTGTCATGACTGCCCATCCTCATTGCCTGTGCTTCCCACTTCACCACTCTCTCACATTGGCTGTTCATGGAAGGCTGTTTTCTGTGCTCTCATGCTTCTCCCCTCGCGTTTCCTGTACTGTAGGGAGCTTACTCTTCCCTTCACACTGTATGTGCAATAGCAATCCCCTTGTGGCTCCAGCAGACACCAAGAAATGAGCTGACACTCACACTGCAGTAGTTCCGTGTCTTGCCATAGCGGTAAGAAGCATGTGACCTTCCTCACTGCAGCTTCACCTCAGAATTAGCTGTTACTGCAGCACAGACCTGCTTGTGTGTGCCATTCCCCAGGTGGTAGGATATAAGCTTGACTTGAGACCAGCGATGGTCAGTAACAGGCTTTGAAGTGGCAGGATTGCGTTAGGTGTGCTGCTGTGATCTGGTGCTGCTTTGACCTTGAAAGCAGGATAACGCATGCACTTACTTACCCCCGCATTACTTGGGTACCTTAAGGACTAGTGGTTCACAACTTACTTTAGGAGCTTTTATTTATTCTGTAACACGTGAGATCTGGTAAGACAGTGGGGGGTAAGGAAAACAGACAAGACCATGACTCTTCTTTCCCTCTTCCCCAAAACGTGCCTCTTGGAATAATCTTCAGTGTGCCCTCCAGCAGAGCCGAAATCAGGCAGGCATAGACTCCCTCCTCTCTCATCAAACCGCAGAAATAGAGTTCCTTCATCATAACCGCAAAGCTTCCTCCTCCCCTTTGCACCCTGCCTCAGCTGCATTTTCTTGTCGCTTCTACATGGGAGTGCTTGCTGTTCTGGGAAGAGTGGGGAGAAGCGGTGGGAATCCTTGAGCCAATTGAAACTGAGGTCATCTTCAGGAAAACCATGTCTTCCTGAAGTTGAAAGATTCAGGCACACCATACAGTCCTTTCCTCATGAATAATCTTGTTCTTTACTCATGGGAAATTGGGAGAGGTTAACCCCTCCCAAGTTTATGTTTGCAAATTCATGTTTATGGGTCCAGGTGAAAAACTTTTCTGAACACAGCATGCTACTTCTCTTATTACCTCTCTCTATTTAAAGAATGGCTAGGCTGAGCATGGTGGCTCACACCTGTAATCCCAGCACTTTGGGAGGCTGACATGGCAGGATTGCCTGAGCCCAGCAGTTCATGACTAAGCAACATATGGAGATTCTGTCTATATAAAAAAGTAAAAAATTAACTGGGTGTGGAAGTGCATACGTCTAGTCCCAAGCTACTTGGGAGGCTGAGGCAGGAGGAGTTGGAGGCTGCAGTGAGACGTGATTGTGCCGCTGTATCCAGCCTGGGTGACAGAAAAAGAAGAGACCCTTCCTTTAAAAAAAAAAAAAAGCCGGGCGTGGTGGCTCACGTCTGTAATCCCAGCACTTTGGGAGGCCAAGGCGGGCGGATCACCTGAGGTCAGGAGTTCTTGAGACCAGCCTGGCCAACACGGCAAAACCCTGTCTCTACTAAAATACAAAAATTAACTGGGCATGGTGGTGCACACCTACAATCCCAGCTACTCTGGAGGCTGAGACAGGAGAATCGCTTGAACCCAGGAGGCAGGGGTTGCAGTTAGGTAGGATCGTACCACTGCACTCCAGCCTGAGTAATAGAGTGAGACTCCATCTCAAAAAAAAAAAAAAAGGCTAAAGAATGTGGCAGTGTCCAATGGTTTGGAAACCCACCTTCTCCTTATCCTTAGCCAAGCATCTTTTCCTACTCCTACTTTAACCGTGCCCAATGCACAAGAAAACCTCTTTTTCCCTGCATTCTGCAAAATTCCAGAGCAACTAGCCTTGCTGATTGTATCACACCTCCATCAGCAACGTGATGCTGGGAATAGCGTACTGGCGAGCAGTTCCAATACTCTTAGGTGCTTTGTGAATGGACTGAAAGAGGCCCCTGCCTGTGTACCTACCGTCATCCTGAGTTGTTCAGCCTTAGCAGCAGCTACTGAAGAGAAACTGTTTTCATCACCCTATTATACCAAAACAAATGGCTAAACAAAACCTTGGAATCTTCCCTCTTGCATGGCTTCCCAGTTCATCCTCTTCTCATTCTGTGGCTTGCCATTCATCATCCCGTGAAGTTTTCCCTCTTCCTGAAATTGTAACCTAGGCTTCTTTTAATGCTCGTATTCTGTTGCTTATAATAGGAACCAGCAGCACAAACACTGTTGGGGCAACAGTGAACAGCCAAGCCGCCCAAGCTCAGCCTCCTGCCATGACGTCCAGCAGGAAGGGCACATTCACAGATGACTTGCACAAGTTGGTAGACAATTGGGCCCGAGATGCCATGAATCTCTCAGGCAGGAGAGGAAGCAAAGGGCACATGAATTACGAGGTAAGTCTCTCTTTTGCCGCAGAGAATCCGTAACACACATCTGAGTCAAGGTGATAGAAACAACTAAGCTGCTGCTTAACGTCTTACGCCACGACCTTCTTCAATTTTAATACTTTAGAAAAACAAGGCAAAAATCCCCCAGGTACCCTTTTATTTTTCCTTCCCTGAATTCCTAACCTCTTGTTGGTCAGCTCAACTTTTTCTTCTTCGTTTTTCCTTCGTCATCCTCAACTACACACACACAGACACACACGCACATGACATCCCTCCCTCTCATGAGGATTATTTTCACCCTTACTTGGTAAATATAAAGAGCCAATAAATACTACAGAAGACTGTTCTGCTGTATCTTACAGGATTATACTAGAAGTATATGTTAGCGCCACACATTTTATACCATGGCCCACACCAGACTTGACACGTGGTGGTTTTGTTTTCAGGGCCCTGGAATGGCAAGGAAGTTCTCTGCACCTGGGCAACTGTGCATCTCCATGACCTCGAACCTGGGTGGCTCTGCCCCCATCTCTGCAGCATCAGCTACCTCTCTAGGTCACTTCACCAAGTCTATGTGCCCCCCACAGCAGTATGGCTTTCCAGCTACCCCATTTGGCGCTCAATGGAGTGGGACGGGTGGCCCAGCACCACAGCCACTTGGCCAGTTCCAACCTGTGGGAACTGCCTCCTTGCAGAATTTCAACATCAGCAATTTGCAGAAATCCATCAGCAACCCCCCAGGCTCCAACCTGCGGACCACTTAGACCTAGAGACATTAACTGAATAGATCTGGGGGCAGGAGATGGAATGCTGAGGGGGTGGGTGGGGGTGGGAAGTAGCCTATATACTAACTACTAGTGCTGCATTTAACTGGTTATTTCTTGCCAGAGGGGAATGTTTTTAATACTGCATTGAGCCCTCAGAATGGAGAGTCTCCCCCGCTCCAGTTATTGGAATGGGAGAGGAAGGAAAGAACAGCTTTTTTGTCAAGGGGCAGCTTCAGACCATGCTTTCCTGTTTATCTATACTCAGTAATGAGGATGAGGGCTAGGAAAGTCTTGTTCATAAGGAAGCTGGAGAACTCAATGTAAAATCAAACCCATCTGTAATTTCGAGTGGGTGGAGCTCTTGCTTTTGGTACATGCCCTGAATCCCTCACTCCCTCAAGAATCCGAACCACAGGACAAAAACCACCTACTGGGCTCTCTCCTACCCTGCCCTCCTCCCTTTTTTTTACCCCTCTCTTTTTTATTTTTTCTTTGCTCTTTAGAACCCAGTGAAAAATACCAGGGTACTGGGGTGCAACTCTTTCTTATGATAGGTCATTAGTGCTTTAAGCAAAAGATATTAGCAGCTTTGACTGCAGCATTAGCAATTAGGAAAAAAAAAAAATTAAGTTCCCTGCGGACATGTAACTTTGCCATCAGTTTTGATGTGGAAACACTGTGATATATAAAATGTTGTTGGACAACAGTAGTTTTAAGAGTAAAATATGAAACGTTTAAAAAGTTCCAAAAAAAGCTAGCTCTGTCCTTTACTTATTGAGACACTTTAACTTTTTCCTTTGTATTTCCATTGTATTAGATAAATAAATGTGAATGTAAAATTGTATAAATTACTGTACTTGAATACTTCTGTTTCCCAGTGTTGCTTGCTGGACATTTTAGTGCCTTGGACTTCTATTGCTTCTGCCATTAGCATCAACTTACCAGACCCCAGATCAATAAAGGGCATGTGGAAGGAAATCGTAGGTCCATGTGACCCCAGCAGTCCAGCAGTGGTTATGCCAAAGGGAAATTGAAAAAGTATTTTTTTAAGTCATTCAACAACTTTGTCTAGAGCAGGTGTAAGATGAGTAGGGTGGGAAGTTAGGTTGGCATCAGTGGTTAAAAACAGAAAGTTCTGTTTCGGGAATAGTGAGGAGGGGGTGTTGTAACAAAATTGGACAACTTAAAAGAATGGTGTGTGCTGGGTGAAAGACAAAGACTAAAGAATGAGGAAACAAACGTGATGCCTGGCCAGTGACTGTCATATAAACCTTTCTTATTTGAGCTAGGCTTGAACAGACGTGACCTAGAAGAAACTGAACATAAAGAGAAGGGGGTGGGGGGCTAGTTTTCAAGTTGGGGAACCTGATAGTGAAAAGTCACAGATGGAGAAAATTGCTCTCAGAAAAACTGTTTGGATTGCTTTCCTCTTGTTGCACATGTACCATGCATTTCTCAGCTTGGGGTACTACATTTTGTGGAAAGTTAATCTATCTATCTTTCCACATCTGAATTAATCATTCTAGGAAAGAATACTTATTCCTACTCATTTCCTTTATGATGTCCAAATGGTTGCAGGATCATAATCTATTGTGCCACCTTTATTTCTAGAAGTACAACTAATATGTTCACATTTTCAAATAAATAATACTCCCCGTAAGTAATAACTGCAACCAATCAGTGTTATTCAGTGCTATGCCTCCTTGTAATGGGTAGTTATTAATTATTTTCAGAGCTTTCCGGAAATACTGTCCTAACTGGCTATGTTTAGGATCTTTGTTATCTCTGAAGACAAAGAAAGAAGCTAGGACTCTTAATTTTGGGGTGCTTCTTGACTCTTAGTTGGGAAACTGAAAATATTTCCAACCTTTTACCCACGTCAATGGCATATTCTGGGAATCACCACCACCACCACCACTACCACAGAAAGAGGCTGGAGGCTCCTGTACCCTGTTCATTCCTTAAGGGCCCTGCTTCCCTTAGTAAGTAAGTAAGTTGGTCTACGGCCCTAAATATGCAAATGAGAGCTGAAGGTTTTTAAAAGGTAGAAAGGAAAAGGGCAAGGGCTTCCACCCCTGCTTTAAAATGATTTATTTATTCTCTGCTTGTATTTCTTGTGGAGAGAGTAAGGATAGAACCAACAAGGGGCTGAGTAGCTGAGAAAGGGGCCACCCAAGAGTGAAACATACTTTATACCAGAGGAGCAGTGGAGCCTCATGCAGCACATTATCATTTGTTATTTGGGTTTAATAATAATTTTGACATCTTTTCACTCATACACAAAAAAAGTCAGAACTGGTGTTATTTACTGTTGATTTCATCCTCCTGTGTATGAAATAACAAGCCTAGAGGAATGAACTAGTGCTACTGAACTGTTTAAATTATTTTTGTGTTAATAGTACACTTTGAGTATCTTTTTCCACATTAAAAACTTTCTGAATTATAAATGTTTTCCTTACATTATTTAACAATGTACACTGTTAAAAATAAAAATAAAAATTCAAACTTTGGGGGTTTCTCAGCAGCCGTTAATTGTACATTTTGCACTAACTCTGGGTGTTGCGCTTCTTGTAAGATTGCGCTTTGTGCTTCAGTTTGTTACCTTTGTAGACTTATTTAATGAAACCATTCAAATAAACCAAACTTGCTTTTGTTGAGCTGTGGGGTTTCATTTCCAGAAGATTCCTTCACATTCTCACTGGCACTATTTTGAGTTAAGTGCAATTTATAACTGGATCCCTAATTCCTGGGAGCTCCTTTGCTGTCTCCTTAACTTCGAAAGGAATAGAAACGGTCGGCTGCCGGCTAGTACTTTCAGACTTCCTTATCTCAGGTTCACAGCTTCCCAAATGGGTCTGAGCCAAAAAATAGGAAGTCACTGCTTCAAGATTAGCCACAGCCCAGCCCAAAATAATACGTCTAAAAAAATTATTAAATTGGCTGGGCGCAATGGCTCATGCCTATAATTCTAGTACTTTTTACTTTGGGAGGCCGAGGTGGGCAGATCACTTGAGGTCAGTTTGAGACCAGCCTGGCCAACATGGAGAAACCCCGTCTCCTCTACTAAAAATACAAAAATTAGTCGGGCGTCGTGGTGGGTGTCTGTAATCCCAGCTACTCGGGAGCCTGAGGCAGGAGAATTGCTTGAATCCTGGCAGGCGGAGGCTGCAATGAGTCAAGATGGCACCGCTGCACTCCAGCCTGCGCTACAGAGCCAGACCCCCCCTCTCAAAAAAAAAGTTGTTAAACTGCAAACTTCATTATTTTGGGGGAAGAATTATGAAACATCTGAGCACTATGAAAAGCCAATTTATGGTCAAGGTGGGTTACATCTCACACCTGAAATGGGGAAGTAGAAACAGTTGCGTTTGAGCATCCCTAATTGAAATGCTCTGAGATCAGAAAATTTCTGAGCACTGACGTGATGCCAGAAGTGGAAAATTCCACACGTGACCTCGTGTGACAAGTCGCAAAGCACCAGGCATACAACAGTTTATGCAGCGACCCTAAGAGAAAAAAAAACCCAGCCCTCTTCAGCTGCAGTGTATCTTCTTATACAAAAACTCTGTTTCATGCACAAAATTATGTGTATGAGGCATATACACGAAACACAGGTGAATTCCACGTTCAGACTTGGGTCCCATCCCCAAGGTCTCATTATGTGTATACAAATATTCAAAAAATGCAAAACAATTCTGGTTTCAAGCATTTCAGATAAGCAATATATATATATTCTATTTTGTTAATAAGGTATACGATTTGCTTTCTCAAAAATGCCTTTTCTGGCCAGACACAGTGGCTCACACCAGTAATCCCTGTATTTTGTAAGGCAGAGGTGGGAGTATCACTTGGGCCCAAGAGGTTGTGGAGAGAGCTGTGTTTGCACCACTGAACTCCAGTCAGGGCAACACAGCCAGACCCCGTCTCAAAAAAAAAAAAAAAAAAAAAAACAAAAAACAGCCTTTTTTCGTGGTCTTAGATGATTATTTCCTTCCTTAGGAAAAAATGTCAGTCTTGAAACAATGCAGGATTGTAATGTCATAAATCCATAAATTATTTATATTAAATGAAGATTGTAGCCTGGATTGATACAAAGTAGTGAAAAGCACTGCTCCAACCTTTTTCCTGTCGTGATCCACAGTGCTTAATGTGGGCAACATTAAAGGCATGGACCGTAAAGGAAAGAAGGCAGACGTTATGCAAAACAACTGAATGTAGACAATTGCTGAGGCAGGTGCTTAGGACCAAGTCTGGCCTATATTGCTTGAGGGCAAGGAGCCATTGGTGATTCCTAAAATGTCCATCTTCATTAACATAATAGTTCAGTAATAAATAGTGGGAAGCCTCACAAGCCGAAGAAAAGGTATTCATCTGTCCAGAGCCTCTCCCTACTAGAGTGATGGACAAGCTTTTCAAAAGTGCTCAGCTCTAACTGCAGTGGGCTCTCAGTCAGATCCTCTTGATAAGGTTCAGAATGAAGCAAGATAAATCGCAATGACGTTCATTCTCCAGCAGCGATGAACAATTTCATGACCAAAAAGTAGTTTTCCAAAGTCCCTTTGTGACAGAGTCCAATTATGTGGCCTGAGCCTCAGTTAAGATGGATCATATTTCCTTTTCTTCATGTCCTGGCTCTTCCTATGAGATTCCCAGTTTCCTATGGAAGACAAAATGGCTTAAATGTAGCTGCCATAATTTTAAAATAAACTGACAGCTAATGATTTCTGGATTATATTAATGATCCTAATTTAGACTAAGCCCAAGAATGAGAATTACTGTTAGGAGGAAGGCAGATGATTCTCCTAGACCAAGTGGCCTCGTGCTCATGACAGACCTGCTGCTGGGAGGGACAGCTCTCCATGCAGTCGTTTCCGCTTCCTGCTATTATCAGGAGCTGAAAAGGGCTGCACCTGAAGTCAGGAGCCCAAAGGAAACGTTCTGGCTCTTAAATCAATTCTGTTCTACTTGCAGTACCATTCCCTAATAGAAGTTCCCGATTCTATCAAACTTTAAATGAAATGTCATCCTTCCTCAAAAATTCCCAGAATTAAAGCTAGGATCTCCCCTTAATTTTTGTGCCTAAACACCTCTCTGCTACCTGTTGTGCGTTGGTCAGCGCTATAAGTTTGGAGGTCCCAAGATCCAGATTTTGCTTGTGGTTTCTGGTGGCAAACGCTGTGTGGAGTCCTGTTCTGGGTCACCATCTGGTTGTTCAAGGCTAATGTGTCAGAGGTCTGGGCTGGGTCTGCTCTAGACGAGGGCTTGACCACACCATCCCCTGCATCGGGAGTCACAGCCCACTTTTCAGAGTTGTCTTCAAGAGTCTCTACAGAGGTCAAGGAAAAGTGCGTCATCAGCAAATAATGAAGTATTCTCACAGAAAGCACTGGAAAAACTGGCCCTCAGAAATTCCATGTCTTCAGTACCTTCTGAAAGTTTTTGGAATTTCTCTCCCCTCCCCCTAAAAGTACACTTCCCTTTGGTTAGGACCAAAGAGGAACTGGACATATGCTATCAGCCAGAACCCCCTCAACAAAACCACACGAAAATGAGGATTTTTATGTCGCCTAAAAGGTATTCTGTGGCTACTAGAAACATACAGCACAGTAGCTTACAAGCATTTCAAGGTATTTACTGATTAATTCTTGAGTCACTCCTGCAAGGAAGTCTTTCTCCAGGAGTGGTTCTGAGACAGTTACAGGAGTGCTGTGCGTCACAGGAGGGGCCGGAGGCGCTGCTACGGTTCACAGAGGAGAGAAAGGACAAGTCATCATCACATCACTGCATGGGATTTCAGAGCGTGGGTCCACTCCCCTCTTGTTAGAGGGAACACTCTCCGAAGCACAACACCGCTTAGGGCTGCGCTGCTTCTGCCAGTAAAAAGAACTTCAGCTTCCCGAGTCCCAGTCCTACCTACAGATCTGTCTGTGGTTTGAATTCTTCTCACCAGTGGGAAAAACAAGTTTCTTTCTCCTTTCACAGCAAAAGTAAAAGGTTTCTCACAGGCCATCTAATCCAGTGTCTGGCTCGCTTGTTAACAGCCATAACCCTTGCTCAAACAAAATCTTAAACTAAAATCTGACCAGGCACAGTGGCTCACACCTGTAACCCCAGCACTTTGGGAGGCCAAGGTGGGAGGATCGCTTGAAACCAGGAATTCGAGACGCCACCTCTACAAAAAATAAAATATCAGCGGGTGTGGTAGCATGCACTTGTAGTCCCAGCCACTCAGGAGGCTGAGGAAGGAGGATCACTTGAGCTCAGGAAGGTCAAAGCTGCAGTGAACCCTGATCCCGCCACTGCACTCCAGGCTGGGTGACAGAGCAAGACCCTGTCTGAAAACAAACCAACAAACAAAATCTTCAGCCAAAATCTGATGTGTGAAATGGATTAAAATAACAATGGCTCGGGTTGTCTGCCAAGGGGCAGGAAAGGCCTGGAGGGCAGCTTCCTCCACAATCTACCCGGGAGCTTCTGCAATGGTTAAGAAGCTAAACACCTGCAATAACTCAACAGTAAGGATATCCACAGGACAGGAAGTGGTTCTGTTTTGGTTTTTATGTTAATTTCAGCCTGTCGGTGCTGAGGGGCATATGAATGAACCAACCATGAAGCAAGTCCTCTGTGAATCTGCTTCACAATTTGTAGGGAAAAACTGGGCAAAAGCTCGATGGGTCTGAGACAAGCCCTTTCTCTGTTTCCACTCTCTGAGTAAGGACTACCTACCGCTGGATGGGCAGGAGAGAACAGGTGGGGAGACAGAGAAGAAAGAAAGAAGGCATCTGTATCACTATTCCCACTCAATCTGGACTCTGAAATAAACTAAAGTTGATAAATAATCTGCCAAAAGTTCCCGTTATTCTCAATCCCAATTTTGCCTTGTATTCGAAGATATCTCAGAAACACAAGGCTTGTTTTTTTTTTGTTTTGTTTTTGTTTTGAGACAGGGTCTCACTCTGTTGCCCAGGCTGGAGTGCAGTGGCACGATCTTGGTTCACTGCAACCTCTGCCTTCTGGATTCAAGCAATTCTGCCTCAGCCTCCCGAGTAGGGGGGACCACAGGCATGCACCACCACACCTGGCTAATTTTTATGTATTTTTAATAGAGACGGGGTTTCGCCATGATGGCCAGGCTGGTCTCAAACTCCTGACCTCACGTGATCCGCCCACCTTGGCCTCCCAAAGTGCTGGGATTACGGACATGAGCCACCGTGCCCGGCCAAGGCTTTCTAATGTAGAGATGGCCAAAGCATTCGAAGCAAAAAAAAGTTCTTTACCCTGAAATTTCTAATTCTAGAAGATTTTATCAAGGCCCACTTAGTTCCACGGGGGAAAAAAGAAATCATTGTCTTTAGAAACGGGAAAATGTACAGCAGATTTAAATATCTGAATTTCCTGGGCTCATCTCTCCTGCGTGTAGCTTGAGAGAAGTCCCAGCGAGGCCTGGTTTGGAGCCGGCCCAGGGTTACCGCAGAGAATCAGAAGACCCTGCGGCTACACTTCCTCCTGCAGACGCCTCCCAGGGCCCTGCTCCCACCCCTCGCTCACCCTCACTCTTCTCAGCTGACGGCGTGGAGACTCGAACCTGCTGCTTCTCCATCCGCTCCCGGAACTGCTGCTGCAGCTGCTTCTGCCGGAGCTTCCGCTGGTGCGTGGCCTCGCTCTCCACGGCGGATGAGCTCAGGCTTCTGCATGAGAGGGCGGCGGCGAGGACGGGCTCCTGAGCAACAGCCGCGGCTGCTGGGAGGACACGCACGGCTGGCTGGCTCTGGAGGCCTGAGTGGAGGCAGCCCCGTGACACAGGAGGGGCCGCAGAGGAAAGGAGGGGACTTAGGCCGCATACCGGGAGCTGCAGTCCTGGTCCGCCGGTATCACAGCATGGCTGGGTCTGGAAGGGGAGGTCACCTGCTGCAGCTGTGGGTGTCCCAGGGCCATGTTCGGTCGGCAGCTGTTGTATCTTGCCTCCTCCACAGACGGTTCAAGATCTTGTCTCTTCGCTTTAGTTAAATCCACTTCAAGAGGCAACTAGAAGGAAAGAAGAAAAACAAATTCCTTCAACTGGCTCTTGCCCTCCGCTGCTTCTCCCTGACTCACAGATTGCGATTCCTGGAAAATCGCATTTGACATCCTCCATCCATCACGCCTTCTAGGTCCTGTAACTCCATGAGCAGGAGGAGCCAAACAATTTCATGTTCTGTGTTAGTGAAGTTTTGATAAAAAGGAATCCTTCTTTGGTTTTGACTTAGGGCAGATGTTCTGTAAAATCGCATTTGAATCTTTCCTGGGCTGCTGGGTCTGTCTTTGCTGCCTCCTTGTCCTTTTTCCACGGAAATGAGCACACACAGTCTCTGTGGAGGTCTGTACCTTCCCAACCCTTTCTGCCAGGGCCACCCCTGCAAATCGCGCTCGTCACTGAGGGAGCCTCGGGCACGCTGTGGCATCACGAAGAACCCTTCAAACGACAGAGGGAAGAACCCTTGGGAGGCACGGACGCCGGCTGCCAGCCAAGGCTGCAAGGAATCTTCCAGAACGGGGCTGCTCTGCATCTCATCAACATGAGAAGGGACAGTCCTGTGCTGCGTGGCACAGGGCAAATGGTTTCATTTCCACACGGATTCCTACAGAAATCCAGAACATTTTTACTTGGGAAAACATCTCTCAATTCATAAAACTGATGCTGATGGAATAATTGTTTGAATATGAGGGATTAAGATGATTACATTTTGACCTGAAAATGAAAATTATAGTGCAGATTTCATGTCTACATTGAAAGATAAATGAGTAGTTTAAAAAGAAATGAGCTTTGGCCAGGCACGTTGACTCATGCCTGTAATCCCAGCACTTTGGCAAGCCGAAGCAGATCACTTGAGTCCAGGGGTTCAAGACCAGCCTGGCCAAAATGGCAAAAATACAAAAATACAAAAAAAAAAAATCGAAGGAACTCCTGAGTAACAGCCTGTCTCTACTAAAAATACAAAAAAAAAAAAAAAAAAATTAGCTGGGCATGGTGGCACACACCAACAATCCCAGCTACTCGGGAGGCTGAGGCAGGGAGAATCACTTAAACCTGGGAGACAGAGGTTGCAGTGGGCGGAGATCGCACCACCGCACTCCAGCCTGGGCGACAGAGCAAGACTGTGTCTCAAAAAAAAGAAACGAGCTTTGAAAAATATGAAAGACTGGCGATACCAAGTGCTGTCAAAGATACAGAACAATTGGAACTTACGCAATGCCACGTGGGGTGTGAATTAATACAACCATACAGGAAAACGGGAAGAACCTACTAAAACTAAACACGTACCTATCTTCTCCCCCAATAATTCCCAACAAAAATGAGTGCAACTGTACAGCAAAAGAATGCTAACAGCATCTCTAATCGAAACAGCCACAAGCTACAAAAACCAAAATGTCTACTAAGAAAAGACTAGAAAAATAAATTGCCACATACTCATGCAAAAGAAAATTATACAGCAATGAAACTGCTGCTCGTACCATGAATGAATCTCACAACCATGCTGAATTCAAGTAAGATACAAAGAGTTCAAACTGTAGGATTCCAAAAAAGTACATAACAATAAAAACAAATTGGTGGCTTTCTTTGTTTTTTGTTTTGTTTTTTGAGAGAGGGTCTCGCTCTGTGGCCCAGGCTGGAGTGCAGTGGCGTAATCACAGCTCACTGCAGCCTGGGCCTCCTAGGCTCAAATGATTCTCCCAGCCCAGCCTCCCAAGCAGCTGGGACTACAGGCGCCACCACCAGGCCCAGCTAATTTTTATTTTTATTTTTATTTTTATTTCGTACAGACAGGGTCCCACTATGTTGTCCTGGCTGGTCTCCAACTCTTGGGCTCAAGCAATCCTTCTTCCTTGGCCTCTCAAGTGGTGGGATTACAGGAGTGAGCCACCACACCCGGCCAATCTGTGTTGTTAAAAGCGGTTTGCTCAGAGTGGGAAGGAGGGCAGGGGATGGCAGTGACTGCAAGGAACACAGCTGGGCCTTCTCGGTACTGGCAGTGTCTTGATTCAGATGTTGGCTGTGTGGATGTGTTTGGTTGGAAAATTCATCAAGCTGAGCATGGATGATACGTGCACTCGTCTAACCTGTCTATATGTTCTTTTTCATACTTCGGTCAATTTTCTTAAAATATGAACTGTACAATTCCACTTACAGTACAATTCCATTTGTGAACTTTACATATATAAAGTTCAAAAACAGGAAAAAATAATCCATGGAAGTCAGAATAGAAGACAGGATAGTAGTTACTTTTGAAAAAAGGAAAGCAAGGCAGTGACTGGAAGAGGGCAAAATGGGGCTTCTGGGCTGCTGGTAAAGGTCTGATTCTCTATCTGGGAGGTGAACAGCTGTGCTCACTTAGGAAATGGTGGCTCATGCCTGTAATCCCAACACTTTGGGAGGCTGAGGCAGGTGGATCACTTGAGGTCAGGAGTTTGAGATCACCCTGGCCAACATGGCGAAACCCCATTTCTACTAAAAGTATAAAAATTAGCCGGGCATGGTGGCGGGCGCCTGTAATCCCAGTTACTTGGGAGGCTGAGGCTGGAGAATCGCTTGAACCCACGAGGCAGAGGTTGCAGTGATCACAACATTGCACTCCAGCCTCGGTGACAAGAGTGAAATTCCGTCTCAACAACAAAAAAAGAGAAATTTGGGGCCAGGCTCAGTGGCTCACACCTGTAATCCCAGAACTTTGGGAGGCCAAGGCAGGTGGATTGATCACTTGAGCCCAGGAGTTTGAGACCAGCCTGGCCAACACAGCAAAACCCCGCTCTACTAAAAAATACGAAACATTAGTTGGGTGTGGTGGTGGGCGCCTGTAGTCCCAGCTACTCAGGAGGCTGAGGCACGAGAATCGCTTGAACCCGGGAGGCGGAGGTTGCAGTGAGCCAAGATAGCGCCACTGCACTCCAGCCTGGGCGACAGAGCAAGACTCTGTCTAAAAAAAAAAAAAAAAATCTGGGCTCAGCGTGGTGGCTCACGCCTGTAATCCCAACACCTTGGGAGGCCGAGGTGGGCGGATCATCTGAGGTTAAGAGTCCAAGATCAGCCTGACCAACATGGTGAAACCCCCTCTCTACAAAATACAAAAAATTAGCTGGGTGTGGTGGCACACACCTGTAGTCCTAGCTAGTTGGGAGGCTGAGGTAGAAGAATTGCCTGAACCTGGGAGGCAGAGATGGCAGTGAGCCGAGATCACACAATTGCACCCCAGCCTGGGCAACAAGAGCAAAAACTCTGTCTCAAAAAAAAAAAAAATTAGCCGGGCATGGTAGCACGCACCTGTAGTTCCAGCTACTCAGGAGGCTGAGGCAGGAGAACTGCTTGAACCCAGGAGGCAAAGGATGCAGTGAGCCAAGATCGCACCACTGCACTCTAGCCTGGGCGGCAGAGCAAGACTCCGTCTCAAAAAAAAAAAAAAAATTGTTATAGGAGACGAGAGTATTATATAATGATAAGAATGTCAGCCAGGTGCAGTGGCTCACACCTATAATCCCAGCATTTTGGGAGGCCGAGGTGGGCAGATCACGAGGTCAGGATATCGAGACCATCCTGGCTAACATGGTGAAACCCCGTCTCTACTAAAAATACAAAAAATTAGCCGGGCGTAGGTGGCGGGCGCCTGTAGTCCCAGCTACTCAGGAGGCTGAGGCAGGAGAATGGTGTGAACCCAGGAGGCAGAGCCTGCAGTGAGCTGAGATCGCACCGCCACTGCACTCCAGCCTGGGCGACAGAGTGAGACTCCGTCTCAAAAAAAAAAAAAAGAATGTCAATTCACCAAGAAGATATAACAATTATAAATATTTATGCACCAAACACCAGAGGTCCTAAATATATGAAGCAAACTTTGAGAGGATTGTAAGGTGAAATAAAAGCAACACAATAATAGTAGGAGACTTCACTACTCAACTTTCAATAATAGATAAAACAACCAAACAAAAGATGAATAAGGCGATAGAGTATTTGAACAATACTATAGGCCAACTGGACCTAACAGTCATATACATAACATTCCACCCACCAATAGCAGAAAATACATTCTTCTCAAGTACACATGGAACATTCTCCAAGACAGACTACATGTTAGGCCACAAAACAAGTCCTAACAAATTCAAGATTGAAATCATATAAAGTATCTTTTCAATCACAATGGAATGAAACTAGAAATCAACAGCAAAAAGAAAACTGGAAAATCCACAAATCAGTAGAAATTAAACACCACACTCTTAAAGTCAAAGGAAATGTAACAAGCCAACTTAGAAGAATTCCCAGAGACAAATGATACTACAACACAACCTACCAAACTTCTGGGGTGCAGGGAAAGAAGTCGTAAGAGGGAAGTTACACACATAGTTAAAAAAAAAAGATCTCAAATCTACGCTATACCTCAAAGAACTAGAAAAAAAAAGTTACACCCAAAGCTAGAAGAAAGGAAATTCTAAAAAGATGACAGCAAACATAAGTGAAAGAGAGAATACAAAAACAATACGAAAAAGCTCAATAAAAGTAGGAGTTGGGCCATATGGGTTTCTCACGCCTGTTATCCCAGCATTTTGGGAGGCCAAGGCAGGTGGATCACTTGAGGCCAGGAGTTTGAGACCAGCCTGGGCAACACGGTAAAATTTTTTGTATTCTGTACAAAAAATAAAAAAATTAGCCTGGCATGGTGGCAAATGCCTGTAGTCCCAGCTACTTGGGAGGCTAAGGCAGGAGGATCATTTGAGTCTGGGATATAGAGGCTGCAGTGAGCCGAGATCACACGACTGCCCTCCAGCCTGCGTGGGAGGATCACTCAAGCCCAGGATGTCGAGGCTCCAGGGAGCCAAGCCATGATCAGACCACTGCATTCCAGCCTGGGTGACAGGGCGAGATCTTGTCATGAGATGAGATGAGATGAGATGAATAAAAGAAATTAAATTAAAATAATAAAACAAAATAAAATGACAAAGGACTTGAATAGACATCTCTCCAAAGACGATAAACAGATGGCCAACAAGCATATGAAAATATGGTTGGCTGGGTGCGGGGGCTCACACCTGTAATCCCATCACTTTGGGAGGCCAAGGCGGGCGGATCACCTGAGGTCAGGAGTTCGAGACCAGCCTGACCAACATGGTGAAACCCCATCTCTACTAAAAATACAAAAATTAGCCCGGCATGGTGGCAGGCGCCTATAGTCCCAGCTACTTGGGAGGCTGAGACAGGAGAATTGTTTGAACCCAGAGGCAGAGGTTGCAGTGAACCAAGATTGTGCCACTGCACTCCAGCCTGGGTAACAGAGTGAGATTCTGTCTCAAAAAAGAAAATATGGTCAACATCACTAATCATCAGGGGTATGCAAATCATAACCCCAATAAAATATCACGCCCATTAGGTTGGCTTAAAAAAAAAAAAAAAAAAAAAACCAAAAACTCAGAAAATAACAAGTGCTGGTTAGGATTTAGAAAAATCTGAACTCATGTGCCCTGTTGGTGGAATGGTAAAATGGGGCAACTGTATGAAAATCAGTGTGGCAGCTCCTCGAAAAATTAAAAATAGGATTACCATGACCCAGCAATCCCCTTCAGAATATGTCTAAAAGAATTGAAAGCAAGATCTCAAAGAGAGTTACACACCCTCGTTCATAGCAGCATTATTCACAATAGCCAAGAGGTTGAAAGCAACCCAAATCCCCATCACCAAATGAATGCATAAACAAAATGTGGTCTATATATACAACAGAATATTCAGCCACAAAAAGAAGGGAATTCTGATACACACTACTACATGGATGAATCTTAAAGGCATTAATGCTAGCTAAGTGAAATAAGCCAGTCACAAAAAGCAAAAATTATGTGATTCCATTTATATGAGGTATCCAGAGTAGACAAATTCACAGAAACAGAAAGTAGACACATATACCTATAATCTCAGCACTTAAGGAGGCTGAGTGGGAGGATCGCTTGTAGCCAGGAGTTTGAGACTAGCCTGGGCAATAGCAAAACTCCATGACCACACACAAAAAAGTATTTTATTTTTATATTTTATTATTATTATTTTGAGACAGAATCTCACTCTGTCTCCCAGGCTGGAGTGCAGTAGTGCAATCTTGGCTCACTGCAGCCTCCACCTCCCAGGTTCAAGCGATTCTCATGCCTCAGCCTCCAGAAGAGCTGGGATTACAGGCAGGCTGACCACCGGGATTACAGGCAGGCTGACCACCATGCCCAGCTGATTTTTGTATTTTTTAGTAGAGACAGGGTTTCACCATGTTGGCCAGGGTGGTCTCAAACTCCTAGGCTCAAGTGATCTAACCACCTCGGCCTCCCAAAGTGCTAGGATTATAGGCAGGAGCCACAGCGCCTAACCTAATTTTTTAAAAAAGAAAAAAAGATCAAGACCAGCCTCAGCAACATAGCAAGAACTCACCTCTTAAAAAAAAAAGCCCCCAAAAAAAGTTAATTAGCTGGCTCCAGGTACAGTGGCCCACGCTGCAATCCCAGCGCTTTGGGAGGCCGAGGCAGGAGGATCACATGAGCCCAGCAGTTCATGACCAGCCCTGAGAAATTCTGTCTCTACAAAAAAAATAGTAATAATTGTTTAAAAAATAAATTAGCTAGGTGCACTGGCACATACCTGTAGTCCCAGCCACCTGAGAGGCTGAGGCAGGAGGATCCAGGAGGATCCCTTGGGCCCAGGAGTGCAAGGATGCAGTGAATTATGATGGCACTCCTGCATTCCAGCCTGGCTGACAGAGCAAGACCTCATCTTTCATAAAATAAATTAAAAAAAAAAAAAAAGGAAAGAAAGTGGAAGTAGTTACAAGGGTCTGGGAAAGGGGGAAATGCGGAGTTCTTGTTTTACGGGTGCAGGGTCTTAGTTCTGCAGATCAATTTCACAACAATGGGAATACACTTAACACTACTCGACCACACACTAAAAATAGTTAAAATGTGATGTGTTTTACTACAATTTAAAAAAAGAAAAGGCCGGGTGCGGTGGCTCACGCCTGTCATCCCAAAACTTTCGGAGGCCGAGGCAGGCGGATTACTTGAGGTCAGGAGTTCAAGACCAGCCTGGCCAACAGGACGAAACCCCATCTACTAAAAATAAAAAAATTAGCTGGGCATGGTGGTGGCTGGCACCTGTAGTCCCAGCGACTTGGGAGGCTGAGGCAGGAGAATGGCATGAACCCGGGAGGCAGAGGTTGCAGTGAGCTGAGATCACACTACTGCACTCCAGCCTGGGCGACAGAGTGAGACTATCTCAAAAAAAAAAAAAGAAAAAGAAAACTTGACTAATATCTCTCATAAACATAGATGCAAAAATGCCTAACAAAGGCCGGGCGCGGGGGCTCACGCCTGTAATCTCAGCACTTTGGGAGGCCGAGGCAGGCGAATCATGAGGTCAGGAATTCGAGACCAGCCTGACCAAGATGGTGAAACCCCGTCTCTACTAAAAAAATACAAAAATTAGCCAGGCGTGGTGGTACACACCTGTAATCCCAGCTACTCAGGAGGCTGAGGCAGGAGCATCGCTGGAACCCAGGAGGCAGAGGTTGCAGTGAGCCAAGATCACACCACTGCACTTCAGCCTGGGCGACAGAGCGAGACTCCGTCTCAAAAAAAAAAGTCTAACAAAATATTAGCAAACTGAATCCAATAATGTTTAAAAATGATTTTTTTAAAGGAGTTTTTACAGATGCCCAGTGACACACACCTTGTGGGGCTCCATGAGGACAAGAATCCCTCAGGCACAGGATGGGAATGCTGCCCTGGGGAGCGACATGGCAGGGACCTCGGAGAGCAGATGAGGCAGGAGGAACACTCCAGAAGCCACTCATGGCAAGGCAGTGTGACTCCAGGGCTGCCCCACCACAGACCCCATTCTCCAAAGGCAAAGGCTCAGATCACGTTATAGGTATTGACAGAAATAATGGACATGTAAATGACATTGTAATGACATCAGACATGTAATGACACCAGAACTAAGGAAAAGAAAGAAGGCTCAACAGCGAGGCTGGGAGTGTCTGGGAAGGACAGTGGTGCTGCAGAGGGCTGTGTGCTTGCTTTGAGGCTTCACAGACTACCCCCAACCACAGTTCACTACCTACACGTACACAAATTCTCTAGACCTCACATTCTTGTCAAATGGTGTGATTTTTTTTTTTTTTTTTTTTGGAGACGGAGTCTGGCTCTGTCGCCCAGGTTGGAGTGCAGTGGTGCCATCTCGGCTCACTGCAAGCTCTGCCTCCCGGGTTCACGCCATTCTCCTGCCTCAGCCTCCCGAGTAGCTGGGACTACAGGCGCCCACCACCTCGCCCGGCTAATTTTTTGTATTTTTAGTAGAGACAGGGTTTCACCGTGTTAGCCAGGATGGTCTCGATCTCCTGACCTTGTGATCCACCTGCCTCCACCTCCCAAAGTGCTGGGATTCCAGGCGTGAGCCACGGTCCCCGGCCCACATGATGTACTTTAGAAAAAAGGAAAATGTTGGGATTAGTTCCTGCTGTCTCTAACATTCGAAATCTGAAATCAACATTCCCGACCCTCTAAAGAGCTGAGTCCTCACTTTTTCTCCTTGCATCCTCCAAATACTCAACCCATGACACACAAGAGTTTGCCGCATTATCTTCACTCCACTCATCCATGTCTGATATACCTGGCGTGGAAGCTTATTTAGTGATCTCAGGTAGTCTTTGTCCAGAATACAGTTTCCAAGTGCATTCCCAAAACTCCTAAGGGCAAGAGAAAAAAAGGTGAAACAGGGTTAAGAATTGTTACACATGAATATCAGAGAATAGAATTACAACTTTTGTACAGGTTGCTTCTCAGGAGCAGCAGAGGAAGTGGACCCTAACATGCATTCCCCATTGATGTCTGGTAAGCATCTAGCATGTTCCTGCACTGTGTTAGTTTCTGAGAATACTGCAGTGAGGACAAGACACAAGTCCCTGCCCTCACAGAGAAGATGAGTATGAAAAGATTACGGCGCCATTCACAAAACCCACCAGCCACCTCCTGACATGGAGAACAAACTGCAGAGAGTTTTTCTTTTTTTTCCCCCCAAAGGCTGCTCCAATTTCCCAGCAGGAGTAGGCAACACACACTTGGGGACCGGGGGCTCAAGGGCACAACCTCCCATGACCAGAGTTCTTAACTTGGGATCTACGGACTCCCCCACAGAACTCATAGGTTTTTCTGGTTCAATTCACTTCAATTCTCAAAGACACGGATATGGTTTGGATGTTTATCCCCTCCAAATTTCATGTTGAAACGTGACCTCCAATGCCGGGGGGTGCGGCCTGGTGGGAGGTACTGGATCCTGGGGCTGGATTCCTCATAAACAGCTTAGTGCCATCCCCTTGGTGTTGAGTGAGTTCTCACTCAGCTCATGAGAGATCTGGTGGTTTTGAGTGTGGGGGCTGGGCATGATGGCTCATGCCTGTGATCCCGGCACTTTGGGAGGCACAAGGCAGGAGGATGACTTGAGCCCAGGAGTTTGAGACCAGCCTAGGCAACAAAGGGAGACCCTGTCTCTCCAAAAAAAAAAAAATTTTTTTTTAATTAACTGGGGGTGGTGTTATGTGCCTGTGATCCCAGCTACTCGGGAGGCTGAGGCGGGAAGATCACTTCAGCCCAGGAGTTCAAGGCTGCACTGAGCGATGACGGCACCACTGCACCCCAGCCTGTGCAACAGAGCAAGACCCTGTCTCAAAAAATGAAAAACAACAATAAAATAAATAAATAAGCCTGGGACTCCTTCCTTCTCTCTCTTGCTCCCTCTCTCTCCACGTTCCCTCTTCACCTTCTGCCATGATTAGAAGCTTCCTGAGGCCTCAGCAGAAGTGGATGCTGGCACCAGGCTTCCAGTACAGTCCACAGAATCATAAGCCAATCAAACCTCCTTTATTTATAAATTACCCAGCCTCTGGTATTCCTGTATAGCAACATAAATGGACTAACACGGACATCTGCGTGACTGTGTAACTACGTTAACTATGCTACCTGTGCGTAGCGGAGGACTGCTGAGGAGCACGGAGAGGAGGGTGCTGTCTGTGCACTCGCAGTAGGAGTGGGAAGGCCTCCGGCACACATGACTGAGTGCACGGAGAAGAGAGAGTACAGGATTCTACCACTTACTCCCAGCAAGGGAAGCCTGAAACAGAAACATTGAAAAAATACTAACGAAAGTGGGAAAACGGCAGACAGGAACCAGGGCAGGGGTGAGAATTACCTTCCACGCTGCTTGGATTTTTGAACCATGTGGATGTGTTACCTCTTCCAAAAAAAATCGAAATCTGCTCTGAAGCAAGAGCTGAAATGACGCAGGTTAGACTCCCAGCCCCGCGCTCACCTGAGGGCTCGCTTCAGCCCGTCTGTCACCGCCTCCTTCCTTGCCTTCTCCAAAGATAAAGCCTTGGACTTGAGGCCCTCACTAACACCATAACCAACATCTTCATGATATGAACCATCCTGGGGGCAGAAAAGGAGTTTGAACTCAAACACGAGAGCGGCAGGCGTGCCACAACTCCCCTGTTCCTCAAGCAGCAGGGTTCAAAGCCGGACTCTCCCACCTGGCGGCCTTGCTACAGGGGCACGGGCAGAAGGCTGGGTGAGAATCCATCGCGAGTGCTGCTTCCTAGACCTGGGCTGCCTGGACATGTGCCTGCGGTCAAGGTGTCAAGACGATCCTCCCTTCCCAACTTCCCAACACACAAAGGGCACATTAGAAACTCACCCCAAATCCTATCAGTGTGCATCACCCTAAGGTAAAAAAAACCTCTGGGATGGCCGGGCCGGGCGTGGTGGCTCACGCTGTAATCCCAGCCCTTTGGGAGGTCAAGGGAGGTGGATCACTTGAGGTCAGGAGTTCAAGACCAGCCTGGTCAACATGGTGAAACCCTATCTCTACTAAAAATACAAAAATTAGCCGGGTGTGGTGGTGGGCACCTGTAATCCCAGCTACTCAGGAGACTGAGGCAGGAGAATCACTTGAACCTGGGAGGCAGAGGTTGCAGTGAGCCGAGATTGCACCACTGCACTCCAGCCTGGGTGATAGAGTGAGACTACGTCTTGGAAAAAAAAAAACCTCTGGGATATGAAACAAAGGGATGATTTGAACACTGGATCTAATGGTCTGTAAGGACGGGAGAGCAAACCCTTTGTAAATCAGGTGGCGTCCAGCTCCTGCCTCTCACCAAAAGAGAAGGTGGACCTGAGCACATCATTCGCTGATTGAGAATTAAATACAATGTTTGATGACAGCGCTCTGTGATTTTTAAAAAATAACTCAGAAAGCACTCAAATAAATGAGTGACACTATAACACAATTCTTTCCATTCTCAGCTACTCACTCATAGATACAAGATTTTTTAGTACTATTTAGAAAAATAAGTCAGAATAGAATTAATGCTGAATTGTTCATTCAAGAAATAAGTAGGCCGGGTGCGGTGGCTCACGCCTGTAATCCCAGCACTTTTGGAGGCCAAGGCGGGTGGATCACCTGAGGTTGTGAGTTCCAGACCAGCCTGACCAACATGGAGAAACCGCGTCTCTACTGAAAACACACACAAAAAATTAGGCGGGCGGGGTGGCGCATGCCTGTAATCCCAGCTACTTGGGAGGCTGAGGCAGGAGAATCGCTTGAACCCAGGAGGTGGAGGTTGCGGTGAGCTGAGATTGAACCATTGCCCTCCAGCCTGGGCAACAAGAGCAAAACTCCATCTCAAAAAAAAAAAAGAAGTAAGTAATATTCAGTTATGGATATATGGATATATAAACTAACTGAAAAGAAAAAACAGCACCATCCATCTCATTAAGATATACATTTTCCATAAATTTTATATTTTAAATTTTTTATTTTTGTGGCAAGATTTCATATCTTTAATTTTTCTAAGTATCAAAATTTTGCTGTATTTATGTTTTCTCTTCACCATAAACACAATTGTCTGGTCAATTGTGTGTTAACAGTAGCTATAATATAACTAAATCCAAAAGAAATATTTTAATATTTAGAGCCTTAAGTGCACTGAAAATTTACCAAAAATTTTTATTTTTATACACAGGCAAAGGCAGAGAAGCACAGTAAGGCTACCGATAAAACTTTTCTTTTTTTCCACCCAGGAGTTCAGTGGCGCAATCACAGCTCACCACAGCCTCGACTTCCTGGGCTCAGGTGATCCTCCCACCTCAGCCTCTTGAGTAGCTAGGACTACAAGCATACACCACCATGCCCAGCTAATTTTTTGTATTTTTAGTAGAGACGGGCTTTCGCTATGTTGCCCAGGCTGGTCTCAAATCCCTGGGCTCAAGCAGTCCTTCCACCTGGGCCTCCCAAAGTGCTGGGGTTACACGAATGAGCCACCCCGCCTAGCCAAACTTTCAACCATAAATATGTATTAGGATTAAAACCAGTGGGGAAATAGAATAGAAATATGAGTTCAGATAAAGAAAGAACAATGTAAAATTTCTAATGATTAAAAAAAAGCTTGTTCATTGTATTTCTTCAAATAAATGATAGATCTTATCCTCTATAGTATTTAGAGTCCACTGGAATATTTAACAAGATTCAACAGATTTACGGTAAGTGCTCACTTAACACCTTAAATAACTGTGACTTGAAGTGAAACAACTTATTAACAAAACATATTTTTGTTTTCATCAATGTTATAACAAAAGGACCTGCTTTGCCTAAAGTTGAGTTTCCAAACACTTATCAGTGATGGTAAAATTATTGTATTTTAAAATGTCAGATTTTACCATATGCCAAAAAATACATCCTTTGCAACAATTTTTATATATGGTGAAAACTTTTAGGTGTCAGCTTGAACATGTGCAAGAGAACAGTTTTTCCATTCTTTTAGGGAGCACATGAGCAAGAGTATTTGAATTCCACCACTCTAGGGAACGCTGGCTGAGACACAACTCTGGAGCCTGGGTCCCCGTCCAGCTACCTACTTCCCTACCTGCTCACCTTCTCCTACCACCCACTGATCCTTCCGGGCAGCAGGTCTACTCCATCCCCTCACCTTCAGCTGGACCCTCACAAATGCACAGACTCCCACGTAGAACTTGCCATTGTTGAGGTCAACAAAATCTAGGAGTGGGAAAGAGAGCAAGTTGAAGAGGACACTGACCGCTGGGCCACAACCATTCCTCCTGCTGGCAGCTGAGTCCACCTACCTTACCTCCTCACCCACAGCAGACTTTCAGCAGGAGCTGGACAGTGCAGAAGTCCCCACTGCTGGAGAGCATACTCACCCACATTCTGCTGCGTGATGGAGTGTGCCCAGCCATTGTAACCAAACATCTCATTGGCCAGATTAATTACCCGATGACCCTCAATGTAGCACACCTAGAAAAACAAATGTTTTTAAGGAAAAGCTGTGTTAATTCCTTACCACACTTAAATGTGAATCAAAATTGACATAATTTATTCCTCATCTACTTTTTTCGATAAACTGTCCTTAAACATTCTTCTCGGGAGGCTGAGGTGGGAGGATCACTTGAGCCCAGGAGCTCAAGGCTGCAGTAAGCTAGGATCGTGCCACTGCACTCCAGCCTAAGTGACAGAGTGAGAACCAGTCTGTTAAAAAAAATTTTTTTTTCAAGAAAATTCTCAATGAATTTATTTCAAAAATCTTCTAGATGGAGCCCGCGAGAACGAATGGTCTGTTGGGAGGAGGAACTCACCCAGCAGTTGCTAAAATTCAGTTTGCAAAAAGTACAAATCTGTTTGACATATTTTATGGAAGACCAAAAATATACACAGAAGTTAAAATTAGAAGCAAATGATATGCAATTATTATGTGTCAATCATAAGTTCTTTAAAAAGTGTTTAATTAAAAAAAAAAAGCAAATGGCAAAAGGAACATTTTTTTTTTAATGGTGTAAAGGCTGGGCATGGTGGCCCACACCTGTAATCCCAGCACTTTGGGAGGCCGAGGTGGGAGGATCACTTGAGCCCAGCAGTTCGAGATCAGCCTGGGCAACATGGCGAGATGTCGTCTCTACAGAACATTAAAAAATTAACCAGGTGTGGTGGCGTGTGCCTGTAGTCCCAGCTAGTCAGGAAGCTGAGGCAGGAGGATCGCTTGAGCCTGGGAGGTGGAGGCTGCAGTGAGCTGAGATGACACCACTGGTCGGACTCCAGCCTAGGTGACAGAGCAAGACCCTGTCTTTAAAAATAAAAAAAAAAAAAGATGATGTAAAAATCTTAAGACGGCGGTTATGCGAGTGTCAAGACCATGCCCAGGCCCCTTCGGATGAGAATGAAGTCTGGAACCCATCCCCTCCCAGGGGCACTGGGAGACCTCCAGGAACAGTTAACAGCAGACTTCCGAATCCCTGAGGACCCAGAGAGGGAACTGGCAAGACCATCGGAGTCTGCGGTATGGATGCCTGCTTTCCAGGCACATGAATTCTCCTACCTTCTGGCCTCCGCCAGCCATGCGGCTACTTATGTATTCTGGGCCCAGCCTCTGCCTCAGGGCCTTCTGGATGGCCTGGTACTCTTCTGCTGTGTACTGGCACTGCAACCCCAAAAAAGAAAATTAAATTCACACTTCCACCATTCCTCACATCATTGAGTCTCCATCCTTTATGGAGACTTTATACTCTTAAAAAGACCCCCCAGAACCTTTGTTTATGTGGGTTCTATGTATCCTATTAGGAATCAAAACTGAGAAACTTTTAAGGCATGCATGCCATTAGGCATCATAGCAGTGACATCACCACATATCATGCACTCTCTGAAAACTCTACCATTCACTCATGAGACAATGAGTGTGAAAGAGGCAAATAGTATTATTATGAAGATAATTTTGACCTTCTGGACTCTGAAAGATCTTCAGAAACCCCAGGGTTTTTGAGAACTGCATTTTGAGAACTGCTGCCTTAGCTGCTGCTACCATCCTTATAAATGTTTCTGAAGCTTAGGAAGCTAAAATGTTCTGCCTCCAGATCTGTAAATGACGTCAGCACAGGAAGCAAGTACGGAAAGAGCACGGGGGTAGGAAGCCTTGCTTCCATTTGTCCTTTCCAGAGATTGACGCCTTCTCCAATACAACAATTTCCCATCCTGCACAAACAGAAACACACTACTGCTTGCTGATTTGGGTTTTGTCCCCCTTGCCCTGCTCAGATGAGATGAATACTCACAACTCTCTGCTAAAGACAAAGATGGAGTTTGGGTGGACAAAGCAAGAAACTCTTTTCTGTGCACACAATGTCCCTACAAGGAATAGGACCCCCAGTAACTTTCCATGCCTCCAAGAAAGACAACTGGAGCCAGGCGCGGTGGCTCATGCCTGTAATTCCAGCATTTAGGAGGCCGAGGCAGGCAGATCACGAGGTCAGGAGTTCAAGACTACCCTGGCCAACATGGTGAAACCACATCTCTACTAAAAATACAAAAAAATTAAGCCCGGGCGTGGTGGCTCACGCCTGTAATCCAAACACTTTGGGAGGCCGAGGCAGGCGGATCACCTGAGGTCAGGAGTTCGAGACCAGCCTGGCCAACATGGTTAAACCCCATCTCTACTAAAAATATAAAAATTAGCTGGCCATGGTGGTGCATGCCTGTTATCCCAGCTACTTGGGAGGCTGAGGCAGGAGAATTGCTTGAATCCAGAGGGTGGAAGTTGCAGTGAGCTGAGATCGCACCACTGCACTGCAGCCTGGGTGACAAAGCAAGACTCAGTCTCGAAAAAAAAAAGAAATAGAACTGGGTGGCATGCACACAGGGGCAATAGGAAATAGGGAGATTTTCACAGTTTCATTTTGAATTTGATGTCATACAAATATGTTATCTATCCCCCCCCACAAAAAATTTAAAATCTAAATCTAATCCCCAGTACTATCAGTCTTTTGATAGCTAACATTCCAAAATGCCCTCCAGAGTTCACAAGACTCCCAAAAAATGCATCTAAAGGAAAAACCAATAACAAATAGCTCACACATGTACTATGTAAACGTACTAGGTACTGCCCCCGCACGCACCGCGTCAACGTACTAGGTACTGCTCACACACGTACTAGGTAAACGTACTAGGTACTGCTCACACACGTACTAGGTAAACGTACTAGGTACTGCTCACACATGTACTACGATGCTCTACAAACTGCCTTGCCCTAACTTTACTCACTTCACCTCATTCTTTCCCGGCATGAAGGAACCACAGTTACCTGTCCAAAGCATAACACTGAGCCGCCGCCAGCAGCAGGATGGCTGTCACGTCCTCCAAGAATTGCTTCCTCAGTCCCAGACATCTTGATTCTGGTTGACCTCTATATAAATAAAAAGCGGAAAAAAAAAACAACCCTCAAAGAATGTTTAAAGTAAAAGGCAAGAGCCTCTACTGAAAAATCACATAAAGAATCCTTATGCGGCCAGGCACAGTGGCTCATGCCTGTAATCCCAGCACTTTGGGAGGCCGAGGTGGGTGGATCACAAGGTCAGGAGATGGAGACCATCCTGGCTAACATGGTGAAACCCCCTCTCTACTAAAAATCCAAAAAAATTAGCTGGGCATGGTGGCAGGCGCCTGTAATCCCAGCTACTCGGGAGGCTGAGGCAAAGAATTGCTTGAACCCAGGAGGCGGAGGTTGCAGTGATCTGAGATCACACCCTGCACTCCAGCCTGGGCGACAGAGCGAGACTCCATTTCAGGAAAAAAAAAAAAAAAGAATCCCTATGCAATACCCTAAGAGTTATTTATAAGCTTCTAAGCACTGCTCCAATCCAGAACAGAGTTCCTCAGTGGTTAGCTGTGGTCTCTCAAGCTGCTGAAGATTCTTTAAGGTCTACTTCTACCTTTCTGTTAACATGTTTGCTATTCTGGCGGTGCTATTAAAGGTGATTTTTACAATAAGAATATATTACATTTAGAACTATAAAATCAAAATTACAAAAAATTCTTTATGGGAAAGCAAACAAAAAATGTACTATAGGTGGAACATTGCTAATCCAAAAATCCAAAATTCAAAATGCTCCAAAATCCAAAACGTTTTGAGTGCCAACATGATGTGTTATAGTCAAAACACAGGTAATGGCCAGGCATGGTGGCTCAAACCTATAATCCTACCACCTTGGGAGGCCAAGGCAGAAGGACTGCTTGAGCCCAGGAGTTTGAGACTAGCCTAGACAACAAAACCCCATCACTACAAAAAATTTAAAAATTAGCCAGGCGTGGTGCTATGCTACTTAGGAGGCTGATGTGGGAGGATCGCTTGAGCTCAGGAGTTTGAGGCTGCAGTGAGCTATGACCACCCCATCGCACTCCAGCCTGGGTGACAGAGTGTCTGACTCTGTCTCAAAAAAAAAAAAAAACAAAAAAAAAGGCAGGCACACAACACACAGTTTATTCAGCTTCTCCAAGAGAAAAATTCAATTATCAGCCAGACGCAGTCACTGACACCTATAATCCCAGCACTTTGGGAGGCTGAGGCGGGCGGATCACCTGAGGTCAGGAGTTTGAGACCAGCCTGGCCAACATGGTGAAATGTCTTTATAAAAATACAAAAATTAGCCGGGTGTGGTAGTGCGAGCCTGTAATTCCAGCTACTTGGGAGGCTGAGGTAGGAGAATCGCTTGAACCTGGGAGGCAGAGGTTGCAGTGAGCTGAGATTGTGCCACGGCACTCCAGCCTGGGCGAGAGTGAGACTCCATCTCAAAAAAAAAAAAAAAAAAAAATCATCTTTAGGCTCTGAAAACAAATGAATTTCATGTTTAGACTTGGGTCCCCTTCCCAAGATATCTGATTATATATATTCAAATATTCCAAAATCTGAAGTCCAAAACACTTCTGGTCCCAAAGCATTTCAGAGAAGCAATACCCAACCTGTACTAGCTAAGAGGGTAACTGGGAGGTGGTGGATATGTGAATTACCTTGACTGTGGTAATCATTTCACAGTGCATTCACATATCAAATCATCACATTGTACACCCTAAATATATACAATTTTTGTCAGTCATACCTCAAAAAAGCTGGGGGGTAGGGAAGAAAAATCAAGTGAATCTGTTTTAAAGTTTAAAAAAACCGGCCAGGTGTGGTGGCTCACACCTGTAACCCTAACACTTTGGGAGGCCAAAGCAGGCGGATCACCTGAGGTCAGGAGTTCGAGATCAGCCTGACCAACATAGTGAAACCCCATCTGTACTAAAAATACAAAAAAATTAGCCGGATGTGGTGGCAGGCGCCTGTAGTCCCAGCTACTCGGGAGGCTGAGGCAGGAGAATCACTTGAACTTGGGAGGCAGAGGTTGCAGTGAACTGAGATTGTGCCACTGCACTCCAGCCTGGGTGACAGAACAAGACTCCATCTCAAAAATAATAATAATAAAGTTTTTAAAAACCTCAACTTACTGCTCACTACTATATAGGCAGCATGACCCTGGACACTGTGGGGTCAAAAAGAAATAGAAGCCACAATCACTGAAATGCTTTCCAGGAGCTAACAAGATAGCTGGAGGGAGGAGACTTAATAGAAATGAAACAAATGAAGAGCAGGAGGCCCCAACATTCAGGAAGGCTACAGAGCAAAAAGCCACTTCACTTCCTTAACCAGCAGCATCACCATCACCTGTGAATCTTTTTTTTTTTTTTTTTTTGTAAGCGTTTCGCTCTTGTCGCCTAGGCTGCCCTGCAGTGGTGTGGTCTCAGCTCACTGCAACCTTCACCTCCTGGGTTCAAGCGAATCTGCTGCTTCAGTCTCCTGAGTAGCTGAGATTACAGGTGTGCGCCACCATGCCCGGCTAAATTTTGCATTTTTAGTAGAGACAGGGCCGGGCGTGGTGGCTCACGCCTGTAATCCCAACACTTCGGGAGGCTGAGGAGGGCAGATCACCTGAGGTCAGGAATTCGAGACCAGCCTGACCAACATGGAAAAACCCCGTCTCTACTAAAAATACAAAATTAGCCGGGTGTGGTGGTGCATGCCTGTAATCCCAGCTACTCAGGAGGCTGAGGCAAGAGAATCGCTTGAACCCGGAAGGCGGAGGTTGCAGTGAGCCGAGATTGCGCCATTGCACTCCCGCCTGGGAAACAAGAGTGAAACTCCGTCTCAAAAAAATAAATAAATAAATAAATAAATAAATAAATAAATAAATAACTAGAGACGGGGTTTCACCATGTTGGCCAGCCTGATCTCGAACTCCTGACCTCAAGTGATCCACCCGCCTCAGGTGTGAGCCACCATGCCAGAACACTTCTCACATTTAAAGAGCAACTTGTGGCCGGGCACGGTGGCTCACACTTGTAATCCCAGCACTTTGGGAGGCCCAGGCAGGTGGATAACCTGAGGTCAGGAGTTCAAGACGAGCCTGGTCAACATGGTGAAACCCCATCTCTACTAAAAATACAAAACTTAGCCAGATGCAGTGGCGCGTGCCTGTAGTCCCAGCTACTCGGGGGGCTGAGGCTGGAGAATTGCTTGTACCCGGGAGGCGGAGGTTGCAGTGAGCCGAGACCACACCACTGCATTCCAGCCTGGGCAATGGAGCAAGACTCTTTCTCAAAAAACAAAACAAAACAAACAAAAAAAATTCAGTCTTTTATTGAAGGACAATCTTATCTTTGTCCATAAAGTAAATGTGAAATATTTTTTGCCTTTTTTGCTCTTTTACTTTGAAAAAGATGTCTTACTATTCTGCTTTCCTTCCTAAAACTGTCTACAATGGTTTTTCCATTATAAAAGTAAAAAAAAAAAAAAAAAAAATTTAAGAGACAGCGTCTTGCTCTGTTACCCAGGCTGGAATGCAGTGGTGCAATCATAGCATACTGTAACCTTGACCTCCAGGGCTCAGGTGATCCTCCCACTGCGGCCTCCAGAGTAGACAGGACTACAGGTGAGTGCTATCATGCCAGGTTAATTTTTTTTAAAATTTTTTTAGAGATGAGTGTCTCACTATGTTGCCCAGGTTGGTCTTGAACTCCTGGGCTCAAGGAGTTCAAGTGTTTTTTATGTGTGCATATTCGTTAAACAAAGGTAGAATCCAAATGCATTAGGCATATCTTACACAGCACTTCAAATCTTCTTGGCCTTGTGTGTCCTTGAGGCCCTTGGTCACTTTGTCCACTCCAGCTGTCACTGGGCTGATCAAACACGTCTGGGTTATAACCAACTGCCCACAGGCACAACCCCACGGTCCCTTACCTCCTGCTCATACTGGGTACCTATCACTTCCCACCCGTGGCTTGCTGCTTGCCTTGGAGGTGTAAGGGTCTGTGGGACCCACCTGGTACCCACACATGCACAACCTAGAAGTCTATGGGAATTAATGTGCCATGAAGCAAACCTTTTTCCAGTGAGATACAGAAGCTGAGGGGTCCGTCCACCCTTCCTTTAGATGGATTGCCCTGGAATGCAGTTATGTATACATCCTCCTGGGAGACAGCTTTAGGAGAACAAGCAACCAACTGTACTTGCACCAAGGGCAACCAACTTCAAAATGCACCCTTGAACTGACTTAATCTTCCTTCTCCCTTCACTCACCTTTCCCCTACCTCTGCTTCCTGAGAGCACACTTCTTGAAAAAATAATAGCACATACGCTCTTGCCTCAAGCTGTAGGTTCTCCAGGTTCTAGGGTACCCAGGTATAGCAGACACTACGGATGCTCTACTCAGCATCCCTTCAGCTTTTTTTTTTTTCTGAGACAGAGTCTCGCTCTGTCACCCAGGCTGGAGTGCAGAGTGGTGTGATCTCAGCTCACTGCAACCTACACCTCCCAGATTCAAGCAATTCTCCTGCCTCAGCCTACTGAATAGCTGGGATTACAGGCATCCACCACCACGCCTGGCTAATTTTTGTATTTTTAGTAGAGACGGGGTTTCGTCATGTTGGCCAGGCTGCTCTCGAACTTCTGACCTCAGGTGATCCGCCTGCCTCATCCTCCCAAAGTGCTGGGACTACAGGTGTGAGCCACCGCGCCCAGCCATCCCTTCAGCTCTTACCACAATAGTGCACCCTATTCTGACTTCCAAATGCCAACATCTGCATCTTGTTACCTGAGAGCTTTCTTTGGTATCCAGACTACTTTGCACCTGTTTATGGCAAGCTGTAAGCACCAGAAAATTGAACCACCCTGGCAGCAGCCCTCAAATGGTGCCTGACAGGAGCTGGTGTTGAAATACGCTAAATTTCTGACCCCTCTGTGGAACATCACCAAGCCATGAGCTTCTCCAGTGGAATTAGGTTCCCCCGTGGCAACAGGCTTGAAAACTCACCCTTTGTTGTCAAACTTTCCTTTCCTGTCTCCCTTCCCCGCTCCTCTACTGTGTAAAGGACTAATCTCCAAATAAACTACTTGGGAATAAAAAGGAGGGCGGCAAAAGATGCCTTTACAATGTAGAAACCTGGGAGTTACCACCTTAATTATTAAGGAATCAAACTTAATGTCACCAATTACAGTCACATCATGTGCTTCCTGATGGACGCACTAAGAAGGTCCCATCATTGAGGTAGTATTTCTACCAACCTAATCATCAGGAAACAATCAAACAAGTTGAAATCTACAAAGCAACTGGCCTGGACTCTCCAAAGCATCAGTGTCTCAAAAAGCAAAACAAAATAGAATGGCTGGTGAACTCTTTTATGTTAAAAGAGGCTTAAGGCTGGGTGTGGTGGCCCACGCCTGTAATCCCAGCACTTTGGGAGGCCAAGGCGGGTGGATCATCTGAGCTCAGGAGTTCAAGACCAGCCTGGCCAACATGGTACAATTCCCGTCTCTACTAAAAATATAAAAAGTAGCTGGGCATGGTGGCACACACCTGTAGTCCCAGCAACACGGGAGGCTGAAGCAGGATAATCACTTGAACCCAGCGGGTGGAGGTTGCATGAGCCAAGATCATGCCACTGCACTCCAGTTTGGGTAACAGAGCAAGACTCCATCTCAAAAAATAAATAATAAATAAATAAAGACTTAAGAGGCATGACAACTAAATGCACTGTGTGATCTTCAATGAAATTTCGGATCAGGGATAAAGAAAAGCTATAAAGAATATTATTAGGACAATGGGAGAAATCTGATGATGGGATGAATATGAGACTGCAGCCACAACCTCCTGGGCTCAGGTGATCCTTCTGCCTCAGCCTCCCGAGTAGCTTAGACTACAGGTGTGCACCACCACAGCTGGTTAGTGTGATAATTATATCGTGATTCTGTAGGACAATGGCCTATCACTAGATGTATGATTTTGTATGATGCAATATTGGAGTAAAGTGTCATGTTTTCTGCAACTTACTCTCAATTCATTCAACTAATTGTGTGTGTGTGTGTGTGTGTGTGTGTGTGTGTAGAGAGAGAGAAAAAGGCAAGTAGATAAAGCAAAAGTACAAATTTATGAACCTAGGTGAAGGATATGCAGACATTAATTGTAAATTTTTTTTTTGAGACAGTCTCGCTGTGCCACCCAGTGCAGTGAGGCGATCATGGCTCACCGTACCCTCAAACTCCTTGGCTCGTGATCTTCCCACCTCAGCCTCCTAAGTAGCTGGGACTACAGTTGTATAACGCCACACACGGCATATTTTTTATTTTTTGTAGAGACACGGGTCTCACTATGTTGTCCAGGCTGGTCTCAAACTCCTGGGCTCAAGCAATCTTCCTGCCCAGCCTCCCAAAGCACTGGGATTACAGACGTGAGCCACTGCACCCAGCCCACTGTAAAATTTGTCCAAAGGCTTCAAATCTTTCAGGATGAAGTGTCAGGAAAGACTACCTGCATAGCCAAGATTATGGCAGCTATATAAATCCAAATATCCAAACACATGTCCAAAAACTACACAGACCAACCAACCGGAGAAACAAAGAAAATCACCAACGTCTCATATCTTCAACATACTTAGAAGACTGAAAATACTACAAGCTTCTAATTACCCATAAGTAGAAAAACGTCAATTTCTTGTAGAGATGTTTCTCAATCTCTCATCTCAGCTCTTTAAGGACAGCAAAGAGGGATCCAGATAGGAAGAGAGATGCAAAGAAGAGAGAAGAGGGCTGGGCGCACCGGGCGCGGTGGCTCATGCCTGTAATCCCAGCACTCTGGGAAGCTGAGGCAGGCGGATCACGAGGTCAGGAGTTTGAGACCAGCCTGGCCAAGATGGTGAAACCCCGTCTCTACTGAAAATACAAAAATTAGGTGGGCGTGGTTGTGTGCGCCTGTAATCCCAGCTATTCGGGAGGCTGAGGCAGGAGAATCACTTGAACCTGGGAGGCAGAGGTTGCAGTGAGCAGAGATCACACCACTGCACTCCAGCCTGGGTGACAGAATGAGACTCTGTCTCAAAAAAAAAAAGAAGAGAGAAGAGGACAATGGAGAGCCTAAGATGGAACTAAAATATCACCCTGAAAAAGAAAACTCACGGTAAGTATGAAAACACCAACAAAGAATTCCGTTAAATCGGGAGGGAGGAAGGGAAGGTCGGGTAGAGACACTTTTAAACACATGCAGAACTTGATGAGGTAGTCTTGAAAACGCAAGCCTTCTGGGAAGAAGGAGAAAAAGAATGAAAGGGTACCCTCTGTTGGCCGGGCGCGGTGGCTCACGCCTGTAATCCTAGCACTTTGGGAGGCCAAGGCGGGCGGATCACGAGGTCAAGAGATGGAGAACAGCCTTGCCAACATGATGAAACCCAGTCTCTACTAAAAATACAAAAATTAGTTGGGTGTGGTGGCGCGTGCCTGTAGTCCCAGCTACTCAGGAAGCTGAGGCAGGAGAATTGCTTGAACCCGGGAGGCAGAGGTAGCAGTGAGCAGAGGTTGCAGTGAGCCAAGATTGCGCCACTGCACTCCAGCCTGGAGACAGAGCAAGACTCCGTCTAAAACAAAACAAAACAAAACAAAACCAAAGAGAAAGGGTACCCTCTGAAAACTGTGCTGTGAAAGACACAAAGAAAATGTAAGAGCCAAAGGACATAGAACCACCTCCCCGACAAAAAAGCCTTCTAGTAGAATTAGAAGCCATACTTGACTACACCTAGAAAAGAATAGGAACTACTCTTGAACTAGGAATCTCAAAAATCATCCTGAATGACTGTCACTCCTGCTCACGAAATGCAAACTTCGAGAAAAAAAAAAGATTGAAAAGAATGAAAGAACCTCAGGATCCTGTGGGCTAATATCAAAATGTCTAACTCACATACAATTGAAGTGAAATTGAACTCACATACAGAAGAAGTGAAAGAGAATGGAACAGAAGAAATATTTTTAAAACTAATAGCTCCAAATTTCCCAAATTGGCCGACAGACATAAATTTACAGATTTAAGAAGCTCTGCAAATCTCAAGAATAAATCTCCGGATAAATACAAATAAAATGACACCTAGATACACCACAGACAAACTGCTAAAAAACAAAAATAAAGAGAAAATCTTGAAAGCAGGTAGAGAATGATAACACATTACATACAGAGTAATGAATGATGCAAATGATGGCTCCATTTTACAATAAAGGTAAGAAACATATCTAGAAATCAATTTAACAAAATATGTATAAGACTTCTGAACTGAAAACCATAAAACAGAACTAAAAGAATTTTTTTTTTTTGAGACAGAGTTTCACTCTTGTTGCCCAGGCTGGAGTGCAATGGCACCATCTCGGCTCACTGCAACCTCTGCCTCCCAGGTTCAAGTGATTCTCCTGCCTCAGCCTCCAGAGTAGCTGGGATTACAGGCATGCGCCACCATGCCTGGCAAATTTTGTATTTTTCGTAGAGACAGGGTTTCTCCATGTTGGTCAGGCTGGTCTCAAACTCCTGACCTCAGGTGATCCACCCGGCTCAGCCTCCCAAATTGCTGGGATTACAGGTGTGAGCCGCCACACCTGGCCCAAAATTTTTATTTTTATTATTATTATTTTTTGAGACAGAGTTTTGCTCTTGTTGCCCAGGCTGGAGTGCAATGGCACTATCTCAGCTCACTGCAACCTCCACCTCCTGAGCAAGTTCAAGCAGTTCTCCTGCCTCAGCCTCCCAAGTAGCTGAGACTACAGGCACCTGCCACCACACCTGGCTAATTTTTGTATTTTTAGTAGAGACGGGGTTTCACCATGTTGGCCAGGCTGGTCTCGAACTCCTGACCTCAGCTGATCTGCCCGCTGCAGACTCCCAAAGTGCTGGGATTACAGGCATAAGCCACTGCACCCGGCCTAAAAAGAAATTTTAAAAGGCTTAAATAAGAAGGAAAATGCACCAAGTTCATATATTTGAAGACTCAATACTGTTTAGGTGTCATTTCTTTCCAAATTGATCCATAGATTCAATGCAATCCCAATCACAACTTTACCAGACTTTTCTGTAAAACTGGTAAAGATAATTCTGATATTTATATGGAAATGCAGAGGATTTAGAATATTCACATCAAGCTTGAAAACAACAAAATTGGAAGACCTACAACTACATGACTTCAAGACTTACTAAAAAGCTACAGTAATTAAAAGTGTGGTACTAACACAAGGATTGAACAATGGAACAGAAAAGGGAGTGCAGACATCAATTACCATTTGTACAGTCATCTTAATTTCCAAAACGCAATACAATAGCATTTTCAACAAATGGTGCTGGAATGACTGGATATCTATATGGAAAAGAAATTAATATTTAATTATATCTCACACCATTCACCTAAACTAGAAATGGGTGATAGGCTTAAACATAAAACTAAAACTATAAAATTTATAGGCCGGGCACGGTGGCTCACGCCTATAATCCCAGCATGTTGGGAGACCGAGGCGGGTGGATCACAAGGTCAAGAGTTCAAGACCAACCTGGCCAACCTGGTGAAACCCTGTCTCTAATAAAAATACAAAAATTAGTTGGGCATGGTGGCGCATGTCTGTAATCCCAGCTACTCGGGAGGCTGGGGCAGGAGAATCGCTTGAACCTGGGAGGCAGAGGTTGCAGTGAGCGGAGATCGCCATCACCGCACTCCAGCCTGGACGACAGAGCAAGACTCTGTCTCAAAAAAAAAAAAAACTTACAGAAGAAAACATGAAAGATTATCTTCACAGCCTGAAGGTAGCCAAGATTTCCTAGGACTCAGAAAGCAGTAACTATAAAAGAAAATATAAGAGAAAACTGATTACATCAAAATGTAAAACTTCTGTTCATCAGACAACTCTAAGAAAATGAATAGGCAACCAGACAGAGGACAGGTAACCAGGATATAAAGGTTATATAAATAACTGCTACAACTCAATAATAAAAAGACACACAACCCAATGTAAAATGGGCAAAAGATTTGAGCAGGCACTTCACAAAGGAAGATGCACATTGTCATGGGCACAGGAAAAAGTGCTAAACACCATTAGTGACTGAGGACTAAAATTAAGACCATGACACACCACACCCATCAGAATAACTCAAAAGACTGACAACACCAAATGCTGGCAAGGATGTAAAGCAACTGGAACTCTCATACACTGTTGGCAGGAAACAGGCTGATAAAACCACTCAGCTGTTAATGCACACTACTCTTCATGAAAACCAAAGGCCGACTCCAAGGACGGAGCCACACGTCCAGGGAGTAGAGCAGCAGAGGCCCAATCCCAGGCCTGGAGCCCTACTGGTTTTTTGAGACGAAGTCTTGTTCAGTCGCCCAGGCTGGAGTGCAGTGGCACAATCTCGGCTCACTGCAACCTCCATCTTCCTGACTGAAGCAATTCTCCAGCCTCAGCCTCCCGAGTAACTGGGACTACAGGCACGTGCCATCACGCCCAGCTAATTCTAATTCTTGTATTTTTAGTAGAGATGGGGTTTCACTATATTGCTCAGGCTGGTCTCGAACTCCTGAGCTCAAGTGATCCCCCCGCCTCGGCCTCCCAAAGTGCCAGGATTACAGACGTGAGCCACCGCGCCTGGCCTATTAGTTCTTTATTTATCTTGAATATCAGTCTTTTGTCAAATAGGTCCCTGTGTTTCCCCATTCATTTTCTTAGAGTAGTCTGTGATTACATTTTGATGTAATCAATCATATTTATCTTTGTGTGTGTGGTTTTTTTTTTGGGTTTTTTTTGCTTTTTTAAGTGACTCTGGCATCCTGAGCCCTAAGAAACCTTTGCACACACTCAGGTCATGAAGATATTCTTCTCATCTTCTTCCAGAAGCCTCACGGTTTTCTAATTTTGAAAATAGGTCTGGGCGGGGCCCGCTGGGTGCAGTTGCTCACACCTGTAATCCCAGCACTTTGGGAGGCTGAGGCAGGCGGATTGCATGAGGTGAGGAGTTCAAGACCAGCCTGGCCAACATCATGAAACTCCATCTCTACAAAAAATACAAAAATTAGCTGGGCCTGGTGGAATGTTCCCGTAGTCCTAGCTACTCAGGGGGCTGAGGTGGAAGGCTTGCTTCAGCCTGGAAGGTAGAGGCTGCAGTGAGAAGAGATCACCCCACTGCACTCCAGCCTGGGTGACAGAACGAGACTGTCTCAAAAAAAAAGAAAGAAAGAAATTAAGTAGCCAGGAGTGGTGGCTCACGCCTGTAATCCCAGCACTTGAGGCTGAAGTGGAAGGATCGCTTGAGGCTCAGGAGTTCAAGACAAGCCTAGGGAACATGGCTGTCTCTACAAGCAGCAAAACGTTAGTCGGGCATGGTGGAGCATGCCGGCAGTCCCAGCTACTCAGGAAGCTGTGGTGGGAGGATCACTTGAGCGGGGGCGAGGAAGGGGTCAAGGCTGCAGTGAGCCATGATCATACCACTACACTCCAGCCTGGGCAACAGAGGAAGACCCTGTCTCAAAAAAGAAAGAAAGAAATTAAATATGTATCTGTCATATGATCCCAAAATTCTGATAGGTGTTTTCCCAGAGGAAATAAAAACATGGTAAAAAAAAAAAAAAAAAAAACTCAGGGGTAGAAGGGAGAGAGCCTGGACTAGGATAGTGGCTATGGCAAGAAATCATGAATTCAAGATATTAAAAAGGTAAAGACTGGCAAAGATGTTTTATTCTTCTCCATTTCCTTATCACCTAAAAGCATTTTTCTTTCTTTTTTTTTTTTTTTGAGGAGTCTCACACTGTTGCCCAAGCTGCAGTGCAATGGCACAATCTCGGCTCACAAAACCATTTCTTATTATATGTGGAGGGCTGAAGAAGCATGTCAGGTGGACTCTGGATATACAGATCAAGAGGGAGATGTGACAAGGTGATGGGTGAGATTCTGACTGTGAAGGTCAAGAACGGCTTGATGAACAAGACTGGAGCAAGTTTCTTTTATTTTCATTTATGAACACAGTACTATAATGTTCATGAAACTTTAAAAAAATTAGCAAAAGTAGAAAAAAAGTGGCCAGGCACGGTGGCTCACATCTGTAATCTCAGCACTTTGGAAGGCCAATGCAGACAGATCACCTGAGGTCAGGAGTTCAAGACCAGCCCGGCTAACATGATGAAACCTCTTCTCTACTAAAGATACAAAAATTAGCTGGGCATGGTGGCAGGTGCCTGTAATCTCAGCTCCTCAGGAGGCTAAGGCACAAGAATCGCTTGAATCCAGGAGGCGAAGGTTGCAGTGAGCCAAGATCGCACCACTGCACTCTAGCCTGAGCAAGAGTGAGACTCTGTCTCAAAAAAAAAAAGTAGAAAAAAAATTTTTAATTGAAATCTCAAAATGTCATTACCTCTAAAGCCTTATGCAGCTCACCACACTCTGAAGTATGTCTTTTTTTTTTTGAGGGGGAGACACTCTGTTGCCCAGGCTGGAGTACAGTGGCGCAATCTCAGCTCACTGCAACCTCCACCTCCCAGGTTCAAGTGATTCTGGTGCCTCAGCCTCCTGAGTAGCTGGAACTACAGGCATGCGCGACCACACCCAGCTAATTTTCTGTACTTTTAGTAGAGGCAGGGGTTTCACCATGTTGGCCAGGCTGGTCTCGAACTCCTGACCTCAGGTGATCTGCCCACCTCGGCCTCCCAAAATGCTGGGATTACAGGCATAAGCCACCACACCTGGCCTGAAGTAAGTCTTAAAATTTGTGGGAACCCAGTAATCCCAGCACTTTGGGAGGCCGAGGCAGGCAGATCATGAGGTCAGGAGTTCGAGACCAGCCCGGCCAACATGGTGAAACTCCGTCTCTACTAAAAATACAAAAATTAGCTGGGCACGGTGGCGGGTACCTGTAATCCCAGCTACTCGGGAGGTTGAGGCAGGAGAATCGCTTGAACCTGGGAGACGGAGGTTGCAGTGAGCCGAGATCACGCCACCGCACTCCAGCCTGGGCGACAAGAGTGAAACTCCGTCTCAAAAAAAACAAAAAAACACGGTGGGAACATAGGATTAATTCCCTCACACTGATCATTTCTCTGCACTCCCACACTCAGCCATTAGAGAACTGCGGGGCCATACACTAATCACTGAATCCCCAACACTCAGCACAGTCCCCACTCAGCACATAGTATGAAGAGCATTTTAGCCTTATTTTAGCTTCTCTCCACATCAAAACTGCCAGTTCAATATTAAAAATGAGTGCCTTGAGTGAAGAAATGCTAAAAGCTGCAGAGATGGAAAAATATCCACTAGGCTTTCTGCCCTTGAAGCACTACTGAGACAGTCAGTTCTCATTATTCAGGGTAGTTATGTCCTGTAAAGCCATCATGAACACTGAACTAGCAAATACTGAGCCACTGCTCCCAGGGGAAATACAGGGTTACTCAACAGGCCAATACATAACCTTGTTTTATGTGTGCTTCTGTTTAAAGATATCTTATTTAATATATATTGTTGATGCAGTAACATGAACTCACAGCCAACAACAAAAGTGATGCCTGAACAAAGCTAATCTAAAAGCTTATCTTTTCTCTATAAGATATATCACAGCCTTCAACTTGGAAATGCTAGACAGCACTTCTATTCTTGGAGGCCCCTATAAACAGCAAAATCACCAAAAGCACAAAAATACAAAAAAACATGGCACTACGTATACAGCCAAAATAACACTTATGAACAGTTTTAGAGCTGAAACAGGAAGGCAGAGTGTCACCTTATTTGAACATAGCTGGGAAAGCATACAGTGGGTGACTCAAAATTTTTCACAACTAGTCTCTCCCACAGCTAGCTCAGTTACATTTTTCATACACTCATCTCCAACTACACCGTTTATACTACAAGATAACACGTTTTGGTGTACATTACACAACAGCAATCTCTGACGGTTTCTGCCTCCCTGAGAAGACCAGCACACAAACATTTCTCTGCTTGATACCACGATAATTAACGGCCTGGTAAGTGGTGAACTGAGAATAGAACACTTTAAAAAACACTCCCAGAGGGGCGCAGTGGCTCACGCCTGTAATCCCAACACTTTGGGAGGCCAAGGCGGGAGGATCACCTGAGGTAGGGAGTTCGAGACCAGCGTAACCAACATGGAGAAACCCCTTCTCTACTAAAAATACAAAATTAGCCGGGTGTGGTGGTGCACACCTGTAATCCCAGCTACTCGGGAGGCTGAGGCAGGAGAATCGCTTGAATCCAGGAGGCAGAAGTGGCAGTGAGTCAAGATCTCGCCACTGCAGTCCAGCCTGGGCAACAAGAGCGAAACTCTGTCCCCCCAAAAAAACAACAGACAAACAAAAAAACAAAACTCCCGCCCAGGTGTGGTGGCTCACACCTGTAATCCCAGCACTTTGGGAGGCCGAGGCGGGTGGATCACCTGAGGTCAGGAGTTTGAGACCAGCATTGCCAACACGGTGAAACCCTGTCTCTACTAAAAATACCAAAAATTAGCCTGGCATAGTGGCATGCGCCTGTAAGCCCAGTTACCGAGGAGGCTGAGAGAAACTCTGTCCCCCCAAAAAACAACAGACAAACAAAAAAACAAAACTCCCACCCAGGCGCGGTGGCTCACACCTGTAATCCCAGCACTTTGGGAGGCCGAGATGGGTGGATCACCTGAGGTCAGGAGTTCGAGACCAGCATGGCCAACATGGTGAAACCCTGTCTCTACTAAAAATACCAAAAATTAGCCGGGCATAGTGGCATGCGCCTGTAAGCCCAGTTACCGAGGAGGCTGAGATAGGAGAAGCGCTTGAACCCAGGAGGTGAGGTTGCAGTGAGCCCAGATACGCCATTGCACTCCACCCTGGGCAACAAGAGTGAAACTTCATCTCAAAAAAAAAAAAAAAACAAAAAAAAAACTGCCCTAAACGATACCAGACCTGAGGCCACTGAATTACCTGACCCAACCCAAGAGTTAAATGCTAGTTTCCAAAAACTTAAGTTTTAAATGTCTGTGCCTCAGACTGCGAGTTCTGTGGAGGACTAGACCTAGAAAGCCTAGAAAATCACCAGTATCCATCAAAAATGGAGAAACAAAATGTGGTATATCCACACAATAAATAATTCAGTTATTTAAAAAATGAAGTTGATACATGCTACATACAACATAGATGGACTTTGAATCATGAAGTGAAATAAACCAAACACAAAAGAACAAATATTGTATAATACAGTACTGAGAATGGGTAAATTCATAGATTAGTGCTGCTGGGAGTAGGAGGAAATAATGGGTGTCTGCTAATGGTTTTAAGGTTTCTTTTAGGGATGATAAAAATGTTCTGGAATTAGATAATAGTGGTGATTGCACAACCTTGTGAATATATTAAAACCACTGAATTGCACACTTTAAAAGGGTGAATTTAGACTGGGTGTGGTGGCTCACACCTGTAATCCCTGAACTTTGGAAGGGCGAGGAGTTCGAGACCAGCCTAACCAACATGGTGAAAAATACAAAGTAGCTGGGTGTGGTGGTATGCGCCTGTAATTCCAGCTACTTGAGAGGCTGAAGCAAAGAATCGCTTGAACCCAGGAGGCGGACGTTGCAGTGAGCCGAGACGGCGCCACTGTACTCCAGCCTGGGCAACAGAGCGAGACTATGTCTCCACTTTTTTTTAAAAAAGGGAGTGAATTTAATTGTACGTGAATTATAACTTTTTTTTTTTTGGATGGATTCTCGCTCTGTCCCCCAGGCTGGAGTGCAGTGGTGCGATGTCGGCTTACCGGCACACCTGCCTACTGGGTTCAAGCGATTCTCATGCCTCCGCCTCCCGAGTAGCGGGGATTACAGGCGCCCGCCACCAGGCCTGCCTAGTTTTGTATTTTTAGTAGAGACGGGGTTTCGCTATGTTAGCCAGGCTGGCGTAGAACTCCTGGCCTCAAGCGATCCTCCCGCATCGGCCTTCCAAAGTTCTGGGATTACAGGTGTGAGACGCCGCGCCAGACCTCTATCTCAATGTTATAACAAGGCTCAATACTCAGCTAAAGTGAGCGTCAAATTTTTATTTTTATTTTTTCCCCCGTGACAGGGTCTCGCTCTGTCGCCCGGGACGGAGTGTCGTGGTACGGGTGCGATCTCGGCTCACTGCAGGCTTGACCTCCAGGGAACATGGGGGCATGCCGCCACCATGCCCGGCGTCAAATTCCTTTTAAATCAATCATTTCTTCCCAGCGTCCCCCGCTCCCTGCAACTCAACTTCGTTTAGCTATTAACACAAACTTCAGATTCCCCACGCCTGTCTGCAGGCAGCATCTCCAAGGAAGCGCCACCACGGACACCTGGCTGTCCGCACCGCGGTGGGGTCCCGGCGCGTTGGTGCCAAGTTTCCTGTACCCCGCCTTCCTACCCACCTCTCGGGAGGCCCGGATACTGAGCCCCTCACTGCACTGGTGAACTAGAACAGGCCTCTGGACTCAGCATCTCTACGCTGAGACCTCAGGATCAGGTCCACCGCAGCCCCAGGTTCTCGACCCGGAAGCTGAGCCTTCCCACGCTCCACACCCACGGCTAGAACCACCCCGGGGGAAGCCGCTCTCCTCCCCCACTTACGCGCCTCGGGCAGCGCGCGGTGCACACAGGGAGCTCGATCTAGGCTATGGACAAGGGGAAGAGATCTTAGATGGAGGCCGCGCAGAGGAGAATGGGAAGGGTGCGCGAGCGTCTCTGGGAAGAAGGTCCGAACCCACGCCCAGCGCCGGAGGGGGAAAAAAAAAAACACAGACCAGAGAAGGAACCGTAAATCAAGTCGGAGGGGAAAAGAGCCGCAAAGCCTTCTGCGGCAGCCGTAAAGCAACCTGGAGGCGCGGTGCTGGCTTTTACGTTCTGAGCCGCTCGCCCTGCCGCTTCCCTGCGCGCCCTCTGCCTCCTACTTCCCGCCAGCTTCCCTCGGTCCGCGGCCGTCGGATCTCTGCTGCCCCCTGGTGGGCCTGGCGGTTTCGTCAGGCCTTCAGCGGCTAGTTAGGCCCGGGTGGTTCACACTTCACATGCCCAGTGCCCATTAGGATGCGGGGCCCGCCCACCCATGCACAATTGGGAAAATCTGAGGATGAATGGTTGTCAGAGACCTTCCCAGATTCCGCCCGGGCCGAGGCAGCGGTGGACCTGGTGGTTCTCGCGGCCTCTCACCACCGCCGCGCACATCCAGTCGTCACCGGATGGCGCCTTCGGTTAGCGACGACCGCAGGGAAATGGAGAAGTGCGGCTTGGGGGGCGAAGTCCCCTCTAGAATGTCCCCTGGGGCCGGGCGTGGTGGCTCAGGCCTGTAATCCCACCACTTTGGGACGCCGAGGCGGGCTGATCACGAGGTCAGGAGTTCGAGACCAGCCTGGGCAACATGGCGAAACCCTGTCTCTACTAAAAATACAAAAAATTAGCCGGGCGTGGTGGCGGGCGCCTGTAGTCCCAGCTACTCGGGAGGCTGAGGTAGGAGAATGGCGTGAACCCCGGGGGACGGAGCCTGCAGTGAGCCGAGATCGCCCCACTGCACTCCAGCCTGGGCGACAGAGCGAGGCTCCGTCTCAAAAAAAAAAAAAAAAGTTTTTGTAGCGACAGGGTCTTGCTATGTTGCCCAGGCTGGTCTTGAACTCCTCGCCTCAAGTGATCCTCTTGCCTCAGCCTCCCAAAGTGCTAGGATTACAGGTATGAGCCACTGCACCTAGCCCACTTATCATTCTTTTTGTGGCGAGATATTTTCAACTTACTCTCTTAGAAATTTTGAAATATACAATAAATTATTATTAACTATAGTCACTATGCTGTGCAATAAATCTCAAAATTGTATTCCTCCTGTTTAACTGTTAACTTTGTACCCTGAGACCAACATCTTCATCTCCCCATTATCTCCCCCAGCCCCTTATTCCCCAGCCTCTGGGGAATTTTTAGTAGAGACAGGGTTTCTCCATGTTGGTCAGGCTGGTCTCGAACTCCCAACCTCAGGTGATCTGCTCACCTCAGCCTCCCAAAGTGCTGGGATTACAGGTGTGAGCCACTGTGCCCAGCCAATATTGAGCATTTTTATGAACCTGTTGATCATTTGTATGTCATCTTTTGATAAATGATTTTTTTTTTAAAGAGTCAGGGTCTCAAGCTATCAAGCTGTTGCCCAGACTGTACTGCAGTGCTGCAATCATGGCTCACTGCAACCTCTAACTCCTGGGCTCAAGTGATCCTCCCACCTCAGCTTCCCAGGTAGCTGGGACTACAAGCATATGTCACCACACCTGGCTAATCTAAAATTTTTTTGTAGAGACAAGGTCTTTCTATGTTGTCCAGGCTTTTCACAACTCCTGGCCTCAAGCAATTCTCCTGTCTCAGCCTTCCAAAGCACTGGGATTACAGGTGTAAACCAGTGCACCTGGTGCCCTTTGCCCCCTTTTTAGTCGTGTGATCTGATTTTGCTATGAGTTGTTTGCTTTCTTCACATATTTAGAATAGGATAGTAACCCCTTATTGGATATATGGTTTGCAAATATTTTCTCTCACTCTGTTGTTTTCTTTGTTGTGTCCTTTCATTTCTGATTTTGGTAATTTGTGTCCTCTCCTTTTTTCACTAGTCCAGCTAGATGTTTATTAATTTTACCTGTCTTTTCAAAGAACCAGCTCATGGTTTTATTAATTACTACAATTGTTTTTCCATTTGTTTGTTTCACTGATTTTCATTGTTATCTTCATCACTTCCTTTCTTCTGCTCACTTTAGGTTTACTTTACTTTTCTTTCTTTTTGTTTCTTATGATTTTAACCTTTTTTTGTTTTAAGTAAAGGCATTTAAACTATTAAACTATAAATTTTCCTCTAAGAACTCCTTTAGCTGAATTTTATAAATTCTGAAACATAATTTTTGGGGTAAATGTATTTTAAAGTTACCTACCTGCATGTTATTGTATATATTATATTGTTTTCTTTTTTTTTATGAAAAACTTTTTTTTCTAAGAGACAGCACCTCACTCTGCTGCCCAGGCTATGGTGCAGTGGCACGGTCATAGCTCGCTATAACCTCAAATGCCTGGGCTCAAGTGATCCTCCTGCTTCAGTCTCCTAAGTAGCTAGGATTACAGAGGCTACATGCCCAGCTAAGTAAAAAAACATTTTTTTGGTGGAGGCAGGGTCTTGCTATGTTGCTCAGGCTGGTCTTGAACTCCTAGCCTCAAGCAATTCTCCCACCTTGGCCTCCCAAAGTGCTGGAACTGCAGGTGCATGACACTATGCCTGGCTAATTAAAAAAATTTTTTTTAGAGAGGGGTTCTTACTATGTTTCTCAGGCTTGTCTTAAACTCCAGGGCTCAAGCAATCCTCCTGCCTCAGCCTCCTGAGTAGCTGGGACTACAGGTGCTCACCACCATGCTCAGCTCTAAAAACTACATTTTAAAAATAGTTCCTGCTATTCTTTGTTGTGGGTTGAATTGTGTTCCTCAAAAAGACAGGTAGAAATTATAACCTCCAGTACTTGTGAATGTGACCTTAATTAGAGAGGGGTCTTTGTAGATGTAATCAAGTAGGATGAGGTCATACTCAATTCAGGATAGACCCTCTTCAATATAATTGCTGTTATAAGAAAACAGGCTGGGTTCGGTGCCTCACACCTCCCAACACTTTGGGAGGTCAAGACGAGAGGATCGCCTTGACCAGCCTGGCCAGTTCGAGATCAGCCTGGCCAACACGGTAAAACCCCGTCTCTACTAAAAATACAAAAATTAGCTGGGCATGGTGGTGGGTGCCTGTAATCCCAGCTACTTGGGAGGCTGAGGCAGGAGAATTGCTTGAACCTGGAAGGTGGAGTTTGCAGTGAGCCGAGATATAGTCATTGCACTTGAGCCTGGGCGACAAGAACAAAACTCTGTCTCAAAAGAAAGGGAACGGAAGAGAAGGGAAGGGAGGGGAAGGGGAGGGGAGGGGAGGGGAAGGGGGAAGGGAAAAGGGGAAGGGGAAGGGAGGGGAGGGGGGAGAGGGGGAGGGGAGGGGGAGGGAGGGAAGGGAGACGCCCGGGCCAGGTGGCTCACACCTGTAATCCCAGCACTTTGGGAGGGGGGCGGATCACTTGAGGTCAGGAGTTTGAGACCACCCTGGCCAGCATGTTGAAACCCCGTCTTTACTAAAAATACAAACATTAGCTGGGGATGGTGGCACATACCTTTAATCTCAGCTACTCGGGAGGCTGAGGCAAGAGAATTGTTTGAACCCGGAAGTGGAGGTTGCAGTGAGCCAAGATTGTGCCATTGCACTCCAGCCTGAGCGACAGAGTGAGACTCAGTCTCAAAAAAAATAAAAATAAAAATAAGAAAACAGAGACAAAGACAGAAGGAAGGCAGCCCTCTGAAGATGGAGGCAGAGATTGCAGTCATTATGCCAGAAGCCAAAGAACATGAGGCCACCGGAAACTGGAAGAGGCAAGGAAGTATCCTCCCCTGCTGTGAGAGCAAGCTGTCATTACTTAGTCAAATAAAGTGTATGTCTACGACCCAGTGATTCCACTCCTGTGTACAAAAAGTCCTCATACAATTTACGAAGGGACATACATGAACATATCCACTGTAGTATTATTTACTTCATAACATGGCCGTGCCAAGTTCTTTAATCTGGGACTTAGAGCCTCAAGAACTGAGAGAAGCTAAATTTCTGATGTTTTAAGCCACCCAGTTGTGGTAATTTGTTACAATGGCTTTAGGAAACTAACACAATGTGATTTCTAATCCATCGTGCCTGCCTGCCACAGCATTTCCCATGGTGTACATCCACCATATTTCGCCCATCTACCTTCCCCACTGTGAACATCATAAATAATACTACAGTGAACATATTCCTACATGTTCCTTTATAAACTGTGTGAGAGCGTTCCGTACACACAGCAGTGGAACCGTTGGGTGACAGACGTCTATTTTATTTGCCTGAGTAATGACAGCTTGCTCTCCACCGCCCTTGCATGAGGGTTCCTGTATGTCCACACCCCTGCCAATTCTTGACATCATGCTGATTCACAACTTTCGGCAGTGTAATGAGTGTGAAATGTTATCTTTTTTAAAAAAATTATATTTCTGATTACTAATGATTTTAAGCACTTCCTGTGCATGCTCAGTTTTTGGTTTTCTGGTTTTTTAATTGGCTGTTCATATCATTCACCCATTTCTGTATGTAGTCATTACCTTTTTCTTGTTGATGTGAAGGTATTCTTTGAAATTCTAGATATTAATCTCTTGTCAGATTTTGACTTTGTAAATATCTTCTCTTACTCTGTTAGCTGCTTATTAACTTTGTCCATAGTGTCATTTCCTAAACAGAAATCCTTAAATTTTTTACAATAACAGGCTGGGCGCGGTGGCTCACGCCTGTAATCCCAGCACTTTGGGAGGCCGAGGTGGGTGGATCACTTGAGGTCAGGAGTTTGAGACCAGCCTGGCCAACATGACAAAACCCTGTCTCTACAAAAAATACAAAAATTAGCCAGGTGTGGTGACACGCACCTGTAATCCCAGCTACTCGGGAGGCTGAGAGGCATGAGACTTGCTTGAACCCGGGTGGTGGAGGTTGCATTGAGCTGAGATCGTGCTGCTGCACTACAGCTTGGGCGACAGAGCAAGACTTCATCCCCCACCCCCCAAAAAATGTAATAACAGTCATAGATATTTTTCCTTATTGATTAATCCTTTTAAAATTGTATTTAAAATCTCTTTCTGGTTGTAGGTTGCAAAAATACTGACTTACATTTTTCTATCAAAATTCTAAATTAAGCCTTGATAGAGTACTCTTTTTAATTGGATCTTTCATTTAGAATTTTCCTTGATACATGGCATTGGTTAGGGATACATTAGGGACATATCTAAAGCATTCCAGTTATGCAACTTTTTAATTCTGTGACCAGTGAGGAAAGGGGATTCTTTTCCCTAGATCCAATTTGAAAAATTACAGAGAAAGACTCTGACTCACTGGATTGGGTTGCATGCCCATTATTATGGCCCAATTAGCAAGATGCCTTACTAAGTGCTAGGCAGACAAAACAATATTCACTACAGGGGTGATAAGGTAAATAAACACATTAATTAGAATTTAAAGGTAAGTATTCTTAAGGATTTAAGAGGTGGGACAATTGCACCCTATTGGGGGAACCACATAATTCTTCATGACAGAAATGACATTTTCAATAGACTGCCAAGTATGGGTAAGATTTATATGCATACAAAATCCTATGTATGATGACTTCTAAATAGAGGACAAAGCATAAGTAAGAATGCAAGGGCAAGAAATTAAGAGTATGTTTACAGTATAATCCAATTTGAATGAACCACAGGATATAGGAAGGTTTAGTGTGTGCCGACTGTGTAAAGATATCTGTAGAAGATACAGTGATGCTTAGTCAATGGCCATGACCCCAACCCATTATCTTGCTAACAGAACCCTGATTTGGGACAGCAACGTACTGTTCTTCTTCTTCTTTCTTTTTTTTTTTTTGAGACGGAGTCTCACTCTGTCGCCCAGGCCATAGTGCAGTGGCGCAATCTCAACTCACTGCAACCTCTGCCTCCCAGGTTCAAGCAGTTCTCCAGCCTCAGCCTCCCGAGTAACTGGGACTACAGGCACACGCCACCACGCCCAGCTAATTTTTTGTATTTTTGTTAGAGACGGGGTTCACCATATTGGCCAGGCTGGTCTCGAGCTCCTGACCTTGTGATCCGCCTGCCTCGGTCTCCCAAAGTGCTGGGGTTACAGGTGTGAGCCACTGCACCTGGGCATTTTTGTTTTTTTTGTTTTTTTTTGAGATGGAGTCTTGCTCTGTTGCGCCCAGGCTGGAGTGCAGTGGCACCATCTCGGCTCACTGCAACCACCACCTCCCAGGTTCAAGCAATTCTCCTGCCTTAGCCTCCCTAGTAGCTGGGATTACAGGCATGCGCCACCATGCCCGGCTAATTTTTGCATTTTTAGTAGAGAGAGGGTTTCACCATGTTGGCTGCCCAGCCCAATGTACTCTTCTGTAGAGCTTAAATCTGGATTGATCTAAGTTCATTGTAGCAATTTACTTCCCTTTGCCTGCTACTCCCCTTCCTATACTCCCTTGAACAAGGGGCAGCCACATGACTCAGCTCTGGCCAATAGAATGCAAGTGGAAGTCTTCTGGGAACTTTTTTGTTCATCCTCTTCTGTTTAGCACTACGACAGCCATCTTCCAACGCAATAAGCAGGGACAAGAAAATTTCAGAAGCCAACCCATAATTCTGACGTCGTTAGAACCAGGTTCAGCCTCTGAACCTGTCGTATAGGCCTCAGCACTTAGAACAACCCTGTGCTTGGTTCAATGTTCTATGCTGCTATAAGTTATTAATCATTTTTAACAAGGGGCCCTGTTTTATTATTTTGCATTGGGCCCCACAAATTGTATAGCTACTCCTGATAGGAACCACAGTGCAAATTCTGGAATCTCTTATTTCTAATCCTTTTGTTAACAGTAAATATCCTTATGGATGAAAACACTGTTGATTGGGTTTTCTGTTACTTATAGCTAAACACATTCTGTTTTGTTTTGTTTTGAGACAGAATCTTGCTGCTTGACTCAGGCTGGAGTGCAGTGGTGTGATATTGGCTCACTGCAACCTCCGTCTCCCGGGCTCAAGCGATCTTCCTGCCTCAGCCTCCCAAGTAGCTGGGATTATAGGCACCCGCCACCACACCTGGCTAATTTTTGTATTTTTAGTAGAGACAGGGTTTCACCATGTTGGCCAGGCTGGTCTTGAACTCCTGACCTCAGGTTATCTGCCTACCTCGGCCTCCCAAAGTGCTGGGATTACAGGCGTGAGCCACCGCGCCTGGCCCCATTTCCATATTCTTAAAGTGAGAATAAATAACATCTACTAGTTAGAGTTGTGGGAAGATTAGATGAGTTATAAGATTATAGTTATTAGATGAGATATAAAGCACACAATATCTGACATTTAATAGATGTTTCTGTAATGTTAATTGCATTCTTTTTCACTTCCACACCTTACAATGAACCCACCTGATAAAAGGAGAGAAGCATAAAAATTCCATGCAGACAAAAGTCCTTATCTGGGCCAACTACCTTCAGATTTCAGTTGTTTAAAAAAGCCAAATAAGAAAAGAAGGAAATAAAATTTTCACTTATTAAGAATTACCATTTTGAGGCTGGGTGCAGTGGCTCATGCCTATATTCCCAGCACTTTGGGAGGCCGAGGCAGGTGGATCATCTGAGGTCAGGAGTTCGAGACTAGCCTGGCCAACATGGTGAAACCCCGTCTCTACTAAAAATACAAAAAAACAATTAGCTGGGCGTGGTGGTGGGCGCCTGTAATCCCAACTACTCGGGAGGCTGAGGCAGGAGAATCGCTTAAGCCCGGGAGGCGGAGGAGGTTGCAGTGACCCAAGATCATGCCATTGCGCTCCAGCCTAGGCAACAAGAGTAAAACTTCGTCTCAAAAAAAAAAAAAAAAAAAAAAAAGAATTGTCATTTTGTATGGGCACGGTGGCTCATGCCTGTAATCTCAGCAGTTTGGGAGGCCAAGGCGGGTCAATCACTTGAGTCCAGGAGTTCGAGATCATCCTGGGCAACATAGTGAGAACCCATCTCTGCTAAAAATACAAAACAATTTTAGCTGGCTGTGGTGGCACACACCTGTGGTCCCAGCTACTTTGGAGGCTGAAGCACAAGAATCACTTGAGCCCAGGAGGCGGAGGTTGCAGTGAGTGGAGATCGCGCCACTGCACTCCAGCCTGGGCAATAGAGTGAGGCCCTATCTCAAAAATAAATAAATAATAAAAAACAAAAAAAGAATTGCCATTTGGCTTAGGCATTAGCCAAAATGGGCTTTACGCATATTAATTTCCTACTTTGTTACCAGGAATATTTTTCTGGAGATGGAATCATCATTTGTTTTGCTGAATCTCGTTGTGGGCAGTGCTCACCAGGGCGGTCTCGCCCCTGCACCTGTGGCAAGAGCCAGTGGCTTGACTGGGGGCTGCAGGATCTGTTCTTCAGGATGGCTCACTCGCGTGGCCAGCAAGGAGGTGCTGCTCCCAGCCCAGAGGTAAGGGGGCTCCGGGGCTGGGAGGAACATGGGGCTCCTCTCCATGTGGGCCTCTCCGCAGACGGGATTTCTCAGGGTGCATGACTGAGTTCTAAGAGTGAGCATTCCGGGAGAATGTCAGAAAGCTGTATTGCCTTCTATTTTATTTTATTTTTTGAGACAGGGTTTCGCTTTTGTCGCCCAGGCTGGAGTGCAATGGCCAGATCTTGGCTCACTGCAAACTCGGCCTCCTGGGTTCAAGCCATTCTCCTGCCTCAGCCTCCCAAGTAGCTGGGATTATAAGCGCTCGCCACCATACCCGGTTAATTTTTGTATTTTTAGTAGAGACGGGGTTTCACCATGTTGGCCAGGCTGGTCTCGAACTCCTGACCTCAAGTGATCCACCCGCCTTGGCCTTCCATTGTGCTGGGATTACAGGCATGAGCCACTGTGCCCACCCAGCCTGCATTGCCTTTTATGACCTAGCCTGAGAAGAAAACATAGCCTCACCTCTCACTGGGAGACTGTTGAAGTCATGTGAAAGAAGAACATGCAGAACCAGTGCTGTTGTTACAGCCATTTTTGGAAAATGCTGCTGGCCACAGAATACTGATGGTCTGGGCCAGGCAATGAAGTGTCTGGCAGCCTATGGTGTGCTTCACGTGGAACACAGGCTGAAATGGGAAGGATCTGGGTCCTGCAGGGTGCGTGTGGCGATTCAGAGGCCCTTCTACAAGTGGCGGTGGGTGGGGCACTCAGCTAGGATGGAGGCTGGCTTGAGGAGGTTGGGGGCATTTTCCTCAAGCACCCTATGGTGGTATTAGTAACTCGGCCAGCTTCCAAATTTAGTCATAACATTGTGTGTCTTTGAATTCCCCTGCGATCCTCAGGGGATAAAGTATTCTTTCTGTTTCCTGTCCTTGGCTATTGTGTGATAGCAGCTGTACTACTGATCCAGGCGCTGTCACTCCGCCCACCAGAGAAAGGTGCATTTAGGCATATGACTTAATACTTTCACAGGAGAGTTCTAAAAAAGTAAGAATAATGCTAAGATTAACTGTTTACTCAACCGAGTGCTGAGGGCTTCCTATGCATTATCTCATTTAGTTCTCAAAAGGATTCTAAGAACCGGCACTAGTATCATCTCTATTTCACAGTTAGAAAACTGCATTTTAGAGATGTGAAGTAATTGGCAAGGTTAGGGACTCTCAAATCCAAGGCTGATTGCAGTGCCTCTTAGCTATACTACCTTATTATGGTTAAATCTATAATTTTATTCACTTAATGCATATTTATTAGCCCCTATCAGGAGTGAGCATTGTTCTAAGCACTAAGAATACATTTGTGAATGAAGGAGATAAAGTCTATACTGTCACGGAGCTTACAATAAAATAGCAGGTCACAGGTTATGGTGACGTTAAATGAGATGTTCGACAATGACTTTATGTCGATAACTGCGTGACAAGAAAAAGCCAATCATGGCTAAGGCTGGGGGAAGAGCAGTTCTGGCGGATGTTGAGATAAACTTCGTACATTTAAATTTTCAAAAGTGTATTTCAGCAGACAGTGGTTCATGAATCAGGGGGCACCAGAATCCAAGAAGTCCAGTGCTCCACTAGGGAAATGTGCAAGAGCAAAACCTTCATAAGGTGTTCTCAGAAGCAAGACAAAGACAACATATTTGATTGGTTACATTGGAAAGTCTCTAGTTAAAGGTGAGTTGGAAGTTTCTGATCAGTAAAGTCCCTAGTTAGGGTTGGTTGCTGGCTTCTGGGTGGTTAAGCTGAAGTTTCACCCTTTACATGGGCTTTAGTTTGCTTACTGAGAAACCCATGGCCCTGAAGCTGTTTCAGCCTGATGTTCTCCAAATTCAATTATTTTAACACTGGGCACAGCAAATACAAAGGTCCAGAGGTGGGAAGGAGTTTCGGTAATGGGTCAAAGGGAGATTTGTACAAGATGTAGGGAGGGAGGGCACAGGCCTTATAAGCCAGGGTAAAGATTTGGGGGTTTAAGTTTATGGGACCCCTATAAGGTGGACCATCCATAAAGGACCAAGGGCACTTTCGAGATTTCAAGCAGGGAAATGCCCTGATCTGAATAGAAACATCACTCTGGTTGTTGTACGGAGAATGGATTGTAGGGAAATGTGTGGATGCAGGGGCACCAGCTAGGAGCTGAGAGATGGTAGCTTAGTGAAGTTGGAAAGAAAATAACAGATATGGAAAATGTGTTCACAGAGAATCTATAGAGGATCCAAACTGTTGGACTTGACCATAGTTTGGATAATGGTGGTAAAGAAAGGAATCAAGGATAATACCTGGGTTTTTCACTTGAGTAACCGAGTAAATGTTGGTGTTATTTACTGAAGTAGGAAAGACAGAGGCAGGAGCAGGTTTAGAAGAAATGGAGAGGTCTGATTTTCTTGGATTTGTTTGCTTGTTCTGACACCCAGGCTGGAGCTGCACTCGATCATAGCAAACTGCAGCCTCAAACTCCTGGGCTCAAGCAATCCTCCTACCTCAGCCTTCTGAGTAGCTGGGACTATAGGCACATGCCACCACACCCTATTTTTGTTGTTGTTGTTGTTTGTAAAGACAGGGTCTTGCTATGTTGCCCAGGCTGGTCTTGAACTCTTGACCTCAAGCGATGCCCCCCTTCTTAGCCTCCCAAAGTGTTGGGATTATAGATGTGAGCCACCTTACCCAACCAAAGTTCTGTTTCAAATATGTTAATATGTTACCTGTTAGGCATCCAGATGAAAATGTCAACTTAATATGTGAATCAGAAGTCAGGACATAGAGCAGAGCAGAGCTAGAAATATACATAAAGAAGTCATTGGTACACAGATACTATCTGAAGCCATGGGAGTAGGTAAGAGTAAAGTATAAAGAGAAGGAGCCCCAACACTGAGTCCTGAGCACTCCAACACATAGAGGCAAGACAGAGAAGAAATAAGCAAAGAAAATTGAAAAAGAGGGGCCGGGTGCAGTGGCTCACACCTGTAATCCCAGCACTTTGGGAGGCAGAGGCGGGCCGATCACCTGAGGTCAGGAGTGACCAGCCTGGCCAATATGGTGAAACCCCGTACTAAAAGTACAAAAATTAGCTGGGCGTGGTGGCAGGCGCCTGTAATCCCAGCTACTTGGGAGGCTGAGGCAGGAGAATCGCTTGAACCTGGGAGGCAGAGGTTGCAGTGAGCCGAGATAGTGCCATTGCACTCCAGCCTGGGTGACAGAGTGAGACTCCATCTCAAAAAAAAAAAAAAAAAAAAAAAGGGCCAGTGAGGTAAAGAAGAAAGCCAGGAAGTTACTTGTTATGGGCTGAATTATGTTCCTCCCAAATTCATGTGTTGAACCCCTAATGTCCAATACCTCAGAATGTGACCATATTTGGAAATAGAGCATTTGAAGCCATAATTAAGTTGAAATGTTGAAATGAAGCATTAGGGTGGGCCCTAATCTAACCTGACTGGTGTCCTTAAAGGAGGAGGAAATTTTGTCACAAAGAGAGACACTATGGCTGGGCACGGTGGTGGCTCATGCCTGTATTCCCAGCACTTTGGGAGGCTGAGGTGGGTAGATTACTTGTTGCCAGGAGTTCGAGACCAGCATGGCCCACATAGCGAAACTCTGTCTTTACTAAAAATACAAAAAAATTAGCAGGGTTTGGTGGCATGCACCTGTAATCCCAGCTACTCGGGAGGTTGGAGCAGTAGACTCGGTTGAGCCTAGGAGGCAGAGGTTGCAGTAAGCCAAGATCAATCCACTGCACTGCAGCCTGGATGACAGAGTGAGACCCTGTATCTAAAAAAGAAAGAAAAAAGAGAGAGAGAGAGACACTAGAGGGATGTGCTCACACAGTGGAAAAGCCATGTGAGAAGCCACGTGAGAAGCCATGTGAGAAGGTGGCCATCTGTAAGCCAAGGAGAGATGCCTCAGGAGAAACCAAACCTGCTGACACCTTGATCTTAGACTCTAGCCTTTAGAACAAATTTCTGTTCTTAAAGCCACCCAGTCTGTAGTATTTAGTTATGGCAGCCCTAGCAAACTACTACAGTATTTTACTCCAGAAGCAGAGAGAAGAAAATGTTTCAAGTAAGATAAATGGTCTACTGTGTAGGACATTGACAAGAGGCAGGGAAAATAAAGATGGAGAAGTGACCACCAGTAAGGAACAAGATTATCTTACCAATTCTAATAAGAGCAGTTTCCTGGAAGCATGAGTAGAATCGAGAGAATGCACAATGAGGAGTTAGAGGTGGCCCCATCTGCCACGCTTTCTTTCCTTTTTTTTTTTTTTTGAGACGGAGTCTTGCTCTGTCGCCCAGGCTGGAGTGCAGTGGCCTGATCTCGGCTCACTGCAAGCTCCGCTCCCAGGTTCACACCATTCTCCTGCCTCAGCCTCCCGAGTAGCTGGGACTACAGGTGCCCGCCACCACGCCTGGCTAATTTTTTTTTTTTTTGTATTTTTAGTAGAGATAGGGTTTCATCTTGTTAGGCAGGATGGTCTCGATCTCCTGACCTTGTGATCCACCCGCCTCGGCCTCCCAAAGTGCTGGGATTACAGGCGTGAGCCACTGCACCTGGCCCAAGGAAGACATTTTTTAAGACAGATATTTGAGTATGTTTGCATGCCTTATTTATTTATTTATCTATCTATTTATTTATTTTCCTGAGGCAGGGTCTGGCTCTGTCACCCAGGCTGGAGTGCAGTGGCATGACTCAGTTTCCTGCAACTTCTACCTCCCTGGCTCTAGCCATCCTCCCACCTCAGCCTCCTGAGTAGCTGGGATCACAGGCATGTGCCACCATGCCTAATTTTTTTATACTTTTCACTTTTACATTTTAACTCTGTTGGAATTTTTTACACTTTTTATAGAGATGACGTTTTGCCATGTTGCCCAGGATAGTCTTGAACTCTTGGCTTCAAACAATCCTTCTGCCTTGGTCTCCCAGAGTGGTGGGATTACAGGTATGAGCCACTGTGCCTGGCTGCCTAATTCTTACTAGATTTAAGGAGTGTAAATGAAATACTGAAACAAAAGTAGAAGAGTAATTTTTTTTTTTGAAGAAAAGTTTTCATTTATTTAGTTAAAACTGTCTTATGCTTCCATGTGAAAAGTATGGGTGGTTTTCGTTTTGCATAGAGTGTTCTATAGCTTACTGATTCTCAATCTTTTTAGCCAAGGACTCCTGTAGCAGAGTAAACAGTGTTAATACCTCTCATTCATTCGTTCATTCATCCTTCATTAAATAAATATTTATTAATCCACTCCCATGTGAAAGGTACTGATCTAGGAACTGAGAATAGAGCAAGAAACAAAACAAGTTCCCGGCTTGGAGCTTATATTCCAGGAGACAGAGACATGATAGACATGATAAGCAAGTAAACAAATTTAGAGTGTGGCTGGTAGAAGTAAATGCTATAAAGAAAAATGCAGGATATCAAATTAATGATTTTTAATTATCCCATCCATAAATATGGTATAGCTTTCCACTGATTCCTTTCAATAAGGATTTATAATTTTCTTTATGAATACTTTACATGTCTTTATATTTTCTATCAGGAATTTAAAAATTTTTGTTGATACTATAAATAGAATTTTTATAAAATTATATATTCTAACTGTTGGCTTCTGGCATAGAGGAAGGCAACTCATTTTTATGTATGGATTATGTACCAAATAATTGTCTGAAACTTTGGGGGTTCTATTTATCATTAAATACTCTTGGATGTTCTACGTAAGCAATAAAATTATCGGCAAGTAAAAAAAAAAAGAAAGAAAAGAAAAATGCAGCAGAACTAGAGTGACGAGGGCAGCGGTACTCTTTCAAATGGAGCGATTGCTTAGGGAAGGCCTCTCTGATCAGGTGACATTTGCAAATAACTGAATGAAATGAGTGAGAAGGGCACAGTGCAAGGGGGGAAGAGTGTTCCAGACAGAGGGAACAGCATGGAGCACGTCTGGAGTGTCGGAGGTACAACATGAGTAGGAAATGGCTTGAGTCAAAGGCACCAGGAGGCAAGCACAGGTGAGATCAGGAAGGTTTGGGGTTCAGACAAGGCATTTAGGCGATGTGACTTTGGTTTTACTCTGAGAAGGAAGGCCACTGAGGGGTTTTGAGCAGAAGAGTGATGTTTATCTATGTAAGTTTTAAGAGGATTTTGCTGGCTGCTATGTTGAAAAGAAAGGTGGGGGGAAAGATGTTAAACAAGAAGACTAATTATGCTGGGGGTGGTGGCTTATGCCTGTAATCTCAGCACTTTGGGAGGCCGAGTCAGGCAGATCACCTGAGGTCAGGAGTTTGAGACCAGCCAGGCCAATGTGGCGAAACCCTGTCCCTACTAAAAATACAAAAATTAGCCAGGTGTGGTGGTGTGTGCCTGTAATCCCAGCTACTCAGGAGGCTGAGGTAGGAGAATCACTTGAACCCAGGAAGTGGAGGTGGCGGTGATCTGAGATCGTGCCACTGCGCTCCATCTCAAAACAACAACAACACAAAAAAAACAATCAGATTCCTACTGCAAAACCTGGATGACAGACAATAGCGGCTCTGCTGCCCAGGCTGGAGTGCAGTGGCACAGTCACAGCTCACTGCAGCTTCAACCTTCTGAACTCAAGAGATCCTCTCACCTCAGCTTCCCAAAAAGCTGGAACCACAGGCGCATGCACTACGCCCAGCTAATTTTTTTATGTTTATAGAAATGATGTCTCCTTATGTTGCCCAGGCTGGTCTCAAATTCCTGGGCTCAAGTGTTCCTCCTGCCTGGGACTCCCAACGTGCTGGGGCTACAGATGTGGCCTACCTCCCCAGCCTCTATGTGCTCTAAGTTTTCAATATTCAATATTTTGGATACACTTCTTCAGAAAATGTATTATACTCATCTTTGCCTGCCCGCCTGCCTGCCTTCCTTCCTTCCTTTTTGATGTTTTGTTTTTAGACGGAGTCTCACTCTCTTGCCTAGGCTGGAGTGCAATGGCGCCATCTTGGCTCACTGCAACCTCTGCCTCCTGGGTTCAAGCGATTCTCCTGCCTCAGCCTCCCAAGTAGCTAGGAGTACAGGTGCGCACCACCACGCCCGGCTAATTTTTGTATTTTTAGTAGAGATGGGGTTTCTCCATGTTGGCCAGGTTGGTCTTGATCTCCTGACTTGGTGATCCGCCCACCTCGACTCCCAAAGTGCTGGGATTACAGGCGTGAGCCACTGTGCCCGGCCACATCTTTGCTTTCTTTACAGAAGATTGGTACATGTAATTTAATATTTTTCTTGATGTCTCAGAATTTGCATTATTAACAAGTACGACTGCTTTGTATTGTTATGTATTAGAGTTATGCTGTACTCAGAACCTCTTGATGCGTACAGGTTCATCTATTTGCTTCTGATCAAATTCTCCCTGTGGCAGAGGCTAATGTTGCCCGCCAAATCTCATCTGTCCTCCTCCCTGCTAATGCTGCCTACCAAATCTGATCTGTCCTCCTCCCTAGTGAACAGAATCCCCAGTATTAGCTGCCCTGATAAGAGACTGTATTTCCCTACTTTCCTTATATTTACATTTGAACAGGTGACTATGTTCTGGCCAATAAGATGTATTTGGGGTTTTTTTATTTTTGTAGTTGTTGTTTGTTTGCTTGGTTTTTTTTTCAAGACAGAGTCTCACTCTATTGCCTAGGCTGGAGTGCACTGTCTCGATCTCAGAACACTGCAACCTCCGCCTTCCAGGTTCAAGTGATTTTTCATGCCTCAGCCTCCTAAGTAGCTGGGATTACACATATGCACCACCACACCTGGCTAATTTTTGTATTTTTAGTAGAGACAGGGTTTCGCCTGTTGGCCAGGCTGATCTCGAACTGCTGACCTCATGATCCTCCCGCCTTGGCCTCCCAAAGTGCTGGGATTACAGGCATGAACCACTGTGCCTGGCTGTTTGTTTTTTGAGTCAGGATCTCCCTCTGTCACCCAGGCTGGAGTGCAGTGGCACGATCATGGCTCACTGCAGCCTCAACCTCCTGGGCTCAAGCCATCCTCCCAACTCAGCCTCTGGACGGGCATGTGCCACCACAACTGGTTAATTTTTAAAAATTTTTTAGTAGAGTTGAGGTCTTGTTATGTTGTCCAGACTGGTCTTGAACTCCTGGCCTCAAGAGATCCTCCCACTCCAGCCTCCCTAAGTGCTGGGATTACATGCGTGAGCCACCGCGATGGGCCCAATATGTAAATAGGGGTGTTGTATGGAACTTCTGGAAATCACCTTAATATGTTGTGCTCCCCTTTACTTGACTTCCTTATTCCTGGATATAATAATGGAATATTCATGGCCATCTTGGACCCTGAGGTGACCTCGAGACTAGAAACCATGAACTGAGGATGGTCAAGCAGAAAGATGGGAGCCTGGGCTCCTGATAATACAAAAGTCTGCCATGCCACCTCCATTTTTTTATATGAGAAAAGATAACTTGTTTAAGCCGTTACTCCATTCTAATGCTCATGGTTTTCTGTTTGTTTTCGCCTTCTATTGGCTTTTTTTTTTCCATTCCTGACTTACAGTCAGTGCACTTGCTTACATCAACTTTTTCCCTTTTTTCCTAATTTGCTGTCAGTCATTCTTGATTTAATGATTATGGAGCACTTACAATCGGCTAAGTGCTAGAGATGCTATTGTAAGCAAAACAGACACGGATCTGTCCTAGGAGCTCAAATAATATTGAGGAGTTTACTGTCTACTGAGGAAACAGAAGACCAAGTATGTTAGACATTAATAAAAATAAATAGCCTTTAAATAAGGCCGGCGAGGCTCTCCTTTGAACGCGTAGATATTATAACATCTATTTTACTGTTGCGTCACAAGGTAAAAAAAAAAATCTATTTTGGCTACACTTCCTTATTTTTCCCTGTGCTGTAGTTAAATATGATGGCATACAACTGAGTTCTGTGTGGGTGGAATGTGTTCACTTCCTGCTTGGTGCAAATTATAAATGAAGTATCTATTTAATTTTAAAATGTTTTATTGTGAAATATAATACACATAAAGAAATGTGGTCTGGACACAGTGGCTCATGCCTATAATCCCAGCACTTTGGAAGGCCGAGGTGGGCAGATCATTTAAGGTAGGGAGTTCCAGACCAGCCTGGCCAACATGGTGAAACCCCGTTTCTACTGAAAATATAAAAATTAGCTGGGCATGGTGGCGCCTGCCTGTAGTCACAGCTATTTGGGAGGCTGAGGTGGGAGGATCGCTTGAGCCCAGGAGACGGAGGTTGTAGTGAGCTGAGATTGTACCACTGCACTCATCCAGCCTGGGTGACAGAGCAAGACCTTGTCTCAAAAAAAAAAAAAAAGTTCACAAAACATATAAGTACAATTTAACAAATAGGTGTGAAATTACTGCCCACGTAACCATCACCTAGCTCACTAGGTGGCTAGTGGGTACCCCTTCCCAATTCTCAAGAAGCACCATCCTGGATTTTACGGTTATTGTGTTCTTCATTTTCTTTAGCATTTTATCACCTATATGCACATCCCTGCCTATGTCATTTAGTTTTACCTGTTTTTGAACTTTTGTGGGTGTGTGACAGGGTCTCTGTCACCCAGGCCGAAGTTCAGTGGCGCGACCAAAGTTCACTGAAGCCTCGACTTCCCTGGCTCCAACGATCCTCCCTCCTCAACCTCTTGAGTAGCTGTGACTACAGATGCAGGCCACCATGCTCAGCTAATTAAAAAAACTTTTTGTGGCTGGGTGTGGTGGTACACGTCTGTAGTCCCAGCTATTTGAGAGGCTGGGGTGGGAGGATCACCTGAGCCCAGGAGGGGGAGGTTGCAGTGAGCCGAGATCGCACCTCTGCTCTCCAGCCTGGGCTCAAGCTGTCCTCCCACCTCGGCCTCCCAAAGTGCTGGGATTACTGGTGTGAGCCACTGTGTCTGGCCTATTTTTGAGCTTTATATTCATGGAATTATGCCCTATGTACTATTTTATGCCTTTCCCATTTCATTCCATGACATTAAGTTTGTAAGATTCATCCCTATGAGTGTTAGCAGTGAAAATGACAAAGAAACTCCCACAATTCTTTCCTCCATAAAAGCAAGTACAAAACTGACAAAAATTGATAGTATTAAGTTTATCAGAACTCTGGAAATTAACCAAAGGCTTGCTTGCAGCAATCTGGGAGGCATTTATCAAGACAAATGGTTGAATCTTAGTAAAAACAAAGAGGTTTGTGGCATTTTAACTATCCTATTTCCATCCCCCTTTCTCCAGCTCCCTGGCAGCCTTGGAAGCCAACAGTCCACAATCCTGGTGACCCCAGGAACCTGGCAGCCACTAGATAAGGCAGAATGGGGTTAGAGCACCTTCAAAGCTTCATTCTCATGGTACTGTAGTTATTTGTCTGTCTGGTGCTTCCCGGGAAGACCCCACTTGCAAGGCTGCCTTTATTTAACCTAACCAGGATCTTATCCAGGGCTAAAAAAATAAAAACCCTTTTCTCCAGAGGCATTTATTGAAAATATTTCAAGACAATTGTTTGACTTCATTCCTGCCTGAGTAGTGGGTGATATTAGGGCAAACAAAAGGCTAACCTAAAGCTCAAAAGGAAAAGCCAGAGAATGGTACGTCCCTAGGAGCTTTGAAAAGCTTCAACTCATTGTGGGAATCCACAAAGCAGCATATGCATAGGGCTGTGTGCATGCCCAGCAAAGATCTGAGAAGGCCCTGAACCTGCCCTTCCCCATAAGAATGTGAGCTCAATAAGGCAAGGAGCTTGTCTACTATATCCCCAGGATCGTGAACTATGCTTCACACATAGTAGAAATTCAATAAATATTTGTTGAATAAATAAAGAATTGGTGAGTATACACACACACACACAGAGTCAGCTCTCCGTATCCGTGGTTTCTGCATCAATGGATTCAACCAACTGGAGATAAAAAATATTTGGACAAGAAAATGGATGGCTGCATCTGTACTGAACATGTATAGACTGTTTTTTCTTGGCATTATTCCCTAAACAATACAGTATAACAATATACGTAGCATTTACTTTGTATTAGATATTACAATAATCTAGAGGTGATTTAAAGTATACAGGAGGATGTACGTAGTTTATATGCAAATACTATGCCATTTCATATCAGCAACTGTATCTGCAGATTTTGGTTTTGAAAGGGGGTGCTGGAACCAATCCACCACAGATACTGAGGAACAACTACATATATTTGCATCCCAGGAACACCAGTCAAAGAATTATTTAACATTCTCACAATGAGAACTGATTCATACCAAAAGTATAATAGTCAATAATTTTATTTAGATGAGACTTTGGTGGGGCTGCACTAATTGTATTATATTTGTCATATAAATTATATGAAATAGACATTTTACTTATTTTATTATATATATAATCACAATTTATTACATTTGACCATAGTTGTTCTCATTACAAGAATTTTAAGCTGGGCATGGTGGCTCAAGCCTGTAATTCCAACACCTTGGGAGGCTGAGGCAGGAGGATCACTTGAGCCCAGAAGTTTGAGACCAGCCTGGGCAACACAGGGAGCCCCTGTCTCTACAAAAATAAAATTTAAAAATTAGCCGGGCATGCTGTCATGCTCCTGTAGTCCCAGCTACTTGGGAGGCTGAGGTGGGAGGATATCTTGAGCCCAGGAGTTGAGGCTACAGTGAGCTATGATCACACCACTGCACTCCAGCCTGGGTGACAGAGCAAGACCCTGACTCTTAAAAAAAAAAAAAGATTTTAGTATGTGTATACGATATTAAGAGTGAAGTACAAAATCTGGGAAAAGTAAAATGAAGAAACTATGTAAAGAGGTTTATCAGACAGCATTCCATATATACTGGTGATAACTTAATTCAGGAATTCTTGCTTCTGTTCTGTTGACAGACTTTGCGTCAGTGTGAAGTGAGACACATTGTCTTCATATATCCCACTCCATTTCTGGTGATATAATTTAGGGCTGGGCGCGGTGACTCATGCCTATAATCCCAGCACTTTGGGAGGCGGAGGTGGTGGATCACCTGAGGTCAGGAGTTCGAGACCAGCCTGTCCAACATGCGAAACCCTGTCTCTACTAAAAATACAAAAATTAGCCGGGTGTGGTGGCAGGTGCCTGTGATCCCAGCTACCTGGGTGGGGCAGGGGGGTGCTGAGGCAGGAGAATCACCTGAACCCAGGAGGTGAAGGCTGCAGTAAGTTGAGATGGCACTACTGCACTCCAGCCTGGGCAACAGAACAAGACATCATCTCAAAAAAAAAAAAAAAAAAAAAAAGTCATAATTTAGTCCTACTCACATTCCTTTTGGGATTGTTTTATTATCTCATTTTGCTGATTAGGGTGGTTACTGGATATTTATGTAGCACAATCTTAGGCAGTCAAGAAGCTATCCATAGTTTAAAATAAAAAACAAAATACTAATAACCAAAAATAAGGGAACATTTATTTTTACCAAAAGACTTCCTAAGATTCTTTTTTCAGTTTGAAAGTTTGGCCTATTAGGAATGGTGTTTGGCAAAGATAATTAGCTCTTAGGTTAAAATGACAACTGCAAAGAACAGTAAGAAATTAGGACAGTGAAACATTGATTTAGAAAGGCAGTTGGGAGAGGGCATTTGGGAGGAGGTGGTTACAAATGGTTGTTCAGAATGGCATTTGGGAGTAAGTAGGCGGTCCATGAGACAAGGAGGTATCTGAAGAAAGTGAACCAACAACCGAGCTATTTTGGGTAGGGTATCACAGCAAAGGGAATGTTCTATTAATTACTCTTCTCATCAATAACCAAAGCCAGGTACATCCCTTGCTGAGACTTTGAACCAAATACATATATTTTGAACCAAATATATACGTAGAGAGAGAGAGACAGGAAATAAATCGATACTTGATTGTGTTATATAGTAGCTGTTTCTAAGAGTCAAAATGTATGTATATAGAAGTGGATTTATGTGCATATGTCACCATTTTTTTCCATGGAATTTTATCATTGCATATGCAAAGATAAAATATAGATAATCTATATGCAAAATATAGATTTTGAACTCTGAGCAGCAAGCTCCTTTGGTTGGAGAAGAAAAGGAACCTATATGTCTTTACTTCCATTGGGGCCTAATATTTCCCTTGGGGTGACTATGATGCAACCAATATGTACGTTCCTTTAATCAACCTTTTGTTTTGTTTCATATTATTATAGGATACTGAAAACATTGTGGGGAAGGGCATGGTATTTTTTTTTTTAAAGACATAGTCATTGAGCCAGAAAAGACTGCCTTTTCCTCTAGTGTGAGAATTATATAACTAAGATATAAAGATAAGCTAATATATAGGACTTAGAATCGTGAACTGGGGAGGCAGGTATTGCACTTAACGGAGGAAAATAAGCAGCAGTGTGCAGAGCGGGGTTAGTAAGTTCACCTTTGGTTACAGGCAGCCATGGTCAGATCACAGCCAAAAAGGTGAATAAACCTGAGAAAGCCTTTGGTCAAGATTTCCGTTTTTTAAATACTTTAAAAAATTAATTATTTATTCAAAACTACTATTATTGGTTGTAAATAAATATGGAAAGATAATAAATTTTGCTAGTCTTTTCTATAAAATTTGTGAAAAAGTTTAAAAGTACAATGCCTAACAAGAACGTATAACTCGTATGATACTCTCCACATAATTGCTTTGTTTTTGAAAGCTATTTGGAATTTTTTTTTTTTGAGACGGAGTCTCGCTGTCGCCCAGGCTGGAGTGCAGTGGCGCGATCTCGGCTCACTGCAGGCTCCGCCCCCCGGGGTTCACGCCATTCTCCTGCCTCAGCCTCCCGAGTAGCTGGGACTACAGGCACCCGCTGCCTTGGCTGGCTAATTTTTTGTATTTTTAGTAGAGACGGGGTTTCACCGTGTTAGCCAGGATGGTCTCGATCTCCTGACCTCGTGATCCGCCCGCCTCGGCCTCCCAAAGTACCTTTACCTTTTGATTTAATAATCTCATTTTGGGAGTAGGTAGAGGGGAATTAATCACAAAATATGGGAGGAATAAGCACAAATCTTGAGGCAACGCTAACATGCAATATTGCTTGTTTATGTATACATTCAGGAAATGCTCTTCAAGTGCCTATTACGTTCCAAGCACTAGGGGTGAAACAGGTAATACAAGAAAGTCTTCTCTCATGGAACTTACATTTCAGTGGGGGAGACTGAAGATAAGCAAGCATAGTACACACACACATATATATATAAATACACATATAGTATATCAGGTGGAGAAAAATAAAACAGGATATGGGGACAGAAAGTGCATGAGAAAATGGCTGTTTCACATAGGGGCACCAGGGAAGGCTCAGGCATGGTGACATGTGAGACCTGAAGGAAGTAAGGAAGCAAGCCTTGAGGCAACCTGGCAGAAAACTGTGCCCATTAGAAGGGTCGCTCTTAGGCCAGGCGTGGTGGCTCACGCCTGTAATCCCAGCACTTTGGGAGGCCGAGGAGGGCGGATCACGAGGTCAGGAGATCGAGACCATCCTGGCTAACACGGTGAAACCCCGTCTCTACTAAATATACAAAAAATTAGCCGGGCGTGGTGGCGGACGCCTGTAGTCCCAGCTACTCGGTAGGCTGAGGCAGGAGAATGGCGTGAACCCAGGAGGCCGAGGTTGCAGTGAGCTGAGATAGCACCACTGCACTCCAGCCTGGGCGACAGAGCGAGACTCCGTCTCAAAAAAAAAAAAAAAAAAAAAAAGGGCCGCTCTTGAGGTGGGGGCACACCTGGCATGGTTGGGGGAACAGTAGGGAAATTGGGGCAACTGGAGCAGAATGAGCTAGGAGACTAGCAGATGAGGTCAAAGAGTCAATGAGGGGGCAAATTTTGTAGGACATTATAGGCCATCCTAAGAATTTGGATTTTACTCCGAGTGAGACTGGAAGTCATTGGAGAATTTTGTGCAAGAAAGTGACAGAATATAACCTAGCTTTTAAATCATGGGGGGAAAGGGGAAGAAAACACAAAAACCAGTTAGGAAACTTTTCTTTTCTTTTTTTGAGACGGAGTCTCGCTCTGTCGCCCAGGCTGGAGTGCAGTGGCGCGATCTCGGCTCACTGCAAGCTCCCCCTCCCGGGTTGACACCATTCTCCTGCCTCAGCCTCCCAAGTAGCTGGGACTACAGGCGCCCGCCACCACACCCGGCTAAGTTTTTGTATTTTTAGTAGAGACGGGGTTTCATCATGTTAGCCAGGATGGTCTCGATCTCCTGACCTCGTGATCCACCCTCCTGGGCCTCCCAAAGTGCTGGGATTACAGGTGTGAGCCACCACACCTGGCCAGAAATTTTAAATAATACAGGCAAGAAATGTTGGTGGATTGGGTCAGTGTAGTAATGATACAGATGATGAAAGTGGTTGAATTCTGGACATAATCTAAAGGTAGATCTGACAGGATTTTTTTTTTTTTAAACACAGTCTGGCTCTGTTGCGCAGGCTGGAGTGCAGTGGTGTGATCTTGGCTCACTGCAATCTCCAACTCCCTGGCTCAAGAGATCCTCCTGCCCCAGCCTCCCGAGTAGCTGGGACTACAGGCATGTGCCACCATGCCCAGCTAAATTTTGTATTTTTTGTAGAGACAGGGGTCTCACCATATTGTGCAGACTGGTCTCAAACTCCTGGGCTCAAGTGATCTGCCCGCCTCGGCCTCCCAAAATGTTCGGATTACAGGCATGAGCCACCACGCCCAGTCCTTCTTTTTTTTTTTTTTTTTTTTTTAAGAAATGTGCTCTCACTGATGCCCAGGCTGGAGTGCAGTGGTGTGATCATAGCTATCTGTAGCCTCAACTCCTGGGCTCAACTGATCCTCAGCCTCAGCTTCTCGAGTAACCGGGGACCACAGGCACGTACCACCACACCTGGCTTATTTATTTATTTTGTGAGATGGATTCTTGCCATATTGCCCAGGCTGTCAACAGGATTTATTAATAAACTGAATGTGAAGCATGAGAGAGAGGAAATTAAGGAGGACTCTAATATTTGGTCTCAGTAACCGGACAAATAGAGCTGCCACCTACTGAGACGGGGAAGATGTGGGAAGAGCAGGTTTGGGAGTAGAAATCAGAAGTTTATTTTTGAACACATAAGACTTCCAATGCCTGTTAGACAGCAGTAGCAGCAAATTGGTGCCTCAGCCATATTCCTTGCCTGTGCCACATCAGTGTGCTATGGACAGCCTGATCTCCAACTGCCAGCACCTCCATTTCTTGGCCTGAGGACTTTCTCAAATGAAGACAGTCATGAAAAACAAGACAAAAGAACCCATAAAAGGCAGGTTTTTTTCTTCTCTAGTAAGAGGGAGGCTCCTGAAGAGAAACTCTCCGCCCTTCCTTGTTCCCAGCTTTCTGCCTTGAATGCCTTTGAGAATGTGATGATTGGTGGTGTGGCAAACAACAGGGGAGGTCCGAGGGAACTGAAGAGTGGCCAACTCAGACCCCTGGAGCTGTAGAAAGGAACCTGTTTTAGCAGCTGCCTACCTCTGCAGTGCCTGCTCTGTGAGAGAAATGCAGGCTTCTCACTGAGGCCACTGTAAATCAGTATTCTCCTCCTTGCAGCCGAAAGCATTCCTAACTGATTCACTGCTCAATAAGAATAGTAACTAACCTCATCAAATACTTACTACATACTAAGTAAGTGATGACCTGTGATACTCTAAGTGTCTTACATGTATTTTCTCATTTAATACTTATAATAACTTTACAAATGAGTTACTATTATTATCTCCGCATTAGATAAGAAAAGTGAGGCATGGAGAGTTTACATCATAATATGAACCTAGGCAGTCTTCCTCCGCAGTCCTGACCCTAACTACTCTGCTATGCTGCCTTCCAACACCTGTGGTTACAGTAGTCCCCTGCCTTATATGCAGTTTCAGTCACCCACAGACAACCATGGACCAAAGATAGGTGAGTACAGTAACACATTTTGAGAGGGAGAAACCACATTCATGTAGCTCTTATTATAGTATATTGTTACAACTGTTCTATTACATTATTAGTTGTTGTTCATCTCTTACTCCGCCTAATTTAGAAATTAAACATCATAGGTATGTATGTATAGGAAAAACATAATATGTATATAGGGTTTGGTACTATCCATGGTTTCAATCATCCACTGGGAGGGGGGTCCTGGAACTACTGTAGATAGTTCCAAGTGGGGGATAAAGATGAGAGGGGACTACTGTAAAGAACTTAACATAAAACTACAACTGTAAACCTTCATGTGGCAAATTCTTGTTCAACTACACAATACAAACATTTATCAGGTATCAAAAACTTCAAATGCAGAAGGTAAGACAATATTGTATATGGCTAAACAATGACCAAAAACCACTCTCATATTCCTCTCTCCAAATTTGAATTTAAAATGCTTTAAGAGATATTTAAAGCAAGTTTAGTTATTGTCCAATTATGCAAATAAAACAGGTAATAAAGGAGGATCCAAAACTATTCCTTCACCTATACATCCCAAACCAGAAGTAACCAGAAGTGGATGATATCCAGTGGAATTTGGGCATAAGAGAAAGCTACATAGGAAATAATGTTGACCTCATTTCTCCCATTAGCTCCTGATACATCCTCCTGCTCCCATTTATAGCAGAAATTCTCTGAATAATTGCTAGCACTCACAAACTATCTTTCCACTCATTCCATTCTCTCTTGAAACAATCAAAGTTTCAACTCAACCACCCCCAGTAAACTGCTCTTGTCAAGGTCCCCAATTATGTCTACATCACTAAAGCCAATGTCAATTCTTAGTTATCATTATCATCTTATTGGCTTATCAGCAGAATATGATATAGTTCTGAGTCTCTGTTGCTGGTTCTTTCTCTCACTGGTCTCTAAACATTGAAAGTTTCAGTGCTTGGACTTTTAATCCACATTCATACCTCTGGCGTTCTCATCCTGGCTCACAGCTTTGCAATGTTGTAGTGGATTAAAGACAGCCCCAGGGCTGGGCGCAGTGGCTTACGTCTGTAATCCCAGCACTTTGGGAGGCTGAGGCAGGTGAATCACAAGGTCAGGAGTTCGAGACCAGCCTGGCCCATATGGTGAAACCCCGTCTCCACTAAAAATACAAAAAAATTAGCCGGGTGTGGTGGCGCATGCCTGTAATCCCAGCTACTTGGGAGGCCAAAGCAGGAGAATTGCTTGAATTCGGGAGGCAGAGGTTGCAGTGAGCCGAGATCTTGCCACTGCACTCCAGCCTGGGCGACAGAGCAAGACTCCTTCTCAAAAAAAAAGCCCCAAACTCTTTGACATACTTCCCAGTGAGAAGTGAGGGTCTGTGTTTCCTCTTGGAAGGCTCTGTGACTGCTTTGACCAATGGCAGGAATGAAATTGTACCATTTCTGGGTCTTAAGAAACTAGCAGCTTCTACTTCCTGTCTCTTGGTAGCTCCGAGCAGCCATTTAAGAAGCCATGCTGAAGAGGCCATTTGTAGGTACTATGGTCAGCAGTCCCAGCTGAGCCCAGGCTTCCAGTCATCCCTGCCAAGGTGCCAGATATGAGCGTGAATGAATACTTGGATACTCCAGATGAGTTCGTCTGGTAGCTGAATACCATGGAGTGACCTCAGGTGATGCCATGGGGAACAGAAGAGTTGCCCAGATGAGACAGGCTCTAATTCCCAATCCACAAAATTGTAAGCTACGATAAAATAGAGTTGTTTTCAGCCACTAAATTTTAGGGTAATCTGTCTTCCTGCAGTAGACAAACAGAACAAATGACATCTTTTTGATGATGACTTGCAAATTGCATGAGCCTCTCCTCTGAATTCCAGATTCATATCTAACTGCATTATCTGACATGTCTACTCGCAGATTGTCTTATCTGGGGTTCTTCCAGTAGTCAACTCTGAGACAAGGGTTCAAGTACAAGCAGTTTATTTGGGAGGCGATCCCAGGAAACATTGTTAGCCGTGGCGAGTCTGAGTTGGCTCCACAGTCCTCGATCCTTGTCTTCTTGGGAGAATGAATTTGGCTGAGACAGAAGTAGATTTAAGGCAGAAACAAGAATTCACTGAAGCAAATAAAAGCACACATGTAAGGAACCAAGCAGGCAACTCAAAAATTCAGTACTCTGCCTGATTGCTGGCTCAGGACTCGCAGATTTGCTATTTTCTGACTTTTCCCGTCTCTTCCTCTTGTCCCTCCCCCTTGGCAGGCTGTTGGCTAATTGCTGCATGTGCAATGTCTTGCTAGTATCTGGGAGGGGCACATGTGCCATACTGAAGTTACGTGCATGCTCTCTTAGGGCAATTTTCCCTTATTGGTCTAGTGCCCCCAGAGGAAGGTCACATATGGGTCAAACGCTGCCATTTTGCACCTTACCATGCTTGCCTGGCCATGTCCCCTGAGGAAGGTCAAACTCCACCATTTCAAGTTCTTACCAAGAAGTTGTTGCCCACAAGCCCAAGATGTCTCCTGTTTATTAGGAAAATTTCCCCTCCCCTTTGACCAGCTGCCTGACATTTGCCTGGCAGTCACCTGATAGTTGTCTGACATTCTTTGGGACCCTATCCTGCCCTGCTCCTATCTGCCTATCTACCCACTCTAACAACACCAGTAGGTAACGGGGAAGTGAGACAGGGAAAGAAAGCAGACAATAGCGTGTGTTATCAAGCCAGTCACCACTGAACACTGCTTTGGGAATGTTGGGGAGCTCAGGGAACTAGTGTAACCATATATTTCAGAGTTATCTCACTCAGAGGGTGAGGGAGCTGGAATATTTATACACTGACTTTTATCAGTCACTAATTGAGGGTTGCCCCCTGGGAGGGTATTAATTCTCTGCCTTAGACATGGGTTTAAGCCCTTGAGCAAAGAAATGCAAAACCTATGAGTGGGACATCAGCTGTGAATGGGACATTGAAATGATCAAGTTGAGTGAATATGGGCAGAACACTGACAACATTTGCTACAATGACAGTGACATTGACACTGATTGATATTTTTAATGATTCCAGGCCAGTTGTCTTATAGAATGTCCCACAGACTGGCTACTGAGATACAGTTTTCCATGGTCTCATGTTTCTTCAATCCCTTTGAGTAGAGGCACCAACTGTCCTTTCGTTCTGGACTATCTTTCCAAAGACATTTAGATAATGCCACCATGCCCGGCTAATTTTTCTTTTTTTTTTGTATTTTTAGTAGACACAGGGTTTCACCATGTTGGTCAGGCTGGTCTCGAACTCCTGACCTCGTGATCTGCCCGCCTTGGCCTCCCACAGTGCTGGGATTACAGGCGTGAGCCACCACGCCCGGCCGTTTGTAGTTCTTAAACTACATACAATTAAGGATGTGCAGTCAGAATACTATGTTCAAATGTAACTTGAATTAAAATTTTTTCAGTGTGGCTATAGTGTCAATTTTATATAACTAGGTTCATTTGCTTCATCATTTTTGAATTAAGTTCTTAAAAATATATAAACTGGCCGGGTGAGGTGGCTCAGGCCCGTAATCCTAGCATTTTGGGAGTCCAAGGTGGACAGATTGCCTGAGCTCAGGAGTTTGAGACCAGTCTGGGCAACACAGTGAAACCCCGTCTCCACTAAAATACAAAAGAAATTAGCTGGGCATGGCGGCGTGCACCTGTAGTCCCAGCTACTCGGGAGGCTGAGGCAGGAGAATTACTGGAACCCAGGAGGCGGTGGTGCACACCTGTAATCCAAACTACTCGGGAGGCTGAGGCAGGAGAATTGCTTGAACCCAGGAGGCAGAGGTTGCAGTGAGCTGAGATTGCACCACTGCACTCCAGCCTGGGTGACAGAGACTCCGTCTCTTAAAAAAAAAGTAGATGATAGGTAGATAGATAGATAGATAGATAGATAGACAGACAGACAGATAGATATAGATATAAGCCATGTATATGATTCAAAATGTAAAACTTTAAAAAAAAAGGTGTGCTCAGGGAAATCTCATTACCATTCCCATCAATTCCACCCACCCCCACAGGTAATTGTTATGAACTGAAATTGTGCTCACCCCAAATTTATAGATTTTAGCCCTAACCCCCAATGTGCCTGTATTTGGAGAAGGGCCTTTAAAGAGGTAAGTAAGGTTAAATGATGCGGCCAGGCATGGTGGCTCACGCCTGTAATCCTAGCACTGTGGGAGGCCGAGGTGGGTGGACTGTCTGAGCTTAGGAGTTCAAGAACAACCAGGGCAACAAGGCGAAACCCCGTCTCTACTAAACATACAAAGATTTAGCATGGCGTGGTGATACACGCCTCTAATCCCAGCTACTTGGGAGGCTGAGGCATAAGAATCGCTTGAACCTGGGAGGTGGAGGTTGCAGTGAGCCAAAATCATGCCACTGCACTCCAGCCTGGGCAACAGTGAGACTCTGTCTCACGAAAAGAAAAAAAAAAGGTTAATTGAGGACGTAAGAATGGGGCTCTTAACAGATAAGACTAGTGTCCTTGTCAGAAGAGACACCAGACCACATGTGCCGTCTCTCTCTCTCTCTCTGTGCGTGTGTGTGTGTGTGTGCATACACAGAGAATATGCCATGTGAGGACACAGTGAGAAGATGGCTGTCTGCAATCAGGAAGAGAGGCCTCACAATAAACCAAATTTCCAGCACCTTGATCTTGGACTTCTAGCCTCTAAAGCTGTGAGAAAATAAATTTCTGTTATTTAAGCCACCCACTTTGCAGTATTTTATTATGGCAGCTCTTGGCCGGGTGCGGTGGCTCCTGCCTGTAATCCCAGCACTTTGGGAGGCTGAGGCAGGCGGATCACGAGGTCAGCAGATCGAGACCATCCTGGCTAACACGGTGAAACCCCATCTCTACTAAAAATACAAAAAATTAGCCAGGCGTGGTGGCAGGCACCTGTAGTCCCAGCTACTCGGGAGGCCGAGGCAGGAGAATGGCATGAACCTGGGAGGCAGAGCTTGCAATGGGCCGAGATCGTGCCGATGAAACCCCGTCTCTATTAAAAATACGAAAATTTGCTGGGCGTGGTGGTGGGCACCTGTAATCCCATCTACTCGGGAGGCTAAGGCCAGGAAAATTGCTTGAACCTGCGAGGCGGAGGTTGCAGTGAGCTGAGATTGTGCCACTGCACTCCAGCCTGGGCGACAGAGTGAGACTCCATCTTGGCCAGCGGGGGGTGGAAGGGGAGGGAAGAGAGTTATTTATATAGGCTAGAAAAAAAAATATCGGATATGTGATTTGCAAAATGTCTCCTATTGTGTTGTCTTTCCTTTTTTTTTTTTTTTGAGACGAAGTCTCACTCTTGTCCCCCAGGCTGGAGTACAATGGTGCGATCTTGGCCCACTGCAACCTCTGCCTCCCGGGTTCAAGCTATTCTCCTGCCTCAGCCTCCCGAGTAGCTGGGATTACAGGTGCCTGCCACCATGCCCGGCTAATTTTTGTATTTTTAGTAGAGACGAGGTTGCACCATGTTGGCCAGGCTGGTCTCGAACTCCTGACCTCAAGTGATCCGCCTGTCTCAGCCTCCCAAAGTGCTGGGATTACAGGCATGAGCCACTGCACCCAGCCTCTTTCTTTCTTTTTTTTTTTTTTCTGAGACAGAGTCTTGCTCTGTTGCCCAGGCTGGAGTGCAGTGCCACGATCTCAGCTCACTGCAACCGCCGCCTCCTGGGTTCAGGCCTCCTGCCTCAGCCTCTTGAGTAGCTAGGATTACAGGCATGCACCACCATGCCACCGCGCCTGGGTGCCTTTTCACTTTCTTGACAGTGTCTGTATTACTTGGCTAGGGCTGCCATAACAAAATACCACAGACTGGGTATGACCTCACTGGGGATTAGGACTTCAACATGAGTTTTGGGGGAATACAATTCAATCCATAATATTCTGTCCTCTGGACCCCCAAAGTTCATGTCCTTCTCACATATAAAATGCATTTATCCTGATCCCAACAGCCGCAAAAGTCTTACCTCATTTCAGCATCAACTCTAAGTCCAAAGGCTCATTTAAATATCATCTAAATCATAGCCAGGTGTGGTAGCTCACACCTGTAATCTCAGCATTTTGGGAGGCTGAGGTGGGCAGATAGCTTGAGGTCAGCAGTTCAAGACCAGCCTGGGCAACATGGTGAAACCCCCGTCTCTACCAAAAAAAAAAAAAAATTAGCCAGATGTGGGGGCAAGTGGCTGTAGTCCCAGCTACTTGGGAAGCTGAGGTGGGAGGATCACTTGAGCCAGGGAGGCGGAGGTTCTAGTGAGCCAAGATTGTGCCACTGCACTCCAGCCTGGGTGACAGAGTGCAACCCTATCTCAAAACAACAACAACCACAACCACCACCACAACAATAATAAAAACCCAAAATAAATATTATCCAAATCAGGTGTGGGTGATACTTGAGATATGAGTCATTCTGCGGCAAAGTTCCTTTCTGACTGTGAATGTATGAAACCAGGCCAGTTATGTACTTCCTGAGTATAATAGTGGGACAAGCATAGAACAGACATTCCCATTCCAAAGGCAAAAAATGGAAAGAAGACAGGGACATGGGGACATGGGTCCCAAGCAAATTCAAAACCTAGTAAGACTTTAGCCAGGCGTGGTGGTGCGCGCCTGTAATCCCAGCTACTCAGGAGGCTGAGGCAGGATAATCGCTCGAGCCCAGGAGGTGAAGGTTGAAGTGAGCTGAAACTGAGCCACTGCACTCTAGCCTGGGCGACAGAATGAGTGAGACTCTGTCTCAATAAATAAATAAATAAAATAAAATAAAATAAAATAAAATAAAATAAAACCTAGCAAGGCAAATTCTGTTGAACTTTAAGGCTGAAGAATAATTGTCTTTGGCTTGACGCTCTGCCCTCCTGGCCCAGTGGATTAGCAGGCTTGCCTTCTAGGGCCACGGGGGAGGCAGCATCACCACGTTGGCCCTATTGGTCCTGGGTAGCAGCCATGCCTCTGAGGCACTGGATGGCAGCAGCTTGACTTTCTGGAACTGAGGAGACATCTTAGCTCCCCAGACCTGTATCTTCTGGGCCTGCAGTTCGAATGGCAGCCTTGTTGCTAACTGAATCTCCTTTGGGATCAGTCTTCCCTTTTCTTAAAGGGTAACATGTGTTCACAGCCAGATAACTCTGTTGCCTCATCCTTTAGGATCCCAGAATTACGACAGCCTTCTTTCCTTCTGTCCTGTGTCCCCTTTAGTCCAAGATGACAGTGTTTATGCTGGTATAATCTCATCTCTCTTCCTGGCTTGCGCTGAGAAAGCTGAATAAATTTGTAAATTGCACCTATAATCTCTATGAAATACTGAGAATTTTTCAAATCTTCAAGTTTTGTTTTTGCTTAATAATTCCCTCAGTTTATCTTTCTTCCCACATTTTACTAAAGCAACCAAAAGAAGCTAGGCCATACCTTCAACAGTTTGGTTAGAAATCTCCTCAGCTAAATAACCAAATTTATCACTTTGAACCTGCACTTTCCACAAAACACTAGAACACCATTTGGCCAAATTCTTTGTGGAAGAAAGGATGGCCTTTCCCGCACTTTCCGATAATATGTTCCTAATTTCCGTCTGAGACCTCCCCAGAATCACCTTTATTCCTTACTCCTACCAACAATCTCTTCAAGACAATCTAGACTTTTTTTTTTTTTTTTTTTTGGCGGGGGGGACAGGGTCTTGTTCTGTCACATAGGCTGGAGCGCAGTGGTGGGATCACGGCTCATTGCAGCCTCGACCTCCCAGGCTCAAGTGATCTTCCCACCTCAGCCCCACACCCCCGCCCGCCCCTGCCCTGAGTAGCTAGGACTACAGGTGCGCACCACGATGCCTGCTAATTTTTGTTCTGTTTTGAGACAGAGTCTCACTCCGTCAAGCAGGCTGGAGTGCAGTAGCATGATCTTGGCTCACTGCAACCTCCACCTCCCGGGTTCAAGCGATTCTCTTGCCTCAGCCTCCCCAGTAGTTGGGGTTACAGGCGTGTGCCACCAGGCCTGGCTAATTTTTGTATTTTTAGTGAAGACAAGGTTTCACCACGTTGGCCAGGCTGGTCTCGAACTCTTGATCTCAAGTGATCCGCCCGCCTCAGCCTCCCGAAGTGCTGAGATTACAGGTGTGAGCAGCTGCACACGGCTCAATCAGGCTTTTTCCAGCACGCACCTCAAAACTCGTTCACTCTCTACCCATTATCCAGTTCCTGAGTTACTTCCACATTTATAAAGTATTTATTACAGCAGCACTCCACTTCTTGGCATAAAAGTCTACATTATTCTGCTAGGGATACCATAATAAAATAATACAGTTTGGGTGGTTTAAGCAACAGAAATTTATTTGCCATAATTTTGGAATCTGGAAGTCCAAGATCAAGGTGTCAGCAGGTTGTTTTTTCCTGAAGATTTTTTTTTTTTTTTTTTTTTTTTTGAGACGGAGCATCCCTTGTTGCCCAGACTGGAGAGCAATGGCGTGATCTCAGCTCACTGCAACCTCTGCCTCCCAGATTCAAGTGATGATTCTCCTGCCCCAGCCTCTCAAGTAGCTAGGATTACAGGTGCCCGCCACCATGCCCAGCTAATTTTTGTATTTTTAGTAGAGACAGGGTTTCTCCATGTTGGCCAGGCTGGTCTCCAACTCCTGACCTCAGGTGGTCCACCTGCCTTGGCCTCCCAAAGTGCTGGGATTACAGGCATGAGCCACCGCACGCGGCCGGCTGCATCTTCTTGGATCTGCACAGGACCTTTTCTCTGATGTTTGTCACTGGTATCTCTTCCTCTTCTTATAAGGACACCAGTCCTACTGGGTTAGATACCATTCTTATGACTTATTTAACCTTCATTATCTCTTCAGGGCCTCATCTCCAAATATAGTCACACTGGGAGTTAGGGCTTCAACATATGAATTTTGGAGGAATATACTTCAGTCTTTAACAGTGTAATGGATGCACATAAGTTTTAAAATATTTATTTATTGTGGTAAAATGTAAGTAACATAACACTTTACTATTTTAACTATTTTTCAGTGTATAGTTCTGTGGCATTAAGTACATTCACAATGATCTGCAGACATCACCCTTATCTTCTCCAGAAATGTTTCTTCTTCCCAAACGGAAACTCTATACCCATTAAACACTCCCTCTTCCCCCTCCCTCTGTCCTCTGGCAGCCACCATTACGCTTTCTGTCTCTATGAATTTTTTTCTTTTTGAGACAGAGTTTCGCCCTTTTGCCCAGGCTGGAGTGAAGTCATGCAATCTCGGCTCACTGCAACCTCCGCCTCCCGGGTTCAAGCGATTTTCCTGCCTCATCCTCCCGAATAGCTGGGATTCTAGGTGCCTGCCACCACACCCAGCTAATTTTTTTGTATTGTTAGTAGAGATGGGATTTCGCCATATTGGCCAGGTTGGTCTCGAACTCCTGACCTCAGGTGATCCACCTGCCTCAGGCTCCCAAAGTGCTAGGATTATATGCATGTGAGCCACCGTGCCTGGCCCTGTCTCTATAAATTTGACTACTTTAGGTACCTCATATGAATGTAATCATATAAGATCTATACTTTTATGATTGGCTTATTTTACTTAGTGTAAGGTCTTTAAGGTTCATCCACAGTGTAGCATATGTCAGAATTTCCTTCCTTTTTAAGGCTGAATAATACAAAAGACTTTTTTTTTTTTTTGAGATGGAGTCTTGCTCTGTCGCCCAGGCTGGAGTGCAGTGGCGTGATCTCGGCTCACTGCAAGCTCCGCCTCCCGGCTTCACGCCATTCTCCTGCCTCAGCCTCCCAAGTAGCTAGGACTACAGGCGCCCGCCACCATGCCCGGCTAATTTTTTGTATTCTTCAGTAGAGATGGAGTTTCACCGTGTTAGCCAGGATGGTCTCAATCTCCTGACCTTGTGATCTGCCCGCCTCAGTCTCCCAAAGTGCTGGGATTATAGGCGTGAGCCACCGCGCCTGTCCACACCAGGCTAATTTTTTGTATTTTTAGTACAGACAGGGTTTCACAGTATTAGCCAGGATGGTCTCGATCTCCTGACCTTGTGATCCGCCTGCCTCGGCCCCCCAAAGTGCTGGGATTACAGGCGTGAGCCACCATGCCTGGCCAATACAAAAGTTTTATATTTTGATGAAGTCCAATTAATTTTATTTTTTTGGAGACAGGATATTGGTCTGTCACCTAGGCTAAAGTACAGTGGCACAATCATGGTTCACCACAGCCTTGATCTCCTGGGTTCGAGGAATCCTTCTGTCTCAGCCTCACAAGTAGCTGGGACTATGGGTGCATGCCAACACACCCAGCTAATCTTTCAAATTTTTTGCAGACATGGGGGTCTCTTTATGTTGCCCAGGCTGGTCTTGAACTCCTTGGCTCAAGTGACCCTCCTGCCTTGGCCCCACCAAAGTGCTGAGATTACAGGCATAAAGCCACTGCACCTGGTCTCAATTTTTTTCTTTTGTTACTTGTCCTTTGGTCTCACAGCTAAGAAACTATTGCCTAATCCAAAGCCATGAAGATTTATACCTATATTTTCTTCTATGAGTATTTTAGCTTAAGCTTTACACTTAGGTCTTTGATTCATTTTGAACTAATTTTCATATATGTGAGGTATGGGTTCAACTTCATTCTTTTGCATGTGATATTCAATTGTTCAAGCACCACTTTTTTTAAAAAACATTTATTTATTTATTTATTTTGAGACGGAGTCTTGCTCATTGCAACCTCCGGCTCCCAGGTTCAAGCGATTCTCCTGCCTCAGCCTCCCGAGTAGTTGGGATTACAGGCGCCCACCACCACGCCCAACTAATTTTTGTAATTTTTGTATTTTAGTATTCCACCATCTTGCGCAGGCTGGTCTCGAACTCCTAACCTGGTGATCCACCCGCCTTGGCCTCCCAAAGTGCTGGATTATAGGTATGAGCTAACGCACCTGGCCTTTTTTTTTTTTTGAGACAGAGTTTCACTCTTGTTGCCCAGGATGGAGTGCAATGGCGCAATCTCAGCTCACTGCAACCTCTGCCTCCCAGGTTCAAGTGATTCTCCTGCCTCAGCCTCCTGAGTAGCTGGAATTACAGGCATGTGCCACCATGTCTGGCTAATTTTGTATTTTTAGTAGAGATGGGGTTTTTCCATGTTGGTCAGGCTGGTCTTGAACTCCCGACCTCAGGTGATCCACCTGCCTCGGCCTCCCAAAGTGCTGGGATTACAGGTGTGAGCCGCCGCACCTGGCCTTGTTTTTAAAATAGAGACAGGGTCTCGTTATGTTGCCCAGGTTGGCTTTGAACTCCTGGGCTGAAGCAATCCTTCTGCCTCAGTTTCCCAAAGTGCTGGGATTACAGGAGTGAACTACCACATCCAGCCTGCTTTTGTTTTTATTTTTGAGACAGGGTCTCACCCTGTTGCCCAGGCTGGAGAGTGGTACCATTATAGTGCACTGCAGCCTTGAACTCCTGGGCTCAAGGGATCCTCCTGCCTTAGCCTCCCAAGTAGCTAAGAACTGCAGGTGTGTGCCACCATTCCCGGCTAATTTTTAAAATTTTTTTGTAGAGACAGGGTCTCGCTGTGTTGTCTGGGGTGGTCTCTGACTCCTGTCCTCAAGCGATCTTCTTGTCTCAGCCTCCAGAAGTGCTGGGATTACAGATGTGACCTACTGAGCCTAAACTGTTTTAACGATAGCAAGACTATGCTTCATTAATAGGTTGGGTGTAAAAGTTGAAACCCCTAAAAGCAGCATCTTCTAAGCTTTTTTTTTTTTTTTTTATCATAGTAACTGATTATTCTGTTTAATTCTCTCTTTTCCGGGCGTTTTCTCTCCCAGAACTCCTACCCTTCTGTTCCAATCTAACTAAGTTCCTGGGACTTCCCTTTACTGTTTTCCTGAATTGGATCTAGTGATTACTGGATGTTGTCAGATACCCTGATTTCTCCCTCATTTTGCTTGAGCACACATTTAAGTAACTCTTTTTTAAAATTTATTTTTATTTTTTGAGATGGAGTTTTGCTCACTGCCCAGGCTGGAGCGCAATGGCACAATCTCGGCTGACTGCAACCTCTGCCTCCCGGATTCAAGCAATTCTCCTGCCTCGGCCTCCTGAGTAGTTGGGATTACAGGTGCCCGCCATCATGCCTGGCTAATTTTTGTATTTTTAGTAGAGACGAGGTTTCACCATGTTGGCCAGGCTGGTCTCAAACTCCTGACATCGTGATCCACCCGCCTCAGCCTCTCAAAGTGCTGGGATTACAGGTGTGAGCCACCGTGCCCAGCCCGCCAGTTTGATTTTTGTCCTTTTATGGGCTCCTTTTTTTCCTCTTTGGAAACTTAGAATCTTCTTTATATTTAGAGTTCAAACATTTCACATGGTTGAATTTTTTTTTTCTTTTGGTTCTGCACTAGTGGATTCTTTCAGTTCTAGGAAATTGTCTTGCATTATTTTTTCAATAATTTTCTGTCCTTCATTAACTTTGTTTTCTCTTTTTCACATAATATTAGTCCTGTTGAACTAATTCTTTATCTTATTTTCTCTCACAATTTCCACCCCTTTGTATATTTATTGTTTTCTTTTTTTTTTTTTTCCTGAGACAGGATCTGGCTCTGTTGCCCAGGCTGGAGTGCAGTGGTGTTATTTCAGTTCACTGCAACCTCTGCCTCCTGGGCTTAAGCTATCCTCCCACCTCAGCCACCTGAGTAGCTGGGATTACAGGCATATGCCACCATACTTGACTTATTTTTGTATTTTTTTGTAGAAAAAGGGTTTTGCCATGTTGCCCAGGCTGGTCTTAAACTCCTGGGCTCAAACGATCTGCCTGCCTTGGCCTCCTAAAGTGTTGGGATTATAGGCGCAAGCCACTGCACCCGGCCCTATTTTCTTTTTTCTTTTTTGAAATAAGGTCTCTTGCTCTGTCACCCAGACTGGGGTGCAGCTTCCTAAAGTGTTGGGATTACAGGCGCGAGCCACTGCACCCAGCCCTATTTTCTTTTCTTTTTTGAAGTAAGGTATCTTGCTCTGTCACCCAGGCTGGGGTGCAGCACCACCATCCTGGCTCACTGCTCCGTTGACCTCCCAGGATGAGGTAATACTTACACCTCAGCCTCCTGAATAGCTAGGAACACAGGTGCGCATCACCATACCTGGCTAAGTTTTAAAACATTTTTAAAGAGATGGGGTCTCATTATGTTGCCCAGGCTTCTTCTATTTTCTTTAAAAGTTCAGTGACTTTATCTTTCAATATTTTAATTGAATTTATAATTTGGCAATTTATTTTAAATTTCAAGATCTATTTTTAAACCTTGGATTGTTACTTCATCTGAGTATCCTAGTATACTAATTAGGTTTTCCTTTCTAAATTCTCTGAAGTTTCTGTTTATCTGCCCCCACAGTCCATGTTGGAGACTTTTCTTAAATACCTAATAACACTTAGTTGTCTGTTCATACGTATGAGGCAGTTGGAATGCTGATGGGGAGTCTTGTGAACTTGGGAGGTGTCTTAGTCTATTTTATGTTGCTATAAAGGCATGCCTGCAGCTGGGTAATTTATAAAGAAAACGGGTTTGTTTAGCTCACAATTCTGCAGGCTGTACAGGAAGCAAGGCACTAGCATCTGCTCAGTTCTGGTGAGGGTTTTTGTGCTGCATCAAGACATGGCGGAGAAGGTCAAGGAAAAGTGTCTGTGCACATGCAAAGAGAAATCAAACCCGAGGTGAGTCCTGGCTTTACAACAAACCACTCTCCAAGGAACAAATCCATTCTCCTGATAACCAACATAGTTTCGCAAGTGTGAGAACTCACTACTGTAAGAATGACACCACGTCCTTCATGAAGAATCTGCCCCCATGACCCAAACACCTCCCATCAGGACCCACCTCCCAATACTATCACACTGGGAATCAAATTTCAACATGAGATTTGGTAGAGACAAAAAAACCATATCCAAACCATAGCAGGAAGTTCCTGCCAACTTGCCCAACTACACTTTAAAGTGGGTGGGTAGGAAACCAGCTATTGTGCTAGAATAAAGAATACTTTACTCTTAGGCCCTTCAATACTCAGTTAACCCAAATCTCCCCAGATTATCAGAGTGCTTAATTTTAGCCTGGATAAATGCCTAGATATTGTATCTGAGATATAGGGAGGGTTCTGCTCTTCCTTATATAGACCTTTATTTAGTCTCCCTGGTCTCAACTCTGCTTCTCACTCTTGCTCTGTCTGGTAGTTATCTCCAAATCTCCGTCTCCCTAAAGCACTTCTGGGCTGACAGGTCCCCTTCCTTTCTACAGCACCCTCTACACCCATTCTACATTATGCTTTTCTCCATTTTATTTTGTCAGACCACACTTACTTTTTGCATGTCAAATAAAAAAAAATTATCTTCCGATGTCCCCCTTCTCATTTTCTATTTTGTATCACTTTTATTTATCATCATTTTATGGGGTCTCAGGAAGAAGAGACAGTAAATACATGTGCTCGGTTAGCTAGCTTTAATCAAAAATCCTAAACGTAGGTTTTAAAAAAGATAACTGGAGCAGGGCAGGAAATAATATTTTTTGCCAGTGTGGTGGCAAAAAATAAAAAACAAAAATCTGAATCTGTGTTAGGACAGTATTTCCGTGTATAACATAGCGCTTAGCAACTTAATTCTCCAGATCCACATATTTTAAGGACATGATGTATCTCAGACACCTACTTCAAACCTCACTTTACAGTTAAGTAAGACCACAAGTAGAATGAATTGCCTGAGGCCACACAAGTAGACAGTGGGAGAATGAGAACAGAAATATCTATTGACTCCTAGTTGAATTTTCTCTTACCTTACCACACTGCTAGGGAGTAACAAGATGGGCAGATCACGAGTCAGATGAGAAAGGTCATGAAAAATAGTCAAAGGATGACTTTTCCTGGGTAAATAGCCGGATGTCCAAGAAATGAAAGGCTGGTCTGGCAGCAGCACATCGTCTAACAGTTGGTAGTCATATGTGGGAAGTACTGAAGGGGGAGATGACAGCAGGCCCAGAAACTGCAATGATCCAAGTGCATGTCGATCCTGGGAGGGAACAGTTAAGAGTCCGGGCAGGATGAAACAGTAGAAACTGGTGAGTGAATGAATGTGAAGGCTGAGGAGCGACTGCAATTTGTTAATGGGATTATGAGGCAGTATAAAGTGGTTAATTACGGTGGCGGAGGTAAGCAGGAGTAAAATGATGGCTTTTAACTCCTCTCAAGGACACCGAAAATTATTTTAATAAACACTGGAAGGCTGGGAATAAATATAATTCACACCATTCTTACTTTCTTGGTTTAGAGATAGCTTATCTACATCCTTAAATTAATGGCTGTAGCTACCCTCTGCATGGCTCCAAAAAAAAAACAAAAAACAAAAAACAAAACCAAAGCCGGCTGCGAGTCTGCACGAGAAAATCGGGTTGCACCAGGCCCCAGCCGCCCGCCGATTCGCTTAGCTGTCGGAGGCTAAATAAACAGCTCCCGAAGCAGCGTTTGGCACAGCGCAGGGTCGGAACGTGGACACTAATTTCCGCCCACGCTCCCCGCGTCCTGGCGGGATCACCACAGACACGACGTCCATTGCTGGGGTCCTCGGCGATGCCCGTGTGCGCAGCCCCGCGAGTCTCAGGTCAGAAGACCACTAATTTCGCGGCCGCGTTCCACGAAGCTAAGGGGCAAAAAACCAGCTTTCTTGGGACAAAGCGTCCCCCCAGCAGCCAGGGTCGATCCCGGCGCTGCTCCCGCGGCGCTTGGCTGCCCCGGGCGTAACGGGCCACGAGAAGTAGGGGGTGGGGCGCCGCTTAGGTTTGGGAAGACACGAAGCGGCTCCTCGGGCTTCCAGCGTCCACTTCCTACGGCAAGCAGGAGGAGACAAGCGCCACCCTGCGCTCGCGGAGCCGACCCCGGCTCTCCCCTCCCGTGGCCGCAGGGGTCGTGTGTGTGTGTGTGTGAGTGTGTGTGTGTGTGCAGGGACGCTCCGCGCCCATCACTCTGTTTCGGTGCTAATCGACCGCCGTGGCGCCGATTTCCCCCGCTTCCCAGTTCCTCACCCGCGTGCCCCGGAAGGCGCCCGGAGGCCCCCGGGCCGCCGCGTCACGCTCCCGGGAGGCTGAGGGAAAGGGAGGCAGCCGAGCCGGGAGCCCGGGGAGGCGCGCTGCGCCCCGCGGCGGGGCTGGGGGCGGGGCTAGGTGTCTCGCGCAGGGGGCGGGGCGCGGTGACGTCGCGGGCGCCTGGGCCGTGCTGTGGCGGCGGCGGCGGCGGTAGTGGCGGCGGCGGCGGTGCCTGGGCGGCAGCAGCAGCAGTAGCGGCAGCCCTGAGGACGGTGAGACGGCCGCGGCGGCGGCGACAGCGCGGAAGTCGCGCGGGACCCAGAGCTTCCCCCCTGTCGCTAGTGCTGAGGCTTTCGCCTTTCCTACCCAGCTTCTTGCTCACGGCCCGGGCTGGGCTGGGCAGGGCAACGCGCCCCCGGGGAGGGGCGGAGCTGTAGGTGAGGCTTCGCGACCCCCTCCCCCTCCTCGGCAGCCCGGGGGGTGGGGAGGGGCGGGCCCCACCCAGACCACCGGCGCCCACCCGCGGGCTCCACCCAGCCGGGCTCCGGGATCGGGCGGGAGCCGAGGCGGTAGATGTGGGGATCCTGGGGCGGGAGGTGGGGGAGTGGGGACTGGGGCTCTGGGCACTTGGGGAGCGGAGGGGGGGAGGCTTAGGACTAGTGAAGCCGCGGACGAGGTAGTGGGGAGACGGAGAAATTGGGGAGCCATGAGGTTGGGGTGCGGTCAGGGTGGATCTTTGGGTTAGGTGAGTGATGTAAAATGCTGAAGATGATTCTTTTCTTTTCGATGAAATGGTGAGATAAAAGATGAAGTGTATTTCAAAAGGACGATGAGCTGTGCATGTTGCCTTTGAGGCAGTTGCAGAACCTATTTTATTGCACTAGATCTCACGTTTCTACTTTAGGGTTCGATTCTTTTTCTTCTGGCGGGGTGGGTGGGGGGTCGGAGAGGGAAGAGAATCCCCTTACTTTGGCTCAGGTAAATTGTGAGCGTGGATGTATCTGAAAGTTTTACACCGAAGAAGAGGGAGATCTTCGGTTTAGACAACTTCGTTCCGGCAGCCACCATTTGGGTCGCATTACGCTTAGCTCCTTCAAGGTGGTGTCTTCCAGTTTTTTTTCCCCCCAATGCCTAAAAGATCTCTTTATACCACCCTTTTACAGGCTTTATCCTGGCCCCTTGAGAGAAGGCCCCAAACTCAGGTGGTTGCTTTGGAAGGCACATTGCTGAATAATAGTTGCAGGTGGTTGTGGTTGACTGCTTTGGGTGGATAAAGTGAACAATTGGAATAGTTCTGTTGGAGCTAATTATATGAAAAATGCTTAAATGTTTTAAAGTACAACCGTCTTTTATAGCGTGTTGCTTGCTCAGTACACCTTGACTTTTAGACATTTTGTGTTCAGTGCTAAATTGTTGAAATTTTATTTCTCATTTGCAGTTATGTTTCTTGCAGTCTTTATTAAAACACTTTAAAATGAAATGGAACTCTTTTTTTTTGGTAGGCTCCTCAATTTCTGAGAAATGTTCTTGGAGTCAAGTGCTTTAAAAACATTTTGGGGGCAGGTGTGTCACTTTGTATGGAAATATTAGAGTAAGCAGTGTTCAATGTTCTTCACATCACTCTTTCACAACTTAGCACTGTAAATCAGAATCTTCTTTTCTGGATTCTTGCTCCCTGTTAGATTACAGTATTCTCTGGCCCTACTTATCAGTTAGTGTCATTTAAGCTATTTCTTGTTCAGAAAACAGGTCCCATGATGGACATGTATTATGTAATGGATGGAAGTAGACATGGCTCTCAATAATTCATTTATGGAGGAAGAGAAGCTGTCAGAAAGTGGGATTTAAGCAGTGACTTTCCCAAGGCTTGCCTAGTTTATTTGGGAAAATAGCCAGAGAAGTGCTTTCTTGTAACCCAAAAGAGAAATATACAGATAAGAATTTCAGTAGTTGCAGATCGTTGCTTTTTCTAAGTGCCTACTTAATGAGCAGATTATTGTCTTCCAGCAAATACTTCTACTTTATAGAGAGGTATGGGAAACAGGACATAATAGGTATTAAGTGAGAAAGTGTGTGTTCCAATTTTTAATTATAAATAAAAGATTTAATTAACTGTATTCAGTTAATTCATTTGGTAAAGTGAACAGTTTTGACTTTGGATTAGTTAGAAGGAAAACAAAATTGACATATCTAGTTTTCGCTTTTAAATTATACATAGACTTAATTAATTGGGACAAATGTGAACTAAGATACTGGGTAAAACTTGTGTGTACTCCTAAAATGACATTTGCATGGCTGGTAGTAAGCTGTGATTCTTGTCCTTGTAGGAATGAAATCACATAATTTGGGGAAAGTCTTAAGGTAAAAGTAAGCTATTTCGTTTAGCATTTCTTGTGCCTGAAATTATGCCTACATTTTATTTTTCAAAAAATGTTGCTTGCTAGTCATTACTTGTGATATCCTTGTTGAGTCTACTGAGGTGTTTTTTTTCCTTCATTACCTGTGTCATAGATAAGTATGCCAGTCTGTTAATTCAACATTAATACTGCAAACTTAAAAGTGAAGGTTCTTGGCCGGGCGCCGTGGCTCATGCCTGTAATCCCAGCACTTTGGGAGGCCGAGGCAGGCGGATCATGAGGTCAGGAGTTCGAGACTAGCCTGGCCAACATGGTGAAACCCTGTCTCTACTAAAAATATAAGAATTAGCTGGGCGTGGTGGCACATGCCTGTAATCCCAGCTACTCAGGAGGCTGAGGCAGAAGAATTGCTTGAGCCTGGGAGGCAGAGGCTGCAGTGAGCCGAGATCATGCCACTGCACTCCAGTCTGGGCTACAGAGCGAGATTCCATCTCAAAAAATAAAAATAAAAATTGGCTGGGTGTGGTGGTGCACACCTGTAACCCCAGCTACTCAGGAAGCTGAGGCAGGAGAATTGCTTGAACCTGGGAGGTGGAGCTTGCAGTGAGCCGAGATTGCACCACTGCACTCCAGCCTGAGTCACGGCAAAACTCCGTCTCAAAAAAAAAAAAAAAAAAAAAAAAAAAAAGTGAAGGTTTTCATAGCAACAGCTGCTCGGTTTTACACTATGTTTACATTTAGAAGTATGAGAGTTGTTAAATGTGTATTTTACACATATTTCATCAGAAACATTAATGGAAAAAGATCAAGAAATGAAGTATTTTGGTTTAAGAATCAGTAGTACATTGATTATCAGTTTTCAGAGACATATAGTAAAATAAACTTAGCATACAGATTATGTGGAATATAATTTGTTTTTTTTTCTTATTTATTTTTTGTGTGTGGAATGTAATTGAAATCTGTTGCTCACCAAGTCTTTCAGTGTACTAGAGTTTGGGTTCTGGGGTCAGAGTGCCTGAGTTCAAATCCTGGCTTTGCCATGGTATGATGTAGGGCAAACTGCTTAATGTTGTTTATTTCCTAACCTTAACCTGTACCTTAATTTCTTCATCTGCAAAATAGAAATAATAACAGTAGTACCTAACCTCTTAAGCTGGTCAAATGAATTAATTCATGTATTTAGAACAGTTTGGGCACATAATTAGCTGGTTCACTAACATCATTTGAAGTTTAACTGTGTATACTATTTTTACTTAATAAGTATATATTAAATACATATTATGTACCACATATTCTAGATGCTGGTATCATAGTAGTGAACAGTTCTCCCAGCACTTTGGGAGGCCGAGGTGGGAGGATGGCTGGGCAACATAGCGAGACCATGTCTCTACAAAAATAAAAAAATTAGGCCGGGTGCGGTGGCTCACGCCTGTAATCCCAGCACTTTGGGAGGCCAAGGCGGGCGGATCATGAGGTCAGGGGTTCGAGACCAGCCTGGCCAGCATGGTGAAACCCCGTCTCTACTGAAAATACAAACAATTAGCTGGGGGTGGTGGCGCGTGCCTGGAATCCTGGCTACTCGCAAGGCTAAGGCAGGAAAATCTCTTGAACCCAGGAGGCGGAGGTTGCAGTGAGTGGAGATCGTGCTATTGCACTCCAGCCTGGGTGACAGAGCAAGACTCTGTCTCAAAAAAAAAAAAAAAAATTAGCATGGCAGTATGTGCCTATAGTCTCAGCTACTCAGGAGACTGAGGCAGGAGGATCACTTGAACCTAGGGGTTCGAGGTTGCAGTGAGCTGTCATTCCGTCGTTGCACTCCAGCCTGGGCGACAGAGTGAGGGAAGGCTATCTCAAATAAATAATAAATAAATAAAAGTACGGGCAGTAGTCAGGAGCTTATGCTGTATTGTTCCAGGTGAGGGTATCTCTGACCAAGGTGAAATGGGGAGGAGGGGTTGGATTTTGTATGTATTTTGAGGGTAGACCTATAGAATTTGTTGGTGGTTGTTTGCGGGATGTGGGCCAAACAGAAGAATAAAGAATAAGGTTTTTGGCCTGAATAACTGGAAGAATAAAGTTGCCAGTAACTGAATTGGAGATGGTAATTCATGGAGCATGTTTGTGGAGAAACCAGAAGTTCAGGGTGATGTCCAGGAAGAGTGAGAAATGTGGCTGTTTTCAGCTTCTTTGTAGTATTTATGATTATGAGATAGGTGAGATCATCAGGGGAGTGAATTTTGGTGGAGAAGAGATCCAAACATCTGAGCCTAGGGGACTGATTCATTCACTTATTCATTCATAAGTTACTTAGTGAGTATGGTTCTTCTAGGTACCTTTTTAGGCATTGGGGATATAAACCTGACAAAAGTTTTCACCTTCATGGAACTTACCTTCTAGATACGTGAGGGGAAATCAAGAGGAACCAGTAAAGGAGAGTGATAAGAAATCATTGAGTTAGGAGGGAAACCAGGGGAGTATGATATTCTAGAAGTGAAGGAAAGGAAGCTTTCAAGAAGGAGGGAACGGTCAGCGGTGTCATTGTTTAAAGTTGTGTCAGAATGTTGAGTAAGAGAGAATTCTGCTTGATTATGATGTCTAATAACAGGGAAATGACTAAATAAGTTTTAGTGTGAGATAGATGAGACAAATGTAAGAGTCTTTTAGTTTTTTACTTCTCTGTTTTTTTTGTTTTTTTTTTTGAGATGGAGTCTCTCTTTGTTGCCCAGGCTGGAGTGCAGTGGCGCAATCTCGGCTCACTGCAATCTCCGCCTCCTGGGTTCACACCATTCTGCCTCAGCCTCCGGAGTAGCTGGGACTACAGGTGCCCGCCACCATGCCTGGCTTTTTTTTTTTTTTTTTTTTTTTTTTGTATTTTTAGTAGAGACAGTGTTTCACTGTGTTAGCCAGGATGGTCTTGATCTCCTGACCTCATGATCCGCGCGCCTTGGCCTCTCAGAGTGCTGGGATTACAGGCATAAGCGACCACACCTGGCCTCATTCTCCGGGTAGATTTTTAAGAAATATTTCAGCCAGGCACAGTGTCACATGCCTGTAGTTCCAGCTGCTCTGGAGGCTGAGGCAGGAGGATTGCTTGAGTCCAGGAGATCAAGGCTGTAGTGTGCTATGATTGCATATGTGTATAGCCACTGCACTCCAGCCTGGGCTACATAGTGAGACCCCATCTGTAAATTAAAAAAAATCATTCTTTTCAGAACAAAATAGGCAACCTGGGAGTGCTAAGGAAAGGCACATGACTTCTTATTGTTGTTGTTAATTTTATGTACACTTATTTTAAGAAATAGGTAATATATGTACTAAATTAGAAGGTATAAGAGAATACACAGTTAAAAGTCTCTCCTATCCCATCTAGTTCTTTCTGAAGGCAATCACTGTTTGCAGTTTCTTGTTTTTTCTTTTTAGCCAGTGAAATTTTGTGTAATAGGACATTACCTATTCTAAAATTGCATACATATAAGAAACATTTTATCTTCCACTCTGACACTGAACACTGGCAATATTTTATACTTTTTGAGAAGGGTCTTGGTCTGTTACTCAGTCTGAAATGCGATGGTGCGGTTATAGCTTACTGCAACCTTGAATTCCTGGGCTCAAGCGATCTTCCCACCTCAGCCTCCAGAGTAGCTGGGACTGTAGCCATGTGCCACCATGCCTGGCTAATTAAAAAAAATTTGTAGAGAGACAAGGCGTCATTATGTTGCCCAGGCACTATTTTAGAATAGCTTATTTAAAAGATAGTTTTAGAAGCCTGTCAAGGGAAATAGTGACTGCTAGGATCAAACATGGATTCACTAAGTCACATCAGACAGTAGTTGCCTAGAATTGACTTGGTTACTTGACTGATAAATAAAGGAAATGCAGTAGTTGGAATTTATGTATACGTCAGCTAGGCTTTTTCATGTCGTCTTTGTGGAAAGTACGAACATATGTGTCCTAGATTTCTTGAGGACAGGAACTATCTATTAGATACTTATTAAATACTTGATGAATGAATGGATGCTAGCATAATAATGTGAATTCACAAGTTGAATACCCAGGAAATAAAGAGGTGCTTGTTGAGGATCTTGGGTTTGAGGAACTTGGTGTTAGACTCATCCATACATTTATTGAAATGACACAGGATGGTAGCAAGACTGGTGGCATAGAGGATAATGGCAGCTGTGAACTAGTTGCCAGCATATCCTTACTGAGTATGGGGGATGTCCAGGTGGTCATTAGCTGATAGTGAAGAGGTAGAGGTTGAAGACTGTGCTGCTGAATAGCATGAGAATTAGACTAAGATTTTACGTAAGGGTTTGGGAATAGTGGTCTGGAACTGGCACTGGCAGGAAGGAAGGTACCAGCCTCATTTCCCAGTATTGGGTGTGGAGTGGAAGAGACTGAGTAGCTTTCACTTAAAAGGACTATATGAGAAGAGGTGTCCTGATTGGAAAGTCAGCTTTCAGTTAAGGCAGAGAGGTAGCAAGAACATTTCCCAAGGAAGTTGAAGACTTTTAGAGGAGTTTCTTGATAAAAGAATGAAGTTCCATGAGAGTGTATTTTTCCACCCTATTGGCTTGTTATCATCATTTAAACTTTAAAATGTCTCTTCATCTTAATAAAAAACTCCAGATTTATACTTTATTGCTCTAAGTTGCTCTCTGCTTTACACACTTAAGAGTTTTCTGCATTTGCTGTGTATCTCCATTTCTTCACCTGTGACTTCTCAACCTATTTCTGTCTTGTTTCTATCGCCATTATTTCAGTGAAACTGAAAATAGCTAGTGAAAATATGTATGAAAATAGCCAATGTCTATTTTACTATCCTGTTCTTATTTAACCTCTTAGCAGCTGTGCTAGTTTCTATTGGCTATATAACAAATTACCCCCTAACTTAAGAAACATTTATTGTTTCACAGATTTTGTAGATCAGGAATGTGGGTGCAGTTGGCACCTATGATTCAGGGTCTCTCACAAGGCTGCAGTCATCTCAAAGCGCTACTTGGGGAGGCTGTTTCCAAGCTCACTCATGCGGCAATTGGCAGGCCTGAGGTCCTTGTTGGCTGCTTGCTGGAGAGGTGAGTCCCTTGCCATTTGGGTTTCTGCGTACGACTACTTAAAATATGATATCTCAGTGCTTCTGTCTTCAAAAGAGGACAGATATTAGCCAGAATCTTTTTGTAACCTTATCTTGGAAGTGATGTGGTATCACTTTTGTTGTATTCTGTTATCAGCCAGTCACTAGGTCCAGTGCACTCAAGGCAGGATTTCACAATTGCATGAATGCTGGGAGGCAGAGATCACTCATAGCCATTTCAGGACTGTCTACCACAGCAGCATTTGACAGAGCGGATACCCCTCCTTCCTTTGTAAAGCTCTCTCTTCTCTTGAGGTCTTCAGAGCACTTTTCTGTTTTTCTTGCTGGTTCTCTGGGCTCTTTCTCTGTCACTTTTTTTTTTTTTTTTTTTTTTTTGAGGCAGAGTCTTGCTCTATCGCCCAGGCTGGGGTGCAGTGGCACAATCTTGGCTCACTGCAACCTCCGCCTCCTGGGTTCAAGTGATTCTCCTGCCTTAGCCTCTTGAGTAGCTGGGATTACAGGTGTGCACCACCACACCCAGCTAATTTTTGTATTTTTAGTAGAGATGGGGTTTCACCATGTTGGCCAGGCTGGTCTCGAACTCCTGGCCTCAGGTGATCTGTCTGCCTTGGCCTCCCAAAGTGTTGGGATTATAGGCGTGAGCCACCGTGCCTGGCCTCTCAGTCACCTTTTGAGTCTTTCTGTGCTCATTTATTAAATGTTTGAATTTCTTTGGGCTTTCTCATCGCTTTCTATTTCATTTTTCATCTGTGTGCTGAGTATTCATTTTTATGTCTTCAGTTTTTACCTCTCTCCTGAGTCTGAGGACCACTCTATCGAATTGCTACTGAATGTTTCCATTTGGATGCCCCTTAAACCGAACACATCCAGAACGGAATGTATGATTCCTACACTTCCTCTGGTGTTTCTTAATTTGTTAAATGACACCACTGGGTGCTTAAGCCGGAAATGTGTGTGGTGTTCTTGATTTCTCCCTCTCCTCCACCTTCCATTTTACTATTGCTTTTTATTTTTCTAGAGCCATGGCTGTTCAGTGATGGTGTGAATGTTTCTATGAGGTAGTGCATCCTCTGCCAGGTTGCAAGCATTGAACCTGGTGCTAGGTGATTTTTTTTTTTTTTTTTTTTTGAGATGGAGTTTCACTCTGTCGCCAGGCTGGAGTGCAATGGTGCAACCTCCGCCTCCCGGGTTCAAACGATTCCCCTGCCTCAGCCTCCCGAGTAGATGGGATTATAGGCGTGCACCACCACGGCCAGCTAATTTTGTATTTTTAGTAGAGACGGGATTTCTCCATGTTGGTCAGGCTGGTCTCAAACTCCTGACCTCAGGTGATCCGCCTGTCTTGGCCTCCCAGAGTGCTGGGATTACAGGCGTGAGCCACTGTGCCCAGCCCGCTAGGTGATTTTTAAGATTCCTTCCAATCTTGAGATACTGCGTGTGTAGCTATTGAAGATTTCTGAGTAGGAGATGCATGATCAGGGCTGTGCTTCAGAAAGGTGGCAACTCTTGAACAGTCATTTTTAGTTGTTCACCAAAGAATGAAACTAAACACCTGTATTCTTTTTAACTTTATTATGGTGTGCTAAGTGATGAATAGATAATTTTTATGTGACAGCCCTTTTGTATATATTAGTTTCATTTTTTCTCATTGTTAATGCATTTATGTTTGGAAGCCCTTTTGCATGGAAATAAGATAATCAGGCCAGGCACAGTGGCTCACGCCTGTAATCCTAGCACTTTGGCAGACTGAGGTGGGTGGATCACTTGAGGCCAGGAGTTCAAGACCAGCCTGAGCAACGTGGCGAAACCCCATCTCTACTAAAAAATAAAAAAATTAGCTGGGTGTGGTGGTGCACGCCTGTAATCACAGCCACTCTGGAGGCTGAGGCATGAGAATTCCTTGAACCCTGGAGGCGGAGGTTGCAGTGAACTGGGATTACACCACTGCACTCCAGTCTGGATGACAGAGCGAGACCCTGTCTCAGAAAAAAAAAAAAAAATAACCCAATGGGATGAAAATTTTGGGATGAAAATTTGTGTGAACTTAAATTAAGTGTCTCTGCCATCCTGGCCAACATGGTGAAACCCCGTCTCTACTAAAAATACAAAAATTAGCTGGGTGTGGTGGTGTGTGCCTGTAGTCCTAGCTATTTGGGAAGCTGAGGTGAGAGAATCGCTTGAACCTGGGACGCACAGGTTGCAGTGAGCCAAAATCACGCCATTGCACCCAGCCTGGTGACAGAGCAAGATTCTGTCTTAAAACAAAAAAAATTAAGTGTCTGAAATTGTAAAAACTTCTCAAGAAATAAAATTCAGACCTTAAACATAATTTTACTGTAGGAATATAACTTACCTTTTGAAGGAATTCTTTCTTGAAGCCATTATTTGTGTATTTATTTATTTTTAATTAACTTTTTTGTTTGTTTGTTTTTTTGAGATGGAGTTTTGCCCAGACTGGAGTGCAGTGATGCGATCTCGTCTCACGGCACCTCCCAGGTTCAAGCGATTCTCCTGCCTCAGCCTCCCAAGTAGCTGAGATTACAGGTATGGGCAACCACGCCTGGCTAATTTTTGTTTTTAGTAGAGATGGAGTTTCACCATGTTGGCTAGGCTGGTCTCAAACTCCTGACCTCAGGTGATCTGCTCACCTCGGCCTCCCAAAGTGCTGGGATTACAGGCGTGAGCCACACTGCCGGTGCTTGCCACCTTGCCTGGCTAATTTTAAAACTTATTTTTGTGGATATTGAGTTTTGGTTTTTTGTCTAGGCTGGCATCGAATTCATAGCTTCAAATGATCCTCCTGTCTTGGCCTCCCAAAATGCTGGGATTACAGGCATGAGCCACTGTGTCCGGCCTTGAAGCCCGTCTTGAATGTAACACATATGTAGAAAAGTATGTAAAACAAAAGTAAAGCTTTACAATTTATGAATCAGACACTTGTATAACCATGATGTAGGTCAAGCACTAGGACCTTACTGACATTCCACAAGCTTTCCTTGAAGCTTCCCAATCACAACCCAGTCCTTCTCTCATAAAGGTAATCTCTGTCCTGATTGTAGGAGAATCACCTTCTTTTTTTGTGTGTGTAGACCTTTTTAGTTTTGGCTTAGTTTTGATTGTTTTGCATCTTTATATGCATGGAATCATATTGTATGTATTCATGTCTGGCTTTGACTCAACATTTTGTTTGTAAGATTTAGATTTGTATGTAGCTGTTCGTTCATTTTCATTGCTAAATAGTATTCCATTGTATAAATATACTACAGTTTATTGTATTATTGATGGATATTTAGGTTGTTTCTAGTTTTGGGCTATTATGGATTATGCCACTATGACTATTCTTGTAAAGTCTTTTTTTTTTTTTTTTTTTTTTCCTGAGACGGAGTCTCGCTCTGTTGCCCAGGCTGGAGTGCAGTGGCGCAATCTCTGCTTACTGCAACCACCGTCTCCTGGGTTCAAGTGATTCTCCTGCCCCAGCCTCCCGAGTAGCTGGGATTACAGGTGCCCACCATCACACCCAGCTGTTTTTTTGTATTTTAAGTAGAGATGGGTGTTTGCCATGTTGACCAGGCTGGTCTGGAACTCCTGGCTTCAAATGATCCACCTGCCTCAGCCTCTCAAAGTGCTGGGATCACAGGTGTGAGCCACCATGCCCGGCTTTTTTTTTTTTTTTTTTTTTTTTTTTTTTTTTGAGACAGTTTCACTCTGTCGCCCAGACTGGAGTGAAGTGTTGTGATCATGGCTCACTGCAGCCTTGACCTTCTGGGCTCAAGTGATCCTCCCACCTCGGCCTCCCAAGTAACTGGGACTACAGGTGCATACCACCATGCTTGGCTAATTTTTTTTTTTTTTTTGGTACTTTTTTGTAGAGATGGAGTTTTACTATGCTGCTCAGGCTGGTCTTGAACTCCTGAGCTCAAGTAATCTGCCTGCCTTGGTCTCCCAAAGTGCTGGGACTACAGGTGTGAGCCACTGCACCTTGCCTTGTGCAAGTCTTTTAGTGCATATGTGTATGTAATTCTTTTGTGTATTTGGCCAGGAGTGAAAGTCCTGGGTCATAGGATATGCATATGTAGAATTTTAGATAATTGCCAAACAGTATTCCTTCTTTGTGGTTCTACAAATTACATGCCCCAAAGAGTGTTTGAGAGTTCATTTTGTTCCATATCTTTGCCAATACTTAGTATTGTCACTATTATTAACTTTAGCCGTTCTGGTGGATTTGTAGTAGTATCTCTTGGTTTTAATCTGCATTTCACTTATTACTAATGAGGTTGAATAATTTTATGTTGGTTACTTAGGAAACCTTTTGTGAAATGCTTATTCACATGTCTTGCCCAATTTTATCTTTTTTTTCTTATTATAGGAGTTCCTTATATATTTTGGATATGACCCCTTCTTTGGTTATTTGTGTTGCAAATATTTCCACCTTACTCTGTGGCTTGCCATTTAAGACTTCTTAAGGAGGCCAGGCACCGTGGCTCATGCCTGTAATCCCAACACTTTGGGATGCTGAGGAGGGTGGATTGCTTGAGTCCAGGAGTTCGAGACCAGCCTGGGCAACATAGTGAAACCCTATCTCTATGAAAAATGCAAAAAAAAAAAAAAAAAAGACTCAAAAAAAAAAAGAGAAAAGAAATGTGTTAGGACCCTAATTGGACTTTAATTGGATTTGTAGATTAATTTGGGTAGAATTACTTTTTTGTAATGAGGAATCTTTGACTAATTCAATATGATATCCCTGTTATTTATGTTGTATTTCATATATCTCAGTAATGTTTTATAGTTTTCTGTGCAGTATTACACATCTTTTGTTAAATTTAGTCCTAGTATCTGATGGTATTATAAATAGAATTCTAAGATCAATGTTATTTTCCATTACTTGTTGGTATATTGAAATAAAACTGAATTTTGAGTGCTGACTCTGTATTTTGCTAATCAAGCCTTATAATAATTTTATCTGTAGATTCTTTTGGCTTTCCAACTTACATAACCATATCATTTGTGAATAATTACTGTTTTCTGTTTTTCTTCGCAATTCTTACACCTTTTTCTTTTCTTCACTGGCTGGGATTTCTGGCATGTTGTTGAATAGAGATAGGAGACGTCATTGTCTTTTCCCATCTCAAAGGGAAATCTTTCAACTTTTCATTGTTAGGCATGATGTTGTCAAGCACACTTACACAAGACAAGGCAAGGCTAAGACCTTGCCTGTCTGATTTGACTGGCAAAGACACAGAGAGCCTCTTTAGACTCAGACAGTTTATCTGTTACATAGTCGGCAGAAAGAAGAATAAGCCAAAGGTTCCTGCTCCCTGTGATCTTTGTCCCACATACCAAAAAGGATAACACCACAACAAAAGGGGCTGATGCCTGCAGTGTGAGCTGGGGGATACTCTGTTGATGAGGAGCCTATTCTAGGCTGCTGCTAAGTGGTTTTGTATTCTACAGCGCTGTTCTAAGTTAGGCAGGGCTGAAGGTTCAATGCCTTGTCAGAACCCAGGATGCCATGAGAAACTGTCTCATGGCAGCTTCTAAGGAAGATAGGGAAGAGGTGACCTGGGAGAGCTCCATATAGGCCTTCCACCATCTCCTGTTATGGGAGGATCACAGGGCATTCCTCCAAGACTCAGATAAGCTGCAGGTCACCAGAACACCATGGTGGAACTGTTTCCCTACAGATGTTTGTTATAGTTGCTTTTGCACATGTCCTTTATTAGATTAAGAAAGTTTCCTCCTATACCTAGATTTTTATTCATTAGTAAATGTTAAAATGTGTCCAGTGTGTTTCGTATCTATTGGATGCTTCCCCCCCTTTCAACCCATTATTATGGCCAGTTACATGGATTTAAAAATTCATTTCTGCTGGTTAATAAATTTCTTTCTTTTTTTCTTTCTCTTTTTTTTTTTTTTTTTTTTTTTGAGACGGAGTCTTGCCCTCTCGCCCAGGCTGGAGTGCAGTGACGTGATCTCGGCTCACTGCAACCTCCGCCTCCTGGGTTCAGACAATTCTCCTGCCTCAGCCTCCCAAGTAGCTGGGATTACAGGTGCCCACCACCACACCCAGCTGATTTTTGTATTTTTAGCAGAGATGGGGTTTCACCGTGTTGGCCAGGCTGGTCTCAAACTCCTGACCTTGTGATCCAACCGCCTTGGCCCCCCAAAGTGCTGGGATTACAGGTGTGAGCCACCATGCTCAGCTGGTTAACACATTTCTAAGCATTTTTTTCCTTTGAAAGATTTTACTTACTTGAAAAAAAATTGCTGTTGATGACTTTCTTTTCTCTGGCTGCCTGCCTTTTTCTGTGTGTGTGTGTGTGTGTGTGTGTGTGTGTGTGTGTGTGTGTATAAATTTTTTTTTTCTCATTGTTCATATAGAATTCAGGTATAGAATTCAGGTTGCTGAACTTTTCAAGGAAGAAAGACCGTATTTAACTTCTGATTCATCATTAAGAAGTTATTAATGGTCCCAGAGACTCATAGGGGTTTCTTCTGAAGTAAGAAGAAGCCATGTTTTACATCTTCAGATGCCACGTAGGTGACTTTTCTACCTTCATGGTAGTATTCACTTTACTTTCATTAAAGGCAAGTAATTTTGAGTACTTCAAATTAGTTCCCATCCCTTTTCTAAACTTTAAACATTTTTAAAGAAATCTTTATTTATTTTCACCTGGGGTTTCACTCTGTCACCCAGGCTGGAGTGCGGCAGTGCTATCATGGCTTACTACAGCCTCGACCTCCCAGGCTCAAGCGATCCTCTTGCATCAGCCTTCGAGTAGCTGGGACTGCAGGAGTGCACCACCACACCCAGCTAATTTTTTGTAGAGATGGGGTTTTGCCATGTTGCCCAGGCTGGTCTCAAATTCCTGAGCTTAAGTCATCTACCCACCTTGGCCTCCGAGTGTTGGGATTACAGGCATGAGACACCATACCTGGCCCCTTTTCTAAACTTTTATATGAAATTTAGGCTGAACCTTTGCTTGACGTTATTCTCCCTTGCATTTAGATATAAAGTTATTAAACAGAAAAAGTTACTGAAGGTAGATAATTATTGGCTATTTCATGTGATTTTTCTGGTGGTTACTGTAGTCAATTTTATAGTATTGCCAAGTTTCTGAATCCATTCTGAATAATGTGATTGTTTATTCTTATGCTTTGGGCCTGATAATTTTTGTAGAGCAGCAGTTCTTATCTGGTTTCCTGTTATTTTTAAAATAAATTAATTGAAAATGGGCATAAATTATTTGTTAAGTTTGAACTTGACAAATGCAGGTAAAGTATAATGATATTATATTTCTTCTGTACAGCAAGTATATACATGTATATTTTAAATCATCAATCAGGATTTCCTTCCAAAGTTCAGAATTAGGTTTTGATTCTTAACAGTTTATATTAAAATTCTTATTATTATTACTTTTTTTTTGAGATTCTTAACAGTTTATATTAAAATTCTTATTACTTTTTTTTTTTTTTGAGACAGAGTCTCGCTCTATCGCCCAGGCTGGAGTGCAGTGGCATGATCTTGGCTCACTGCAACCTCTGCTTCCCGGGTTCAAGCAATTCTCTGCCTCAGCCTCCCAAGTAGCTGGGAATACAGGCGCCTGCCACCACACCTGGCTCATTTTTGTATTTTTAGTAGAGACGGGGTTTCACCATCTTGGCCAGGCTGGTCTTGAACTCCTGACCTCAGGTGATCCACCCGCCTCGGCCTCCCAAAGTGCTGGGATTACAGGCATGAACCACTGCACCTGGCCAGTATTATTACTATTTTTTGAGACAGATTTTTCTCGCTCAGGCTGGAGCTCATTGCAGCCTCGAATTCTTAGGCTTAATCAATCCTTCTGCTTCAACCTTCCAAGTAGCTGGGACTGTAGGCATGCGCCAGCATGCCTGGCAAATTTTTTTTTGTTTTTGAGACAGAGTGTTACTCTGTCACCTAGGCGCAATTTCAGCTCACTGTAGTCTTGACCTTCCACTCCTAAGTGATCTACCCACCTTGCCTCCTGCATAGCTGGGACTACAGGGGCGTGCCACCATGCCCAGCTCATTTTTGTAATTTTTTTTGTTTTGTTTTTAAGAGATGGGGTTTTGCCGTGTTGCCCAAGTTGGTCTCAAAACCCTGGGCTCAAGTGATCCCCTCACCTTGGCCTCCCAAAGTGTTGGTATTGCAGGCATGTATCACTGTATCTGGCCTTTTCTTTTTTTATTAGAGACAGGGTCTTGCAGTCCAGGCTGGTCTTGAACTCTTTGGCCTCAAGTGATCTTCTGTCTTGGCCTCCGAAAGCCCTAGGAAACAATTCTTGTAAATAGTATAGCAAAAATGTCTGCTTTATAAATTTTTCATTTTTATAGTTGTTCAAGAGTACATATGTATTTCCTTTTTTCTTTTTCTCGTTCCTCATTCAAAAAATATGGAAAATCTAATATACAATATATATGTGTATATAGTATATATAATATAGTATATATATGGTGTATAGTATATAGTGTATATATAGTATAGTGTGTATATATATGACTCTGTATTGTGTTCCATCTTGGCAGTACAGTGTTTGAGGCACTGTCTCCGCCCTCAGGATGCTGGTGACCAGGGAGGGAGACAGTAAACAGGCAATTACAGTAGAGTGTGATAAGTGTTATTGATACGTGCAAGAACTAGAAGGTTTAAGGAGTGGCCAAAGAGGCTTGAAATTGGGTTTGGATCATGAAGGGCTTTGTAAACCCTGTTAAAATCTGACTTTTACCTTGGAGCAATGGCAAGACTTTGGAGACTTTTGAGTAAAGGAAATAACAGGAGTATATTTGTATTTTACAACAAATGGTTAAGAGGAGGCTATGTGAGGAAGCCAACTAGGAGGCTGTGGACCTGTTCCCACTAAAGCCTAAAAACTAAAGTAGTGACAGTGGGGATAGAGACGCGTACAGAGTTAAAAGCTTTAACAGGACTGGGTAATTCATTCTCTCTCTCTCTCTCTCTCTCTCTCTCTCTCTTTCTCTCTCTCTCACTGGGTAATTCTCTCTCTCTCTCTCTCTCTCTCTGTGTGTGTGTGTGTGTGTGTGTGTGTGTACACACTTTGTGGGGAAAGGACAGTTAGTTGATGGGGAGGAAGAAGACTAAAGTGACTCCCAGACTTTCAGATGGAACCCCTAGGCTAGGAACAGTGCTATTGGGTACAGTAGCCACTAGCCATGTATGGCCATTAAGGTATGTCTAAACTAATTTAAATAAAATAAGATTTAAAATGCAGTTATTCAGTTGCACTAGCCACACAAATATAGAATTACAGACTCTTAAATTCTGTAAATTTCATCCAGAGTACTATGAAGTTATAAATTCAAGAGTATGCACAGAGATTCAAGCAGAAAATAATATCTGGCTACATGTGTTTAACAGCAGTATGGGACTGGTGGCCTCTGTATTGGACAGTGCAGATATAGAACATTTCTGTTACAGAAGGTTCAGTGGGACAGCAGTGGTCTGCAGTTTTTGGTTTCTACTTTCTTTTCCCCGCCAGAGGAGAGTCAGAATAACAGGTGGTTTTCTCTCGTCTCCTAAGAACTTTGGTTCCACAGTATTCTGTTGTGTGATATTGTTACCCAGGGATTCTGCTAGATACCGTTCACTACTGTCAACCACCATCACCCAGTCATCAGGTATAGGACGTTTCTGTAATCAGAGAAGGTTCTTTTGGACGGCACTGAGCTAGAGAGATGGTGATGTCATTCATCGAGCTATTGATGGTTGTGGTGGGACAACAGTAGCTGCCAGAAAGCGCTGTTTATTAGAAATATGAGCCACATATGTAATTAAAAAATTTTTAGTAGCCACATTAAAGAGTAAAAAGAAACAATTGGATTTTATAACTTATTTAACACAGTATGTCCAAAATATGATTTACAACACATTAAAACATTTAAAAATTATTGATCTATTTACATAATTTTTTTTAATTTTTTTGAGACAGGCTCTTGCTATGTTGCCCAGGCTGGTCTCGAACTCCTGGGCTCAAGTGATCCATCCGCTTCAGCCTCCCAAAGTGCTGGGATTACAGGTGTGAGCCACCATGCCCGGCCACATTATTTTTTAATACTAGCTCTTTGAAATCAATTGTATACTTTCATAGTATATCTTAATTGAAATACTAATTTTTTTGTTCTTTCGTTATTTTCAAATGCTTAGTTTTATCAGAAATATTTCATCTGTATTTATATCTGTAAATCATAAAATTTACAGTTGAAAAAGTAGATTTATATGCCCAGGTTATTCCAAACATGCTTAAAACTTTTCCAGTAATGGAATTAAGTATCGGTTTTTAAAGTTTCAATTCCCGTGAAATAAGAATAAAAATTCAGTTCCTCGGTCTCACTAGCCACCTTTCAAGTGCTCAGCACTCAGCAGCTGCATATGGCTAGTGGCTACCATATTGGACAACACAGCTCTGGAATAACTGCTCACTGGATGGTTGGAAATTCAGGTCTGGAGTTTAGGAAAGAGGTAGCAAGACAGAAGTTAGAAGGGAGGAGCTGTGAGGAACATGGGGATTTAAAAAAAGAAGTTTGTGACTTTGAGCAAACTAATTTTAACCTTGGTGCTCCATTTAAAACAAAATCGATAAAAGCATCTTGGTGAGAGTATAATAGTAGATGAATATGCAGTATCTTGTGGTGGTAAAGATTTTTTTTTTTTTTTGAGACAGAGTCTCTCTCTGTCGCCCAGGCTGGAGTGCAGCGGCACTATCTCGGCTCACTGCAAGCTCCGCCTCCCGGGTTCACGCCATTCTCCTGCCTCAGCCTCCCGAGTAGCTGGGACTACAGGTGCCCGCCACCACGCCCGGCTAATTTTTTGTATTTTTAGTAGAGACAGGGTTTCACCGTGTTAGCCAGGATGGTCTTGATCTCCTGACCTCGTGATCCGCCCACCTCGGCCTCCCAAAGTGCTGGGATTACAGGCGTGAGCCACCGCGCCCAGCCAAGATTTTGACTTTAGAGTTTGATAGAGCTGTGTGATCTTGGGCAACTTACTGGGCCTAATACAATCTTTCTCCTTGAAAGGGGTTTGCTGTTGGGATTAAATGAAATATTGTGACAAGTGTTCACTGCATATAATACGTATTTCTTTACTTTTAAGTTGCCATTTCTTTTTGGTGAGGTGTACTATCAACTTAATAATTCATTCTTTTTAGAAAAAAAGAAACATAATTTAGTTATACATGTTAATTATAAGCTGCATCCCAATTCAGAAACTTTAAAATATGAAAAACTGTTTATCTTAAAATATTAATATTGATGAGTGTTCATTATAAACTAGATACTGTGTTAAATGCTTTATATGGTGATGTAAAAGGTTTGATTTTTATAAATATGCAATGTAATATGATATTTTTGTTATAAAGTTTCATTTAAGTAGATTCTGCAATACAAATCTCTTCTGGAAACTTTAAAATGCATGATGGTATAACTCCTTTTTTCAGTTATTTCAGGAACCACTGAATTCTGCTTGAATCTCTTTGGATACTTCTAAATTTATGATTTCTCCAGGCTAAATCTGCAGAATTTGAGTCTGTAATTCTACCTTAGTGAGTACACATATAAAGAATTACTATTTAAAAAACTGCCTTGGTAGAGTTTATTCAGAGAAGCGTGGTAACCGAGGGGAGGAAAATGGACTTTTCCAGGTCGAAGAGAAAGGAAATATTGGCTGGGTGCCATGGCTCATGCCTGTAATCCCAGCAATTTGGGAGGCTGAGGTGGGCAGATCACTTGAGGTCAGGAGTTCGAGACCAGCCTGGCCAACATGGTAAAAACTCATCTCTACTAAAAATACAAAAATTAGCTGGGCGTGGTGGCGGGTGCCTGTAATCCCAGCTATTTGGGAAGCTGAGGCAGGAGAATCGCTTGAACCCGGGAGGAGAGGTTGCAGTGAGCCGAGATCATGCCACTGCATTCCAGCCTGGGTGACAGAGGAAGACTCTGTCTCCAAAAAAAAAAAAAAGAGAAAGGAAATATGATTTTTTTTTTTTTTTTTGACAGAGAGTTTCATTCTTGTTGCCCAGGCTGTAGTGCAATGGCATGATCTCATCTCACTGCAACCTCCACCTCCCAGGTTCAAGTGATTCTCCTGCCTCAGCCTCCTGAGTAGCTGGCATTACAGGTGTGTACCAGCACACCTGGCTAATTTTTTTTTATTATTATTAGAAATGGGTTTTTACCATGTTGGCCAGGCTGGCCTTGAACTCCTGACCTCAGGTGATCCGTCCTTCTTGGCCTCCGAAAGTGCTGGGATTACCGAACCCGGCTGGCTATATGATTTTTGATGCTCTGCAAATTCTTTTCTGAGGTCTTTTTCTTAAGTCTCATCTTCTGGCAGTGTGCCATTCCACCCGTTTCTTGGAGAAGACCAGAAACATGTTTATAATGCGTACCCATGCGTTATATACACAGTGTGTACTAGGAAACCTTACTGCCTTATTTGTGGTAGTTTCAGTAGACCCACTCAGGTCTGAAATAATATTAGGCATTTTACATCCGTATTATTGGAAATAATGAAAAATTTTATATGTGCCAACTGCATTTGGTGATAGCAACTGCAAGTGCTGTGTTGAAAATGACTTTGAGACTAGGTACAAAAGGATGAAGTGTTCACCCTGGAATTACAGTGGCTCTCCTTTTGTTTCTGTTTAAGTCTTCTTAACATTTTTCCTTTTTTTGTTTTTTGAGACAAGGTCTCACTCCGTCACCCAGGCTGGAGTGCAGTGTTGCCATCACCGCTCACTCTCACAGCAGCCTTGACCTTTTGGGCTCAAGCTATCCTCCTACCTCAGCTCCCAAGTAGCTGGGACTACAGGCATGCACCACCATGCCCGGCTAATTAAAAAAATTTTTTTGTAGAGACAGGGTCTCTCCGTATTGCCCAGATTGGTCTCAAACTCCTAGGCTCAAGCGATCTGTCTACCTTGGCCTCCCAAAGTGCCAGGATTACAGGTGTGAGCCACCTTGTTTGGCCAACATTTTCCTTTTTAAATAAGTAGTGTTTACCTGTTTGGAAAATTTTGACAACTATTAGGAAAAAACTAGGTTTCAGCTCATCTTTTGGCTGTGCTTATATTTGCAAAATTGAGAGTATACTGTAGATTAAAATATATTCTTGAAGGCTGGGCACAGTGGCTCATGCCTGTAATCCTAGCAGTTTGGAAGGTCAAGTTGGGCGGATCACCTGAGGTCAGTAGTTCAAGACCAGCCTGGCTGGTTAGCCTAGCTAACATGGTGAAACCCTGTCTCCCCTAAAAATGCAAAAATTAACTGGATATGGTTGCAAATGCCTGTAGTCCCAGCTGCTTGGGAGGCTGAGGCATGAGAATTGCTTGAACCCAAGAGGCAGAGGTTGCAATGAGCGGAGATCACCCCACTGCACTCCAGCATGGGTGACAGAGTGAGACTCTGAAAAAAAAAAAAGCATATCCTTTTTCATTATTGTGTTATAAACGTTTTTTAAATGGCAGACATTGGTTTGTAAATGGTTTTTGTAGGCTTCATGTTAAGTCATAAAGATTTCACTTAAACATTTCTCAATGAAGTGAGTACTAATAAAGCTGGTGTATCTTTATAAACTTTTCTCTACATTTTGGATCATTTGAGTAGATTGGTTTTTCCTGTTCATAGAATTACTGGATCAAAAGATATGTTTTTAAGACCCTTACTGTAACCATTTTCAAACTTGCTGCTTCTCAGATACTTTTATTATTTTTGGGAAGAAACAAATACTTACTGGGTTCCTATAATTTTTCACTTAAACCCTTTTAAACTTATGATATGCTTCAGACATGCAAAAAGATACAGAGAATGATGTAATTAATATCTGTGTATCTACCACCTAGCTTAAGAAATAAACAGTCACAGACTTAAAATTCCTGTGCAGCTCTTCCTGATTATAAATGTCTGTATTTACCAACAGTGATGTGGATATTTAATCTTTTTTTTTTTTTTTTTTTTGAGACAGAGTCTTGCTCTGTCAACAGGCTGGAGTGTTGTGGCGTGATCTTGGCTCCCTGCAACCTCCACCTCCTGGGTTCAAGCTATTCTTCTGCCTCAGCCTCCCAAGTAGCTGGGACTACAGGCCCAGCTAATTGTATTTTTAGTAGAGACGGGGTTTCACCATGTTGGCAAGGATGGTCTCGATCTCCTGACCTCGTGGTCTGCCTGCCTTGGCCTCCTGAAGTGTTGGGATTACAGGCGTGAGCCACTGCTCCCGGCTGATATTTAATCTTAACCATTAATTCAGGTCTGCGTCCAAGATCTTTTGGACCAGAATTCAGAATTTTTTTCAGATTTTTAGAGAGATGACATGCATATATTATATATAAGCTAACTTTTCAAGTATGTTTTGGGAATGGTCCCTAATTTCTTCATTAAACACTTTGGGATTACTGACCCAGTCCAGGTCTGGTTTTACTATCATATTAGTTATAAATTTTTGGATTTTTAGACATTTTTGTTATTCAGTCTTGTGAATAGACGTTTGTGAACAGGTACATCTGTTTTACTTTGTTCAGCTTAATCACTGGTAGAATTTGTTGAACTTTGTGTTGAGCTGATCACGATGTAGTATGAGATGTATAAAATGCAAGGTAACATAATTTTATGTCCAAACAATTTAATATTTTAGGATTTTATGAAATCAGGTTATCAGTGAGCACTAGAGTCGTTGGGGAAGGCTACACAACCTAGAACTTGACTTGTTTCAACTAAGTGGCGCAGATTGCTGTTACAACTGGAGAACAACTATGATTAACAACCTTGTGTTTATTTCTAAGTATCTAGCTTGACAAAATATTTGTCATGATGAGAACTTTGAGAGAACTTATAATTAACTTGATTAATTGATAAGAATTATTAAAAACTGCAGTTAACTTGATTGTAAACTGAGTTACCCTTCCATTAAAAAAAGGCGAAATAGTAACTGACAAGTGTTAAGATTGCTCGTTTACAATTGATGTGTCATTGCTGCTCCAAGCAGAGGTGGCCTTTCAGATAGGTATGCTCTGAAACAGTGCTGCTTTAGCCACACTGTCGTGTAGTTTTAGTCTCTAGTCAGTATTGGAGAATCAGATTAAGGTTATACAACTAGATGCGTAGTGTTAGCAGACTTAATACATTTTAGTTACATGCTGAGTGTAGAGGCAGAGAAATCTGTGCCTTCATTAACTTGTAGATTTATTTTCTTTCTGTCTTTCTGTCTGTCTGTCTTTGGGTCTGTCTGTCTTCCTTTGTCACCCAGGCTGGAGTATAGTGATGTGATCATAGGTCGCTGCAGCCTTGAACTCCTGGGCTCAAGCTGTCTTACTGCTACAGCCTCCCAAGTAGCTAGGGCTAAAGATGTGTGCCACCACACCTGGCTAATTAAAAAAAAAGTTTTTTGTGGAGACGAGGTCTTGCCGTGTTGCCCAGGCTGATCTGAAGTGATCCTTTCGCCTTGGCTTCCCGAAGTGTTGGGATTATAGGCATAAGCCATGTGCCTGGTGATTTTTTTTTTTTTTAAACTTCCTGCTACTTACAGAGATATTAGCAATCTGTCTATGCCTAGCCCATTAATTGCTGTGTAAATTAGTGCCGAATGGTTGTGGAGGTCTTTATTTAAACCTGTAGTTTATAATGAGACTTAAAAAAATGTAAGTTTTTTTTTTTGTTTGTTTTTGAGACAGGGTTTCACTCTGTTTCCCATGCTGGGATGCAGTGGTGTGTTCTTGGCTCACTGTAGCCTCTGCCTCTGGAGTTCAAGCAATTCTTATGACTCAGCCTCCTGAGTAGCTGAGATCATAGGCGTGTGCCATCATGCCTGGCTAATGTTGGTATTTTTGGTAGAGACGGGGTTTCACCATGTTGCCCAGGCTGGTCTCGAACTCCTGAGCTCAGGAGATCCACCCATCTTGGCCTCTCAAAGTGTTGGGATTACAGGCCTGAGCCACCACACCAGGCCAAAAAAAGTAAAGTAATACACACTCACTATAAAAAGAAAATGGAACAGAGAAGAAAAGTATGTAAGTAAGGAAAAAGGTGATTCCATCTGGTCTTTCAGAAATAGGCTTTTACCGTACAAATCATTTCTGTGTATATACAAACATACGTGTATATATCCTTTGTACACAAATGAGATTGCCTCGTAAGCATTCTTCTGTAACCTGGTTTTTTTCCCACTTCACAATATGTTTTTGCATGTCAGATCTATATCTTAGATATAGATATTTACTTAATTTTTTTTTGTTTTTGTTTCTTTTTCCTTTTTTTGAAATGAAATCTCACTGTCACCCAGGCTGGAGTGCAGTGGTGCAATCTCAGCTCACTGCAACCTCCGTCTCCCAGGTTGAAGTGATTCTCCTGCCTCAGCCTCCCAAGTAGCTGGGATCACAGGTGTGCGCCACCATGCCTGGCTAATTTTTGTATTTTTAGTAGAGATGGGGTTTCACCATGTTGGCTAGGCTGGTCCCGAACTCCTGATCTCAAGTGATCTGCCCTCCTTGGCCTCCCAAAGTGTTGGGATTACAGGCATGACCTACTGTGCCCTGCCTCTTTTTCTTTCTTTTTTTTTTTTTGAGACAGTCTTGCTCTGTTGCCCAGGCTGGAGTGCAGTGGCATGATCTTGGCTCACTGCAACCTCTGCCTCCGGAGTTCAGGCAATCCTCTCACCTGAGTAACTGGTACTACAGGCACACACCACCTTGCCCAGGTAAGTTTTGTATTTTGGTAGAGACAGGAATTCACCATGTTGTCCAGGCTGGTCTTGAACTCCTGACCTCAAGTGATCTGCCCACCTCAGCCTTTTAAAGTGCTGGGATTACAAGTATGAGCCACCATGCCTGGCCATTGTTTTTCTTTTCTTTTTTTTAAATTAGGATTGCCTGAAAGAAATTTTTTTTAAACAGCAGCATTGTCTTTTGTAGTTGAGAGATACATAAATTTATTCAACTAATCTCTTTGGAAATTTAAGCGGTCTCCTTGCTGGTACAAACAATGCAATAATTGAATATCATTGCACATTATGTCCTTGAACCTGTGAAAATATATTTTATGGAGAATATTTTTTAAAGTGAAACTTCTAGTTCAACAATGTGCACATTTTAAATTTTGATAGATTGTGCCAAATTGTACCTCAGTGGGATTTTAAATTTTTGGTTTATTGTTCATCTTTTCACAGGGAGCCTAGGATAGCAGCATATTTCTCGTCCCTAGTAATATTTATAACCCTTTAAGAAAATGAACAGGATCTTTAAACATGTTGAAATACAGTATTAAAAATATTTGACTCGTTGATGAGCATAACCCCATTACATCAGGTTGTACTAGTAATTTTGAGATTTATGTGAGAATTTCACATATAATTATTTAAATAGCTAATGGGTGGTATATTACATCAGGTTACATCAGGTTGGACTAGTAATTTTGAGATTTATGTCAGAATTTCACATATAATATTTAAATAGCTAATGGGTGGTATATTACATCAGGTTGGACTAGTAATTTTGAGATTTATGTCAGAATTTCACATATAATTATTTAAATAGCTAATGGGTGGTATATTACATCAGGTTGGACTAGTAATTTTGAGATTTATGTCAGAATTTCACATATAATTATTTAAATAGCTAATGGGTGGTATATTACATCAGGTTGGACTAGTGATTTTGAGATTTATGTCAGAATTTCACATATAATTATTTAAATAGCTAATGGGTGGTATATTACATTTTCTGGTTCAACTTACAAATATAGCACATCTGTGTTAGCCTAGTCCATTATAGTTAGTTTGAAGTAAACTGCTGTGTTGCTATTAAAGAATTTTTTTGCTTTCATTTGTCTTAATGATATTTGGTGTTCCTTTGGAGACTCAGTTCATAAAGAGCTATTATTATTTTTCTAATCTATGAGGAGAGTGAGAGATTGCTGTCTGCAGTTGCATGTTATGCTCGTAGCTATTTGTGGGAAGAGTGAGAATTAAAGGCTAACATATAATCATTGTGGGTAGAAGTATTTTTATTTTTAGACTTCTGAGTATAATGGATTTCTGTGGGGTGAGGCGAGACTGGGGCTGTTTTTCTCTCACAGTATGTATATAACCATTGGGATCAGTGCTTTTCTTTTCTTTTTTTTTTTTTTTTTGATTTTTTTGGATACACTGTTTCACTCTGTCACCCAGGCTGGAGTGCAGTGGTGCGATCTCGATCTCGGCTCACTGCAACCTCCGCCTCCTGGGTTCAGGCAATTCTCCTGCCTCAGCCTCCCAAGTAGCTGGGTTTACAGGCGTGTACCACCATGCCTGGCTAAGTTTTGTATTATTAGTAGAGATGGGGCTTCACCATGTTAGCCAGGCTGGTCTCAAACTCCTGACCTCAAGTGATCTGCCTGCCTTGGCCTCCCAAATTATTGGGATTATAGGCGTGAGCCACCGTGCCCGGCTTCAGTGCTTTTCTTAGGGAAAAATGATTCTGGAATTTTTGAATATTTTTATTTATTATTTTTTTGAGATGGAATCTTGCTCTGTCACCCAGGCTGGAGTGCAGTGGCATGATCTCGGCTCACTGCAGCCTCCACATCCTGGGTTCAAGTGATTCTCCTGCCTCAGCCTCCTGAGTAGCTGGGGTTACAGGTATGTGCCACCACGCCCAGCTAATTTTTGTATTTTTAGTAGAGACGGGGTTTCACCATGCTGGTCAGGCTGATCTCAAACTCCTGACCTCAGGTGATCCACCCGCCTCAGCCTCCCAAAGTGCTGGGATTACAGGCATGACCCACCATGCTCGTCCTGAATATTCTTTGTGTTTTTTTCTGACAGGCTTTGTGATGTGAATAGTAGTGAATTGATAGTGAAACTGTATTGTTAATAAACACATAATTTAAGATAAGCCAGATTTCTGGTAATATTCTTCTCAGAATTAGATTTTAGGAAATTTCTCTAAATGTAAATCCTGGAAAGCTTGCAGAGATTTAAATGTTGTTCTGGTATTTTTTTTTTTTTTTTTTTTGAGACGGTGTCTTGCTCTGTCACCTAGGCTTGGAGTACAGTGGCACAGTATCTGCTCACTGCAACCTCCACCTCCCGGGTTCAAGCGATTCTCATGCCTCAGCCTCCCAAGTAGCTGGGACTAGAGGCGTGCGCTATCACACCCCGCTAATTTTTGTATTTTTCGTAGAGATGGAGTTTCACCATATTGGCCAGGCTGGCCTCGAGCTCCTGGTCTCAGGTGATCTGCCCGCCTCAGCCTCCCAAAGTGCTAGGATTACAGGCGTGAGCCACCATGCCCAGCCCATCTGGTATTTTTAAAAAACTCAAAATATAGGGTACAAAATTCATCTTAAGTGCTTGGTACATCTTTAGCTTGGTAGGTCTCTGACATAGAGTTTAATAGAGATTTTTTTAGTATTGAGAACCCATTTGTCCCCACAGACATATTTTCTGCGTGTGATTGCTCTGTGTGTATGTGAATTTTTAATTTCTTTCTTAGATGAGAGGCATTAGTCTGTTTTTGAGCTTATGCCATCTTCTTGGAATTAAGATTTAGCTACAGAAGTTTGTATTCTTATTAATGCAGGAAGAACAGTTTTTTAAAAAATTGAAATCTTGCCCATTTAGTTAATTATTTTCAGGGGATAGATGACAAAAGTAAATTGCAAGACATGTACAGAAGGAGGTTGTCAGTTCATGGAATTTGTTTTATTTATTTATTTTTATTCAGAGTCTCACTCTGTTGCCCAGGCTGGAGTGCAGTGGCATGGTCTCAGCTCACTGCAACTTCCACCTCCCGGCTTCAAGCGATTCTCCAAGTTGATTCTCCTCCCTCAGCCTGTGGAGCTGCTGGGAGTACAGGTGTGCGCCACCATGCCTGGCTAATTTTTGTATTTTTAGTAGAGACGGGGTTTCGCCATGTTGGCCAGGCTGGTCTCGAACTCCTGACCTCAAGTGATCCGCCTGCCTCGGCCTCCCAAAGTGCTGGGGTTACAGGCGTGAGCCACCACACCCAGCCTAATTCATAAAATTTGGATACTGTTTAAAGATAGAGAAAACTTTCTTAACTTGAGGAAAATGTTAAAAATTGCTTTCATTATATTTGTTTTAGATTACATTTAGTTGCAGGTTCCATAAACTACATTCAAGATTAGTACTGCTTTTTAAATGTATATGAACTATCTAATGGTTTTTACGTGGATTTAGGTTAATTGTGGCGTTGGCAAACACTTACTGCCTGCTTGATTTGTATTAGACACTGTGCTAGGTTTTGGAGATGGAGTAAGACATTCCTTTACTTTTAAGGAGGTGATTAACTAAAACAATAATTACATTATTTTAAAAGCCCCTGGTTACCTCAGAGGAGCACCTAAATTAGACTGAGGGGCATGAAGGTTTGTGTAGGATTGTGACTGTTGAACTTAGTTTGGAAAAATGAGCAGTAGTTAGCCAGTTGATGGGGCAGAAGAAGGTCATGGAAACCAGAGACAGCTTGGTATTTCAGGGAATTGCATAGACCTGATTATGGTTGTCACGTGGAGAAGGACAGTGGATAAGTAGTAGTTTCAGAGAGATAGGCAGGGCCAAATGATGAAAAATCTCATATGCACTACCAAGGAATTCAGATTAAAAAAAAATATTTTTTGAGACAACGTCTGGCTCTGTCTCCCAGGCTGGAGTGCAGTGGCATGATCTCTGCTCACTGCAACCTCCGCCTCTTGGGCTGAAGTTACCTTCCCACCTCAGCCTCCCAAGTAGTTGGGATTACAGGTGTATACCACCTGGCCCAGCTAATTTTTTGTATTTTTAGTAGAAACGGGATTTTGCCATGTTGCCCAGGCCAGTCTTGAACTCCTTAGCTCAAGTGATCATCCTGCCTCGGGTTCCCGAAGTGCTGGGGTTATAGGTATGAGCCACCGTGCCCAGCCAAGACATTTTTAAAATGTGAGAATACACAAGCACACATTCCATTAGCTGTCAGTGGGATATTATCACATGTCATGTAGCTCTGGAAAACACTATCATGCACTTGTGAGAGAATCACGGTGAAAAAGGCCAATGACATCATCCTTTTATGGAAATAGTTTTGCCCTCATGGACCTCCTGCAAGGGGGTCTTGAGCACCCCTGGAATCCCTTACCCATCTGGAGAATCATATTAGAAGATCATTATGGCACTGGTGTTGAGAATTGTTTAGAACCTATAAAAAGAATCACATTTATTTTTGCTTTTTTGAGACAGGGTCTTGCCATGTCATCCACGCTGTAGTGCAGTGGAACTATCGTGGCTCGCTGTAGTGCAGTGGCACTATCATGGCTCACTGTAGCCATGAACTCTTGGGTTCAAGCAATCTTCCTGCCTCAGCTTCCTGAGTAGCTGGGACTGCAGGCATGAGCCACTATGCTGGGCTATTTTTTTTTTTATTTTTAAATTTTTTTTGCAGAGATAGGATCTTGCCGTGTTGTCCAGGCTGGTCTTGAACTCCTAGACTCAAGCAATTCTCCTGCCTTGTCTCCCAAAGTGCTAGGATTACAGGCATGGGCCACTGTGTCAGGCCAAGAAGGACATTTCATATTGTGATCCAATATGCGCACTTTAAACATCGCAGAAAACAAGACTGTATTATCTCTTGCTGCTTTACAAATTACTTCAAAACTTACTGGATTTAAAGAACATCTGGCTGGACACAGTGGCTCATGCTTGTAACCCCAGCACTTTGAGAGACCAAGGCAGATGGATCGCCTGATATCAGGAGTTTGAGACCAGCCTGGCCAATATGGCGAAACCCCATCTCTACTAAAAATACAGAAATTAGCAGGGCCTGGTGGCACATGCCTGTAATCCCAGCTACTTGGGAGGCTGAGGCAGGAGAATCGCTTGAACCTGGGAGACGGAGGTTGCAGTGAGCCAAGATTGTGCTACTGCACTCCAGCTTGGGCAACAGAGTGAGACTCCTTCTCAACAAAACAAAACAAAAAGAAACAAACATCTCAGATTTTATGAAGAGTATGTATTGGGTGATTCTGACTCAGGGTATCTAGTGAGGTTGCAGTCAAGATGTTGACTGCTGAGTTTACACTCATTTCAATTCTTGACTGGGATTGGAGGATCTTTGAAGCTATCTCACGTGGCTGTTGGCAGGAGACCTCAGTTTCTGAATATGTGACTCTCTTCACAGGGTAGTTTGAAGTTTGAGTATCCTCACGACATGGCAGCTGGATTCCTGAGAGAGAGTGATTTGAGAGAGTGACGAAGACAGAAGCCCCAGTGTCTTTTAAGAGTTAGTCATGAAAGTACATCATTGGAAGCAAGTCATTAAGTCCAGTCCACACTCAAGGAGAGGAAATTTAGTCTCCCTCTTGAAGGGAGGAGCATTAAATAATTTATGAACATACTTTAAAACTACCACAAATAATTGTCAGGAGAATGAATCTTCCATGAGCTTCTTATTTCTTTTGTTTGAGATGGAGTCCTGCTCTTTCACCCAGGCAGGAGTGCAGTGGCGCAGTCTGGGCTCACTGCAGCCTCCACCTCCCGGGTTCAAGCGATTCTTCTGCCTCAGCCTCCTGAGTAGCTGGGATTACAGGCACATGGCCACCATGCCTGGCTAATTTTTGTATTTTTAGTAGAGACGGGGTTTCACCATGTTGGCCAAACTGGTCTCAAACTCCTGACCTCAAGTGATCTGCCTGTCTCAGCCTCCCAAAGTGCTGGGGTTACAGGCATGAGCCACTGCATCCAGCCGAGACTCTTATTTCATATACACCCTGTTGAGTGTGCCAGGAATGCAAGCAAGGCCTTGACTGTTCCTAGGCCAGGCCATTTTTCAGGATTGTGTTTGCAGCGGGCCACTTTGCGGGAGGAGGTAATGTCTTCCATTGGGACAAAGAGCAGGCCTACTTACTACTTACTATAAAAGTGGTGGATTCCGGCCGGGCGCGGTGGCTCATGCCTGTAATCCCAGCACTTTGGGAGGCCGAGGTGGGCGGTCAGGAGATCGAGACCATCCTGGCTAACATGGTGAAACCCCGTATCTACTAAAAATACAAAAAATTAGCCGGGCGTGGTGGCACGCACCTGTAGTCCCAGCTACTCGGGAGGCTGAGGCAGAAGAATGGCATGAACCCGGGAGGCGGAGCTTGCAGTGAGCCCAGATCGCACCACTGCACTCCAGCCTGGGCGACAGAACAAGACTCCGTCTCAAAAAAAAAAAAAAAAAGTGGTGGATTCCCTAAGCCCAATGTTCCTTAGCTGTGATGCAAACCCACTGCCTGTGTAGCATCCATCTGAGCCCCTCCATGTCACCTTATGGGACTTGGGGATAACAGGGAGACAGTGCAAACATGTTCATGCTTGCTGCGCTGTGAGTAATAAAAGTTCTTTGTGTTTGACCCAGGAGACTCATGTATTCTGTCAGTATCCATGAAATGGTCATAGGCTAATGTATTAACCTGTAAGTAGGGTTAAATAAAATCCTAGTTCCTTCACAGTTCTCAACATTACTTATGTTTACTTTAGTGTGATACACTGTGAAAATAAGCTATACATTTTATTTTCTGTTCTATTTATCTGTTTATTTTAGAGATCCTATCTCTATTCTCCTATAGATAGGATCTTGCTATGTTGTCCAGGCTGGTCTTGAATTCCTGGACTCAAGCAATCCTACTTCCTTGGTCTCCCAAAGTGCTGGGATTACAGGCACAGGCTATTGTGCCTGGCCAAGAAGTACATTTTATATTGTGATCCAGTATGCACATGTGCATGCATATGCACACCTGAAACATTGCAGAAAACAATACTGTTATCTCTTGTTGCATTACAATTACTTCAGAACTTACTGGATTTGAAAAACAAACATCTCAGATTTCATGAAGAGTGTGTTGGGTGATTCTGGCTCAGGGTATGTAGTGATTTTATTTCATTTAAAACAAACAAGAAAACAAGCTTGGTTGCAGCTTATCAAGCTGATTTCACAACCTACTATTGGGTCATAATTCTAAGTTTGAAAAACACTGACTGGGGACTGTTACCGTTTGGCTGTGTCCCCAGCAATCTCATCTTGAATTGTAGTTCCCATAATCCCTACATGTTGTGGAGGGACCTGGTGGTAGCTGAATCGTGGGGTCGGTTACCCCATGCTGTTCTGATAGTGAGTGCTCACGAGATCGATTTTATTTTTTCTTTTTTGAGACAGAGTCTTGCTCTGTCACCCAGGCTTGAGTGCAGTGGCATAATCTTGGGTCACTGAAACCTTTGCCTCCTGGGTTCAAGTGAGCACGTCTGGGTAATATTTGTATTTTTAGTAGAGATAGGGTTTCACCATGTTGGCCAGGCTGGTCTTGAACTCCTGACCTCAAGTGATCCACTGACCTTGGCCTCCCAAAGTGTTGGGATTACAGGCGTTAGCCACCGCGCCCAGCCTAGATCTGATGGTTTTGTAAGGGGCTCTTCCCCCTTTGCTTGGCACTTCTTCCTGCCGCCATGTGAAGAAGGATGTGTTTGCTTCCCCTTCTGCCATGATTGTAAGCTTCTTGAGGCCTCCCCAGCCCTGCAGAACTGTGAGTCAATTAAACCTCTTTCTTTTATAAATTACCCAGTCTTATGGGTAGTTCTACATAGAGCTTGAGAATGGACTAATACAGGACTCTGAGGCTAGAGGCAGGCAGTCAGGTTAGAAAGTTGTTTTAATTCAGGTAGGATAGGATGGCATAAACCAAGGTAATAATTGTGGGAATGGAGGAAGAGGATCAATTTAAGAGGTACCTAGAAATCAAAGCAACAGGAATTGTATTGTTTTGATAATATGTGTGTATATGGAGTATGAAGATTTTGGGAGGACTCTCAGGCTCTGGCTTGAGCAGCTGATGTTATTCATGTGAATAGATGTTGTCCACTACCATGTTCTTTTTTTGATTTTTTTTTTTTCCCCTGCAGCAGCAGGTTTGGTTTTGGAATGGGGAGACCTTGATACGGAGTTCAGTTTGGGGGCATGGTGTATTTGAGGTGCATGTGAGGAGTATAAGTGAAGATGTCCAGAAGTGGGATACATAGTTTTGATTCTCAAAGGAGAAGTAAAAAAGTACTGGAGAAGTAGTGAATTTGGAGTCTTTGTTGTACATATGTTATTTTAAGCTGGTGGAGGCAGGGAGAAAGGATTTCTTAAGGATGATATTGTAGTGTGAGAATAACATAGGGATGAAGATCAGAAACATTTAAGGGAGGAACGAACAAAGAAGGAGGAGGGTTAGAAGAAAAGAGCATATGATATAAAGAAACCAAGAGAGGAGAGTGTCAAAAAATTGGGAGTGCTTAAGAAACAAGATGTATTATAGACAGAAGTTAAAAAGGCATTAGAGAGGAAAAGTGTTCATTAACTAAGGTTTCTCTGGAGAAGCCAGAGGGAATGGGGACTAAAGTACCCTGTGGAAGGATTAGCTGTAGCCCACTTCCATCAGAATAGAGGAAGTTAAGGATGGTTGTTGCTGTCAATGAACATGTGGAGAGAGAAAGTTGAGATAGTTCCTGTTTGATTTCTTTGTTTCTCTCTTATGTAGGAGATGAGATACGTAAATTTGATAGGGCTGCTGTAAGAAAGTACCATCAGCTGGGCACGGTGGCTCACGCCTGTAATCCCAGTACTTTGGGAGGCTGAGGCAGGCGAATCCGTTGGGCCCAGGAGTTCGAGACCAGACTGGGCAACATGGTGAAACCCCACCTCTACCAAAAATACAAAAATTAGCTGGGTGTGCTGATGCTCGCCTGTAGTCTCAGCTACTCGGGTGGCTGAGGTGGGAGAAGTGCTTGAGCCTGGGAGGTTGAGGCCACGGTGAGCTGTGATTGTACCACTGCACTCCAGCCTGGGTGACAGAGGAGACCTTGTCTCAACAAACAAAAACACAAAACATCTCCCGCCTCTCCACCCCGCTCCCCCCACAGGTTTGAAACCACCTGCCTGTTATTTCAAACCACCTGTGTGTTCACATTTTTGAGGACTTTTAACCTGTTTGACCAGAATAGATACTGTCTTTAGAATCTCATTTTTGACAATATGATTTACTTGGTACTGTTTTCAATGAAGAAACACTTATAAGAATCAATTTACATAACAATGGATTTTGGGAAAATATTGTTTAATATGCTGAAGCCTGTTGTTACTTGACCTAAGCCAATGCTTTGAAATGATGCTAGGAAATCAGAGAGATCTAGTTTAGATCTATATTGTCTTTGAAAGAAGTCTATAAAGTTGATAGCTATAGTTTAGTGGGTTCTGCATCCACAGCTCAAACCACCTGTGGACCAAAAATATTTGGGAAAGAATCTTAAAGTCACCTTGAAAAAAAAAGTGGAAAAAAAAAAAAAAAGAAAATACTTGGGAAAAAATAATACAACATGGAAAAATAATACAAATAAAAAACACAATAAGTATAACAACGATTTACATAGCATCTACATTTTATTAAGTATTATAAGTAATTTAGAGATGATTTAAAGTATGCTGGAGGATATCCATAGGTTTTATGCAATTACTGTGTCATTTTGAATCAGGGACTTGAGCATCCTGGGATTTTTGTTGTCTGGGGCAGTCTTGGATATCTGGATACGTTCTACTGGAGCCAGTCCCCAGCAGATACCAAGGGACAACTGCCTGTGGTTTTAAAATTTGTTTTAGTTATACTTGTAGAGTATGAACATGTTTTCTTTTTTGAAAAAAAAATTCAGGTGCTTTATGGTAGTTTGAGTGTAAAGCTTTCTAAGTTGAGCTAAAGCCTCCACAAACATTTTTCCCCTTTATAACACAAGTTTCCTTCCCTCTAATTATCGCTGTTTCAAAATTGGCATTTCCCGTGTAGGAATTCTTTACATACTCTGTTTACAGATCATTATACTTATGTTCACTGTATTTTTCACCTAGCTTTTGGTTTATCTTTTAATTTTATTTACAGCATTTTTTGGTATAATACTTTGTCATTTTGACATAATTAAGTGTGTTGGTTGTTTTTCTTTATGGTTTTTGCTTCTGGTTTTTTATTTAAGAAGCCTTTTCCTAACTCAAGTTCACAAGGATATTCTTCAAAATTTTCTTCTAGTACTTTTAATGGCTTAAAAAATTTATATCTTTAATGTATATGGAATTTATTTTGGTGTACTATGTGAAGACGAGTATACGTTATGTTTCTCAAAGAGCAACAAGTATTTAAACTTCATTTATTGAGTGATTTTTCATTTCCTCACTGTATTAGTCTGTTCTCATGTTGCTAATACAGACATACCCGAGACTAGGTAATTTAAAAAGGAAAGTTTTTTTTTTTTTTTTTTTTTGAGACGGAGTCTCGCTCTTGTCACCCAGGCTGGAGTGCAGTGGCGCGATCTCGGCTCACTGCAATGTCTGCCGCCTGGGTTCAAGCTTCTTATGCCTCAGCCTCCTGAGTGGCTGGGATTACAGGCACCTGCCACCATGCTTGGTTAATTTTTGTACTTTTAGTGAGATTGGGTTTTGCCGTGTTGGTCAGGCTGGTCTCGAACTCTTGATGTCAGGTGATCCACCCGCCTTGGTCTCCCAAATTGCTGGAATTACAGATGTAAGCCACTGCACCCTGCCAGGAAAGAGGTTTAATGGACTCTCAGTTCCACATGGCTGGGGAGACCTCACAATCATGGCAGAAGGCGAATGAGGAGCAAAATTATGTCTTACATGGCGACAGGCAAGAGAACTTGTGCAGGGGAACTCCAATTTATAAAACTATCAGATCCCATGAGACGCACTCACTACCACCAGAACAGTAGAGGGGAAACTGCGCCCATGATTCAGTTAAGTACACCTGGCCCCACCCTTGATACATGAAGATGATTGCAATTCAAGGTGAGATTTGAGTGGGGACACAGCCAAACCATATCACTCACTGTTTGGAAACGTTACTTTTAACATATATTAAATTCCCATATATAATTTAGACCCTGTTCTTGGGCTAGTACTATACAGTTTTCGTTATTATAGTTTTACAAGGCTACAATACTTTGTAAGAAACCTTGCAGGTCAGATGTGGTTTTGTTGTCAGGAATTTTTTCCAGTAATACTTAGTGGACATTATGTAGTATCCAGTAATCACACACATTGTTTTCTTAATGAAATATATGAAGTCACACTATGTGGGATACATATAAACAGTAAGTAAGCTCAGATCAGGTCAAGGTTTGCTGCTAGATGAGTTAAAAGGAAAATCTTATTTTCAGAGGTTTTTGGATTTTTGCAGTACAAATGAAGAATTATGGATTTGTAATTTATGTTGCTGTTGAGGGCTGTCTTCCTTCCTTGTTCATCTATTTTAAATTGTTTGGTTACTCTTGTATCTTTACTCTCCATTTGAATTTTAGAGTCAGCTTGTTGAGTTACTTGAAAAATCCTTCAACACCTGTGAAAGGAAGGGATCTATAGCTGGTTAGCAAAATCCTGTAGAGATTTTTCACTGGGATTGTGCTAAGTAGTTGGGGAAGAACTAAATCTTAGCAGTGTTTGTCTTCTCATCCATGAACACAGATAACTTTGTTTAGGTGTTCTTTCATGTCTTTCAGTAAAATGTTATAGTTTTTTTCCCCCAAAATTCTTGCACATTTCTGTTGATTTACATCAAAGTACTTTTATGGTTTTGTTGCTGTTGTGAATGGGATTTAAAATTTCCTTTAAATTAAAAACTGCATTTTCTAGTTGTTACTACTGATGTATACATTGATACTTATATATTGATATTGAGTTTGACCAGTTTGTTGAGTTCTGTTATTCTAATAACTTGTCAGTTGATTATCTTGGGTTTTCAGTTAGCAAGTCAGATATTCAGACATTGAGTTTAATCTTTTCCTTGTCAATCTTTATACTTCTTGTTTTTTTTTCTTTTTCTTTTTTGTAGACAGGGTCTTGCTATGTATCCCAGGTTGGTCTTGAACTCCTGGCCTCAAGCGATCTTCCTACCTTGGCCTCCCAGAGCGCTGGGATTATAGGCATGAGCCATTGCACTTGGCACTTTTTTTGTTTGTTTTCCAGTTGCATGGTATGTTTTCAGCGTTCAGTTTTGAGACATCTAAAATATCTCTAAAATATTGTTTACTATGAGTACATTATGCTGTAATCACATTCTGAATGCGTGAGTACATACATGGTAGAAGGGCTAGATCTTCTTTAAGTGGGGGTAATGGAAAGTCTCTGAGAAGGGAAATATTTATTATTGGAGGATTTAATGTGTGATCTTTTCATTACAGATATGGTGTAAGATACTTCTTCAAGATTGGACAGCTGGGGACCTTCTTCTGATTAACCTTAAACCAACTTGTAGCCATAGAGACACCTCACAAGGTTCCCATTTTTGTTGTTGTTGTTGTTGATTTTCTGCTCACACCTTTCCTGACCTTGCAACCATGTATGGAAGTGCCCGCTCTGTTGGGAAGGTGGAGCCGAGCAGCCAGAGCCCTGGGCGTTCACCCAGGCTTCCACGTTCCCCTCGCTTGGGTCACCGTCGAACCAACAGTACGGGAGGGAGTTCGGGAAGCAGTGTTGGAGGTGGCAGTGGGAAAACCCTTTCAATGGAAAATATACAATCTTTAAATGCTGCCTATGCCACCTCTGGCCCTATGTATCTAAGTGACCATGAAAATGTGGGTTCAGAAACACCTAAAAGCACCATGACACTTGGCCGTTCTGGGGGACGTCTGCCTTACGGTGTTCGGATGACTGCTATGGGTAGTAGCCCCAATATAGCTAGCAGTGGGGTTGCTAGTGACACCATAGCATTTGGAGAGCATCACCTCCCTCCTGTGAGTATGGCATCCACTGTACCTCACTCCCTTCGTCAGGCGAGAGATAACACAATCATGGATCTGCAGACACAGCTGAAGGAAGTATTAAGAGAAAATGATCTCTTGCGGAAGGATGTGGAAGTAAAGGAGAGCAAATTGAGTTCTTCAATGAATAGCATCAAGACCTTCTGGAGCCCAGAGCTGAAGAAGGAACGAGCCCTGAGAAAAGATGAAGCTTCCAAAATCACCATTTGGAAGGAACAGTACAGAGTTGTACAGGAGGAAAACCAGGTAAGTTCTACGTGTGTTTACCTTTATTGGCTGAATTCATGTATATAAATGAAATAGCCTTTTTTTCCCCTTTCCTAGATTTTTCCCTTCGTAGTATATGTATCTTCCTTTTTCCTATTGATTTTACTGTTTTGTGTCCTCCATTTCTCAGCCCTTTCCAAATTTGGTCCTGTACCCTGTTTTCTTCTAGCTGCCCATGTCTCCTTGCTCCCATTCTTGCTTGGTTCTTTTCTCTGGTTTCTCTTTCTCTTCGTGTCTTTCCTTTCAGCATATGTTATCTTTTTTTTTTTTTTCCAATTCTTCTGAGAGTATAATTTTGCCACACTCTCTAATATCTATTACCAAATGTATTTTAGAGTAGGTAACTTAAATGTAAGGTATACCATTAAGATTTGTCATAATGTCAAAAAGTCATTCTTAAAAACAAAACAAAATGACTATCACAGGATAAGTCAGTGTTGTCAGCTGAGAACAGAAATTACTTTTAAAAAGTTAATGTTGGCCGGGTGCAATGGCTCACACCTGTAATCCCAGCACTTGGGAGGCCGAGGTGGGCGGATCATTGAGGTCAGGAGTTCGAGACCAGCCTGGCGACGTGGTGAAACCCTGACTCTACTAAAAATACAAAAATTAGCCAGGTGTGATGGCGTGTGCCTGTAATCCCAGCTTCTAAGGAGGCTGAGGCAGGAGAATCACGTAAACCTGGGAGGCGGAGGTTGCAGTGAGCTGAGATCCCGCCACTGCACTCCAGTCTGGAGTGAGACTCTGTCTCAAAAAAGAAAAAAAAGTTAATGTTGATGATGTATTTATTAAGTACAAACAATAAGTACCTGTTCTTTTTGTTGCCATTCATGGAAGTTTAACTTCAGGATGCTTTTGTAGCTTTTCGTTCTGTAATTCTTTACATTTAAGGTGGAGGAAAGGCAACTTGGTGTGATTGTTTACTTGTAGAAAATAAATGAGATGACTGGGCATTATAATTATGGGCTTTGCAATTTGAGAGCTAAGTGCTGTCACATTAGCTACAGGAAATATTCACTTATTTTTCTGTGCTCCTCCAGGTTATAGTTGATGTTTGATGATAGCCATGCCACATTCAGTGAGGAAGCTGATGACTCCAAAGATGTGAACAAATCATATTCAGGCTCTACTAGTTAAAATGTTAAACATACTTTTTTTTTTTTTTTTTTTTTGAGACGGAGTCTTGCTCTGTCTCCCAGGCTGAAGTACAGTGACGCAATCTCAGTTCGCTGCAACCTCCACCTCCCAGGTTCAAGTGATTCTCCTGTCTCAGCCTCCTGAGTAGCTGGGATTACAGGTGCCCGCCACCACGCCTGGCTAATATTTGTATTTTTAGTAGAGACGGGGTTTCACCGTGTTGGCCAGGCTGGTCTCAAACTCCTGACCTCAGGTGGTCCACCTGCCTTGGCCTCCCGAAGTGCTGGGATTATAGGCGCGAGCCACCGCCAGGCCCATACTTTTTGTTTAAAAGACTTTTAGAATTTTTCTCTTTTCACATTTTTTTCCCCCATGGCCCAAGTTGTCTGTACTTTTAGAAGTTTTCTTAAACTTGCAAGCTTGAGTTTTTTTCCTCCTTAAAAAAGCTGTCTTATACTCTTAAAGGAGAATATGTAATTAGCTACCTCATTGTTGGTATTACACTTTATTTTTGGATTAGGTTAATAAAAATTATAAAGAAAGCAACTGATATCAATTTCTGCAGTGTTCTTAAATGATACTAAGAAGTAAAGAAGCAATCAGAAATGATCTGTGTCTCTGATGAAGAAGTCATCTGCCACACAAAGATGTTTAGGTCAATGATGGACCTCATGTATCACTGTGGTCCCATAAGATTACAATATAGTGTTAGCCAGGTGTGGTAGCTCGCACCTGTACTCCCAGCACTTTGTGAGGCTGAGAGGGTGCGGATTGGTTAAGGCCAGGAGTTTGAGACTAGCCTGGGCAAAATGGTGAAACCCTGTCTTTGCAAAAAAATAGAAAAAAAATTAGCAGGGTTTTGTGATGGACGCCTGTACTACTTGGGAGACTGAGGCAGGAGGATCACCTGAGCCTGGGAGGTCGAGGCCACAGTCAGCCGAGATTGGGCCACTGTACTCCAGCCTGGGTGAGAGTGAGACCCTGTCTCTAAAAACAAAACAAAAAACAAAGATTATAATACAGTGTTTTCACTGTATCTTTTCTATGCTTAGATGTGTTTAGATACACAGATATTTACCATTGTGTTACAGTTGCCTACAGTATTCAATACAGTAACATGCTGTACAGGTTTGTAGCCTAGAAGCAGTAGGCTATATCCTATATCCTAGGTGTGTGGTAGGCCGTACCAGGTGGATTTGTATAAGTCCACTTGATGATCTTTGCACAGTGATGAAATCGCCTTTCTCAGAACATATCTCTGTCATTAAGCAACATATGACTGTAAATCTAATTTAAGATTTCGGTTGATTGTCTTACCATTCTTACTATTATGCAGTCCAGATATTCAGATCTACTGTTTTGGCTACTTGAAGATCTCTAGTTACATTACATTTTGTATGTTAAAGCTCCAGACACATTTTCAGCTATAAAAATAGCTCAATTTTTCTGTTCATAAATATAAAACAGAAAAGCATAGATATGAAAGCAAAATATATTCCAGATCCTCCCATCTACTGACAACTTTGCTATTCCACTGTTAACATTTTGACATTTCTCTTTACTGAAATATCTCTATGCATATACACGTAACGGATTTACCTGAATGGAATACTGTTGGTATTATGCTGTGACCTTCTTTTAGCTAACAACATTTCTACTGTATATTAGAGGCCTCTAATATATATCTAAATCGTTATTTTTAATGCCTCCTACCATTCTATTGTATCTATTCTAGTTAATATCACAGGGCCAAAATTCTTCAGATTTACTTGGTAGTACAACGCAAATTAAAAACCTTGAATTCATTTGAATCAGATTTCTAAGTAATTAGAAATTATGATAATTTTATTCTTTCTCAGATACATTATAACTTCAAACTACTTTGCTTTTACTTTTTAATCAATTATTAAGTTGTCACTACTCAAAATTTGAATGTTTTAATATACTTAAATCTCTTTCTTAGAGACTTAGCTTCTTTAAAGAAGAGAAATTGTCCTTTAAAAAATATTCCTTAGAAAGTTCTTTGAGTTTGAGTCATTAAGACTTTAAGAATGTGTAAAGAAAGAAAAAAAGCTAAAATAGACCCCACTGATGGGGTCTAAAATTAAGGACAGGGTTCTTAAATGCTGGCTCAGAAACATCAGCATCAACAGGCATATTTGGTTAAAACATAGATTGCCAGGCCTCCCTTCATACCAGCTAAGTACAATCTCTGGAGATGGGGTCCAGGAACTTATGTTTCGAACAAGCTTCTCTGGTGGTTCTGATGAGAAACCACTCTTGGGATCTTTAGAATTTAGTAAATCTAATCTAATTCTTTTTTTTTTTTTTTTGAGATGGAGTCTCGCTCTGTAGCCCAGGCTGGAGTGCAGCGATGCGATCTTGGCTCACTGCAACCTCTGCCTCCTGGGTCCTGGTTCAAGCAGTTCTCCTGCCTCAGCCTCCTTAGTAGCTGGGATTACAGGTGCCCCCCACCACACCTGGCTAATTTTTGTATTTTAGTAAAGATGAGGTTTCACCATGTTGGCCAGGCTGGTCTTGAACTCCTGACCTCGTGATCCGCCTGCCTTGGCCTCCCAAAGTGCTGGGATTATAGGCAGGAGCCACTGCGCCGGGTGTAAATCTAAGTCTTAAACTTGTCTGTTGCCTGTTTGTCAATTTGTGATGGTTCTGTTGTGGCACTTTTGAGCTCAACCATGAAAGGAAAAGAAACAAGGGACCATTTGCTCAGTGTGTCTCATCCTTTATTCTACCACTTTATATCTCAGGGATGTGACCTACTCTTGTTCGTAATGATCATTAACTGTGACAGGGACCCTCAGTGGATGGGGCATGTGTAGGGGAAAAGGGTGTTTAAAATTTTAGATATGTTTAGTTACAAAGAGCCCTCCAGGTGATTTTGATGTCTCTTCACCTTGTGAATCATTGATGCACCAGATAAATGTTCAAATGATATATGACAGCAGAGCAGAGAAGTACATTTTCTTCAGTTGACATTTTTGAGTTGTCAGTACAATACTGACTTTAGTTTTTAATTTGCATTGCACTACCAAGTAAATTAGTTGAATTTGTCAGTTGAAGTACAACACCAAAAAGAATAATTCCTAAATATAAAATGATAGTACATTCTCAGGTTTTTTTTTTTAATTGTTGTTGTTTTGAGACAGAGCCTCTCTATGTCACCCAGGCTGGAGTGCAGTGGCGTAACCTTGGCTCACTGCAACCTCCATCTCCAGGGTTCAAGTGACTCTCCTGTCTCAGCCTCTGGAGTAGCTGGGATTACAGGTGTGTGCCACCATGCCTGGCTAATTTTTTTTTTTTTTGAAACAAGAGTCTCGCTCTGTTGCTCAGGCTGGAGTGTGGTGGCGTGATCTCGGCTCACTGCAAGCTCCACCTCCCGGGTTAATGCCATTCTCCTGCCTCAGCCTCCTGAGTAGCTGGGACTACAGGCGCCTGCCACCACGCCCAGCTAATTTTTTGTATTTTCAGTAGAGATGGAGTTTCACTGTGTTAGCCAGGATGGTCTCAATTTCCTGACCTCATGATCCGCCCACCTCAGCCTCCCAAAGTGCTGGGATTATAGGTATGAGCCACCGTGCCTGGCCAATTTTTTGTATTTTTAGTAGAGACGAGTTTCACCACATTGACCAGACTGGTCTTGAACTCTCAACCTCAGGTAATCCACCTGCCTTGGCCTCCCAAAGTGTTGGGATCACAGTCATGAGCCACCGCACCCAGCCTTTTTTTTTTTTTGAGCTGGAGTCTCAGTGTTGCCCAGGCTGGAGCGCAATGGCACAATCTCGGCTTACTGGAAGCTCTGCCTCCCGGGTTCAAGCGATTCTTCTGCCTCACCCTCCCGAGTGGCCAGGATTACAGGCGTGTGCCACCATGCCCGGCTAATTTTTGTATTTTTTTTTTTGAGACGGAGTCTTGCTCTGTCGCCAGCTGGAGTGCAGTGACACGATCTCAGCTCACTGCAACCTCCGCCTCCTGAGTTCAAGCGATTCTCCTGCCTCAGCCTCCCAAGTAGCTGGGATTTCAGGCATGTGCCACCACGCCTGGCTAATTTTTTGTATTTTAGTAGAGACGGGATTTTGCCATTTTGGCCAGGCTGGTCTCGAACTCCTGACCTCAGGTGATCTGCCCGCCTCAACCTCCCAAAGTGTTGGGATTACAGGCATGAGTCACCATGCCCAGCTTAAATTCTGTTTTTATAGTTTGGTATTGAATTGTAAATATCAGGAGAAAAAAATGAGTTTGCTTTCTTTAGTTTTGTGGTTAAGTATCAATATAACCTAGGTCTTGGAAACTGTATCTGTATTTTTAGGGGTTGTATTGGGTTCTTTTTCTTTTTCTTGGTAAAAATGAGATTGGTAAATTTGGAGTATGTAATGGTGTATACTAGTGCCCAAATATGAGATTCTTTATATGTATTTAGATAATTATCATAGTGTATCATATTTGAATATTATACAATTTCAAATGTATTGTTAATAAAAAATCACAGTTTGATTTAATTGAAAAGTGGCTGAGACATAATTTTTTATTATAAGAAATATTGTGAGCTGGGTATGGTAATATATGCATGTAGTCTTAGCTACTCAGGAGGCTGAGGCAGGAGAATCCCTCGAGTCCAGGAGTTTGAGTCCAGCCTGGGCAACATAGTGAGACCTTGTCTCTTAAAAATAAATAAAAAAATAAATAAAAATTTAAAATAATTAAGAAATATTGTGGAAAAATTGCATGTGAATAAACACTTCTTTTTAAAGGCTCTACTTTTCAAGAATGGATTGACAGTATATGTGTGTGTCAGATTATACGTGTGTGTGTGTATCAAATTTAGAGTAGATTTGAAGTTACTGGATTTATCACCATTATACCTGGAATTAGCTAGTCACCGTTATACCTTGTTGATGATGCTGAAACTATGCCCCTCACTAAGATAGTTTTTATTATGAAGTGACTCAGAAATGTCAATTTTAATGAAAAAAGTTATTGGCGTACTTGTTCATTTTGGAATAATTGAAGCAATTGTTTATGCCTGTACTTCAGAAGCTGTGTGGAAAATACGTAATATCCTTTCTAAGTATCAGTCTGCATTCAAAGACAAAATATTTGAATCTTCTGAATACTTCAGTTCCAGTGAAACAGTCCACAGGATTTTCATGCCAAAAAACCCATATGTGCTGAAGAATGGTGAACACCGCCTTATCTAGATTCCACCCCTTGCCCTAATTAAACACCAGTGCTGGCAGCGATGCATTCTCCGTATACCCACTGTAATTACTACACAATCCTAAAATTGTATAACTTTGGTCCAAAAAACGAAGGGTGCAATTTTAAAGTAAAGTGAAACACTGCAATGAGATACAGAGACAGAGAATGCTAATTAATAGATTATAGTCAGCCAGCAGTGGGGCCTAATTAAACTCTGCATTCATTATACCCTCCATAGCCCTCAGAGGTCAGGCATCTTCCACTTGATAAAGAAGATTGGTTTAATAGGATTTACAGTAATTAAATGGTTTCCCCATTTCAGTTTGAGACTGGGGATTTAGGTCCATTCTAAATATTGGATCTGATTGGACCATAGAGATCTTGTTCTAGGATCCTATTAGATGTAAAGACGCATTTGCTTAGAATTACTTGATATGTGTGGTTCTTTATTATGGAGTTCTTTTAGAAGATGTTTCTGATATAAATACTCAGCAATTTTTATGTCTCATCCTTTTGTTACTGAACTTTCAAATACTGCTGGTTGGAGAGTTAGAATAGTATGTAACAGGGAAGGCTTTTTCTTTTTCTTTTTTAAAATTGGGAGTCAGGAAGGTTTTTGGTGTATGTTTGACAAAGAATGAAAATCTAGCTGTGAGCTTGGTGGAACTGCAGAGCTACTAAGACTTTGGATGGGGCCGGGCTCAGTGGCTCATGCCTATAATCCCAGCACTTTGGGAGGCTGAGGTGGGCGGATCACGAGGTCAGGAGATCGAGACCATCCTGGCTAACACGGTGAAACCCCGTCTCTACTAAAAATACAAAAAATTAGCTGAGTGTGGTGGCGGGCACCTGTAGTCCCAGCTACTCGGGAGGCTGAGGCAGGAGAATGGCGTGAACCCGAGAGGCGGAGCTTGCAGTGAGCTGAGATCGCACCACTGCACTCCAGCCTGGGAGACAGAGCATGACTCCGTCTCAGAAAAAAAAAAATACTTTGGATGATTTTTTTTTTAAATTCTAAACAGCATTTAACCAGATTATCATCATACTTTTTAAATTATGCCTTGAAATAATTCTGTATGTTAAATTTAGTTGGAAGCTTATTTTAAAAATGTTTATTTAAAGCACTGTCATTGAAATATTTCATGAACAAAATACTGTTTAATATTATAGGACGGCAGGTGAATTTAATGTTTTTTGCCTTGTGTGTTGTGTTTCTTCTCTTTTTGGAGTCTGATTTTTATGTTGCTCATTTACTTAGGAATCGAGAATTTCTAGTTCAGAACTGCAAAAAGATAACCTTGTGTAATTCTTTGTCATTTTTTTTTCTCATTATTTGGAGACTTTTGACTATTAACATTTATATAATTTTAGGTTGTATCTTGATTTGCCGCATGATAAAAGCCATTATTATTTGCCATTAAATAAACTTTTTTTTTTTTTTTTTGAGACAGAGTTTTGCTCTTGTTGCCCAGCCTGGAGTGCAATGGTGCGATCTCGGCTCAGTGCAGCCTCCACCTCCCAGGTTCAAGTGATTCTCCTGCCTCAGCCTCCTGAGTAGCTGGAACTGCAGGTGCACGCCACCACGCCCGGCTAATTTTTTGTATTTTTAGTAGAGATGGTGTTTCGCCATGTTGGGCAGGCTGGTCTCAAACTCCTGGCCTCAGGTGATCTGTCAACCTCGGCCTCCCAAAGTGTTGGGATTACAGGTGTGAGCCACTGCTCCTGGCCTTAAATAAACTTTGTCATGAGGTTGCTAGTTGTTTCACTGTCATTTAAAGTCTGATCTTAAAATTTGGGATCTATGTCTTAGATTATTGTTTTAATTTTCTTTTTGATAATTCTGTTTTAACAAGGAGATGTAGATAAATTGGTATCCTTGTTTATTGCCCAGATAAGTTTAATCTTTTTTGTTGTTTCAGAAGGGGAATGTGTTAAAGGCACTATGCAGAGTGCCATGAGAAAATGAAATCAAATGTAAAATGGATAATGTTCCTTTTGGGGAGTTAACAATCATTTCGAGAAGCAAAATTTGTACATGTATGGCTTACAGAAATTTGAACTATGCATTTATCAGGTCTTGATCATAGGTGAAGGTATTTAAATCAGTGTGGGAAATTTGCTTCTTTTACAGTTGGTAAGTTTGCTTATCTGGAATGTAGTGAAGTATGAAAAATAATTAAGCAGAGCTAATAAAAATGTTGCACAAATATGAGATAGGGCTTATATGAAGAAATAAGGGCAGAGTTTGCCAGATAATTGCAGTTTCTCTCTCACTTTTTATTTTCCTCTGTCTTTTTGGATCTCATAGTGCAGTGTAGTGTGTGATCTCATCTCAGTGAAATAAAATTGTTTTTAGAGATTTGCTAATTTACAGCAAATTTGCAGATAGCATCTTAAATATAATTTGGGGGTCCTCTTTATTGTGCAAAAGAAATCAGAAAATGGGTTTAGTTTTTAGTTACATTAATGTTAATCAGTGGAGGTCATAGTTTCATTTTTTAACATTTAAAACCGTACCACCCTCTGGAACTTGCCATCTGTTATGAGTGCACTGTTATGCCCAGAAGAGTATAGGAGGTGCTTAGAAACCATACTTTATAAGAAATGGCTGAAGGAACTCAAGAAGAGAAGACTTGCAACATTTTAATTATACTCTTAAGTATTTGGTGGACAGCCATGTTGAAGGAGATTTTTCCTTTTTTCTTTCTTTGTTAGTATTGTTTTTGGAGAACAAACACTGGAAAAATGAGCACAAATATTAAGGTTTTAAATTTTGGCTGCAAGGAGGAATGGATTTTTGAAAAAAGCTATATCCGGCCTGGCGCAGTGGCTCACGTTTGTAAGCCCAGCACTTTGGGAGGCCGAGGCGGGCAGATCATGAGGTCAGGAGATCCAGAGCATCCTGGCTAACATGGTGAAACCCTGTCTCTACTAAAAATGCAAAAAATTAGCTGGGCTTGGTGGCGGGCACCTATAGTCCCAGCTACTCGGGAGGCTGAGGCAGGAGAATAGCGTGAACCCGGGAGGCGGCTCTTGCAGTGAGCCCGAGATTGCGCCACTGCACTCCAGCCTGGGCGACAGAGCAAGACTCCGTCTCAAAAAAAAAAAAAGAAAAAGAAAAAAACTATTTCCATTTGATGAAAGAACAGTTTCACAAAGTAATGCTTCATCATCACTAGAAGTGGTCACTGGGAGGTCAGATTGCCTTCTGACAGCTGCGTGGGTGCCCTAAGTCATTGAACTCTTCACAACGCCCAAGGGGGTATGGCATCAAGTGGTACTTTGTGGAGAAACATTTAGGGAGTTTACCCCATCCTCCCAGGTCCTTTTGTCCTTTTTCTCCCTCCCCATCTCCTTTCCTTCTTTTATGACAATTTTGTTGAGATATAATTGAATTCACCCTTTAAAGTATAGTTTTTTCTTTTTTTTTTTGAGACGGAGTCTCGCTCTGTTGCCCAGGCTGGAGTGCAGTGGTGGGATCTCGGCTCACTGCAACCTCCGCCTCCCAGGTTCAAGCAGTTCTCTGCCTCAGCCTCCCAAGCAGCTGGGATTACAGGCACACGCCACCATGCCCTGCTAATTTTTGTATTTTTAGTAGAGACAGGGTTTCACCATCTTGGCCAGACTGGTCTTGAATTCCTGACCTGGTGATCTACCTGCTTCGGCCTCCCAAAGTGCTAAGATTACAGGCGTGAGCCACTGTGCCCAGCCTTTTCTTTCCTAATCTGATTTACTCAATGAAGATTTTGAAGAAAGTAATAGTAAGTTGCCCTAGGGAGTTCTTGAACGAGGGCATAAATGATGTAATAAAAAATACTGTTCAGGAGCAGCTTTTACTGCTGTCAGCAGAGTGGATTGAAGAAAAGGTGGGGAAAGGAAATGAGTTTCTTGTAGAAGACCTGGATTAAACAGGGTAATAGGAATGGAGAAGAAGGTGCACATCCATGAGATTTTCAAAGAAATATTTGGATATAGGCAGGGAACGATGGCTCGTGCCTGTAGTCCCAGCACTTTGGGAGGCCAAGGTGGGCAGGTTACTTGAGCCCAGGAGTTCAAGACCAGCCTCGGCAAAATAGTGAGACCCCATCTCTTAAAAAACAAAATTAGGGCCAGGCACGGTGGCTCACGCCTGTAATCCCAGCACTTTGGGAGGCCGAGGCTGGCGGATCACGAGGTCAGGAGATCGAGACCATCCTGGCTAACATGGTGAAACCCTGTCTCTACTAAAAATACAAAAAAATTAGCTGGGCGTGGTGGTGGGCGCCTGTAGTCCCAGCTACTCGGGAGGCTGAGGCAGGAGAATGGCGTGAACCCGGGAGGCGGAGTTTGCAGTCAGCCGAAATCGCACCACTGCACTCCAGCCCTGGGTGACAGAGCGAGACGTTGTCTCAAAAAAAAAAAAAAATAAAAATAAATAAATAAATAAATAAAAAATTAGCTGGCATGGTGGTATGTGCCTGTAGCCCCAGCTACTTGGGAGGCTAGGGCAGGAGGATAGTTTGACCGCAGGAGGTGGAAGCTGCAGTGAGCTGTGAGTGCACTACTGCACTTCCACCTGGGTGACAGAGCAAGAGTCTGTCAAAAAAAAAAAGAAAGAAAAGAAATATTTGGATATAGACGGCAAGAGAGAAGAATACAGTGAACCATGGTATTGAGATTGGGGAACTCTTTTCCCTACGATTAACAACGGAAATGGATTAGAAAGTGGAACTAAATTTAGAGTAAGGAATGATGAATTTGGTTTTAATTATTTGAATAAAAGTTTTTCATAAGAATTTGGAGATAAGAGACTAATGACTGTGACCTCAGGTACATGCATATAGATGTTATAAAGGTGTGCTTGTTAATGTTGGGGAACTCACTTTTCTAGTTAATTCAGTATCAGCTACATGCCTCTGCTTATGGGAGTAAGAAGTGGAGAGGGAGAAGCCATTAGAAGATACAGTTTTATATATATGTTCTCATCCAGCTCGATTTGTGTTTTGGTTCTCTGTCTTTATTGTGGTATTTTTGTTTGACAGCAGATACCTTGAGTGATTCTCTCAATTCCTGAAAGTTATTATTTATTAAAGTTAATACTGATTTATGATTTTTTTACAAACTTCTACTATTAGATGTCCCTTATTTTGTTTTAGTTAACAACAAGTTTATTGGAGATCATGTACCTACCTCTGTTGTGATAAATTAGGAGTGACTTTGGGAAAAAGAGAAATATTACAAAAAATGTGCTTTCAGTGAGGAAATGATAAATTTTGTTTTTGAAAATGTTCTTTTCTTCCCTTATGGACAAGATTAGAAATGCTTTTATGAACTGTTTTTGTGCTACCATACACATTTCTAAAAATACTCATTTTTCTTTTTCTTTTTTTCTTTTTTCTTTTTTTTTTTTTTTGAGACGGAGTCTCGCTCTGTCAACCAGGCTGGAGTGCAGTGGCGCAATACTCCGCCTCCCGAGTTCATGTCATTCTCCTGCCTCAGCCTCCCGAGTAGCTGAGACTACAGGCACCCACCACCATGCCCGGCTAATTTTTTGTATTTTTAGTGGAGACGGGATTTCACCGTGTTAGCCGGGATGGTCTCCATCTCCTGACCTCGTGATCCGCCCACCTAGGCCTCCCAAAGTGCTGGGTTTACAGGCGTGAGCCACCGTGCCCGGCCTAAAAATACTCATTTTTCTTTCCAGATTTGGAAAGTTAGTCTTTAACGTAGATCTTTTCCTTTGATTTTTCCATATATTAACAATACTTACTGAACCCTTTCCCCCTTTATTTTGCCAGTCTTTTCTACGTAATAGGCTTTCCTTCCTAATACTGGATTGCAGTGACACTTGCTTAATTTCATATGTGGTGACTGTATAGGCCGAGAAAGTGAGATAGTTCAGCCTTAATGTACACAGTGTACCATCTCTTACCGGTGGCTGGTAGCTTATGTACTTTCAGAGAATGTGGTATGCAAAGATCTGTGTAGCTTTGAAGTCATCCTGAGATAACTGCTCTGATCTTAAATGATCCTCAGATACTTGAAGAGTCCTCTGTAGCAGTAATTCTTAAACTTGTTGGCCACAGGACCTCTGTATATTGTAAAAATTATTAAGGACCCCAAGCAGCTTTTGTTTATGTAGGTTATATCTACCAATATTTGTCATATTAGATACTAAAATAAAAAAATAATATTTATTAGTACATTTAGAAACAATAAACCTAATAAATGTTATCATAAGTAACGTTTTAAAATGAAAAACAGTTTTGCAAGTCTCTCTTTCTTTTTTTTTTTTTTTGAGACAGAGCCTTTGCACTGTTTCCTAGACTGGAGTGCAGTGGCATGATCTTGGCTCACTGCAGCCTCCGCCTCCCGGGTTCAAGTGATTCTCCTGCCTCAGCCTCCCAAGTAGGTGGGACTACAGGCATCTGCCACCATGCCTGGCTACTTTTGTATTTTTAGTAGAGACAGGGTTTTGCCATGTTGGCCAGGCTGGTCTGGAACTCCTGACCTCAGGTGATCCACCTGCCTCAGCCTCCCAAAGTGCTGGGATTACAGGCGTGAGCCACCGTACCCAGCCTAGTTTTGCATGTCTCTCTAAGGAAAGGAGGACTACAAATCTAAAGGCCTTATGTGGGTCTTCTGCCTCTTGTAAGAGGCTGCCACTAGAGTGCTCACTAGGTCACTCTTTAGCTGAGATCTCTGTTACTTGTTCAGTATTGTAATAAAATATTATGACCTGTGACATCAACATGGATTAACAAGTATCTGGCTTCTTGGTCAAGGGTTAGGAAGTTACACTGTTCTTTAGTAACAGTGAGCAATGGGAAAATGCTGTGAGTAATGGTGAGGAATGGTAACTTTGTTGATTTGTTGTTGATAGCATGTATTTCTTGACCCTTAGAGAGGTTCTTTGGGTGGGCTGTCTTAAGGAAGCCCTTATATTGTAGTTGGCTAACCAACAGGCCTGCGCCATCACACCCAGCTAATTTTTGTATTTTTAGTAGAGACGGGGTGTTGCCATGGTGGCCAGGCTGGTCTCAATCTCCAGACCTCAGATGATCCACCCGCCTTGGCCTCCCAAAGTGCTGGCATTACAGGTGTGAGCCACTGCATCTGGCCTACCAGTACTAGAGTCTGGCTCTGTTGCCCAGGCTGGAGTGTGCAGTGGTGTGATCTCCGCTCATTGCACGCTCCGCTTCCCAGGTTCACGCCATTCTCCTGCCTCAGCCTCCCGAGTAGCTGGGACTACAGGCACCTACCACCGCGCCCAGCTATTTTTTTGTATTTTTAGTAGAGACGGGGTTTCACCGTGTTAGCTAGGATGGTCTTAACCTCCAGACCTGGTGATCTGCCCGCCTCAGCTTCCCGAAGTGCTGGGATTACAGATGTGAGCCATTGCGCCCGGCCTGTTTTTTTTTTTTTTTTTTCTTTTTTTGAAATGGAGTTTAGCTCTGTTGCCCAGATGGAGTGCAGTGACACGATCTTGGCTCACTGTAACCTCCACCTCCCGGGTTCAACCGGTTCTCTTGCTTCAGCCTCCAGAGTAGCTGGGATTACAGGCACCTGCCACTATGCTCACCTAATTTTGGAATTTTTAGTAGAGACAGGGTTTCACTATGCCAGGTCTCAAACTCCTGAACCCAAGTGATCCACCCACCTTGGCCTCCCAAAGTGCTGGGATTACAGGTGTGAGCCACCGCACTCGGCCTAGTATTTTTAATTTTTTTTTTTTTAAACCCAGTTGCATTGTATTTATGTGATAAACCTACAGCATTTGTTGTATTTCAAAGAAGCATTTTTGGGAACTAAGTTTGTTTTATAGGACTTAAAATTTGAAAAATTGGGAGAATACATTCAAAAAATGTTCTTTTGATTATCTTTCATGGATTTGATAGCCTGCATAATAAGTAATTTCTTCTTTTCACATGACTCCTCTTCCTGGGCATAGGAACTTAAAGTAGGTACTACATTCTTAGGAGAGAAGCATATTGTAATGAGTGTTTCCAGTCTTTCCTGTCTTGTAATTTTAGGAGGGTCTATTTCTTATTTTTCTATGAAAACATGTTATCTATGGTACAGAGTATCTTCTTTTTCTTTCTTTTTCTTTTCTTTTCTTTTCTTTTTTTTTTTTTTAGACAGAGCCTTGCTCTCTCGCCCAGGCTGGAGTGCAGTGGCGCGATCTTGGCTGATTGCAACCTTTGCCTCCCGGGTCTAAGCGATTCTCCTACCTCAGTCTCCCAAGTAGCAGGGACTACAGACGCCTGCTACCACGCCTGGCTAATTTTTGTATTTTTTAGTAGAGACAGGGTTTCACCATATTGGTCAGGCTGGTCTCGAACTCCTGACCTTGTGATCTGCCTGCCTTGGCCTCCCAAAGTGCTGAGATTACAGGCATGAGCCACTGCGCCCGGCCTGTACAGAGTATTTTCAAGAGATGAAGCAGGTAAAAGGTTATTTACTTAAATGGTAGCAGATAAATTTTTGGATTTCTCTTGGTATTTCTGATGAAAGATACTTATTTTAAAGGGATAGTGTATTGGGTCTCAATTGTTGGAAAGTTGTGGGAACACTGGCTGTTAGAATAACTGGGGGCAGAAGGTGTTTCTAGGATTTAGGGTGGAGAGGTCTTAAAGTTACCACATTCCCCTCACTGCTTAGGACAGGTCTGCATACTGAAAAGCTTTCCCTCATACCATATGATTTTCATATGTCTTGCTAGGAATTTGATAGGTGAAAAAAATCTGCTTATAGTCATTTGAGCCAAGATCCTATAACTAAATAAATGTGTGTAAGTGCATTAGCATTGTTTGACTGAGGACGAAGTTGATAGAAGATTATACTTCGTTTTGTTTGTAACTTTACCTAGAACTTTTGCCATTTTGGAAAAGCACTTCAACAGCAACATTGCATTGTTGCTAATGCTACTGTCTCTTTAGCTTCTGTTTGCATAGTCTTTTGGTGTAGTTGTGCCCTGGCATTTACATGTTAACATACATACTATTTTATTATAAATTCTTTCTTTTCATTTTTCCTTCATACAGCATTATATAATTTTTTTTTGAAACCGTATGTGGGAGTGGGCTTATTATCTGTGCATTTCAGGATAGTGAAGGGCATATTTACAAAATGTTTGTTATAAAATGGGAGAGTATTAAGTCTGATAAGCCTGAAATTCACTGGTGTCATAGATGGAACACTGAATCAGGAGAGCTGCATTCTAGTTCTGATCCTGGCTTTGCCAGGTGTGTAGCCATGGCAGTATTTAAGCGTTTTGAATGCCAGTTTCCTCATCTTTAAAACCCATAGAGTTGGACTAGGTGATCTTTAGAGTCTTTCTTCTGAAATTACTTGATTTTGTTTTTGTCAGTTATCCTAGTGGAATTCTCTAAGAGTCTGTTCACTTTGATCATAATGCCCAAATTCAAAACTGATTCATATGACCAAGTTGAGTGCTTCTGGGAAGGAGAAATACATGACTAATGAAGTTCTTTTCAAGGTAGATGGGAGAAAATCAGTGTTTACATCTAAAGGGCAAAGAGCCTTCATGTGAATTTCATCAGTTGACAAATGGGGATCATAATACTTGTATTGTTGTTGGAATATTTAAGTGAGATTAAAGAAGATAATATTTATAAATTATGGACAAGACTACCTGACATAATAGGTATGCAGATAAAAGTTGAATTAAAATTAAGTCAAACATTTCTTAAATACAAATACATTTTATAATATATTTTGAAGTATGAAATATACCTTTCATGATCTGCTACCAGAGGCAAACAGTAGCATGGGACCTATAAAATTTTTTTAGAAAGTGGGTCACAGTGGATAATAAGTTTCATTTGGATAACTAATCACTACCAGCCCAGCCTTAATATTCCTGTAGGAGTTATCAGGAACTTTGAGTAGAGTAATTAGCTCTCAGGATTTTCAGTTACAGTCATATTCATTATTTAACATTTTTATTTCCACAATGACTCATCCATGAATTATGGAGTGCTTTCCCAAAAGGAATGTAGTATTGCTGGAAATGAATTTTTTATTGCTCTATTTTCTTTCTTTGGTAAGGGGTTCCTTGTTGGTTAGTTGGGCCCAAAACTCTCCACAAATAATTTAAAATACGTGCTTTTGTATGAAGATGACTTAACAAGGCAGTGGAGATTTCTCTTGAATGGGCAACATAGAATGCTTAAATTTTCTTATTCTGCTTATTTTAAATTATTAATTTTTGTACTGTGGTCCTGTACTGTGCTTTTTAAATTCTTACATGATAAGTGTATGTCACTAAAAGGTATACTTTGCTCACAATTTCCCTATTATTTACTCCACTGACATTAAAATTGTAGCATTACATCTGAGGTTCCCTTTGGTTTTTATGTATCATTTGCTGTTGTATCCTTTAAAAAATAGTGTAATAGATTTGTCAGTGAAAATGATGTCTTACTGTGATGCTGTTATCAAAGGCATCTCTGAGTACCTATGATAGAGAACTAGTGAAGGGGTTAATATCTATTGTAGATATAGATGCTAATATATCTAGACTCTTATAGATGCTAGTAATTATTATAGAACATTTATAGATACCATCCTAGATGCTTTCATATACATTGCTTCTAATCCTTACTAACAGTTCTGTAGGTAAGCAATGTTGTCCTCATTTATAGGTGAGGAAATTGAAAATTAAGAGAGGAATTTGTTCAGGTTTCACATCTAGCAAGTGACAGATATTGGTCCGTCTGGCTACAAAGCCAAATGTCATTGTGTTTTTGACTAAGGACAAATGAATGAAGTGTACATACTAGTTTAAAATATTTATTGAAAAATTAATATTCAGTCATTTATTAAATGTAAAAGATGGCATTAAAATTCCTCTGTGTTTTGTTGGAGGAGGAAATACAAGAATAGGTGTATCATAGGATCCAAAGGCTCCTGAGAAGGGGTTAACATTGAGAGAAGGGGTAGAGAAAAGAGATAATAGGTGATCAGTTGAGAAGATGATAAATATAATTTGATTACTTTAAATAATCAGTCAACATCAGCAGGTGTAAATGACATACATCAGTACTTTTCTTGTTTTGATTAGGCAGGAAGCAGTAGAGTAATGATTCCCAGACTTGCATTTTGCACACTAGCAAAATAAAATATAAATAACAGAAAAAAAGTGGGGGAGACTGGCATAGGATTGTCAAATAAAAACAATTAAAAAGTGATACATGACTACATAGTATTACTGTTGTTTTATAAGGGGAAGGTCAATCTAACACCAAAGGAATTGTGCATCATTCCACAATAAGAGACAGTTCTTTCAAGAAAATACAGATTTTAACTTTGTAGTGACAGTTTTATTAAGGCAACTTGGTCATGGACTGGCTTTGAGAAACATTAGTTTATAATAGGGAACACCACATTATAGCCAAATCCTTCCTACAGGAGTTGTACATCCTATAAGCAAAGAATGGCTTTTACATTTTTAAATGATTAAAAAATTAATATATTGTGATATGTGAAAATTATATGAAATTCAAAATTCAGTGTGCATAAATAAAGTTTTATTGGGACACAGCTATGTTTATTTTTGTATTATATATGGCTGCTTTCACACCAGTGGTAGATAGAGTAGTTGTGATAGAGTCTATATGACTTACTAGACCTGAAATACAGTGTCTACTCTCTGGCCTTTTACAAAGTTTTTCAATACTTTGTTTGGATAACAGAGTAAATAATAATAGCTAACACTTGTGTAGTGTTTACTAAGAAACAGGCCCTGTTTTATGTGCTCTATGTTATTAACCATCATAACAATTTTATGAGGTAGGTACTGTTTATTGAAGTGGAAACTGAGGCTGAGAGTAAGTTGCCCAAGGTCACATGGCTGTTAGGTGGCAGAGGCAGCCTTCTGCCTAGATGGTGCCACTCCACGGTACATGCTTCATCACTGCACTTGGCTAGCAGAGAAGGAAATCAGAGACTTCAGGATGTGACGCACCCTTCACATTTGCCGTAGTTGTTTTAGGAAAAGAGGAAAGTAGCCTTATTCTATAGTTGCCTGAAGTGTTATCACTGAGTAGTTGAATGAAGAATTCAGCATTAATTACTTCATGATGCATGAACATTTGGTGTATTTTTATGTGACCCAGTGGATTTTCCCCAGAGGTCTGTTGATTGAAATGTCCTACTTATTGATGTCCTACTTATTGAACTTTTGAACAAATAAATCTGTTATTTCTGAACTATTGAGTTCATTTTTGGTATAATTAGAATAATAAATTACACTATTAACTTGGTGGAGGGTAACTGTTTCTCTATCATAAATATTTATCGTGTTGTTCTTAAGGAGCATAAGGCATAAGCCCCCCGTCATTGATTTAATTTAAAAATAAAACATTTATTGACACATACAGAAATATTTTAATTAAAAATTGTTAAATGGCTTTTTTAATGTCTATATATATTCTACCCCCCACCCCCCAAAAAAAGCCATTGTATGCCAAAGCCCGAAAGAAGAATTACATTACCAGTAGTTGGATTTTTGGCTGAATCTATTCAAGGGGAAATCACTATTTTCGTTTTAGAGATGGCTTTGGGTGGAGGAGGTAAGGTTTCAAGAACTGGTTGAATGAAAGAATATTGACAAGTAAGTGAATAAACTAGAATTAGTGTGACCACTTCTGATTTCTCAAATAATGTGTTTACAAACAGTGTTCCTACATTGTAATGGCAGTATAAAATGCTGATTTAAATAAATAGAAGTTTAGTGGCTACACTTTTTCTTAGTTAAACCTCACTATATTCTGGATTTAAAAATGACAGTAACTAATGTTAGTTTTGTGCTCCTCTGAAGGTTAGAAACCTGTTATATGTGTCTAAAACGGGTTTTAATGGGTTTAAGACCACAGAGAAGATAGGACTGACACTTTAGTAAGATTCTTTTTTTCAATCTATTTAATTGTTCTATGATTTTACCTTATTCAAGGTGATGGAGGGTGAATTAGGGTGGGTAAAGGGTAGGGGGAATTGAGACAGTGGTTAAGGTTGATTTTTGACTTGTAGTTCGCTTTCATCTTTAAATTGTGGAAGTCGCCTTCCTTTGTTCATTTTGAAGTTTTGGGCAAAATGTTCTCAGGCTAGATGCAGGTAATGCAGGTAACAGCGGCCAGCACTTCCCATACTAGAGGGCGTTGACTTTCTCAAAGTGTTGACTCGTTTGTGATGTTTTTGCATTTGTTTGGTTTCTGTTTGCTGCTATGTTGTTGCTCTTCCCAGTATGGGATAGGGTTATGGTATTAGTAGAATTACAGTGTTAGTGGTTTTTCTTCCTCTTCCCATTCCATCCATAACCTTGACACTCATAATTTTGAAACCTATCGTTCATTACAAGGGTTAAAATCTAAAATGTGACTGTGCAGGTTGAGATGGCATGTTACAGCTCCTGCCACCTCTTTTTCTTGTGACAGATGGCTTCCCCTCCTGGTTGTAATCCACTGCTGATTTTTTTCAAAGAGCGAATACCATGTGTTCCCCATTTTGGCTCTGGTTGTGTTCTGCCCACTCATTGGCTTCAGAGGATCTTGAAACAGGAGGTACTTGCTGCTGGCATTTATGGCAGGAAGTGGATACAATTGCGATACTTTGTGCCAAGTGTTCATTTATTAGAAAAATTGTGCTTCCTAAAATTAAACATTATTTCTCTGTCACATCAAGAGTAAAGCTAAATTTTATTACTTTTTAGAATATGCTTTTCCCTTAATGTTGTATTATAAAAATTTTTTGGTGGCAAATTTATTACAAAATAGATTTTTAAATCTGAATTTCACATACTCAAAGATTTATAGTCTGTGCAAGACATTGAATGAGTAGCTCTAATTGCACTAGTATAATATAATTACGAAAGGGATCTGTATCACAGAGACTTCTGATCACAGAAACAGTTGGAATTGTTTGTGATGTGTGGTATTGAACTTGTGATTGCATATGCTTTGTGGTACCTATAGACAGTAGTGTTTGTCTATTTTAACTCTCTTGCTTCGGATCTCCCCTTGAGTAGATTCAGCTAAATAAGTTATAAATTTCACCATCTTAGGCCTTCTTGAAAATTATAAGTATCTGAGACAGCTTAATTTCATAAAGCTACTGTGCATATTTGGAAGTATGGTGTTTGGTTTTTTAAAAAAACCTGGCAGGCCAGAGTAAGCAAATTGTTTTTTTATGTTTTTGTCAAGAAACACCCCAAGATAAATGTAAACAAATATTTGCGCATTACCGTCATTGATACTGGAATTTGACATTTCTGTCCTCAGAAGTCACTGTTCTGTCAGAGTCTGCTGTACTTGCCTGAGTGAATAGTGCAGGATTGGCAAAAACGTTGCCTGCTCATGGCAGATCATCTCTAAATCTCTCTTGACAACATCTCTAGCTGAACCCAGATCAGTGATTCTCAACCTTGGCTGCATATTGGTATCACTGAGAAACTTAAAAAACAAACAAACCAAAACCTGATGCCTGAGTCTCACCCAAACCCTCAGATAATTTGATTTGATTGGGCTTGGGGGTGGTCTTGCTGTGGAGATTTAAAAAATCTCCCCAGGTCATTCTAATGTGAAGTCAAGGTTGGTTGAGAACCACTGGCTACTACAAATGGATAAGAGTTGGTAGTGTGAACTGAAATGTATTTGCCATCCTCAGTCTAGTGAGGGGATTTTCTAACCATGCCACAATATATAAACAATTTGCAGTTTGAATGGATAGAGGTTGGTTATCATTGGAATTTGAAAGGACAAATGACAAGTAACATCGGATGATTTACCAGTGTTTTGTGATCTTTTTTTTTTTTTTTTTTTTTTAAGATGGAGTCTCACTCTTGTTGCCCAGGCTGGAGTGCAATGGTACGATCTCAGCTCACTGCAACCTCCACCTCCCGGGTTCAAGCGATTCTCCTGTCTCAGCCTCCTGATTTACAGGCATGTGCCACCATGCCCGGCTAATTTTGTATTTTTAGTAGAGACAGGGTTTTACCATGTTGGCCAGGCTGGTCTCAAACTCCTGACCTCAGGTGATCCGCCCGCCTCGGCCTCCCAAAGTGCTGGGATTACAGGCGTGAGCCACTGCGCCCGGCCAATGACATTTTAAAAGAATTGCCTTCAGAGGGTAGCTGGAAAAGCAAATGGATGTGGGACAAGAGGTTGTTCCACAACCTCCTGGGGTGGGGATACCCGTTCTGTGATGGCATTAAGGAGAACGAGAGGGCTGAGAAGAGAGCAAAATGATCAGCCCTGGATTTTGGGACTTGGCCAAAAAAGAAAGGATGGAACAGGACGTCAGGATAAGATCTAAGACTTGAAGCAGAAACTGTACTTCTTCCTGACCCAGGAGGTGTGAGACAGGGAAGTGGTGGTAGCAAACAGGATAGAATGAGAGGTTCCCTTTTACACCCAAACTTGTTCTTTGCTTAGTGGCAGAAGGCTCAATTTTTCTTTATTAGAGCATTTTCTTTATTACAGCACTATGAGCTTTACTATATGTGAATCACCTGTGAGCACTTGTTAAAATTTCTGGATCCCTCCCAAAGTTTCTGGTTTAGGACTGCTGGGGGAAGGCTCAGGAATCTGTATTTGTGAAGGTTAACTGAACCTTTTTTGTTTGCTTACCATCTATTCAGTGTTTTCCCTATTCTTTGTTCTATTTATTTAGTAATTTAAAAAATTGACTCATTTTAAAAAACTGAATCTTATTTTAAAATGAAACTGTCACTACTACACGTGGAAAACATTTGCCAAAAAATAAAAAATGAAAGTGTAAATACATAACTATTAAGAAAAAGGTCAGGCCGAGCACTTTGGGAGGCCGAGGCGGGTTGATCACGAGGTGAAGGAATCGAGACCATCCTGGCCAACATGGTGAAACCCCATCTCTACAAAAAAATGCAAAAATTAGCTGAGCGTGGTGGCGCGTTCCTGTAGTCCCAGCTACTAGAGAGGCTGAGGCAGGAGAATCGCTTGAACCCGGGAGGCGGAAGTTGCAGTGAGCCGAGATTGTGCCACTGCACTCCAGCCTGGCAACAGAGTGAGACTCAGTCTCAAAAAAAAAAGTCATATATGTACCACTCTGAAGATTATTTTTAATATCATTTTGGGAACTACTAGCGATTCTGATACAGATAGTTTTGTCATCATACTTGGAGAAATATTGAACTAGAGACAAAAAGTTTCACTTAGATTGCATGATTTTCAGCTACTGTTGCACACTTGGAATCTGGGGCATTTTTAAAATACTTTTGGTCAGCCCCCATCCCCCGATTTAATTGGTGTGGGCTACAACCTGGACATCAGGATTTTTAAAACACTCTCCTAAGGTAATCGTAATGTATATTCTGGGTTGAGGATTTAGAGGTTAAAAAGCATATAATGCAGTTAGACTAAGAAGCATAAATTCATGAATACTAAAATACACTTATCTCGGTATAATTAGAAATAAAGAAGACTGGCTGGGCATGGTGGCTCATGCCTGTAATCCCAGTGGTTTGGGAGGCCGAGGCAGGAGGATCACTTGAGGCGAGGAGTTTGAGACCAGCAAGGGCTACATAGCAAGGCCTCGTCTCTACCCCAAAAAAAAAAAAAAAAAAAAAAAAAGGGCAGAAGAAAAATTAGACAGGTACAGTGGTAGGTGCCTGCAAATCCCAGCTACTCAGGAGGCTAAGGTGGGAGGATTGCTGGAGTCCAGGAGGTTGAGGCTGCAGTGAGTCCTGATCCTGTCACTGCACTCCAGCCTGGGTGACAGAGCGAGACCCTGTCTCTTATAACAAGAATGAAAAACACCACAGTGACCACCTGGGGGATGTGGGCAGGGGGAGAGGAAAAGAAGGTGAATTAATAAAGCACTAAGGCACCGTGTCCTTATGATCGCCTCTGCTCCTGCCTGCTTCTCTTGTTTTCTGTTCTTGATGAATAGCGTGAATTAATAAAGCACTAAGGCACCGTGTCCTTATGATCGCCTCTGCTCCTGCCTGCTTCTCTTGTTTTCTGTTCTTGATGAATAGTGTGAATTAATAAAGCACTAAGGCACCGTGTCCTTATGATCGCCTCTGCTCCTGCCTGCTTCTCTTGTTTTCTGTTCTTGATGAATAGCAAGAGCTTTTAAATTGTCAGCTAGTCCCCAAACGTAAGTGTGCATCAGAATTAACTGGAGGGTTTGTTAAAACACAGATTGCTGGGACTCATCCTCAGAATTTCTGATCGAGTAGGTCTGGGGTGGGGCACAAGATTTAATTTCCCAGGTGATGCTTCTGCTGCTGGTCAGGGAACAACACTTGAAACACTCATCTAGTTAACCAAGCTGAAAACTTTAGGACATTAGCCTGACATTTATTGTCTCTGTGTATTTTATATATATCCAGTGAACTTTAAAAATAATTACGTAAACACAAACCTGTGTTTCCATCACCTAGAATTAGTAAATGTTAATGGGTGTGTGGATAAATATTAATTATGAATAAATATTGCCTTTTTGGTGATAATAAACCGCTGTGTTTTATTTCACACTTTTGAGTACAAGGAATAAAAAAATACAACTTTTCTGGGCTTGAGATAAGTGCTCTTTAGGTTAAGCTATAACACCGAAGAGAAAATAGTGCTCCATTAACTTGTTTCATCAGTCTTTTAGGCAACCAAATGAGAAAAGCAAAGAAAAACAGTACAGTCTAGATTGTATACTCCATCTGAGAAAAAACATTAAAAAGTATTACGTATCTGAAAATGAAATTGTCGGACAGGCGCGGTGGCTCATGCCTATAGTCCCAGCATTTTGGGAGGCGGAGGAGGGCGGATCACCTGAGGTCGGGAGTTCAAGATCAGCCTGGCCAACATGGTGAAACCCCGTCTCCACTAAAAATACAAAAATTAGCCGGACATGGTGGCAGGCGCCTGCAATCCCAGCTACTCAGGAGGCTGAGGCAGGAGAATTTCTTGAACCCAGGAGGTGGAGGTTGCCGTGAGCCAAGATGGTGCCGTTGCACTCCAGTCTGGGCAACAAGAGTGAAACTATGTCTCGAAAAAAAAAAAAATTGTCAGCTGCAATCATTTTATCCTGTTTTTCTGTTTGAATAGTTTATTTGAATAGTTCATGGAATTAATAAGTTGAATTTATTTCTATATCTAGAAACTTGGGAGGGGAAGGGTAAACTGTTATGTATGGTATAAAAAATTTAAAAGTGTTGTGAAAATACTATTTTCAATTCTAAAACGCTTGTTCAATTCTAAAATGACTTGTTTCCCCTATGCTTGATATAGATCAAGAGGGAAAAAGTATTAATGGGTATTATTTATTCAGCAAACATTGAGTTTACATTCAGGACTGTCAACTTGACTATGGAACAATTCAAGTAGCTTTCGTTAGTCTTGCCTAGCTTTTCGTTATGCATTAAATATGTGCTTCATTCAGGAGGAGATCACCCCACCCCAGCCAGGTTAGTTTTGTCAGGTAGAAATAATGCTGTTTTTATATTCTCATGAAGAGTGTATGTATTTTTTCATCGTGGAGCTAATGCTAGGATTCCCTGAACTTGCTAGCTTCTATAAATCCTCCTCACCATTCTTCGAAGCAAGGGCTTTGGAAAGTATGGACTTAACTGTCTCATGAAAATCCTTGTATAGCTTCAATTGTCCTCCCTCCTATTTATTTTTCATGAAATTATTCTCTTGACACACTTGTTTATTTTCTATTTAGTCTTTCTAGACTCTTCTATTTGCTTCCTTCTTGGACTATTTGTTCCCTCTTGCTAGAACTCTTTATCTTCACTCATTAACTAAACTTTAAGAAAAGAGTCCTTCCCATGTTTCCTTTAACAGGGAGGCCAGCTTGTTTTTACAGCTCATATAATATATGCAGGTAGTAGAAGACAGATGAAAGCAAATACTTTGCAAATTATGGTATGTTTGCTTCAGTTTTCAAAAAGTCTGGGAGCTTGGTCTCTTTTCCCTGGAAACCACCTCTGTTTTGTCTTGCAGATGAGAGTGTGATCTTTAAGCTAGCCTTGACCTTTTGGGTGGTCTGTGCTTATCTTTCAAGTGTTTGCAGTAATTAGGACCAGTATATCAAAAAAAGCATGCTACCTATGTTATTTGTATTGTCCTGATCTTCTAGATTCAGAAAAAAAGAGAGGTTATTATTTTTATAACTGGATTTCCTATATTTGTGGATAAGAATTCCAAAACTAACAAAGAGAAAATCATCTTGACTGTTACGTGCTGTAAAAATCATGTATTCAAAGTTTGTACTATCACAATTCTGGATTCATGAGGATTTGCCAGACATTCAAATTAAAGCCTAATCAATAACTTTCTTCTTCGTAGAGGGCCATTCTAAGGCCAGTGCTTTCCCAGGGCCTGGGTATATTATGTAGTATGATGAATATCACAGAGCAATTGCCCTTGTTTAGGAACTGTGTATTGGGATTCCTTTAAGATTTTTGTTTTAACATACTTACATTTCACTAGGATTCTTCCCTACCGCACCCCCGGCTCTTTTTAAAAAATTTACCTAGTTTGTCCCTTGCCTGTTTGGCTACTAGATATATTTAACTGACCTTAGACAGTGCTGCAGGCAGAGTTCAGCATTTAGGCAAAACGGATGGCAGTGTTAGCTGTTTTTCTCCTGGCATGTCACTGTGCATTATCTGGGATGGCATGCTTTGTGAGTATCTGTATGGTTTCCCAATGAGAGAAGGGAGGTCTGGCTGCATTCACTCGCACAAGGTGACCTTTGTTTCTACACATTCTCTGCTTTAACAAAGCATTGTCTAATCAGTCTGTCAATACATATTTATTGAGTGCCTACTGTGAATGCCCAGTAGTATGCTGTGTACTTTGAGAGATTTTTTTCAAAAGGGGGCAGGGTAGAAAGAAAGAGAAATATGCATTTGAGTTTAGAATAATGTTAACATGAAATATGTATACCGTGTGTGATTTTATAAACATGAATTTCTGGAGGAGCAGAATTCTAGAGTATTCTGGCCCACATTAGCTTCAAGAATGGAATTATTCTTAAGAGTAAAATCACTTAAGCTAGAAGTTCCAGGCTGCTGTGAGCAGTGCCTCTACACTCCAGCCTTGGTGACAGGAGACCCCTACCTAAAACAAAACAAAACAAAACAAAAAAAGAATGAACTGTTTCCTCATTAAGGTGCAACTTATTCATGTAAGAGAGATGTTTAATGTTAAGGATTTCCTTTCCTTTCCTTTTTTCTTTCCTTTTTCTTTCTTCTTTCCTTTCTTTTCTTTGACAGAGTCTCACTCTATCACCCAGGCTGGAGTGCAGTGGCGCGATCTCTGTTCACTGCAACCTCTGCTTCCCGGCTTCAAGCAATTCTTGTGCCTCAGCCTCCCCAGTAGCTGGGACTACAGTCATGTGCCACTACACCCGGCTAATTTTTGTATTTTTAGTAGAGATGGGGTTTTGCCATGTTGCCCAGGCTGGTCTCGAACTCCTGACCTCAAATGATCTGCCCACCTCAGCCTCCCAAGGTGCTGGGATTACAGGCGTGAACCACCATACTTGGCCTGTTAAGGATTTCTTTAAATGTGGTATTTGATATATAGGCTTACACAATTAGTATATCTTAAATTATGTAATGAATTTCCCACAATCTCAGCATTTAAAAAAATGTTTGGAATAGGAAGATGCTCATAATATTTTAGGGGAAATACATGTATATATAGTGTATATATGTATGTATACAATGATCAATCTTTGGAGCAGCATAGTGTAAAAAGCGCAAGCTACGGAGTCAGACTGCTGGATGGTTCTGCCACTTCAACTGACCTAGGGACAGGTAGATTTTATTATTTGTTTCCTTTTTTGTAAAATGAAAATAATGGTACATCATGGGTGAGATGTAAACTTTAAATGAGTTAGAATGCATAAAGCATTCAGAAAAGGAGCTGGCTGGGCGTGGGTGGCTCATGTCTGTAATCCCAGCACTTTGGGAGGCCCATGGCGGGAGAATTGCTTGAGCCCAGGAATTTGAGACCAGCCTGGGCAACATAATGAGACCCCTGTCTCTAAAAAATAAAATAAAATAAATGAAAATAAAAATAAAAATAGAACATGGTCTGGCCTGTGGAAAACATTAATTGTTACTTTTATTGTAGCCTTTTTTTTTTTTTAAAAAAAAGGTGAATGTCAGCAGAGAAAAACTGTTTTAAAGGATATCCATAAAATTTTTTTTGTGATTTTTCTCAGATTCATAGGATTATTAATTTTTCTTTTTATCTGTAATTCCTTTTTCCCCCGTAATGAACACGTTTCTAGTGTAATAAAGTAGAAGATAATGAAGAATAAGATTTAGTCTGAATATTTATATGAATCCTTATGAAGAAGTGTCGTTGTCTGTCATTGATACCCAAGATTTGTTGTCTCACGGCCATGGAAAACTAGGACGCAGACACACAAAGAGTGAGGTTCAGAGTGGAAGTTTAATAGGCAAAAGAAAGAGAAGAGCTCTCTGCGACAGAGATGGGTCCTGGAGAGGCTGGTCCTGGTTCTGCGGTGGAATGCAAGGGGTTTTATAGATAAGCTTGAGGAGGTGGTGTCATGATTTACATAGGGCATGAAAGATTGGTTGGACCAGGTGTGCCATTCTGGAAAACTGGTTAGGGCTAGGTGTTCCATTTGCCTAGGGTGCAAAAATCTGGCCACCCCCACCCTAATCTTTTATTATGCAGATGGCTTCTCTGTCTGCCCAGCGCAGTGTCTGTTTCTTTACTATACATGTGGTGACAAAGAAAAGGGAAGGTGAAGCCTCCATGTTGAACATACCTGGCCCCCAGGTAGCCGTTTTCTGTTAGCATAGCTGCTGACATTCACCCATGCAAGCTTCCAGCTTGCTTTTTTATGTTTGCAGCATGATTTTTCAGGCTGCTCTTTGTTAGAAAAGAAATTCTTTTGGGGCTGCTTTTTGTTAAAAGGGGAAATTACGCCGAGGACTCTATTGCCCTTATTATCTGCGTAAATAATTTCTTTCTACCTCCTGTATCAATGATACAACAAAATCTAGAATTTGTTGCCAGGAAATTAGTAAATATTTGAATGATATTGAATGGTCTACATAGGTGATGTTATTTTATCTTGAAGCTGTTCATAATTTAGCATAGGAAACATGGCAAACATGGCAGAAATACCATGGATCATATGCTTGTTTTATTTTTAGTGTTTTTTTGTTTGTTTGTTTTGTTTTTTTTGAGACAGTCTCTCACTTTGTCAGCGCGATCTCTCGGCTCACTGCAACCACCGCCTCCAGGGCTCAAGTGATTCTCCTGCCTCAGCCTCCTGAGTAGCTGGGATTACAGGCGTACATCACCACACCTAGCTAATTTTTGTGTTTTTAGTAGAGACTGGGTTTCGCCCTGTTGGCCAGGGTGGTCTCAAACTCCTGGCCTCAAGCAGTCCATCTTCCTTGGCCTCCTGGAAAGCGCTGGGCTTACAGGCATGAGCCACTGCGCCCAGCCTGTATATCTTCTTTTGAGAACTGTCTGTTTAAAATATAAATGAAAATAAAAATAGAACAGGGGCTGGCCTGCAGTAAGCATTAATTATGACTTTTATTGTACTTTTTTTTTAAAAAGGTGAATATCAGCATAGCAAAACTGTTTTGAAGGATGCGCATGGTTTTTTTTTTTTTTTTTTTTTTTTTCCTTGAGGTGGAGTCTTGCTACGTTGCCAGGCTGAAGTGCAGTGGCTTGATTTCGGCTCACTGCAACCTCTGCTTCCCGGGTTCAAGCGATTCCCCTGCCTCAGCCTCCTTAGTAGCTGGGATTACAGGCACTTGCCACCACGCCCAGCTAATTTTGGTATTTTTAGTAGAGGTGGGGTTTCACCATATTTGCCAGGATGCTCTCGATATTCTGACCTCGTGATCCACCTGCCTCGGCCTCCCAAAGTACTGGGATTACAAGCGTGAGCCACCGCACCCGGCCTAAAATTTTTTTTTAGTGATTTTTCTCAGGTGTGTAGGATTATTAGATTATTTAGATCCTTAGATCTAGACTATTTAGATCCTTTGCCCATTTTAAAATCAGATTAGGTTTTTTTTGTTTTGTTTTGTTTTTGTTTTTTTGTTTGTTTTTGCTGTTGAGTTGTTTGAATTCATTTTATATTCTGGATATTAGTCCCTTCTCGGATGCATAGTTTGCAGATGTTTTCTCTCATTCTGCAGATTGTCTCTTCACTCTGTTGATTGTTTCCTTTGCTGTGCAGAAGCTTTTTAAGTTTGTTATAGTCCCATTTGTCTATTTTGGTTTTCTCACCAGTGCTTTTGAAACCTTACCAAGAAAGTCTTTTCCTAGACCAGTGTCCTCAAGTGTTTCCCCTACATTTTTTTTTCTAATAGTTTTATATGAATAGTTTCAGGTCTTACATTTAAGTCTTTAATCAGTTTTGAGTTGACTATTGCGTTTGGTAAAAGGTAGGGGTCTAATTTAATTTTTCTGCATGTGGATATCCAGTTTTCCCAGTACTATCTATTGAAGAGGGCGTCCTTTTCCCAAAGTATGGTTTTGGCTCTTTTGTTGAAAATCAGTTGGCTGTAAATATGTGGATTTATTTCTAGGTTCTCTGTTCTGTCCTATTGGTCTATGTGTCTGTTTTTATACCAGCACCATGCTGTTTTGGTTACTATAGCTTTGTAGTGTATTTTGAAGTCACATAGTGTGATGTCTTCTGCTTTGTTCTTTTTTGTTCATTATTGCTTTGGCTATTCAGGGTCTTTCTGGTTCCATATAAACTTGAGAATTGTTTTTTTATTTCTCTGAAGAATATCATTGATATTTTGATATGGATTGCATTGAATCTATAGTTTGCTTTGGAAAGTATGTTTTTTTTTTTTTTTTTTAAGAGACGAGGTCTTGCTCTCTCATCCCAGCTACAGTGTAGTAGTATGATCATAGCTCACTGAAACCTCAAACTCTTGGGCTCAAATGATTCTCCCACATCAGCCTCCCATGTAGCTGGGATGACAGTGGTCATTTTAACAGCATTCTTCCTATCCATGAACATGGGATGTCTTTCCAATTTTTTTTGTGTCCTCTTCAATTTCTTTTATCAGTATTTTGTAATTTTCATTGTAGAGCTCTTTCACCTTCTTGGTTCAATTTATTCTTAGAGTTTGTTGTTGTAGCTTATTGTAAATGGGATTGCATTCTTGGTTACTTTTTTAGCTGGTTTGTTATTGGTGTATGGAAATGCTACTGATTTTTATATGTTGATTTTTTATCCTGCAACTTTAGTGAATTTGTTTATAAGTTCTAAGATTGTTTTGATGGAGTCTTTAGGTTTTTCTAGATATAAGAACATGTTGTCTGCAAACAGGGACATTTGACTGCCTCTTTTGCAATCTGGATGCCCTTTATTTTTTTCTCTAGCCTAAGTGCTCTGGCTGGGACTTCCAGTACTATGTTGAGTAAGAATGGTGAAAAGTTGGCATACTTGTCTGGTTCTAGTTCTTAGAGGAAATGCATTCAGCTTTTCCCTATTAAGTGTGATGTTAGCTGTCACTTTGTCATATGTGGCCTTGATTATGTTGAGGTATGTTCCTTTATTGCCTAGTTTATTGAGAGTTTTTATCAGGAAGGTATGTTGAATTTTATCCAATGTTTTTTTCTGCATCTATTGAGATAATCATATGGATTTTGTCATTCATGCTGTTGATGTGCTATATTACATTTATCGTTTTGTGTATGTTGAACCATCCTTGCATCCCTGGGATAAATCCCACTTTGTCTTGGTGTATTGTCTTTTGAATGTGCTGTTGGATTTTGTTTGCTAGTATGTTGTTGAGGATTTTTGCATCTGTGTTCATCAGGGATATTGACCATAGTTTTTGTTGTTTCTGTACCCTTGTCTGGTTTTCGCATCAAGGTAATGCTGGCTGGCCCTATAGAGTAAGTTACAAAGAATTACCCCTCTTCAGCTTTTGGGAATAGTTTGAGAAGAATTGGTGTTAGTTCTTTAAAAGTTTTGTAGAATTTAGCATTAAAGCTATCTGATCCAGGGTTTCCTTTGTTGAGAGACTTTTTATTAAAATTGATTCAGTCTTGTTACTTGGTGTTGTTCTGTTCAGGTTTACTACTTGTATTAGTCTGTTTTCATGCTGGCTGATGAAGACATACTGAGACTGGAGAGAAAAAGAGGTTTAATTGGACTTATAGTTCCACATGGCTGGGGAGGCCTCAGAATCATGGTGGGAGGCAAAGGCCACTTCTTTTTTTTTTACTATTATACTTTAAGTTTTAGGGTACATGTGCACAATGTGCAGGTTAGTTACATATGTATACATGTGCCATGCTGGTGTGCTGCACCCATTAACTCGTCATTTAGCATTAGGTATATCTCCTAATGCTAACCCTCCCCCCTTCCCCCACCCCACAACAGTCCCCAGAGTGTGATGTTCCCCTTCCTGTGTCCATGTGTTCTCATTGTTCAATTCCCATCTATGAGTGAGAACATGCGGTGTTTGGTTTTTTGTCCTTGTGATAGTTTACTGAGAATGATGGTTTCCAGTTGCATCCATGTCCCTACAAAGGACATGAACTCATCATTTTTTACGGCTGCATAGTATTCCATGGTGTATATGAAAAGGCACTTCTTACATTGAGGCGGCAAGAGAAAAATGAGGAAGAAGCAAAAGCGGAAACCCCTGATAAACCCATCAGATCTCATGAGACTTATTCACTATCACAAGAATAGCATGGGAAAGACTGGCCCCATGATTCAGTTACCTTCCCTTGGGTCCTTCACATAACGTGGGAAATTTTTTTTTTTTTTTTTTTGAGACGGAGTCTCGCTTTGTTGCCCAGGCTGGAGTGCAGTGGTGCGATCTCGGCTCACTGCAAGCTCTGCCTCCTGGGTTCACGCCATTCTCCTGCCTCAGCCTCCTGAGTAGCTGGGACTACAGGTGCCCACCACCACGCCTGGCTAATTTTTTTTGCATTTTTAGTAGAACGAGGTTTCACCGTGTTAGCCAGGATGATCTCGATCTCCTGACCGCGTGATCCACCTGCCTCGGGCCCCCCAAAGTGCTGGGATTACAGGCGTGAGCCACCACGCCTGGCCACATGTGGGAATTCTTGGAGATACAATTCATGTTGAGATTTGGGTATAGTACACTATATCACTGCTTCTTCCTGGTCCGATCTTGGCAAGTTCTATATATCCAGGAATTTATCCATTCCTTCTAGGTTTTCCAATTTGTTGGTGTATAGTTGTTCATAATGGCGTCTAATGATTCTTTGTATTTCTGTGGTTTCCTTTTTCATTTCAGATTTTGTTTGAGTCTTCTCTCTTCTTAGTCTAGCTAATGGTTTGTGGATTTTGCTTATCTTTTCAAAAAACCAAGTTTCTGGCTGGGCGTAGTGGGCCATGCCTGTAATCCCAGCACACTGGTAGGCTGAGTCCGCAGATCACTTGAGCCCAGGAGTTCGAGATCAGCCTGGGCAAGATGGTGAAACCCTGTCTCTACTATAAAAAAAAAAAAAAAAAAGTTGCTGGGCGTGGTGGTGTATGCCAGTAATCACAGTTACTTGGGAGGCTGAGGCATGAGAATCACTTGAACCTGGGAGGCATAGGTTGCAGTGAGTTGAGATTGCACCACTGCACTCCAGCCGGGGTGACAGAGCAAGACCCTGTCTCAGAAACAGCAGCAACAACAACAAGAACAATCCCCAAAACAAGTTCTTGTTTCATTGATGTTTTATATGTGTCTCTCTCTAATTATCTAATCTAATTGAATCTCTCTCTCCCCCCCCATATCTCCATATCTCCATCTCTTGCTTTCTCTTTCTCTCTCTCTGGTTTCTATTTTGCTTATTTCTGCTCTGGTCTTTATTTCTTACACTAATTTTGAGTTTGGTTTGTTCTTGCCTTTCAGGTTCCTTGAGATGCATTGCTAGGTTGTTTATTTAAAATCTGTCTTCTTTTTTGATATAAGTATTTATTGCTGTAAACCCCCCTCTTTGTACTGCTTTTGCTGTTTCCCAGAGGTTTTGGTATGTTGTGTTTTTTTTTCTTCTTTTCTTCTTTTTTTTTTTTTTTTTTTGAGACGGAGTCTTGCTCTGTCACCCAGGCTGGAGTGCAGTGGCATGATCTCGGCTCACTGCAAGCTCTGCCTCCCGGGTTCACTCCCACCTCAGCCTCCCTAGTAGCTGGGACTACAGGCACCCACCAGCACGCCTGGCTAATTTTTTATATTTTTAGTAGAGACAGGGTTTCACCGTGTTAGCCAGGATGGTCTTGATCTCCAGACCTCGTGATCTGCCCGCCTCGGCCCCCGAAGTGCTGGGATTACAGGTGTGAGCCAATGCGCCCGGCCTTTTCTTTTCTTTTTTTGAAAATGAAGACGGGGTTTTGCCATGTTGCCCAGGCTGGTGTCGAACTCCTGAGCTCAAGCCATCTGCGTGCCTCAGTCTCCCAAAGTGCTGGGATTTCAGGCATGAGCCACCACACCTTGTCATTATGTTGTGTTTCTATTTCGGTTTTTTTTCCAACAAATCTTTTGAATTCCTTTTAAATTTCTCCATAGACCCAGTGGTTTTTCAGGTGTTTAGTTTCCAAAGTTCTTGTTTTTGATGTCTAGTTTTATCCCACTGTGGTCTGGGAAGATACTTGATATGATTTTAGTTTTACAAAATTTGTTGAGACTTGTTTCGTGGCCTAACATATGGTTTATCCTAGAGAATGTTCCATGTGCTGATGAGGAGAATGTATATTCTGTAGCTGTTGCATGGAATGTTCTATGAATGCCTGTTAGTTCCATTTGGTCCATAGTTCCACTGAAGACCAGTGTTTCTTTGTTGATTTTCTGTCTAGATGATCTGTTCAGTGGTGAAAGTGGGGTGGTGAAGTCCGCAATTATTCTTATATTGGGATCTATGTCTCTAGCTCTAATAATATTTGCTTTATAGCTGGGTGCTTTGGTGTTAGGTGCATATGTGTTTATAGTTGTTACGTCCTTTTGCTGAATTGATCCCTTTATCATTATATAATGTCCCTTTTTATGTTTTTTGACTTGAAAGTCTATTTTGTTTGATATAAATATAGCTACTCCTTCATGCGTCTGGTTTCCATTTATGTGGAGTATCTTTTTCCATTCCTTCATTTTCTTTTTTTTTGAGACGGAGTTTCACCCTTGTTGCCCAGGCTGGAGTGACTGTAGTAGCATGATCTTGGCTCACTGCAATCTCTGCCTCCCGGGTTCAAGCAGTTCTCCTGCCTTAGCCTCCCAAGTAGCTGGGGATTACAAGCATGTGCCACCACGCCTGGCTGATTTTTTGCATGTATGTATGTATGTATTTATTTATTTAGTTTTTGAGATGGAATATTGCTCTGTCGCCCAGGCTGTAGTGTGGTGGCATGATCTTGCTTCACTGCATCCTCCACCTCCTGGGTTCCAGTGATGCCCCTGCCTCAGCCTCCTGGGTATCTGGGATTACAGGCATGTGCCACCACGCCTGGCTAATTTTTGTATTTTTAGTAGAGACGGGGTTTTCACCATTTTGGCTAGGCTGGTCTCGAACTGCTGACTTCAGGTGATCTACCTGCCTTGGCCTCCCAAAGTGCTGGGATTACAGGTGTGAGCCACCGCACCTGGCTTATTCCTTCATTTTCTATGTGTGTTTTTACATGTGAAGTGAGTTTCTTGTAGACAGCATATAGTTGAGTCTTTTTTTAAAAAAAAATCCACTCATTCAGCCTATATCTTTTAATTGGGGAATTTAAACCATGTACATTCAAGATTGTTCTTGATATGTGAAGGCTTACTCCTGTCATTTTGTTGTTTTCTGATTGCTTTGTATATCCTATGTTCCTTTTTTCCTCTCATTGTTTATCCTTGCTGTTTGGTGGTATTCTGTAGTGATAACATTTGACTAGTTTCTCTTTCTCATTTGTATATTTGCTTTGCCAGTGAATTTTATACTTTTATGTGTTTTCGTGATGATACATATTATTCTTTCCCTTCCAGATGTAAGACTCTCTTCAGCATTTTGTATGGCTGGTTTAGTGGTGAATTTTTTCAGTTTTCATTTGTCTGTGAAAGACTTTATTTCTCCTTCATTTCTGAAAGATAGCTTTGCTGGGTATAGTATTCTTGGCTAACAATTTTTTTGCTCCCCACCCCCTTCATTCAGCAGTTTGAATATATCATTTCATTCTCTCCTGACTTGTAAAGTTTCTGCTGAGAAATCTGCCATTAGTCTGATGGAGATTCCCATACATGTGACTTGAGGATTTTCTCTTGCTGTTTAAAAAACTTTTTTTTTTTTTTTGAGAGACATTATTCTGTTTCCCAGGCTGGATTGCAGTGGCTAGTCACAGGCACAATCATGTCTCACGACAGCCCTCCAACTCTTGGCCTCAAGCAATCCTACCCACTCAGCCTCCTGAGTATTCTCTTGCTGTTTTCAGAATATTCTTTTTTATTACTGTGATTATTATTATTTTTAGAGATAGGGTCTTGCTCCATTGCCCAGGCTGGTGTGTGATGGTTCAGTCATAGCTCACTGCAGCCTTGAACTCCTGTGTTCAAGTGATCTTGCCTCAGCTTCTTGAATAGCTAGGACTACAGCTAAAAGATTGGCCATCCCTGGCTACTTTTTACATTTTTTGTATAGATAGGGTCTTGCTATGTTGCCCAGGCTTGTGTCAAACTCCTGGCCTCAAAGAATCCTCCCGCCTGGCCTCCCAAAGCATTGGGATTGCAGGAGTTAGCCACCGTGTTCAGTGTAGAATTCTGTTTTTATCATTTACTTTTGACAACTTGGCAATAATGTACCTTAGAGAGGACTTTCTTTGGGCTGAATATGTTTTGGGATCTGTGAATACCAAAGATTCGAGGGATATATGCCTGTATCTCTGCTGAGACTTCGGAAGTTTTCCGCTATTATTTCATTAAACAGGTTGTCTATGCCATTTACCATCTCTTCTGAAATTCCCAAAGTGCAAGTAGTTGTTCACTTAATGGTGTCCCATATGCCATGTGGGCTTTATTCTTTTTTATCCTCTCTTCTTTTTCTTCTGAGTTTTTTCTTTTTTTTTCTTTTTCTTTTTTTGAGGCAGAGTCTCGCTCTGTTGCCCAGGCTGGAGTGCAGTGGCACGATCTTGGCTTACTGCAACCTCCGCCTCCTGGGTTCAAGTGATTCTGCTGCCTCAGCCTCCTGAGTAGCTGGGATTACAGGTGTGCACCATCACACCCAACTAATTTTTGTATTTTTAGTAGAGGGAGGGTTTCACCATGATGGCCAGGCTGGTCTCAAACTCCTGACCTCAGGTAATCTGCTCACCTCGGCCTCCCAAAGTGCTGGGATTACAGGTGTGAGCCACCGCGCCCAGCCCTGTCTGAGATTTTGCAAAAGACCTGTCTTCAAGTTCAGAAAATCCGCTTGATGTAGTCTATTCTATTTTTTATTTCACTCATTGAATTCTTTAATTTCACAATTTGTTTGTTTGTTTGATATATATCTCCTTGTTGAATTTTTCACTGATGAATTGTTTTCCTATTTCTTTGTACCGTTTGTGTGTGTGTGTGTGTGTGTGTGTGTGTGTGTGTGTGTGTTTGTATATTGCTGAGTTTCCTTAAGATCATTATTTTTCATTTTTTTCAGGCATTTCAGAGATTTCTTTTTTTGGGGCGGGGGGGGACGGATTTCTTCCTAGAGAATTAATTGAGTTTCTTTTGAGGTGTTGTATTTCCCTTGCTTTTTTATGTTTCTTGTGTCTACTTTGGCATCTGTGCATCTGGTGCAGCAGCTGCTCCTTCCAATTTTATGGAGCAGCTTTTGTGCAGAAATACTTTTTCCTGCAGGTATATCTACAGTATTGGCTGGATAACGTGCTTTGGCCGTACAATAGAGTAGTATTCAGCCATGAAAAGGAATGAAGTTCTGATACATGCTGCAGTGTGGATATACCTCCAAAACTTTATCCTGACTGAAAGGAGCCAGATACAAAAGATCACTTATTGTATGGTTCCGTGTATATGTAATATATTTTGTAGATAAATCTACAGATGTAGAATGCTAATTGGTGGTTGCCAGAGGCTGGGAAGAATGAGGAATGGGAAGAAACTGCTGGGTAAGGAGTTTTAACTTTGGAGTGATGGAAATATTATGGAACTAGGTAGAGGCAGTCATTGCGGAACACTGTGAACGTACTAAATGTTACTGAATTGTTCACTTTAAAATGGTTAATTTTATGTTATATGAACTACACCTCAATACATTATTTTTTAAAAGTTTTATGAACAGTCATAAATTAAAACAAATATTCGCTATGGCGATTAATATAATTGCCCTGTGTTGAGGATTTACCGGGAGCTGGAGCCTTCACATATATTGATTCTAAGCCTTATGTCAGCATTGCAAGATAGATTAGGAAGAACAAAGAACTATATTAGTAGTTTAAAATAATGGCTTTAAACTGCTTTACACCTTGTTTATCAAATCAAGTGAGCCCTTGAAATTTAATCAGGGACTGGACGGTAGGGGGCACCCATGGTACTTATGTTGCTCTGGCTATGTTGAGAGCGTCTTAAGTCATAAACACAGATTTGTTGAATGAGTTTGATACTTTGAAAATTATCACCTAGAGGCTGGGTGCGGTGGCTCACGCCTGTAATCCCAGCACTTTGGGAGACTGAGGCAGGTGGATCACGTGAGGTCAGGAGTTTGAGACCAGCCTGGCCAACATGGTGAAACCTCATCTCTACTAAAAATAGAAAAATTATCCGGGTGTGGTGGTAGGTGCCTGTAATCCCAACTATTCAGGAGGCTGAGGCAGGAGAATTGCTTGACGCTGGGAGGTGGAAGTTGCAGTGAGCTGAGATTGCGCCATTGTAGTCCAGCCTGGGCAACAGAGCGAGACTCTGTCTCAAAAAAAAAAAAAAAAAATTAGCAAGAAGGATCTTATTACGAACTTATGTTTATTTGAGTTTGGTATTTTATCTTTCAGTTTTAAGTTTTGTAGTTGAAAATATGGAACTATAGGCATGTGCCACCACACCCAGCTAGTTTTTGTATTTTTTATAGAGACGGGGTTTTGCCATGTTGCGCAGACTGGTCTCGAACTCTTGGGCTCAAGCAATCTGCCTGCCTCCACCTCCCAAAGTGTTGGAATTACAGGTGTGAGCCTCTGTGCCCGGCCAAAACATAAGTTTTATGATATAATACTTGCTCTATGGACGATGTTAGATGTTTTAAGTTTTATTTTCTTTTAATGAAAAAAGATTGGCAACCACTAAATTGTTTTTACAACTCATTTTTTAACAAGCCAGTTTGAAAAGTTTTTAGTGTAAAATGCCAGTGTTTCTGCTATCCGATGAAAAGCATCAGGTTCTATAAAATTTTACTATTGGAAAGTTAGGGTTTGGGGAAGAGTATTCTAAATATATGTAACTTTGTAATCATAACACAAACAGAAGTAATGTTAATAAATGGTACCTCAGGAGATTACTTGGATAGCACTAGGATGCCAGGTGATAGTAGCCAGAGAATGCTTCAACATATATTCAAAACTCACCGAAGTAATTTAGTAGAAATGCTTGCTTACAGTGCTGAGAAATTGCTGATGGAAGTGGATCTCTGAGCGCAGGAAAAAGTGCAGCCTGTCTTGAGCAGAGGGCCATGAGTGCTCAGGGGTGTGCCCCTGTAGGAAGGGAGCCCTGGATACAGGTGCTCTGTTTTAGTTTTCTCAAAATAGAGCTGAAAGGATCACTATTTATTCAGCAGCCAAGCAGAGGGCATTTTCCTTTCCTGCTGAAGGCTGCAATTCTGCCTGTCTTTGTAGTTCTCTTGCCTAGGAAAAGGTACATATGAATCAGCACAGCTTTGTTATAATGATAGTTCTCTATTTATCATGATCATGTATGAGCTAATTTATATTGTAAAAAATATATTTAGAACAAAACTGTGTGTGTGTCCAGTGTAGTTTGCCAATTTTACTGTATTTCATTTTAGCCACTGCTTTTTTTTTTTTTTTTTTTCCTTCTGAGACAGAGTCGCTCTGTCGCCCAGGCTGGAGTGCAGTGGCGCGATCTCAGCTCACTGCAGCATCCACCTCCCGAGTTCAAGTGATTCTCCTGCCTCAGCCTCCCAAGTAGCTGGGACTATAGGCGCCCACCACCAAGCCCAGCTAATTTTTGTATTTTTAGTAGAGATGGGTTTTCTCCATCTTGGCCAGGCTGGTCTCGAACTCCTGACTTTGTGATCTGCCCACCTCGGCCTCCCAAAGTACTGGGATTACAGGCGTGAGCCACCGCGCCCGGCGATGCTGAGATCTTAATTAAGACTCTAAGTTTTGGAGAGAGATGTTCAAGTTTTTCATCTTTACCTGAGAATCCCTACAAAATGCCAAATACTGTAATTGTACACTAAGGTGCCAAAATTTTGATCTCAAAGATCCGTATGAAATTATCTTGGAGATAAGGAACCTGAAGGCTTAAAAGACACAAGAATCAAGTTTCTCTTCTGGCCCTTTCTTATTTATTACATACAAAAATAATTACTTTTCCCTTTAGGAATTAAAAAAAAAAGTAGTCACTCAGGGATACCTGATTCTTTACTGATGCTTAGCATTTTTTTGTGAATAATTTTTATCCCTCTAACAGTAAAATGATGTTAAAAGCCCTTGAAAAAATGAAAATTAATTGCATTTCATACCCTTGAAGCTCTGATTTTATTGATAATTTTGTTTTTTAAGTGAACAAAACCTCAAAATATACTAGCAAGGTAAATTTATTGATTTCTCCTCTTATGCCCGATTGCTTATCAATTTGGTTCTTTTGTCTAAGAATGATCCAATTAGCAGACTAATTTTTTTTCAACAGGGAACTTTCGCCTTCTTACACTGTGTTCTCATTGGAGCATTGCATAGTCTCTGCATACGTAGAGCGTGAAGATGGTGTCTTTATGTATACCTTCTTAAGTAAGCTAAACTGTCTTGAAAATGGCAGTAAGTGGCACATTAAGACACAAAAGGTTATTTCTTTTTTGGCGAATGGTTGTTTGTTTAAATGGAGAAACATAAGGTCTTATATTGAGAGGTAGATTTATTTAATATTCCATAGATGTAATTTTAAAAATATTTCTCCTGTCTCAGAATGAAGTGAGGGTTCTGCTAAGACAGCTTTGTAATTCACAGCTTTCTTTGAAAATGCTGTACCTCTATTCCTTATTGATGGACTTGAATGCACAATCATTTGTGGGGTTTTTTTGTTTTGTTTTTATGAAATAGCAGTTTGATCATTTATACCAAAAGTTAGTGCTATATGATTAGATATCAAGGTTCCTTAGATAGAAGCATTCCAGGCTGGATATCTGACTCCTTTTATCATCTGCATGGTGTACTTAGCTGTATATAAAATGGAAAAGTAGCAAGTTTAAATGACTGGTAAAGTTGGAGGCACACTCTGCTACCCAGCGGTTCTATTTCTGTGTCTTCTTGAGAGAAACTTTTACCCATGTGCTCAAGGATCTATATAGATGGAGGTGTAATTTATTATAATGGTGATCTAGATAGGATCTAGATAGATGGAGGTGTATTTATTATAATAGTGAATAAGTACAAAAATACTTAACTGTTCCTCAGTAAGTGAATGGATACATTGATATTATTCGTATAGTGGAATTCAAGTAAACAATCCTTATCTCCAGAATACTTAGGGCAGATGTATTTTGGAATTTAGAAATTTTTAAACTTTAAAGGTAATTCGGTATGTATACCATTTATTGTATAACACTCCCATTGGGATTTGGGAAACACCTCATAATCAAACATACTAATTTTTCTGTAGCAAAATTTATGAATATTCATATTAAGTGGGATAAATAGATTTTAAATGGCTTCATACTATTTGGGTTAATTACATTTTTTAATTAGGTTATGGGAAAACTTAAGAGCTTTTTGGATTTTAGATTTTTGGAAAAAGAATTGTGAACCCATATTATAAAGTTCATAAAATGAATGAAATCGAGCTACATGTATCGATGTGGATAAATCTGAAGCATATTATGTTAAGTAACAAAAGGAAGTTGCAGAGATAACCTTGTGCAAATGACATCATTTATGTGAATTGTTAAATAAGCAACAGTGAGAGAGAGAGAGAGAGCTCTGAAGCAAATAAGGCAAATTATTGGTAGTGGTTTTCTTACTTTGTTGTATGTTTGAATGTGTCTTTATAACCTCAAACTTCAGCTTTTAAACCTTCTGTTTTACCTTAAGAATGTAAGGTTACATTGAGTTAGGCAATAAGAGTATGCTACAAAGCATGTCAGAACTGGAAGTGTTCTTTAAAATCATTTAAATTATCATCCCTTCTTTTTTTCTTACTTTCTTTTTTTCTTTTCTTTTTTTTTTGGAGGCAGGGTCTCACTCTGCCGCCCAGGCTGGAGTATAGTGGCATGATCATGGTTCACTGCAGCCTCAGACTCCTGGGCTCAGGGAAACCTCCTGAGTATCTGGGACTATAGATGCATGCCACTGTGCCCAGCTAATTTTTTTAATTTTTTTGTAGAGACAGTGTCTGTGTTGCCCAGGCTGGTCTTGAACTCCTGGGCTCAAGCAGTCCTTCCTCCTCGGCTTCTCAAAGTGCTGGGATTATAGGTGTGAGCCACTGTGCCTGGTCTACTCTTCCTTCTTCTAATCCAAGTCATTCCTACTTGTTAAGAGATTCTCTTGAATATTTATTTATTTTCCCTTTTTAAACCTTAGACCTTTTACTTCTTTTCAAAACATATTTTGGTTGAGATATAGTTTCCATACAGTGAAATGCACACACCTTAAGTATCTTGTTTCCATGAGTTTTGACAAATGCCAACACCCGTGTAATCCACAATTCTGTCAAGATACAGAACATTTCCATCATCCCACAAAGTTCCCTTGCATCTCTCCCCAGTTCGCATCATCCCTGCCCCGCAGCACAGGTAGTGTTCTGATTCCTTTCACTTTAATTTTACGTGTTCTCGAACTTCATTTAAATGGAATCATACAGTCTGTACCCTGTTGTGTCTGGCTTTTGTTGCTCAGTGTGTTGTTTTTTACATTTATCCATGTTGTTGCATGTATCCATAGTTATCCTTTTATATACTGAGTAACACTCCATTGTGTGAATGTGGTACTATCAGTTTATCCAATCTTCTGTTGATGGACATTTGTGTTGTTTCCAGTTTTTGGCTCTTATAGATAAAACCACTGTAAACATTTTTATATGGTTGTGTTTATTGGTACATGTTTTCATTTCTCTTGGGGTGATACCTAAGGGTGGAATTCCTGGGTCCTAGGGTGGTGCATACTTCACTTCGTGAGAAACTACCAGAGCAGTTTTCAGTGTTGCTTCTGGCTGCTTCCATCCTTGCCAGCATTTGGTATTGTTAATTGTCTAAATTTTAGCCATTCTAGTGGGTGTGTAGTGATATCTTATTGTGGTTTTGATTTGCATTTCCCCAGTTACTAAAGATACTAGTCACTTTTTCGTTTGCTTATTGGTTAGTTAGTTCAATTGCTTATTGTCCTTAGAAGAACGTTCATCTTCCCCAGGAATGTATTTTTCTTTTTGAAGTATCTAAGTCTTCTACCCACTTTTAAAAAGTTTTTTTTTTTTAATTGAGTTGTAGAAGTAGTTTATATATTCTGGATACAAGTCCTTTAACAGTTATATGTGGCATGCCAATTTTATTTTTATAGTGGTCTCTTTCTTTTTAAAATTTTTCCTCATCACTCTTTCCATATGATACAATGTTCTCTTTTGATAAGCAGAAATTAAAAATTTTGAAGTCTAATTTGTGAATTTAAAGTTTTATCATTAGTACTTCCTAAGATAACCATCCAAATATCTTTCCCTTAAAAGTATAAAGTCTGAGGCTGGGCACAGTGGCTCACACCTTTAATCCCAGCACTTTGGGAGGCCGAGGCTGGCAGATCACCTGAGGTCAGGAGTTTGAGACCAGCCTGGCCAACATGGAGAAACCCTGTCTCTACTAAAAATACAAAAACTAGCTAGGCTTGGTGGCGGGCACCTGTAATCTCGGCTACTTGGGAGGCTGAGGTATGAGAATCGCTTGAACCTGGGAGGTGGAGGTTGCAATGAGCCAAGATTGCGCCACTACACTCCAGCCTGGGCAGCAGAGCAAGACTCTGTCTCAAAAAAAAAAACAAAAAAGTGTAAAGTCAGCTGAAGTGATATGAAAGCTTTTGTGATCATAGACCTAAGCATTTGAATTGCAAATATAACTTGGTGTGTGAAAGCTCTGCAGTATGCATGCAGGAATTAAATGTCTGTCTGGAAATAATGCCAACAAATATATTTATTGGGGTTTGTGTGATAGAATTGGCAGATAACCAAGGAAGCAAATTTATTTTCCTTTTAAATATGAAGGAAAATTTATGAAGGAAGAGCAAATTTATTTTCCTTTCAAATACGAAAACATGAAGTAATCTTTTGTAATGTTTACTACCTACATTGATTGCCTTTCTCTGCATTAATTTCTCAAAAATTTTCTTCATTAATTTTCTTGAGGAGCTCTTTTATCTGCTTAATGTCTTTACAAACACATGTGCAAAAGAGTCTCAGACGCATCTTATTTGATGATTGTCATGGAAAATATTAAGGGTTTGTGTACAAATGTTTATACTGCAGTGTTTTGCTTCAAGAAAAATGTATGGTCTTCTCTATGCAAGTTTTATCATTTTTGTTGTTGTTTTTATTTCCAAGTCCTTTCTGTGTTTTAATTTTAATTTTTACTTTTATTTTTGAGACAGAGTCTCGCACTGTCACCCTGGCTGGAGTGCAGTGGTGCGATCTCGGCTCACTGCAAGCTCTGCTTCCTGGGTTCAAGCAGTTCTCGTGCCTCAGCTTCCCTAGTAGCTGGGATTACAGGCATGCACCACCATGCCCAGCTAATTTTTGTATTTTTAGTAGAGATGGGGTTTTACCATGTTGGCTATGCTGGTCTCTAACTCCTGACCTCACATGATCTGCGTGCCTTGCCCTCCCTAAGTGCTGGGATTACAGGCGTGAGCCACTGTGTCCAGCCAATAAATACTTTAAAAATAAATTTTCAGGCCAGGTGCGGTGGCTCATGCCTGTAATCCCAGCACTTTGGGAGGCTGAAGCGGGTAGATCATGAGGTCAAGAGATCGAGACCATCCTGGCCAATATGGTGAAACCTCGTCTCTACTAAAAATACAAAAATTAGCTAGGCATGGTGGCTGTGCACTTGTAGTCCCAGCTACTTGGGAGGCTGAGGCAGGAGAATGGCTTGAACCCAGAAGACGGAGGTTGCAGTGAGCTGAGATCACGCCACTGCACTCCAGCCTAGCGACAGAGCAAGACTCCTTCTCAAAAAAAAATTTAAAAAAATGTTTTTTTCAGCAATGTGTGGAAAATATACACAAGATATAAGACCAATAAAATGCTACTGTCTAGGAGATGAGGTGCCTCATACCTGAATCCAGCACCAAGGTGGGCGGATAACCTGAGGTCAGGAGTTTGAGACCAGCCTGGCCAGCATGGCAAAACTCCATCTCTACTAAAAATACAAAAATTAGGGGGTGGTGGCGTACACCTGTAATCCCAGCCACTTGGGAGGCTGAGGCACGAGAATGGCTTGAACTCTGAAGGCGGAGGTTGCAGTGAGCCGAGATCACACCACTGCATTCCAGCCTGGGCGACAGAGCGAGACTCTGTCTCAAAACAGAAGGGACTTGGAAATAAAAACAGCTAACAACAAAAACCCGTAACATAGTCATTTATTATCATTATCAAGTATTATGTACTGTATATAATTGTATGTACCACACTTTTATATGACTGTCAACGCATTAGGTTTATTTACACTAACATCATTGCAAACACATGGGTAAGGCATGTGTTACAACATTATGATGGCTATGACCAATGTGATAGGAATTCCCCACCCTCCCACCCGAGACGGAGTCTTGCTGTGTCGCTAGGCTGGAGTGCAGTGGCATGATCTCCACTCACTGCAACCTCCGCCTCCCGGATAAGCGATTCTCCTGCCTTAGCCTCCTGAGTAGCTGGGATTACAGGCACGCACCACTACACCCAGCTAATTTTTGCATTTTTAGTAGAGACGGCTTTCACCATGATGGCCAGGATGGTCTTGATCTCTTGACCTCGTGATCTGCCCGCCTCTGCCTTCCAAAGTGCTGGGATTACAGGTGTGAGCCACCATGCCTGGCCTGTGATAGGAATTTTTTAGCTCCATTGTAATGTTATGGGACCACCATGATACATGCAGTCTCTTGTTGACTGAAACGTCATGTGGTGTATATAGAATGCATTTATGACAGTAGGACTTACCCATTTTGATAGTGTTTTCATTTATTCCTTTTTCTTTTTTTTCCGAGACAGAGCTTTGCTCTGTCACCCAGGCTGGAGTGCAGTGGCGTGATCTTGGCATCCTCCAACTCCTGGGTGCAAGCGATTTTCCTGCCTCAGCCTCCCGAATAGCTGGGATTATAGGATGCCACCATGTCCAGCTAAGGTTCGTAGTTTTAGAGATGGGGTTTCACCATGTTGGTCAAACTGGTCTCAAACTCCCCCACCCCAAGTGATCTACCCACTTTGGCCTCCCAGAGTGCTGGGATTACAGGCATGAGCCACTGCACCCGACCACATTTTCATTTATTCTTTAACTTCTATTCTGGGTTGTGGTAGCATAAAGATGGATTATGTTTATTGCTGAAATAAACCTGTTGTCCAAATTTTGATGTTTTCCAGCCATTATCTTGCTACTTAGATTTATGTACAGCATTCGCAGAGCAAAAAGATAGATGATCTTATTTTTCCTGGATTCAGAGGCAGAGAGTAGTTGTTAGAATTCTAGTGTAATTGCTCATTCATTTTCTTGACTCTGACATCTTTTTTTAGAGGAAAATAACTTTGGTTAGTAAGCTCCAAATAATGGGTGAGAATGTTAAACAATTTAATCCATCCCTTTGAGTTCTAGTGCGGGTCTTTTTTGCATTTTGGTGAGTCTCCTGCTTGTGTTTAGATTAGTCTGAAAACTTTGATTTGGTTTAATATTTGAGGGCTTTCAGTGTGCTTTGCTGTACAGGAAATAAATCTCTGTCATTAACTCAAAGAATACTAAACTAACAATAAGGAGGAGTAAATTACCTTGGAGGCTCTTCCCCTGTCTCATTCTCTGTGGTTCAGACTCATTAAATTAGTTTCTTCTTTTAAAATGTTTCTTCTTTTAAAATTATGGAAATTAGAATTCAGTTGACGTTTGTACAAAGTGGGGTTATATCTGTGTATAAGTTTTGACACCCCCCAAATTTAACTATTAATAGCCTACTGTTGACCAGGGGCCTGATAACATAGTTGATTAACACATATTTTGTATGTTATATGTTAACATGTATTTTATGTATATACTGCATTCTTTAAAGCAAGCTAGAGAAAAGAAAATGTTATTAAGAAAATTGTCTGGGTGTGGTGCCTCATGCCTGTAATCCCAGCTCTTTGGGAGGCCGAGGCTGGTGGATCACACGGTTAAGAGATCAAGACCATCCCGGCCAATATGGTGAAACCCCGTCTCTACTAAAAATACAAACATTAGCCAGGCGTGGTGGTGCTCACCTGTAATCCCTGCTACTCTGGAGGCAGAGGCAGGAGAATCGTTTGAACCTGGGAGGCGGAGGTTGCAGTGAGCTGAGATTGTGCCATTGCACTCCAGCCTGGGCAACAAAAGTGCACTCCATTGCACTCCATCTCTTGGAAACAGAGCAAGACTGTCTCGGGGGAAAAGAAAAAAAAAGAAAATCACAAGGAAGAGAAAATACACTTACTATTCATTAAGTAGAAGTGGACCATCACGAAGATCTTCATCCTCATCATTTTTGTTTTGAGTAGGCTGAGGAAGAGGAAGAAGAAAAGGGATTGGTATTGCTGTCTCAGATTTGGCAGAGGCAGAAGAAAATCCATGTGTCAGCAGACCCTCAAAGTTCAAACCTGTGTGGTACAAGGGTCAACTGTACTTTGTTTTCATAGAGATATATTAAAGTTTTATGAGTTTAGCTCATAGTGATCTTATAGGTTCTAAGCTTCATTTGAATATATTGCATGTAAAATAAATGCTTTATCTGTGTTCCTTTTGTCTTTCTTGAATATTGTTGTTAATTTAAAATTTGTAATAGGTTATAACTCTTATGTTTTACCCATTTGTGAGCTTTATTTTTGGATAAGAACTTTATCCTGTACTTTTGCTGTGCTTCGTATAGTACAACTATGAAAGATTCTTGTTGACTGTTGATTATCTGAAAATGCTTCTTTTTGCTTCAGGTCAAATATTGAATAAACCTAGAGCATATAATTAACATTTTTATTAGGACTGTGGTTTGTATTTTGGCCAGTTGGGATTTAAGAATTACTTGTATTGGTTGGTGTAGAACTGATTTTTTTTTTCTTTTTCTTTTTTTTTTTTTTGGAGATGGAGTCTCACTCTGTCGCCCAGGCTGGAGTGCAGTGGCAGGATCTCAGCTCACTGCAACCTCTGCCTCCCCGGTTCTAGCAATTCTCCTGCCTCAGCCCCCTGAGTAGCTGGGTTTACAGGCGCGCACCACCATGCCTGGCTAATTCCTGTATTTTTGGTAGAAACGGGGTTTCACCATGGTGGTCAGGCTGATCTTGAACTCCTGACCTTGTGATCCGCCTGCCTTGGCTTCCCAAAGTGCTGGGATTATAGGCATGAGTGATTTTTTTAGAATAAGAGTAATTGGCTGCATTATTTTTTTAAGGAAGAGGTATAACTTCCCAGATACTTGCAATGCGGCTAATATACAGTAGCCATTTACTTTCAACATAATTTCTCAACATTTAATTTTTGTCAGTTTTTCATAAAAAATTTATGACAGGGTAAAAAGATGACATTCCTAAGTCCTAGAAAGTTTATTGATGATAAATACAAAGAATTAAATTGCAGATCAGTCTTAGAAGTGCTATTCTGTGGATAAGCATACAGCCCTGGGCAGCACAGACGGGAACATCAGATAGCCCAACCAAACCGGAAGCTTGACTTGGTTGACTTAAGAATTCTTTAAAACTCTTTTGCGTGTTACATTAATAAAGTTTATTTAATACATGTATTTATATGTTTCAGAAAAAAATGTTCTTAATTTAACATTTGTAAAAGGGTACAATACTGGTGTTTTCTCTGACTCTGATCTTCTTGATAAACAGTGTACTGAGTTCTCTGTGATATATTTTGTTTGTAATCATGACCATTTCACGTGTCCATAATTTTTTTTCTCTAAAAATATCTCTAGACTACATAGTTCTGTTATTTTAGGAATGAGAATAAACGGGATCAAAGTGTACTCTTGTTCTAAGAAACTAATGACAGTTTATTTGTTGGAAGTTCTGCCTCAGAAGAGCTTCTGATATTTATCTAAAATATATGAATAGTAGTTGTGATCTGTCATTGTTTTTGCAGATATCTAATTGTTGTAATAAAAGTCATAGGCCCTGTCAGATAGTTAAGAATTTTCATTATTGTTGTTCACAATATCCTACCATTTCATTGAGATATAGCTTGGTGTAATAATAGTACAGTCCCTGGAGTAAATTTTAGACAAATACTTTCCCAGCCTTTCAAAATCAAGCTGAGTGTTAGAGTGAGAAGTAGACTAGTGAGTGTTGCTATAAAATTTGGAGTGTGAGATCATTTTGCAGTGTGTCGGGAACAGACTTCCCAAATAGACATTCTAGTATTATCTTACAACTCGATCTTTCCTTAAACTCAATGTATCTGTTTTTGGTTGATCATTATAGATGTCTGTGATGTGTGAATATGCCCATTTTATCTTCTGTATGAATATGCTGGAGAAAGAGTAGCCTTGCTTGTAGTCTGCTTTTTTCCTTCTTCTAAAGGAGTTGGCAGGAATTTTTATAAAATAAAGCTAGCCTGATTGTAGCCAAAAGAGGAAATGTTGGTTTATATTTTAGTGGAGAAAACTGCTGTATAGACTTCTAGGCTACCAAGTCAGAGCATTGTTTTATTTTTATACTATAGTAAAATGGGTGCAGGCGGAGCTGAAGAACCAGACACACTAGTAGTTAATGTTTTCTTTCTTTACCAAAATAGTAATTGCCATGCTACATTTAGCCATATGTGCCAAAGCGTATGTGAAACTGTTAACTGTAGCCAACATATATTTCTCCTGACTTGAATGAATTGATGACGAATGGTCAGAAAAGGAGGAACAGTCATACCTAGAAATCAGCTTCCCTGTTGAATTTCACTTCTGGTATTTCCCTTTGGGATATATTCACTCAGGAGTGTCAGGATTTTTTTTGACTTCCAAGGGAAAGAAACTAGGCTTCAGAGAATTAGCATTTTGATACATCTTTTTATTGAAGGTCTTTTGAACTCCAGCAACTGTTAATCTTTAAAAGATGATGCTGGTAGTGAAATGCATTTTAAAATTTATATTCATGAATTTAAATTCCTGATTTTTTTTTTTTTGGTGAGTTTATTCTTCGAAAGAAATAGCAGTGCTTTTCAAGTGTTTGAAGACTACCAGAATTGAAAGCTCACTGCTTGCTAAAAGCATAATACCCAAACCGGAAATGATAAAGGAAAATGTCATTGTCTTTGTATTAAAAAAGAAAATATCTATTAAAAGTCATCATAAACAATGTTAAAAGAAAAATGGCAGACTTGGAAAAATATTTGTAACATACACAGCAGGTGAAAGGTTATTTTCCTAATATGAAGAGCTCTTAAAATGGATTAAGAAAAAATGTTCAATAACAAAATGGGCAAAGAACAAGGAGAGAGGAGTCACAAAAGTTGATATACAAAGACACAGATAGAAATGATTTGTAATATGACAAAAGTCGATATACAAAGATACATATAGAAATGATTTGTAATATGACAAAAGTCGATATACAAAGATACAGATAGAAATGATTTGTAATATGATAAAAGTCGATATACAAAGATACAGATAGAAATGATTTGTAATATGACAAAAGTCAATATACAAAGATACAGATAGAAATGATTTGTAATATGACAAGTCGATATACAGAGATACAGATAGAAATGATTTGTAATATGACAAAAGTCGATATACAGAGATACATATAGAAATGATTTGTAATATGACAAAAGTCGATATACAGAGATACATATAGAAATGATTTGTAATATGACAAGTCGATATACAGAGATACAGATAGAAATGATTTGTAATATGACAAAAGTCGATATACAGAGATACAGATAGAAATGATTTGTAATAAGACAAAAGTCGATATACAGAGATACAGATAGAAATGATTTGTAATACGACAAGTCGATATACAGAGATACAGATAGAAATGATTTGTAATATGACAAAAGTCGATATACAGAGATACAGATAGAAATGATTTGTAATATGACAAAAGTCGATATACAGAGATACAGATAGAAATGATTTGTAATATGACAAAAGTCGATATACAGAGATACAGATAGAAATGATTTGTAATATGACAAAAGTCGATATACAGAGATACAGATAGAAATGATTTGTAATATGACAAAAGTCGATATACAGAGATACAGATAGAAATGATTTGTAATATGACAAAAGTCGATATACAGAGATACAGATAGAAATGATTTGTAATATGACAAAAGTCGATATACAGAGATACAGATAGAAATGATTTGTAATATGACAAAAGTCGATATACAGAGATACAGATAGAAATGATTTGTAATATGACAAAAGTCGATATACAGAGATATAGACAGAAATGATTTGTAATATGACAAAAGTCGATATACAGAGATACAGATAGAAATGATTTGTAATATGACAAAAGTCGATATACAGAGATACAGATAGAAATGATTTGTAATATGACAAAAGTCGATATACAGAGATACAGATAGAAATGATTTGTAATATGACAAAAGTTGATATACAAAGATACATATAGAAATGATTTGTAATATGTATCAGAATTACAATTGTACATACTTTGTGATCCAGCAATTCCATCTTTGAGAGTTCCCAAGAAAAATGTGGATTCATGTGTAAAGATACATATGTGAAGGTGCATCTTACAATAGTGAAAAATGAGAACTAACCTAAAATATCCGTAAGTGGAATTTTATGACCAACATCTTCTCTCCAACCAATTTTTTTATTATGGTAAAATATATATAACATAAAATTTACCATCTTAACCATTTCGAAGTGTACAGTTTAGTGGCATTCAGTATATCCCATCTATCTCCAGAACTCTTTTCATCTTGACAGACTGAAACTGTATACCCATTAAACAATAACTCCTCGTTCTGTCCCACTCCTATGTCCTGGCAACCACTGTTCTAGTTCCTTCTTTATCAATTCGACTGCTCTAGATACCTCATGTCAATGGATACATATAGTGTTTGTCTTTTTGTGATTGGCTTATTTCACTTAGCACAACGTCTTGAAGGTTCATCTGTGTTGTAGCATGTGTAAGAATTTCTTTCCTTTTTAAGGCTGAAAATCATTAGCAGGTGATATGGTTTGGCTGTGTCTCCATTCAAATCTCAACTGGAATTGTATCTCTCAGAATTCCCACATGTTGTGGGAGGGCCATAGGAGGAGGTAATTGAATCATGGGGGCCAGTCTTTCCCATGCTATTCTCGTGATAGTGAGTAAGTCTCACGAGATCTGATGGGTTTATCAGGGGGTTCCGCTTTTGCTTCTTCCTGATTTTCTCTTGCTGCCGCCATGTAAGAAGTGCCTTTTGCCTCATACCGTGATTCTGAGGCTTCCTCAGCCATGTGGAACTGTAAGTCCAATTAAACAAGTGCCTTTTGCCTCATACCGTGATTCTGAGGCTTCCTTAGCCACGTGGATCTGTAAGTCCAATTAAACCTCTTTTTGTTTCCAGTTTTGGGTATGTCTTTATCAGCAGCGTGAAAACGAACTAATAGAGCAGCCACCTTATTTCCAAAAAAAAAAAAAGATTTTTTCAATGGATAATGCAGGTATTTATACCCTTATTTAAAGTATGAGGGATCTGAAACCCAGAAAGATGGTGACATGTCTAAATGTCATAACTAGTCAGCGTGAGAGTCAGAACTGAAACTCATGTTTTCTCATCACAGTTTCGTGTTCTTCCCAGTATGGTACACTGCTTAGGCCTTGAATACAAGGAATGATCTTTTATTGTTGCTTCTTCATTCCTAAAAATAAGATTTTTGATGTCACAGCCTTTTGGAATTCATTGTATAATGTGCTGGAATTTACATAACCATTCAGATTAAAGGTTCGTGTACCTTCTTTAGGGATAGAAGCTAAAGATCTACCCTCTCAAACATTTTAGTAGTTCATCTGCATTAACACCTTTATTTAATTAGCCACCCATGTTGTTACCGTCCCCTGTATAAAAAGCTTTGCATATTCTAACTTAAAAAAACTTTGCTATATTATTATCTTTGGGTATTACCAGTTTTGATTTCTGCAATCTGCTCTGTTTTTGCTACTAGAGGAGGAAAGCTGATTTGGAGTTTTCTTTTTTTCTTGGTTCTAGTTTTAGTGGGCTGCAAGGATTGCTTTGAATGCCAGCTCTATCACTTACTCTGTGATCTTGGACAAGTGCTTAAACCTCTCTAAGCCTCGTGCCCTCATTTATAAAATTAAATAATAGTACATGTGTTGGGTATCTAAAATAGTCAAATTCACAGAATCAAAGTGTGTAATGGTAGTTGCCGGGGGTAGGGGGAAATGGAGAGTTACTAATCAACAGGAATATAAACTTTTGGTTGAGATGAATAAACTCTACAGATTTGATGTATAACATTGTACCTGTAGTCAGCAGTAATGCATTGTACACTTAAAAGTTGTTAGGAAAGTAGATGTCATGTTAAGGGTTTTTACTACAGTAAAATAAAAAAAGAGTCCATGTGTCATAATGAAGATTAAATAACATAAAAAATGTGTGGTACAATCTGGCATATACAAACTACTTGTTAAATGTTAATATTTATTATTTAATGTTTATAATACTTAAAAGTCATTTTGTATTTCGCTGTCCTTCGGTTTTGCTTGTTTGTTTGTTTGTTTTGACACGGAGCCTTGCTCTGTCACCCAGGCTGGAGTGCAGTGGTGTGATCTTGGCTTACTGCAAACTCCACCTCCCAGTTCAAGCAATTCTTCTGCCTCAGCCTCCTGAGTAGCTGGGATTACAGGTTCGTGCCACCATGCCTGGCTAATTTTTCTATTTTTAGTGGAGACGGGGTTTTACCACGTTGGCCAGGCTGGTCTTGAACTCCTGACCTCGTGATGTGCCCGACTCGGCCTCCCAAAGTGCTAGGATTACAGGCGTGAACCACCGTGCCTGGCCAATTTTTGTATTTTTAGTAGAGATGGGGTTTTATCATGTTGGCCAGGCTGGTCTTGAACTCCTGGTGATCCGCCTGCCTCGGCCTCCCAAAGTGCTGGGATTATAGGTGTGAGCCCCCGCGCCTGGCCATCCTTTGTATTTTTTGATGAAAAAAAAAAATTTTTTTTTTTTTTTTTTTTTTAAGACAGAGTTTCACTCTTGTTGCCCAGGCTGGAGTGCAATGAGTGCAGTCTTGGCTCACTGCAATTCCCACCTCTCAAGTTCAAGCGATTCTCCTGTCTCAGCCTCCCGAGTAGCTCAGATTACAGGCACACGCCACCACGCCCGGCTAACTTTTGTATTTTAGTAGAGACAGGGTTTCATCATATTGGTCAGACTGGTCTTGAACTCCTGACCTCAGCTGATTTGCCCACCTTGGCCTCCCAAAGTGCTGGAATTACACAGGTGTGAGCCACCACGCCCGGCTGTTTTGATGAAATTTTTTGAAAGAATGTATTCATATTCCTGTAGATTTCCCATTTCCCACATTCCCTCAAATTTAGTTTCCGTGTTAATATCTTCTATTAATTTTGAACAGTGTCTTTATTGTAGTTTATGCAAAGTGAGGAGTGAGTGCCATACTTATTTTGCTTCCTGTTGAGAATAAACTGAAGTTAAATTACTGACATTTTGCATATTATCTCAATCATTTTTTAAGGACCTGTAAAACAGAATAAGGTGAATCCTAATTTGCTAGATGCAGATTTCTTGTAGCTATTTTTGATTCCTGCAGGCTGCTCTGATTTGCTACTTGAGGAGGAAAGCTGATTTGGGGGTTTTCTTTTTGTCTTGGTTCTAGCACATGCAGATGACAATCCAGGCTCTCCAGGATGAATTGCGGATCCAGAGGGACCTGAATCAGCTGTTTCAGCAGGATAGTAGCAGCAGGACTGGCGAACCTTGTGTAGCAGAGCTGACAGAGGAGAACTTTCAGAGGCTTCATGCTGAGCATGAGCGGCAGGCCAAAGAGCTGTTTCTTCTTCGAAAGACATTGGAGGAAATGGAGCTGCGTATTGAGACTCAAAAGCAGACCCTAAATGCTCGGGATGAATCCATTAAGAAGCTTCTGGAAATGTTGCAGAGCAAAGGACTTTCTGCCAAGGCTACCGAGGAAGACCATGAGAGAACAAGACGACTGGCAGAGGCAGAGATGCACGTTCATCACCTAGAAAGCCTTTTGGAGCAGAAGGAAAAAGAGAACAGTATGTTGAGAGAGGTATGTGACTACTTTTTTAGTTTTATGATTTGTTGGTTATCTTTTTTTTCACTGATTAATCAGCATCTTGGCCCCAGTGAATCTACGTGCTCTGCCGTGCTGGTGGAAGAGAATTTCATCCTTTGTATTTAAGTGCGTCACTGATTTCTGTTCTGATTTGCCCTGTTGTATGGGATGACATTGTCTGGTATGTATGCTGGCTCAGTGACTTTCTGGGTCTTTTCTCTCCTGCTCCCCTGATTTTGAGAGTTCATTTGTTGCTAAAGGGGTAAAAAATTCCTTGATTTTTCACTCATCTCTAGATCTGTTCATAGAGACAACAAACACAACAAAACCAGAATCAGAATAGCTAACCATTGCTTAATTTAAAAATATTAGTAAAAGAGAGTAAGCGGTTATCTCAGCTTATGTGTGCTTATAAAAGTCCTTGGCAGCAATAATGGATATTTGCCCTGTGGTTTCCATGGAAACTGTTGCCTTGCTGTAAAAGATACGTGATAAAAATCATTGGCTGCCATGGAGGCATAGCTGGAGAGAGTGATGTAGAGACACAGTGTTACTTATTTTTAGCTGACCTAGGTGACTACTGATAATTTTTTACTTTTCTAAATAATGTATCATTTTAAGAAGGCGTAAAGGAAGAAACCATCTTATATTGAATTAAAAAATTAATAGCCATAATAACTTTTCTATATATAGTTGGACTTCAGGTAATTTTCACTTTTGGGCAGGGGAAAATAAATCCCTAATCTGTGTTAGTATGAGTCTGAATAATTCCTTTTTAAATAAAATGTGAGGAAGGAGGTTTAAAAAATGGCGTATTCCCAAAGCAGCAAAATAATAATTTTTAAAAATACTTCTAAATTTGTAGGTTGTTCTATAATTTTTCCTTTTGTAAAAAGTCTGAAATCTTTTTTAACAGTGAGGGCATTTTTATTTTTGAAGTAGAACATCATTGTTTTTTAAAAACATGATGTTATTACACTGGAAATCCATTGTAGTAAAATTGGGAAATAGATTAACAAAAACTTATAACTCAAAGTATTGTTACCTAGTAGTAATTATTAACTTATGTATATGCTTCCAGTCATTTTTTTTTTATTTTAAATTTTTATTGTTTTTATTTTTAGAGATAGGGTCTCACTCTGTCACTCAGGCTGGAGTGCAGTGGCATGATCATGGCTCACTGCAGCCTTGAAATCCTGGGCTTAGGTGAGCCTTCTGCCTTAGCCTCCCTAGTAGGTAGGTCTACAGGTGCATGCCACCATGCATTGTTAATTTTTAAATTAAAAAAAAAATTTTGTAGAGACAGAGTCTCCCTATGTTGCCTAGGCTGGTCTTGAACTCCTGGCCTCAAGCAATCCTCCCTCCTTGGCTTCTGAAAGTGCTGACATTACAGGCAATATGCCTATGCCTGGCCCATTATTATTATTGTTGTTGTTGTTGTTGAAAGTGCTGAGATTACAGGCAATATGCCTATGCCTGGCCCATTATTATTATTATTGTTGTTGTTGTTGAAAGTGCTGAGATTACAGGCAATATGCCTATGCCTGGCCCATTATTATTATTATTGTTGTTGTTGTTGAAAGTGCTGAGATTACAGGCAATATGCCTATGCCTGGCCCATTATTATTATTATTGTTGTTGTTGAAAGTGCTGCGATTACAGGCAATATGCCTATGCCTGGCCCGTTATTATTATTATTGTTGTTGTTGTTGAAAGTGCTGAGATTACAGGCAATATGCCTATGCCTGGCCCATTATTATTATTATTGTTGTTGTTGTTGAAAGTGCTGAGATTACAGGCAATATGCCTATGCCTGGCCCATTATTATTATTATTGTTGTTGTTGAAAGTGCTGAGATTACAGGCAATATGCCTATGCCTGGCCCATTATTATTATTATTATTGTTGTTGTTGTTGAAAGTGCTGAGATTACAGGCAATATGCCTATGCCTGGCCCGTTATTATTATTATTGTTGTTGTTGTTGAAAGTGCTGAGATTACAGGCAATATGCCTATGCCTGGCCCATTATTATTATTATTGTTGTTGTTGTTGAAAGTGCTGAGATTACAGGCAATATGCCTATGCCTGGCCCATTATTATTATTGTTGTTTGTTGTTGTTGAAAGTGCTGAGATTACAGGCAATATGCCTATGCCTGGCCCATTATTATTATTATTGTTGTTGTTGTTGAAAGTGCTGAGATTACAGGCAATATGCCTATGCCTGGCCCATTATTATTATTATTGTTGTTGTTGTTGAAAGTGCTGAGATTACAGGCAATATGCCTATGCCTGGCCCATTATTATTATTATTGTTGTTGTTGAAAGTGCTGAGATTACAGGCAATATGCCTATGCCTGGCCCATTATTATTATTATTGTTGTTGTTGAAAGTGCTGAGATTACAGGCAATATGCCTATGCCTGGCCCATTATTATTATTATTGTTGTTGTTGAAAGTGCTGAGATTACAGGCAATATGCCTATGCCTGGCCCATTATTATTATTATTGTTGTTGTTGAAAGTGCTGAGATTACAGGCAATATGCCTATGCCTGGCCCATTATTATTATTATTGTTGTTGTTGAAAGTGCTGAGATTACAGGCAATATGCCTATGCCTGGCCCATTATTATTATTATTGTTGTTGTTGAAAGTGCTGAGATTACAGGCAATATGCCTATGCCTGGCCCGTTATTATTATTATTGTTGTTGTTGAAAGTGCTGAGATTACAGGCAATATGCCTATGCCTGGCCCGTTATTATTATTATTGTTGTTGTTGAAAGTGCTGAGATTACAGGCAATATGCCTATGCCTGGCCCGTTATTATTATTATTGTTGTTGTTGAAAGTGCTGAGATTACAGGCAATATGCCTATGCCTGGCCCATTATTATTATTATTGTTGTTGTTGAAAGTGCTGAGATTACAGGCAATATGCCTATGCCTGGCCCGTTATTATTATTATTGTTGTTGTTGAAAGTGCTGAGATTACAGGCAATATGCCTATGCCTGGCCCATTATTATTATTATTGTTGTTGTTGAAAGTGCTGAGATTACAGGCAATATGCCTATGCCTGGCCCATTATTATTATTATTGTTGTTGTTGAAAGTGCTGAGATTACAGGCAATATGCCTATGCCTGGCCCATTATTATTATTATTGTTGTTGTTGAAAGTGCTGAGATTACAGGCAATATGCCTATGCCTGGCCCATTATTATTATTATTGTTGTTGTTGAAAGTGCTGAGATTACAGGCAATATGCCTATGCCTGGCCCATTATTATTATTATTGTTGTTGTTGAAAGTGCTGAGATTACAGGCAATATGCCTATGCCTGGCCCATTATTATTATTATTATTGTTGTTGTTGAAAGTGCTGAGATTACAGGCAATATGCCTATGCCTGGCCCATTATTATTATTATTGTTGTTGTTGAAAGTGCTGAGATTACAGGCAATATGCCTATGCCTGGCCCATTATTATTATTATTGTTGTTGTTGAAAGTGCTGAGATTACAGGCAATATGCCTATGCCTGGCCCATTATTATTATTATTGTTGTTGTTGAAAGTGCTGAGATTACAGGCAATATGCCTATGCCTGGCCCATTATTATTATTATTGTTGTTGTTGAAAGTGCTGAGATTACAGGCAATATGCCTATGCCTGGCCCATTATTATTATTATTGTTGTTGTTGAAAGTGCTGAGATTACAGGCAATATGCCTATGCCTGGCCCGTTATTATTATTATTGTTGTTGTTGAAAGTGCTGAGATTACAGGCAATATGCCTATGCCTGGCCCGTTATTATTATTATTGTTGTTGTTGAAAGTGCTGAGATTACAGGCAATATGCCTATGCCTGGCCCATTATTATTATTGTTGTTGTTGTTGAAAGTGCTGAGATTACAGGCAATATGCCTATGCCTGGCCCGTTATTATTATTATTGTTGTTGTTGAAAGTGCTGAGATTACAGGCAATATGCCTATGCCTGGCCCATTATTATTATTATTGTTGTTGTTGAAAGTGCTGAGATTACAGGCAATATGCCTATGCCTGGCCCATTATTATTATTATTGTTGTTGTTGAAAGTGCTGAGATTACAGGCAATATGCCTATGCCTGGCCCATTATTATTATTATTGTTGTTGTTGAAAGTGCTGAGATTACAGGCAATATGCCTATGCCTGGCCCATTATTATTATTATTGTTGTTGTTGTTGAAAGTGCTGAGATTACAGGCAATATGCCTATGCCTGGCCCGTTATTATTATTATTGTTGTTGTTGAAAGTGCTGAGATTACAGGCAATATGCCTATGCCTGGCCCGTTATTATTATTATTGTTGTTGTTGAAAGTGCTGAGATTACAGGCAATATGCCTATGCCTGGCCCATTATTATTATTGTTGTTGTTGTTGAAAGTGCTGAGATTACAGGCAATATGCCTATGCCTGGCCCGTTATTATTATTGTTGTTGTTGTTGAAAGTGCTGAGATTACAGGCAATATGCCTATGCCTGGCCCATTATTATTATTATTGTTGTTGTTGAAAGTGCTGAGATTACAGGCAATATGCCTATGCCTGGCCCATTATTATTATTATTGTTGTTGTTGAAAGTGCTGAGATTACAGGCAATATGCCTATGCCTGGCCCATTATTATTATTATTGTTGTTGTTGAAAGTGCTGAGATTACAGGCAATATGCCTATGCCTGGCCCATTATTATTATTATTGTTGTTGTTGAAAGTGCTGAGATTACAGGCAATATGCCTATGCCTGGCCCATTATTATTATTATTGTTGTTGTTGAAAGTGCTGAGATTACAGGCAATATGCCTATGCCTGGCCCATTATTATTATTATTGTTGTTGTTGAAAGTGCTGAGATTACAGGCAATATGCCTATGCCTGGCCCGTTATTATTATTATTGTTGTTGTTGAAAGTGCTGAGATTACAGGCAATATGCCTATGCCTGGCCCGTTATTATTATTATTGTTGTTGTTGAAAGTGCTGAGATTACAGGCAATATGCCTATGCCTGGCCCGTTATTATTATTATTGTTGTTGTTGAAAGTGCTGAGATTACAGGCAATATGCCTATGCCTGGCCCGTTATTATTATTATTGTTGTTGTTGAAAGTGCTGAGATTACAGGCAATATGCCTATGCCTGGCCCGTTATTATTATTATTGTTGTTGTTGAAAGTGCTGAGATTACAGGCAATATGCCTATGCCTGGCCCGTTATTATTATTATTGTTGTTGTTGAAAGTGCTGAGATTACAGGCAATATGCCTATGCCTGGCCCGTTATTATTATTATTGTTGTTGTTGAAAGTGCTGAGATTACAGGCAATATGCCTATGCCTGGCCCATTATTATTATTATTGTTGTTGTTGAAAGTGCTGAGATTACAGGCAATATGCCTATGCCTGGCCCATTATTATTATTATTGTTGTTGTTGAAAGTGCTGAGATTACAGGCAATATGCCTATGCCTGGCCCATTATTATTATTATTATTGTTGTTGTTGAAAGTGCTGAGATTACAGGCAATATGCCTATGCCTGGCCCATTATTATTATTATTGTTGTTGTTGAAAGTGCTGAGATTACAGGCAATATGCCTATGCCTGGCCCATTATTATTATTATTGTTGTTGTTGAAAGTGCTGAGATTACAGGCAATATGCCTATGCCTGGCCCATTATTATTATTATTGTTGTTGTTGAAAGTGCTGAGATTACAGGCAATATGCCTATGCCTGGCCCATTATTATTATTATTGTTGTTGTTGAAAGTGCTGAGATTACAGGCAATATGCCTATGCCTGGCCCATTATTATTATTATTGTTGTTGTTGAAAGTGCTGAGATTACAGGCAATATGCCTATGCCTGGCCCGTTATTATTATTATTGTTGTTGTTGAAAGTGCTGAGATTACAGGCAATATGCCTATGCCTGGCCCGTTATTATTATTATTGTTGTTGTTGAAAGTGCTGAGATTACAGGCAATATGCCTATGCCTGGCCCGTTATTATTATTATTGTTGTTGTTGAAAGTGCTGAGATTACAGGCAATATGCCTATGCCTGGCCCATTATTATTATTATTGTTGTTGTTGAAAGTGCTGAGATTACAGGCAATATGCCTATGCCTGGCCCATTATTATTATTGTTGTTGTTGTTGAAAGTGCTGAGATTACAGGCAATATGCCTATGCCTGGCCCGTTATTATTATTATTGTTGTTGTTGAAAGTGCTGAGATTACAGGCAATATGCCTATGCCTGGCCCATTATTATTATTATTGTTGTTGTTGAAAGTGCTGAGATTACAGGCAATATGCCTATGCCTGGCCCATTATTATTATTATTGTTGTTGTTGAAAGTGCTGAGATTACAGGCAATATGCCTATGCCTGGCCCATTATTATTATTATTGTTGTTGTTGAAAGTGCTGAGATTACAGGCAATATGCCTATGCCTGGCCCATTATTATTATTATTGTTGTTGTTGAAAGTGCTGAGATTACAGGCAATATGCCTATGCCTGGCCCATTATTATTATTATTGTTGTTGTTGAAAGTGCTGAGATTACAGGCAATATGCCTATGCCTGGCCCATTATTATTATTATTGTTGTTGTTGAAAGTGCTGAGATTACAGGCAATATGCCTATGCCTGGCCCGTTATTATTATTATTGTTGTTGTTGAAAGTGCTGAGATTACAGGCAATATGCCTATGCCTGGCCCGTTATTATTATTATTGTTGTTGTTGAAAGTGCTGAGATTACAGGCAATATGCCTATGCCTGGCCCATTATTATTATTGTTGTTGTTGTTGAAAGTGCTGAGATTACAGGCAATATGCCTATGCCTGGCCCGTTATTATTATTATTGTTGTTGTTGAAAGTGCTGAGATTACAGGCAATATGCCTATGCCTGGCCCATTATTATTATTATTGTTGTTGTTGAAAGTGCTGAGATTACAGGCAATATGCCTATGCCTGGCCCATTATTATTATTATTGTTGTTGTTGAAAGTGCTGAGATTACAGGCAATATGCCTATGCCTGGCCCATTATTATTATTATTGTTGTTGTTGAAAGTGCTGAGATTACAGGCAATATGCCTATGCCTGGCCCATTATTATTATTATTGTTGTTGTTGAAAGTGCTGAGATTACAGGCAATATGCCTGTGCCTGGCCCATTATTATTATTATTGTTGTTGTTGAAAGTGCTGAGATTACAGGCAATATGCCTATGCCTGGCCCATTATTATTATTATTGTTGTTGTTGTTGTTGTTGTTATTATTATTATTATTATTATTATTATTATTATTATTATTATTATCATTTGTGACAGAGCTTTGCTCTGTCCCAGGCTGGAGTGCAGTGGCGCAATCTTGGCTCATTGTAACCTCCACCTCCCGGGTTCAAGCTATTCTCCTGCCTCAGCTTCCTGAGTAGCTGGGACAACAGGCGTGCACAAGCTAATTTTTGTATTTTTAGTAGAGATGGGGTTTCGCCATGTTGGCCAGGCTGGTCTCAAACTCCTGACCTCAGGTGATCTGCCTGACTCGGCCTCCCAGAGTGCTGGGATTACAGGCGTAAGCTACTGCACCCAGCCCCATTTTTATTATTTATAGATTCCTTCATTATTTGTTTCTTTTTTTATCTTACAAGGATGGAATGCTGTGCATCAGCACTGTTCAGAAAGACTTTCTGGGTGGAGTGCTAATTAAGTTGGGAAGGGGATTTTATAACAGGGTAAGTGTCCTTTAGTAGGTACCCTTTCAGTGGAGATCTGAAGAGAAGAAGCCAGCTTTGCCAAGTAAAATAATTTCATGAAGAAGCATTAACAGTTTTAAAGACCTCATAGGAAGGAGTTTTGAGGAAACAGGAGGGAGGCTGGAGGGCAAGAATATACTGTATAAGGGGAAGACTTAATGAGATGCGAAATTGGAGAGGTGGCCAGAGTCAGATTCACTTATCACGTATTTACTGGACACCAACCATGCGCACAGCACTAAGGATATAGCAGCAAACAAATCCATGCTGTCTTTGAGAAAAAGTACCTGCCTTTATGATCCTTGCAGATAATGCAACCATTTTATTCAAAATGGGAGAGAAAACCATTCCACCGTTGAATCAAGGGAGTGACACAATCTGATTTGCTTTTAAAATTTACTCTGGTTGTGCTGAGAATAAATGGAGGAAGGAGAGAAGAGTGAACAAGGGAGTATAGTAAGGAATTTAACTGCTGTAATCTAGATTAGGGGAATGGGGACTTGAAATGATTGCTGGAGATGTACAGAATATCACTAGCGTATCAGGAAGCAGCACAAAGAATTATGGGCTGGCAATGCTAGGGTATCCAGAAATTTCATTAGTTATTGAATTATTGTCCATCTTTTAAAAAAAAGTGGCATTTAATCAATTCTTTTTTTTTTTTTTTGAGACGGAGTCTCGCTCTGTTGCCCAGGCTGGAGTGCAATGGTGCGATCTCGGCTCACTGCAACCTGCGCCCCCTGGGTTCAAGCGATTCTCCTGCTTCAGCCTCCCGAGTAGCTGGGATTACAGGCACCCATCACCAGGCCCAGCTAATTTTTCTGTTTTTAGTAGAGACGAGGTTTCACCATGTTGGTCAGGCTGGTCTTGAACTCCTGACCTCGTGATCCGCCCGCCTCGGCCTCCTAATATGCTGGGATTATAGGCGTGAGCCACCGCGCCCGGCCCACATTTAATCAATTCTAAAAGTCACAACTTTCCCTGTTTTAACAATGAAATTGAGTTAAGTGTTAACACTTGGTGTCATGTTAACAGTCTATATCAGCAAAGCAGCAGTCCTGGTATATTTGTTTGCCCGTGTATTCACAAATATAATCATGTCCATTCATTTTGTCATCATTTCAGCTGAGGTATGAGCATTGTTGGCATTTCCCATGTTAACTTTGTTGTTCAGTGTTTCTGCATAAATATTCTGTGAATCAGCATTGAAACAAAATTACCCGGTATGGAGAAAGTTATGAAAACAGTTTATGATGGTATGTGATTAAACTCTGTTTAAATAAGTTTAAAAAAACTAACTCTTGCAATCAGTATTAAGTAAAAATTCTAGGGCGGGTGCAATGGCTCACGTCTGTAATCCCAGCACTTTGGGAGGCCAAGGCGGGCGGATCGCCTGAGGCCAGGAGTTCGAGACCAGCCTGGGCAATATGGCAAAACCCTGTCTCTACTAAAAATACAAAAATTAGCTGAGTGTGGTGGTGCACGCCTGTAATCCCAGCTCTTTGTGAGGCTGGCACATGGTAATTGCTTCAACCCAGGAGGCGGAGGTTGCAGTGAGCCAGGATTGCACCACTGCACTCCAGCGTGCAGAGTGACACTCTGCCTCAAAAACAAACAAACAAAACCCTAAATTTATGATAAAGTTTTGTGTCATGATTTATTTGGAGGCATTTCCACTATTTCTTTTCAGCATGTACAACAGTGGTGTGTCTTATAATCAGTGGCATCTTAGATTTGATGAAATAAGATAGCATTAAAATGGCATTTGTAGCTATTAGTAGTAACATTTGTAATTAGTTTTACGTTTTCTTTATTAACATGATTTTGTAGCTGGCAGGTAAATAATTCTCCCCCCCAAAAGCCGAGAGGTAAAAAGTAAGATTTCAATGAAGCATTGTATTTTCTGTTTGTACTCAAATCACATTGTTGTTTGACCGCTTATTCTTAGCTTTTGTATTATTTCGCTGTAGCTCCTTTCATTTGACTGTTAGAAGAGTGGGGACATCTCTTGGACAAATGCTGAATTACAGGCAAGACTTGGTTAGTGCTGAGGGCTTGACAGGTGATTCTGTTATACACCAACATTTGAGGCCCCAACTTTGGTTTTCAGTCCGCTAGCAGAGGATACCTAAGTTGGCTGTGGAATTTTTGGGTCTTCAATCCATATGCATACCAAACATTGTCTATAGGCCAACTAAATAATATATTTCAGTATGTGCTCCTACTTACTTAAATGCTGGTATGCTATTGTGATTAATAAAATACAACTTTGTTTTAAAACATTATTGCAGCCTACTAGTTTTTTGTCTGTATTTTAATCAACAAACCGTATTAGTACAACTGCTATCGTGTTAGGTTTGCAAAAATCTTTGAGGTTAAAAGTGCTAATATTTGAATATGTTCTAGGCTAGGGAATTCTGAATCTAACTAGCATATCTGAGGACTGCTTGTCAGTTTGTCAGTATTACTGGCAGATAGAAGGTATAAGCAGAGGAGATTAAAGAAAAAAAGAAACATATATATATGTTTATGTGTATTTATTTATATATAAATATATATTTTTCTATATATAAATGTATATTTTTCTATATAAATATATATATTTTTCTATATATATATATATATATATATATATAGAAAAACATAGAAAATGAATAGGAATTTAAAAAGAAATTTTTTTTTTTTTTGAGACATAGTGTGGCTCTGTCGCCCAGGCTGGGGTGCAGTGGTGCAATCTCAGCTCACCGCAACCTCCGCGTCCCGGGTTCAAGCAATTCTTCTGCCTCGGCCTCCTGAGTAGCTGGGACTACAGGTGCCTGCCACCATGCCTGGCTAATTTTTGTATTTTTAATAGAGATGAGGTTTCACCTTGTTGGCCAGGCTGGTCTCAAACTCTTGACCTCAAGTGATCCTCCCGGCTCGGCCTCCCAAAGTGCTGGGACAACAGGCATGAGCCACCACACCCGGCCAAAAAAGAAAAAGAAATTCTTAGTTTGTCTTTTGTAGCAATTTTGGAAGATGAGAACAGTTGCATACCTTATTTATTTAAGTTATTCCTTCTCTCTCTTTTTTTTTTTTGGCAACAGAGTCTCGCTCTATCGCCCAGGCTGGAGTGCAGTGGTGCGATCTCAGCTCACCTCAACCTCCGCCACCTGGGTTCAAGTGATTCTCCTGCCTCAGCCTCCCAAATAGCTGGGATTACAGACGTGTGCCACCACACCTGGGCTAATTTTGTATTTTTAGTAGAAATGGGGTTTCACTGTATTGGTCAGGCTGGTCTCGAACTCCTGACCTCAAGTGATTCGCTGGTCTTGGCTTCCCAAATGCTAGGATTACGGACGTGAGCCACCGTGCCTGGCCCTTCCTCTCCTTTTTAAATTACATCATTTGTCCTTCATTTCCATTTTGACAAGGTGACATTTTCTGAGCACACTACTATTACCAGAGATGGTAATGGGTTCAGGTACAATGGTGTGTGACACTGGGCAAGTTAAGATACGAAAAAGTGGTAACAGTTCTTTCCATTTACCCTCCCTTCTTTTTTATTTCTGTCTCCGCTGTGTTGTCAGTATGATAAATTCAGAAATTGAATCTGTGAAGGGACTTCCCGAACAATGTGGAGCTTCTATCCTTGAACCAAGGGTGCTGAGGGCTAAGACTTGAAACTTGAAAAAAAATTTTCAGACCTAAGTTTTACTTTTTAGTCACACATACTTCTTTCTCTCAGGTGTGCAAGTAAAAGTTGACTTACTTTTACAAAGAAACAACTAGGGAAAAGGAGAATTATTAAATTTTGTTTCTCAGGCGTGGTGGCTCATACCTGTAATCCCAGCACTTTGGGAGGCTTAGGTGGGCAGATCACTTGAGGTCAGGAGTTCAAGATCAGCCTGGCCAACATGCTGAAATGCCGTCTCTACTAAAAATACAAATATTAGCCAGGCATGGTGGTGCATGCCTGCGGTCCTAGCTATTTGGGAGGCTGAGGCAGGAGAATCGCTTGAACTCGGGAGGTGGAGGTTGCAGTGAGCCGAGATTGTGCCACTGCACCAAAAAAAAAAAAAAAATTGTTTCTAACTTGTTTATTTTCTAAATATAAATTAGTCATTATTCTTTAGTTATTTAAGGAGAGAAAATGAACATATTTTTTATGGTCTACCACATTTGAAAGTATATTATAGCAACATTAAATGGACTAAGACAAAAAAAGACAAATAGACTATATAACAAGATTCAGATACTTCTACCTCTAATTTTTTCAAATGAAAATTTTCAGCCAAAAAGGAGTGAAATAAAGTGACCAAATAGCATATTCTACTTCTTACACTTCTTTGAATAGTACTTCTATTTCCAGTCTTCTCTCTCTATTGACAATGCGGGAGGCATAGGCTTGATGTGCTTGGTGGGAAAGGGGAGCTTATGAGCTCACTGACTGGAAGATGTGTTCATAGTGAACTGTAAGGTGCAGGCTTCTGAATGGGAGTTTGTTTTGAGCAATGGGTTTTAAAACGTCTTTGTAGAAAAGCTTTATGCCTATGGATGGTTTAAAATACACCCCAATTCTTTATTGTACGCAGGGAAGGATTTTTTTTTTTTTTTTTTGAGATAGGGTCTGACTTTGTCACCTAGAGTGCAGTGGCGTGATCTTGGCTCATTGCGGCCTCCACCTCCCAGGCTCAAGCAGTCCTCCTGCCTCAGCCCCCGCAAGTGGCTGGGACTACACATGAGCACCACCACACCCAGCTAGTTTTATGTGTTTTTCATAGAGATGGGGATTCACCGTGTTGCCCAGGCTGGTCTCGAACTACTGAGCTCAAGTGATCTGCCTGCCTTGGTTTCCCAAAGTGTTTGGATTACAGGCATGAGCCACTGCACCCAGTCAGGACTTTTTATTCAAATGGATTTTTCGGTTTTCTTTAGGAATTAGGTGATGCTCAAGAGGAGAAATCAGATGAAATAAGTTGAAAATCTAAATTGTGTGTTATTTTTTAAAAAATGCAGTTTTAATATTTTCAAGTAGATACAGAAATACCAAATAAAAATGTTGTAAAGTATAGGTTATAAAATTTTGTTAATAAATGAAGATTGTTTACAGTTAGCAGAGTTCATTTTATTTTTACTCAGACAATTTAAAGTTCGACACTCATTTATTGAACAAATACTGTTAAATATCTACCGTGTGCCCAGTCAATCACCTTGTAGTGTGCAGAACAGATTCAACATGGACAAACTAGGCTGGGAGGAGGCTGACGAGTTTGTCGTTTTAAGGCAGGTGAGAGATTATTATGGCCTAAACTAATTAATGTGTTAGGTGTTGGGATGGAAGAAAACAAATAATTTTAAGAGATTTTAAAAACTCTTTTTTGATACAATATGGAATGCATGTAAGAAATAGAATAAAACAGGTGTATAGTTAAGTAAATTATAAAGTAAGCACCCTCATAACCACTACCTAGGTCTAGAAATAGAACTTTCACAGCCACCCAGAAGTCCTGTACGTGAACCAACCCAGCCAGAACTCTCCCTTCCCTCTAAAAGTAACCAGTGTTCTGGGTTTTATAGTTATCATGCCTTTGCTTATTATACTTATCACATCTGATCCTTACTATCATAGTATTGTTATCTTGTATTATATGTTAAATTAATATCATTCCTAGGTATCATCCCTAAGAATTATGTCTTTGTTTTGTCTGTTTTTCAAAAATATGCTTTAAATCTCTTAATTACCGATTTGCCCTTAATTCCTCCTTTTTTTTCTCGTGCAGTTGGAGCATTTCTTGGCTTATTAGCTGGAATGACAATTCCATCATCTTTGTAATATCCATGTTTATTTCAGTGGAATGACTTCTCTCCTGGTTGTAGGTCATATTTTCCTACTTCGTGTGTATAGAATTTGTGGTATGATGGACATTTTGGACACAAGGTGATTGAGTATCTGGATTTTGGTACCTTCCTTAATGAAGGGTTGTTTTGTCTGGCAAGAGTTAATTTACTTGGGGATTAACTTGATCCTTTCAAGACTTGCTTTTAAACTCTGTTAGGCCTGGTTTAGAATAGCCTTTTCTCTAGGCTACATCAGCTCTACTCCTAAGCTTGACCTTTTAGTGTCTCTACTAAATGCCTCTGCTGTTCTCCCCACTATTTGGAACTTGAATTTTTCCCAGCCCTATGGGGTTCAGGTAGTTACTCAACTCATGGCTCTCTGATAGTTGCTCTTTCTCCAGTAGCTCTTGATCTTATTTTGTGGCAGCTTGCCCTATACATGCACAGCTTAGTATTTGGCCAAAGACTCAAGGGGACCCTTGTCAGGTTAGACAGTGCTGCTTTTCTGGTAAGCTCCCTTCTCTGTGTTTTGTTTTTAATTTTTAATTTTTTTTTTTTTTTTTGAGACAGAGTCTCACTCTGTTGCCCAAGCTGGAGTGCAATGTCGCGATCTCGGCTGACTGTAACCTCTGCCCCCCAGGTTCAAGCGATTCTCCTTCCTCAGCCTCCCGAGTAGCTGGGATTGCAGGTGCCCCCCACCATGCTCAGCTACTTTTTGTATTTTTGGAAGAGACGGGGTTTTGCCATGTTTGCCAGGCTGGTCTTGAACTCCTGGCCTCAAGTGATCTGCCCGCCTTGGCCTCCCAAAGTGCTGGGATTACAGGCGTGAGCCATGGTGCCCGGACCTCTGGTATTTTGCTCCGCAAAGTTTTGCAGATTAATGGGAACCTTACTCATTAAACTGTCTTTGGAGCTTTGCAAGACTGCTGTTCTTTGTTTGGGCTTTCCCTCCCTACGCCCCATACTAGACATATCTGGGCCATCACCTTGTTTATTTTCTCTCAAGGATCATAGTCCTGTATTGCTTGTTATCCAGGGTCTGAAAACAGTTATTTCATGCATTTTGTTTAATTTTATGATAGTTTATGACAGGAAGGCCCATCTCACCTTATGGTCAAAGTGAGAAGTATAATGGTAAATTTATTGAAAGATTTAAAGCAGATTAATGCCATGATTTGTGGATATTTTATCAAGATCACCCTGGTGCTCTCTTGAAAATAGACAAAGGAGGTGGAAGAAAGCTAACTAGAGGCTGTTGCAAACTAGACTGGAAATGGGGTGAAATGGTTAGACTCAAGAAATACTTCCGCACTAGAACAGTTAGGACCTGCTGTTGACTTGGTTGTGGGAAATGAATATCAGGAGGAGAAAAAGGAGAGCTTTGGTGTTTGGCTTGAGCCACTGGAATGGCAGTGCCATTTAATGAGACAGAGAAGACTCATCTCTCATCAGAGTCACCAGATGATGGGTGAGATTGAAGAAGAGGAAATCAAGAATTTTTTTTGATAAAATAAGTGTGAGTTGCCTGTTAGACATCTAAATAGAGATGCCAAATGGGCAGTTGGATGTATGAGTCCTGAAATCAGAGCAGAGGGCAGGCCTAGAAATTCATCAGCATTTCCGTTGTATTTTAAACCATGTAGTAGATTAAAGAGTTTAGATGGAAAAGAGAAAAAGGTTAGAACTGATCACCTGGTCACTGGTCTAATTTAGACCTGGAGGTCTGATTTAGAAGGAAGAACCTGTGAAGGAAACAGAGAAAGTGCAACTGGAGAGTGAGAACTAAAAACAGGAGAGTGTGATGTCCTAATAGTCAAGAGAAAACAAGTGTCTAGGAGGGATTGGGCCGTTGCTTTGAATGCTTCTGAGAGTTCCAGGGAGATGAGGACAGAAATGTGTTTGTTAGAGTTGGTAACTTAGAATTCGTTGGTGGTCTTGATGAGTTGTTTCAATGGAGGGGTAGAGAAACAAGCCAGATTAGGCTGCTTTTATGAGGTAAAGGGAATCTTGTATGTCTGAAATATTTTAAAATTAATTAAAATAAAAAGAGTGAATGGGAGAGGGAGAGGAAGAAGGAGAGATAGCAGGTGTGGACCAGCTGTCTTCAGGGCAGGCATTTGAACACCTTGGAGTTCACAGAGACTCTGCAGTGGTGTGTGGGCAGTTTCAGATTCTCAACTCCCATGTGTCATTCTCTGGATTTTAGTTGGCCGAAAACATACCTGTGAGATCATCTTTCCCCTCCCTTTTTATGGTTGCACTTTGCCCACTCTAACTCCTGTTCATCCTTCAGCTCTCAGGTGTTCCTTAGGAAACTTTACAAGATCCCAAGACTACGTCAGGATCTCCTAATTACTCTCTTACAGTATTGTGGATATTTTCTTTATAACACTTTTTACATATGAATTATACAGTTACTTAAAAAGTATTTTCATTCATTTGACAAATATTTGAGTACTATCATTGTACTGTGTATTGTTCTGGGTGCTGATATACATCAGAGAATAAAAAAGAAAAATTCCTGGGATAGGAGAGACAAACAATAAACAAACAGTTATAAATACCAAGAAAAAAGTAGATCTTGGTTAGGGAGATTGGGGATGTATATTAGAGTCAAATCATAAGTGAAAATGGGGTAATAAGGATGAGCCTGCTTGAGACTTTGATTTTTTTTTTTTTTTTTTTTTTTTTTTTTTTTGACAGAGTCTTGCTCTGTCACCCAGGCTGGACTGCAGTGGCACCATCTCGGCTCACTGCAACCTCCACCTCCTGGGTTCAAGCCATTCTCCTGCCTCAGCCTCCCCAGTAGCTGGGATTGCAGGTGCGCACCACCAGGCCCAGCTAATTTTTTTGTATTTTTAGTAGAGATAAGATTTTACCATGTTGGCCAGGCTGGTCTTGAACTCCTGACCTCGTGATCCACCCGCCTCGGCCTCCCAAAGTGCTGGGATTACAGGCATGAACCACCGCTCCCAGCCGAGACTTTGACTTTTGAACAGACTTCAACAGTTAAGGGAAGGAGAGAGCCTGTCAAAGGGAGCAGTGAGTGAAAGGCCTTAAGTCAAGAGGGTGACTGACATGTTGAGGAAAAGCAAAGAGGTGAGTCTGGCTGGAGCCGACTGGATGAGAGAGAGGAGTATAAGAGATGAGGCCAGAGAGGTAACAGGGCCGGATCATGTAGAGCCTTCTAGGTCAGCATAAGGACTGTGACTTTTACTGTGAGTAAAACGAGAAGCTTTTGATAATTGCAAGCATATTTTGACTTCTGCTTTAAAAAGATCACTCTAGATGCTCTATTGTGAATGGTGAGATAGATTTGGGAGACTGTTGGTGTAATCCAGGCAAAAGATAATGGTGGCTTAGAGCAGTGTGATGGTGGAGGTGGTAAGTTTCAGGATATATTTTGAAAATGGGAAGAGCAGGATTTCCTGATGAGTTGGATATAGGTGTAAGAAAAAAAGAGACTCCTATGTTTTTGGCTTGAACAACTGGCTGGATGCATACCATGAATCAAGGCAGGATGAGTGAAGCAAGTTTAGAGGGGAAGGCCAGGAGGTCACTTGCAGATGTGTTAACAGTGGGGCAGATATTTGATACTCCAGGAAAGTAAAGGTACATACGAGTATGGATTTCAGTAGGAGGTAAACATTTGGGAGTTATCAGTATGTGCATGATACTGAACGGTAAATACCAAGGGAATGAGTATAGGTGGAAAAGAGAAGCCTACAAAGGACTGATGCTTGGGACACTCCTGAGGAGTTGGGAAGAAAAGCTTAGGGTAAGATAGGAGGAAAAGCTTAGGGTGCCATACCTTGAAAGCCAAGGAAAGAGAGTAGAATAAGGAAGAGGGATTGAGCAGTTGGGTAAAATGCTGCTGGTCAGGTACAGTGACTAAGGATGCATCATGGGTGCTAGCAATGTGGAGGTCGTCAGTGACCCTGATGAATTGCATAGATGATTATTTGATTAAACTCTATTTTTCCTATTAAAGCTTCCATGATAAAAGGGACCAAATATGTTATTTCTCATTATTATATCTCCAAAACTTAGTTCCTGGAGTGCATAAATGGGATAAATACATAGGTCCCAGAGCCTCTGGGAGGACTAGAGAACTGGGCTCCGAAGTTATATAGACAAGAATAATGCCTCGAATCAATCACACTTCTATATTGCTTTAGTGATGACAGTGCTGCGTGGCACAGGCATGTGAGTGTGTTACGCCGACATCACTGACACTGCTCACCACCACTGGAGCCTCTGCTGTTGGTGTGTCTGGAAGCCTGAGGTAGCTGCTGCCTCTGCCACCCACTGCTGGAATTGTCTGTAAATATTCATGTCCCGGCTTCTTCATGTCACAAGATTCTGTTTCAAAGTACATGACGAATGTGTCTGATTGAGGTGATTAGGTCATGTACCTGGGCTTTAATCACAAGAAAGGCTGGGCAACAAGTATGTGGCATTTTCAATTTCTGTTGTGGGAGGTAGACTCTGCCTTTAAATGTGGAGTTCCCACACATGCTAAGGAATTCAGATATCACACGGCGAGGAAGAGTGATGAATGCCTGCCACGGTGCGAGATAAATAGATTTTGTGGGGTATACGTGTAAAGGTAATAGTTGAAACCATAGGATTAGGGAAGGGCTATTTTGGATGGTTATTTGTACGGGTTGTTCACCAAACAAGAGCTTCCTGCTGATGGAGCCCGTAGGCCCTAAAATTCAGCCTGTGCTTCATGGTGATGTTGCATCTACCCAAGAAGGGTTGCTTTTTTTCTAATTCGCATAAAGTTACTCTGTGGATTAGTGAAGGCTTTGGATTCAGGCTATAGAATCCAGATGTTCCAAGGACAGGAATTTAGAAAATGTCTGCAGGTAGGAAAGGAAAAGGGTGGAGTTTAGAGCTAGGATAATTCTTTAATGGAAGCCGGTTGAAAATTTTAAAGACGTTCCTTCTTTAACTTAAATTTTTTTTTTTCTGGTACCAGCTAGAGTTTGCAAAGGAGGTGAACTGACAATAACTATTAGGTTTAGAAACAAGGAGGTTTTTTATTTGCTATTTTAGATCGTATGGTTCAGTGGAGAGGTGAGGATAGAAACTGGCTGATCATTCATTCATCATTCATTCCTTCATCTAACAAAAGAGGAACAGATAGAGAGGAGAAGTAATTTTTAACGACTGCTTACATATCAGACAGTGCCTGAGGAATACAGAAGACAGTTTCTAAAAGAGTTCACAGTATGGTATGTTAGAGAAGAAAAACTATTGCTAATACAATGGGGTAAGTGCTCATGGAGCTATGTAAGCTGTGTAGCATGCTGTATGAGAAATAGGAGGTGTACAAAATTCAGCACAGGAGTAGGAAGGGACTAAAATATTTCCTTTCTAGCTAATTCTTGAACGTTTGGTAGCCATTTCATTCATTCAGTATTCATTCCTTAAATGTCTATTAAGCGCTTACCAGTGTGGCAGCTACTGTTGTAGGTGCTTTGGATCCATCAGTGAATGAATGAAACAAAGATCTTAGCTTTTGTGGAGCGTACATTCTCGTAGAGAATAATAAGTAAACATAATAAATCATAAAATATGTTAGAGGGTAAGTGCTATACACAGGAAAAAGTAGAGCGAAGTAAAGGGGAAGGACACATGCGTTCTTTTTTGGCTGTGTTAAATTTTAAAATAAGGTGTAGATTATACTGAAAACGTTGAACATTCATTTTGTTATGAAAAATTTCAAGCCTACACAAAAGCAGTAAGAACTGCATGATGAATCTCCACATGCTCATCACTCAGATACACCAGTTTCGAAAATTTTGCCACACTTCCTCCATGTATTCTTTTTTCTTTTTCCTCTTTTCTTTACCAAAGATTTTAAAGCCAATCCCTGGCATGACGTCATTTTCCTCTGCAGACTTTAATATGCGTCTCTAAAATATATGGACATTTTCTTGCATAGCGACAATGGCATTATCACAACAACTAAACCTAATACTAACACAAAAGAGGCATTTGAGCCAAGACTGGAAAGAAGTGAAGTCTTCCCCTAGCAGCTTGTGCAAAGGGCTTAAGGATCAGGAGCATGCTTAGCATATTTGAGGAGCAGCAAGGAGTCCATAGTGGCTAAAGCATGGAGACCCAGGGAAGAGCGATGAGATGAGGCCTTTGCAGGCTGCCGAGAGGACTTGGGCTCTAGTTGGAGTCGAATGGGGAGCCATGACAGGGTTTTCAGCAGAGGACTGACAAGGACAACTTTATGTTTACAAGGGTCACTTGAAGTGCTCCATTAAGAAAACACTGTAGTGGAGCAAGATAAAGCAGAGCTCAGTTAGAAGGTTGTTATGGATTAAAAGGTATATTTTTGTTTAGTGGTTCATTCCAGGTGGTGGCCGTGGAGATGGCAAGAAGTGCTTGGATTTTGGGTATGTTTTGAAGCTAGAGCTAACTGGATTTCCTGACTGCGGCTTGAGAGCGAAAGGAAGGCATTAAGAAGACTCATAGGTTTGTGGCCTGAGTAACAGGAAGGATGGAGCAGGTTTGGGGGCACCATCAGGAGTAGAGATGACATCTTGCCATGTTGCCCAGGCTGGTCTCGAACCCCTGGGCCAAAGTGACCCTCCTGCCTTGGCCTCCCAAAGTGCTGGGATTACAGGTATGAGTCATCACGCTTGGTCAGGAGTTGAGTTTTGAGCATGTAGAGTTTGAAATGTTTGTTGGACATGAAAGTGAGATGACTAGGTGGATAGTTAAAGCTGGAAGTAGGGAGAGAGGCAGCAGAAAGCATTCATCTCTGTATTCCCTGGATTCCCAAGAGCCTGTCCCCAGGGTACTTGGAAGTACTGACTGATTTATTTAGAGACATTCACAGAGTCTGACAAGAAAATCACTGAAGTGGTTTGGTAACCTGGAAGGCTCTGATATCCCTTCCTTCCTTTTCTATCCTGAACTCAGTAAAATTTGGGTAAAAAAAAAAAAAAAAGCTATGTTTTTCTGACATTTTCTGAACCTGAACTACTTAGGAAACTTGTTCAACAGTGTCATGTTTTTCTTCCTAACTGTAGCACCACTAGAGAGCGAGCTTCATCGTAGGTAACCAGGTGGTGGTTATTCTGGGGGTGGATGCCGTGGAAAGGATGTTGTCAACACAGATTGCTTTCCACAGCTGCAGTCAGCAATGCAGACTGATTGTGATGGTATTTATTTCTCCTTTTAAAAGGGAGCATTTCTAATCCCCATTTTGGATCATTTGGAATTCTGATTATATTTCCCGGAGTTATGTGGAAGATTGACACACAACCTGAGGATGTGAAATCGTAGTTTCAGCTGTTATGGTAGCTCGTGTCTGTGTGACTGATTTTAAATAACTAGGTGTTCAGAGATAGGGATCCTCCTATGCCTGCATGGTTGAGTGAGCCTGAATGCAGTCTGTGGATTCCCTGATTCACAGGGAAAGGTTGGTAACACAGAAGGGGTCATTGTCTCATAAGGCTGTAGTGATCTTTTGCATACATCGGCTCTCACTCCTCTTTGAAAAAAATGAGGGTGAACAGGAGAGCACTGAATCTCTTTCTGCCTCTTTTCTACAGGAGATGCATCGAAGGTTTGAGAATGCTCCTGATTCTGCCAAAACAAAAGCTCTGCAAACTGTTATTGAGATGAAGGTAAGTGAGAATCTAGTAAAGAATCTTATGAATTACCTTATACTTTTAAGTGATCAAAAACTTCCATGTGTGAGTGTTAGGAAATGGCATGTAATAGTATTTCACTTATTTGGAGATTAAGAGTGAGAATCAATGAAAATGACATCTTAAAAGAATTTCAGTTTTATTTCCTTTTACTTGTAGACCATAATTCAAATTGGACCAAAAAGAGTTGAACAGAATTTCTTTAAATCAGCTATTCGCAGATGTCTTGGTCTCAGGACCCCTTTATTCTCTTAAAATGACAGACTCACTTCCTTCATTTTAAGAAAATGTCTGCCAGATACCAAGTCTGGGTAACCATAGCTTGTCAGTTTTCTTTCAAGTAAAAATAGTGTTCCGTGAAGAAAATACTGAATTCAGTTTACAACTCAAAGCAACACGAGTCCTGTGCTTAGGGACAGCCATCGTATTTCAGTACGCAGCTTCATTCCATTTGTCACACACAATATTAAAAGTATGTGTACTCCAGAGTTGAGATTTTTTTTTATTATTTTTTATTTTTATTTTTTGAGATGGAGTCTCGCTCTGTCGCCTAGGCTGGAGTGCAGTGGCGTGATCTTGGCTCACTGCAAGCTCCGTCTCCCGGGTTCACGCCATTCTCCTGCCTCAGCCTCCCAAGTAGCTGGGACCACAGGCGCCTGCCACCACGCCCAGCTAATTTTTTGTATTTTTAGTAGAGATGGGGTTTCACCGTGTTAGCCAGGATGGTCTCCATCTCCTGACCTCGTTATCCGCCCGCCTCGGCCTCCCAAAGTGCTGGGATTACAGGTGTGAGCCACCGCACCTGGCCAAGATTTATTAAAAGTAATACTTTTTACTGCTTCTTCAAGGGCGGTATTAAATGAAGTAGTCTTTTAAAAATTTTATTTCTTATTTTTCATTTTTTTCCTACAAGTACTTGACGTGACAAATATTAATATAATGACTACAAGTATGGTTTGATGCCATTGCCTTGATTTGTGCTAAGGCACTAGCAGTTTTGCCCATCATTGCTGTATATCTTTAGTGCAGACAGTGGAAAAGTCAAGTGACATCATGGTATTATTGTGAAAATAGTTTTGATCATGCATACTTTGTGAAAGGGTTGAGGGTACCCTGAGAGTTCCATAGACCATCCTTTGAAAACCTCTGCCTTAAGTTAATGAATATTTAGAAATCTTTAGGCTGTTCAGTATAGTGATTAAGAGCTTGCTTTCTAAGTTAAACTCCCTGGATTCAAAATCTCGCTTCACTTAACCAACTGTAAGATATGGAGCAAATTACCTATGCCTCAGTTTCTTTATCAACAAATGGTGATAGTAATAGTACTCATCCAGTGGGTCGTTTTGAGGTTTAAATTAGTTAAAACATGTAAAAACACTTTGAACAGGACCTAGCGCATAGTAAACATTCAATCCATACTAGCTGTTGCAGCTGTTATTTTTGTTCACAATCTGTTCTTTCTCATAAAAGTTCATGTAGTTAGGGACCTCCCCCCACAACTACTTCTTCATATCCTCTAGAAAGCTCAATACTGTGTTTTGCATTGTGGGCCTTCATTTAATATTTGTTGATATGACAAGAATATTTAGTCAATGGTATATAAATAATTTTATGTAAATAGATACTTCTGAAGTAGTTATGGGAACTGTTGTCTTAATTTGGATGATTTCCTCTTAAAACTTTATATCGTATACATCTTTATTCTCGGTGGGGAAAGGATTTACCAAACAAATTCCGAATTAGTGGATTCTGGGTTCTTTGTAGTTAATTGGTAGTCTTGAGTATAATCTTGTAAAGGGCCTTTAGAATCGTTCAGTTGCATGGTTTTACCCTTTCCACATTCACCACAAGTTTGTTGTGTTATTTCCTGATCCCTTGTTAACACCTAAGAATAAAACACATGAATGTACCTATGTCCACAAAATGATTTGTTTAACTGCCTTTTGACAGAATGAGGACGAGTAATAGTATTACTTGGTGGCAATGGATGCATTTTAAGTTGTGTGAACCTTCAGCCATTCTGCTAAGAAGGAGAAAGATTCTGGTGGCCCAGTGGGGTCAAGAGGATGTGATGCTGAAATCACAACAGAAATAGCTGTGTTGCTGAGAATGTGGAATGAGCTTCAGAGAATTATGAAAATCTAGTGTAGTCTTTAGGGAAAATAGGGAAGAAAGGTGATTGAAGTAAAAGAGCCCAGTAATCTTGAAGGTGATGCAATTTTCTTTGCCCTCTCCTCTTTCGCCTCTTCTTCCTCTCTTTCCTCTTCTTATCCCTTCTCCCACCATTTTCCCTCATTCCAGCCTTTCCTTCTTTGTTCCTCTTCTTCTCTTTCTCTTCCTCCCCTTTCTCTACTATTTTTTTGTTTGTTTGTTTGTTTGTTTTTCCTTTACCAGTGGAGGAACAGGGAAGAATGACTGTACTGCTCTAGGGTTAGAGTTTTGCTGGGATAGATAAAGCAGAGCGAGTGATTGGGATGCAAATGAATTGAGGGTGATGATGACAGAGTAGTTTGGACGTTGGTCCTGGACTGTACCCTGGATCTGGAAAGAGTAAAATTCAGGTGGACTGACAGGTTGGGAGAAAATGTAAAAGTTAGGAAAGTGGAATTCTCTGTGAGGTTGAACAGGAAATAATCAGAGTGAGGGTATGACAGGCCAGGGGAAGAGAGTTCTGGATGATGATAGGATCCATCAGTCCTATAAACTGGATCACCCAAATGGACTGGAGGATGAGATCATTGCAATTAAGGGCGTCAAAGAATTCTGACATTGCAATCCTCGGATTATGGCAAGAGTGGTGATTGAAGGGGATATTGTAAGCCAGGTGCCAAAGACTTCCAAAAATGGGCAGGAGTGATGGAGAAGTCCCTGGATGGCAGCAATGGGGAGGGTAGGGTGAAAAGGAGTATGAGCTTTCCATAAAGGGAAACAGCCTTGAAGAACTGGGAGAATGTCAACCCTTTCCCCTGCTCCTTTGTGGTGTTGGGGTGTTATTGACCTTCACTGGAGAGAGTTCATGGGAAAAAGGTTGAGAATTTGGGGAATTTGACAAAGAGCAGAGGATTTCAGTAAGTCCAGTGGGATTGGTTGGTTAATGATGGAAGGGCTGGGGCTGGGGAAGTACAGAGTAGTAAAGTGAAAAGGAATTTTTTTATTTAAATATTACACATTCTAGGAATAAGAAACCTGGTTGGAATGACTTTCCTTAAACCCAGCATTGGTACCCGTTGGGTTGGTGCTAGAACTAGTTGAGAGTATCAGGCCTTAATTTTCTGGCCTGATTTCCTTGGTAGGTTCTTCTTCTGGTCAGTCAGTACCTGCCTCCTGGTTTTCAGAGCTGGAGTCATGATCCCTTTTTGGGAAGAAGGTTTTATGGCTCATGATTTGGTAGTGAGGGTGCTAATTTGTCAAAAGCTGCCTTTGTCTGTGTTTAGGGTAGGGGAGAAGTTAGATTATATTTTTAAGGGCCTTGTAGAGACTTTCTAGAGGCTCTGTACAGGTTCCGGCTGCCATGTGATGTACAGAGTTGGAGTTCTTACCTGGGACTAAATTGTCTTGAGTGGAGCCCCAGTGCTGCTGGAGATACACTTCCCTCTTTCAGCTGGTCCAGTTTCATTACCACTCAGGCTGATGACAGAGGAGAACTTACCTTTAACTTTCACTTTCTTTCATTTGTAGGCTAGTCATATGCTTATGCCTAGTATTTTAGTCTTTTTTAAGGTGCTGTGTTCTGATATTTCCAGAGAAATTTTATAGCAATCTTAAAAGTGAATTTTCAGGTAGTGCAATTGAAGTAGTACTTTTTATGGGTCAGTCATTCCACATGAGTAAATAAAAATCCTGGTTTAGGTATAGAATGACTCTGATTGTATTAATTCAGTACAATGGATTTTGAACAGGTACATTTTAAGTTTAATTTGAATGAATTTATAAAAGACAGTTTTCATTGTGATATTTTTAAAGGTCACGTGATGAGCAAGACAGAGGAATACATCCTCTCCTCCCCTCCCTTGAACCTGAAAATAGCTAGGTGTAGTTTTCTCGATATAAAGCCTTAATCTCTCTCATCTTTATGCTCTGAGAATAAAGGAGACTTAATCAAGAAATTATTGAGGTAAAGTAGAAAAGGAGTTAATTTCAAAATAGCTTCCAAAGGAATGGTTTATCTAAAACTCCAAGTGAAATAAAGCTAAGCTATACTTAATTTATGCTCTTTAAGGTCTCTATTTCTTTGGTGAGTAAGCACCTGCAGCTACAGATACATAAAACTATTCATTCCATGTAGGAGTCTTTCTGTAATTCATGACATGTAAAGTAGCCTGGGGAGAAACTAGGTACTGCGACAAACAAAATCAAGAGATCGAATATGAAATAATGTTCTGTTGGAAGGTGATATTTGTGGTAGAGATGATGGTTTATAAGGACAGTGATTTTTAAAAATTAAGAATTATTTTAAATGTATGAAGTACAGACAATAAGGATTGCTAACATGATAAATAACTTAATTATTCCCCCATTTTTCTGCAGTGGGATGTTATGTAATTTTTATTATTGCACATATAGCTGTACACGTTACTGTATAAATCTTTGAAACCCTCTTACTTTTTTCCCCTCCTTTGGGGCATAATATGTTTTTTAGGGGTCACCAAGTAAAATGATAAAATACTAGAACTAGAAAAGGCTTTACTATTAATATTGGAAATTTTTTTCACCAGAAATTTGTAATTTCTGATGCAAAGAAATTTTAACCAGTTTTTCATTGCATTTACTTCTTCAGTAATTTAGTAATTATTTTCAACTTTAATTTAAAGGGTGCAGAGCTGGAGGCAGCCATAGAAGAAAAATCATACTGTGGATATGAGTGCTTCTCCTCCCACTCAAATGGCTGTAAAGGACGTATTTTAGAAGGAAGGCACTGGCTGGGCATGGTGGCTCACGCCCATAAGCCCACCACTTTTGGAGGCCAAGACAGGTGTATCACGTGAGGTCAGGAGTTCGAGACCAGCCTGGCCAACATGGCAAAACCCTGTCTCTACTAAAAATACAAAAATTAGCTGGGCATGGTAGCGTACACTTGTAATCCCAGCTACTTGGGAGGCTGAGGCAGGAGAACTGCTTGAACCCAGAGGCAGAGGTTGCAGTGAGCTAAGATTGCGTCACTGCACTAGAGCCTGGGCGACAGACTCTGTCTCAAAAAAAGGAAGCAAGGCACCAATTGCCAGACAGCATTTTTTCTGTATATTTGTCTATCTTTATTAAATGTAACTTCTTTAAATATCATGTTATTCAGCTTTTCTGGGTTTTTGTGAATACTTCAATCACTAAATCTTCCATTGTCTTCAGGATTCAAAAATTTCCTCTATGGAGCGTGGGCTTCGAGACCTGGAAGAGGAAATTCAGATGCTGAAATCGAATGGTGCTTTGAGTACTGAGGAAAGGGAAGAAGAAATGAAGCAAATGGAAGTGTATCGGAGCCATTCTAAATTTATGAAAAATAAGGTAATGGCATGTGAGACTTTTGATTCTTAAAAGGAGTTTGAAAAATTGATGCATATTTTTTACTTCTCTAGTGATGATAAAGCCGTATTTTACACTCTTTTATCAGGTTTCAGGGAAGAATACTTTTAGCATAGTTCTTTCAAATGAAACTTCTCCAGAATTAAAGTCAGAATTACTGACATAGATAGTTACTACAAGTTTTTACTTATAAAGACAATTCTCTGTATGAGGCTACATATGTATTGTCATGGTTTAAGTTTTCATATCTATTAGTACTTCCGAAAAACTTCCAGATGAGTTTTTCTCACTATATGAAACATCAGGTTCTTTACCTCTTGTGAATTATTTAAAAAGTCAAAACCCTAAGAGGCTTGAGATGGAGTTTCGCTCTTGTCACCCAGGCTGGAGTGCAGTGGTGTGATCTCAGCTCACTGCAGCCTCTGCCTCCATGTTCAAGTGATTTTCCTGCCTCAGCCTCCCAAGTAGCTGGGATTACAGGTGCGTACCACCACACCTGGCTAATTTTTTGTATTTTTTGTAGAGATGGGGTTTCACCTTGTTGGCCTGGCTGGTCTTGAACTCCTGACCTCAGGTGATCCACCCACTTCAATCTCCCAAAGTGCTGGGATTACAGACGTGAGCCACCGTGCCCAGCCCTAAGAGGCTTTTTAATGAAATGGGTGAAATGAAGTTACGTTTCCCCTCCAAATACAGTTCTGTAACGGAAAGCCCTTTCTTTGCCCTATCCTGTGGGGAAGATCCACTTGCTGTCAGGTTTATTGCTTCCCATGTGCACTTCAGGCGTAATATGACAAAGATTGATACCACCAAGACCTATCAGTCTGTGTTTATCATCAGTCACAATGTTCCTTCCTTGTATCCAAAGTCATTTAGTTTGATTCTGTAAACTATTTAGGCAAGTTGGAGGATTTAGTTTATCACAATTATCAATTTACCAGTTTTGTTGTGGTTTCATTAAACATTATGATTGTAATTATAAAGTTTAAGCCAGAAAATAAGTGTTTTCCCCCTTTATTTCCCAGTTGTATTCTCCAGGTTCTTAGAAATGAAACCCGCAACATCCCAGTAGTGTGAAGGAATGATAACATCACTTCCCCTCCAGTTTCTGGCTTCTTGCCATGGTGCCCATACCTGGCATATAAGTCTACAGAATATTCCTCTGCTACCTCCAGACTCTATTATTAATTATTTCTACTACTTTCATTTCAGTTTTAGAAATTAAAAACTCACATACCCAACTTTTTTTTTTTTTCTTTTTCTTTTTTTTTGAGTCGGAGGTATGCTTTGTCGACCAGGCTGGAGTGCAGTGGCGTGATCTCGGTTCACTGCAGCCTCCGTCTCCAGGGTTCAAGCTTCAGTCTGCTGAGTAGCTGGGATTACAGGCGCCCACCACCATGCCCAGTTAATTTTTGTAGTTTTAGTAGAGACGGGTTTCACTATGATGGCCAGGCAGGTCTCGAACTCCTGACCTCAAGTGATCCTCCTGCCTTGGCCTCCCACGGTGCTGGGATATAATCATAGGTGTGAGCTGCTGCGCCTGGCCTCACATAACCAACTTTCTATTAGTTTGGATTTTTCACCCTGATTTGAGAACAAGACATAGTGCCGTATGATCTCTGTGTTTATGTTTTTCATTTGTTGATTAGCACATTCCAGTCCACTGTGGGGGGAAAAAACCTGTGAACTTAGAAACTACCTATGGCTCTTTGAAGAGGGAATGAGGGGAACAGATTTGATTGTATTATATAAGTTATTGTTATTTCTAGTTACCATTCTGCCTCAAAAGTAGACAAGAAGAAGACCTAAGTTGACACATAAGTGAAAAAGAATAATAATGTCGTGACAGGTAGAACAACTGAAGGAGGAACTAAGTTCGAAAGAGGCTCAATGGGAGGAGCTGAAAAAGAAAGCGGCTGGTCTTCAGGCTGAGGTCTTTGCCGTAAGATTTACCTCTTTGTGTGCAGTGGTCCCACAGTGGGACCCTGCTAGCTCTATGGCTTCTGGGTGGCTTACCCTTTCATTCTCTATGGTTGGCAGCTTTGCCCATTACTAGCACTAACCAGCCTGCTCTGCTCTTTAACTGACTCCTGTTCACTAGTTTGACCCACATGTCACTTTGTGTGCAGTGAGCCTTCACGTGTTCTGGAAGCCTTGTACCTGGTACTTTATTGTTGCTTTTGTCACTCTGTGGATGGTATTTCAAAGCCTGTTTCTTTCTCAACCCTTTATTGTTGGTTTATATGAATGGCGGCCTTCTTTTCTTCCTAGGTACAAGAATATATGCAGTTGTTCTAGGCCTATCACCTAGAGTTTATTTGAATTTGAAACTCTTGAGCAAAGTGCTTTACCTTATGTAGACATTATCTTTAAGTCTCCAGTGAGTGATTTTGCCACAAATGTTACTTTCTTTAGGACAGATGTATAGAAAGTATTTATCTAGTAAATTGAAATTACTAAGAGACTTATTTCAGGTATCTAAATCTAGTTCAATATTCTAATGAACTTAAAATTTCAATTCAGAACATAATAATAAAATAAATACAGTTGGCCCTCCATATCTGTGGATTTGCATCTGTGTGTTTAACCAACTGTTTTTTATTTTCAGGGTAAAAAAATGGATGTTGTGTCTGTGCTGAACATGTACAGGCTTTTTTCCCATGTCATTATTCCCTAAGCAATACAGTATGACAACTATTTACATTGTAAATATTTACATTGTATTACGTATTACAAGTAATCTAGAGATGATTTAAACTATACTGGAGGATGTGCATAGGTTATATGCAAATTCTACATCATTTTATATCAGGGACTTCAGCCTTCATTAATTTTGGTATCCAAGGTGTGTCTTGGAACCAGTCCCCCATGGACCCATGGATACCGAGGGATGGCTGAATAATAAAGTAGCTAACACTTGCACACTTACTGTAAACATTTTATAACGTGCTGAGTTAGACATATTATCAACTCCAAATTATAGACGAGGAAACTGAGGTAACAGAATGGTGCCTAGGAAAACACAGCTAGTAAGAGGCAGGATTTGGTTTTATACAGGCAGTCTTCTTCCACATACTGCTTACAAGTTCTTTACTGACCTATACTAGGCTGTGCACACATTTGTCAAAGTGTCAGCAAAAACTGCTTCTGAAAATAATTGTGGCTAAGACTGGAATAAAAAAATACAGCATTTAAAAAACCAAACTTGGGCTACTTTTGTAGATTTGCTATTTATGGTCCACTTTATAGTATATATTAAAAAGGGAAATATTTTGGTGGAAAGGGTCTAATTTGGTTTATGGAAACCATATATTGGCTAGAGGGAAGGTTGATCAATAACTTCCTTTTTAAAATAGCTACTATTAGTAATTTCTGCATTGAGTCAGACAACAGGCTAAGCACATTTCACGCTTTATTTTACTGAATCCATAAACAGTACAGTGGCATTCGTATAATTTCTCCTTATTACTAATTAGGAAACTGATTAGGAAAGTAATTATTCAGGGACACATAGCTAGCTTAGTTCTGATAGGTGAATGTCTGCAAAGCCTTGTGCTCCTAAGCTTTGTATTATATTTGCTTCCCCTTTATAATGTCTTCCCTTCTCAGTCTTTAAGGAAAATTTGTGCTTCTAAACTCTGCTTTTCTTTTCTTTTTTTCTTTTTCTTTATTTTTTTGAGACAGAGTCTTTCTCTGTCGCCAGGCTGGAGTGCAGTGGCGAGATCTCGGCTCACTGCAACCTCTGACTCCCTGGTTCAAGCGATTCTCCTGCCTCAGCCTCCTGAGTAGCTGGGATTACAGGCATGCGCCACCATGCCCAGCTGATTTTTGTATTTTTAGTAGAGATGGGTTTCACTATGTTGGCCAGGATGGTCTTGATCTCCTGACCTTGTGATCCACCCGCCTCGGCCTTCCAAAGTGCAATGATTACAGGCGTGAGCCACTGCACCCGGCCTAAACCCTGCTTTTCATTTAAAATATTTTCTTTTCTTTCTTAGTCTTTAAGGTCAATATAGCATTATTTGAAGCTTACTTAATAATGCAGATGATGACGAAACAGATTTTTATATTTATTTTTGACCACGTGATTGGAGGTAGCTGGAAATTTGAATAATCTTAGTCATAGTTCTTTAGCTGAGAAAATGGTAACACTTTGAACATCCCCCAAAATATTCATTCATACAACAAATGTGTTTTTGTTACAATCAGTGTGTTAGGGAATGGAATAGTGTTAATGGGTTGTTTTTATTGGTGAAGGGATATCATAAAAGACTCCACGTTGTTACAGTGTGTGCTAACTCTTGGGTACATACTATTTTGCAGGATGAATATAGCCACCGTTTAAAATTATCTTCCACTGATGTTTTTAGTATCCTCAGGTACTTTGTATACAATAAGCATACAGAAATATTTGTTGAATGAATGAATAACTATATCTCTAAAAAGAGATTTTATGCATATGAGAAAAATACTTAATCTTTTTTGAAACAGAAGGCTAAATTGGAAATTTATTTTTGGTGTTCCTCAAAGGTCTAATTTTAATTAATGTGAAATTTATTTCTTCATGGGAAATTGTTCTCAAAAGCTTTATCCCTTATACCTAAGATTATTACAATTACAATACTTTAGATACATTCAAGTTTTTGAAAATGAAAAGATAACTTTTTGTTTCATCAGTGACACCGAAATTACTGACTTGTCAAATGTATACTTCCAATAATTAGTATCTTTTTTAGTTCCTTGTTAGGTGGTAGACATAATTTAAAAGGAGATGTAATTTCTGTTTACATGGCTTCCATTTAGGGTAAAAAACTATTTTTAAAATTCTTAGAAAACAGGAATGTAAAGAAGGTGTTAGAAAGAAAATACTTTCAATGTTAAGAGAGAAATTAATCAATACACATAACATCAAATTATAGGATTTTACAAAACCATGTTATGTATAACATTAAAAGTGGCTTTTTAAGATAAGAATTTTATGCAAACTTTTGAGAATGAAAAAGATAACAGTGAAAAATTAGCACAACAGCAGCAGATTTTGAATTTTAAATAGTACTAGGAGGTTTCTAAAACCTTTTTTGTTATATCTGCACTCATCCTGCATTTGATCCATCATGTTCTGAAGAGGTCTCACCTAGAAAAATGAAAACCATTTCATCAGTACAGTGGTGTTCAGTTGCTTACTGCTGTCTCATAGTCATCTAATTGAATTGGAATTTCCTTTCCCTCCATTCCCTTTCTAAGAGGTTTCAAAGAATATTTAGAAGACACAATAAATGAAAACTGGACATTTCCCTATTGGTTGAATAAGTTTAGTGGTTTTTTTTGGCTCAGGGTTGGGGAGATCCAAGGTTATGTCATGCAAAAAGATGAATATGACCTATCACACAGTTCGTGCTGCATTTAGTTTCATATTTTGTGACTCAGATCTGTGAAAGATACAGATAAGAGGTGTTTGTTTTATTTCTTTTTTCCTTAAAGTGTTTTACTTCTTTTCTAGATTGGCCAGGTGAAACAGGAGCTGTCCAGAAAGGACACAGAACTACTCGCCCTGCAGACAAAGCTAGAAACACTCACAAACCAGTTCTCAGATAGTAAACAGCACATTGAAGTGTTGAAGGAGTCCTTGACTGCTAAGGAGCAGAGGGCTGCCATCCTGCAGACTGAGGTAGAAACAATTCTGGGATTTGTGGGGAGTTGGTTTCTTGGCACCTTTTCATAAGCGTTACCTGTGCTGTTTTTGTTATGTTTAGAATTGGGAAATATGAGTAATGTTATGATTAATTCTTCAGCAGCGTGATCAGTCACTGTGCTAAAATGTAACCATCTTATTTCAGTTGTTCTTAGATCTAACAAGTTAAAACAGGTGCAGTTTATGTTTTTAATTCTTTAAACTTTTGCCAAGTCTGTACTTCAAAGTATACTCTGACAGTATTAAAAATAAAAGGATAATTGTAAAAGAGAAATCATTGATTTAGAAGCTTCAGTTCAACCCCTGGTGAATTTTCTAGTCATGAATGACAATGAGCTTGGTTACACTGTGTTTGGAGTACATTTAAGTGTCTTTAAGTTGTGATATTATGAATAACTGTATATAGGAAACTGGAATCTGTTAAAGTTCTAGATAGTCTAATTTTAAACCACAGATTATTAGACAATGTGTCTTCATATCCTGTTTGAAAATAAAGTTAGTGTTTTTAGAATTTTTTTTTTTTTTTTGAGATGGCCTCTCGCTCTGTTGCCCAGGCTGGAGTGCAGTGGTGTGATCTTGGCTTGGCGTGATCTTGGCTCACCACTACCTCCGCCTCCTGGATTCAGGTGATTCTCCTGCCTCAGCCTCCTGAGTAGCTGGGATTATAGGCGCATGCCACCAAGCCTGGCTAATTTTTGTATTTTTAGTGGAGATGGGGTTTCACCATATTGGCCAGGCTGGTCTCGAACTCCTGACCTCTTGATCCGCCCGCCTCTGCCTCCCAAAGTGCTGGGATTACAGGCATGAGCCACCATGCCCGGGCAGTGTTTTTCAAAATCTTGGAAGATGATCTAGACTATTGGCTATGACTTCAGTTAGGTATCCACCATCTTCAGATAGGTATATGACTTCAGATAGATATTTAGTGTATTTGCTAAATAATCCCAGATCGATTCTTATCTATCTTACTTTCAATGATCGAAGAGAAAGAGTTGATGATACCATGTGGATTTACTGTCTTAATATAAATATTTTTTAAAGGTTGCAGTGAAATAGATAATTTAAGAATAGATAAGTAGTTTTGCTTTATAGAAGAAACATAAAGCATATGATGTAGATTAGCTTTTTTTCTTTAAAGAAAAATAAGAACATAATTTGGTGGAAAAAAGGAATGAGGAGGAAAAGAAAGAATAAAAACCTCATAGTCTTAGAAGACAAGAATCTTCCAATAAGGAAGAATGAAGAAGGAACCTAAACTGTTTCATGTAATATTTTTATCTGTACAATTTGGGGCTTTGTTAAAAATGGGAGATTTTAGCTGACATGTTTGTCATTTTTCTTATAACTTACACTTTTTCTATTTTAGTTATGTTTCATTTTGTTATGATGTCAGCTCCATTCTACCTCACAGAGATATTTGGGTATAAAATCATGAGATGCAGTAGTGGCTAAGGCTTTGGCTCTAGAGTCATGTTTACTGAGTTTGGACTTCCATCTTTACCACTTACTATGAGTCGCGTGATCCTGGGAACGTATTCAACTTCCTTACACTTCACTTTTCACGTCTGTAAGGTGAAGAGAATAGTAGTGCTTAACTCATAAGTTTGTTGTTAGAATTAAACTCGTTTATTTACTGCCAGTGTCTGGCACATAGTAAAGTCTTTGTACATTCGTCATTGTTATCATTTTATAATTCTTCTAATAAAATCAACTAATGCATATACTGTTGAGATGTTAAGAGAACATAGTATTTAGATGATCTGCATTTTCTTACTTTTATTAAGCTAAACTTAGGTTTATTCAGGGAATTATAAATATGAAATCATCTAGATAATGTTACCTGCAAAGTTATTCATTTATAGCTTTATTTTAAAAATTTTTTGTGGGTGCATAGTAGGTATATATATTTATGGGGTATGTGAGATATTTAATACAGGCATACAATGTGAAAATAAATTATGGAGAATGGCGGTATCCATCCCCTCAATCGTGTATCCTTTGAGTTACAAACAATCCAATTACACTCTTTAAGTTATTTTAAAATGTAATAGCTTTATTAATCGTTTTTCACTTCAGTAGCTTGAGTGCATGCAATACAGCAAAAGGGTCAGAAGAGGGTGCCAGTGTTCTAGAGGTCAGCCGCACTTCCAAGTTTGCTACTGTAATAGCTTTGGATGGAGGTGGCAGGTGTACAAACCAGAGAACCAAGCAGTTGGTTAATGATAATGCAAACATTTAAAAGCTTGTCACAGTCTAATAAATGACTTTTCCCCCTTGGCAATCCATGCTTCTCTTTGTACCCCCCTCAAATAATATTCTTATTAGCCAGGTCTCACCCAGATGGGCTTGTGATTGGTTTCTTGTACCATAGAGAATAGATTGTATTTATTGTCATTCATGAATGGTTTTTAGTTTTTAGCCATTGCAGGAGTAGCTGAGTCTCAGTGATTATTTCTGTAAGTTACTAGGGCCACTGCGCAAATAGAACCATCTCATCATAAAAGATAAAAGAATGAAAGCTAACTTTCTTTGGAATTTGGGATGATTTTAAGAATGTAATATGTCTATTTATTAGCATTGCTTAAAAAATTACTCTGGTGGCACTTGACAAGAGTCACCTTTTCCAATGTAACTTGCCAGTGTTAGAGCCCAGTAAAAGGCAGTTTATACCAGCTCTTTGAAAGTTTTCATGTGTTTCTATAATTTGCTCTTAGTTGATTTCATCTTTTCTGCAGCTATCCCAGACTTCGATCTAACACTCGGATTACTAAATTAAGTATATATGAAAAAAGAACATGGAGCATGGAGTTTTTCTTTCATTTTTATTTTTAGAGATAGAATCTTACTCTGTCACCCAAGCTGGAGTGCAGTGGCATGATTATATTAATAGCTCATTGCAGCCTGGAACTCCTGGGATCAAACGCTTCTCCTGCCTCAGCCTCCTGAGTAGCCAAGACTTATAGGCATGTGCCACCACACCTGGCTAATTTTTAAAACTTTTTGCAGAGACAGAGTCTCACTGTGTTGCCTAGGCTGGTCTGGGACTCCTGAGCTCAAGCAATCCTCCTGCCTCTGCCTCCCAAAGTGCTCGGATTACAGGCGTGAGCCACTGTGCCTAGCCTGGAGTTTAAAAAATTTTAAAAATCCTTTAAGGAAAACAGTTACATGTGAAAAGATCTGTTTGTTTTTTGTTTTGTTTTGTTTTTTTTGTTTTTTTTTTCCCTATTCAGGGTACATGGACTAAGGCCCTCTGGTGTTATACAAGGTACAGTATATATGGAATCGCTCCCGTTTTGTAACCATCTCTTTTAATCTGATGACTTTCACAGAGGTGGTCTGGATTTAGTAATATAGTGGTTAAAAGCATGGTCTTTGGTGTCAGACATAGGCTTGAAAACCAGCCCTCTACCTTTACTAGTTGTGTGACCTTAGAGGAGTTACTTTACTTCTTCTTTGTGTGTGTGTGTGTGTGTGTGTGTGTGTGTGTGTGTGTGTGTGTGTGTGTGTGTGTGAGATGGAGTTTTGCTCTTGTTGCCCAGGCTGGAGTGCAATAGCACAATCTTGGCTCACCACAACCTCGCCTCCTGGGTTCAAGCGATTCTCCTGCCACAGCCTCCCGAGTAGCTGGGATTATAGGCATGTGCCACCACACCTGGCTAATTCTGTATTTTTAGTAGAGATGGGGTTTCTCCCTGTTGGTCAGGCTGGTCTCGAACTCCCGACCTCAGGTGATCTGTCCTCCTCAGCCACCCAAAGTGCTGGGATTACAGGTGTGAGCCACCGCATCCATTCAGGAGTTACTTTACTTCTTTAAGCCTCCATTTCCTCATCTATAAAATGAGGATAATGATAATAACAACTTCCTAAGGTTTTTATGACTAGGTGTTTAATTCTGTTCTCATCTGAATATGGAGGGACATTTTTTTATTAATTTATTATTTTTTTTTTGCGACAAGGTTTCACTTTGTCATTCAGGCTGTAGTGCAGTGCCTTGATCATAGCTCACTGTAACCTTGAACTTCTGGGCTCAGGTGATCCTCCCACTTCAGCATCTTGAGTAGCTAGGACTACAGATGCAGGCCACCTCTCCTGGCTGATTTTTTAATTTGTATTTTTTGTAGAGACAGGGTCTCACTATGTTGCCCAGGATGTTCTTGAACTCCTGGCTTCAAGCAGTCCTCCTGCCTCAGCCCCCAAAGCACAAGAATTATAGGCAGGAGCCACTGTGTCCAGCCATGGAGGGAAATTTAAATTCAGTGGGTTAAAAAATTTCGAAACACCTTACAGTTTATAGCACTTTGATTTGATTTGATCTTTATTGTTTTATTTGCTCTTCATAGTAATGGCATGGGTTAGACAAGATAATTATTGTTGTTTTGCTTTTATAATTGAGAATTTTGTGAACTGCTTATTAGCATACCACTTTTGACTGGCACTTGAGGCTACTCTCACTAGTAACACTGGGACTTTTGATATATCATTTACAGTATTCTCAAGAATTAAAGTTCTTTTCTTGTTCCAAAATTGTGATGCTATACTAGGGACCTACCATTAAATGTATTTTCAGGATGAATTCTCAATGTGCAGAGCAGAGCTGATTGTATCAATAAGCCAAAATAATGTACACCTTACTGCTTCAAAGTAGTACAGGTTTTTCCCCTTCTCCAGGAAATTGTGTTTTGGAATTCTGTTTATTATAGGTAAGGAATATAATCTATATCTTAGTAATAGTAAGAGGAAGTGGTTCTTTTTTTCGGAGGTGCTCAGGAGATCAGCATCTAGCACAAGGTGAGGACCTGCCCTTGCTCTAGGATGTTTTGGCACTAGGCACTAGAGCTAGGATGCTGTTGTTTGACGTGCACCCTCTGCTTGCAGTCCCAGCCCAGTTCTGACTTCTTCAGCATACTAAGAGTTAGTAATACATTCTTAGAACTAGAGGGCATTTTTAGAGATCATCCAGTCTTTCCGTAATTTAAAGAATATGTATGATAATATCTAACCTGAGTCTTGTACCATGGAGGGTTTGTATACTTTCATTTTCCCAGTTAATTCTTAGAGTAACCTTCTAAGAAATAAGAATTGTTGTAACATTTTACAGATGGGGAGTTAAAACTTAGAGAGACTGAGGTTACATGACCTAGTGCCCGATCGATTCAAACCCGCAAACTTGCGTTCTTGATCATAACGCTGCAATTCCTCCCTGTGCAGAGAGAATATAGTGACATGCTGAAGGCCTATACAACTACTTGGTATTAGTTTTGGGACTGGAATTCATCATTTCTGACTTCGCTAATTATGATGTGCATAGACGACCATGACTCTTGTTTGATTGGTAGGTTGAGGACTAGCCACAAAGAAAGATGGGGAGAAGAAGAAACAATTCATGTTGGTAGAGAGGAGAAAAGGATTTAGGTTGATGGAATTACATAGCCTCAGAAAGAGATAGGCATCTTTTGTGACGAGATTGTGAAAGAAGAGAAAGATGTATTGATTGATCTCTTCATTCAACACGGTTTTGGGAGTACCTGCTGAGAACCCTTCTGAGCACTGGGGATACAGTGGCAAATGAAACAAAGGCTGATGATCTCTATCTCTATCTCTATCTCTATCTCTATCTCTATCTATCTCTATCTCTATCTCTATCTCTATCTGTGTCTCTATCTCTATCTCTATCTCTATCTCTATCTATCTCTATCTCTATCTCTATCTATCTCTATCTCTATCTATCTCTATCTCTATCTCTATCTCTATCTCTATCTCTATCTGTGTCTCTATCTCTATCTATCTCTATCTCTATCTCTATCTCTATCTCTATCTCTATCTGTGTCTCTATCTCTATCTCTATCTCTATCTCTATCTCTATCTCTATCTGTGTCTCTATCTATCTCTATCTCTATCTCTATCTCTATCTCTATCTGTGTCTCTATCTCTATCTCTATCTCTATCTCTATCTATCTCTATCTCTATCTCTATCTATCTCTATCTCTATCTATCTATCTCTATCTCTATCTCTATATCTCTATCTCTATCTGTGTCTCTATCTCTATCTCTATCTCTATCTCTATCTGTGTCTCTATCTCTATCTCTATCTCTATCTCTATCTCTATCTGTGTCTCTATCTCTATCTCTATCTCTATCTCTATCTGTGTCTCTATCTCTATCTCTATCTCTATCTCTATCTGTGTCTCTATCTCTATCTCTATCTCTATCTCTATCTGTGTCTCTATCTCTATCTCTATCTCTATCTGTGTCTCTATCTCTATCTCTATCTCTATCTCTATCTGTGTCTCTATCTCTATCTCTATCTCTATCTGTGTCTCTATCTCTATCTCTATCTCTATCTCTATCTGTGTCTCTATCTCTATCTCTATCTCTATCTGTGTCTCTATCTCTATCTCTATCTCTATCTCTATCTGTGTCTCTATCTCTATCTCTATCTCTATCTCTATCTCTATCTGTGTCTCTATCTCTATCTCTATCTCTATCTGTGTCTCTATCTCTATCTCTATCTGTGTCTCTATCTCTATCTCTATCTCTATCTGTGTCTCTATCTCTATCTCTATCTGTGTCTCTATCTCTATCTCTATCTCTATCTCTATCTCTATCTCTGCCTATTGATATATCTGTATATATCTATCTAAATCTCTGAAACAGCTGCTCAGAGTAAAAGAGGACTGGGTGCTATGAAAAGAGATAGGGCTTAGAATCTTTTTCAGATGAGTGTGTTTCTCTCACTGTTGTATGTGGGTTGTTGAGTTATGGGGTAGGGGTTGGGGGTGGGTGCTGCAGGGTGACACTGGTATGATATTCAAGTCTGCTTGTGAAGGTAGACTGGCTTTGGAGTGCTCCTTCCCCTTTCAGCATCCTCTCTATACCTGGGGCAGAGCATTTGTTCTAGCAGCGGTACAGATGATCATGCCAGAGGCGTTCTGATCTGGGAGGCTTGCTTCCTGCCACAACCACTCCCCCAGCTCCAGCTGGTGAGATGGCACTGCTTACGGTGGTGATGGGGTAATGTCTTGTTTGTGGGAAGATGTAGATACTGATAAGCTTAAGAAGTTACATTAAGTTACTTAAGAAGATAATGATAAGCTTAAGAAAATACAGTTACTTAAGAAGATAATGATAAGCTTAAGAAAATACAAGCATAAGTATGGCTCTTAATACGCTAGAAAAATCAAAATGGAATGTATAAGTTTCAAACCGTCAGAGTAAAACCCAGTTTACCCAGTGGAGAATAGAGAAGAATGGGGAGGGGAGAGAAAGAAATGTGATAGCATGTGGACACCATGAAAAAGAAGGCTGAGATAAGTACAAATCATGGGAAAGTCAATAAATACAAATAAGTACTTAGATCAAAATGAAAATATAAATCTCAGTTGGGCTAAAAAGATACAGAAAGATACTGTCAACAAGAGTTAAACAGACAAAAAGTAACAGCAAAGTTAAAAATACAGAGATAGAAAAAAATTTAAAAATAAAAGTTATATCAGGAAAATAGGCCTTCCCAAATATGATTTATTTTAATATTGATTAAATTATCTTTTAAGGCACACAGAGCAATGTTATATGCTGATAAAAGAAACAGTAGATCAAGAAAATATAACCGTGCCGATCGATGCACCTAACAGCATGGCATTTAAATACATAAAGCGGGCCGGGCGCGGCAGCCCACGCCTGTAATCCCAGCACTTTGGGAGGCTGAGGCGGGTGGATCACCTGAGTTCAGGAGTTCGAGACCAGCCTGGCCAACATAGTGAAACCCTGTCTCTACTGAAAATACAAAAATGAGCTGGGCGTGGTGGCACGCACCTGTAGTTTTCAGCTACTTGAGAGCCTGAGGCAGGAGAATTGCTTGAACCCAGGAGGTAGAGGTTGCAGTGAGCTAAGATCATACCCCTGGGTGACAGCGCAAGATTCTGTCTATAAGTAAACAAATAAATGTATATATAGCAGCAATGAGGTGAAACAGATAAATCAACAATTGTAGTTGGTCATTTGGATGTGCTCCTGTCAGAATTTGATCAAATAAAGAAGCATCAACATAAAGTTTTAATAACATTAACAAGCTCAAGTTCATAGATGTGTATATAGAATTTTGTCCTAACATAGAGAATAAACAATATTTTCAAGAACTTACTGAACAGTCGTAAAAACTAACCATGTACTGGGTCATAAAGGAAACTTTAAAATTCCCAAGAGTCAAAGTCACATGACTTTGCACTCCTAATGCAGCAAAATTAGAAATCAGGAGTAAAGATAGTAAAGTAGTAATAAAGGTAGTAAAGAACAGCAGCAGAAAACCAAAATAAGTATATAATCTTGAAACATACTACCAAAATGACCTGTGGGTTAAAGGAAAAATATAAACATTTAAAAATGAGTGGCAGTGAAAGCTCTCTATATAAAAATTTGTGGAACATAATTAGAAAAAAATCTGTGGGGTGTAACTAAAGCAGTATTTAGAGGGAAATAGCTAGTTTTTAACATATTTATCAGAAAATAAGAAAGAAAAGCAAGTAATCTAGGTGTTCAAATCAGGAAACTTAGAAAAAACAGTTAATCCAAAAACAATAAAGAATAATAAATATAAGGTGAGAAATTAATAGAGAATAAAACAACACCAAGAGGTAGTTATTTGAAAAAGGTTAATAGGACAGGAACAGCTCTTACAGATGATAAAGGAGAAGTAACTACTAGTACTACAGAGTTTAAAAATAATATAAGACAACTCTAAACAATTATATTCGAATAAGCTTGAAAAACAAGAAGAAATAAGTTTCTGGAAAAATATAAAATGACAGAAGAAGTTCAAGAGATAAGAGAAAACATGAACAACAGTCGTTATAGAAATTGAAATGGTAATCAACCTCATCCCTTTTTCCCTCCCAAATCCTAAGGCCCAGATGGCTTTCGAGGAGAAAATATTTGATATTTTCTTTCTTTTTTTTTTTGGAGACAGATTCTTGCTCTTTCGCCTAGGCCGGAGTGCAGTGGCACAATCTTGGCTCACTGCAACCTCCACCTCTCAAGTTCATGTGATTCTCCTGTCCCAGCCTCCCAACTAGCTGGGACTACAGGTGCATGCCACCACGCCCAGCTAATTTTTTGTATTTTTAGTAGAAATGGGGTTTCACTGTGTTAGCCAGGCTGGTCTCAATCTCCTGACCTTATGATCTGCCCACCTTGGCCTCCCAGAGTGCTGGGATTACAGGCATGAGCCACCGCGCCCAGCCCAATATTTGATATTTTCTATCAAATATTTAAAAATAGTCATTTTCATCCTCAAGTTGTTCCCCACTCCCCAAGAAAAAACAAGAAAGCCTAATACTCTACCCAAGGATATGAGGAAAAATAAATAAATTAAAAGATACTCCATGTCAATAGATGGTATAATTTAATCCTGCAGGGATATCAGTTTTCCTGAAGTTAATGTATATATTCTTCTGCATTTCCAATTAAAACACCAAGCAGTCGGCCGGGCACGGTGGCTCACGCCTATAATCCCAGCACTTTGGGAGGCTGAGGCAGGTGGATTATCTGAGGTCAGGAGTTCAAGACCAGCCTGGCCAACATAGTGAAAACCCGTCTCTACTAAAAATACAAAATTAGCTGGGCACGGTGGTGCGCACCTGTAATCTCAGCTACTCGGAAGGCTGAGGCAGGAGAATCACTTGAACCCAGGAGGCGGAGGTTACAGTGAGCTGAGATCGCACCACTGCACTCCAGTCTGGGTGACAAGAGCGAGACTCCGTCTCAAAACAAAACAAACAAAAAAAACAAACAGTATTTTTTAGGAATTCATTTTATTTTAAATTTTGTAAGGAGGAGTTACAAAAAGACAAATACTACATATGATTCCACTTGTCATACCTAGAGTCAAATTCATGGAGACAGAAAGTAGAAAGGTGGTTACCAGCGGCTGGGAAGGAGAGAATGTGGAGTTTAATGGGTATAGAATTTTAGTTTTGTAAGGTGAAATGAGTTCTGGAGATTGGTTGCACAACAGTGTGAATATACTCAACACTACTGAACTGTAGACTTAAAATGATTGAGATAGCAAATTTTATGTCTGTATATCTTACCTCTATTAAATTTTTAAAAATGTATATGGATGAATAAAGCTATTCTAACATTAAACAAAAAGAGAAGAGAAGATGGGAGAACCCTGCCCTGTGAGACATGAAAATACAGAGTCATAAACCAAACGAAACCAAACAGTGCACCTCAGAACAGTGCGGTAACTAGCACAGGAAGGAGCAGATATGAAAAGAACAGGGAGTGTGAAATCAGAAACATTTATGTGGAGAGATAGTCAGTCATAAACTAGTGCAAAATTAAGCAAGTATGAGAAAACTGACATACCATATGGAGAATAAAGTTGGCCACCTACTTCATGCTAGATGAAACAGTGAACTCTAGATGGATTAAAGACCTCAGTGTTAAAGAGAAACTATAAAGCTAATCAATAAAAATGTTTAGTAGGAATATATTGGGTAAGATAACTTAAATGTCTCCATCAAATTTAAGCATTTCTGTTCAAGAAAGAAAACCATTGGCAAAGCTAACAGATGAGATTGGGAGAAGAGTTTTTTTAGAGCCTCTTAAAATAGTAAGGATTCAGATAAAGAATAAAAAAGAGATGCTTGAGGCTAGGTGTGGTGGCTCACGCCTGTAATCCCAGCCCTTTGGGAGGCTGAAGCGGGCGGATCATGAGGTCAAGAGATCGACACCATTCTGGCCAACATGGTGAAACCCCGTCTCTACTAAAAATAAAAAAATTAGCTGGGCGTGGTGGCACGTGCCTGTAGTCCCAGCTACTCAGGAGGCTGAGGCAGGAGAATTGCTTGAACCCAGGAGGCGGAGGTTGCAGTGAGCTGAGATCATGCCACTGCACTCCAGCCTGGCGACAGAGTGAGATTCTGTCTCAAAAAAAAAAAAAAAAAAAAAAAAAAACCTCAAAAATCAATAGAGACTATAGGGAGAGGGAAGGATTTGAATAGACAATTAACAGATAAAGAAACCTAAGTGGTTAACAACTATGCCATGATATCATCAATCTTACTAGTAAATAAAGAAATGCAAATTTCAAAGATGATGAAATACTATATTTTGTTCATCAAATTGATAAAAATTAGAATGTGAGATAACATTCAGTGCTTGTGAGGATTTGGGCAAACAGTAACACAAATGACGTAGGTGGTTTCAGTAATCCCATTCCTTGGTATATTTCCCAGAAAAACTTTCCTGCTGGTCCACAAAAGGACATGTATAAGGATGTTCACCACAGTATTATTTGTGGGAAGAAGGAATTAAAAGCAGCATAAGTGTTTATTACTAGGGGGTTGGATAAATAAAGTATTGTGGATATGTACCATGGAATACTGTACAAAAGTCAAAAGCAGTGATGCAGAAGCAGGGATAGATATAAGTACTATCTATGTTTACTTTTTTTTTTTTTTGAGACGGAGTTTTACTCTTGTTGCCCAGGCTTGAGTGCGATGGCGCAGTCTCGGCTCACTTTACAGTACTTGTTACAAGTAGTGTGTTGTTTAAAAAACAGCATCCATCCCGTTTTTTAAAAGTAAAAAACAGGTTGAGGTATGTAACATTAATATAAATTGAAAACATGTATGAATATAAAAATCACCCTCTGTGTTTCTAAGATACATATTCAGGAACATATTAAAACATATTAGAATAGCTGCATATTGAAGGAGGGATGGGTATTGGACATAAATGGAAAAAGAGGAAAACAAAACAAGAGTAGAACTTCACATGAATCAACGATAACACTTGGACAGCGGATAGACCTTGGTCCTAAGTGAGATAGGGATCTGAAGCCAAGACCTCCGCATAAATCTAGTACTATCCTGAGAAAGGTCGGACGAGAAAAAAATTCCTCCTACCAGTATTAATGGCAATATGAGAGACTGACTTATTCTCCTTGGCTTTGATTTTGTGGAGAAAGGTCTCTCATCATGCAGGTTTGAGTTTGAATAGACATAACTGCTCTGAAGGGACATTCTCTCAACCTAGTACGTGTAGATTCCCACAGGTAAAAGCATTGCTTAGAATGAATTTACAATTCCACATTAGTTAATCACTTGTGGATTGTAATCTCCCCTGAACCAATAATGGGAGTAAGAACAAATGGAGTGATCAGACCCTTAGGAACGCTGGATAATAGAACGAGAGTATAAACTAAATGATTAAAGGACGGACTGAGAGGCATGGGCACACTCTCCAGAATGGATGATCAGATATGACTTGTTAGGATGTTGTTTCATGACTATTGAGAGCAAAAGCTGAAGTAGCACTAGGTTTTTAATTTTTATTTTCTTAATTTTTAATTTTTATAGAGACAGAACCTCCTTATGTTGCCCATGCTGGTCTTCAGCTCCTGGACTCAAGTGATCCTCCCAACTCAGCCTCTCGTAGTGTTAGGATTACAGGCGTGAGGCACCGTGCCCAGCTAGCACTAGCTGTTTAGTACAGTGTGTTTGAATCTTGGGTCTGCCACTTGCTGTATGAGTGTATACTTTTTTGCCTCAGTTTTCTCATCTGTGAGAAGAATAATAGCCTTACCCCATAATGTTGTGAGAATTAAATGTTAATTATCTATGTAGTAACACTCAGTAAATATTAGCTATTATAATTAATAAATGCATAAAGAAATGATTTAAAACGCGAGGAAAAAAACAAAGGTACTGTAAATAAAACCAACCGGGTTATAAAAGATCAAAACAGGATTTTAGACATGAAATATATAGTAACTAAAATGGAAAACTCAGTATATTAGTGTAGTTGCAGATTATAGAGAGCTGCAGGAACAGTTAGTGAATTGGAACATAGATCTGATGAGCTATTACCCAGCAAGCAATAGGAAAGATAGGAAGATAGAAATTATTAAAAAGAACTCTATGTAAATTGAGCCCAACTTATATGTAGGAGTTTCAGGAGTGGATAAAGAGAATGGGAGGCAATCTTAAGAGAGAATTGCTGAGAATTTTTCTGATTTTGATGATAGGAATGGATTCTTCAATTCAGGAACAAATTATTCTTGAGCAGGAAAATATCTACACCTACATACAGCATAGTGGAACCATAGATAAACTAATCTTAAATACTGCCAGGTAGACTGGGCATGATGGCTCACGCCTGTAATCCTAGTGGAGGTCAAGGTAGGAGGATCACTTGAGACCAGGAGTTTGAGACCAGCCGGGGCAACAGTGAGACTGCGTCTCCACAAACAACAACAACAACAAAACTAACAACAACAACAAAAAACTAACCAGGCAACAACAAGAAAAAAAACTTACCAGGTGTGGTGTGTACATGTAGTCCTGGCTACTCAGAAGTCGAAGGCGAGAGTATCCCTTGACCTTAGCTAAGGGCTTCAGGGCAGTAGTGAGCTATGATTGTGCCACTGCACTCCAGCTTGGGCAATAGAGCGAGACCCTGTCTCTAAAAAAGAAAACAACCTGCTGGGGAGAAAAAATACATTACGTGTAAAGGATTAACAATTAGGCCAACATCAGACTTTTCAGTTGCCACAACAGTAGTGAGAATATGGTAGCGTAAAATCTTCAAAGTTTAGTGAAAAACATTGGCAACTCAGAATTCTGTACCAAGCTGAACTCTCATCATTCTTCAGTAAAGATAGAAGAAAGACTTTTACTTTCAGATTAATACAAATGAGAGTTTACTACCCAGGATCCCTATGGAAACAACTGTTAAAAGATGTATGTTAGAAAGAAGAAAAGAATGAGATGCAAGAAAAAAAAACAGGAGATGAAAAGGCATTAATGTAACAGGAGAAACTAATCTAATATCAATATAATAGTATGGCATAGACCTTACAGTAATAGTGCCGTTACAGCCAAAACTCGCAAATCAATTGAGGTTTATTCAGTAAAGGTGAGGAATTTCAGAGAAAGATCACAAAAGGAAGAGCTTGTCTGTTGCTTCTCCTTGTTGGTATAATGTTGCTAAATAATACAGCAGGTGGAATTCTGCATCTAGATTGTTTCTATCTTCCCTGTCAAGAGCATAGGAATGAAATAAATGGAATATATATTTCTACAGTGGCAAAATGAAAATGAAGCTCAAGGTGTGTGAAGACAGAAATTGTAAGAAAGCGTAAAGACCTCTGCAATGGCCAGGCAGAGTGACTCATGCCTATAATTCCAGCACTTTGGAAGGCCGAGACAGGAGGATCACTTGAGCCCAGGAGGGTTTTCACATAGAGAAAGCTATAAGGAATTCTCCCTTTCTGTGAGGGTTTTCACATAGAGTTATAAGGCTTTGTTGATCTTAGTTCTGATACCAGAACGAGGAAGTGTTATGTTATGTGTTGGCTTAAGGGGTCAAAGTAGGTTGGCTGACTGCCATGCTTTATCAGGTTTGCAGAGGCCAAGAGTTCCTTGGGGCTGCATACCTGAATAGCACTTATTGCAGTATACTTTGTGTAGCCAATACTGTGTCTTCTTTGTCTGCTATGAGTTTTCAAGGGAAAATGAGTGAAGGTATCAACATTAATTTTTCAGAATATAAATTTGCGAAACGTATAGTCTTTTTTTTTTTTTAAACTATGTACTGTGGAATGACTCATTTCTACCTTGACTATTTTGATATCTGAGCTTTTCATCTTTTTGTCAAGTATGGGGTATCAAACAGAGCACAATTGCAGTTTGTTGAAACAGTACTCTAAAACAGTTTACTTCCGTGTGGTCTGTAATGCTGTCAGTCCCATGGCTCAGTGCCCTTCACGTAGCATTCAGCCTCCCATCTAGGTGGGAACAATGGGAAATGCAGTCATAGGATATATCATTTAGAGTGGACTTGAGCAAGTTACTTAATTAGTTTGGGCCTTGATTTTTCTCAGCTTTAAAGTTGGGAGTTTAAATTCAGTTATTTAACTGTTAAAAAAATTTATGAAGTACTGTGGAATACAGGAAAATTGTAGAAAATATAATAGATACCAGTCAGATTTAACATACATTAAAATAAAGAATTCTTAAAAATGTCTCATTCTAAACTAATCAATGGAAGATGTGGTTTAAATAAAAGTTATTAGAATTTTAGGTTTTTAGAACTAGTTGGGGCCAGGAATAAAGATTTGGAAGCTGTGGAGGTGGTGGTGAAAGCCTTAGAATTGGATTAGTTTCTCCAGAGGAGGTTCCATGCAGTGAGATGTGAGGAGGAGGAAATGACAGAGGATGGAGAACACTGAAAAGGTGTGATCACAGAGTTAGAAAGGAAAAGTGTCATGTTGGCAAAGCCAAGAGGGGAATGATAGGAAACAAGCCACATATCCATGCAACTAATTATTACTACTAATTTGCCTTTAGATAGATCTGTTTATTGATTTAAAACAAAGGAAAGTTAAGGTACGTTGAGAGAATTGGTTTTTTTTAATTGAGGCAGAGTCTCTCTCTGTCACCCAGGCTGGAGTGCAGTGGCACAATCTTGGCACACTGCAAGCTCCACCTCCCGGGTTCGCACCATTCTCCTGCCTTAGCCTCCCGAGTAGCTGGGATTACAGGTGCCCACCACCACACCCAGCTAATTTTTTTGTATTTTTTTTAGTAGAGATGGGGTTTCACCCTGTTAGCCAGGATGGTCTCGATCTCCTGACCTTGTGATCCGCCCCCTTGGCCTCCCAAAGTGCTGGGATTACAGGTGTGAGCCACCGCGCCCAGCCAGAATTAATTGTTTTTTGATCAGAAGTGAGAGGCCAAAACAGTAGGGTAGCCATTTTCTGTTCACTTCCATTGGTAGAGAAAACCTTGTAGACAAAAGCCTTCTGTTTTTATTGAAGTTGGCATGACCTGTTTGCTACAGACAAACTTGGCAAGTTGGGCGAATGCTGTTCCTGCAGCTCTGCTGGTGTGAATAAACAAGGTTTTATTCCTCCTGCCAGGACTGGTGTCAGGGCAATGACTGTGTGTGTCCTGCTGGTCTTTGAGGGGTTTTCCTGAATATGTTTTTTGTGGTTTGTAAAATATGGACCTCACGCAAAATTATACTACAAATTTAGTTCACTCCAAACCAAAAGATCAGTGTAGAATTCAGAGCAATTAATCTGGTAGTAGCAAAGTGGTTTTTGTGGTGGTTTTTATCTCAAATCTCCAGACTAGCATATTTGAATTCTGTACTGCACAAAAAAGCAGACTAAGACAAAGTGTACACAGGTGATGTGAATTGAATACTTAGTCAATAAAAGATCATTTAATAATTAGGGGTATGGACGGGCAGTTTCTGTTCCTAATATTTATTATATGAAATATTTTTTGTATCAAAGCCTGTGTTTCCAGCCACACTTATACTAAAGGTTTGTATGTTTATAACAAGAGTTCTTATTCTTTCCCTTTTCAGTCACCTTTTTCGGTCACCAATTCATACTTGACACTCTCTCAGTGCCGTGCGGGTATTTATGTCCGGTCAGCATTGACATGTTTCCAGGTCACTTAACTGAATCATGGATCCAATATAAAGTGCAGCTTGGGCATCTGGGTGCCTTTCATAAAGAGGCAGCAATGTGGGGTCTCACAAATGTTGTCCTGTGTGATGGTGGTGCCATCAGAATGAAAAACACTTAGAAGTGATGAGGGATGTGTTCCTACATACAGATCCATGTCCCGCAGATGGAAAGGCTTTTTTCTGAAATTAATGCTTAGAAGAACTGAGAGACAAGAAAATTAGGCAGTTGAGACTTCAGGTTTGAATGCCTAAGCTTTTTGCCTTTGTAGTAAGAATTTGTGTATTTAGGACATACAGGATAAAATAATGTGGGTTTTTTTTTTTTTAATTGAGACGGAGTTTCGCTCTTGTCACCCAGGCTGGAGTGCAGTGGCACAATCTTGGCTCACTGCAACCTCCGCCTCCTAGGTTCAAGTGATTCTCCTGCTTCAGCCTCCCGAGTAGCTGGGATTACAGGCATGCACCACCACGCCTGACTAATTTTTCTGTATTTTTAGTAGAGACGGGATTTCACATTGTTGGCCAGGCTGGTCTTGAACTCCTCACCTCAAGTGATCCACCCACCTCGGCCTCCCAAAGTGCTGGGATTACAGGTGTGAGCCACCACACCTGGCCGGTTTTTTTTTGTTTGTTTGTTTTTAATGAGGTGCTTTGTTTTTTGCTTTTGGTTAGAGGTAGTGGTAGATTAATATATAGTATACAAAATACAGATTAGCATGTAGTAATTAGATGCAAATGATTATGTGATTTATTTATTTTTCAAATTTCTGACATGTATACTTTTCTAAGGCTTTGACCTCCTTAACTGTGTAGAAGGGTCACCAGATTCAGTAAGCACCTTCGCCATGACTGATGCCTTGTAATGGGTTCAGCTAATAGGAACCAAACCTGACACTGTCAAATAGGATTAGTAGCAACACTGGCTGGCTTGAGCTGTGCCTGAATGCCAGTGGATAAGGGTCAGTGGGTTCTTTGGCATCTTGAGCAGCCTGGTTGTTGAATTTCATATTCCACTAAGGTCTTTACTCTGTGGTTGCAATCCTTTTCTTTTAACTGAATCAATATTCAGTCTGTTCTGACACTTCCCTTTTGGACCTTTTTTTGTTTGCATGGCGGAGTGTTGTGATTTTTACTCTCTTGGCAAATTTCAGGTATATAATACAGCATTATTAATTACACGCTGCTGTATATTAGATCCCCAGAACTTACTCGTTTTATAACTGAGGGTTTGTACCCTTTGATCAGCATCTCCCCATGCCTCTCCCTGTTCCTATCCCCAGCCCCTGGTAACCACCATTCTCTTCTCTGTTTCTTTGAGTTCAACTTTATTCAGATTCCATATGTAAGTGAGATCATACCGTAATCTGTGTTATTTCTGATCTCAGTTTTCACTGAATGCTTTTTGTCCTTGTATTATGAGTTGTGTTTTTCTGCTTCTTTGCTTGTCTGGTGAGTTTGGGTTGGATGCCAAGCATTGTGAGTTTTACCTTGTTGGGTGCTAGGCATTTTGTATTCCTGTAAATATTACTGAACTTTGTTTTGTGATGCTGGTAAAATACTTGGAAATAGTTTCATTCTTTTGGGTCTTTCATTTAAGCTTTGTTAGATGGTACCAAAATTGCATTTATTCTAAAGCTAGTCTCCTCGTGCACCCCCTCCCCCTTGATTATATTAAAGAGATTTGCAAAAATTTAAAACAATTATATTCTTCTTACTATTTTAGGGGGAAAATACAGGTTTTTGAAATTAAAATGTTACTTTGATTAACATAATGGGTTTATTGTTATTTAAAAGCTGTTCTAATTTTTTTTTTTTTTTTAAAGATACAGTGTCTTGCTTTGCTACCAAGGCTGGAGTACAGTGGTGTGATCATAGCTCACTGCAGCCTTGAACTCCTGGGCTCAAGCGATCTTCCTGCTTCAGCCCCCTGAGTAGCTAGAACTATAGGTGTGTGCCACCACACTTGGCTAATTAAAAAAAATTTTTTTTTGTAGAGATAGTGTCTTGCTATGTTGCCCAGGGAGGTCTTGAACTTTTGGCCTCAAGTGATCCTTCTGCCTCAGCCTCCCAAAGTGTTGGGATTACAGGTGTGAGCCACCGCACCTGGCCCTAATTTTGAGTGTAGCAAATATTGATAGATATAACTCACATAAATAAAAACTCAATAATTGGGGGTCCTCAGTAACTTTTTTTTTTTTTTTTTGAGACATAGTTTTGCTCTTGTTGCCCAGGCTGGAGTGCAATGGCGTGATCTCAGCTCACTGCAACCTCCGCCTCCCGGGTTCAAGTGATTCTCCTGCCTCAGCCTCCTGAGTAGCTGGGATTACAGGCATGCGCTACCATGCCTGACTAATTTTGTATTTTTAGTAGAGACAAGGTTTCTCCCTGTTGGTCAGGCTGGTCTTGAACTCCCGACCTCTGGTGATCTGGCCACCTTGGTCTTCCAAAGTGCTGGGATTACAGGCCTAAGCCACTGTGCCCTGCCGGTCCTCAGTAATCTTTAAGAGTGCTGAGGAGTCCTGAGACCAAAGGGTCTGAGAATGGTAATGGAAGGGAACATTCAGAACATTTGGGTGCCTGAGGCTTCTCTAGAGCAGGGTACTTGCCCAAAGGGGGCTTGGGATTTTGCTTCCTGTTCCAACCTAACCTTTGTGTTGCCCTGATATCTTATTTTCTGTTACTGGAGGCATCTTCCAAACTCAGTTCTCCAGGTCACGGAAACAAGTCAATGAAAAAGCAGGACAGGTGTCACTTCTGTTATAAGCTTACCACTTCGGGCTTCTAGTCTCTGTTTTCAACATTTTAGTGATGTTGTCTCTTTCTCTATGTGTACACTTCTGTATATGCTTATATGCATGCTGATCTATGAATTTGAAAAGAAGTTTGTTGTGCTTTACCTAGCATTTCTGGGTGTTTTGTAGCAGTAGGTGTGGTGGGCTGAATAGTATCCTCCATAAATCTGTGTCTACCTGGTACTCAGAATGTGACCATATTTGGAAATAGGGTCTTTGAAGCTATTATTAGTTAAGGTTTGAGATAAGATCATGATGGAGTGGGCTCTAAATGCAATGACTGGAGTCCTTATAGAAGAGAGAGGACATATAAAGATACAAAGAAGAGGGTGAAGTGAAGGTGGAAACAGAGATTGGAGTGATGCATCGTCTACAAGACGAGGAGCCAGGAGACAGCAAGAGGCAAGGAAGGCTCTTTCTCAGAGCCCTCATAGAGAGCAAGGTCCTGCTACACCTTTATGTCAGACTTCTAAACTCCAGAACTTGGAGAGAGGAAAATAAATCTATTGTTTAAAGCCACCTGGTTTGTGGTCCTTTGTTAGGGCAGTCCTAAGAGAGTAAAACAGTTAGGTTTTTCTGGATTTCTAGCTCATATTCAGGTCATTATCAGGTATTTTCAGGTTTTTATCAAAGCATTTCAGGTATTATCAGGGAGACTGTTAAGATATAATGTCATGTCAGAAATAACACACCAAAAATAAGGTTCTTATTCTCTCTCGAAGCTAAAACCCATTTAGTCTTCTTCATCAGAAACCTGGGAACCCATGTTTGACTTATCTCTCTTTTATCCCTTATATACAACCAATAAAAGTCAAGCTCCTAGACATGACACTGATGCTTTCCGTGGCTAAGGCCTTGTCTTCTGCTGCACCTCACATAACTTACCACCTATTCTATGCTTTAGCAATTCTCTATTCATAGCTCTCTGAGAAGTTAACATCCTTTCTAATCTTCATTATTTGTGGTATCTCTGCTCAAAGGTTCTTCCATTATCTTCCTCACCAGCCATCTTCTGCTCATCTTTACATGCTTTGAGGTATCTCCAAGCAATCTGAGTGCTTCTTTTCTGTACTTTTAGAAAATATTCTCTACACTTCTGTTGCAGCACTTTCTATAATATATTTATGTGATCTATTTTGGCAACATTCTTCTCCATTAGGTTGTAACTTCAGCAGAAGACAGGAAATATCTTAGTTATCTTTGTGTCTCCAGTAACCAGCCCAGTGTAACTTTTCCGATATACAAATACCATGACTTTCTCCTGCTTAAAAATCTTCACTGACTTCCATTTGCAAGTAGGATAAAATTTAAGCCTCTTATTTTAGCAGGCAAGGATTTATGATCTACTATCTTTTCAGGCTTGTCTCTTGTCCTTCTTCTGTTACTTTATGCCAAGCAATACCAAATGAATTTACAAGTATATCATGCTGTTTCATGTTTCTAGATTTTAAAGTATTCTATTTCCTCTTCCTAGATATCCATGCATTTCTCTCTGCCTTCCCTTTTGTATCTAGTGATGTTCTCTTCATTATTCAAAAACCAATTCAGACATTTATTCTTTTAGAAAACTTTTCTGACTCTTCTGACATACTGTTCATAGGAGAGATTTCCCTGCCTGCCTGTGTTCACCTGTGTTCCTTTATGCTGGTATTCTTTGGTATGTGATAACAGATTATAATCTTTGATGTCATATCTAGTCTTTGAGTTCCAGTCCTTCTACTCACCAGTTCTTTTTTCTTTTTCTTTTTCTTTCTTTTTTTCTTTTCTTTTTTTTTTTTTTTTTGAGACAGAGTCTCACTCTGTTGGCAGGCTGGAGTGCAGTGGCACCATCTCGGCTCGCTGCAACCTCCGAATCCCTGGTTCAAGCAATTCTCCTGCCTCAGCCTCCCGAGTAGCTGGGATTATAGGCAAGCGCCACCACGCCAAGCTAATTTTTGTATTTTTAGTAGAGATGGGGTTTCACCATGTTGGCCAGGATGGTCTCTATCTCCTGACCTTGTGATCTGCCCATCCTGGCCTCCCAAAGTGCTGGGATTACAGGTGTGAGCCACCACGCCCGGCCATAGTCCTTCTACTTACCAGTTCTTTAATATAATATGAGGTAAACTATTTAACTACGCTGAGTCACAGTTTTATCATCTTTTAAAATAGGGAGATAATGTTAGCTACTTTACAGTGCTAAATGTTTTAAGTGAGATAGGATTACTGAGGATAAAAGGGTGGGCAAAATAGGGGCCAGGAGCGGTGGCTCACGCCTGTAACCCCAGCACTTTGGGAGGCCGAGGCAGGCAGATCACCTGAGGTCAGGAGTTCGAGACCAGCCTGGCCAACATGGCGAAACCCCGTCTCTACTAAAAATACAAAAAAAATTAGCTGGGCATGGTGGCATGCACCTGTAATCCCAGCTACCAGGGAGGCTGAGGCAGGAGAATCTCTTGAACCCAGGAGGCAGAGGTTACAGTGAGCCGAGATTGCGCCACTGCACTCCAGCCTGGGCGACAGAGCAAGACTGTCTCAAAAAAACAAAAAATATATATAATTTATAATATGTTACATATTATGTATATTATTTATATGTATTATATAATACATATTATATAATATATAATATATTTATATAAATTAGATATAATATTATCATATATAGTATATATAATATATATTAATATATAAATGTGTAAATGTATATATTATATAATTATATATAAAATACAATTATATATAATTATATATTGTTTTATATTATATATAATATATAATCCATATTATAATATAATTATATTTAATACATATTATATATAATATAATTATATTTATTTACATAATATATATAATTGTATATAATATATATCATATATAATTATATATGATATATATTATATAATATATATCATGTATAATATAATTACAATATATGATATATATTATATAATATAATTACAATATATGATATATATTATATAATATATGTTGTATATAATACATATGTTGTATATAATATATGTTATATAATATATAATATATGTTATATGTAAGTTGTATATAATATGTAATACATAATATATGTTATATATAATATATATAGAAATATTGGTAAGTTCTGTATAATGATGTTATTAAGTTCTATAAGTAGAAAAAAAAGTGTTAAATTCTATTACAAAATACCCTGAGAAAGGATGAGGGAGATAGTATTTGTCTGTTGGGGGTTTGGAAAATATTTATTAAAATGGTGGCATAGGAAAAGGACCTTGAAAGATGTGTTCAGTAGGCAGATTTTTTTTAAGTGGTAGAGGGTTAAGGATATTACAGGCATAGGACAAAATGTGAACAATGACAAGAAAGAAGGAAAGTATAGTATTTATTCAGAGAATGGCAGTACTGCTGCAATGGAGAGCCACTGGAAGTGGGGCAAGGAGGCATATGGCAAAGGTTAGGCAGTGCTGGTACATTGGGACCGTCTGACCATGGAGGACCTTGAATTCCCTGCTGTGATCCTGTGGGTTAGGGTGGTGTTAGAGAATTAGTGGTTAAGAGTGTGGGGTCTGGAGGCAAGACCACGTAATCTTAGATCTCTGCTTATTTGTAGCTGTGAGATCTTGGGCCTGCTATCTCCTCTGAGGCCCAGTTTCCCACATTGCCGTGAGAGAGTGTGAAGTTTCCTGCAGGGAGAATGCAAGGGAAGAAAATACGATACCTGAGAACAGAAGTGTGAGGATTTTAATGTATATACAGTAGTCCTCCCTTAACTGCTTTTTTGCTTTCCTTGGTTTCTGTTACCTGTGGTCACCTGTGGTCTGAAAATATTAAATGGAAAATTCCAGAAAAGAACAGCTCCCAGATTTTAAGTTAAGCTTTTTTTTAGGTAGTGTGATGAAATCTTATGCCATTCTGCTGTATTCCACCCTGGAGGTGAATCTTCCTTCTGTCCAGTGTATCCACGTACCCACACTACCTGCCCCTTAGTCACTAGTAGCTGTCTCGTTATTAGATCGACTGTTGCAGTGTCAGTGCTTGTGTTCACATAACCCTTATTTTATTTAATAATGGCCCCAAAGCATAAGAGTAATGATGCTGGCATATTGTTACAATTGTTCTATTTTGTTACTAGTTATTGTTGTTAATCTCTTACTGTGACTAATTTGTAAATTAAATGTTATTATGTAATAGGTATGTATATAGAGGAAAAGCATAGTGTGTATAGGGTTTGATACTGTCTGTGGTTTCAGGCATCCACTGGGGGTCTTGGATTATATTCTTCGACGACAAGGGGGGATTACTGTATATGGTGACAAAAATATACATGAACACATGCAGGAAGGCCCAGAAAACTGTTTAATTCAGAAATAAAGTAGTAAAGTAAAACAGGTATGATTTTTTTTTTTTTGAGGAGTTGATATGAGACTGAAATCATTGCTTAAGCTGGGAGGAAAACAAAACAAAACAAAAACCAGAATAGAGACGAATGATAAAAAAAGAAGGACGATAGATCAGAGGTCATGCTATGGACAAAGGGTAGATTTAGTAGGTGTAGGAGGAAGAAAAGAACAGTATTTGTGATTCAGAAAAAAAAATTTAGAGTTTGAAAGTTCTCAGGTAGATCTTTCCAGATTATAATTAGGTTAACTATGTATATTAAAGTAGAATAGAGGTAAATTACAGATGAAAGACTCTTGAAGGAGCATGGTAGAACTTGTGGTGAATAATGACAAATGGGAGCTCAAATGATTATTCCCTACTTTCTGGCTTGGTGAGACTGGTCGCGTAGAAGTAGTTGGTAGAAATGTAGTTTAGCAGAGTGAACTATGGTTTATCTACATGTTTTTCCTTTCCAGTATGGTCCAACATAATTTGTAAGTACTTACAGTAGTAGCAAGTACTTATTATAGCAGTCTCCAATGAGACTAGTCTTGTTAAGAAATTTTCCATACTACTTAACTGAGCAGGAAGTACCACCGCACACACAGTATTGCTTCTCAGATACCTTGTAGTTTAGATACACTACACATTGGATATCCCTTACCTAAAATGCACGGGACTAGAAGTGTTTCAGAGTTTGAGTTTGGGAATATTTGCATTATACTTATGCTTACTGGTTGAGCATTCCTAATCCGAAAATCCAAAATGTTCCATTGAGCATTTCCTTTAAGTGTCGTGTCAGTGCTCAAAAAGTTCTGGAGTTTGGAGCATTTTGGATTTTGGATTTTCAGATTTGGGGATGGTCAACCTGTATTAGATCTTCCTGAGTGCTTTGATGTACCCTAAATGTGAAACATTATTCATATTTTCTTTGTGGTTTAATCCACGTTCAGATAGGAAAAATAAGACAAGTTAAAGATGAGAGACCATAGAACCATACTTGATTTCTTAGATTTGCACTGTTCAGTCTGGTAGCCACCAGCCATTTGTGGCTATTAAGTACTTGCAATGTGGCTAGCCCAAATTGAGATGTGATATAAAGGTGAAATATACATTAGATATCAAAGAGTTAGTATGAAAAAATATAAAATAGCTCATTAATAGTTTTTTATATGGGTTATATGTTTGAAATGACAATGAAAAAAGAATGTAAAAAAGCTTATTAACAATTTTCGGCTTGAAAATATGACTTATTATTTTCCTGTTGAACAGCACTGAATCTATGTGTGGGGTGCTAAAAGCTTAATAAAATTTTCTCTGAATGGATTTTAAAATAAGTATCATTAGATTTCTTGTTATTTTAAAGTTATATCTAATGAAAGGCATTAAACTTCAGGGATAAAGGTAACTAGTTACCAAACTTTTTAGCTGGTTAGTCTTGCTGTCTAAAAAGTAGACCTTTGCTTTTGCTTTGTATGGATATCTAAGTGCATTATGGGGTTGTTTTTCATAAAAGCCTCATAGCCTATGACTAGACTGTATTATCTGATATAGCCAGTGTTATGCTTGGTGATGCTTTTTTTCCCTTTTCCTCATTTTAGATTTTCTAAAGCAATGTAGCTTCACTTGGAAACTTGTTAGAAATACTGATTTTGAACCCCAACCCTGTTGAATCAGAGACTAAGGGCTTGATTTAGCCCTCCAGATGATTCTGATGTGCATGAAGTTTGAGAAACATAGTTGTAGAGATTCCATTGTGTAACGGTGAGCACACTGGACTCTGAATCCAGAGAAACATAGATGTAGATAATACTACTTTTATAGAATAACAAAACTCAACCTCTTTATAACCTTTATAACATATCTATTTGAAAGGAATTACATTCTTTTCTTTTTAATTCATCACTTGTAAAACTCCTACATTCTTAGGTGGATGCTCTCCGATTGCGTTTGGAAGAGAAGGAAACCATGTTGAATAAAAAGACAAAACAAATTCAGGATATGGCTGAAGAGAAGGGGACACAAGCTGGAGAGATACATGACCTCAAGGACATGTTGGATGTGAAGGAGCGGAAGGTTAATGTTCTTCAGAAGAAGGTAAGGTACAGGTGTTTCGAGTTCAGTGGCCCATTCCTCATACATCTTCACTCCTACCACTAAGTTATTTCTAAATGCTGTCAGAGTTTCTTGCTCATTTTTCAGTTTATATTTTTGTGATTAGTAATTTGGAACTCTTGTTGCGGTAGGTAGATTGTTAAGACTGCTCTATATATTCAGTTTTTAAAAATTTAAACACTGTTAGTATCTTCCAGTAGTGCTTTTCATGCTGTTTCTCAAAAGTGCCTTGTAAATTGCCAAAGTGTTTGAACTGACATTCTTTTGCCCCTTCTGTCTTTTATTGAAACTGTACCAAATTGGTTTAGTACATGGACTTGGGATGGTACAACTTCATTTATGTGTTTAATAAGATGACAATTTTAAGCCGAGACCAGTAGCATCCAGACCAACACATAATTCATATATGAGCAAAAAAAATGTGTGTGTGTCTATTTCAATACAAATCTTACTGTTCCTTAGTGCTTGTTATTTCCCCTTTTTTCAGTTAATATATTTTGGTATTCTTTCCAAGGGTTTCTTCATTGTTGTTACTAACAGCATTGTATGGATATACTATAGCAAAATTTCTACTGATGGACATTAATTTTGCTAAAAATTTCTTCCTTTACATAAAATGATTAATAGTAAAAAATGTTGTACATGTTTAGTTTATACATATGTCAAGTCAAGTATATTTCTAGGATAAAGTCCTTAAAGTTGAACTGCTGAGTGAAAGGATGTGCATTTATAATTTTGATGGATTTTGCCAAGTAACCTTAAAGAGACTGTACCAAGTTTCATTTCTACTATCCGTGATGAAAGTGTTATATTCCCACATACTTGTCTGCAGAGTGTGTTAATAGGCTTTTTCACTTTTTGGCAATCTGATAGGTGAGCAAACAATGTCAGTGTAGTTGGAGTTCTTTCATTGTAAGTAAAGTCGAACAGACTTTTATATTTAACATCCTTTGTATTTTCTATTATTTGTTTATATGCTTTACCCATTTTTGTTTTGAGTTCTTTCCTGCTTTTTTAAAAGTTGATTTGTAGAAATCTCTTCCCAATTTAAAAATTAGTTCTTTTGTCCGATGTGAGTTCTAAACATTTCTTCTTGTTTGGCTTATTTATTGAGATGGAGTCTCACTTTGTCGCCCAGACTGGAGTGCAGAGGCACGATCTCGGCTCAGTGCAACCTCTGCCTCCTGGGTTCGAGTGATTCCCCTGTCTCAGCCTCCCAAGTAGCTGGGACTACAGGTGCCTGCCCCCACATCTGGTTAATTTTTTGTATTTTTAGTAGAAACGGGGTTTTACCACCATGTTGGCCAGGCCGGTTTTGAAGTCCATGGCCTCAAGCGAGCCACCCACCTGGGCCTCCCGAAGTACTGGGATTACAGGCGTGAGCCACTGCACCAGCCCACCTTTTTTAAAAAATAAAAATAAAAAAGATGTTGTCCAGGCTGGTCTCAAACTCCTGGCCCTAAGCCATCTTCCCATCTCAGCCTCCCAAGGCCACTGCTCCTAGCTCTGTTTGGCTTTTGACTCGTGTGTGTGTGTGTGTGTGTGTGTGTGTGTGTGTGTGTGTGTGTGTGTGTGTTCAGACTTCTTAAATAAAGTGAATGTTTTAAGGCTTCTGGATTTTGTGACATATTACAAAAGTTGTATTTTAGAATATTTCTTATTTTCTAGTGATATTGATCTGTCTGTATCCAGTAACATTGTTTAAATTTTTGTGTTTTTGTGATATATGTTAATAGCTAATTCCTTCTAAGGTACGTTTCTTTTTCAGAAGTGCCCTAGCTTTTTTTTTTTTCTTGGCTATTTTTCCATTTGAAATTTAGAATCAGCTTTTATCATCTCCTGCCTTTAATTCTTTCTGTTGCATTTTTTATTGGGAGTACATAAAATTTGTAGTTATTAATTTATAGAGAATTGACAAGAATGGGGTATATCTTTCCATGAATTCATTTTTTGTTTCTCAGAAATGTTTTAATGTTTCCTTCATAATAGATTTTATACATTTATTAAGCTTCTTCCTAGGTTTTCTTTTTGTTATAAAGTGTTATATTTTTCATTACATCTTCTAACTGCTTGTTTTTTTTGTGCACATGAAGGCTTGTGATTTCTCTATATCAGTTTTGTACTTAGTCATCATACTGAATTCTCTTAAAGGTTTGGATTTTTTTTTAGTTTATTCTTTTGGCTTTTCCAAATATGTAGTGTTATCATTTCTAAATAATAATTATCTTCCTGTGTTCAGTTTTAATGTATGTGCCCCATTTCCTTCTCCTTCTACTTCTGTGTACCACACTACATGATACTGGACATCTCCACATTATACCTGATCTGAATGAGAATGCTTTTAGCTCTCTCCCACTAAAGTACAGTGCTTGCTTTTGTGTTAGAATTGATAGCTACATTAAGAAAGTATCCATCTAAATAAAGTGAATTAAAACTTAAACTTTTTTTTATTATTTTTTGTTTCAGTAGTTTTTGGAGAACAGGTGGTGTTTGGTGACATGGATAAGTTCTTGAGAGGTGGTTTTTGAGATGTTGGTGCACCCATCACCTGAACAGTGGACACTGTACCCAATGTGTAGTCTTTTTATCCCTCACCCATTCCCACTTCCCCTTGACTCCCCAAAGTTCACTGTATCTTTCTTATGCCTTTGCATCCTCATAGCTTAGCTCCCACTTGTAAGTGAGAACATGCAATGTTTGGTTTTCCATTCCTGAGTTACTTCACTTAGAATAATGGTCTCCAACTCCATCCAGCTTGTTGCGAATGCCATTATTTCGTTCCTTTTTATGGCTGAGTAGAATTTTGTGGTATATATATATATATATATACGTGTATATATATACGTATATATATATATACACACCACATTTTCTTTATCCACTTGTTGATTGGTGGGCATTTGGGCTGGTTCCATATTTTTTGGAATTGCGAATGTGCTATTATAAACATGCCTGTGCAAGTGTCTTTTTCGTATAATGCCTTCCTTTCCTCTGGGTAGATACCAGTAGTGGGATTGCTGGATCAAATGGTAGGTCCACTTTTAGTTAAGGAATCTCTATACTGTTTTCCACAGTGGTTGTGCTAGTTTGCATTCCCACCAGCAGTGTAAAAATGTTCCCTTTTCACCACATCCATGCAAATATCTATTTTTTTATTTTTAAATTATATCGCATTGTGGTTTTGATTTGCATTTCACTGATAATTAGTGATGCAGAGCTTTTTTTTTTTGAGATGGAATCTTGTTCTGCCGCCCAGGCTGGAGTGAAGTGGTGCAATCTCGGCTCACTGCAACCTCCGTCTCCCGGGTTCAAGCAATTCTCCTACCTCAGCCTCCTGAGTAGCTGGGATTACGGGTGCTCGCCACCACGCCCCACTAATTTTTGCATTTTTAGTCGAGACGGGGTTTCACCATGTTGGCCAGGCTGGTCTTGAACTCCTGATCTCAGGTGATCCACCCGCCTCGGCCTCCCAAAGTGCTGGGATTACAGGTGTGAGCCACCGCACCCAGCCCTTGTTGAGCTTTAGTATGTTTGTTGGCCATTTGTATATCTTCTTTTGAGAACTGTCTATTCTTTTGAGAATTGTCTATTCATGTCCTTAGCCCACTTTTTGATGGGATTATTTGTTTTTTACTTGATGATTTGAATTCTTTGTAGATTCTGGATATTAGTCCTTTGTCAGTTGCATAGTTTGTGAATATTTTCTCCAATTCTGTAGGTTGTCTGTTTACTCTTCTGACTATTTCTTTTGCTGTGCAGAAACTTTTTAGTTTAATTAAGTCTCATCTATTTATCTTTTTGTTGCATTTGCTTTTGGGTTCTTGTTCATGAAGTCTTTGCCTAAGCTGACATCTAGAAGAGTTTTTCCAGTGTTATCTTCTAGAATTTTTATGGTTTCAAGTCTTAGATTTAAGTCTTTGAGCCATCTTGAGTTGATTTTTGTATAAGGTGAGAGATGAAGATCCGGTTTCATTTTTCACATGTGGCTTGCCAGTTATCCCAGCACCATTTGTTGAATAGGGTGTCATTTCCCTGCTTTATGTTTTTGTTTACTTTGTCAAAGATCAGTTGGCAGTAAGTGTCTGGCTTCATTTCTGGGTTCTCTATTCTGTTCCATTGGTCTGTGTGCCTGTTTTTATACCAGTACCATGATTGGTTTTGGCGACTATAGCCTTGTATAGTTTGAAGTTGAGTAATGTGATGCCTCCACATTTGTTCTTATTGCTTAGTCTTGCCTTGGCTATGCAGGCTCTTTTTTGGTTCCATATGAATTTTAGGATTGTTTTTTCTAGTTCTGTGAAGAATGATGATGGTATTTTGATGGCAATTTCATTGAGTGTGTAGATTGCTTTTGGCAGTGTGGTAATTTTCACAATATTGATTCTACCCATCCATGAGCATGGGATGTGTTTCCATTTGTTTGTGTCATCTGTGATTTCTTTCAGCAGTTTTGTAGTTTTCCTTGTAGAGGTCTTTCATTTCCTTGTTTAGGTATTTTACTGGTTTTTTTTTTTTTTTTTTTTTTTTTGCAGTTATTGTAAAAGGGGTTGAGTTCTTGATTTGATTCTCAGCTTGGTAACTATTGATGTGTAGTAGTGCTGCTGATTTGTGTACATTAATTTTGTATCCTGAAACTTTACTGAATTCATTTATCAGATCTAGGAGCTTTTGGATGAGTCTTTAGGGCTTTGTAGTTATATGACCTTATCATCAGCAAACAATGATAGTTTGACTTCCTCTTTACTGATTTGGATGTCCGTGATTTCTTTCTCCTGTTTGATTGCTCTGACAAGGACTTCCAGTACTGTTTTTTTTTTTTTTAAATTTTATTATTATACTGTAAGTTCTAGGGTACATGTGCACAATGTGCAGGTTTGTTACATACGTATGCATGTGCCATGTTGGTGTGCTGCACCCATTAACTCGTCATTTAGCATTAGGTATATCTCCTAATGCTATCCCTCCCCCAACCCCCACCCCACAACAGTCCCCGGAGTGTGATGTTCCCCTTCCTGTGTCCATATGTTCTCATTGTTGAATTCCCACCTATGAGTGAGAACATGCAGTGTTTGGTTTTTTGTCCTTGTGATAGTTTGCTGACAATGATGGTTTCCAGTTTCATCCATGTCCTTACAAAGGACACAAACTCATCATTTTTTATGGCTGCATAGTATTCCATGGTGTATATGTGCCACATTTTCTTAATCCAGTCTATCGTTGTTGGACATTTGGGTTGATTCCAAGTCTTTGCTATTGTGAATAGTGCCGCAATAAACATACGTGTGCATGTGTCTTTACAGCAGCATGATTTATAATGCTTTGGGTATATACCCAGTAATGGGATGGCTGGGTCTGTTGAATAGAAGTGGTGAAAGTGGGCATCCTTATCTTGTTCCAGTTCTCAGGGGAAATGCTTTCAACTTTCCCCCGTTCAGCATAATGTTGGCTGTGGCTTTGTCATAGATGGCTTAAGGTATGTCCCTTGTATGCCAATTTTGCTGAGGGTTTTAATCATAAAGGGATGCTGGATTTTGTTAACTGCTTTTTTGGGGTCTATTGAGATGATCATCTGATTTTTATTTTATTTTATTGGTATTAGTTTTGATCTTTCAATAGTAATATTTTCAAGTAATAGACTTAATAGTTTCAAAACATTTTTCACTTCTCATGCACTTGATCATTGTATATTTTTCTCCCATTGTGCTTCTCATACATTTACTTCTTATTAGGCACAATAACATGTTGGTAAGAAATATGACCAGACAACTTTTAGTGGATTAGAAGTTACTTGTAATTTTTACTATGATTAATAATGCGTAAGCCTTTTGATTCCATTTCCTATTAAACTTTTCTTTAAGTGTAGGATATTATTAGTAAAATACGAATTTTTAAAATTTCGCTGGTTATTGCAGTTGTGGAGTTTGTGAGGAGGGGAGTGATTTAATTATTTGATTTCATACAGTGCAAGTTTCTGAAGGCATCTGGATGCACAAAGACTCGATTCACCACTGTGCCAGCAGCCTGTTTGTTGCTCTAGGCTGATTATACCCAAAATGTTGGTGACATGATGGATTATCACTTTCATTAGGTCATAAGTGTTAGGGGCATATATTTTACTTTTATAACATTTGTTTTTCAGCTCCTATTTTCTTTGCTCTCATTCTATAAGGATTACTTCATTTAAAACCAAAGTGTTGAAAGATTGCGTGGGTCTTCAGTCATTAAACTTTGCCTTTCAGATCATGAGAACATGACAGCAAGCTACTAAAAAAGCCTTAGATGATTAATGTTACTGGAAGAAAAGATATACTGGTTAGAATTCAAAGGTTGTTTGGAAGTAACGCATTGCTTATTTTTAACTAGGTAAAAATTTTTAGAAAAGTTTTTGTATTAGTCCATTTTCACACTGCTATAAAGATACTACCTGAGACTAAGTAATTTATGAAGAAAAGAGGTTTAATTGACTCACATTTCCATATCTGAGTCGCTAGGGAGGCTTTGGGAATCTTATAATCATGGCAGAAGGTGAAGGGGAAGCAAGGCACGTCTTACATGGCAACAGGAGAGAGACAGACACACACACACACATATCATGCAAATCTTGTATATTTTTTCTTTGTCCTTCCTCTTCATCCTTCACAGAAGGCAGCAGAGGATCAGTAATTGTGCTGTCTTAGTACACCACACTGCCCCAGTAATTCATCATGTTACAAACTTTTATGTGTCTTAAAACTTACCAGATAGTACAACTGTTTTCAAAATTGGTTTATGTTATTAGTGCTTCTTTTTTATTTTATTTAATTAATTATTTTTTGAGACTGAGTCTCACTCTGTTACCCAGGCCGGAGTGCAGTGGCGTGATATTGGCTCCCTGCAACCTCCGCCTCCCGGGTTCAAGTGATTCTCCTGCCTCAGCCTCCTGAGCAGCTGGGATTACAGGCACCTGCCACCTCGCCCAGCTAATTTTTGTATTTTTAGTAGAGACGGGATTTCGCCATGTTGGTCAGGCTGGTCTCAAACTTCTGACCTCAGATGATCCTCCCGCCTCGGCCTCCCAAAGTGCAGGGATCACAGGCATGAGCCACCAAGTTTGGCCTAGTACTGCTTTGTAGACAATTACCTTTATGCCTGTTATTTTCAGTGCTTAGATCCTTCCCATTCTGTGTACTTTTTTTGTTGACGTTACTGTATTAAGGTGGTCAGAATCAACATTTGTGATGTATTTCCAGCACCATTGTTGGCTGATAAAATAGAGATAGCTTTAAATTTAGTATCCATAAAAAATAAAATGAATACCGTAGGTTTAGAGAAGTTTAAAGTTCTCAAGGGATCTATGTATTTTTTAAAAATTATATAAAAATAACTTTAAAGTAATCTTTTTTTCTTGGTAAAACGTGCAGTTTTATGTATTTTTAGGCAGGAGTAACAACTTTTTCCACATTTCCATCCAGAGAACAAAGGTCAAAACAGCATTTATTATTCTAGCTATAGTTTTACTGTTTAAACTTTTGAAATTTTGTGTAGCACCATTGAGAGAAGATTAGTGCTTACAGCTGAAACTTAGTTTTAATACAGTATCATATATACATATATATTGGTTGATTTGTTTTTGAGACAGGGTCTCACTGTGTTGCCCAGGCTGGAATGCAGTGGTGCAATTATGGCTCACTGCAACCCTTGTGTCTGGAGCTCAAGCAGTCCTCCTACCTCACTTCTTGAGTAGCTGGGACTACAGACACATGCCACCATGCCCAGCTAATTTTTTGTATTTTTTGTAGAGATGGGGTTTCACCATGTTGGCCAGGCTGGTCTCGAACTCCTGGACTGAAGTGATCTGCCCACCTCGGCCTCCCAAAGTGCTACGATTACAGGCATGAGCCACCATGCCAGACATCTTTTTTTCATTTTTTGTTATCATTTATTTCTGAAACTCAGCCAATATGATGTATAGAGACAAATACATAGATATTGACTGGCAAAAAGTCATGGAGATAAAGTGTATTACTTGAACAAGACTTCAGATTGAATATTATTATTCTTTAGTTTTCATTCATTTGCCCGCTTTGTGAGGTATTAGGAATGACATGGGTGGTGGTGGATACAACATAGAAAAATTTCACTTGCTTAATATTACTTGAACTAATCTCTGGGACCATAGTCCCTTGGCCATCACCAAGACTGAGAAGAATCGAATCAAGATTTTGCTTTAGGGGAAGGTTGTTTTGAATATCTTAGGGGGATTTACAGTGCACTCTCCTGTAGCTTACATTGCAAAGCATTCTGGCATGGGATAAGATGTTCATAACTCTGTGTGTTGTCTTTAAACAGAGTCTTTGAAGCAGTTCCCTCAGACAGCACAGGACATTTTCCTACTGAAGGAACTCAGATGCAGTTTAGGCATACTTATATGTGGAAACTATCCATCTCATAGTTTACTACTGAACCCTGAATTAGCTGGTAGCAACAACCCCCTACCCTCTCTCCCGCAGTCAGAGGCTTCTCCTGATAGCCATGGCAGTAAAAATAGAACAGTAGAACTAAAATATTTTCCAGAAGCAGAACATATTCATAGGGAAAGGATGAATTCAAAGTTATTTACAACTCTTTTATCTTCAAACCATTACATATAAATTGATCAAATAAAAATAGCTAGTCTAATGTGTTTTGAGCAGGTATTACCATTTTTATTTATTATTTATATTGCTTATTTTTGAATCATGATATTTCAGGCTTTTTATTTGATGAGTCAACATCTTAAGATTCCTAATGAGAATGGAATATGAAAAATAATTGGGTCATTGTTAACAATGATAAGTCATTTTGACAGTATGTGTACTTGATATGATCAATGATACTTCAGCTCTGTGGTTCTCTTCCCCAAAATGCACAACCCCAGTCCAATTATGAACAAAACAGTAGACAAATCCTAGTTAAGAAACATTCCACCAAACAACTGACTAGTAGTATTCAAAACTGCCAAGCCTCCAAAAACTAGGAAAGTCCAAGAAACTGTCACAGCCAAGAAGAGCCAAGGAGACATGCCATCCAAACGTAATGACATATCCCAGGCAATATCTTGGAACAGAAAAATGGCAGCAGACAGAAACTAAGGAAATGCGAATAAAGCACGGACTCTTGTTAAGAATAATGTATCCGTGTTGATTAATTATGACAAATGTGTCATACTAATGTAAGATGTTAACAGTGTGAAATCTGGCCTCTGGGTTCCCAGGAACTCTCTGTATCACCTTCTCTGTACCATCCTCACCTCTCTGCAAATCCAAAACTATTCTAAACAAAAAGTGCATTTAAAAAATCAATTCAAATTTGGCAGTGTATTAGGGTTAAGAATAATAAAGTAACAGTGATTTTGAGAGAGCTCAAAAATAAAAAATTTGGAATGGCATTCTTTTCAAAGCTTGGTGGACCCAAAACCTATAAATACTTCAGTGGGGGAGATCAGGGATTTTACCTTCGGAACATTAAGGTTGTATGAATTTATTGGGGAAGAGGGAAGGCTACAAAGTAGTCAACCTAATTCTATTTGTCTTCTTTGCCCCTGGCTTCCAGATCTCTCTCCAAGTCACCATAGACCATGTGCACCCCAATATTGAATATCTCATGAACAACCAGGACAGATTTGATCTAAGAAAGACTCAATGCAAGAAATCCCTGTTATATTCCAGTGGAGAGTGTTATGTGGAATGGACCCCTCCATTTGAACTCTTAAATTCTGTTTCAATTCAGGTCATTATTCTCCTCTGCTTTCCTTGGAGGTTTATACAAATCTTAGGTACACCAGGAAACCATCCTTTGAGCCAGGGTTCTTTCTCAGTGCCAGGCACTTTTCTATGTGAATTATATCAACAGGTAACCCTGTGAACCATGTTTCTACCTAACGCTGTTGACAAATTTCAGTCCTGTTTCATTTCACACAACTGCCCAACTTGGTGGATCAGAAGACAACAGGTAAAGATAACCAAGTAGCCACCAAGTAAGACTAGGAGGCTTTCCGCAAAAAAGACAACTTTCTGAAATGCTTGGTGAAACTGTTCATTAGACAGAATGTACATCACTGGATTGATGATGGAGTTTAAAAATAGCTCAGCAAGGCTGGGCGCGGTGGCCCACGCCTGTAATCCCAGCACTTTGGGAGACCGAGGCAGGTGGATCACGTGAGGTCAGGAGTTCGAGACCAGCGTGGCCAACATGGTGAAACCCTGTCTCTACTGAAAATACAAAAAATTAGCTGGGAGTAGTGGCAGGTGCCTGTAATCCCAGCTACTCGGGAGGCTGAGGCAGGAGAATTGCTTGAACCTGGGAGGCGGAGGTTGCAGTGAGCTGAGATTGTACCATTGCATTCTAGCCTGGGAGACAAGAGTGAGACTTGGTATCAAAAAGAAAAAAAAAAAAAAGCTCAGCAAGATGAAGATGTCTTAATATGGTGGTATCTTGGCTGGCAGAGAAACAATAAAGAGAGGCAGCCAGCAGATGATAAAAGCCCCTAAAATGATCCCCAGGGTTTCTGTGGCTTTCCTTGTTTGAAAGTAAATTTCCTGTTGTACTAGGACACTATAAGCATGCTTGATTTTCATGTGATTAACAAGCAGAGGAGAGCCAGTTAAGCGCCTTTGCCTCTCATGGAGGCTGGGGTTGAGGAAGAAGAGTGAGCTGTGATGACCTGGGCAGTGGTGCTGTGATGATGGCTTCTGGATGTTCTTGTTGGGCAATGTGTGAAGATGATGAACAACACAACCAAAATGTAGAAGGTCTTACATGTGGAGTAGGTGGTGCAAGAGGTCTAGGAGAAGAGCACTGGGATAGAGATACAATTTGAGATGGCCCATTTACTATACTACAGGGCATTGGTGATGGCCCAGTACCTGGTCAGAGCAACAGACAGAAATATCGGTTGGAGGCCATGTAGCACGTGATGCTAGAAGACAGCCAGATGTTGCACAGGAGTTGGCCAAATTTCCAGGTGTGTGTGATGGTCTATGTGATGCTCATGGATATGAACAAGGAGCCAGTGAGATAGTTGGCTGGTGTATATAGCTTCCTGGTGAGGAAGATGGTGGTAAGCAGAAAGGTGTTGGAGAGAGCTGTTGTCAGTGCGATGATGGAAAGGACCACAGCAAGAGATCTCTAGCCCCTGGAAGTTCCCAGCTCCTAAGCCTCCGGTATTTTTGTAGTATCGAGGGATCCGTTGGAGGCCTCCTGGAGGATGTCTTCCATTGGATGGTTTTGTGAGGACATTCTAGGGAGCTTTCTCTTCCACAGTCATAGCTTCTCTTTTCACAGTTGTCTGTAAAAGGTCATCTTTCCATTTCCTACTTCTGGGAACCGTACATCAGAAGAGCAAACCACAACAGAAAATCTCCAAGGCTTGATTACATGAAGAACACTGAGGTGACTCCTAGCTACAGTTAAAGGCTTTTCCCAAATCAGATTAATCCCAAGATGTCTCTCTGTTCTAGAACTCTGATAGGCACATGCTGAATATGTTAGACAATTGCAGGTTATCACAGCACTGTGGGCAAAGCTCCACAATTTCTTGCCTTTGGTATTTTGACTCTTTTTAAGGCTTGAGACTTATACGTGTTTAACTGTGCCTTCAGAATATTTCCCATCCTATTCCAAAGAGATTGTGGATTTCAGGTTGCTGCCTGGGAGCTTTTAAAATTAGAGACAAAAGGGAATACCAGCTTATTCAGAGAAGCAGTCCAGTCAACAGCTCACAGTTTTCCTAGGTGAATCCTGACATATGATTGGTACTTAATTTTGGTTCCTTTTCTACTGACTGTTTTTGAGCCTGAAAAGACAAACATTCCAGTTACCAAAGCTTGAAGAATGCATGAACTCGGAGAAGGGAAAACAAACGGATCACTGTGAGTTTGCCAAGCGGGGCAGGTGTTCGAAGCCCCTCCCTGGCCGTGCGTGTGGAATGCTGGGCTTGCCCTCCTGGGCCCTCCTTTCTTCACATGGTCGGATTTTGGCCTACATAATCACAGGCCCCAGCCCTGCGCCTTCCCCTGGCCCTTTCCCTTCCTGCACTTTTGGGATACTCCATTTCTTTTTTTGTTAATTAATAACTTTATTCGTTTGGAGTAGTTTGGGAAGTTCCCAAGTGTACCTGAATAATGTACATTGTATTCAATAGGTAATTTTTCATTTCTCCCCTGCCTGCCTCCCCCTGCTCTGAGTCTCTAGTGTCCGTTATACCACTCTGTATGCCTTTGGGTACTCAGCACTGCCTCCCTCTTATGAGTGAGAACATGCAGTATTTGGTTTTCCATTCCTGAGTTACTTCACTTAGGATGATGGCCTCCAGTTCCATCCAGGTTGCTGCAAAAGACATGATTTCATTCTTTTTTTCATGGCCGAGTAGTATTCCATGGTGTGTGTGTGTATGTATATGTATATGTATATGTATATGTATATGTATATGTATATGTGTATATATACACATATACATGTATATATACACACACACGTGCATATATATGTGTGTGTGTATATATATATACACACATACCCATGTGTGTTTATACACACACACACACACACACACACACACTTTCTGTCTCTTGCCATATACAAAAATTAACCTAGGTGGATTAAAGACTTAATCTAAGACCCGAAACCATAAAAATTCTGGAAGATAACACAGGGAAAACTCCTCTGAACATTGGCTCAGGCGAAGGATTTATGACAAGGATCTCAAAAGCACAACAAAATAAAAATGAATAAATGGGACTTAATGGACTTAATTAAACTAAAAAGCTTCTGTACAGCAAAATAAATAATCAAAAGAGTAAATAGACCACCTACAGAATGGGAGAAAATATTTGCATCATATTCAACAAAATATTAATATCCACAGTCTACAAGGAACTTAAATCAACAAGAAAAAAAAATAATCCCATAAAAAATGGGCAAATAGCATGAATAGACATTTCTCAAAAGAAGATATACAAATGCCCAAAAATGTATGAAAAAATGCTCAGCATCACTAATCATCAGGGAAATGCAAATTAAAATGACAGTGAGATACCACCCTACCCCATCCAGAAGGGCTATTATTAAAAAGTTAAAAAATAATAGCTGGTATCATGGATGTGGTGAAAAGAGAACTCTTACACACTGTTGGAGCAAACGTAAATTAGTACAACCTTTATGGAAAACTGTATGGATATTTTTCAAAGAACTAAAAGTACATTTATCATTTCAGGCTGGGCGTAGTGGCTCACACCTGTAGTCCCAGCACTTAGGGAGGCCGAGGCAGATGGATCACCTGTGGTCAGGAGTTCAAGACAAACCTGGCAACATGGCCAACGTGGCGAAACCCCATATCTACTAAAAATAAAAAAATCTGATGGGCATATTGGTACGTGCCTGTAGTCTCAGCTACTTGGGAGGCTGAGACACGAGAATTGCTTGGACCTGGGAGGCAGAGGTTGCAGTGAGCCTGGATCGTGCCACTGCACTCACAGGGCGAGACTTCATCTCAAAAAAAAAAAAAAAAAAAAAAAAGATTTATCATTTCATCCAGCAGTCCCACTACTAGGAGTCTACCCAAAGGAAAAGAAGTCATTCTGAAAAAAAAGACATCTATGATATGGAATCAACCTAAGTGCCCATCAACCAATGAATGGATAAAGAAAATTAAACTTTCCTTTTTTTTTTTTGAGACGGAGTCTCGCTCTGTCGCCCAGGCTGGATTGCAGTGGCGCCATCTCGGCTCACTGCAAGCTCCACCTCCCTGGGTTCACACCATTCTCCTGCCTCAGCTTCCTGAGTAGCTGGGACCACAGGCACGTGCCACCACGCCCGGCTAATTTTTTGTATTTTTAGTAGAGACGGGGTTTCACCATGTTAGGTGGTCTCGATTTCCTGACCTCGTGATCTGCCTGCCTCAGCCTCCCAAAGTGCTGGGATTACAGGCGTGAGCCACCGCGCCCTGCTGATAAGTATTTTTTTAAAAGCCCTGAGAAATGACAATGTAGGATTTAAAAAATGACTTGTATTAACAGTATGAGAGTAATATGTGTTCAAGGTAAAAAAAAAATAAATAAATAAAAATAAAAATTACCAAAACATATGGAGTGAAATTAAAGTTCCTTCTCCCATCCTTTGCTCCTCTCAGTGCAGTTCTTTAGGGTTATTAACTGTTGTTAACAGTTCTTTGTGTGCCGTTTCATAAAGTTTCTATGCATATCAAGCATTTATGTGTTATATACCTTTTAAAAAACAACTGGAATCATACTTTTTATTAATTTAAAAATAAACATTTTAATATCATCTTATATACAGCTTTATCTCATCTTAAAAAATATCTACATGGTTTTCTGAATCATACTTCTACCATAATTTAACTAAATTTAACCTAAGATTTACAGGTAGATGAAGATAGGGGTTTTTCTTATTTTATTTTATTTATTTTATTTTTTTGAGACAGAGTCTCACTCTGTCGCCCAGGCTGGAGTGCAGTGGTGCAATCTTAGCTCACTACGGCCTCTGCCTCCCAGGTTCAAACAGTTCTCTCCTGCCTCAGCCCCCTGAGTAGCTGGGATTACAGGCGCGCACCACCACACCTGGCTAATTTTTGTATTATTAGTAGAGAGGATTTTACCATGTTGGCCAGCCTGGTCTCGAACTCCTGACCTCATGATCTGTTCACCTCAGCCTCCCAAAGTGCAGGGATTACATTTGTGAGCCACCACGCCTGACCTCTTGTTGATTATAGTAGTATAACGCATAATGACATAACCGTCTCATTCATGAGTTGATATTGTATGCGTGTAAAATGTCGATAGCTGTTTAATTATCCACCAAGAGTTTTCCACTGATTTACACGGAGAATGTTTTTTTGCACAGTTTCATTAAACATTTGTTATCAAACCTTTTTAAATTTCCACTGACTTGGTAGGCAATTCTGAAGTGTCTCTTTTCTTGCTTAGTATTTATTTAAAGTTGAGTTCTCATTGAGCATTTTTTCATAGGTTTTTGTTTTGTTTTAATTGGGAGGTATATGTTAATTTCTTTTCCATATTTTTCTGTTTGATGATGTATTTTTTCTTGTTGATTTATAGGAAGTTTTTCCTCTAGTAAATACATTGGTCTATTTCCTTTTATGTTTTACAAATACATTTTCCTGTTTTTTGTTTTTTGTTTTTAACTTCATTTATGTATTTATTTGGGGGTTTATGTCACCAAATTTAATAGTACTTTTCTTTATGTCCTCTCAGTTTTAGGTCACACTTTGAAAGTCCTTATACATGCCAAAGTCATTTTCATTTTTATATTTTTTTGAGAAAGGCTCTCACTCACTCTGTCACCCAGGCTGGAGTGCAGTGTCTCAGTCTCAGCCCACTGCAACCTCTACCTCCCAGGCTCCAAGCCAACCTTCCACCTCAGACTCTCGAGTAGCTGGGCTACAGCCGCACACACCACCATGTCCAGCTAATTTTTTAGCTTTCTGTAGAGACAGGGTTTTGCCATGTGGCCCAGGCTGGCCTTGAACTGCCGGGCTCAAGCAGTCTGCCCTTGCCAAGGTTATTAAATAATTCATACATGCTTTTCTCTGGTACTTTTAAAGTTTCTTTTTATACATCTAAAAATTGGTTTATAAAATTTATATATTGCCGTAATGATTCAGTTTTATGTTTTTACATGTGGCTGGCCAGTTGTCATTATAGTATTTGTTAAATAATCCACCCCTTCTCTTCTGATTTGAAATGCCACAAATAAATTATCAGATTAGTAGATTGTTTTGCTATATTAATTTTATTTTTGCAGGAATTTCTCACTCTTCTCACTCATTTACTTTTTCAGATGAACTTTAGTATGATTTTGTCAAATTTTCCTCTTCCAAAAAATGAACTTGTTACTTTTTTTATTGAATGTGGTATCTCAGAAGTCAAGTGAAGAAAGGGTTTCAAAGAGGAGAGGATGATCAGATTTTTCAAATACTGCTGATGAGTTACAAAAAATGAAAATTGACCATTGGCTTTAATAAAGTGAAGATCCAAATATCTAAAAAACCATCATGCAGAAGAAAGATTAGACTTGTTCAATATGGCCCCACATTAACTCAATCAGCAGATACTCTAAGGAGTCAATTCTAAAGAGAGTCAAACTGTCCAAAACTGATAACACACTACCTGGGAGGAAATCAATTCATTCATTATAAGTGGACATATAGCAAAATTAAAGTGTAATCCGTCACTTTATCTAATTTTGCTATATGTCCAGTAGAGTGGGCAGAGTTTATAGTTTGTGCCTAGTTTCTCCTGTGATTATCTGTTACTTTAAACAATATTTTAAAACTTTCTGTGTCTTGATTTAACACGTTTAAAAATGAAGCCATGTTTATTGACTACTTTTTATTAAAAATAGTTTATTTATATTACCAATCCCCCTTCTTGATTTTAGTTGGTAAACTTTTGTTATATTTTGCTGAGTTCATAGTACTTTTCAGTTTTATATTGTGTTGTTTTTTGTAAAGGAGAAACATTGCTTACTGTAATTATGATTCATATTTAGCTTTTATTTCTGAATTTCAGTATATTTAATGCTCATAACTAGTCGTTAAAAACAGCTTAACTGTTCCCAGTTTTTTTGTTTTATTTATTTTTTTTTTGAGAAGGAGTTTTGCTCTTGTTGCCCAGGCTGGAGTGCAGTGGCATGATCTCGGCTCACCGCAACCTCGCCTCCTGGGTTCAAGCGATTCTCCTGCCTCAGCCTCCCAGGTAGCTGGGATTACAGGCATGCGCCACCATGCCCAGCTAATTTTTCTTTTCTTTTTTTTTTTTTTTTTATAGTTTTAGTAGAGATGGGGTTTCTCCATGTTGGTCAGGCTGGTCTCGAACTCCCGTCCTCAGGTGATTTGCCTGCCTTGGCCTCCCAATGTCCTGGGATTACAGGTGTGAGCCACCGCGCCTGGCTGTTCCCAAGTTTTAAACTTTAATTTTTGGTTGCCCAGGAACTTCTTTGAATTGTTTTGTATGAAGGGTTATGGGTGCTATCCCAATTCCTTGTTTGTTGACCATGTGTTTATGTTATCTTTTTATATTTTAAAAACCATTTCAGAGATACAAAAATGTATAGAGAATAATATACTGAGTATAATCACTCAAGTTAAGTAAACATTTCAAATATTGTTGAAGTTCATTGGCATATCTCTCCTTGATAGTACTCCTTTTTATTCTATCCCAGAGATTAATACTTGATTTTAGTATTTATACATGTTCAATAAGAGGAAGTACATATGGCAAATAAATATGAGAAAAATGTTCAACTATAATGAATGAATTGATTTCCTCTCAGGTAGCATGTATCAGTTTTGGACAGTTTTGACCCTATTTTGTTTAACCAGAATTGATTCCTTAGAGCCTTTGGCACCAGGGACCAATTTTGTGGAATACAATTTTTCCACAGGCCATGCTGCAGGGGACAGTTTTGGGATGAAACTGTCCCACGTCAGATCATCAGGCATTAGGATCTCATAAGAAACATGCCACCTAGATCCCTCGAATGCACACTTGACAGTAGGATTCACGCTCTTGTGAGAATCTAATGCTGCCACTGATCTGACAGGAGGTGGAGCTCAGGTGGTCACGCTCACTTGTCTCACCGCTTACTTCCTGCTGTGCGGCCCAGTTCCTAACAGGCCACAGACCGGCACTGGTCCATGGCCCAGGAGTTGGGGACCCCTGCCTTAGAGTATTTGCTGATTGAGATTAACTTGGGGCCATAGTGAATAAGTCAGATCTTTTTTCTGCATGATATTTAGATATTTGGAGCTTACTCTTTGGCAGCCCCCAAATCTCAATATCCTACGTGAAGTATTTTTATTCCCCTCATTGTTCTTATTTGCTTTGGTTATTTTTTCTGATGACTTTTATGTGTCTAAACTGATTTTTCTTCCATCTTGACTTGTTTAGTTAGGATTTTGGATCTAATTGCAAGAGAGATGATTAAAATGGGATTCATGTTCCGTTCACGGCCCTTAGCTGAAATGTGGGCTACTCAGTGAAACTCACTAACGTTCAGTTTCTTCATCTGTAGAGTGGATATAATAGCTACTTAAGGATGTTCTTGTTTAACGATGTAATGTGTATGAAATCATGCACCTTGGAACCTGTAAAGTGGTATATACTCAGGATATGAGGTATCAACATAATTTATTCTCATTAAATTTCATTCAGCCAATTACTCTGAATTTAGAATCATGGAGAATCTTTTGACTCTTGATTTGATTGTTTAGTCTAACAGTAATTTAGTCTGACAAGTCTTGATTTGACTAACAAATCGTTTAGACTAACAAATTGTTTAGCCTTGATTTGATTGAAGGATTGTCAATCCTTCAATTTCATGCCTTCTACCCATTTATAAACGTGCTCTGTATACTTTCGTATAGACAATAAAATGTTGAACAAGCCCCCAAAAGATTTAGGTGATACATTGTAAGAAACTGCTGATCAGATTGATATATCCATCACAACAATTCTAAAAGCTTTTTTTGTTGCCTGTAGAATTTTTTTTTGTAAGCTCACTTTGTTTGCAGGTCCAGACTTTTATAAATCTATATTCCTATTTGTCCTTCATGTATGTTCTTCAATAAGACCCTTAAAAATCTAAGATCAAGGTGAGCATGGTGGCTTACACCTGTAATCCCAGCGTTTTGGGAGGCTGAGGAGGGTGGATCACCTGAGGTCAGGAGCTTGACCCTGTCTCTACTAAAAATACAAAAAATTAGCTGGGCGTGGTGGTGCCCACCTGTAATCCCAGCTACTGGGGAGGCTGAGGCTGTAGAATTTCTGGAACCCAGGAGGTGGAGGTTGCAGTTAGCTGAGATCACACCACTGCACTCCAGCCTGGGCGAAAGAACAAGACTCTGCCAAAAAAAAAATCAAATCTAAGATCAGCCTGTAAAATTCCTTCTTCTTTAAATTTTCTTTTTCTTTTTGTAGAGACAAGGTCTCACTGTGTTGCCCAGGCTGGTATCCAAACTCCTGGTCTTAAGCAATGCTCCTGCCTTGGCCTCCCAAAGTGCTGAGATTACAGGCATGAGCCACTGTGCCCAGCCTGAAATTCCTTCTAATGATGATACCTTGATAGTGAACCACCTCAGGACCACCACCTACACATATTTTCCTAGCGTTCTAAGCAATGTATGCACTGGAATAGTCTTTGCTGTTTCTTCTTCTTTTTCCTTAATGAGTACATTTGTAGTTGTACAGTCAAAATTATGTTCTTGTGGGTCTCCCAGTCTTCCCAGTCTTTCTAAACCGTCCTCATTCCGCATAGTGTTTTCCACTATGTGCTAGGCAAAGACATATAGATGTGGTCTCTGCTCTCAGGAGTCCCAGAATTATGGGAGGTTAGAAGGTTATGATACGAATGGTATACGGTGGGGCAAAAAAACGAGGAATTTTAGATTTAGCCCTGTATGAAAGGAGTCTGAGGAAGTCTTAGGAGCTGAGTCTTGAAAGTTTGCAAGGTAGATGGAGAAGGGGGCATCTAAGCCTGGAGAGTGGTGTCAATAAAAACGAGGAGGGGTGTTCCTTTCCACCGTGTCATGCCCTGGCATTTCACTTCTGCTTTTAAACATTCGTAATATACGCTCTTAAAAATTTCTGGTAGAGCTCTGCATATGAATGCCGTTTCTGTCTCATTACGAACTCTGAAATCACTTGCTCCCTGGCAAAATTATACCCAATTTTTACCTAATGAGAAAAATTACAGTGAATGTAGTCATCTTTATTGACCTGTTAATTTAGGAAGCAGTTGAGTTGAGTTTTTTTCTCCTCTGTCCCAGAAGATTTTCAATCAAAAACTGTAGAAATTTATCTTCAGTGGGATATTGTGGTATAACTTTTAAGGTAGAACTTTAGGTATCCCTGTAGAGATGCCTTAATTCTGTACAAAAAAGCCTTAAATTCTGTACTTTGCTTCTTGATTCAGACACTTGTTCCCTAAGGAAGAAGAATATGGTAACACTACATTTATCCTTTTCTTGTTCTTTGGTGTCTACATTCTCTAATCATTTCTTTCATGAATATTATAACTGTATATTTAAGTAATATTTAAATATTGTAATATTTAGGGAGCAGTACTGAGAAACTATGTTATTTTGGCATTTATCTAGATATACTTAAAAGAAATTTTTTCTTCTGAGCACAATGGCAGTTATGGTAATCGCTGGGTTATAAGTTAGTCACATACTGTGGACTGTCTCTGGTTCTGTCTGGGCCACCACTGTCCACCCATAGTCTTCCTTGCTTTCTAAGTAGTATACATATTTGTATGCACTAGGGTAACCCAGTGCTTAGAGAATGAAACGAGACAATAGCAGATGGCCAAGCGTGCTGTACAATGGGATTAGTATTGGGCTCCTCCTTCCCAGGGTTCTCCCCTATGGTTTAAAGTAGTTCTGTGTTACAGTAAATTTCTTATCTTTATAATAAATCACTGACCTGGAAAATGTAATTGAGCATTTGAATCTGAGCTGCATTCAAAATCTGTGTTAAAATTGTACAGCTTCTTGCTTGATTGATTATAAATGATAATGTAGCTTGGAGTTTAATTTGCTTACACAGATGCTATCAACATTCCCTTCCATGCTTCTGTAACTTCTGTTTATTTCGTTTTGCTTGCATCTCCAGTTTCCTAGGTTTGTTTTTTTTTTTTGTCCTAGTTGGTTCTTTAAGTCTCTTCTATTTTGTTTTGGGTAGGAGGTCAGAAAGAATAGGTCCTTTGTATGTTCCGTTTGTTTTCTGTGAAGTCTTGGATAAGACAGTTGTTAGTTTGTTCACTTTTTCCATATCATAAAATCGGACAGGAGAGTAAGGTTGTTGTTTTTTTAATTAAAGACAATATTTACTAATATATTCTGAGAAAATATTTTATTTTTAAAATTGTGCCTTTTTATTTTTAATAAGGATCAATTCCTGTATTTTCTGAATGTTATTATTTTAAATCTTAACCCAGCTGTGAAGCAAGCTAAGTTTAGAGAAGACTGTGTCAGGCCTAATTGAACTTTACGTCTGAAACATAATTTAGTTAGATATTAGAATTTTTTCGTTTTCTTTCCTTTACTTATAATTGTCTAATAGAACTCACTTTGCAGTTCTTTGTTGATGGAGAATATGTATAGTTAAACTCTTGAAATATCATTTTATTGCAAAAACAATGCGCAGTAAATGAAGTTTGATTTGATGATTATATTTTTACTGGTAGCTAAGGAAATATACTCTGTGTAAATTTATTTGCTTCATACAACTTTTTTTCCCCTCCCTTTTTAAAAGTAAACCTTAAGGAAGTGGAGAGTTTAACTTGCAAAGTATTATTTAACTTCTGTATGTCAACAGGTTTCTGGTTTTAAATGATGCTGATCCTATACAAGTGATATTTTATAATTATTGAAGAATTATTCTCTTAGAAAGGGAGGTTATTTTTTTTACCTTGTTATAGTGTAAATCTTTTAATTATGATATGTTCCTTAGCAGTATTCCTTCCACTTCCAGAACACTCCTCTCCAAAAAATACTACAAAATAACAAAATACCCCCTCATCCCTACATTGTGATAATCTAGAAATAATAAACTTCAGATATAAGTGATTAAAACAACAATAAAATGGATGTATTGTGATAGATCTAGCAAACTCTATTGCTGCATGATAACTGCCCTAAAACGCAGTGGCATAAACAACCATTTTATTTTGCTTATTTATTTGTGAATCAGGAATTCCAGAAGGGCTCACATAGGTAGTTTGTTCTTGATTTGTGTATTTTCACCTGGAAGTGTCTATGATTGGATGATCTCCTACCAAGATGGCTTATTCACTTGCATATATTCTCTTTGCTCCTTAGCCTCTGTCTACATGGTGGTTTTTATTTTTATTTTCTTTATTTTTATTTTTTGAGATAGAGTCTCACTCTGTCACCCAGGCTGGAGTGCAGTGGCACAGTCTCAGCTCACTGCAACCTCTACCTCCTGGGTTCAAGCAATTCTCATGCCTCAGCCTCCCTAGTAGCTGGGATTACAGGCATGCAGCACCACACCTGGCTAATTTTTTTATTTTTAGTAGAGACGGGGTTTTGCCATGTTGGCCAGGCTAGTCTCAAACTCCTGGCTTCAAGTGATCCGCCTGTCATGGCCTCCTGAAGTGCTGGATTACGGGCCTCAGCCACCATGTCTGACCTACATGGTGTCTTTTGCCCCAGCTTCTGCAGGTGCCTTGGGTTCCTCGTGGCATGGGGAAAGTAGTCACACTTCTAATGTGGAAGCTGCTTCCAGATTTATAGATGTTAGAAGCAGAAGCTGCTTGGTCAGTTAAGGGTTATTCTTGAAAGTGGCTTGGAAGTGGCAGGTCACTTCTGTTGTATTCTGTTGGTCATAGTAGTCACAGAACCTGCCCTTTTTATTTTATTTTATTTTATTTTATTTTATTTTATGTTGTTATTTTATGTTATTTTATTTTGTTATTTTATTTTATGTTATTTTATTTTGTTATTTTATTTTATGTTATTTTATGTTATTTTATTTTTGAGACGGAGTCTCGCTCTGTTGCCCAGCCTGGAGTGCAGTGGCGCTATCTCAGCTCACTGCAAGCTCTGCCTCCCGGGTTCACACCATTCTCCTGCCTCAGCCTCCCAAGTAGCTTGACTACAGGCGCCCGCCACCGCACCCAGATAATTTTTTGTATTTTTAGTAGAGAAGGGTTTCACCGTGTTAGCCAGGATGGTCTCGATCTCCTGACCTCGTGATCCGCCCACCTCAGCCTCCCAAAGTGCTGGGATTACAGGCGTGAGCCACTGTGCCTGGCCAGAACCTGTCCTTATTAAAGCAGGGTGGTGGTGGTGTCAAGAATGGGGCTCCACCTTCTTCCTGAGAAGGGGTAGAGTTCATGGCAGAAGAGTATGTGAGATGGAAGACATTGTTGTGACCATTTTTGGAAAATATCTACTTCAGTAGAATAAAACATTGGATAAGGGGTTGGAAATCAAAGAGTGAGTTTTTTTTGTGCGGTATGGCAATAAAATTCTTACTCCCTTTTCTGTTGTCTTATGATATTGCAGCCTTATTAACCAGAATGGAAGTGGAATGTTTCTATTTCCATGTTCTGCTCAGTGTTTTAATCTGTTATTTTTAGGGTTTCTACTGTTATCTGTTGCTTTCAAACAAGCTACTCCAAACCAGAAAGAATTCTGAACAACTTAAGAGTTGTTTTACCTAATTCAGGAATTACCACAGAGTATAAATGTAATTCATAGGAAGAAAGTACAGAAGAATAAGGTATGTGGAAAGGAAGAGGACTAACAGAAGGTGAATTAATGCTACTTACTGATTTTGGCAATTCACCTTGGGTGAGAAGCACGACTGTCTAGATGGAAACTCTTGTGTATTAGTGATCTAACAAGAACCAGTGTGCTTGCTACAAGACTGCCTTTTAGAAGATAGAGGTGTGTATAGATGATACACAGAATGCAGGAGAATTTTTTTTTTTTTTTGAGATGGAGTCTCGCTCTGTTGCCCCGGCTGGAGTGCAGTGGCGCGATCTTGGCTCACTGCAAGTTCCGCCTCCCGGGTTCACGCCATTCTCCTGCCTCAGCCTCCCGAGTAGCTGGGACTACAGGCGCCTGCCACCATGCCCGGCGAATTTTTTTGTATTTTTAGTAGAGACGGGGTTTCACCGTGTTAGCCAAGATGGTCTTGATCTCCTGACCTCATGATCCACCCGCCTCGGCCTCCCAAAGTGCTGGGATTACCTCGGCCTCCCAAAGTGCTGGGATTACAGGTATGAGCCACCGCGCCTGGCGAGAATTTTTAAGAACATTAAGAAGAAATAAACATGGCTAAACTGTTTTGTGTTATTTGAGGGGGATAAAGCAAGATACATCTCAGAACTTAGAGTGTTTTCACAATTCGTTGATGGATATTGCTTTGACCTAGCACTGAGGGGTTAATTTGGATGGAATTTTTTTTCCAATCGAGCTAGAATTCACAGATCATAAAATTTACCATTTTAAACTATATGATTCAGTGGTTTTCAGAATATTTACAATGTTGTGCAACCATCATCACTGTCCAATTTTCATCACTTCAGAAAGAAACTCACACCTGCTGGCAATTACAACCCCTCATCCTCTGACAACCAGTAACCTCCTTTTTGTCTCTATGGATTTGCCTATACTGGATGAGACCTTCGACTGTGAACTTTTGAGCTAATGCTGAAATGAGTTAAGGCTTTGGGGGATATTGGTTTTGAAATGTGAAGACATGAGATTTGGGAGGGGCTGGGTCGAAATGATGTGGTTTGGCTGTGTCCCCACCCATATCTCATCTTGAATTGTAATAACCACAGTTCCCATGTATTGTGCGAGGGACCCAGTGGGAGGCAATTGCATCATGGGATGGGTCTTTCTCGTGCTGTTCTTGCAATAGTGAATAAGTCTCACGAGATCTGATGGTTTTATAAAGAGAAGCTCCCCTGCACAAGCTCTCTCTGTCTTTGCCTTGTGCCTTCCAAGCAAGTCACATGGTGGCTTGCCTTCCAACATGATTGTGAGGCCTCCCTATTCATGTGCAACTGTAAGTCCATTAAACCTCTTTTTCTTCCCAGTCTCAGATATGTCTTTATCAGCAGCATGAAAATGGACAAATACAGAAGGCTTTCAGTCTTCACCTTGAAGTATGATGTTGACTGTGGGTTTTTCATAGATGCTGTTTATCAGGTTGAGAATTCCCTTCCATTCCTAGCTTGTTGCATGTTTTTATCATAAAAAGATGTTGGATTTTATAAAATTCTTTTTCTGTATCTATTGAGATGATCATTTGGTTTTTCTCCTGTATTCTGTTAATGTGGTACATTATATTGATTGATTTTTGTATTTTGAAACTAACCTTGCATTCCTGGGTAAAGATAGATTTGTTTTTAAATAGCTTTGTGTTTTTCAGCTGGATGAATGTAGAAACTTGTTCTATCAGCATTATTATGGAGACAATAGAAGTGGACCTGAGAGAATATAGCCTTTGGATAAATGCTTAATTTTCAAGTGCTAAGGTGTAATATAAATGGACATATGCAAAGGCTTATATTGTAATATTTTTACATCATGGAAATAATTTTGACTCATTAAACATTATTTCTTTGGGCTTTTAAGTAACTTAGTGAATAATTTGAGGATCTGTGCTTATCTGTGTCGTTTCTCATCTGTTGTTAATACGCCACATTAATGTTCTCAGAGTCTTGCAAGTTCTAGTTGAGTGTTTTGACCGAGCACACATTTTAAACTTGAAAATTGATAATTATCAAGTCAATAAGGAAGGGTCAGATCCCTCTTCTGACAAAGATTGTTCTTAGTTGTTTCTCAGGAGATCCTGTAGCAGGAACTTGTCAGAGTAGTAAATACACAGACACATATCTAGAAAAAGACAAAAGATTTAGGGAAAAGTGCCTGGTCGCAGTTTTAAAGCAGAGTCAATATTTTCTTCTGCTTAAAAACTGCTTATAACTTGACATAAATTCTCTTACATTGCATTCTCATCTGTGGGAATGGCTGTTTGGTTAGATGCCCAGGTATCTGTCAACTCTAGTTGAGAAATTGAAGTAACTAACCACGTGAAGAAGTTATTAAATCAGACTCTGATGAAGCAGCCTTTTATGCTCTTCCTTTTTCCTGCTACACCAGTATGTATATCCTAACCAGAAAATAGCTTCAAGAATCAGACATCTATTTTGTTCTTTATCTGTTTTATCTTCCTGTAATTGTCAGACTTCCTCAATTTTTTCTCCTAATGATTTTTTTTTCCTAAAGGAGTTTTTCAGATTAGAAAAATCATGTAATTTTACAGAGAAAAATTTGCAAAATTCTATAAGATCTTTGGGCTTCTTTTTTCTTTTCTTTTTTTTTTTTTTTCCGAGATGGAGTCTCGCTCTGTTGCCCAGGCTGGAGTGCAGTGGCGTGATCTCAGCTCACTGCAACCTCCGCCTCCTGGGTTCCAGCAGTTCCCCTGCCTCAGCCTCCTTAGTACTCGGGACTACAGGCGCGCGCCACCACACCCTGCTAATTTTTTATTTTTACTGCAGACGGGGTTTCAGCATGTTGGCCAGGATGCTCTCGATCTCCTGACCTTGTGATCCACCCACCTTGGCCTCCCCAAGTGCTGGGATTGCAGGCGTGAGTCACCGCGCCCCGTCAGCCTTTGGGCTTCTTATATACAGTGCATATAGGTAAGAAACTGACATTTGGATTTGTTTCATTGCATCCCATTCAGGCTGAACTCTGCCTTATACACAGCAAATTTGGTATTTTTATTTTTTTTGAGACAGGGTCTCATTCTGTCACCCAGGCTGCCGTGTAGTGGTGCGATCGTGGCTCACTGCAGCCTCAACTTCCTGGGCTCAGGTGATCCTCCTACCTCAGTGCTGCAAGGAACTAAGACTACAGTTGTACAGCACCATGCCTGGCTGACTGTTAATAGTTTTTGTAGTAGAGATGGGTTTCGCCATGTTGCTTAGGCTAGTCTCAAACTCCTGGGATCAAGTGATCTACCCGCGTCAGCCTTATGAAGTGCTGGGATTACAGGTGTGAGCCACTGCACTGGCCAAATTTGGCACTTCTATAAAGCAGCTAAGCAAACAACTTTAAATGAAGTGACTGGTCTTTTTTTTTTTTTTTTTTTTTGGAGGAGGAGTCTTGCTTTTGTCGCCTAGGCTGGAGTGCAATGGCGCAATCTTAGCTCACTGCAACCATCGCCTCCCAGGTTCAAGCAATTCTCCTGCCTCAGCCTCCCGAGTAGCTGGGATTACAGGTGCCCACCACCACACCCGGCTAATTTTTTTGTATTTTTAGTAGAGATGGGGTTTTGCCATGTTGGTCAGGCTGGTCTTGAACTCCTAACCTCAGATGATCTGCCCGCCTCGGCCTCCCAAAGTGCTGAGATTATAGGCGTGAGCCATCGTGCCGGCTGTGACGGGTCATTTTAAACAACATTCTGGATTCTTGAAAAGAATGCCACCGATTAATAATTTGTAACTTCTCTTATGCTTTTGACAGTCTGATGAAAGCTATGGGCTTTCTCCAGGTAAAAGTGTGCATAGTTCATTTGTGTGAACTGAGATATAATATACACCTTAAAGTTTATCCATGAACTTCTGATTAAAAACACCCACCTTTCACCATGACATGGTGAAGAAAAAAATAATCAGAAACACTCACCATCTATGGAACAACCAAGTTGGTGATATACACTGGTTTCTAGGTTTTACAAAATCATAAAATATGTGTATGGTTCAAATACAACAGAAATTCATGGCAACTACAATTTCATGTTAATTATAATTTAACTAGAAAGAGTGTAGCTGTTGGGTATGGTGGATGCTGCGATGATCGATGCAACCTAGGTCTCTCCTGATTGTTGAAGGACTTATTTCCCCAGATCGCTGGAAGTGTTATCAACAGAAAGCCCTCCACTTTCCCTAGAGATTGTCTTAGCTAAAGACACCACCTTGCCCGAGGGCAAGCCCCCTCCCATGGACATCCAGTGATTGATCCTTATGAGGTGCCATGGTTTGAATTCCTTCCCCCTACTTGGGACAACAGCTTCAGAGCTCCTCGTGGGGTTGTCAGAATCCTTTGGGACTTCGTGGCAGCTGAATCGCTCCCTCTGTACAATCCTCATTTTTCTCCTCCTATCTACTGACTCCGATCCCAAAGAGCACCGTCTAATAAACTTCTTGCATAATAATGTCTGTCTCAGGGTCTGCTTTCCGGGAAACCCAGTCTTGGGTAGAATACAGGGTAGGATATGAGTGCAAGTCAGCATCTTTCAACCCATAAAAGTAGACCTGGCGAAAATAAAAATTCAATGAGATGAACTTGAATTTAAATTAAAAATAAGTGAAACATCTCATCATATTTCCTTCACACCTTATATTCAAGTAGTTTTTCAGAGTCTTGGTTTCTTTGAATTTATTTGTGTCTCTCAGTCTTTCTTTGAAGAAAGACTCCCCAAATCTCTGAAAGCTTGGTTTGTTTGGTTACACATTATGAACTTGTGAAAGGTGTGGGTTAAATAATACAGTTGCTTACATGCCCCAAAGAAACCCCTAGAGGTTTTCTATGTTGGCAGGTGAATATGATAAGAGAATCTCCTTTTGCTAAGATTTCTTGGACTGTATTTAGAAAATATTTGGTTTTGGCATTATCATTAAAATTGTAGATGTCCATTCTAAATATATGAAAAGTATGGAAAAGCTATAAAAAGAAAAAAATCTGTGTAAAAATAAACTTCTCCTCACTTGAAATTGGTATAATATTACACTTACTTTTTGGTGACCTGTCTTATTCATGTAATAGTGTATAATAAACAAGTTTTTGTATCCTTAATTCTCAAGAATATGAATTGTAATGGTATAATATTCTTTCCATCCAGTGGATAGACCATATTTAATTTGGCTAGCCTTTTATTGTTAAGTGTTTAATTATTCCCAATTTTTAAATTATTACAATACAATGGATTTTTTTAAAAAATTAAGCCTCTTGTGCCTGCTTTAGTTTTTAAAAAAATATTGGATCTCTCATCACTAAAATGTAGTGAACTGAGACTAGGCTACCTAGACAGCCACTGTAACTGAACAACTTCAAGGGAAGCCATTCACATCGATGATGTGAATTGAGGGCCTCAGTGAAATCTCATCATTGCTACTGCCACAGAAGGATTGCCGTTGTGGATTTATGTGCCCTCTTTGTCTTTTGAGCAATTTTAGCACAGGGAGGTCTGTCAATTTTTTATATATGCTGACTAGATAGAAAAAGAAGGGTTTGAGCTATTTTCCATAATTATCTACCAGGCAGATCTTGACTGGCAGTGACCTTTGGTCTTACCAGCTTTTGTGTCATTGTATCCAGTTGTTCTAATGCGAGAGGCCCCTAGTTCCATGATCTGTACCATGAGCAAATCTGTCAAGGAACTTTCTTTCCTACCAGCAATTAATAAAATCTACCTGGAGCAGTGGACTCTGAAAATATATTTTCTTAAGGGCTATACCATTCCTGTATAATTAAATTTGAACAGTTTTAAAGATAAAATATAGTAGTATTCTGGTGAAGTTTATTACTTTTTAAATGTTCTCATCTTCCTTAGAAGAATATTGTTATATTTTATAATTGAAAGAGATGTTACTAGTCTTTTGTTTTACAGTTAAAGTGATGAGAAAGATTAAGCAATTTGCTCAATGCCACGTAACTAGTCATTCATTGCAATAATTCACTCCATGATCTGTACTATGAGAGAACAACACAACTGACAGGGAAACCCAACCAAGGAAGTGTTACTTGCTACCCGACATCTTTGCTGGGCTTATTGAGGACCATAAGCAGTAATTGAGAATACTGATATGAAAACTTTTAAAAACCCAAATTGAATTTAAAACATTGCTTAGAGTTTCTTATGGTTTTGTCAGTCTTGCAGCTTCTCATCGCTGGAAACAAGTGGAGAAGCAAAATTTAGATGTCAGCAATAGTCTGGGCAAAACATTCTTTTTTTTTTTTTTTTTTTTTTTGGTAAATTATAGTTTTGCCTTGTTTGTACATTTTGTCCGAGTGTCTGATGGTGGACAAACTGTTGACCAGAAATCAGGGGACTTAGAACCTGAAAAGGAAAAATTCACTATTAATTACTATAGATCCCTCTTTGCCAACTGATTATGACCAGTTCATCCAGACTGTATTTCTGCCATCAATACTGAAAGGTATTATTAACCAAGAAAGTAAAGGTCAGAGCCTTTTTGAATAACTGATTTCATACAATAAATTTGATGCTGATGGCTATTTAAAAGAGCTGTGGAGGCACCCTCAAAAATGTTCCTTTCCCTTAAATGATATTTAAAGTGAGCCAGGGGACTGCAAGAAGTGTTTTGAGCTGTCTTGTCCTCAGAACTGTGTCCTAGAGGAAGTCTCTTCTGCGTTTGCCCAGTGATTTGGGCCTCAAAGGCAGAGTAATCAGTTCCACTTGACTGGAAATAAATCACCCAGACTGAAACATGATAGCTCCTGACAACTGGGCAGGGCTGATAAAAGCCAAAACAAAAGATGTCAATAAATCTGTGCCAATGTGGAATTAGTATGCAGATTTGATGAATTCACTCTGTAGCTTTGCAGTCAGCATTAGACTTCCTCTGATTTTATCAGTTTTTCTTTCTTGTTGAAATAAAAATTGTATGAGGACAAGAAAGCCTCTATATAAAATAACCATTTTATTTCTGTTTCTTTCCACCCTAGTAAACAGAACTGTACCATGATTACAGAGGTCATTTTAAGGAATAACGTCGTCTTTCTCCAAACAGTTAATTTAAAAATGTTTCTTCCTTGGGCTGGGTACAGTGACTCACATCTGTAATCCCAATGCTTTGAGAGGCCAAGGTGGGAGGATCACTTGAGGCCAGGAGTTTGAGACCAGCCTGGGCAATGTTGCAGTACTTCATCTCTACAAAAATTAAAAATCGGCTGGGTGTGGTGGCATGCATTTGTAGTCTCAGCTACTCCGGAGGCTGAGGCTGGAGGATTACTCGTGCTCAGGAGTTCAAGGATGCAGTGAGCAGTGATTACACTGTCACACTTCAGCCTTGGTGACAGAGCAAGACCCTGTCTCAAAAACAGAACAAACAAATATGTATTTCTTGAGTTTACTACTCAATAATGATAATTATATATGATAGTAAACTGTATATATAAACCTGTTGGGTATCACCCCCCTTCTATTATCATTGACGGCACAGATGTGTAGAATAAATGCCAGTTCCTTTGATCACTACAAAATTTTGCTTGTACAGAAATTGAATATATGCTAATAGGTAGTGATTTCTTTCTATGTCAGGGAGAGTTTATACAAAAAAAAAACCCATGGGATTATAAAATGTATCCTTTTCTGTAACAATTATTTTATTAATTTTCAATTTTAAAACTAATTTATGTAACAGAAGAAAAACCTTTTAAATGTTTTATTGTCAGGTCCTCCTTGGTCCGTCTGTCTGTAAATAAACTAGCTTCCTTTAACCTTGAAAGTTAGGCTAAACAGATTATTTGAATAACGTCGTGGTCCTGAAATCCTTAACGTCAAGCATCTTTGGCTCTGCCCAGCAGCTTTAGTGTATGGTGATTAGATGTATGTTTCATCCATGAAGGATGTACTTTTCCATTTGCAGTGGTTTGGTACCTCATTCTTTGGGGGTTCGTTTTATTCTTTGCTTCAGTAGGGGGTACATTTTAAGTACATGATCGTAGCAATGGTATACTATATTAATAAACACTATAATCATAAGAAATCATTTATGGAAAGATGCTTTATGTGATTACTTTTTCAGTTTTTCACCATAGAACATATTATTTATAGGGTGGTAATTAAGAGTAGATTCTGGAGCTACACTACCTAGTGATTTTCCCATAGGCCTGTAGTGATGCTTAAATCATTGTTCCATATAAAGTCCTTGCATCAGTACCTGGCATGTTTTTAAGTGTTGGCTGCTTCTGTAATCTACCTCCCCACCACCACTGTTAGAATCGTCGTTCTTGTTATTTTATTTTAGGGGTTCTGTGGTTTATAGTCCTAAACAATGGAGAGTTTTTAAAAACTGGATATTCCGAGCATATTTAAAAGGGTATTTTTCTGCTAAACGTGATTCTGAACAATCATTTTTATCTTTATGTTCTAGTATGTGCATAATGGATCCAGTTTTTCTCTTGGCTGTTCAAAGCTTCTTATAAATCTTATATTTCAGATCCTATGGGTACTTGAATTAGTATAGAATAGACTCTCTGCTGAATATTTTATAAAAATGGCATAATACATACTGAAATAATATGATATGGGACTATCAGAGTAAACAGCATTTATAACCTCAACATTAGCTTGGTGAAAAAGAAGAGAATAATGACAAGAATAATGTGGTAACATTCATTCTTCAGCTGGTCAGTGACACATATAAACTGAGGTCCTTGATCACAACGAAAGTGAGGATATGTCATGGGAGCCTTCAGTGGGGCTCAGCTGTTACCCATCATGATGCTGAATTCAGTGAGTGAGGGCTCAGCTGTTATCCATCGTGATGCTGCAGTCAGTGGGGCTCAGCTGTTACCCATCATGATGCTGGATTCAGTGGGACTCACCTGTTATCCATTGTGATGCTGCATTCAGTGGGGCTCAGCTGTTACCCATCATGATGCTGGATTCAGTGGGGGCTCAGCTGTTATCCATTGTGATGCTGCATTCAGTGGGGCTCAGCTGTTAGCCATCATGATGCTGGATAAACGGAAAGAGAAGTATTTTTATGGGCACACATTTCACCCGACACACCCACCTCCCACCCCCTGCGTGTTTCGGGTTTGTTCAGTGCTTACACAGCTGGTTTGCACCTATCTGTGTCTATTTCAGGTCTTCCTCACTGATGGCAGCTTGCCCAGAGGAGGTAATCTTAGTGTCCACTGTTCTTTTTTTATTTTGTGAGATCCTTTCACTATGAAATGTTTGTTTCTCCTCTTTTAGAAGTAAATAAGAGTCTGAGAATAGCCATCCCTTTTCACTCCGACTCAACAGTCAGTCTCTCTAGAGTGGGTAATTGAAAAAGAAAGTAACTTGCCAAGAACTTGCTGACGGCATTTTACCTGTTTCAGCAGCTTCTGCACCTGAGTATATCAGCAGAAGTGTTTACTAGCAAAGAATAATGGATTCCTTTAATAGTTTAACTACATATCAGGTATAAAAGTGAAATTGTTAACATTTTAATTCCTGAATTTCTCCCTAGATGCAGATGATGGAGTAGAAAGAAGGGTATTATCCTTATTATGCATGTAAGGGGTGTTTGTATATTAGGTAGGCTCATAAAACAAATCTGTCTTCTTGTATGTAAAACTTGGTTGGTTCTGTGAAATTTCATTTTAAATAATGTTTCTTGTATTGCCCTTTCTTGACAGGAAAGTCTAATCAACAGCATGACCATAGCTTTTCTTTGTATAAGACCTATATGTTAGCAACTGGAATGACCTGCACAGCTGGTTAAACATGTAAACACCAAGGCATTGTGTTCTGTATATACAGGTATACCTCGGAGATATTGCAGATTCAGTTCCAGACCACCACAGTAAAACGAGTCACACAAATTTTTTGGCTTCCCAGAGCATATAAAAAGTTATGTTTATACTATATTGTAGTTTATTAAGTATGCAATAGCATTATATCTAAAAATGTACATAATTTAATTTAAAAATACTTTATTGCAAAATATGCTAATGATTTTCTGAGCCTTCAGCAACTCGTAATATTCTTGCTAGTGGAGTGTCTTGCCTCTGTGTTGGTGGCTGCTGACTGATCAGGGTGGTAGTTGCTGAAGGTTGGGGTGGCTGTGGCAGTTTCTTAAAGTAAGACATCAGTGAAGTTTGCTGCATCAATTGACTCGTCGTTTCAAAAAAGATTTCTCTGAATCCTGCAGTGCTATTTGATAGCATTTTACCCACAGTAGAATTTCTTTCAAAATTAGAGTCAATCCTCTCAACCCGTGGCACTGCTTCATCAACTAAGTTTATTAATATTCTACATATTTTGTTGTCATTTCAGCAATGTTCACATCATCTTCACCAAGAGTAGATTCTGTCTCAAAAAAAAAAAGCAACAACAAAAAACACTCTTATTACTCATTCAGAAGAAGCAGCTCCACATCTGTTCAATTTTTTTTTTTTTTTGAGACGGAGTTTTGCTATTGTTGCCCGGGCTGGAGTGCAATGGCGTGATCTTGGTTCACTGCAACCTCTGCCTCCTGGGTTCAAGTGATTCTTCTGCCTGAGCCTCCCGAGTAGCTGGGGTTACAGGTGCCCACCACCACGCCTGGCTAACTTTTTGTATTTTCAGTAGAGACAGCGTTTCTCCATGTTGGCCAGGCTGGTCTTGAACTCCTGACCTCAAGTGATCTGCCTGCCTCGGCCTCCCAAAGTGCTGCGATTACAGGTGTGAGCCACTGCGCCTGGCCCATCTGTTCAGATTTTATCATGAAGTTGCAGCAGTTCAGTCACAGCGTCAGGCTCCACTTCTAATTCTGTTTCTCTTGCTATTTCCACATCTTTAGTGACTACTTCTGCTGAAGTCTTGAGCCTGTCAAAGTTATCCGTGAGGATTGGAATCAACTTCTCCCAATCTCCTGTTAATGTTGATATTTTGACCTCCTATTGTGAATCACAAATGTTTTTAATGACATCAGGAATGGTGAATCCTTTCCAAAAAGTTTTCAATTTACTTTGCCCAGATCCATCAGAGGAATCACCAACTATGGCCTTACAAGATGTATTTCTTAACTAGTAAGACTAGAAATCAAAATGACTCCTTGATCCATGAGGTGCAGAATGGATGTTATATTAGCAGGCATAAGAAAAACATGAATCTCCTTGTACCTCTCTATCAGAGCTCTAGGGTGACCAGATGCATTGTCAGTGAGCAGTAATATTTTGAAAGGAATCTTTTTTTCTGAGCAGTAGGTCTCCACAGTGGGTTTAATACACCAAGTACACCATGTTGTAAACAGATGGGCTGTGATAGAGGCTTCATTGTTCCATTTATAAAGCATAGGCAGAGTAGATTTACCATAATTCCACAGGCCCTAGGATTTTCAGAATGATAAATGAACACTGGCCTCAACTTTCAGTCACCAGCTGCATTATCCCCTAACAAGAGAGTCATCCTCTTCTTTGAAGCTTTGTTTTCTTTGTTTTTTTTTTCTTTTCTTTTTTTTTCCTTTTTGAGACAGAGTCTCGCTTCGTTGCCCAGGCTGGAGTGCAGTGACATGAACTTGGCTCACTGCAACCTCTGCCTTTTGGGTTCAAGCAGTTCTCCCATCTCAGCCTCGTGAATAACTGGGATTACAGGCATGGACCACCACACCTGGCTAATGTTTGAAGCTTTGAAGCCAGACATTGACTTATCCTCTCTAGCTATGAAAGTACTAGATGGCATCTTTTGCCAATAAAAGGCTGTTTCATCTATTAGGTTGGTGTAGAAGTAACTTCAATGGCAAAACTGCCATTACTTTTGCACCAACCAAATACATTGAAAATTCATTGTTTGTTGTAGCCATCTTCATTGATTGTCTTAGCTAGACCTGGATAACATGCTGCAGCTTCTCCGTCAGCACTTGCTGCTTTACTTTACACTTTTATATTATGGAGACGGCTTCTTTCCTTAAACCTCATGACCAACCTCTGCTAGCTTGAAACTTTTCTCCTTTAGCTTCTTCACCTCTCTCAATCTTCATTGAAATGAAGAGAGTTAGGGCCTTGTTCTGGATTAGGCTTTGGCTTGAGGCATGCTGTGGCTGGTTTGATCCTGTATCCAAACCAGCAAACTTTTTCCATATCAGCAATAAGGTTGATTTCTTTTTTGTGTGTTCATCGGAGTGGCACTTTTGATTTCCTTCAGTAACTTGACTGTTTGGTTCCAGAGGCCTAGCTTTCAGCCTGTCTTGGCTTTTGACATGCCTTCCTCACTAAGCTTAATCTTTTTTACTTTTCAAACTCTGCATGTAGCATTTGACTTAATCATTTCTAAATTTTGACTAAAAGTGAGAGATGTGCAACTTTTCCTTCTCCCTGACTATTTAGAGGCCATTGTTGGGTTATGAATTGGCCTAATTTCAATGTAGTTGTGTTTCAAGGAATAGGAAGGCTGACACAGAGGGAGAGAGAAGAGGGAATGATTGATCAGTGGAACAGTCAGAACACATGCAACATTTCTTAAGTTCACCATCTCATACGGGCAGAGTTCATGGCACCCCAGATAAATTACAATAGTATCATCAGAGATCACTGATCACGGATCACTGTAACTGATACAATAATAGTGAAAAAGAAATGTTGCAGGAATTACCAAAATGTGACAGAGACACCAAGTTAGAAAGCTCTTGGAAAGTAGTGCCGATAGACTTGCTCGACGCAGGGTTCCCACAAACCTTCAGTTAGTAAAAAACCCGTATCTGTGAAGAGCAATAAAGCAAAGCGTAAGAAATCCAGGTATACCCGTATATGGAGTACTGAATTTTTGAGTGGCAAAATTCTCTTTACTGGTTATGAGTTGACCTAAGTGTTGATCCGTATGAGATTTCAATAGTAGTGTCTGATTAAATCAAGGGAAGACTAATGCTTTCCATCTCGGATGAACTCAGTTCTTACAATAGGCTTTGGTCTCTTACTGGGCAATTCAGTGGTTCACCCATACGATTATCTCTTTGTTAACAAGTGAAAATGTAAGCTTCAGCATATTCACATACCCTATTCTAAACTTACCAAATCTCTTTCTTAGCTTTTTTGTTCTGCCTGTCGAGTTCTTCTTGACTCTAGAGAGGTACCTTAAAGAGCTTGTACTAAATTTATTAATGTAAGAAACTACCTGACAATTGGATCCAGGATTGTTTTGTAATTCCGTTATTGGCAGGAGTTTTTGTGAATCCCTGAATATAGTTTATGGAAGTCCAAACTTATATTTTATTCATTTATTGATTAATGTTTACTATGATCTGAGATGTACTGTATAGGAAGGTACAAAACAGCTGGAGGGGCAGGATCCATGTCTACTTGAGACATGTATAAAACAAAGATTACATATGGTTTCATACACTAATCAGTGCTATAATGATTGATAGATAGAGGAATGGAGATATGTGATCAATATATAGATACATGGAAGAATGGAGGAGTGTGTATTTATACATAATATATACATGTATATGTATCATTACTGGGGTACAGACAATGATCAGGTTTTTCTCTTGGGGGTGAGGGCAACAGACTGTTCCTAGAGGAGATAATGTTTATCTTGCATTTTGAAAACCACGTAGAAAAATCAGGTAGTTCTAGTATCAGCTCAAGAGGAGATGGTGATTATATTCTCCTGCTTCATTTCTCTCCATAGAACTTATCTCTGCCCTACACTATGTTGATTCATTCATTTGTTCAGTCACTCATTCCCTCCCTCCATCATTCATTTGTCTACCTTACTAGAATGTAAGCTCCATGAAGGCAGGGATTTGGTCTGTTTTCATTACTCTGTTTCCTCAGCAACTGGAAAAGTGCCTGATCTATGGTGGGAATTTGAACTCCTGTGTATATAGTGAATGAATAAACTTTGTGAGTAGTTGGTTTATTTATAATTTTCCTTTAGCTTATTAAGGATAGCTCCTTAGAATTTCCTCATAGTTTGCTTGATTTTTTAATTATACTTGAATAATAATTTTTATTGTACTTGAGTCTCCTTGTACTTGAGTGATAACATGCCGCTTGCTGTACTTGAGTGATAACATGCTATTTCCACAGTGTTATCTCATAGTATGTTGAGTCCCCATCATCTTACCTGAACTGATACAAACTCTAATGGTTTTCCATGTCTATATGCGAGTCCTCTTAAGTTTTCATTGAAAGATCAGATCCTTGCATGCTGACACTGCCAACACTGGTACTGTTATTTATTTAAAGTACAGAACTGGCCAGACCACTTCTGTGCTTAAAAATCTCTAAGGGCTTCCATCTCTCTATAATAAAATCTGTGCTCCTTAGGTTGGCACACAAACTGTTTTATAGCTTGGCTTCAGCTGTATAATGATGCATTTTCTTACCATCTCATGGTAGAATAAAAATGAGTCTATTCATTTTTCTTTTTTTTTTTTTTTTTTTTTTTTTGAGACGGAGTCTCGCTCTGTCGCCCAGGCTGGAGTGCAGTGGCGGGATCTCGGCTCACTGCAGGCTCCGCCTCCCGGGTTCACGCCATTCTCCTGCCTCAGCCTCCCAAGTAGCTGGGACTACAGGCGCCCGCCACTACGCCCGGCTAATTTTTTGTATTTTTAGTAGAGACGGGGTTTCACCGTTTTAGCTGGGATGGTCTTGATCTCCTGACCTCGTGATCTGCCCGCCTCGGCCTCCCAAAGTGCTGGGATTACAGGCGTGAGCCACCGCGCCCGGCCTCATTTTTCTTCATATCCATAGTGTCTGGCATGTAATACAGAATTCAACAAACGTTTTTTGAGTAAATGAATGCATGTAAGTGTATATGAATGAATGGCCACAAAAATGTTTGCTGCTTAGATAAAAGATGATATAAGTAAATGAATGCATATAAGTATGTATGAATGAATGGCTAAGAAAATGTTTGCTGCTTAGATAAAAGATGGTGTAAAACTAACCTAACACTAGCCTTTAAGAACACAGTCTTTTCTTTATATAGCTGATTTGTCTTTTTCACTGTTTAGCTGCTCTATCCTCTGTCCTCCCTTTATTCTTTGTGAAGAAATCCCTCTTGGCATTTACAATGTCATTTTAGAAGTAATCCTAGTCCTCATGGCTTTCCTCTCTACATGGCCATCTCTATACTGGATCTTTTCTGCTAGCTACTTTTCTTATTTTGTTAGGGATGTGTGTGTGTGTGTGTGTGTGTGTGTGTGCGCGCACGCGTGTGCGCGCGCGCATACACATGTGTACTTTTTTTTGTTTTGCCTACAAGTTCCTACAAATTTAATTTGCCTACAAATTTAAGGTTTTGCATGTAATTCTGAAACTCTTAGGATTAAATGATTTCTACAGAATGCACACACACAGACAACCCTGAGCTATCTGTTTTCAAATTGAAATGATTTTGATTGTGCTATTGTTTTTTTATACATGTCCTCTCTTTTCCCTTAAATATTTATGTACATTTAGATTGAAAATCTTCAAGAGCAGCTTAGAGACAAGGAAAAGCAGATGAGCAGCTTGAAAGAACGGGTCAAATCCTTGCAGGCTGACACCACCAACACTGACACTGCCTTGACAACTTTGGAGGAGGCCCTTGCAGAGAAAGTGAGTGGCTGGCCCCAACTCTCCACACACGTTTTCTGCTTTCTCATTAATCTAAGACTGGATATAGAATACAAAAGAAATCCCTGTGGGCACAAGGGAAAAGAGCTGCTGTGTGCTATTGCTGACATACGTAGTGTGAAGGGAAACATTTTTTTTAGATGGAGTCTCACTCTGTGCCCAGGCTGGAGTGCAGTGGCGTGATCTTGTCTCACTAAATTCCACCTCCCAGGTTCAAGCGATTCTCCTGCCTCAGCCTCCCGAGTAGCTGAGATTACAAGCATGAGCCACCATGCCCAAGTAATTTTTTGTATTTTTTGTAGAGACGGGGTTTTGCCATGTTGGCCAGACTGGTTTTGAACTCCTGACCTCAAGTGATCCACCCACCTCGGCCTCCCAAAGTGTTGGGATTACAGGCATGAGCCCCTGCACCTGGCCAAATTGCTCTGATTTTCAAACTTCTTGAGTATCTGTTGACAGAAAGTTTTGATGATTTCTCTTTTCTTTACCTTCCTTTATATTTTAAGCTCAATATATCAAAATCTTTCCCATTCCCCCCTTTTTTGGTGTGTGAGTTGTGAGTTGTTTCCATTGCCTTGTGGGCAACATGTGAATAATATATAGAGAAGAAATATTTGTTAGTTATTGTCCTTAGGGTGTATATATAAGCTTTTAGTTACCTGGAAATTGAATAAATGGAAATATTGCAAAAGAATACTTTAGTGATATCAAATACTAGTTGAGATTATAAGAAAAGAAACCTTGGGATTCAAATGAATAAACCTACATCCTTGTTATGGCAAGATGAATAAGAAGGATGAATTATTTAAAAAATGTATTCTGGCCAGGCACAATGACTCACACCTGTAGTCTTAGCACTTTGGGAGGCCGAGGCGGGTGGATCATCTGAGGTCAGGAGTTCAAGACCAGCCTGACCAACGTGGAGAAACCCTGTCTCTACTAAAAATACAAAATTAGCCAGGCGTGGTGGCATGCTACTTGGGAGGCTGAGGCAGGAGAATCGCTTGAACCCGAGAGGCAGAGGTTATGGTGAGCCGAGATCACGCCATTACACTCGAGCCTAGGCAACAAGAGCGAAACTCTGTCTCAAAAAAAAAAAAAAAGTGGATTCTTTAAAAACTTACCATTGTCTTTTGAATATAGAAGTTTGAAATTCTGCTAAAAGCAGAATTACAGTCATATAAGTGCAAAAGGGAATTTCTTCACATGTTGATATATTCTCTCATCAGGAGCGGACAATTGAACGCTTAAAGGAGCAGAGGGACAGAGATGAGCGAGAGAAGCAAGAGGAAATTGATAACTACAAAAAAGATCTTAAAGACTTGAAGGAAAAAGTCAGCCTGTTGCAAGGCGACCTTTCAGAGAAAGAGGTTAAGCTCCCCAAAATGGAATTAGTTTGTTTGCTTAATCATTGCATGTGTCTGTATGTTGGTGTTTACATAATGCATATAAAAAAGTATTCGATGGAAAATTTTCTTAATATTCTTTTAGCAGGCTTTTGTTGAATACCTTAAGGAATATTTCAGAAAGCTTTGCAGAGACATAGCGGATTGGTTCATTCATTTTCTAAGTATTACTCACTTTGTTTTATGTTGGTTTTTTACTTACTAATATTTTTATAGACCTAAAGTAACTGAAGCTCAGATACATTTGGAGAAATAGTGTGCTAAAGATAAGAAAGTTGACAGATAAAAGGAATATGCAAAAGGAGGAAATTTTATGTATAGCAACTATCAAAGAACACAACAGCTATTAAATTAGGTGACTTAATATACTTTGGTCTTGTTTTTGGAGAATCCTGTTAATATGACCTAAATAGCAAAGATGCCTCATGCTATGTAATCAGATGATGATAATGCATGAGCTTTAGCATCTTTCTGTGGATTTTCTTTCTAATATCTTTAGGCAATGTTATGGAAGTTTAAATTCCTAATAGAATTTTTCTTTTAATAGGGAAAAATGTGATTTTTTTTTTTTCTTTTAAGAGACTGTGTCTCACTCTGTTGCCCAGGCTGGAGTGCAGTGGCATTATCATAGCTCACTGCAGTCTTGAACTCCTGGGCCCAAGGGATCTTCCTATTTCAGTCTTCCATGTAGCTAGGACTATACGTGTGCACTACCATGCCCAGCTAAGTTAAAAAAATTTTTTTTTGTGAAGACAGGGTCTTGCTATGTTGCCCAGGCTGGTCTTGAACTCCTGGCCTCAAGTGATCCCCCTGTCTCAGCCTCCCAAAATGCTGGGTTTACAGGTATCTGGCCGAAAAATGTTTTCTGTTTAAGTTAACGTAGCTACTGAGGTTTGACTACTTACATTCACAAAGCTTGATCTACTTTGGTTTATTTTGTATTGACAGAACTCTTTACATCACTGTTCAATGGGTATTTCTTGAGAATCCATCTTATTTGTTAAGAGTTGAAAGCTAGAGCTAATATTGTTTTATATTTCATGAATGAGTTTCCTTGTAATGGGAGTATGTCAGCATTTGGTAATAGAAAGGAAATTACAGCTACCATGATAAATTTAAAAATTTAAACCTCTATTTTTTTTAAAATTATTTATTCTAGATGTGTGTTCCTTCTTTTAGGCTTCACTTTTGGATCTGAAAGAGCATGCTTCTTCTCTGGCATCCTCAGGACTGAAAAAGGACTCACGGCTTAAGACACTAGAGATTGCTTTGGAGCAGAAGAAGGAGGAGTGTCTGAAAATGGAATCACAATTGAAAAAGGTTAAAGAAAAAATTTCACATTTTTTTGCTTTGCCTTAAATAAGAACATAGTAGATAACCTTAGCATGTTTATATGGAATAATTTACCAATGGAATAATAATCCGCCAAACTTTAAAATACCATGTATATCTGAATTAATTATCTTAGCATTCTTATCCTACTTTATTTTATTCAAGATAATCCCCAAATCTTTAAAAATTGACAGTTCAGAGAAAGATTAAAATATGCAACTCTCTTGTGGGTAAAATATGAGACCAGAGTGTAAAAATCTCTGTTACCTGATATTTTTCTCCCATTAGAATCAGACTTCTGCCAGGTGTGGTAACTCATGCCTGTAATTCCAGCTCCTTGGGAGGTTGAGGTGGGAGGATTACTTGATCAGGAGTTGGACACCAGCCTGTGCCACAGAGTGAGACCCCATCTCTTAAAAAAAGAAAAAACGGTGGCTCATGCCTGTAATCCCAGCACTTTGGGAGGCCGAGGCGGGCAGATGACGAGGTCAGGAGTTCGAGACCAGCTTGACCAACATGGCGAAACCCCATCTCTACTAAAAACACAAAAAAATTAGCCAGGCTTGGTGGCGCAGGCCTGTAATCCTAGCTACTCAGGAGGCTGAGGCAGGAGAATCACTTGAACCCAGGAGGCAGAGGTTGCATTGAGCCAAGATCGTGCCACTGCACTCCAGCCTGGGCGACAGAGCAAGACTCCATCTCACAAAAAAAAAAAAAAAGAAAAAAAAAAGAATAAGTGGGAGCATATTTTCTAATTTAACATATGTAGTAAGGTCTGAGACTCAGAATAATTGTTAAATATCCTGTTTCAGATTTTATCTCATTTTGGAGAATGTTAATTTCCTAGCTTTTTTTTTAAAGACAGGGCACATATTGTCAGAAAGTTTTTTTTATTTGTTATATTTTTAATTTCTCTTAGCAACTTATTGGGCCTAGAATTTTATTATCTTCACCTTCTACATTAGGGTCTATTTTTTGGTTTATAGCTTATGTGTAGATTTACATGAAGGACTATTTGGCGTATTTTCTTCTTGGAAACTATTACTGTATTATTAGTGTTCTAATTTACATTTTTTCAAAAGCCTGTGCTTATCATTGAAATTTTAAAAGTAGATTTCTTCTCTGTTTTGTTTGGAGTAGGAAATGACTGGTCTTGAGGTAATGATAATTGGAGTCATTTTTGACCTATTTATAGCTTAAGAATGTATATCCTGTATCTGAATATTGGCATTCCATGTCTTCAGCATGAGATAATATCCTCAGAATTTATTGAGGAAAGGATTGAAACTCAACTTTTGAGATATCAGATTTTTTTGTCTTTTTTTCTTTGTTTTTTAGAGACAGGGTCTTGCTCTGTCGTCCAGGCTGGAGTGCAGTGGCGTAATCATAGTTTACTGTGACTTCAAACTTCTAGGTATAAGTGATCTTCCTGCCTCATCCTCTTGAAGAGCTGGGACTACAGACCCATGCCACAACACCTGGCTAAGTTAATTTTGAGACAGAGTCTCACTCTGTCGCCCAGGTTGGAGTGCAGTGGCACAACCTCGGCTCACTGCAACCTCCGCCTCCCGGTCTCAGGTGATTCTCCTGCCTCAGCCTCCAGAGTAGCTGGGTTTATAGGCGCATGCCGCTGTGCCCGGCTAATTTTTGTATTTTTAGTAGAGATGGGGTTTCACTATTTTGACCAGGCTGGTCTCAAACTCCTGACCTCATGATCCACCCGCCTCAGCCTCCCAAAGTGCTGGGATTACAGGCATGAGCCACCACACCTGGCCTTTTGTTTTTTTTTAAATAGAGGGGTCTTGCCATGTTGCCTAGGCTGGTCTCAAACCCCTGCCTCAAGAGATCCTTCTGCCATGGCCTCCCAAACTGCTGGGAGCAAGGCCACTATGCTCAGCCTTGAGTTATCAGAATTTTAAAAATGCTTAATGCTTTTTTTTTTCCCTTGTAGAGTGAAATATTTATTTCTATACTCTGATTTTTTTATTGAAGGTTTTTTTTTCACCATTTTTTTAAACCGTTAATTTTGTTTCCCTTGATTATCTTACTCTTAAAACCATTTTCTGTACTTTTCTTTCTTTCTTTTCTCCCTGATGCTTCTTACTGTCTTTGGCATCCTGGAATAGTGTGGAGCCACTCATCCAAGCCAGTGAGTGACCTAGCCAAGTGTTGCCAGAAAGTCCCAGTTGATAGTTTCTTTTCTGACTTTTGTGTGAATGACATTTTTATCACCCTATAGATAAATGAATATACTTAACCTTCTCACCTCTCCCTTCCCGAAATAGGAACTCTAGGTTGTTTTTTTTTTTTTTTAATTTATATTGAGGTGACTACAAAATAGAAAGGCTTCTCTAAGACCAAAATTTTTCCTGAGACTTTGGAAACTGTTTGCATTTCTGCTGCTTTTACCTTGTTTTGTTCCTAGTGAGTTAATTCATTCAGGACTGCTTCTCTTTGCTTTTATTTCCACCATGTTGTGGCTTTTAGCCACACCAGTTTAGGGTACAGTTTCGCTAACACATTAAAATATGTTTCTGCCAATAGAGTCTTTTGTAAAGGCCATGCTTAGTAACTGAATTTTGACAACTGATGAAACCTGAAACAAAAGAAATTGGTAGAGGACTTAATCTCGAAAGTACCTCTATTGCTTCCACAAAGCATTTAACAAAATTTACATAAATGTTTCTCTTTTGCTCAAAGTACTTTGAATCAGAGCTTTCCTAAGTATGTGTGTTTTCCCCTTTAATATTTTTTGAAACCATTTTAAGGGACTAAATATGTTTTGTTGCTTATTGAATAAGGAAAAAAACGTGTGTTAGTCTTTACTCTCTCATTAAATAGGTTATGTGGTGAAAATGTTGATTTCTATGGGAATATGATTATCTGCATGGTTTTGTAATCTTACGTGTTTTACTATGACATGTATGAAATACAAAGGAACAAAATCTTTGCCTCCAGTGTATGAGTACTGAGGTTTTAATAATGTTAAAGGTAGGTGTTTTTCAGTAGAACAAGGCCTGTGGATGGAGAGCTTAACCTTTAACTCAGTATTTTAAGGAGGATTATTCACTGTTACGTCAGCCTCTCTTGTCCAAAGGTGATATTTTATACAAATACTGTTATTTCACTAAAGTTTGCAGCTTTTGCTTCTGAATGTTCTTGACCTTTTCACATTCTAAAAGCAAGGTGTATGGAGTATCTGCATTTTTAAAGCATAGGTTAACGTATAGTTAGAACTTAATGGGTAAGAAAGGGGAGAAGAAAATGAAGGCATGAAATTAAACACCTTCATCCAGAAAATACCTTTCATATTGATACCATGATAAGTGACTATGGACAGAAGAAATGCTTACATCTTGAATTAAATGTCATATTCCACAATTTAGAAATCCATTTTATCTTCATTTATTTTTTTGTGACAGAGTCTCACTCTGTTGCCCAGGCTGGAGTGCAGTGGCACAATCTCGACTCACTGCAGCCTCTACCTCCCAGGTTCAAGCAATTCTTGTGCCACAGCCTCCCAAGTAGCTGGGATTACAGGTGTGCACCACCACCCCTGGCTAATTTTTGTACTCTTAGTGGAGATGGGGTTTTGCCATGTTGGCCAGGCTGGTCTTAAACTCCTTGCCTCAGGTGATCCACCCACCTCGGCCTCCCAAAGTGATGGGGTGACAGGCGTGAGCCAGTCACTGCACCTGGCTTAGAAATCCCTTTTAAAGGGATGTTTATAACACTGATTTGAAAAATATGCCTTTTTTTGAGTTTGTATTATAATTTATAAAGTTGTAAAGGTCTTTAAGGGGTTTAAAATTCTTGGAATTTTATTTTAAAGTACAAATTAACTCAGCAAGAATTTAGATGTAAACTACTCTGATACAGAATTTGTTGTCATAAGGGAAGGGAAGGTTTATAGTATCTTTGATTTTTTTTTTCCTAGCTTGATTTATTTTGTCTTTAAAGATTGTCATTTAGTATTCTTTTATTATCTTTATCATTATTATTTTATTTTTTTTTGTAGAGGCGAGGTCCCATTGTGTTTCCCTGGCAGGTCTTGAACTCCTGGGCTCAAGGAATTCTCCCAGCTTAGCCTCCCAAAGTGCTGGGATTAGAGACGTGAACCACTGCACCTGGCCTCATTTGATATTCTTAATAATATTCCAGCTACATTTAATCTTGCACTTATATTTAATTACTGATTAATTTCTCTTCTTCCCAATCATTTTTCTTTTCCTACCGTTTAGGCCTATGGGCTGTTTTAAATCAAATGGAAACTAGCACACTGCTTTTGCATATTCATTTTTTCTACAAATAATTGAGTTTTTACTCTGTCAGTTACCACACTGTGCACTGAGGATATATAGTGGTGGACAAGACAGACCTGTCCCTTGACTTATATAATTTATAGCCTCTATTAAGAAGATAGACACTTAAAAAGGTAATTGTAGTAAATCACATGGTGTGAGGGAAGCTTATATCAAGGAGAACTAACTTAGGTCAAGGTCATGGAGAACCTCCTAACAAAAGCGACACTTTCTAAGCTGAGACCTCAAAGTAAGGACTCACCAGCGTGTATGAAGGCCCAGAATGCTGATATGCAGTAGTTATATTTATATTTGTGGAGTTATAATAAATAATTTATAATAAATTATTAGAAATCAGAATTATCTCAGTGACGTTAAATGCCAGCTGGCCTTCACTTTTGTTTACACAATCATCTTTTGTGCCCCTACATCAAGCTGCCTCCTATTGCCTATTTCGTCACCTTCTTTCTTCGTAGATACTAAGAATTTTCTCAGTTACTTCTGCTTTTGTTTGCATCTTCAATCTCTTCGCCTTTGTTGTCCCCTCTCTTTATGTGTAATATGATCAGCTTTCTATTGAAATATCTCCTGATCTTGGTACTCCTTATGGTCTTCTTCCCTCTCTCCTTTTCTATTAGATATATTTATAGCCTTCTCCTGCCCATGAAGGATTGACTGCTACAGGAATTTCCCTCCTACAATTAACAACTCAAAAACTGGGAAACCACGTGAAACAACTGATTTTAGACATTGGACAACATTCAGTGCAGAACAGTGCTCTCATCTTACCTTCCAAACTTATATGATTTTTGTTTCTTAAAATATACTTCATATGTGTATCAAGGTTAAGGGTTAGGGAAGCCTATATTTAAGACATAAAAGATTTTTTTCTACACATGTGAAGCCTTAAACAAATGAACTTGGGAAAGGACTTATCTTAAAAGTATAGCTGTTACTTTCACCAAGCGTTTAATACAATTATATAAACATTTCTCATTTACTCAAGGTACTTTGCTTCAGAGCTTTCTGAAATATTTCCTAAGAATATATATTTTCTCCTTTAATATTTTTTCAAACCATTTTAAGGGACTAAATATATTCTGTTGTCTATTGAATAAGAAAAAATAAAACGTCTAAGCTTTTGTCTTCTCATTAAACACATTATACATACATGGCTTTAGAGATTCCAGAAGACAGCTAGGGACTTGAAAATTAGTTTTTAATTATTGAAACTGTTTTGTATTCCAAAATGCATTAACAATATTAGTTGACTTTTGTAGGATCCTGAATAAAAATTTTTTTCTCAGATCTTAGTGTGGTTCTTTCAAAAAAATTTTTCTTAAACAATTTTTTTTTCCAATAGAGATGGGGCCTTGCTGTGTTGCCCAGGCTGGTCTTCAACTTATGGCTGCAAGCAGTCCCCCTGCTTGGGCCTCCTATAGTGCTGGGATTACAGGCTCAAGCCACTGAGCCCATCCTTAAGTGTGGTTCTCGATTTCTGAATTCATTTGTTTGTCCCATATTATTTTGTAAATTCTCTAATCCTTGCATGAGGGAGGTACCTGTGTGATGGTAGCAGCTGTTTTCTTAACCTGACTCACATTTTTATGGCATCACACTCCCAGTATCTGTTTGATTCTAGATGCCCAAGGCCATGTGAGTCACACGTGTTAGGTAAAGCAGCATATAGGAAATGGAAATGGAAGTTAGGGTCTAGTGGGAGTTAGGTCTCTGCACTGGTCCGGCTATACGATCAGCAGTGAGTCCCTGGTGTTGCCTTTTGATATTCTCTTGGAGAGATCAATAACAACAGTTCAATGACTGTTAGTTTGTCTCACTAAACTCTGAAGCATCTTTTGCCTTATGATGGTGTTTGATTTAATAATATTCAGAGATGTGTTATTTAAAACAACTAATCTACTTGGAACCTAAGATAATTCTCCATTTATTACTAATATTTGTCTATATAATACTTAAGCAGATAAAAACCTTATAAATTACAAACTAACTGGTAGATATTTGATAATTCTGTACTTAAATTGGAATATAAATCATTGTTTGGGACATGGTTTGCCCATTGCCACCTGTGTGTATCTGATAGGATTGAAATGCTTTTCTTTGTAGGCACATGAGGCAGCATTGGAAGCCAGAGCCAGTCCAGAGATGAGTGACCGAATACAGCACTTGGAGAGAGAGATCACCAGGTACAAAGATGAATCTAGCAAGGCCCAGGCAGAAGTTGATCGACTCTTAGAAATCTTGAAGGAGGTGGAAAATGAGAAGAATGACAAAGATAAGAAGATAGCTGAGTTGGAAAGGTAAGAAAGTGAAGCTGATTGGGGCTTATGAGGTTAAAGTATGGTTTTAAAAGTATGCTTTTGGGGACATACTTTTTCAGTGTATCTAACTCTGAATTTAGGTTCTCGAATTCTTGCTATTACTGTATTAGCTGCCTTTTTTCTAGGTCAGTTGTACGTTCTTTGTTGAGGTGTCTGAAAGGCAACATAGAATGGGAATAAATTGGGAAGCTATGGGCTGTAACATAATTGATTGGCAAAAAAGAGAGTATTCATTAATTTAAAATTAAAGTTTTTTTTACTGGCAAATCAAGAGAGGACAAATGTCTACTTTTTAATTTCTCTATATAATGATCAAATGATCCTCAAGCAAAGGAGTTAATCTTTTATCACTAGTTTAGACCTTTGTTGTTGAGCTAATGCTCTGTTGGGCTATAAATTTTTAGACTTTTCACAGTTTTTATTGTTGAAAAGCACGCTGTTACTTCAGTGCATTAGATCAAAATTAGGAGGAGAGACACTTTGAGGACAATTTAGGAGCCACGGATATGTTTTTTTATGAAGCTGTCTCTGACTTGGAATTCTTCAAAATATTCTGTGTTTGAACAGATCTAGGCAGACAGGTCTCCTATAATTTTTTTGGTGTGTTTTCTTATTATTTTATGCTAAAGGTCAAGCATGTGCCTCTTGACCTCTTCTTTTACACCACATATTTAACATAAATGTAAAACTGTGCAGAAACAACTCTGCCGGTAGAACTTTGTTAATTACCTGTATTCTGAACAGCCAGAAAGACTGACAGTGACAGAAAGGGGTCACTAATCTACTTGGCCTTTTGAGGACTGATCCTTAAGAATAATTTTTTTTTTTTTATGATCTTGAAGGCTGAGAAGTATTAGAGTACTTCCATAAATTTTTTACTAAGTTTTAAAGTTTTGGGGTTAGTGGTAGACTTGATACTGTCCTCTGAAGGTATTATTTTTTCCTATTCTATAGTCATAGAATTTTAATTTTCAAGAAACCAAAACTATAAAGTCTAACCTTCACAGTTCTCCTTCACTGTACTGAAAGTGTAAATAACACGGGCTGATTACCTGCTCACTTATTTCCTCTTATTTTGGTATTAACTCTACTCATTTTGTTCAGTTCTGAATAAGATATATGGATAAAATTCTTTAAGTCAGAATTTTAAAATTACCATAGCCTCAAGATTAGATTATGTACATTTTTTATGTCTTCATTTTTGCACTGCACCCTTCCCCACAACACACACATGTACACATGTGTATATACCCCCTCACCCATTACGTGCTTACGTGAATACATGCCTCTCTTTGCTTTTGGAAAGGCTTGAAATCTGCAACAGTACTGCATAGATACAAAAATGCGGTGCTTTTGATTGATTAGTGACTTCCCACTAAATATATTTCAGAAAAGAAATTCCTTGAATAAGTTTTATTTTATGGTTTGATTTCTTATTAGAAATCTACATTTGAAATTATTGCTTGCTATTTCAGGCAGCTTGCTTGAAAATGTTTTTGACTCATTTTTGTCACCAATATTGATTTTGGGAGATGGATGTGAACTGAAGGAGAGTAAGAAATAGGACTAAGTCTGTACTTGATATCCAAAGCACACCAAATAGCAGCTTTTATTAGCCACTGTATTTCTCACATTTTGAGAAAGAGTTGTAAATGATCTACTCTTTCCACAGAATGTAACTCTTATAAAAGTTGGAAAAAGCACTGTAGAGTTCTGTCCTCTGGCCCTATTGCATTATAATTTCGTTTTAGGATTCAGCACAGTTTCTTGGCTACTGGAAAAAAAAAAAAAAGGAACAGCTTTCATAACTCAGCTTTTGCTACCAGGTTTGTAGTTTGCTACTTGGTAACATAGTTTAAGATGCTGAATAAACAGTAGAATCATGGAATTTGTGAAAGTGATCGAGCATGGCATTTTATGGAAGAGGAAACTGAGGCCCAGAGAAGTCATTGCTGAAGTGACGTGGTGGTTGAGCCAGAGCTAGTAGAATGTGGTTTGTAAATTCCAGATCAATTTTCTTTCTGTTCTGCCAAGGCTAGTTATGTTCCTTTTGGACTTCCTGGCAACTGTTATTTGAAGACTCCTTACCCTTAGGTGATTTATTCTTTTACCCCATTTGGACCCAATGTCTTAAGTAGAAGTGGTTATATTTAGTATTATGACTTGCTTACAAACTAAGGTAGATTTTAGTTTCACTTATGCCCTTGAATGCCATTTTTATAAACTGAGCTCTGCTTATTTTAGGAGATAATCAGTGCATTCTTTGTCAAAGACAGTTGGGATTATGTTATACCTCTTGTTCCCAGATTTAGTACTCGTTTGCATATGTGTGGCTGCTGTGTTTCTTACTAATCATTTGCTTCCTATGTTGCCATTCCACTATTTCCTATGCCTGTGTCTGTCTCCCTATAGTTTATCATTTGAGATTCTTCATTTTTCTTTTTGTCTTACCATGGTCCTGTTCCATTGGGGTTTTTGGCGTCTGTGTGTTTATATGTATATGCTCCTTCTGCCCCTTGGCCATGGCTGTTTCTCAGAAAGCCAGTCTCGTGCAAATTGTACCCTTCATGCCAGGTTTCTGTCCCTGTACCATCAGGGGGTTTTGTTTGGGACTTCCTGGGAAAGTGAGCATTAAGTAAGGTTACAGTCTTATACTAGAGTGAATTGCTACTGCTGCTTTTGCTACTGCTGGGGCTTGTTTGGAATTTTGCTTGATCAGAGTTAAAGAACAGCTGATTATATGTCAAGTTGAACTGTACCTCTTTAGGTACCCTACTTTTTGATATAATCAGTCTGTGTTCGTTCTGGTAAACTTCTGATATTGCTAGTTGTGATTGCTTTAGTCTTTGTTTTACTCTTTAAATAGTTCCTCAACTAATGTAACTGTAGTGCCACACTGTAGATTCAGCATGTAGAATTAATTTCTTAAGGGTGTTCAGCAACCCACTAAGTGCAAAAATGAAAGGAGACTGTTACAATAATTGAACTCAAGAAAATCCTTAGTATTCTTTGCATTTTATAGTGCTTCTTATAAAAGGATCTCCAATATTAAATGGTTCAGATTGTATTATGAAGGATTCCCAGGCCTGTTCTTTGTGATCTAAAGAAATAAATAAATAGGTCCTTCCCATGTTGGCTGTTACAGAAAATAAGAGTTCTTGTCAGAAGATGATTTAGTGTTGTCCTACTCTCTTGACCCACTGCAATTTTAAAAAGAAGATTGGATAAGCCCATTAATACATCTATAAATATAAAATATTTTCCCCAATTAAATCTTAAGAAGTAGTACTTCTAAATTCATGTTCCATACTGTGGTGCATATTAGTTGGAATTCAGTGAGAAGCAGAATTAGTAGGATACACACACACACACACACACACACATAGAGATAGATAAATACATATATACACACATATATAAACACACACAAGCATACATATATTATGAGATTTATACGTATATTTATATATATTAATATATGCCTACATATATTAAGAGATTTATTACAGAGAATAGTCTTGTAAAATCGTGGGGCTGGCTAAGCAAGACTGAAATCCCTGTGGCAGGCTATCAGGAAGAGAAGATCGTGAGCAGGATGGAACCTGTTGCAGGCACAAGCCAAAGCTGTGGTCCACAGGCAGAATTCCTTTTCTCTCCTGGGAAACCTCAGCCCTGTTTTAAAATCTTTCCAAAGGATTCATTTATGTCCATTGGGATTATCTAGGTTAGTCTTTTTTACTTAATTTGATTAGAGGCTTTAATTATGTCAGCAAACTACCTTCACAAGCACCATCTAGATTAATATTTGATGGAATAACTGGGCACTGTAACATAGACAAGTTAATATTTCAAAAAAGTCATCATCTGATGGTTCTGGATAGTATACAAATAAACAAACAAACCAGAGCTTGAAAAGTCGTTAGATAAGTAAATAAATTTAGAGTAGCCTCAGGAACCCTGAATGTAACTGCAAATTTCTCTCCTAAAATGAGCATATTAGAGTTTCTATTTAGATTAATAGTGAGTAGGCTTTTCTTTGCTATCATGTTTAAAATACTTAGAGTGGCTGGGTGCAGTGGCTCACGCCTGTAATCCCAGCACTTTGAGAGGCCTGAGGCAGGCGGATCACCTGAGGTCAGGAGTTTGAGACCAGCCTGGCCAACATGGTGAAACCCCGTCTCTACTAAAAACACAAAAATTAGCCAGGCATGATGGCACATGCCTGTAGTCCCAGCTACTCAGGAGGCTGAGGCAGGAGAATCGCTTGAACTCAGGAGGTGGAGGTTGCAGTGAGCCAAGATCATGCCATCGCCCTCCAGCCTGGGTGACAGAGCGAGACTCTGTCTCAAAAAATGAATAAAATAAAATAAAATAAATTAAATAAAGTACTTAGAAGCGTACTGGAGGCTGATACAGGATTGCTTGCTGTCTGCTTTTTCACTCACGCTGTCCATCTTAGCTGAATGTTCCCATGTTATAGCACCACCCTGGGAACATTGTCCCCTGTGCCGTATATTGTATTGTGCCTTATAATTTTGCTTTTTAATGTGCTTTGTTACCTTTTTTCTAATACCATGACTAATGGATTCACAGAGTTTAGTGTTTGCAGCAGAAATACTCAATTTTACTCTAGTATGAGATTGTTAGATTCAATATGCCATTCAAAACTTGTATTCAGAGAATGACAACCATCTGATTTTCATATAATTTAGATAACAGAGGTTGCCTTTGGTTTATCAAAGTTAGAAATTTTCAGTGATCCAAAGAATAATAGAGTCTATTATTGTGTGATCTAAAGATTAATAGGAATTGTGGATTTACTATATTTCCTGATTTGAGGGAATATAAGAACCGGGATTTTAATGGATATAGATTTTTTGGGGGCGGGGGGCAGGGTGTGTTTTGAAATTCAGCCAAGTGATTATTTATGGGATAGTCGAGAAAGACCTGTCTGATAAAGTTATTGATATATGAGCAGCGATTTGAAGGAGGGGCTCTATAAGAAGTCCGCAGAAGCCCCTAAAAAAACCACAACAACTTTGAGGCATAATTTACATACAATAAAATGCACCCATTTTAAGCTGATTGTTTGAGCTTTGACAAATCTATACACTTATGTGACTACCACCATGATCAAGATATATAGAACATTTCCTCATCCCCAAAAGTTCCCTTTTGCCCCTTTACAGCAAATCTCTTCCCAACCCTAGTCCCAGCCTCTGCAGATCTGAGACCTACTTTTAAAATTAATTTTATACATTAAACTTCAGTTTCTCCCTTTTGCCTTAACATTTAATTTTCTACTTTCCCATTCTAACACAACCACAAGTATGTGTAATTCCCTATTTCCTCAGCTCCAGAAGTAGATTCAGATTTTTTAAAGCCAATCAGGATAATAGCATTCTCTTTCTTAGTGACTAGTTTCGCATTGAGCACATATGCATTAGTGATTGGAAGGAAAAACCACAGGGAGGCTTCTGGGAATGATTTTCTTATAAGACAGACTTGCAAGAAGAAAGATGACCCCTTTCTCCTGAACATTATCTTGTCGGGATGTGATACCCATAATTGCTGCAGCTACTTCTGCCAACCTAAGATGAAGCCAGCGTCCAGAGAGTGACAGTTAACAAAACCTCAGCAAAGCAGAGTTGGAACTGAAATGGACTATTCCTGAAACTGCCTCTGTGCTGCTTGTTATGTGAGATAGGACAATTTCTGATTGTTTAAGCCAGTTTGAATGAGGATTCTCCGTTACTTCCAACCCAGTGCATTCAAATGGATATAATTATGTACTTATTTCCGCCCCCCCCCCCCTTTTTTTGTAATGGAAGCAATCATTTTGAAAAGAGTTAAAGTTTTTTGGTAAGTCAAATAAGGATCAATGCTGCTGAAAGCTGGGACAACACACGGGCCCTGACCAAATTGGGGTTTCTTTGTCTACCTCATACCTTCCAAATCAAAAAATAATTTCCCTAGTATTTTAATTACTCCCCCAAATCAGGAATAACTTCCTCACTGTGCTGATTTTGGTTCTTTTAAAATAAGGTGGTAATTTGAAGGTAATAGTTAAACCAGTCATAGATTATTCTATGCCATTCTTTTCAAATCAGCCCACTCAGGTGTCAGTCCTACTTTTCTTTTGTTGTAGTCCTCTTTATTCTCCTTTGTTTCTGCCTCCACCTCATCCCCCACCCAAATGCCTGGAACAGATCTCACCCTTTCGTCTTTTGAGAGGAATACATATAGCAGATTTTTGCCTCCGACTAGGCAGCTACTTTAAAGGGGGATGTATTTTGAATCTAAGGAAGATACCCAAAAATTTTAATGCAGTTTGTTTAGTTATATTTGTTCATTTTAGCTGCCCTGTCTACATCATGACTTTTTGGGTTGGGGGGGTATGTGTTGGAAAGGTTTCTTATGTAGGTTTTTTTTTTTTTTTTGACAGAATCTCACTCTGTTGCTCAGGCTGGAGTGTAGTGGCGTGATGACAGCTCACTATAGCCTAGACCTCCCAGCCTCAAGCGATCCTCCCACCTCCGTGTCTTGAGTAGGTGGGACCACAGGCACACACCACCATGCCCAGCTAACTGCTTAATTTTTTTGTAGGGCTGGTGCCTCACTATGCTGTCTAGGCTGGTCTTGAACTCCTGGGCTCAAGTGATCCCCTTGGCCTCCCAAAGTGCTGGGATTACAGGCATGAGCCACCACACCTGGTGCATGTGCGCACGCTATTTCTCTCTCTCTCTCTCTCTCTCTCTGTCTGTCTCTCTGTCTGTCTCTCTCTCACTCTCTCTCTCTCTCTCTCTGTCTGTCTGTCTCTCTCTGTCTCTCTACACACACACACACACACACACACACACACACACACACACACACACACACACACACATATATATATATATATTTTTTTTTTTTTTTTTTTTTTAAGACAGATTTTCCCTCTGTCACCCAGGCTGGAGTGCAATGGTATGATCTCAGCTCACTGCAACCTCCACCTCCCGGGCTCAAGCGATTCTTGTGCGTCAGCCTTCCGAGTAGCTGGGAATACAGGCATACACCACCATGCCCAGCTAATTTTTGTATTTTCAGTAGAGATGGGGTTTCACCATCTTAACCAGGATGGTCTCGAACTCCTGGCCTCAAGTGATCCGCCTGCCTTGGCCTCCCAAAGTGCTGGGGTTACAGGGATGAACCATTGTGCCTGGCCTAGATTTTTGTTATACAGATGTTTGAGGTTAAACAACTGGTCCTGCATTACATAAGTAGGTAGCAGAGTCATGCCTAACAATTCCAGTGTCTGTCTCTCCTTCCTGAAAAGAAATCCTTTTCAGGTGTTCAGTTTTCATTAATGACCTCACCTCCTAGAAGAGGAGGCTGTAGACAGCTAGATGATTCAGAGTCTGTTCACTTGAGGATCTTACTGAGGCCAGAGTCTTTCCCACATGCTGGAATGCCCACTTACAGGACAGGTACTGCATAACTGGCATGTGGGTTGTTTTGCTGCTAGGGGCCAGTTTTTCTACACATGTGCTTTTTAATGCTTCTCTCAGTCTGGACTCAGTTAAGGGATACGTCTGGCTCAAAGAGACTAAGACTCCATCAATACAGAAGCTATTGTCATTTCATTTATAGATTATGCTAGCATTGGCGTTTATCTATAGCTTGTCTAATAGCTAGAAATTCCAGTGATGAAATTTTAGTTCCTTAAGGTCTGGTTGAGCTCTACTGGAAGGTATCACTTAACATACCACAGAGGCTGGTCATCCCAGTTATCATGTGCCCAGAATGTAGTAGTATCAGAAAGAAAGGACTTGTTGAACTTTGGACTATTTTTTTTGTTTTGTTTTGTTTTGTTTTTGTTGCTTTTTTTTTTTGAGGCAGGGTCTCTCTCATCCAGGGTGGAGTGCAGTGGCACTATCACGGCTCACTGCAGCCTTAACCTCTTGGGCTCAGGTGATCCGCCCACCTCAACCTCCTGGGTAGCTGAGACTAGAGGTGCATGCCACCATGCCCAACTAATTTTTGTATTTTTTTTGTAGAGATGGGTTTTTGCCAGATAGCCTAGGCTGGTCTCGAACTCCTGGGCTCAAGTGATCCATCTGCCTCTGCATCCCAAAGTGATACGATTACAGAGGTGAGCCACTGCAGCCAGCCCTGAAATTTGGACTCTTAAGTCTTTGGTCTTTCCATGTTCGAAGCCAATATTAAATGATAGTAGCTTGGGAGGTTATTTGGTTGGAAGGCTAATAAGTAATTTTGGATCCTAAACTATTAATACTAATTTCAGGTCCTCCAACTCTAGTAGAGAGATACAGAATACAGAGGGAAAACCAAAATATTGCACTGCTACAATTATTCTGAGAAAGATAGAACTGGAGATCAGTTTTGTTGTTCGTATATACATAAAATTCTTAGGGCTAGCCTTGTGAGTAGTTATGATGGAGGTAACTTTGTTTTTCTATTTTGTGGTGGTTAATTTTATCTTCTTTGCTAACCATCTTTTCCATACCTCATTGTATTAGTTCGTTCTCATGCTGCTATAAAGACATACTTGAGACTGGGTAATTTATAAAGAAAATAGTTTTAATTGGCTCATGTTTCTGCGGGCTGTACAGGCTTCTGCTTCTGGAGTAGCCTCAGGAAACTTACAGTCATAGCAGAAGGTGAAGGGGAAGCAGGCACATTTACATGGCCGGCAGGAGAGAGAGAGCCAGCAAAGGGGGAGGTGCCACACACTTTCAAACAACCAGATCTTGTGAGAACTCTGTCACAAGACAGCACTAGGGGGATGGTGCTAAACCATGACAAACCACCGTCATGATCCAGTCACTTCCCACCAGGCCCCACCTCCAACACTGGGGATCACAGTTCAACATGAGATTTGGGTGGGGACAAACCACCGTCATGACCCAGTCACTTCCCACCAGGCCCTACCTCCAACACTGGGGATCACAGTTCAACATGAGATTTGGGTGGGGACAAACCACCGTCATGACCCAGTCACTTCCCACCAGGCCCCACCTCCAACACTGGGGATCACAATTCAACATGAGATTTGGGTGGGGACAAACCACCGTCATGATCCAGTCACTTCCCACCAGGCCCCACCTCCAACACTGGGGATCACAATTCAACATGAGAGTTGGGTGGGGACAAACCACCGTCATGATCCAGTCACTTCCCACCAGGCCCCACCTCCAACACTGGGGATCACAGTTCAACATGAGATTTGGGTGGGGACATAGAGCCAAACCATGTCACTCATCTGGAACTATTAGCTCTTGGCTTTTACATCATGATTAAACTTTAATTTTGTGGACTACCAAGACAACCTAGTGTGTATTTATAGTATTGTTTTTAAGGGAGTTATATTTTGATTTATAAACAACTGACTTTGTTAAAAAAAAAATGTTATGGCCAGGCACGGTGGTTCACGCCTGTAATCCCAGCACTTTGGGAGGCTGAGGCGGGTGGATCACCTGAGGTCAGGAGTTCGAGACCAGCCTGACCAACATGGTGAAACCCTGTCTCTACTAAAAAATAGGAAAAAAAAAATTAGCCGGGCATGGTGGCAGGCACCTGTAATCCCAGCTATTTGGTAGGCTGAGGCACAAGAATTGCTTGAACCTGGGAGGCAGAGGTTGCAGTGAGCTGATACTGTGCCATTGCACTTCAGCCTGGGCAACAAGAGTGAAACTCCCATCTCAGAAAAGAAAAAAAAAAAAAGTTATGTGATCTGTTCATAGGATTTGGGCTAAATTCTGAGCATACTAAGAACACCCTTGATTAAAAACAAAAATCAACAAGATTAGCCCAAATCCTATGAACAGATTACATAACTTTTTTTTTTTTTGGAACACAAAGAATGAATGAGGTCATTTTCCTATCATGCCAGTAGTGATTTTTAATCTGGGAGTGTTATTTGCACATGTGTATGTGTAAGAGAAAGAGAACTTTTCTGATGGCATTTGGGAAAATAGCTGCCAGGCTTCAACTTAATGCCTAAAGATTATTGCCTTTTGAGTTTTTAAATTTTCTTTTAAAGATTTCACAACTAGTTTCTAAAATTTTTATACAATGAAAATGGAGGTTTTTATTTTTCATAAATCTTCTAAAATGTGTTGGCAAACTTGAACTAGTTTATAGGATGATATTACCAATTTTTGGCTTGATAGCAGTCAAATTTTGAAGATGAATGCTTTTTTTCTTATCTGTCTTTTCTTATTCTTTTCTCTTTGACTGAAAGTTTTGTTCCCTTTATTTGTTTGTGGGAATCTGACCTATTTTAAATGTTACTTTTTTTGAAAAAGAAAACTTTACTGACCTCCTTTCGCTAGTAATCTCTCTTTCCTTTACTTGTGCTTTTCCAGTAGTAACTATCACATTCTGTCCTGTGACTGTACATTAGAGAGACCAATGTATATATGTTATAAAAGAGAAGTAGCACTCTTTTCTCATTCTGCTATCTAATCATCTCACATTTCCTTTTCTTTTTTTTTTTCTGAGGCGGAGTCTCTCTCTGTCGCCCAGGCTGGAGTGCAGTGGCACGATCTCGGCTCACTGCAAGCTCCGCCTCCCGGGTTCACACCATTCTCCTGCCTCACCCTCCTGAGTAGCTGGGACTACAGGCGCCCGCCACCACAGCCGGCTAGTTTTTTGTATTTTTAGTAGAGATGGGGTTTCACCGTGTTAGCCAGGATGGTCTCGATCTCCTGACCTCGTGATCCGCCCGCCTCGGCCTCCCAAAGTGCTGGGATTTCAGGCGTGAGCCACTGCACCCGGCCCACATTTCCTTTTCTTACCATTGCCCATAATATTCAGACCCTTTAGGAGTTAAAAAGAGAGATTCAGTAGTCTCCCATACCTTGATATTATATTGAAAATATTTTTATATTTCTTTTATATGTACATAGTATGTTTACACATGTACATGTTTATATATGCATACATATATATTTGCACGTTTTTCCTTCTGTAAAAATGTAAGTACATTCATCTGCCTATATTCTTATACAATTTAATATAATTCAGTTGAATTACTTTTAGATTTGTAGATTAAACAAAAGTGTAGATAACTTTCCCTTTCTCCTTTTTGTCACAATGAAATGCCATTTCTGACCTTGTTTTTGTATTTTAACATCTCTGAAATTGGGATACACGTACAAGTAAATGGCATGGTATAATCTAATTGGTATAACTTTTTTTCTTTCTCAGTAATATAAAATACTTTTTACTATGATGTGTCTTCTATCCTTGGTGAATTGATGTTAAGAATGCATTCAAAGAGTGAATAAAATTGTTTTGTTGAATGTGGGAGTAGGAGAAAGTAGTATTTCTAAATTAATATTATTTTGTCATATATTTCATTTTAAATGTACGTGTAGTAACCAAGTGAATGTATTTACTAGTATAAATTGTAAATTAGATATTTGACGGGTTTACCTATATGCTGAGTTTGTTTATTTAGGTTGACCAAAAACGGTTTCTTTTGGACCATCTCCTTGGCAAAATGGGCTTTATGATATTACTTTATGTTAGTATCCCATTATATTCAGGCATCTGTTGCATAGTGTAACCCGGAAATGTAAACCTAGGTATTTAGTCTTTATTCTGGTAAATATTTTTCCTTAAATTTTGAATTGATAGTCATTTACTGTGTCTTCAAAGATCTACCATATAGAAATTAAGCCGTATGCAAGATTGACATAAACTGCTATATAATTCATGAGGAAAGTGTCTCTTTAGAGAAAAATATTCTTACTTTTAAATTTATGGATATGCATCTTCAATCCATGAAGTATAGTGTCAGAGAATATGCTCTTAATGTGGTTAGAGTGGAAGAGAGATGACTGGGGCTGCGGATGGTGGCTCAGAGTAATTATATAATATGTGTTCTTGCTTGAGGGAGAATGGTCTGTGTTTAAAAAATGAAAAAACTGAAAAGGAAAAGAAAGATACCAGCATATTACAACTGAAGATGACTGGTTCTTTATCTGATCCTGCTTGCTTCAGCTTGCTTTCTGGGGAAGCTGCTTGTTTCTTTCTTCTTCCTCCTTGATGAATATCATAGACTTCCTTTAAAAGGAGAGTAAGTTACAAAGCTTTTTGTAGTCAGTTCTGTTAGGTTATCTTCCCAAAGTTTCCTGTGGGCACAGCACCTTATAGTTTGTTACTGTGGTCTTACAGGAATCTGTGTTTAATGGCTACTGTAGTGTTTCACCTAAAAGTATAAAGATTAGGATTACATATAATTCGATGTACAGATTTTTTCTCCTGAAGTTATTTCCCAAGAGTTACAGTTTAGCCGGACGTGGTGGCTCATGCTTGTAATCCTAGCACTTTGGGAGGTGAAAGTGGGTGGATTGCTTGAGTCCAGGAGTTCGAGACCAGCTTAGGCAAGTGGCGAAACCTCGTCTCTACAAAAAATACAAATATTAGCCAGTTGTGGTGGTGTTTGTCTATAGTCCCAGCTATTTGGGAGGCTGAGGTGGGAGGATCACTTGAGTCTGGGAAGTAGAGTTTGCAGTGAGCCAAGATTGCGCCACTGCACTCTAGCCTAGGTGACAGGTGAAACCCTGTCTCAAAAAGGAAAAAAAAAGAGTTGTAATTTGATGCTAAAGTGAAATATGATTCATGAATAATAAAGTAGGTAAAAATTAAATTAATAATTAAAGTTGCTCTCTGGCAGGAATGCATTCCATTTTTTCCCATGGATTTACCCGTGTGTTATGTAAAAACTTGCATACAAAGAAGACTCAGTTAATGTCCTTGTTCATCTAAAATTATTTTGACTTCCTGTGTCACAACCAATGAGATAGAAGGATCATTGGGAACAATCATTTAGAGATCGGCTTCTTTCTGCCTTTGAACATTGTCTGCATTTTACACAGCGTTATAGATGCTAAACGTTCATGGAGTTTTATAGACTCCTAAGGAAGCATCATAAAACAGATAAATTATGCCCAGGTGAGATGTCAGCAGACCTACATTCTTACTCTTTTTGAGACGGAGTCTTGCTCTGTTGCCCAGGCTGGAGTGCAGTGGCACAATCTCGGCTCACTGCAGCCTCCACCTCCCTGGTTCAACCGATTCTTGTGCCTCAGCCTCCTGAGTACCTGGGACTACAGGCGTGTGCCACCACGCCTGGCTAATTTTTGTATTTTTAGTAGAGATGGGGTTTCACCGTGTTGGCTAGGCTGGTCTCAAACTCCTGACCTCAGGTGATCTGCTTGCCTCGGCCTCCCAAAGTGCTGGGATTACAGGCGTGAGCCACTGCGCCTGCCCGGCTGCTACATTCTTATTCTGTATCTGCCACTCAGGCACCATGTGATTGCCAGCAAGTCGTTTTGTTTCTGTTTTTCATCTCTTCATGTTACAAGGTAACAAATCTTGTCCTTCTTATCTGTTTTTATTCTCACAATGACTTTTTAAAACTTGTAAGTACTGAATTATACTTTTGCAAGACATCACTAAGTCTTAGAAAACATTAAAGTATAAATGGAAATGGTGCTTGCATTCAAGAAATAGATATTTTGTTTCAGATTCTTAAGGTACAATTTAGACCATGAAGCTAATCCAGATGATACTGGTCGTTAGAAGCCCTAACTATTTGGAGGATCATACTAATTACAGTGAAACTGATTACTTTTTGAAAAGAGAAAAACTGCTTGTTGTTGTAAAAGACAGTAATGAACTGTAAGGGCTACATGCTGTGCAGGAATATTAAGCATGACTGCTTTATATCTCCTACTGCTAAGCAGCATTGGAACTGAATTGATGTAAACAAGCCTGTGTATTCTTGTTCATTATTGCTTTTAGATTGCACCATTTGAGGATTGTGGTAGATTTGGAGTGAGAAGTACTAGTTGTTATTAGGAGAAAATTATGTTTTAACATTTGAGAAAATTATTTCAAGTACATTAAAGTTCTGTATTCTACAGAAGCTGTGTTTTTCTGCTTTTGCTTTTAGATAACTTGGATTCTCTTAATGGAATGGGGTGGTTAAGGCGTAGTTAGTTATAAGGTGGGTGTCTATAAAACTAAGCAGACTAAAATTGTGCAGTTACTTAAAGCCAACTCTGACTACTTAAATGAGAATGAGATGGCTAACCTTCTCTATTTTTCTTAGTGTTTAAGAAATTGTTTTTTTTTTCCTGCCCCAGGAAATGGTAAATTTTAGACAACTTTTTTTTTTTTGAGAAACTTTCATTAAAATACAATGGTGTAATCTAATAAGAAAGTAAATTTGTTGAGAGTTGAAAATCTGAAATAATTCTTTTTTAGTGACTGTATAGAATTTGTGACTCCTTCCCTTCTCTAATCCTGCATTTTATGATGTCCATGAATAATATTTCTGAATATTGTCCTTATTAATTCTTTCTAACTTTCTTTTTCACATTTTCTTCCTGGATTTCCTGTTTCCTTCAGTCTCACCTCAAGGTCAGTATGCTTGCACTAAAACAAAGATGATGTGATTGAGCGTTGTTTGCGAATATTGTCTTGAATTCTTACAGGGAACTGAACATATTTCAGGAGAGGGATATCTAGAAATCTAGCTGTGAGGATAAAATGTCAAGGGTATTGGGTTTATCAGAAGAGTGTGTTCAGATTTTTGTGCTTTGAAAAGGTAGTGTGAGTAGTCAGAGAGCAAGAACCAGATGGCCAGGTTTTGACTGAGAGAGAAGTGGAGATGAAAAGAGCATTACGAGGAAAGAGGAGGGGAAAAAGAATTGTGTTAATGTAATTGAACATTCAGTGGAGACATTCTGGCTATTAAACGGGGTAAAGTGCCGCAAAAATGATGGAGGGAAAGTCACAACTGCCTATAGCTTTATAGAAGAAACCTTGAATTATTTACTGAGACGAACTTTCAGACACACACACACCCACATCCTTTAAATTTTGGTTTCATTTTGTGACTCTGCTGGGTGGTAGAACTAGTGATAACAAAAACAGCAACGATTACTGCTATTTATATGTGCCAGAGGCACTGTAGCGGAACATATTTTGTTTCAGTTGATCTTAGCAACTATGAAGAGAGATTTATTATTTTGATTTTTTAGTTGAAAAAGCACAAGTGCAGAGACCATTAAGTAACTTGCCCATCTTCATTAGTAAGTAAATAGTGAGAGAAGCGGCACAAAACAAAAATCTGCATTTAAAAAGTTACTTATTTTGCATATGAGCCATGACAATATAAAGTGTGAGGATTTCTGATAGGATTCAGAAATGAGCCTGTTAATATCATATGTGTTTTACCTAGCAGCTGCCTAATAATAATAGCGATTATATATATGTGTGTGTGTGTATATATATATATATATCTGTGTGTGTGTGTGTGTATATATATATATATAGATATATATTTGCTGTTTATAAAAGCACCTCTTTGACTCAACAGCTAGCATATGGGTTACACTGGGATAAGTGTTAAAAGAGTTAGCCCGCCAAAAAAGAAAATAAATTGAAAAAAATTTATGCCCCCTGCCCATTTTGAGTAAGCTGTATTCATTACAGAAGGAATCTTAAAGTGTTTGTAATAAAAATAGCAAACACAAATACTGCATTTAAAAAATAGATTTTCCCGTTTCTAATCTAAACATTTTCTCCACATATTGTAGTAGAACAGTATGGGTACCACTTAAGTAATTCCAATTAGGTGGCAAAATCTGAAAGCAGTTGAGTTTTAGTATAAAAATTTCATGAAGTGTTTTGCCTTGTGTTTAGAGAACTTTCATCTCTAACTTAAGCTTCAAGCTGACTCATTTTAGTGGGAAGTTTTATCATTTGTCCCATAGTTAGTCCTTTGCACGACTGGTTTTGCTCTCAGTCTCTCTAAATGAAACCCTGGGAAAAGCTTCAGAAGAATTTGACCGTGAAGCCATTGGTATATACATAATTCACTGAGTTACAGGTTATATTAATTGTAATATTGTTAGCTGGTTTATTTTAGTTAACTTTTACCCAGCAGCAAATGCCATTAAATCATACTTATTTCTAAATAAGTTTATTTTCCAAGGAATACAAAATAAAATAGTCATTGTTTTTTCAGTGGCAAAGATCATCTTAGCTGTAGTATGCAAAAGTTTAAAGTCTCTCTTCATTCCAGATTATGATTTAGTGCAGTATTTTTTTTCTAGATAGAAACATTTTACCATTTTAATTGTGGTTTTGCCAAGTCCAGTTGAATAGGTCATAAAGAGAGTATAATTTATTACTGCTTTGATACTGGATTGTTTGGGTGACTTCATTATATGACCTTGGGCAAGATACTTAACCTTTCCATGTTTATTTTAACCACTTGTTTTGTGTTAATAGTGATGCTTAGCTGTAGTATTTGTATTTTAGTGTCTCCACTAAACATTTCTATTTTGCAGAGGTTTATTTTTATTCCTCTCTTCTCCCTTGTCTTCTTCCCCTGCCCTGCTCTCCTCTGTCTTCCTTTGCATTCAGTACAGAGTAGTGAGATTTTATTTAGAGTGATACTGACTGAAGACTCACATTTTCTATCTTCAGACATACACATCTTTTTATTTCCTGTTCAATGACATTAGCACCAGAGAGTGAATACAAAGAAATTATTCCATGTATAGATGAAAATATATGATTTGGTTCAGAATTCTTCTTTTGGCTAACGGTCATTCAGAGATGAGAGCTATAAATGTCATCTCTATTCTCATTAACACTTAGGTCTAAAATTGAGCTCAATATTATTAATATCTATGTTTTAATTATCAGTTACCACTGTAGACTTGTTTTTAAAACAAATGTTTAGAATATGTGTGATAGTTCCTAACAACTTCATTAACCCATTTATACCAGAGGTTGCACATTTTTTGTGTGTGAAGAATCAGAGCTTCGTGATGACCTTGAGCAGTAGGATATAAATAACTACCACAAGCTTAGCATTCCAGTAATAGAACACTAGGCATAAAAGGGTTAAGACCAGAGTCCCTATGTTGTTAAAAGTTAAAATACTTTTATACTTTGCCCCCCAAAAAATCCCATTGTTATAGTCTCTTTTATATAGTTTGATGGAAACATTTCACATTAATTTCTAAAATCTAATTCAAATAGTTATTTCTCTGATTACACACTTTAAAAAGATTTTTTACATTATTGTCTGATTTCATTAAGAAAAGGCACTATACTAGTTGCTAAAACCTCATCATAAGATATATCACTCACAAAAATAGATGTAATTGTATTTTTGAAAGGGTTAGTTTCTTATTTTTTTAGCTAAAGCTTTTTTTTATAGGCCCTAGAAAATTTCTGACCCCATAAAATCTATTTACAAGGAGTTTGACTTATGGGCAAGAGTTTATAACCCAGGAGAATGATCGTTATTATTTGCATTTTTAGCTTCCACTTTTCATTCCTTTCGCTTTTTTAAGCAACTCTATTGTTCAAGAGCGTATTTCTTATTATTTTTCTTTCAAATAATAGTGCCTAGTGTTTTTGTAATAGTCTGCACAAGCAAGTGTAACATCTTCTCTGTTAAATAACATCTGCTGGTGTAGTAGTGTACTCTTTTGAATAACTCATTGGTGGGAAAAAAAATACGTGAATGCAGACTTGTGCTGATCTTCCTAACTCTTCTACTGAAAATGATAGTTTTATGCTATCATGCATTGATAAATGGTAAATGTTTTTTTAGATAGCAATTGTAGATCACCACGGTTGTAGATCACCACAAATTCTGTAAATCAGCTGAAGATGGCAAATTCAACAGAGAAGGGAAGAAAGAATAATTTTAAAGTTGGCCAAAATTTGAGTTTTTATAGAGTTGCCAGATTTAGCAAATAAAAATATGGATGCCCAGTTAAATTTCATATAAACCACAAATCATCTTTTAGTATGTCTTATAATAACTATTGGGCCATACTTACTCTGGCACCCACCCCCCCATCTCAGTAAAACGACAGAAACACGTCTGATTTCTGATTACAGTTTGACACTGTTAAAAATGCTATCACCTTCTTTATCTCACTTCACCTCATAACAACTATATGAATTGGATGACATTTTCCCGTTTCACAGATCAGAAAATTGACTTTACAGAGATGAGATGATTTACTTCGGGTCATAGCTACTAAGTGGCAGAATCTAGGGTACAAATCTAGTTTGTCTCATTTCAAGTTTACTTCACACTTTCCTTTCCTCTGTATCAAGCTTGTCCAACCCATGGCCCACAGCCCATGGCCTGCATGCAGCTCAGGTCAGCTTTGAATATGGCCCAACACAAATTTGTAAACTTACTTAAAACATTATCAGCTTTTTTTCATGTTTTTAAGCTCATCAACTATTATTAGTGTTAGTGTATTTTATGTGTAGGCCGATAATTCTTACTCTTCCAGTGTGGCCCAGGGAAGTAAAAAGATTAGACACCCCTGCTCTATATCTTGTTCTGTTATGTGTTTGTGACATCTAGAGATGACATGCAGGTTGTAATACCTTTTTAAATTTATGCTTTTTAGATCCTTGGAGCATGGGGGTGAAGGGTTGGATTACTTGTATTATTTGGTTTGCACAGTGTCCAGAGAAGCAGAATGTGTGGTCTTGGAGTGGAAACTGCATGCAGCTCTATCTCTTATTTGGCAGCTGTTGGCGTGTTCCAGTTGTGTCTTCTTTTGATTATACTAAGCCTGTCTTGTATGGGAAATTGATTAATTCTGAATAAAATAATGATATTGCAATCAGCAATTAAATTGTTTTTTTGTTTTGTTTTGAGATGAGTCTTTCTCTTGTTACCCAGGCTGGAGTGCAGTGGCGCAATCTCAGCTCACTGCTTTCAAGCAACCTCCGCCTCTCGGGTTCAAGTGATTCTCCTGCCTTAGCCTCCCGAGTAGCTGGGATTACAGGCACTTGCCACCACGCCCAGCTGATTTTTTTTTTTTTTTTTTTTTTTTTTTTTGAGGTGGAGTCTTGCCCTGTCTCCCAGGCTGGAGTGCAGTGATGTGATCTCAGCTCACTGCAACCTCTACCTCCCAGGTTCAGGCAATTCCCCTGTCTCAGCCTTCTGAGTAGCTGGGATTACAGGGGTGTGCCACCATGCCCAGCTAATTTTTGTATTTTTAGTAGAGACAGGGTTTCGCCACGTTGCTCAGGCTGGTCTTGAACTCCTGACCTCAGATGATCCACCCGCCTCGGCCTCCCAAAGTGCTGGGATTACAGGCGTGATAAACTGTTTTTAAAGCAGTCTCATGATGGCTTTATTTGCAAGGGGGCTATTGGTATGTATTGTTCCCTATGATTATCAATACATTTGGAATTCACATAGTTAAACAAACTTATGGTTTCATGTAGCAATGTTTGGGATTTCTTCATAGCATTTTTTTTTTTTTTTGCTCTAATTCTTAGGTGAGATTGGCTAGTCTGTCACCATTTGTAGCCTGTTGTATGAGATGTTCCTATAGTATGGACTAGTTCATTCATTTGTGTTGTCCTATTTATCAACATTTTCTGCCTTGCTCAAGAAATGCTCTATAACGCAACTTGTATTTCAGATATTGGGTAATTTGATTATTTTATAAGATCCTTTAGAACAGTGCTTCTCAAACTTAAGTGTCATACAAATTGGATGGGAGCTTGTTAAAATAGAGTTCTTATTTGATGGATTTGGTTGGGGCCTGAATTTTTCTACCTTTCGAAAAGCTCCCAGTTGGTACTGATACTGTTGGTCTGTTGAGCGTGCTTTGACTCACAAGATTTTAGTGAGTTAACGTTTTTCAAATAGATTTTTCTCCTTTTTTAAAAAATTCACAAACATTTAACAATATCTCTGTTGATTTATTTATACTAGCTCATATTTGAACTTGTTATAAAAATCGACCTTTCCTTGGGTTTAGGATATCAAGGTGACCGTTTTGCCTTTGTTAAAGGACGTCTGAGGTTTTCTATTGGCATGGGTACAAGAGTCAGGTTAAGATTTCAGGATGTTAGAGCAAAAGCACTGTTTTCACTGGCACCTGTTGCCTTGTTGCTTTAAATGTATAAAAGCATATTGAACAGTGGAACAAAGTGACAAGAAATTTAGGGTGAGGCAACTGGAGAAAAGAGTCACAAACTTCAGAACTATTGAGTTGGCTTCTTGGGTATGGCTTATGCTTTCACAGAAACCTTCCTTCCAACCTCTAGTTTCTGTTGTCCATGTATGTGGCTTTGAGGTCTCAGAATTTGAGATTGTGCTTTGGGAGAAACAGACAAGGAAATCAGTGGCCTTCACTGGCAGCTGGCAGACCTGTAAGTGATGTGGTTTAATTGTGTGTACGTCAGGATTGCTCTGTCTTTAAGACGGTCTTTTTAAGCTGCAGTGTTTATCCACTGTTGGCATTTTCTTTGTTGGTGAAGTTGTATTCTTTTGTTTTAATCTTCCAGCTCTTGTCTGGGTTGTCAAATGTTTGAGCATGATAGCAAAGATCTCAAAACTAGTTCTTTTTGCAAGCAGATCTCATCTTTAAGGTGTAGTGTAATGGGATTCAGAAACTTGACTCCTGTCATAGGCAGGAGGGAAATGTGTGTTTAATTTTTCTTTACTTCGCTTTCCTTCATTAATATGGGATTGTTATTATTATTTTCTGGTGTGTTTGGGATAGTTGCTGTCAATGGCTACAAAAGACAGTTTTAAGATTCTTTAGCTAGGGCTGGGCATGGTGGCTCACGCCTGTAATCCCAGCATTTTGGGAGGCCGAGGCAGATGGATCACGAGGTCAAGAGGTAAAGACCAGCCTGGCCAACATGGTGAAACCCCGTCTCTACTAAAAAATACAAAAATTAGTTGGGTGTGGTGGCATGCGCCTGTAGTCCCAGCTACTCAGGAGGCTGAGGCAGGAGAGTCTCTTGAACCCGGGAGGTAGAGGTTGCAGTGAGCTGAGATTGTGCCATGCCTAGCAACAGAGTGAGACTGTGTCTCAAAAAAAAAAAAAAATGTAGCTAGCTGTTTGGCCTAGGTATTACAAATTTCAATGTTTGTTATTGTAAGTTTCTATATTCAAAAATCACTTAAGTATGTTACACAACTATTTTGAAACTGTTAGTGAAAAATAATCCCCTTCAAATGCAATCTTTTAAATTGATATATATATATATATTTTGAGACAGAGTTTCGCTCTTATTGCCCAGACTGGAGTGCAATGGCACAATCTCGGCTTACCGCAACCTCCGCCTCCTGTTTTCAAGCGATTCTCCTGCCTCAGCCTCTGGAGTAGCTAGGATTACAGGCGTGCACCCCCATGCCCGGCTAATTTTGTATTTTTAGGAGAGACAGGGTTTCTCCATTGTTGGTCAGGCTGGTCTCGAATTCCCATCTCAGGTGATCCACCCGCCTCGGCCTCCCAAAGTGCTGGGATTACAGGCGTGAGCCACCGTGCCCGGCCTAAGTTGAGATGTTAAAAGGAAAGTACTTTGCAGATGACTTTCCAAGAAAACTAGAAGGAACAATTGGCTTGGGGAAGTGATCATAATGATATAACTTGGATATAATCAGAACTTTTTGTCTTTTTTCTGAGATGGAGTTTCGCTTTTGTCACCCAGGCTGGAGTGCAATGGCGCAATCTTGGCTCACTGCAACCTCTGCCTCCAGGGTTCAAGTGATTCTTTTGCCTCAGCCTCTCTAGTAGCTGGGATTACAGGCACTCACCACCACGCCCAGCTAATTTTTTTTTTTTTTTGTATTTTCAGTAGAGACATGGTTTCGTCATGTTGGCCAGGCTGGTCTTAAACTCCTGATCTGAGGTGATCCACCATCCTTGGCCTCCCAAAGTGCTGGGATTACAGGTGTGAGCCTCTGTGTCCGGCCATAATCAGTTCTATACAATGTGTTGTGAGAGGAAAATTCACCACAGGCTCTTTACCTTATTTAAGGAGGTCAATTAAATATAAACCATAGTAGCTTGCTTATTGTCATTATTAGTTTATTGATGCAACAGTAGAGTAAGTTGATTCTTTCCTACATTACTGCAAAAGCTATCTAATGCTTCCTCCTGTCCACTCTCATTATGTTTCCCTTTCAGCTTGTTCCAAATTTTGGGAAATCTGATTATATCACTTCCTTATATAAGTCCTATATACTTTGGGTAAGCTACGCATTCCTTGCTTAGCATATAATTGTTTGGCTTTGCTTACCTTTAGCTTTCTTTTTCTCTACTCTCTCCTCCAACTTTAAGCTATAGTCATTCTGAACCATGAGGTTTTCCCCAAGATAACACATTCTCCTTTTCCTCAGGTTTTTGTTCGTAGTTCTTCTCTGCCTAGTACTGGATCACCTGCCTAGTAACTTGGACTTAATCCCTTAGGAAAGTTCAGATACTGTTTTTCCAGGAAGCCTTTCCTGATCATCACCACCACCTCCACCTCCAGACTAGCTTAGGGCTCTTTCCTGTCCACTCTAATAGCACTTGTTATATACTGTATTTCCTTAGATGCCTGGGAAGTATTTGAGAGCACGAACAATTTTTATTCATGAAATTGTTGCAGGAATTTTTCTTAGTTCAGCTAAAGACGGGGTCCTTGTCACACAGCCACGAAAATTTAGGCTTGTGTACGATTCGAACGTTGAGTAGGACAGGGTTTTATTGGGTGAAAAGGAAAAGGGGGAAACAGGGCCTCTCTGCAGGCCAGATTCCTTGCTAGAGTGCTTCCCGCCTTGCAGATTGACTCCCAGGTTACACCCGTGAAAAGGAGGGGCCAGGCTCCTCCCTGCTGCACAAGGTGCAGATTTCTGTAGCTCCATCCCAGTGTGCTCTCCTCCCAGGGCACCGCTGGCTGGAGTTTCTCTGGGGACCCCTTCCTACCTGGCTTTCTCAAAATTGTATCCTCAGTGTTTGATATATAATGGTAGTATTTAATGAAATATTTGTCTATTTAATGAGTAGTGAATATGTAAAAAACTTAGCAGGCTGTCAAAGCTTAGATAAATGTGATCCTCTTACATCCCAGAGCCTATTTTCTCCTGGGCAATGCCTAAAGCTTATTTTTTAGTTGTCTAGTAATCCCGATTCTGCCCTTTGTGAGGTTAGTCTTCTTCACCTTTACCTGTAACCTAGCATTTAGTCTAGTTTTCTGACCTACCGGTATTTTTTTTCTAGATGTAAAATTATTTCCTGACTCTTTCTGCCTAAATCTTTTGGCTTCCATTTTGACTATTCACATAAAGAGGGAAAAACCCCATAGTGTCTTACATTTATTTAGTACCTAGTAGCTTAAAGTGCACTTTCACATTCACCATCTAATGTGAGTGAAGAGACAGATTCTGTGGAAGAACTAAACTCATCTGGTCATACTCATCATTTCAAGTGGGAAGAAAGTGGTAGCTTTGAAAAGGAAGAGTGCGTAGAAATACTGTTGTAGAGTCGAAACTTGCTTTCAGAGGAGTTGAGTTTTAAGACCGGGTGCGGTGGCTCATGCCTGTAATGCCAGCACTTTGGGAGGTCGAGGTGGGCGGATCACTCAAGCTTAGGAGTTTGAGACTAGCAGGGCCAACATGGTGAAACCCCATCTCTACTAAAAATACAGAAACTGCCTGGTTGTGGTGGTGGGCACCTGTGGTCTTAGCTACTTGGGAGGCTGAGGCAGGAGAATCTCATGAACCCAGGAGGCAGAGGTTGCAGTGAGCCGAGATCACTGCCACTGCACTCCACCCTAGGCGACATAGCAAGACTCCATCTCAAAAAAAAAAAAAAAAAATTGCCACGCATGGTGGTGCATGCCTATAATCCCAGCTACTCGGGAGGCAGAGGCACAAGAGTCACTTGAACCCAGGAGGCGGAGGTTGCAGTGAGCCGAGATCACGCCACTGCACTCAGCCTTGGTGACAGAATGAGACTCTGTCTCCAAAAAAAAAGAAAAAAAATAAGGAAAAGTTGAGTTTTTAAAAAAGGAAATGAATCCATATGAGAATGCCAGGGTACTTACATCATTGGATATGCTGCACTTTTGGAAAGAAAAAAGACACTGAAAGATGAAATTTCCTAAGAACAGAGGAATACATGCTGTTAACCATGGTAATAGAATCCTGGTAAGGTAACAACTCTGTAGAGCAGTGGGTTTCTGCCTTCTGATTTATGTACTATGTACACCATCTTCATTTCATATTTGGTATCAGAGATCTCCCAGGTAAACAGTATTTGCTTATAATTTCTATAGTAGAGAGGTTAAAAGTATCGTAGTTACAGTCAGACAGACCTGAGTTTGAGTACTAGTTCTAGGATGTTTAAAACTGATTTTGGGTAATGATTTAATTTTATTGAAGGTTTGCTCTTTTCATTTTTAGTGTGGAGTTAATAAAACCTCATAAAACATTTTGAATAAGATGATAAATATGCTGTGATAAACATTAAGGTCCTTGGTATATAATAAGTACTTGTAAGGGTTATTATGGTATTATATTTAGCATAGCGCTAGAGTTAGATATAAACATATAACACATAACTTCAATAGTATCCTCCTTCCCTCCACTCCCCGCCTCCCGGCCTCCCCTCAAAGAGTGAAGAAGAAGCATATTCCATGTTTGTTTGGATCTTAATGAAAGGGCAAATTTAGATATTTAAATTTATATATTAACATATAAAACATAAATATGCGTGTGTGTATACATACACACACACACACACACACACACACACACACACACATATGTTTGGGGTGAGGAGAAAAAGGATATGTTAGTAACCTCTTGCAGTGTGCCAAATCTTACGCTAAGCATTTTCCATGCATTATTTTATTTACTTCTCACAGTTCTATAAGAGATGGGCATTATTCCCATGTCATAAATAAAAAAGATAAGAACACTCTGAAGCTTAGAGAGGCTAAAGATCATATAGATAATGAATAGTGAACCAGCATTTAACCTAGAGCTCTTTAGCCCTTAAAACTTTTGCTTTTAACCACTCTACCATTTGTATTCCTGTTAGGAGTCTCCTCACATCCCTTGGGAGACCTTGAACATATTCTGAGATTTACAAGTTACCATGTTAATTTTATGATTTTGTATTTTCATTTCAATGACAATAAAAAAGTTTATATACATATTCTGGATCACCTGGGTGACTGTCTTACAATGAAATACCCTATGTAGTTTCATTTATATTTATGGATATCATCTCATTGTCTTCAGGTATTACTGTTATAATTGTCATGGGCCAATGAGAAAAGAACAGTGGTGGGCCTAATCCATACTGTTGCTTTTTATCCAAGCAGAGTTCAAATGATGTCATAATGTACTATAAGCAGCAAACTTTTTTTAAAAAGTAATTTGACAAAATTTCTGAGACAGTTGGATCATCTTACAGCTCAAAACAAAACAACTTGGACAATAGTAATAAGTACCATGAGTGCACTGTGAGCAGCAATTTAACAGCATATTCAATTAATACTGGTACTTTGCACTATGTCTTTTGGTTTGAATTGCATTCAATTTGGGAACTCTAGATCTAATATTTGCATTTTTTACAGTATTACAATTTATCAGTGGATCTAGAAAATATTTTCTTTTATAATTATACTATATTATACTATCATCTAGATACAGACCCTTTAGCTCATGGAGATGAAGGAATCAGTTCTGTTTAGGGGAGTGCTGGAAAGCTTTGCCAAGATACTGCCATTTAAGCTTCTTCTTGCAGAATGAGTGCATGTATGCTCTTATGCTCGGCAAAGACAGGGTAAGGGAAAGGGCAGGGACATGAAGACATCTGAAAAGGCAAAAAAACAAAAGAATCTTTTCCTCATGCTTACTGCATGAGGGAATATTAAAAATATAGGTTATTGTTAAAGACCTTTAGTGCTAATTAAGGGAATATGGATTTTATTACGTAATTAGTGTGAATCCAAAAAAAGCAAAAAGTGTGGGAATATAAACAACTTTTATAATTCAATTGTGTGCATATGGAATCTTTGTAAATTAAGTCATGTTTTACATAAAACCAGAATCTTATTGGTTAAAGACTATTTGGAAATGGAATGTAAATGTTTTTGTATGAAAATAAATTGTCCCCAAATTTTCAGATTTACAAGTTACCTTTTTTTTGGTCTCCCCCTCTCCTTCCTTCTTTCCGTTCTTTTCCTCTAGGCGCATCCTTTAATAATGAAATCAGAAACTCGTAACTTTATTCTTCTCTCCCATCTCACTGGGATATTTTAGCGATTAATAGTATTCTACCCATTTGATTTAATGATTTTTATTTTATTTTAACTAACATTTATTGAGAAAACTACATATGAGATTTTCTGATCACTAATATTTATTTGCACAGAAAAAGGTGTTACTATCATTTACTTAATAGATCTGCTTTTATTAATGATTTTATGCCTTGATTTCCCACAGTTAGCCTCCAGCTGTTACTTCTGTATTATGCATGTTAGAGTGAAATGTCCAAATTAAATTAGTTTTTAAGCTGAGCCCTGTGAAATCACCAGGTGGAGAAATACGGATGGCATATTATTCCTGCATATGCATTTTCATATGCTATTGGTGCAGTGTAATTCAACTGTAGCATTCACAACTTTCATCATTGACATAGCCTTGGTGGGGTCGGGGAGGAGGGATGGGGGGTGGGGGGCGGGGGGAGTAAATGGAATGATATGTACAAAAACACTTTTCAGCTGGGAAGAGTGAAACAAGTTAATAGGAAATAAAAGGCCATATTGTCTATTCAGACTAGTACGTTACTTTTCCAGAGTCATGGGGCTAGCAACCACTATATGTCTGACTTCTACCAAGAAGGGTTGAATCCCTGGTTGATCCTGTGAGGCCTGAGGCATATAAACAAGAAACATGAAAGGGAGAGGAAAATTAAATGAAGTGGGAGTGTTGCAGAATAATAATACAATTAAGGGAGAAAATAATAGAGGTAGAGGAAGAGGTTATATACACTTATTTCTCTTACTATGAACATTTTACTTAGAAGTGTAAGGTTGTATGTCTTGTTTGATACAGTGATAAAAATTATGATAATGCTTAACAGAAATGGGTGCTTTGCTCCATAAAAGTGCTCCGTGCTTTCCTCTGTCATTATGAATTAATCAGCAAGAAATCCAGAAGTGAACAACATAAAAGTATTCCCTCTCCTCCTTTTTTTAAACAGTGAAAAAAGTTGACAATATATTTATTCTGTCATAGATCCAAAAAGCCAAGCCTGCGTTTTAAGGCAGGGTTTTCTTTGGTTTTCTATTTCTCAGCCACACCTTCAGATTTCTTGGCACAGTACAGTCATAGCATTGTGTCATATCCTTGGTCTGTTTTATCAGACTTTATAAATTGATTCTGACTGTACCAGCAGTACTAGATTCTTATCTTTACACAGTTTGGGAAATGGACAATGACTCTTTTGGAAAAACAGCTCTATAAATTGTGCTGTGGTATGTGAGAATGGGTTCTCTGCTTTGCTTTTCCTCTAGCCTGCTGCCATTCCTAGACAGTGTCATTTCTCTGATTTAGGGCATTGTGTAGCTGTTCTGGGTAGAGTAAACCTGCCTCTAAATGTGGAACAGATTGTTACCCGTCAGAATTCTCCACCTTGGAATGGTGACACTGAAAGATACAATTCAGCTCTGGCCAACACCTCCTGTCTTCCCAGTTCACTTACTCTCGTCTCCACTCCAATTATTGCATCTAATTAGGACCTTGAAACAACAACCTACTACTTTTTTTTGTTTGTTTTGAACCTCGTATGGCCTCACACTTCCTTCCTTACCCGGGTCAGATTTCATGGTCCAGCAGTATAATTACTCCCTTCTAAATCCCCTTGACTTACTTGCTTTTCTCTTTTGTCACACTTGCTTGCAAAACCTCAATCCTGATTTAAAGCAAGTGTCTTCCTACACTGCCTCTGCCCTGAGCAGCTTTATGTTACCGGGCAAGAAGAGTCACAAAGCTTTGCAGACTGGTCTCACATTGAATTTATGGCCACAGATCTCAAATTGCTCCTAATTCTGCAGGCAGTCCTAATTAAGAGGACTATTAGATTTGATTTCCCATCCTCAGAGGTGACTGTATCATTCTGTTCTCTTATCAAATCTGCAAATCCTTCGCCTCCACTCAAAGTTTCTGGCTTCACTTGATATTTCTTTGAGAAAATTAAAATAATTGGATGCTACCCAGTTTGTCTCCTCATCAAATCTACCAGCCTACTTGCATCTATACCTGGAGCCTTTGCCTGAATAGTGCCACTATTCCTGAATTCACCTCTGCTGCCTTTTCTGTTAATCCTATCCCAGTTGCCCAACCTAAAGATGCTTCTCCCTCATTATCCTTCTCCCTCCTTTCAAATTTTTGCTTTCTCCTTGTTCACAAGTGTACTAACCTGCCTTTAGAGTTCCACTTAATGTCTTAAAAAAAATCGTTCTCTTGATGTGATGTCTTATTCTAGTTGCCACCCTGTTTCTCTCTTCCCTTCTCAGCAAATCTTATTTAAAAAATTGACTGTAGTTGCTATCTGCCTTTCCTTACCTTTCTTCAAGTTTGTTTAATCAGGCTCCTATTTTTAGTAGTCTTACGAAACTGCTCTTGTCAAGTTATCATAAATATCCATGTTACCAAATACAGAAATCACTTCCATGGCCCCATCTTAACTTTACCTTTCAGCATCATTCTACACATTTCCTTCCTTGAAACACTGTTTTCTTCTGGTATCTCTGATACCAGTGTCTCCTTATTTTCTCCCTCTTTCACCTGTCATTCCTTTTGTGGTGTTTCTGATTCTGCCACTTTCCTCTAGACCTCTAAAAGGCTCCACTCTCAGTCCTATTCTCATATATATATATATACACACACACACACACACACACATATATATATATATTCTCAGACTTTTCTTTTTTTTGAGATGGAGTCTCACTCTGTCGCCCAGGCTGGAGGGTAATGGTGCCATCTCAGCTCACTGCAACCTCTGCCTCCCAGGTTCAAGCAATTCTCCTGCCTCAGCCTCCTGAGTAGCTGGGATTACAGGCATGCACCACCACGCCTGGCTAATTTTTATATTTTTAGTGGAGACAGGATTTCACCATATTGGCCAGGCTGGTCTTGAACTACTGACCTCAGGTGATCCACCCGCCTTGGCCTCCCAAAGTGCTGGAATTACAGGCATGAGCCACCATGCCTGGCCTCAGACTTCTTCAAGTCTAAGGCATTCATTATCAAAAACACAGCAATAGCTACCAAATTAATAATATACAAGGTGCTCCAGAATACTCTACTTATTACCTACACAATGTCTTTAGTTAAATATCAAATTTAGTTTTACTCAGAACAGATCTCTTGATCTGGCCCACCTTTTTCAAAACCTCTTCTTCCCCAGTTTCCCACCCTCAATAAATGGTACTACCATTCACTCATTGTGCAGGCAATAAATCACCAAGCAATCCTTGATTTTTCTTACTCCCTACGTTAAATCTATTAGTAAGCCCGATCACACCTCAAAAATGTATCTTTAATTCAATGATTCCATTCGATTCTCTCTATGAACCATTATCCGTTGCTCAAATTACTGCAGCTGTTTTCCAATGGCTATCTGCTTCTATATCACTTCTGTACTAGTCCCATCTCTGTAGCAATCAGACTGAACTCTCTTTTTTTTTTTTTCTTTTTTGAGACAGGGTCTCACTGTTACCCGGGCTAGAGTAGCCTGGCGTAATCTCGGCTCACTGCAACCTCTGCCTCCCAGGCTCAAGCCATCCTCCCACCTCAGCCTCCCAAGTAGCTGGGACTACAGGTGCACACCAACCATGCCTGGCTAATTTTTGTGTTTTTTGTAGAGACAGGGTTTTGCCAAAGAGCAGGGAGTACAGGCATGAGCCACCGCACCTGGCCTGAACTGAACTCTTAGACATTGTCACCCCTTGGGTTAAAACCTTCCTGTGTTCTCCCATCATACACAGTGAAACCCAAGCTCCTTCCACAGCTTAGGCTCTGTATCCTATGGCTTCTTGCCACCCCTGTAACCCCACCACAACCTCCCCTTCCATATACTCCACCTATCAGCTTTTTTGTTGTTGTTAAAACAAGCTAAGCATTTTCTATCCTCAAAGCCTTTGTAGTTATGATTCTCTGTGCCTCTTCTCCTAGATCATTATATGTCTCTTCCCTGACCATTGTAGCTGAAATACACTGTTTGTCACATCCAGTGTCTCCATTACATTGCTTGTTTTAATTTTTTTCTTAGCACATGTCACTGTGCTATGACATACTTTTTTGTTAGTTTATGTTCCCGCCTCCCCCTTTTAAAAATAAGTTCAATATGTTTGTTGAGGGTGGGGACATTGTATTCTTTTTTCTTCCTTAGCTGTATTTAACTCTTGGCAGGCATTCAGTAAATATTTGCTGAATAGATGTGCGAGGGCTGGCTCTTTTCTGAAAAAGTTGACAGTTGAGAATGCATGCTAGTTTTAAATTATGGACAAATATGTGGCTTTACATCAGTTGAGAGAAACTTGAATGTTTATTAGGTTACTGTTATTTTTATTTGTGTTTTTGAGCAATTCTTTTGTACTTTGTGATAACAAGTAATTGCTTCCAAATGAAAAAGACTTTTCCAGTGACCTGCAAAGCTCTTCAGCAGGGATTGGCAAACTACAGCTCATCTGGCACCTATTTTTGTAAAACCTGCAAGCTAAGAATGGGTTTTACATTTTTCAAGGGTAACAAAAAAGAAAAATATATGAGACAGATTTTACATGATTCACAAAATGTGAAATATTTGCTCTCTGATCCTTTACAAGGGAAGTTTGCTAACCCTTGCTGGAGGCGGTGGCCCTCATTACCTGCCTTCCTCATTAGTGGCCTGCTGCATCTGTCTGCTTCACCTGGGCCTCGTGCCCATTCGCATTTGCTGTTTCCTTCGTGAGGAACACTCAGGCTCACTCCCTTACTTCCTTCACATCTTTGCTTAGCTGTTGCCTTTGCAGTGGAGCCTTTCCTGAGCACTTAATTTAAATTCCAATCCCGCCACCCATTCCTACACACCTTATCTCCTTTCTTCTTTTATTTTTCCCATTGGACTTATCACTGTCTGACATACCATGTATTTTTCTTATGTTCTCTTTCTTTCCAGTGGACAGTAAACTCAGTGAGGGCTGAGATTTTTGTCCGTTTTGTTCACGGCCATATTTTCGAAGATAGCACCTGGCCCATAGAAGCTTTTATTAAATATTTGTTGAATTAATGGTCATAGATTAAAGTTATCTTGAGAACCAGCATTAAAAAAAGTCAAAACACTTCAGTAAACATTGATTAATTGCCATAAAACAGTCCTCATCTCAGATCTATGGAGTTGTATAAAATCGGGTCCTTGTCTTCAAAGAAATTAGTGTAGTAGTGAGAATAAGCATAGAAATAAAAGACACTAAATGTAAGATGAGACTAATTATCCTGCAGTTTCCTTGCTGATTAAAAAAATGTTGAATTGATCATTTAAAGTATTTTTGCAGAAGTTAAAAGTGTTTATGTAAAACTCCAAGTAATTAACACTTTTACGTTCTGTATTGATATCTTTTCTCCTTTTCATCATGACTTGTTTTCTTTAGACAGTTAGGAATATGGTTCCGTGAAAATAAAACCCATATTTAAAATGGCTTTTAAATAGTCAAAAGCATTTTAATTAGATAAATAACAAGTGAAACTATTAGCATTTTATTTTTAGTTTTTTGGTTACTCTTTGGGCAGGTATTTTTTAAAGCACAATTAGATATTTAAGTAGTATTATAAAATTTTATGTCTTAATTTTTATGTTAACTGTGAGTGGAGCTCTTTGGAAGAAGGTAAAATGAGAGAGAGTGTGTGTATGTGTGTGCACGTGTGCAATATATATAGTCATGAGTCATTGAATAATTGGGATGATAGGTTCTGAGAAACATCACTATGTGGTATCATTGTACAAATATCATAGCGTATACTAACACAAACATAGATGGTCTAGCCTACTGCACAGCCAGGCTGTAAGGTATAGACTGTTGCTCCTAGGCTATAATCCTGTACAGCATGTTACCGTACTGAATACTGTAGGCAGCATTACACAGTGGCATTTGTGTACCTAAACATGTAAACATCAGTAACAATCCAGTATTATAATCTTATATGCATCTGCATACAAGATGCAGTCTATTATTGACCAAAGCATTATCATCATGTGCTGTAGGACTATTATGAGTGTACATATTCTCTTTTTTTTTTTTTCTTTTTTGAGGAGACAGGGTCTCGCTCTGTCACCCAGACTGGAGAGCAGTGGCGCGATCTTGGCTCACTGCAACCTCCGTTTCCTGGGTTCAAGCAATTCTTGTGCCTCAGACTCCTGAGTAGCTGGGATTACAGGTGCCACCATGCCCAGCTAATTTTTGTATTTTTGGCAGATACGGGGTTTTGAGGCTGGTCTCAAACTCCTGATCTCAAGTGATCCACCCATCTTGTCCCCCCAAAGTGCTGGGATTACAGGCGTGAGCCACCACACCTGGCCCATATTCTCTATATGTAACATTTTATAAATATTATAGATGTTTATATGTAATATACACAGTGCTTTAGCAATGTCATTTTATTTTTAATTATTGTCTATTTAAGCCCTAGCTTAAGCTTCTCTTCTTGAGTGAAAACACAAATACCTTAGTGAAATTTGATTGATAATATTTTTTTTAATTTGACAATAGAAGCATCCTATTTTTTCTTAAATTTGTGTGGGAGATTTTATGGTATAGTAACGTATAACACTAACTATATGTAACTTCCTTTTTGGTAAAGCAAAACAGCCAGTAGAATTGTAGCCTCTGGCAAATGTTGTTAGTTTCTTAATAGGAAGGAGTAAGTTAAAGACAGATAATAAAAATTCCTTTACCAATTAATTTTGCTAGGTGTTTAAGATACAAGGAAGATATTTATTTTTTAGTAATTCCATTGTTTTAGAGCTTCAAACAAACTGTATTTTCCCTCAGAGTTTTGTTTTGGGTGGATTTGTCAGTAGGGTATGATTAGTTTCCTTTTTACGCATTTGTTCAACAAATGTTTAATGAGCACCTATAAACCACAAGGAACTGTACTAGGAATTGTGGATTTTGAAAATATATCAGAGGAGGACTTTAACCTCTAGGAAGGCATGTTCATAAAGTACAGTAAAACAGGTATGTAGACTCCCTCCCTAATGTGGAGAACAAGTCAACATGTCATAAGATAGATTCAGTTAAAGTGGTATGGGAGTTAGGAGCATCCATAATAGTTGTGATCTAATAGATTTACCTAAATTTGAGTTTGGATTTTAAGAGACAGAGGCTTAGAGCAGCAATAACAAAGTAAATATGGGCAAAGCCTGCCTGGCATAGTCTGCATTGACTGTTGTTTCTTAACATTGTGCATTTAGTGTGTATTCATATCCCCTGGGAACCTCGTTAAAGTGCAGATTCTGATTTAATAGGTCTGGCGTCAACCTGAGATTGGGTGTTTCTACCAAACACTAAGGTGATATTCATGATATAAGTTCATGGATCACACTTTAGATAGCAAGATGGTGGACCACATTTTGTAAAACTTCTGGTGGCAGAGACAAGTAAAAATTCAACTACTATTTTCTTTCCCATCTTCGTTTTTCTGTCTTCTTACACTTTTGTTTGCTTACATCTGTGTGCTGGTGGAGAGAGTTAAATCTTTTATTCATCATTTCACTGTTTATTATAATAGTTGGGAGCTTAGCAATTGTGAATCTAATTTTAAAGCATTAATTTATTTATGAATTGCTCTAATTTGTCCTCTTCCTGCTTGAAGAATGGTAAAACATCTATGTTCACTATGAATTAAATTCAGATTAGTTCAGGCAAAACAGCAGTTGAGAGAGTTTTAATAAATTTACTAAACCATTAAATCCATGGCACCTCACGATAGGAATTTACTAACATCTGGGTTTTCTTGAGAATTTAGATTCAAATCAAACTAGATGTTAATCTACTTATAAGGAAAAAGAAGGAAATTCCTCATTTCACAAGTTCTGTTATGTCTCAGAATGTTTTTTCCTAAATATACATTCCAGAAATACCCTCCTTTTACTCTTTTAACTTATATTTAGATGATACTCCCTCTTATATCTCTTCCCAGAGAAACAGTATTGAAAAGGATAATAATGAGGCAAGAAAATCATTGTGTGTTTTCATCTTTTCCAGTTAATTCATGAATTCAGAACTATGCATACATTCATAAAACCATGTGCATGCACACACACACGTACACAGACAGACACGCATACACAGGACGAGAAGGTGGGGGTAGGCAAGAGATTGATTTAATTGTCTCACAATTTTCTATACTTTTCTTGGTTGCCTATCATAGATAAAACCATTTTATCTTGATAGTCATCCTTTAGCCTATAGAGTGAAGGTGAAGAAATAATAGTGGTGAAACTAAAGATAGGAGATTTAAAATATGAAAAGAAAATGGATTAAGAAAATCAAAGACCAAAAACTTAAAAGAATCAAAGACCAAAAAAATGTGCCATACTGTACTACTTTGTATATCTAGTCTGATATAGGCAAACAACCTATTTTGAGATACAACCATATCTCTTTTTAGAAACAACTTTTAAAGAAAATTTTAAAATATTTTATGTCTGAAGTAGAAAATTTAGAAACTGTAAAAAAATGATAAAAAAGAAAAAAAAATAGGCTGGGCGCTGTAGCTCACTCCTGTGATCCCAGCACTTTGGGAGGCTGAGGCTGGAGGATTGCTTAAGCCCAGGAGTTTGAGACCAGCCTGGGCAACATAGTGAGACCTCATCTCTACAAAAAATAAACAGCAATAACAAAATTAGCCAGGCATGGTGGCATACGTCTATAGTCCCGGCTACTTGGGAGGCTGACATAGGACGATCATTTGAGCCTGGGAAATGAGCTATGATTGTGCCACTGCAGTTTAGCCTAGGTGAGTAAGTGAGACCTTGTCTAAAAAGAAAGAAAGAAAGAAAAGAAAAGAAAATGAATTTTCAAAAAACAAAAAGAAAAAAACATGCTTAATTTGTCCATCTTAATATTCTTCATTATATGTGTGTATATACATACATTTGGGATCATGCTCTGTATTCCTTAGTTAGCATTTTATTATGTCTTTTTGGAGTTGATGGAGGTAGTCATTAGTATGTCTGTGAGCCAGGTGGAATGCTCACACCTGTAATCTCAGCAACTCAGGAGTCTGAGACGAGAGGATCACTTGGGGCCAGGAGTTCAAGACCAGCCTGGGCAACATAGCAAGGTGCTGTCTCTACAAAAATTAGCTGAGCATGGTGATGTGTGCCTATAGTCCCAGCTACTTGGGAGGCTGAGGCAGGAGGATCAATTGAGCCCAGGAGTTCAAGGCTGTAGTGAGCTATGATCACGCCACTCTACTACAGCCAGGACAACAAAATGAGGCTGTCTCTTACACACACACACACACACACACACACACACACACACACACACACGGAGTGGTTGATTGGATAGGATGAGGGTAATGAATTTCTTGAATTGTTTTTTCTGAAACACGACTAAAAACACCATAACCTAGTTTTATGATTTGTAGGTAAAGTAGGATTTTTAAAATCACTTACTCTTCGATATAATTGTGATGGAAAGTGCTGAGGAATGAAATTGGCTTTGATTGGATTAAATATCTACCTTCTAACCAAAACATAGTCTAGTAGTTTTAATTCAGTTATTTATTCCACATGTCATAATGCCCCAAATAACCAGGCTACTGCTATTGGCATTAAAGGTTGCCAGCACCATCTGGAATAATTCACAAATGCAAGGTGAAAGGAATTTCTGCACCATTTAAATTTTTTTCTCTCTCTTAAAACAGAGCAAAATTTTTGCATCTAGTAAATGAATGTTAGGAGGAACTTAATTTTGAGAAAAAGCAATTTGATTCATAAAAACAGAATTTTTCTCCATTTGTTTGTCTTCTCTAATGCCAGGAGCCAGTCTGCTTTTTCCATTAGTTAATATAATTGATATCAGATTGTTAAAATGAGAAATAAAAAATTATAGAGTAAGGAGAATAAATATAAACATTATTTTTCTTTTTATTTCCTCTAGTGATAACTGATTTTATTATATTGTCTGTGGCTGAATTCTTCTGTAGATATTGAAGATGGCCAAAAATGGAGATCTAAAATGTAACTTCTTAGTGTGCATTTTCAATGGAGAATGAATTATCTCATCATCTGTGTCATTAATTCATGATTTTATCTTGAATAATTTTTCCCAGCTTTATTGAGCTATAAATTGATAAAATAGCATGCATTTAAGTACGGTGTACCACATGATCTGATACATGTATACATTGTGAAGGATTAGCACAATCAAGCTAATTAACACCTTTATCACCTCACATAGTTACCACTTGTTGTGTGTGTTGTTAGAACCCTTAAGATCTGCTCTTAGCAAATTTCAAGTGCGCCGAACAGTATTATTAATTATAGTCTACCATGCTGTACACTGGATCTTCAGAACTTACTCATCTTCTGTAACTGAAAGTTTATGCCCTTTGACAAACATCTTCCACGATCTCCCCCTTTCCCAACCCTCTAGAAACCACCGTTCTACTTTCTCTGAGTTCTGTGAATTTGATGTTTTTAGGTTCATTCATATCACAAGTGGCAGTATTTCCCTTTTGTTCTTGTTTCGAAACAGTCTCACTCTGTCACCCAGGCTGGAGTGCAGTGGCGTAGTCTCGGCTCACTGCAGCCTCCACCTCCTGAGCTCAAGCAATTTTTCTGCCTCAGCCTCTTGAGTAGCTGGGATTACAGGTGTGTACCACCAGGCCTGGCTAATTTTTCTGTTTTTAGTAGAGATGGGGTTGCGCCATGTTGGCCAGGCTGGCCTCAAACTTCTGGCCTCAAGTGATCCACCTGCCTCGGCCTCCCAAAGTGTTGGGATTACAGGCGTGAGCCACTGTGCCTGGCCTCCTTTTTGTTTTATGGCTGATAAATATTCCATTTGATTATATATGCCACATTTTCTTTATCCATTCATCTGATGCACACTTATGTTGTTTCACATTTTGGCTATCGTGACTAATACTGCAGTGATATGGGAGTGCAGATCCTGATTTCAGTTGTTTTTGATGTGTAGCAGAAGTGACATTGCTGAGTCATATGGTAGTTCTGTTTCTAATGTTTAGAGGAACCTTCTTACCGTTTTCCATAATGGCTGTGCCAGTTTACACTCCCACCAACAGTGTACCAGGATTCTCTTTTCTCCACATCCTTGCCAATACTTGTTATCTTTTGTCTTTTTCATAGTATCCATTCTAACTGGTATGAGGTGATATCTCATTGTGGTTTTGATTTGCATCTTCCTGTGATGTTGAGCGTATTTTCACATTTAGCTATCCTTTGGCCTGTTGAGCATTTTTCCATATACCTGGTGACCATTTGGCCATTTAAAGTCTTCTTTCGAGAAATGTCTATTCAGATCCTTTGCCCATTTTAAAATCAGGTTGTTTTCTTGCTATTGAGTTATCTAGACATTTTGAATATTAACTCCTTATCAGATAGGTTTGCAAGCATTTTTTCCCATTCTTTAAGTTGTCTCTTTACTCTGTTGATTGCTTGCATTGCTGTGCAGAAGCCTTTTAGTTTGACGCAGTCCCATTTGTCTATTCTTGCTTTTGTTGCCTGTGCTTTTGGGGTCATGTCCAAAAAATCATTGTGCAGACCCACATCAGGAAGTTTTCTTTCCCCAGTGTTTTCTTCTACTAGTTTTAAAGTTTTAGGTCTTATGTTTAAGTCTAATCCATTTTGAGTCAATTTCTGTGTATGGTCAGGGATAAGGGTCCAATTTCATTCTCCTGCATGTAGATATCCAGTTTCCCCAACACCATTTATTGAAGAGATTATACTTTCCCCAATGTGTGTTCTTGGCATCTTTATCAAAGACCAATTAACTGTAAATGCATGCATTTATTTCTGGGTTTTCTATTCTGTTCCATTGGTATAGATGTCTGTTTTCATGCTGGTACCATAGTGTTTAGATTTGTAACATAGTTTGAAATCCGAAAGTGTGATGACTCCAGCTTTGTTCTTCTTACTCACAATTGGCTATTCACGGTCTTTTATGGTTCCATACGAAGTTTAGGATTCTTTTTTCTGTTTTTGTGAAACAATGCCATTGGTATTTTGATAGAGGCTGCATTGAATCCATAGATTGCTTTGAGTAGTATGGACATTTTAACAACATTAATTGTTTCAATTCATGAACAGATTATCTTTCCATTTGTATGTATCTTTTTCAATTCCTTTGTCTTCTAGTTTTTAGTGTACAAATCTTTCAGCCAGTTGTATACAAAAATATACAACTAATTTTTGTATATTTTATATTCTGCAACTTTACTGAACTTACTATAATAGTTTTTAACAATTTTTTTATGCAGGCTTTAGGGTTTTCTATGTATGAGGTCATGTCATTTGCAAATAGAGACAGTTTATCTTGTATTTTCCAGTTTGTGTGCCATTTAGTTCTTTTTCTTGCCTAATTGACTAGGACTTCGAATATTCTGTTGAAGAGGTGGTGAGAGTGGACTCCCTTTTCTTGTTCCTGATGTTAGGGGAAAAGCTTTCAACTTTTCACCGTTAGATTTATCGGCTGTGGGCTAATCATATATGGCCTTTATTGTTGTGTTGAGGTACATTCCTTCTTTACCTAATTTATTGAGAGTCTTTATCATGAAAGGATATTTAATTTTGTCAAATACTTTTTCAGATGATTGTGTGATTTTTATCGTTCATTCTGTTAGTGTGGTGTATGACGTTTATTAATTTGTGTATTTTGAACTATCCTTGCAAATAACCACTTGATTATAGTGAATGGTCCTTTTAATGTGCTGTTGAATTCAGTTTCCTAGTATTTTGTTGAAAGTTTTGCGTCTAGTTTCATCAGTACTATTGACCTGTAATTTTCTTTTCTTATAGTATCCTTATCTGGCCTTGGTATAAGGGCAATACTGGCCTTTTAAAATGAGTTTGGAAGTGTTCCTGCCTCTTTAATTCTTTGGATGAATTTGAGAAGAATTGGTACTAGCTTGTGCTTAAGTGTTTGGTGGAAATCAGCTATGAAGCCATCTGGTCCTCAGCTTTTCTTTGTTGGGAGGTTTTTGACTACTGCTTTAGTCTTCTTTCTTGTTATTGGTCTGTTCAGCTATTAATATGTCTTCACTTGTCCAGGTACAGTGTGTAATCCCAGCATTTTGGGAGGCCAAGGTGGGAGGATCACTTGAGACCAGGAGTTGGAGACCAAACTGGGTAACATAGCAAGACTGGTCTCTACAAAAAAATAAAAAATTAACTAGTTGCAGCGGTGCATGCCTGTGGTTGCAGCAACTTGAGAGGCTGAGGCAGGAGGATCCTTTGACCCCAGAATTTTGATGAACTATGATGGTGTCACTGTGCCCCAGCCTGGACAACAAAGCAAGAATGAATCTCTTTTAAAAAAAAAGTCTTCAATTTTGTTGTTGTTGTTGTTTTAATGATTCAGTCTTTAGGGTATATGTTTCTAGAAATTTATTCATTTCTTCTAGGTTATCCAAGTTGTTGGTGTATTAATTTTCATAATATTCTCCTTGTACTCCTGTGGATCAGTTGTAATGTCTTCTCTTTCATGTCTGATTTTCTTTATTTGAATTCTCTTTCTCAGTTATTCTAGCTCAAAGCTTGTCAATTTTGATTATCTTTTGACAAACAACTATTATGTTGATTTTTTAGAATTTTCTTTCTGGTCTCCCATTTATTTCTTTATTATTTCCTTACTTTAGCTAACTTTGGGCTTAGGTTGTTCTTTTTTCTATTTTTTTGAGGTGTAAGGTTAAGTTGTTTGAGATCTTTATTTTCTTAAAGTTTATTGCCATAAACTTGTCTCTTTGAACTGCTTTGCTGTATTCTGTAGGTTTTAGAATGCTGTGTTTTCATTTTATTTGCCTGAAGATACTTTTTGACTCTTTTTTTTTTTTTTTTTTTTGAGTTGGAGTCTCACTGTGTCACCCAGGCTAGAGTGCAATGGCACAATCTTGGCTCACTGCAACCACCGCCTCCCGGGTTCAAGCGATTCTCCTGCCTCAGCCTCCTGAGTAGCTGGGATTACAGGCATGTGCCACCACGCCTGGCTAATTCTTAATACAGATGGGGTTTCACCATGTTGGCCAGGCTAGTCTCAAACCCCTGACCTCAAGTGATCCGCCCACCTCAGTCTCCCAAAGTGCTGGGATTAAAGGCGTGAGCCACCGCGCTTGGCCTGACTTTTTGACTCTCCTTTTGATTTCTTCTTTGACCCATTGGTTTTGTCAGGAGTATATTGTTTACTTTCCATGTATTTGTGAATTTTTAAATTTCCCTCCTATTATTGATTTCTAATTTTATACCATTGTAGTTGAAAAACATGCTTGATATGATTTTAACATAGTTGGATTTAACACTTAATTTTGTGGCCTAACATATGTTATATTCTGGGGAATGCTCTATGTGTACTTGAGAAGGATATGTTTTCTGCTGCTGTTGGATGGATGTTTCATATAGTCTGTTATTTGCTCTATACTCTTATTCAGGTCTAATGTTTTCTTATTGACAGACTGTTTGACCTATCCATTGTTAAAAGTGGGGTAGTAAAGTCCTCTCTTGTTATTGTATTGCTGTCTGTTTCTCCCTTCAGTTCTGTTAGTATTTGCTTTATATTTTTAGGTGCTCTAAGGTTGGATGCATATATATTAATACATTTACAATTGTAATATTCTCTTGATGAATTGACCCATTTATTGTTGTATAATAACCTTGTCTCTTGTGACTGAAAGTCTATTGTGTCTGATATAAGTAAGCCCATTTCTATTCTTTTTTGGTTACCATTTCCATGGAATATCTTTTTCTATCCTTTTGTTTTCAGCCTGTGTGTGTCCTTACAGCTAAAGTGAGTCTCTTGTAGCCAACATATTGTTGGATACTTAAAAAAGTCTGTTAGCCACTCTGTATCTTTTGATTGGAGAATTTAATCCATTTAAAGTAATTATTGATAGTTAAGGCCATTTTGTTGTTCTCTGTTTTGTAGGTCCTTTGTTCCTTTCTCTCTTGCTGCCTTCCTTTCTGATTTGATTTTTTTTTTTGTAATTGTATGCTTAATTCCTTTCTATCTTTTATATGTTACTGGAGGTTAGTTTTCTTTGTGGTTACTATGAGGGTTACATAAGATATCTTAGGCTGTTTTAAGGTTGTAATAACTAAACTTTAATTACCTACAAAAATTCTGCAATTTTATGTCTCCCTCCTTCACAGTTTATGCTATTGATGTCACACTTTACATCTTTTTATATTTGTGTACCCATTGACAAATTATTGTAGCTATAGTTATTTTTATACTTTTGTCTTTTAACTTTTATGCTAGTTAAAATTGATTTATGTACCACGATTACAGCATTGCAGTATTCTGAATTTGACTGTATATTTATTTTTACCAGTGAGTTTTATACTTTAATGTGTTTTCATGTTTTTATTTAGTGTCCTTTAGTTTCAACTCAGCTCCCTTTAGCATTTCTTATAAGGCAGGTCTAGTGCGATGAACTCTGTCAGCTTTTGTTTGTCTGGAAATGTCTTTATCTCATCTTTATTTCTGAAGAACAACTTTTTTTTTTTTTCCCTCTGATGGCACCTCTGACTCCTTGATATTGTATTATTTGTTTCTCAGAGAAGTAAAGCAATTTTTTTTTTGAGACGGAGTCTCGCTCTGTTGCCCAGGCAGGAGTGCAGTGGCATGTTCTTGGCTCACTGCAATCTCTGCCTCCCGGGTTCTAGCGATTCTCCTGCCTCCGCCTCCCAAGTAGCTGGGACTACAGGCGCCCGCCACCACGCCCAGCTAATTTTTGTATTTTTAGTAGAGATGGGGTTTCACTGTGTTAGCCAGGATAGTCTTCGATCTCCTGACCTCATGATCCACCCACCTCAGCCTCCTAAAGTGCTGGGATTACAGGCATGAACCACTGTGCCCAGCAACAACTTTCTTATGTATAATATTCTTGGCTGGCAGTTTTTGTCTATTAGCACTTTGACTATATCATCTCATTCCCTCCTGATCTGCAAGGTTTCTGCTGAGAAATCCACTGATTGCCTTGGTGGTGGTGGTAATGGTGGTGTGTATGTGTGTTGCGGGTTTCCTTGTATTATAGGTTGCTTTTCTCCTGCTGCTTTCAAAATTTCCTCTTTGCCTTTGATTTTTCAGAATTCAATTATAATGTGTTTCAGTGTAATTTTCTTTGACTTGAGCTTTTGAGCTTCATGAATCTAGATGTCTGTATTTCTTTCAAGATTTGAGAGATTCTCAGGCAACAGACATTCATTTACGTGAGCTAGGTATTTCTTCTATTCTCCTGTTGGGACCTTGGTAATGCACATGCTCATTCATTTAATGCTGCATCGGAGCTTCTGTATGCTTTTGTCGTTTTTAATTCACTTTTCTCTTTAGTTTCTCTAACTGGATAATTTTAAACGATGTGTGTTTGAGTTCCCTGATGCTTTCTTCTGCATAACTGAGTTTCCTATTGAAGCTATTAATTTTTTTTTTCAGTTGTCAGTGTATTCTTCAGTTTCAAGATTTCTGTTTGGTTCTTTAGAGTTTCTATTCCTTTATTAAACTGTTTGTTTTGTTCATGTATTGTTTTCCTAATTTTTGTTGAGTTTCCTGATTTTTGTTTCTGGGTTCTCTTGAGTCTCATTGAGCTTCTTTAGGATGATTATCTTTAATGCCATCAGTCATTTCATGTATCTCCATTCCTTTGTGATCAGTCATAAGGGCTTTATTGGTTTACTTCGGTGATGTGTTATATAACTGTAAACCGAATACATGGAAAAATAAAAAAAAAACAATAGAAAAATAATTAGAATTAGCAAGAGCGTTTAACAGGTTTTCTAGATAGAATACCCATATAGGGGAATCATGTTCCTGTTTATATGCCAGCAAATAGCCACTAGAAAATGTAATTTTAAAAAGTTACTAAAATAATTTATTCAGGAAAAGTTCATTAGTGCATGGAGCCATTAGGTGAAAGGTTGATAAAAGGTGAACTCTACACACAGAAGAGACCAGGCTGTCACTGCCTTGATGCACTAGTTAATCTTAGCCTCTTTAAGAGTGAGAAAACCAAGGACCAGGCACAGTGGCTCATGCCTGTAATCCCAGCACTTTGGGAGGCTGAGGCGGGTGGGTCACTTGAGGCCAGGAGTTTGAGACCAGCTTGGCCCACATGGTGAAACCCCTTCTCTACTAAAAATACAAAAATTAGCCAGGTGTGGTGTTGCATGCCTGTAATCCTAGCTACTTGGGAGGCTGAGACACCAGAATGGCTTGAACCCAAGAGGTGGAGGTTGCAGTCAGCCAACATTGCGCCACTGCACTCCAGCCTGGGCAACAGAGTGAGACCCTGTCTCAAAAAAAAAAAAAAAAAAAAAAAGAGTAAGAAAACCAGACATTATATTATATGCTGTCAGATGTGAGGCAATGTCAGTTATACAACACCATTAATTATTATTTTTACCTAAAAATGAAAATTGAATATATTCAAGTCTTTAAAGCTAATATTCAGTATCAAAACAAACAAAAAGCAAGAGATATAGAGAAACAAGTTGAATTTCATCATGAAGAAGCAAACATACAATCCAGAATGTGAGTCGTTGTATGGAATAATTGATTTCCTTTTTAAAAAAATCACTGGCATTCAAAAAGGGTACATTGGAGGAGGTAAGAGACTTTTCTCTAGATTAGTAGGGATTTGAAGGATCTGACAATAAGCACAATGTATGGGCGTTTTTTGTATTTTGATTCAAATAAAGTAGCCGTAAGAAATAAACTTTGATTCAAATGGGGAAATTTGAATATGGACTATATATTATACTGATATTGAGGAATTGTTAATTTTGTTACAATTTACGTTGTTAAACATGCTCTTTTTTGGAGATGCATCAGGAAGCATGTATAAGGGTATAATGACATGATATCTGGAATTTTAAATGATGGCAAAACGTATAATGTACATAGAAATAAAATATATACACATTTTTTATGGAGGAAAATATAATGCTTTGTTAGCCTTTTAAGGAGACCTAAACAAATAGATAAACACACTGACCAGTTTTCAACCTAACGATAGTGCAAAAGTGATACACGTTCAGTAAAACCACACTTTGAATTTTGATCTTTTCCTGTGCTATTGGTATGTAATATGATACTCTCTTGTGATGCTGGACAGTGGCAGTGAGCCACAGATCCCAGTTAGCCACACAACCAGGAGAGTAAACAACTGCTACTTTCCAGATTAGGTGTTTTAAATGCATTTTGGACTTAGGATATTTTCAACTTATGGTGGGTTTATTGGGATATAGCCCAATGGTAAGTTGAGGAGCATCTGTAGTATGTTAATGAATTGAAAGATCCAAAAGCATGAAGTTTTTCCCAAACTGACATTGCTTCAATGTGATTGGAATCAAAATCCCAGAGGCTGCTGTTGGGTTTTTTGTTGCTGTAGTTGGTTGGTTGGTTTGGTGGAACTTGACGGGCTAGTTCTGAAATTTCTATGAGAAGCGTAAAGCGCCAAGAACAGCCAAGAGAGTTTTGAAGAAGAAAAAGGTAGGGAGCCTTGCCTTGCTAATTACTTTTTGTAAAGGTATAGTAATTAAGGTGGTATAGATCTGGCACAGAAATATACAAACATAGCCACAAAACAGGTACACATGCATATAGAAACTTTGTACACACCAGAAGTGGCAATGCATGTAAATATTCCTGGGAAAATTCATTATAAATACATGTAAAAAATGAAATATTATTATGTTATACCAAACCCCCCAAAATGGAAGTATGTTTTTACCTCATAACATATGCAACCTCGGTTTCAGATGGATTAATGACTGCAACGTGAAAGACAAAGTTAACGTCGTTTTAGGGGAATATCTTTATGAACTTTGATGGACAAGATTTTGTGGAAATGTCACAAAATTGTATATTATAAAGGAGAAGATTGATACATTTGAAACAATTAAAAGTTTTAGGCTGGACATGGTGACTCATGCCTGTAATCCCAACACTGGGAGGCAGAGGCCAGTGGATTGCTTGAGTCCAGGAGTTCAAGACCAGCATAGGCAACATAGTGAAACCTCATCTCTACTACAAATTAGCTGGGTGTGGTGGCATGTGCCTGTAATTCCAGCTGTTCAGGAGGCTGAGGTGGGAGAATCACCTGAGCCTGGGGGGTCAAGGCTGCAGTGAGCGGAGATTGTGCCACTGCACACTAGCCTTGGCGACTGAGTGAGATCCCATCTCGGAAGAAAAATAAAATTGAATTCTATCGATGAAAAGATGTAAAGAAATCATAGACTAGAAGAAAATACTTACATAACATATAACGGATAAAGTATTATTATCTATAATGTATAAAGAATACCTATAAGTCATTAAGAAAAAGATATGTTAATTTAAAAAGTGGAGAAAGACACAAATAGCTATTTCACAGAAGTGGAAACAGGAATGGCCAAATACTGTATGATAAGATATTCAGCCTAGGTGGTTAGAAACATGCATTGTAAAACTATAATGAGGTACTATTTTTTTTCTACCCTATTGGAAACATTTAGAAAGTCAGTACCATGTATTAATGGATGTGGAGAGGTATAATGGCCAACAGTTGTGCACAGCTAGCAAGAGTATAAATTAATATAGCTTCTTGGAAAATAAAATAAAATAAGGTGTACCTACTGTATTTCCTAGCAATTCAGTTCCTAGGCCTATACCTTAGAGATATTCCTGCCCAGGTATATCAGAGTGCACCTAGCAGCATTATTTAAAATGGCAAGAAGATGGAAACAATGCAATTGTCATCTTCTGGGGAGTAGATTAAAGTAATTGCCATATATTATTTCATACCTCAGTGAAAGTGGAGAAGATTAAAAGATACATTACACTCTGAATGGTCTAAGTCTCGAAACCTATTGAAAGGGAATAATATTGAATATCATTCTGTACTAAAAAGAAAAATGAATAATTATTTATCTTTATAAAGCTCAAAAACATGTAAACTATAAATGAACAGTTCATATATATATATGTAGCAAAACAATAATAAAAGCAAAGGGATTTTAAACATAAATTTTGAGATATAGGTTGTTCTTATTAATGGAGGATAGACCAATAGTAGAGAGAGACACAATAGGGAGCTTCAGAAGTAAATATGATGTTCCATTTCTTAAGCTAGGTTTATGGATTTTTATGTCATTATTTTCATATACATCTACATTATATACAGTGTATTGAATGTTTGAAATATTTAATAATGGTAAAATTAGAGTTGTTTTACAAAGCTTTCTTTTTCTATCAGCCATTCTAATATTTCAGTGCGTCGATGTCAAAAATACTGCTTCCGTATTTCCAAAATCTCTGACTTGGTTTCTTTTTAGTCATTTCAAATGATCCCGTGCCTTTCTTTTGTTTTATGATTTCATTGTTCTTCGTAGAATACATGCTGAAATACATGTTCTTTATGGGAAAACTTATTTTTGTAAACGAATGTGCTACCATTGAGAGGAACGAATTTGGAATTGTTGAAAAATTTCGCAGCATGTATTTATTCGTTGGTTTTCAGCCATTCCTTATTGTCACTGGTGTAAGTCTCTAGATAAACATATTTGTTTCTATACATACATATGCAAAGCTTGATTTTTCTCCTTCTGTCATTAGGCAAGTGAAAGACCAGAATAAGAAGGTAGCAAATCTGAAGCACAAGGAACAGGTGGAAAAAAAGAAGAGTGCACAAATGTTAGAGGAGGCGCGACGACGGGAGGACAATCTCAACGACAGCTCTCAGCAGCTACAGGTTAGAACACAAGGAGAATCTGAAAGGATCGGGTGAAGACATTTGATCCGTAATCGCATGTTGTTTTTCTCTTCATCTTTATCCTCCTCTTTTTTCTCTTTCTAACCCTGCTTGCTGCCTTCCTCTCAGACCAACTGTTTAGCAATGAAGGAATGGCTTTAAGTAGAAAATGCAAGTTTTATTCCACAGCTTTATGAGGACACCTCAGCATAGGAGAAAGTTCATCTTGCTTCAAGTTGATCACACTTAATTGGTAAGTTCAATGACAGTTTAATGAGTGGGTTATATTAGGCTTCAGGGTTGTCAGTATACCTCTTTGCCAGTTCCATTCATTAAAATGGATTGCTAATCTTGGTTTGTGTCTTTCTTCCTTTTTTCTATTCTTCCTTTCTCTTTTCCTTCTACCTCTCTAACCTCCCTCTATCTTTCCTTCCTTTCCTCTTTTTAAATATTCAGTTTAGTAAGAATATTTTACAGTCATACAGAATGTGACATATAAACTGTATTTTTTCACTTCAGTGGAGTGATAATTGATGCCTAAACCTAATTATTCACAGATTAATTAAACCAGGCTCAACAACAGCAGTAGCAGCTACCATATTATAAGTGCCAGTTAGGTCCTCAGTATTTGAAACTAGGCTCTGGTCATTCATTTTGTTCTAACCTTCACAGTAATCCAAGTGGAGCAGGTGGTATTGTATACATTTTGCACCGGGGGAAATAGATTCAGAGACATTGTGTTACTTACGTAAATGCACACAGCTTCTAAATGGCTCAGCCATGATTTTAACTGGGACTTCCTGAATCTGTAGACTGTCCTCTTTGTCTTGATCATAATGCTTCAGAATGAAGGTGTAGATTATAGGGAAGAATACCATAAATGTGCTGGAGTCTCTGAAAGCCATGCTAAGACTAAGCCACTGCCAGATTGTTTTTCTCTAGTTAACAATTTCTAATTGGGTCTGATACTGTGTATATGCCGCAATTACAATCTTTACTGGAGAGATTTGGAGGGTTTACTATGTAGAAGCCATTCTGAGGCTTTACAACAAATTCTTTTAACATATGAAGAAGACTCTACTTTTTACTTCTTTTTCTCATTCCTCTTTTATGTAACTTTTACTGATTATGTTTATAGAAAAAGTATAAATTTCCTCAAATGCACCAAATTTTGCAAAAAGCAGCATGCCCGTTTTTCCTCATCCTTGCCAATAACAGTTAATATTGGCAGTTTTCTCATCTTTCTGTTCTTCCTCCTTTTTTTTTTTTTTAACAAAATACAAATCTGATGAGTGGTAAATATTTCATTCTGTGTTAATTTATATTTCTCTGATTACCAATGACATTGTTTTTTCAAGTCTTGAATTTTCTTTTGCTTGTTAATGTAATTTAAATCTCTCTTCCATTGTTAGGTTTTCCTCCCATGGATTTTTTGCTTAGTTTATCCACATTTTGAGAGTATATATTTACACATAAATACTTTTAAGTTGTTCTGTGCTTTCATATTTTTGCCTTTACTTTTTAATTCATTTTGTGGTATTTGTGTGGTGAGGATATTTTTTCTTTATTGCTAACAACTTCACAAGAATGTTTATAGGGAATTATTTCATTGCTCACAAACTTGAATTGATGTCTTTATATTTCATGAAATTAATGATGAGTCTGTTTCTAGGATTTCAGTTTAACCTCCCTTCTTGAACTATGGCCACATTGTTGTTTAATTCTAGAAAGTATTTATTTTATGATAAGGCAAGCCTCTCTTTATGTTAGCACTTTAACTGTTTCATTTGTCTTTCTTACCCTGCTCATCATTTAATGTTTTCTATTAGCAGTCTCTCTCTATAAACCAAAGATACTCTTCTAATCTTCTCTCAGTTGTTATAACACCAAAAGTGCTTTCATATGTAATCTCTTATTTCCTTTTTATATAAACTAAAAGATAAATAAGATAGATTATATTATTTATATTTTACCTATAGGGAAAACTAATTTAGAGTGGATGACTGGCTTCCCCAAGGTGTCTAAGTAAATGATAGATACCAAAGTTATGAAAAAGATAGCTGATGGCCATGTGCAAATTACACAGAGATGTAATTCATTCAAATACCGTGAAAAGAGCACTGGACTACAAGTTAGGATACTTAGGATCTGATCTCAGTTCTTTTACTAACTACTCAGTTACTTAAGTATATTTCTGTTTGTTTATTTATTTATTTACTTATTTGACAGACAGTCTTACTCTGTCACCTAGGCCGGAGTGCAGTTGTGTGATCCTCCTGTCTCAGCCTCCCAAGTAGCTGGGACTGCAGGCTTGTAATTTTTTAATTTTTTGTAGAGACAAAGTCTCACTATGTTGCCTTAGGCTGTTCTCGAACTCCTGGCTCCACACGAACCTCCTGCATCAGCCTCCCAAAGTGCTAGGACTATAGGCGTGAGCCACTGTGCCTGGCCCTATGGATCATATTTAGAGATTGCAATCTGGGTGTTAGGGGTACTCCCCACCACTGCGTTGTCATTTACAACAACATAATGAAGAAATACAGCCGGCCATCGTGGCTTATGCTAATCCTAGCGACTCGGGAGGTGAGATGAAGGATCACTTGAGACCAGAGTTCAAGACCAGCCTGAGCAACATAGACCCTGCCTCTAAAAAAATTTAAGAAATTAGCCTGGCAGGATGGTGTACACGTACGGTCCCAGCTACTGTAGAGGCTGAGACTGGAGAATTGCTTTATCCCAGGAGTTCAGGGTTGCAGTGAGCTGTGATTGTGCCACTATACTCCAGCGTATGTGACAGGGCAAGGCCCTGTCTCTAAAATAAATTAAATGAAAATAAAAGAAGTTAGGAATTCTTGGAGAAGTTACTCATTCCAGGATTAGAGCAAGAAATGTACAAGACAAACCTAAATTAGTGGTTCTCAAACTTGTGTGCGTTGGAGTTACATGGAGGGCTATTAGAAAAGTAGATTGCTGTCTCCTGTCCCTAGGGGTTTTGATTCAGTAAGTTTGGGGAAAGCCCCATGAATTTGCATTCTAATAAGTTCCTGGGTGATGATAAAATTCCTGGACCAGGAACCACATTTTGAAAAATCACTGCGCTATAGCATCATGCGATATGAAAAATTAAGAACCTATCAAAGACTACTGGGGTCATATAAGGATGGACAGAGGAGCAAGAATGAAGGGGCTATCACTGGCCTAGGATAGACAGTTTGAGCATAAGAAAGACTAATGAGCACAGTTGTTTAAAACAAAGTATTTTTAAATCCGGAAACTTCATTGTGAGACTATAAAAATAATTTGGAGATTGCTGGGACACCAGTGCCCTAACACTGGGATTTACTTTTTAAAATTCCAATGGTAGTAGGGGAAACATTGGCCATTTTTTGATAGTTTATTGAAGCTGAGTGGTGGTGACATGGGGTGTATGATATTATCTTTCCTATACTTTTGCATGTTTGAAATTGTCCCTAATAAAATGCTGGAAAAGAAAGATATCACTTAACCACTTGAAACTTTCGTATCTGTAAAATGAGTCTTAAGACAGATAAGACTTCACTCTTAGACTTTAGTGTGTCTTTCAGTTCTAAACTAGCTTTTTAACCATATTTGCGTAGCCCTGGAGTGGAGCCTGTGACTCTGGGTTCATTTCTTAGCCAAGCTCCTTATTTGTGTTTTCCCTTTACTTGAGAAATATTTTCCGTATTTTCCAAGTAACTCTTTTTTCATATCTTTGCTTGAATTTCATGGAGTTGGTTTCTTCTGTTTTTAAACTGAAGGTCATATAGCTTTGGTCGTATACCTTTGCTTTTGTCTAAAAATTATAAATTTTAATTAACATACTAGAAAAATTAATCCATAATATATATTTGTTTATATCCCTCTACATTTTCTTTTAAACTTTAATTTTACTTATTTGTAATACTAATATATATACACTCTTCCGTATTTTGCTTTTTAAAAACTTTATATCATTTAAACATTTCCATGAGTTATGTGTTTCATAATGATGCTTGTACTTACTATTTTCAGTTGAATCCAGAGTTCAGTAGCTTTATACACGTTCCTCTTTTTCTGGACATTTCTTAATTTTCAATTTTCACAGAGCAAATTTGTACAGATAAATTGTACCCAATTTGGTGATTTCCTTTGGCTATTCCTCAGAGCAAACTTACTCAAAGTATATGAAGTGTTGTAGCTTTTCTTAAATTTTTGTTACCAAAGATGAACTAATTTATAGTACTTCCAGCAGTTTGCAGGCATTCTGTTTTCCCTATAGCCACTTTGGTTCTATTTAATTTTTTGCTCATTTTACATATAATGGCGTCTTCAAGTTGTTATATTTCATTTCTTCAGTGACACTGTCCGTTTTTCACATGTAATGATCTATTATCTGAAATTTCCGTGTCAAATTTTAATTACATTTGCTACCTATCATGAAAATCTTTTCATATCACCTCCTTTGAATTGATATGTTATGAATTACATTGAGGAATGATGATTGTTACATATTTTTTCTTTTTCAGTCATTTTTCTTTTGAAATTTATTAGATTTTGTTGTTTAAACATCTTTTCAAAAAAATCTTTTAAATTGCTTATCTTGTCCTTTCAAGGCAATTTTTTCACTTAATATCCATTTGCAACAGAGTCAAGCATACTAGTTTCTTTTAGTTCTTTAGCTGTGTGTATGTGTTTGTTTCTTGTAAATGTTCATTGCTTTAATGCATGTGGAATTTATTTAACTTAACTTACAAAACATAGATTTAAAGTACTCTTTCTTTACCCTGATACCCAGTTCTCCTGGTAGCACTTAGTAAATAGGTATTCTTTAAAAAAATTTTAAATCTACCTAATCATATGCTACATAATCACACAGAAGTTTCCATTTCATTCTAGATTCATTGTTTTGTCTTTAATCCAATTTTTTGCATTTCTTCTTCTTCTTTTTTTTTTTTTTTTTTTTTTTTTTTGTGATGGAGTCTCTTGCCCTGTCCCCAAGGCTGGAGTGCAGTGGTGTGATCTCGGTTTGCTGCAACCTTCACCTCCTGGGTTCAAGTGATTCTCCTGCCTCAGCCTCCCGAGAAGCTGGGATTACACACCTGGCTAATTTTTTTGAATTTTTAGTAGAGTCGGGGTTTCACCATTTTGGCCAGGCTGGTCTGGAACTCCTGACCTCAGGTGATTCAGCCACCTCGGCCTCCCAAAGTGCTGGGATTATAGGCGTAAGCCCAGCCTTTTTGCATTTCTTTTGCCCTTTGTTTACAAAGTCAGTAGGTCATCTTCAACGTCATTAACTTTATCTCAAAACTTTTTTTCTAGGTAAATTTATCAGTTTTTTCAACAACCTTTGAAACATCATTTGAGTGTCTTTAGTTTGTTAAATTATACTAATAACTTAAAGAATATTATCACTTGTAATTTATTTAGTCATCTCCAGCCAGGAACTAAATTCATTCCTCTTTATTCCTATTTATGTTTATTATTTATCATGTTAAAAAAGATTTAAGGAATATAAAATATTTTCTAAAGAAAGCTAATATCCAGATTACAACCAAATTATTAAAGATTTGTGGTAGATAATAGAGAAGAAAAAGGCAAATGAAACTTCAAGCCATAAAAAGATGAAAAAAGTATTAGCAAATGCTCTTTATTGTATTCACCTATAAAATAACCTTTCTTCTTATGAAAACGGAGTCAAATTCCTTACAGAGCTCCTGTCTCTAAAGGTTGTGAGCATTAATGAGATGATACATGTAAAAGCTTCTATAAGAGCAAATGTTAACAGGATTGGACTAGGTAGTAGTAACATAACAGGTACAGTGGGTCCTCCATATCCATAGGTTCTGCATTTTTGGATTCAGCCAACGGTGGATTGACAATATTATGGAAAAAAACACCAATAAAACAGAATAATACAACAATAAAAAATAAATAGAAAATAATATAGTGTAACAGCTATTTACATAGTGTTTACATTGTATTGGGTATTAGAAGAAATCGAGGCCGGGCGCGGTGGCTCACGCCTGTAATCCCAGCACTTTGGGAGGCCGAGGCGGGTGGATCATGAGGTCAGGAGATCGAGACCATCCTGGCTAACAAGGTGAAACCCCGTCTCTACTAAAAATACAAAAAATTAGCCAGGCGCGGTGGCGGGCGCCTGTAGTCCCAGCTACTCGGGAGGCTGAGGCAGGAGAATGGCGTGAACCCGGGAAGCGGAGCTTGCAGTGAGCTGAGATTGCGCCACTGCAGTCCGCAGTCCGGCCTGGGCGACAGAGCGAGACTCCGTCTCAAAAAAAAAAAAAGAAAAAAAAAAAAGAAATCGAGAGATGATTTAAAATATATGCGAAGATGTGCATAGATTATCTGCAAATACGACAGCATTTTATATCAGGGACTTGCGCATCTGTGGATTTTCATATTCCAGGGGAGTGTTAGAACCAATCCCCAGAAGATACTGAGGTGCTATGTAGGGATGTAATGAAACGTGAGAGATACTGAGGTGCTATGTAGGGATGTAATGAAACGTGAGAGATACTGAGGTGCTATGTAGGGATGTAATGAAACGTGAGAGATACTGAGGTCCTACTGTAGGGATGTAATGAAACGTGAGAGATGCTATAATTTTCTTGTAAAAGGAGGCACTCACTTCATTAGGAGAGAACTTTTAATTTTTCCGGTAGGATTTTGTGAGAAATTTGCCTCGTGTTACTTCATTTAGAGCAGTGGTTCTCAAGTAAGGCTCAGTTTTGGCGCTAAGGAATCTTTGGCACTGTCTGGGGACATTTGCAACTTGAGGGGTGCTACCGGCATCTAGTGAGTAGAGTGCTGGGTGCTGCTAAACGTCCTGTAGTTCTCCGGATAGCCCCCACGGCAAAGAATTTCTCGGCCCACACTGCAAATAGTGCTGAAGTTTGAAACCACGTTTAGAAACACTTTGAATGCCAGTTCTTTATCCGAAGTGTTACTGTGGATGAAGTTTTCATGAATAGCTTTGGAAACCTAATACGTATGGCCATATTTATATTTTTTTCTATGTAGAGCTAAGACCAAAGCTGTTAAGTTAAAACTCTGTAGTGGCAGTGCCACAGTACCCAGTAATATCGCCTAGGTACATAGTTTTCTGGTACCGTACTCTAATTTGATGTGAAATAATGCTAGGAGAGTTGTGGTGAGTGAGTAATTTACATAACATACACAATAACCATCATTCTCGGGCACATAATTCCAGATTGAAGTTAATATACCACGTGATTGAAGTATTCTGTATTATTGTTAATGAAGACTTGGTACTCTAGAAGTATTTAATAATTGTCACACAATCGTAATCGAATGACTGGTTATATTTTTGGTGTGTCATAGAATAGTAGAATAGCAATTAATTATGTCTTCTTATTTTAATCATTTTTATCACAATGTTTTGTGTTTTAAATTTCTGGCTATTTAGGTGATCTCTTGATGTTTTCATGAAATAGGAGAAGTAAAGGGAAACACTACTACCTTATTTCTGTTTTTTGAAGGAATTATTTTAGTATTTCTACGTTAAGTATAATAATTCTAGTATTAAAATATTCATTAAGTGTTTTGTACTTAATGGTTTGTTTGTTTGTTTGTTTGTTTGTTTGTTTGTTTGTTTTTAAGACAGGGTCTTGCTCTATGACCCAGGCAGGAGTGCAGTGGTGTGATCTCAGCTCACTGCAGCCTCCTTCTACCGGATTCAAGTGATTCTCATGCCTCAGCCACCCGAGTAGCTGGGATTCCAGGCGTGTGCCACCATGCCTGGCTAATTTTGTGTGTCTGTTTTTATTAGAGACGGGGTTTCACCATGTTGGCCAGGCTGGTCCTAGCATCATGTGATCTGCCTGCCTCGGCCTCTACAAGTGCTGGGATTACAGGTGTGAACCAGCACACCTGGCCTTATACTTAATGTTTTGAATAGTTTATGTTTAATCTTTATCAGATGCCGTTTTGATATTCAAAGGTCAGTTTTGCTAGTTACGTTAAAAAGCACGTAGTAAATTTATTTTATTTGTGAAGATTAACACTTGACCTGCAGGGTTCATTTTCACTTTTTGTTATTCAGCGACTGCCACTTGTGATGTTAAGTTCATCACTGGCTTCACTGTTCCAGGTAGAAGTTACAGTTTGCCAGAGAGCAGTAGTACTACTTTTCTATTTTTTCTCTTTTTTAACTCTGAAAAATAAAATACATTTTTAAAGTATGCACATGCACATGTAGATGTGCCGTGTAAAGAATACTTATAACATGATCATCTCGAGAAATTGGAGTATTGTTGGCATCCCAGAAATCATATGTGTATTTCTTTGCTATCATTTTTCTCTTCTGTTCCTCTAGAGATTACTATTCTGACTTTTCTTCTTCTTTGCTTTTCTTTATGACCTGCACATATATCAAAAAGTATAATTTAGTTTTGTATATTTTGTACTTCAATAAATGGAATTACTGTATTTATTCTTTTGTCACTTCTTTTGTTGATCATTATTTGTGAGATTCATTTGTATTAGTTATATGTAGCATCCATTCCTTTATTGTCCTTGTACTGTGTTTATTTAATTCAGAATTCCACATTTATATTGAAAGTGCTCTGAAAAGATGATTCATTTCTTTTCAATTTTCCATTCTTTGAATACTTCAGATAGTACCAAAAGTAATTCCTTTTGGCAGAAAGTGAGTTTAGAAGTAAGTGGTTACTTTGCTTTTTGTTTTTGGTTCAACACATTAAAAATGTTCTGATTGGATTAAACACTGTCTTACATGTGAAATGAAAATGATACCTGAAAAACTAAGAGAATCTGAGGATCCCAGAGATTCTAAACACTTTTTTGTCATTTATCATGGCCTTAGATATGAATACTCTTCCTTACGATGTCATGGTGCCACTCAGTTGTATCCTATTTCTACCTTTGTGTTTTGGACAGTTAATTACTGTGATTTATAGTAACTTATCTCATACTTTTTGGTCTCAGAAGCCTCTTTGCATTTAAACATTATTAAAGTTCCCAAAGTGATTTTTTTTTCTTTTTTTAAATAGAGACTGAGTCTTAACTATGTTGCCCAGGCTGGTCTCGAACTCCTGGCCTCAAGTGATGCTCTCACCTTGGCCTCCCAGGGTGCTGGGATTATAGGCGTGAGCCACTGCACCAGGCCTCAAAGTGATTTTTTTATATGGGTTATATATGATATACATGTGCAGATCTTTTGACCCAGCTATCCCATGTCGTAGATTTATATGCATATACATGTCCAAAAATATAAAAATACATATGTACAAGGTGACTTATAACATTATTCGTAATTGCAAAATTTTGAAAACCTAATTGCCTATAGGTGGGAGAGTGCTTAAATTCACCATGGTGAATCTACACAAAGGAGACTGGCAGTTTTAAAAAAGAAATGAAACGTGAGCAAAAGAAAAAAAAAAGATAGTATTTTAATCGTGAATGAAATACATATCCATGAGTTTATGCTGATATAAATAAGTAATCAAATACATAAATAAATGGCATATGGACAGACGGCTCTTTCTCATAGAAGAATTTCAGTTAATAAGTATAGATGGAAATAGACCAAAAGAAAATCACCATGAGACAAACTGATGGTTGTGAAAGTTAGTGTGTGAAAGTTTGAGGTTAAACATGGCTTTCATAGTCTCAAAATGTTTTCTCTAAGGTGTTTATTTATTTTAACAGAAGACTAACTTTTCAGTGAAGAAACCTACCAGGACACCTTAACAAAGTGTTTAGAGTTAACATTACCAGTAATAAAGAGACATTGACCTCATGAACCCCTTGATACAAGGCACTGAGAGGGACACAATATCATTTCTGTGTTATTCTTTCCAAAAATGTGTAGCCTCATTCCAGTAATGAGAAAATGCCAGACAAATGCAAATTCTGGGACATTTTACGACATAACTGAGCAGTACACTTTAAATATGTCAAGATGATGAAAGACAAGGAAAGACTGAGCAGTTACAGATGTATTCGAGGGGAAATGTCAGCTAAATGAATTGTGGGATCTTGGATTAAAGCAGATTTCAGGAAAAGGAACAGAAAATTAGCTGGGTATAGTGGTGCATACCTATAGTCCCAGCTACTTGGGAGGCTGAAGAGGGAGGATCACTTGAGCCCAGGAGTTTGAGGTTGCAGTGAGCCCAGGAGTTTGAGGTTGCAGTGAGCCCAGGAGTTTGAGGTTGCAGTGAGCCCAGGAGTTTGAGGTTGCAGTGAGCCCAGGAGTTTGAGGTTGCAGTAAGCCCTGTTTGCGCCACTGCGCTTCAGCCTGCAAGACAGAGTGAGACCCTGTCTCAAAAAAAGAAAAAAAAAATCCGGAAAGAAAGGACATTGGTGGAAAAACAATGAAAGGACATTGGTGGAAAAACAATGAAAGTAAGGTTCTCAGGTTGGTAAATAGCATTGTACCAGTGTTAATTTCCCAGTTTTGATCATCTTACTATGGTTATGTAAACCATAAACATTACAGGAGCCTGTATAAGGAGCAGATGGGCACTGTTCTGTTTTTGCAGCTTTTCTGTATGTTCATAATTAATTCAGAATAAAAGTTTTATTTAACAAATGTATTGACACTATATTTCTCAGCACTTTTAATCACCCAGTTCACTTTGCCATCTCTTTGAAATAAGTATGCTTTGGAATTTAAAAATGTCTTACTACCAAAATTAACATAACAGGTTAGTTAGCTCAGGCATTTTTCCTGAATTTAGGAATGCAGATATTATGTTCTCATATTGTTGACTTCGTAAACCCGTAGTTTAATTAGGAATGTAGCTGATCAGGCCGGGCACGGTGGCTCATGCCTGTAATCCCAGTACTTTGGGAGGCTGAGGTGGGTGGATCACCTGAGGTCAGGAGTTCAAGACCAGCATGACCAACATGGAGAAACCCCATCTCCACTAAAAATAGAAAAGTAGCCGGGTGTGGTGGCACATGCCTGTAATCCCAGCTACTCAGGAGGCTGAGGCAGGAGAATCGCTTGAACCTGGGAGGTGGAGGTTGCGGTGAGCCGAGATCATGCAACTGCACTCTAGCCTGGGCAACAACAGCAAAACTGCATCTCAAAAAAATAAAAATAAAAAGGATGTAGCTAATCAAGTTGATCGTTCTAAAGATTAGACTCAAATCCTCAAGCCATGATGATGTAATATGGCTATTATCAGTAGAGTTATACCTAGACCTAGAGATGAACCTTGACCTGTCTGTATCCTTCAAGTATAGAAGGTTTAATTTTACTCATTTTTAAACATACTTGAGATGTCTTTCATTTTTTCAATATAAATTTATCGAATGCTTTCTAAGTGTCAGGCACTGTTGCTAATCTTTGGTTATACAGCAGTGAAAAGACATGTTCTCCGCCCTTCTGGAACATTGTCTCATGGAAAAACAATAAAACTAAACAAATAAGTAAATATCAATCAGGGTAAGTACTACAAAGAAATAAACAGGACACTGTGATAGATGATGGGGGAGGGAAATATTTTGGGCAACAAATTTAGGTAGTGACATCAGAGGAGTCCTCCCAAAGGATATTGAGATCTGAAAAAGCCTTATAAAAAGTGGAGAAGACAAAAAATTGAGGTTACCCATATGGCAGTGAAAAGCTTGGCATTTTCAAAGTAGAGAATAGGTAAGGGTCAGGTCAAAAGGGACCTTATAGGCCATGAAAAGAAGTTTAGATTTTACAAGTAGTGAAACAGTCTACGTGAAAAGTTGACAGGATCTGATTCGCATTTTCAGGATACTGTTTTTTGCAATATCTGGAGGATGATTGGAGTGGGACAAGAGTCATACAAAAGTGTTTGCTCACTGTTTCATACCTTTGTGTGCTGTGCAGTTTTCTATGCTAGAAACAGTAATGTTGCACGAGACAAACAAGCTTCTTTCTCTTAAGAAGCTCACATTCTGGTAAGGGCTCTGTGAGAATTGAGGAGAGAGGTTTTTATTTATATTTAAAAAAAAATTTTTGGAGACAGACTCGCTCTGTCACTCAGGCTGCAGTGCAGTGGCATGATCATAGTTCACTGCAGCCTCAAACTCCTGGACTTAAGCGATTCTCCTGCCTCAGCCTCTGGAGTATCTGGGACTATAGGGGTGTGCCACCACACCTGGCTAATTTTTTTTTTCTTCTTATTTTAAGTAGAGACTGAGTCTTGCTGTGTTGCCCAGTCTGGACTTGAACTCCTGGCCTCAAGCAGTCCTTCTGCCTTAGCCTCCAAAATGCATGGATTATACTTTACATTACTTATTATAACTTTTTATTTCTGCTGGCTGTCAAAAGATGTGTTATAATACAAGTACAATAATTTCAATTATAGTAATTGCTATACGCAGAACTGAAATTAGGTAAATTCCAGCAACAGCAAGAACCTTTCAAATAAAACATATAGAAGCATAGTCTTAGCTGATTTGGCTGTTGGTGAATTGGGGATTAAAAAAAGCTTTCTCTTGAAAGCCTACCCATCTTTTAAGGGTCAGATGCTTTTTCTTGCGAAGCTGCCTAAATCCTCGCAGTTGGAATTAATCATACCTTCTGTTGTAATTTCATTAGTTTGTTTCTGCATTGATTTGGGGATTATTTTATATTACTTTGTATTATATGCTAATTGTGTGCTGGTTCTTCTGCATACTTGAGCTTGGGGACCATGTCTTGGTATTTTACATATAGTTGGTACTTCATAAATGCTTATTGATTTTAATTGTATCTATAGATGTCAAGAACGTTCTGTCACATGCATCTTAGCCTGGTCTCTTAGTCTATTTGGGCTGCTATAGCGAAATACTGTAAACTGGCTAGCTTATAAACAACAGAAATTTATTTCTCACAGTTCTGTGCCTGGAAAGTCCAAGATCAAGGAACCAGCAGATTTGGTGTCTGGTACAGGTCCACTTTCTGGTTCATAGGTAGCACCTTCTTGTTGTGTCCTCACATGGTGGAAGGGGCAAGGCAGCTCTCTGCAGCCTCTTTTATAAGGGCATTTAATGCCATTCATGAGGGCTCTGCTCTCATGACCTAATGACCTCCCAAAAGCTCCACCTCCTAATACCATCACATTGGTGATTAGATTTCAACGTTTGAATTTTGGGAGCACACAAAATTCAGATTCTGATTCTGATCTGATCTGATTCAGATCATTGCACCTGGCATTTGGAGCCTCCTATTAAAGCAAGCTCTGTTTTAACCTCATCTTGAGGTCAGATGCTTGGCTTCTCTGTTTTACACAAGCTGACAGTGTTGGTTTCTTTGAATATAACACGTTGTTTTCCTAATGTATGCTCTTCTACTTCTGCAGAATCTTTTTCCTGTGGATTTCCAGTTTTACTACATAAAGATTCTGCCTTCAAATTAACTTTTGTTGATGAACTCTGCCTGGACTTGTTATTGCCTTATCCATTGTTCCTTAGCCTGAATGTTTAATCATGCTTTATTGTTTACATACTTTTCAATACATTGTTTTATAATTGCCCCTGTGTGATTTAACCCATTTAATTTTCCCTTCTCAGCTAGTTTATATCTGCCATAAGTGAAGAATTACTTTAAAATTTCTTTTTAGTTTTTCTTAAACACTGTTTTGCATAGGTTCATTAATTATAGCTGTACTTATTGAGTTATAAATAATAAAATTTAATTTAGTTATAATTTTTTTGGAACTGAATGATATTCCATTCAGCATCCTAATAAATATTCTCTAAAATTCTGTAGGCTATCCTTTAAGAGCCTTGTATGTTTTAACACAGGAAATGCCATCTTCCCTTAGTTGAGAATATTAATTCTTTGAGCAGTGACACTCAGATACACCTTTCAGCAAGGCTGTAAGTTTTAGTCACGTCCTAATAATGCAAAGTAGAGTGGACTGAAAGGAGGCTCCTATCAATAGTGGTTTGGGGCTTTGTTTTCCTTTATAACAAAGATAAGTATCTGAATTTAACCTTGAAAGAGGTTGTTGTGAGAGAGATTAATGGAATGCTGTGGTGCTGTGAGACAGCTCTCCCGAAACCAATGAATATTAAGAATAAAGTTCAAAGAAAGTGAAAACAATGGAAATAGAGCCGGGGAAAATCAGCTTTACATATATTTAAGCATATTCTCTTCTTAGATATATAGTCAATGAAACATTTGTGTTTTTCTCTGTAATTTGATTTAACTCTGTCTACAAAAACAGTTTCTTCATTTTGATAAGAGATTTTTTTTCCTTTCTGAGAATGAACACTACTTATCCTTCATTTTTAGATTTGCCAGGGGGATAATTATTTAAGAAAGCCTTTTATAAACATTAAGATTGACATCTTTTTAGGAATACTATTTCTAGAAATAGTATGTGATTTGTCACATGCTGGATACATCTAATATATTAATGTTCCTGTTTTTGCAAAAATAAATTTTGATTTCCTGTTTCTAGAACTTTTCCTTCACCTATTTAAATGTTTAATCCTGTATCATTTCTTCCTTTTTAATAAAAATTTTTTCTTAGTAAAACAGGGCTTTTTCTATATAGAATATTGTCGTAGGTGAGTTTTTATGGTGTTCTTAATGAATATTAGAGTAACGGATCACAATGGAAAAGTGTGCATATAAATCAGCATCTGTTTTTACATCCCTGTGGATAGTTGCTGAAATTACGCATGAAAATTCTCTTTTACTGCAGGTGAAGCACCTACACAAATTGTTGGTTATGTGTGCAGCTTTTAAAAACTCCTATCTCAAACTGGGCCACTTTTTACCATTTAGAAAGAAAGCAAAAACACGGCTTAACATTACTTTTTAAAATTCTGCAGTGTTTGAAATGGACTCTGTAGTACTTTTCCCTCTGGCCACATGTCAGTTCAATTTAATAGCAGTGAAATTTATTGAAAGACTTTATTGATAGGACTAATGTGCTCTCCATAAAATGATGAATAAAATTACATTAGGCACTAAAATTATTAAAAACTGGACTACTAAGTTCTCACTTTAGTGAAATGAATGGTTTACTCCTTTCCTTTGTGTTGTGTGAGCTCTTCTTGGTTTGCATTTGGAAGGAAAAGTCTCCAATGAGATTCTTTTTTTTCTTAAATTTTATTTTTAATTATAATGGATACATAATAGTTATACATATTTACGAGGTACACATGATGTTTTGATACAAGCATGTAATGTGTAATGATCAGATCTGGGTAATTAGGGTACTCATCCCCTCAAGCATTTATCATTTCTCTGTGTTAGGAACGTTATAATTCTATTCTTTTAGGTATTTTAACATGTACAACAAAGTGTTGTTAGTTATAGTTGCCTTATTATGCCACTGAATGCTAATCCTGTTATTTTTTAAGAGAACAGAAGCAGGTATGCAAATAGTCCATTTTCTAAGACCTCAGAAGCAAAGGTCAGCCTCTTATGGGCCACATCAGTTGTCTGTTATTTTAAGGAAAAGATATTTTTGGGATTTTTTGGTAAAGACTTTGAAAAGGTATGCTTGTTCTTTTTATAAGCATTACAGATCAAAGATTTATAGTGTCCTAGGATTAGGTAAACTCCATGTCCTTGCCCAAGTTTCTCATACTCAGCTACCATGATTTTCAAGATGAGACCCTTCCCAGTCTGTATGGGATATTTGTACTCTATGCTCTGTAAAATTTATTGATATAAAGCATCATTTTTATATGTGTACTTTTCTGTTTATTTAATGAAATACATCTGCTTTTGTTTTGACTTTGGTTTTTAACAATTGGGGTTATAACAGAGCACCACTCTTAACTGAGGGGAGACATTTGAGGTGTTTTAAGGAGAAGGAGGGAGAGAATATTTTTAAATTTTAACCCACAGTATTGCCTTAAAGTAGTTGGTGTGTAACCAAATTCTGTCTCTGTGTTGTGCTAGCTTTCACTTCATCAGTGCATCTGGCTTCAATTTTTTTCCCCACAAAGCATCTGAGAAGTTGGTAAATGAATTCTGACATGTTGAATGATTTTAATGAAATCTTCTGGATGTGTATATATGCTTAGGGGATGGGGAAGAGGGAGGCAGAATAAGCAGTGGGGTTGAAGGTAACAAAGAATTACTGTCTCTTTACGTTAAGGATAATGGATAACAGTTAACATTAATATCTTTCAGAACAGGTTAAAGTCTGTCTGGTAAGTGGTGTTTACTTCCAAGGAAGCAGCTCTTATTATTAATTCAAATAAATGACTTCCATTACCGTGTCAGAATGAGAGCTGGGAGAGGGAGGAGAGAATGTGGGAGATTGTTACTTTGGATAATCTTTGTGAAATCTGAATTGGCCTTCTTTCTGCTGCAGAAAAAGGCAAAAGCTTAGGGAGATCTACCATCATCAAGTAGCTCTTTTTTATGTGACTATACTGTAGGGCCTTGTTAACAATTTTTGAGGGAGATGTTTGAGGGAACAACAAATTAAATTTTAATTGCAGTTTCTCCTCTGCCTTTGCTTTTCTGATTGAATGTTTGATTGGAAAGAAAGGCAGCTAGCTGGGTGTGGTGGCTCACACCTGTAATCCCAGCACTTTGGGAAGCCGAGGCGGGCAGATCACCTGAGGTCAGGAGTTCGAGACTAGCCTGACCAACATGTAGAAACCTTATCTCTATGAAAAATACAAAATTCGCCAGGCGTGGTGGTGCATGCCTGTAATCCCAGCTACTCTGGAGGCCGAGGCAGGAGAATTGCTTGAACCCAGGAGGTGGAGGTTGTGGTGAGCCGAGATCACGCCATTGCACTCCAGCCTGGGCAACAAGAGGGAAACTGCATCTCAAAGAAAAAAAAAGGCAGTGGAGGGTAGAGTCTTACAGCTCAGTGATGTGTAGCTTGGTGTTGACAGAGCTGACATCAAGAAGTAAAGTTCTGAGAGATGTATTGGGAGTGGTATCATGGGAGTTGCTATAGAGTCCAGTCTCTCCCTGTTAATCTGCCTGAGTGAAGCTATAGTTAGGCTGTCCCAACTTCTGCCCTAGTCTCTTTGAATATAGGAGTCTTCTTCTTTAAGGAGATGAGGGATTCTTTGAAAGGTCTTCCTTCTTCTCCCTCTACCAGACCCCTCAAAGTAGTCACACAAACCTCCTGCCGTGAACCCTGTACTCTGTGAGTGAAGTATTCGTATTTGATTTCAGCAAATATGTGAGGCTGGCAAAAGTAGGCTTCAGTTACATAATCCAATGGTAGGAAAAATGGTCTGGGTTCGTTTTGGTGAGTGCAAATGTGGTTAATAGCAGTTGAAGTAAAACTCTAAAGATACTGCTTTCATTTTAGGTGATATGAACTATTTAAAATGATAAAGCATGTTCCTTTGCTATCTCTAGATAGCTATTAAGTGAGATGTCTGTGACACACAGTACATTTCTAAATTTTGGGTTGCCTGAATTGTTTAAGCAGAGTAAAATAGCCAAGTTAGGGCAGGTGCATGGAATAAAACTCTCTCTCTACTTAGTCTTATTCCCCTAGGCTGCCAATTTAATGCTTTTTTCTAATTAGTGAGTGCTATAAAATGGCTTATCTCCAAACAGTACCTGTGTTAATGGCAAAAACCACAATTACTTTGGCACCAACCTAATAATTCCCCTTTGTAATTTTTTTAAATTTTATTTTTATTTTATTTTATATATTTTTTTGAGCCAAAGTCTTACTCCCTCTCCCAGGCTGGAGTGTGGTGGCATAGTCTTGGCTCACTGCAACCACCGCCTCCCCGGTTCAGGCAATTCTCCCTGCCTCAGCCTCCCGAGTGGCTGGGATTACCGGTGTGCATCACCACCCAGGATAATTTTTGTATTTTTAGTAGAGATGTGGTTTCACCATGTTGGCCAGGCTGGTCTTGAACTCCTGACCTCAGGTGATCCACCCACCTTGGCTTCCCAAAGTGCTGGGATTACAAGCTTAATTTTTAATTGACAAATAATAATCGTACGTATGTATGGTGATGTTTGAATACATGTATACATTGTGGAATGATCAAATCAGGCTAATTAACATATCCATCACCTCACATACTTGTCATTTCTTTGTGGTGAGAACATCTCAAATCCACTTTTTTTTTTTTTTTAATACTTTAAGTTCTGGGTTTCATGTGCAGAATGTGCAGTTTTGTTACATAGGTATACATGTGCCATGGTGAGTTGCTGCACCCATCAACCTGTCACCTACATTAGCTATTTTCTCCTAATGTTATCCCTCCCCCAGCCCCAAACCCCCCCAACAGGCCCCAGTGTGTGATGTTCTCCTCCCTGTGTCCATGTGTTCTGATTGTTCAACTCCCACTTATGAGTGAGAACATGCGGTGTTTGGTTTTCTGTTCTTGTGTTAGTTTGCTGAGAATTAGGGTTTCCAGCTTCATCCATGTCCCTGCAAAGGACATGAGCTTATCCTTCTTTATGGCTGCATAGTATTCCATGGTATATATGTGCCACATTTGCTTAATCCAGTCTATCGCTGATGGACATTTAGGTTGGTTCCAAGTCGTTGCTATTGTGAACCGTGCCACAATAAACATTCGTGTGCATGTATCTTTATTATAGAATGATTTATAATCCTTTGGGGTATATACCCAGTAATGGGATTGCCGGGTCAAATGGTATTTCTAGTTCTAGATCCTTGAGGAATCACCACACTGTCTTCCACAATGGTTGAACTAATTTACACTCCCACCAACAGTATAAAAGCATTCCTGTTTTTCCACAACCTCTTCAGCATCTGTTGCTTCCTGGCCTTTTTTTTTTTTTTTTTTTTTTTTTTTTTGAGACGGAGTCTCATTCTGTTGCCCAGGCTGGAGTGCAGTGGCGTGATCTCGGCTCACTGCAAGTTCTGCCTCCCGGGTTCACGCCATTCTCCTGCCTCAGCCTCCCGAGTAGCTGGGACTACAGGCACCCACCACCACTCCTGGCTAATTTTTTTTTGTATTTTTTTTTAGTAGAGACGGGGTTTCACCATGTTAGCCAGGATGGTCTCAATCTCCTGACCTCGTGATCCGCCCACCTCAACCTCCCAAAGTGCTGGGATTACAGGCGTGAGTTTAATGATCGCCATTCTAACAGGTGTGAGATGGTATCTCATTGTGGTTTTGATTTGCATTTCTCTAATGACCAGTGATGATGAGCATTTTTCAAGTCTGTTGGCTACATAAATGTCTCCTTTTGAGAAGTGTCTGTTCATATCCTTTGCCCATTTTTTGATGGGGTTTGCTTTTTTCTTGTAAATTTGTTTAAGTTCTTTGTAGATTCTGGATATTAGCCCTTTGTCAGATGGATAGATTGCAAAAATTTTCTCCCATTCTGTAGGTTGCCTGTTCACTCTGATGAAATCTACTTCTTTAAAAACAATTTTGAAATACACAGTTGTAATTTAAAATTAGACTCTGTTTTTGCCTTTTTTTTTTTTTATAACTTTTTCCCTTGTCTACTTTAAGACTAGAAGCAGTTATAATGAAAATTCATGAGGAAACAGGAGTTTAAAGAGGGTCTTTATTCAGTGGGGGCCAATAGACTCTGAGTATTTCGTTCTCAGACTAAAAAAAAAAAAAAAAAGTTGATTCCCCAAACAGTCAAATGTGAGGATTCACTCAAATGTGATGACTAAGCTTATTGATAAACCTCCATTGTATATCTCTTAAAACATTTGCCCAATTTTTTTTCAGCTGAACTTTGATGATTGGCCTATCACTGAGTATTCTTGGTGTTGAACTATTTATGAATACGTTGGATTACTCTAATTTATAATCATAGTCACAAGAAAATATTTTATTAGAGTTCAAATCACTTGCAGAGTTTATTCTGAATAATTCCTGACATAATGCATATCTTGCTGGTTTCACATTCAGTGAAATGCTGAGCCATATCTCAATTCTGTAGTCTCCATAATATCTGCCTTTATATTTTAGGTATGTTTGGGTTCCATTTTAATATAGTCTCATACCAACAGCTGTGTTTTTATAATTGAGGTCCTGTTAGCCTAAAAGGCATTTTTCTTGGAGAAGAAATTTTGTCTTCATTGATAATCCAGTTTTGTTATACTGGAGCTACATCCTCAGGTTCTATAATACCCATCCTTCAGTTTGACTCCAAGTCATCCTTACCTCCTGGCGTTCATGCCCTTGTGTAGTCCTCTCCCGCACCCTGTCAGGATTGGTCTGTATGAACCGTACAAGAAGGCAGAAGTGATGGCGCCGGCTTCTGAAGCTACATCACAAAAGATACTGATGCAACTGCCTTGCACTCCTGAATCACTTGCCCTGGTGAGAGCCAGCCTCCGTGTTGTAATGACACTCAAGCAGCCCGGTGGAGAGGAACAGAGGCCTCTTGCCACTAGCTGCACCACCTTGCCAGCCATGTAAGTGGAAGCAAAGGACTGAATCCTGGTTGACATCTTGACTACCACCTCATAAGAGACCCTGGCACCAGAACTGTTTAGCTAAGCTGCTTTTGAGTTCTTGACCCACACAAACTGTGTGAGATAATCAGTATTCACTGTTTTCTTAAGCTGCTAAGTTTCGAAGTAACTCATTAATACAACAATGAACAATGATTACAGATATTTTATATTTTTAGTATTAAGGTGATCTACCATAGTCTGATTTTTCCCCTCTAAATCCACAGTTTGGTTTTCTCTGTTAGAGTAATAAATGCTATTTTAAATTGTTTTATTCATATTATCACCATGGTAATTATCAGGGTTGGGTAACATTGGAGCTTTTGTTGGTGTTTATTACCTATATAACTCATATTTGTCTGCTGACAGCCTGTAAGCTGGGAAAAGAGTTACAAATGTATGTAAAACATGATGTGTCATATAGCCTTTTATAGATTTATTTCCTATGTAAAAAACTGCTCTAACTAGTGCCACATTCTCCAGTAGAAATACAATGTGAGCCACACGTATAATTTTGAATTTTCTAATAGTCTCATTAAAAAAACTAAAAGGAAACATTAATTTTAATAATGTTTTCTTTAATCAAATATATCCAAAATATTATTTCAACATATAATCAATATGAAAATTATTAAAGAAGTGTTGTACCTCCTTTTTTTAAGACTAAGTTTTTGAAATTTAGGTGTGTTTATAGCACATCTCAGTTTGGACTAGCCACGTTTAATCACCCAGTAGCTAGTTGTTGCTAGTGGCTTCTGCATTGGACAGTACAAATAGTATATTAGCTAAAGAAGAATATTTTCTTCTAAGCTAGCGGCAGATTAAGAATGCCTATAAACAACAGGTATGATTTTCTCAAATTAAGTGTGGCATGTCCTATCTTAATCTCTAGCTACATTTAGTTCCAGTAAGTCAACTTCCTAATTTCCAGATGCTTCAGATCCTTCAAACCTAAGGAATATAGGGATAGGAGGAATTAGGGATAGTACATAGTATATGTAGATTTCTTCAGCATTACAGACTCAGAATGGCTCTTACTGTCTCATAGTTTATCATGAAGGTTGGTGAATATGGACTTTTTGAAGGAGAAAATGTACTTTAGCATGTAAAGCATGTATTCCAAGCCTCAGGCTACACATGGTAGAATCACTCTTACACTTGGGCCACCAGGAAGCACTTTCCAGGGGTTTTAGCACATCCCCTTACTTCATCGATGTGGTCCTCAGAGCAGAAGTATGTGAAGTCTGTTGCATTTCATGATTCTCAAGTCTAATATGACATCTTATTGGCTCACTCACTTTCAAGGAAGCTGGTGACAACTGTCACTTCTTCAACTCAAAGTCTGGCATTGACAGATTAGAGATTTTTAAATCTTCAGAATCTTCAGGATTTATGGAAGAACTTACTGTGATAATATTGTCCCTTTTAAAAAATGTTGTTATTTAGAACATCCCATGGTTATCAAAAGACTTGAAAGGAATTTCTTATCATAATTCTGACCCACTTCTGTAAAATATTGCCGTGAAGAAATTCATAGGACTTTTGAATAAAAAGCTGAAGAGCACAATGATGTATAATCCATACATGTTTTGTTCTCTTTACCTTTCTTTTTTCTGATCATGAGCACTGCCTGAAGATGTGTTTGCCTGGTCTGCTTTTCTCTTTTCACAGTAAACAGTTAACTTACATATTTAGATATCAGTTATCTAAACAATGACACTTGTAACTATTTCCAGAAGGTCTTTAGATCCCTATTGATTTCTTCATAGTGCAAGATACTCTTTTAACATATTTTTCAATTTTCTTTTGATTTTATATCAGAACTATGTATTTTATATTATTTACACAAATAATACTTACATGTCTTAGAATAATAGTCACTTCTCTTATTCTTTTCTAACTCTGATTCCTCTTCCTCTGAGATGACCACTTTCATCTCTTTTGGTTGTTTCTACTGTTGTTTATTTTTATCTTTCCAAATGACATTCTTATATTATTGTTGTATTATTTTTCTTATTTGGGCGTTGTCTGTTGACATCTTATCATAGATGATGAGGAATTAGTGTTTTTACACAAACCAACACACACACTTACTTCTTTCTGTCCTTCCAATATAATTATATCTAGGTCTACATTTTTAAAACTGAGGCACGTAGTATATTATGATTTACATTTTGGTCTTTCCTAGGGTACCTTAGTTTTCCTTTTTGTTTTTCCTGTCTTGGGTATCTCTTTCTTTCTTTCTTTTTTTTTTTTTTTTTTTTTGAGACGGAGTCTCACTCTGTTACCCAGGCTGGAGTGCAATGGCATGATCTTGGCTCACTGCAACCTCCACCTCCTGGTTCAAGTGATTCTCCTGCCTCAACCTCCTGAGTAGCTGGGATTACAGGCGCCCGCCACAACGCCCAGCTAATTTTTTTGTATTTTCAGTAGAGACGGGGTTTCACCATGTTGGTCAGGCTGGTCTCAAACTCCTGACCTCGTGATCCACCCGCCTTGGCCTCCCAAAGTGCTGGGATTGCAGGCGTGAGCCACCACGCCCTGCTTTCTTGGGTATCTATTCCCAGATTCCTTTCTACACCCATAAAATTCCTCCTGATATCATTGCTACTATAAAAACACATCATCCCTTACTAATTGCCCTTGGATAATCCATACATCTGCTGTTTTTCTTGGAAACATTCATTTCCTTTCTCTGCTGTAGTGTGTAGTTAGTCTCTAGGTTGTGTCATGCTTGTGGTTCCCTTCACCACTCACCTATGGTAGAGCTCTTTTTTCTGGATCCCACATCTTCTTTCCAGGTTTACCTCTTCATTTTCATAGAGTATACCGTAGTAGCTTCCTGAGAGAGTCGTTGAGTGAGATACTTTTTTGGGGGGATTTTGCATTCAACTCCCATATTTGATTGGTAGTTTAGATACAGAATTCTAGATTGGTAATCATTTGTTTTCCCTTAGAGTTTTGAAACCATTACTCAAATTGTCTTCTACTTTCCTGTGTTGCCTTTAAAAACTCCAGTGTCTTCTGATTTGTTGATCTGACAAGTGATCATTTTTGGCCTTTCTAAAAGTTTTCAAGATGTTTTCTTTCCTCTAGTGTTCTAAACTTTACAGAAAGAGTATTCATATTATCATCTAAGCACCAAATGATGGATTTAATCTTTTTGCAAGAGCGAGGACAAGAAAGAGTGATTATAAATATTACCTAGCAGTGCTGTTGATACTCTGGTATTTGTAGGACTCAAGGGCTTTCCTGTTTATTTCTTACAGTGGCTCAACATTTTATTAAATTAAATAGGAGATTCAAGCTGTGGTTCAACACAAGAGAAACTTCTTGGTTTATTTTAGCAGAGCTCTCAAAATTCCAAAACTAAAACTAGTGCCAGATTTTACCCACTCGATAGATTAAGTAATTCTGGACTTTGTAAATGAAGGTGAGAGAGATATTTGCCGTCTTCTTTCTCTTGTATTTTACTATCCTAGTTTGATACAGTTGCGTTAGAGCAAATGCTTCCATACTTAGCTTTACATCGAAATGTTATGTGACTTATAATATCACGTAAATATTACTTATCAGCCATTTCCTTTTATTTGTAGTTTCACTTGGCTTTTGTTTTTCATCCTTATTATCGAGAAAGATTTTGAACCAGGCTTTGTCATTAATTCCAGAAATCTTTTTTAAATAAGGCTGTGAACACTGAGCTCATGGAGTACACTCTGGTTTCACTGCCGGCTTCAGGTAAAGTCATGACATGAGTTTTATAATGAAACACTATGAAACTTGATTCTCTGCATTGTGACAGATTACTAATCATTTTCTCCCTAAAAGTTTTTTATTGATACAGCCACAAAGCTATTTTTGCCCCACGCAGATGTACAAGTGAAGTTGTTTGCTTGAAATAGATTCCTGGGAAGTTATTTGGAATTAACTGTTTGAGCCTCAATTTTAGATAATAGAAGCCTCTCAGGAGACTTGCAAAAAACAGTTTAAGAGTGGGATAGGATAGACCGCACAAAGACATAATACTGAGTTTTCCGTAAGTTGCTAATGAGAAACGTTATCAACTTTATGTATTAATAATGTTTCTTTATGCTTCTTTATACTTACAGCAATCTGTATTTTAGAATCCCACATTACTCCAAAATAGTCATTCTCATTCATTAGAGGGTTTGAGAAGACTGAACTAATCATTGCATCCATCTCTTAGTTCGTAATCCTTCTTTTATGTTTAGTTTTCTTTGATTCTGAAGAAACCACCTTGGCCTTTGTTTTGACGGGCATCGTTCCTTGTCTCTGCGCGCGGCGTCCCTTTAAAACCCTCCACTGTACTGTGCTGCTCATGGCAAGTCAACAGAGGGAAGGAAGAGCTCAACAAACAACGTTTGTTTTCTTTTGTTTTGTTTTGTTTTGTTTTGTTTGATACAGATAAACTGCCCTACATAAAACAGAACCTCACTTATGGGAATAGATCACAGTATTTTATAACTGTGGAGAAACACAGTTCTCTGAGAAGAATGAAAACTTGTAACATGAACATCACGTACAGCACCAAAATGTGAATTTTTTTCTAAATCTCATTTTTTAAAATTTAGAAAAACGAGAGAGGAAAAGATTTATCAACTGTTCATTAAGAAGAATGTTAAATAATAGATGCTGTTCTTCCAAAGTGGGGAGAAAAATCTGACTTAACTTTGACAGATTTCAAGTTCTAGATTTTTGAAGGTACAGTTGTCAAAAAGGACTTACAAAAGTGGGCTGTGGTATAATTGAGTTTCTTAGATAAAATAAAAAATTCTTGGATATCTTTTCCTGATATGAGTACTCTGAAAATTGGAGAATGGTTTAGCAAATCTTGCTCTTTTGTTTTATGTATTTTTAAAAGGAAGCACTTTATTCTTAATCCTCTAGTTTCATAAGAAGTTAAAGAAGGAAGTGCCTATAATAACCTGATGACTGCAGTTCTCCATCCCACTTGAACTCTTCTTCATGTTGTCTTCTTAAGATCTCTCCTATCTTACATGAACTCAGCGTTCTGTAGGGTTTTGTTTGACTTTCTGATAGATCAACATTCACCTCTCCGGAAGCTGTGTTTTAAACTTGTGTAGAACATCAGGGCTGGGAATTGCTTAGTTGGCTGATAAAATTGCTCATTCTTAGCCAGACCGGTCACTTATATCCAGTTGTCATTTTTGGTTTTCTCCTATGAGATTATGAGAAAACCATACATTCTTGAAATACTAGGATGCATCACTTGCTTTTCAATGTCTTTTAAGAAATCGTTTGCTGACAATTGTCTATGAAGAATATCATCTGAAAGATGATGCTGCTTACTGCACTTTTTCATGTAGGCTTAACTGCAGGGAAAGAGTGTTTTGATATTCGGTCGAATTACTATCTCATCAAAGCTGGCTTTATGCTTAGAGAGTAGTTCAAAAACAACTTTGTGCTTTTAAGTAATCAAGCCCTTGCCACCTCTGCTGTCTAACACAGTTTTGTTCTCTCTGTTACAGAGAGCAAATTTCTCACATTTGTCTTGCTTAACTAACTTGAGCCTTTGCTGTTAATGATATACTTCTTCAGCCTCCTTCTTTCCTTTCCTTGCTTTCTTTATTGTGTCCTCTGTGACGATATCTTGTTGACCTGGATTTGCTTCTGATGGAAAGAACATTTAATAAGCAAACAGCCCTTTCTTAATAAATAGGCTCTCCCTGGGTTAAGTAATTAATCCACTTCACCTAGTCTTCCATCATTTTCTAGGACAGTCTCCGTAAGAAGGATGACAGGATTGAAGAGCTGGAAGAAGCACTAAGAGAAAGTGTACAGATAACTGCAGAGCGGGAAATGGTGCTAGCACAAGAGGAATCAGCCAGGACCAATGCTGAAAAACAGGTCTGCTATTTTATACAGTTCCAAGCAATGCTGCTGGTTAACCAAAAGGTAACACACAACCAGTATAGTTTAGGTAAACTATACATATTGTATGTTTATAGGGTTTCAAAAACACTTCATAGAGGAGAAGTCCCAAGGAGTTCCTTCATAGCGGTATTAGATACAAGGATGTGGTTTCTTTTGTGTCAAGTATAGAAAGAAAGACCAACTTTATTAGCAAAGCTGAGAGAGAATTGATGAACATTTTGCAGAATGAGTGCCTTTCAGTGCCCTGTTCCTAGATAAATGCCTTGTCTACTCTTTCTTAAATAAGAATTGAAATAAAGTTGTATGAGAATTGACTCATGTTAACACAGAAGTCCCTGCATTAATAACTTAGGTCTGATCCCATATATATTTATGTAGCATGTGCTAATGTATTGGACGAGATGAAATGGAGCTTGTCTGTCTGCTACAAGACTGGGCACAACCCTGGCTTTTAAACGGAAAGAAAAAACATGAACGTTTCTCTTTTTTTTCTTTTATTATTATTAATTTTTTTGAGACAAAATCTTGCTCTTGTCCCCCAGGCTGGAGTGCGATGGTGTGATCTCAGCTCACTGCAACCTCTGCCTCCCGGGTTCAAGTGATTCTCCTGCCTCAACCTCCCGAGTAGCTGGGATTACAGGTGCCTGCCAGCACGCCCAGCTAATTTTTGTATTTTTAGTAAAGTTGGGGTTTCACCATGTTGGCCAGGCTGGTCTCGAACTCCTGACCTCAGGTGATCCACCTGCCCCGGCTTCCCAAAGTGCTGGGATTACAGGCGTGAGCCACTGTGCCCGGCCAAAAAAAAAAAGATACAAACATTTCTGACTGAAAAACGTTAATTTCAAATAGCTAATATTTTATTCATTTCATACCCTGCCTCATTGAAGAGAAGAGTTAAGGTTGTAACAAGTTAAGGTTAACAGTGAGTATGAAGGACATAGAAACCATGCACTTGAGTCCCAGATAAGCAGCCTCGGAGGGACTTGCTGAAGAGTTCTGCTGTGGCAGTTTGTGATGCTTGTTTTACATATATCCTGCATCTTTTAAGATCTCCAGACTCTTGCTTTTGACTTTTCATTAGGAAGAATAACTACAGATGGGAAAAGTGAATGGAAGAAATAGTTTTAACAAGTGAAGGTTATAATCCCAGCTCCCATTATGAGAATGTGATTTAAGATTTCAAACCTAGGCCGAGCGCGGTGGTTCACGCCTGTAATCCCAGCACTTTGGGAGGCCGAGGCGGGCGGATCACTTGAGGTCAGGAGATCGAGACCATCCTGGCTAACACGGTGAAACCCCGTCTCTACTAAAAATACAAAAAATTAGCTGGGCGTGGTGGCGGGCGCCTGTAGTCCCAGCTACTCGGGAGGCTGAGGCAGGAGAATGGCGTGAACCTGGGAGGCGGAGCTTGCAGTGAGCCGAGATCGCACCACTGCACTCCAGCCTGGGCGACAGAGCGAGACTCTGTCTCAAACAAAAAAAAAAAGATTTCAAATCTATCTGACACAGAGGTTCATAACACTTAATTTTGCAGTAGTTGTTTCCTTTCCATTTCTTTGTGGGAGAAATATAAATGTTAAACAGGAAAAAAATACTCAATGAGAGGGTGGCAGGAATCTTTCTAGGAACCCCTTGGTCAGACCAAGGTGTTATTTTGAGTTAAGGTAGCTATAGTAAAGAAGGGTATGTTTCCAAGGCAGACATAGTATGTGCCCCAGGGAGTCCCTTCATAGCTGTGTGAGATAGAAAGATATGGTTTCTTTTGTGTCAAGTATAGAAAAAAAGACCAACCTCATTGGCAAAGCTGAGAGAGAATGAACTTTTTGCAGAATGAGTGCCTTTCAGTGCCCTGTTCCTAGATAAATACCTTGTCTACTCTTTCTTCAAATACATTCCTAATGCACAGTCACATAGAGCTTGGTTAGTGGAGAGCTTCAGAGAAGGGATGGTGACAGCCATTGTGTCACCCAAGGGTGGAGAGTAATTTCCTTTAATCTTGATTTTACCCTTTTTATATTCTCTCCTTTATTTTTCAAAGAAAGATTTTTCTTCTGCTTTGGCCTCATTATTTATTGACAAGTATTAAACATCAGAGATCATGCAGAGATTTTGGCAATTAATAATCATGTCATTATGGGATACAGACTTCTGTTATGTATTTTCCTTTTTGAGGCTATTGTGTGAACTGATTATAATATGCTTTAGGGGTATGTTTTATTTATGGTTAATAGACTTCGCAGTTTTTAGGTTTGCAGAAAAATTGAGCAGAAAGTGCAAAGAGCTTCCATTTACGCCTTTCTCTGCCTCAGTTTCCCCTATTATTAACATGTTGCGCCAGTGTAGTATTTGTTAAAATTAATGAACCAGTTTTAATACATTGTTATTAACTGTGTGGTCCATAGTTGAGGGTTCACTTTTCGTGACGCACAGTCCCGTGAGTTTTGCCAAATGTATAATGACATGCATCTGCCATTACAGTATTATACAGAGTAGTTGCACTGCCCTTAAAGTATCATGCCCCACCGATTTATTCCTTCCCCGTCTCCCCAGTCCGTGATCTTTTTACTGCCTCTGTAGTTTTGCCGTTTTCTTTATTGGTAGTTGGAGTCATATAGTATGTAGCATGTTCAGATTGGCTTCTTTCACTCAGCATCTGCATTTAAGGTTCTTCTTTTTGTGGCTTGATAGCTCATTTCTCTTTATCTCTGAATGATATTCCATTGTATGGATATGCCGCAGTTTGTTCATTCCTTCAGCTGTTGAAGGACGTCTTGGTACCATTCAGTTTTTGGCACTTAGGAACAAAGCTGCTGTAAACATTCACATGCAGACTTTGGTGTGGATATAAGTTTTCAGCTCATTTGGGTAAATAACTGTGAGTGTGATTGCTGGATTCTGTGGTAAGATCATATGGTAGGAGTTTTGGAAAAAGCTGCCAAACAGTCTCCCAAAGTGGCTGTATGTATTTTGCTTTTAATTGTATGCTTTTTTCCTTTTCTGTTTTCTTGTCCACCTTTCTGCTACTCACTGCCTATCTGAAGCTGTTGCGTGAAATATTGCATGAGACCAGTTATTTGAACTTTAAGTGGTTCAAGGTATGAAGAAATTGCTTTTATGTTTATACTTCTGAAGCCTTACAACCTTCATCTACTGTCCTCTCCTCTCCCATTTTTTATTATTATTTTTATCGTTTCCTGTCTTTTTTTTTTTTTTTTTTTTTTTTTTTTTTTGAGATGGAGTCTTGCTCTGTCGCCCGGGCTGGAGTGTAATGGCATGATCTCAGCTCACTGCAACCTCTGCCTCCAGGGTTCAAGCCATTCTCCTGCCTCAGCCTCCCAAGTAGCTGGGGCTACAAGCATGTGCCACCACGCCCAGCTAATTTTTGTATTTTTAGTAGAGACGGGGTTTCACCATGTTGGCCAGGCTGGTCTCGAACTCCTGACCTCAAGTGATCCGCCCGCCTCGGCCTCTGAAAGTGCTGGGATTACAGGTGTAAGTCACCGTGCCTGGCCCATCTTTTCCTGTCTTTTAGCTCTACTATTAATTTTACTTATGTACGTTAATTATATGTACTGAGATAATCTACAAATGTTCTTTTGAAATGCCTTAAATGAGGCTTTTTTGTTTAGGAACATTATCTTTCTCAGATTCAAAAGTTACCTGTTTCTCACTTAAATTTAGCTTCTGGGAAAGAATGACTTTTTCTGATAAAGGTAGGATATCTACATCTCTTAATTCCTCCAAGAGCAAAGTAAAATTGTATGGGAGCCATAGCTCTTATTAAAATAAGATGTAGAACCTTCCAAAGTTCGAGCAAGGAAGAACTCCCATAAGAAAACATCTCTTGATGCCTTTTCTTTATTCTCACGGGATCCCCTTACAGTTTATTTATTCCTAATACATGCTGCCCCACGCTGAGCCCATGCTAGAAATTTAGAGAAGTTGTGTAATGACCTAATGAAGGAAGGTGCCCCCTAACCTGTGTGAGCAAATTGGAAGATGGAAGTGAATGATCCCCACAGGGGAGAACCCAACAGCTCCTTTACTTTTGCTTTGTCCCTTTCCACGTGGGGATTCTATTTCTGGAAGCTTTCTCTGTTTAACTTTTGGTGGGTTTTGTGCTTTATTGAATGTGAGTGTCACTTTTCTTAAACAAGGTCTCCTAAACAAGTCTCAGAATTGCCAGGGGCTAAGGAGCAGTATGCTTAGTTCAGCTATGATGTTATGAAATTTAAATTTTTGAATTTTAACATTTTAAAAGAGTGATTTAAATATCTTCACTGGGCCGGGATACAGTGGCTCATGCCTGTGATCCCAGCACTTTGGGAGGCAGACGCTGGAGGATTGCTTGAAGCCAAGAGTTAGAGACCAACCTGTACGACAATGCGAGGCCTCGTCTCTACAAGAAAATAAAAATTAATTAGCCGGGCATGAGGGGGTATGCCTATATTCCCAGCTACTTGAGGGACTGAGGTGAGAGGATCACCTGAGCCTAGGAGTTTGAGGCTGCAGTGAGCCATGATTGTACCACTGCATCCCAGTCTGGGCAACAGAGTGAGACCCTGTCTTTAAAAATAATAATAATAACAACATATTTGCACATATGAATTTGGTTGTTCTTTTAAAAGCCCCATTTTTAACAGTGATATTCAGTGATAAACAGTAATATTTTTTCAAATTGCCATTTTGACATTATTTGGCTTATAAAGTATAAATTCTTGATGTTCAAGGTTATAGGATTATATCTGTGGTTTGCTAGGTAATGATACATTAATGAGCATTTTTAAGGATTACATATTTTTTTGTTGTTGTTAATGTATAAAGTTCTTCATTGGCTGAAAATCTCCTCTGTCATTTATGCAACAGTTATCACCAGAATACCCAAGTTCATTTTCAGAATGAACAGTTGCCACTACAGAAGCAAAACTGGTAGAGGGGTATGTCTGTAGAAGATAATGTACACTAATAGAACTATAATTGTATTCCTTCGTCTTTCTTATTGCCTTTTTTACTTTTAGCAATTTATTCTTTACTTTTATAAACATAATTCTTTACTGGTCTGAATATTAAGTTATATTTCCCTCATTGTTTATTAAATGGCAGTGTTGCTCTGAAAATAAAATTATACTTTCACTTGTACCTTTTTCCCTGCTAACATTTAAAAAAATCTTGTGCTTTTCCAAATGCCACATTAAGCACTGAAAATGAAAAGGTAATAGATACAGCCTCTGTCTTCAAGAAGCTTGTAGTTTATTGGGAAAGACTGAAGGATGAACTTACAATTATGGTTCTGTTTGACAACTACCATGGTAGAGGTCTTAATACAGAGCTTTAGGAACAGAGGAAGAGGGGCAAGCCTGAAATCCAGATTTGGGAGGTCTGCAGAAGGCTTCCCGGAGGAGATTCTATGTGTGAATTAAAAAATTAGCCAGGTGTGGTGGCGGGTACCTGTAGTCACAGCTACTCGGGAGGCTGAGGCAGGAGAATGGCGTGAATCTGGGAGGCAGAGTTTGCAGTGAGCTGAGATCGTGCCACTGCACTCCAGCCTGGGCGACAGAGCGAGACTCCATATAAAAAAGAAAGAAAGAAAGAACTAGGCAAAGAAATGGAAGATGTTCAACATGTTCCATGTAGAGGGAGCAGAAGTGAAAGCTAGAAGCGTCTAGGAAACCAAGTTGTGGTTAGTAGCTACAGTTGAGTGTAAATAGGAATGGCAAGAACTATGTAAAGAAGAGAAAAAGATGAGAGAGTAAGGGAGATCCTTTGTACAGGTGTGCACAGTCAGATCATGCTGAATGAAGCATGTTCAAGCTTATGTTCAAGGAAGTAGAGAACCTTTGAACAAAGAACAATAGTTATTATTAGTTTACTTGCTCATTTATTCATTCAACAGATCTTTATAACTTATTCAGTGGGTGCTGTTGTAGTCCTGGACAATACATACTGATAAACAAAGTAGCTGTAATTTCATGCCTGAGACCTTACAGTTCAGATAGGGACACAGACACTAACCCAACAGATAACATTTAATTGCTAGTTATGACAAAGGAACAGGTTTTCAGAAATACACAATAATTTCTTGAAAGTTGGAGGGTTAGCAGCTATTTTAGATTAAGTGCTCAGAGAGGGTCCTCTGTGAAAGCGGCTTTGTCCTGGGCCTTGAAGGCTAAGAAGCTTACCATGTGACAAGTGGGACAGAAGCAGCAATCATAATGGTAATAAGGTGGAGAAGAGCTGAACGTGTCTAAGGAAGACTAATATGACTGGCGGGCAAGAACAGTGCAAGCTATGCAGGGCCTTTTATATAAGGCCATTCCATAAGAGGAATGGAAGCCATTAAAGAGTTTTAAAGAGGGCGTGACATCATCTGATTGATGTTTTTAAAAGATCATTCTGGGTGTTGGGTGGAGGATGAATTAGAGGGGGGTAAGATTGAAAGCGGGAGGATCAGATGGACTATTAAAGTAGCCTAGGCTGGATGTCTTCTAACTGAGGTATGCACACACCTGAAAGTGCATGAACACTTTCCCAAAAGGCACATGGGCACAGGCTCTCAGCCTCTAAACATACGTATCCCTGAAATTGATCTGCTCAAAAGGCACCTAAGGTGTGCAGATTCTCCTTTTTCATTTTCCCCTTCACGGTTCTGCACCCCTCACTTGACAACTCTCCTGACTCTTACTATCCTCTATTCCTCAGAGGTGAAAAAACTTTGGAATGTTAACAAAGGGACAATTCAGCATATTGGTGTTAAGATAATGGATGAGTCCGTCAGGTTGTTTTCAACAGAATTGAAATAAAACCTAATTAAGTTGCCAGTTGGTAGATTATGATAAATAATTTTCGATGACACGTTACTATCTGGTTTGGGGTATGTAATTCTGAAGGAATGCAAAGAGTTGAGTTATATTGCTACAACAAAACTCCTTCCATTCCTATCCATTTATATGATGAAGGTTTCTTAGTGCTTACATCTATAGAAGTGAAACATACCGATAGAATTGATGCTGAACCCTTATCTTCCTTTTTTTTTGAGATGGAGTCTCACTTCTTCACCCACACTGGAGTGCAGCGGTGGGATCTTGGCTCACTGCAACCTCCACCTCCCGGGTTCAAGCGATTCTTGGGCCTCAGCCTCCCAAGTAGCTGGGACTAAAGGTGCCCACCACCACGCCTGGCTAATTTTTTTGCATTTTTATTAGAGACGAGGTTTCGTCATGTTGGCCAGGCTGGTCTCAATCCTGACCTCAGGTGACCCACCCGCCTCTGCCTCCCAAAGTGCTGGGATTACAGGCGTGAGCCACTGTGCCCGGTCTGAACCTTTATCTTTCTATTAATAGTAATATTAACAAGGGGTATCTAAACTAATAAAAGTATAAAAGTCCCATTAATCTCATTAAGATAATATGTTTAATAAGATACATTTTAATTAAAATGTATTCATGTTTAATAATAATTTTCTTATAATATTTAATATATCTATTGGTTTTGATTGATACTATATAACTAGTGATTCTAATCATAACTCAGTGCACAAGAATTCTTAAGGGTTATGACCACAGGAAAATATTAAAATATCAAATTTAAATTTATATAAATATTTTTATTGAGAAAAGTACAAGACAGGATCTGTGCAAGCCATCTAGCACAAAGTAAATTACATTAGTATAAAATTCTAAGGAGAAGTAGAATGGAAACAAGGTCAAAGAGAAAAAGGAAAATGTAAATAATAATTTGTCCTTAACGGTTTTTGAATAGATGATGATGGATATCAAGTATGGTATTTGTATTTTATTGGATACTTCCTTTTCTTTAAAAAAGTGATGCTTTTTTAAAAAACAGTCTTTAATACCCAAGAAATTAGATCTTTGCAACTCTTTAAATTTTCGACGTAAAACATTTATATATCAAGTTAAAATCATTCTGTCTCAGTATGTTTGTGAGCAGAAAAAAAGAAGTATAAAAAGATACATTTTAAAAATCATAGTTGTATAAACTCTTTTAGGAGGTATAGAAGCAAAAATGTGTAGAGAGACTTTTGGTCTATGCAAGAGGTTGGGCAGATCAGGCAATAGCTGAAGAGATTCCACAGTGACAGTGGAGATAAAGAGAAATAGATAGATTTAAAACGTCTTTTGGAAATAGAGCTAAAAGGATTTGGTGAATTACATGTATGGATAAAGGATAGAAGAGAAAACAAAGATGGCCATTGGATTTCTGGTTGGCCAACTGGGAGAATAGTGGTATAATTTTTTGAGATGAGAAAGCCTGAGGGAAAAATTTGAGGATAAGAAGCAAGACATGGTATTAAAGAAATGTTAGCTACATTATCGTCAGTTTTAGAATTGTTATCAGATATTTTTATTATTGATTTAGAGATGAGTTCTCGATATGTTGTTCAGGCTGGACTGTAGTAGCTATTTACAGGCATGATTATAGCACACTATGGCCTCGAACTCCTGGGCTCAAGCTACCTTTCCACATAGCTGGCACTGTATGCGTGCACAATTTATATTTTTAGCCAAGTTTTCTCTTCTGAGATCCAAAGTTATGAAATAGACAACAACCCATTTCATATCTTTACACCAATATTTCCTTGATATCTCAACCAGAAACTAAGTTCAATCTTTTGATTCTCACCTTCCAACCAGTTTTTCCCCCAGGCTTGCTCATCTCATCTGAGAGGACTTCTTTGTAATCTTACAAAGCTGAAAGTAGGCTTACTGAATGTGAGGGAAGTCGAGTCTGAGAGAGGCAGAAGTGATAGGTTAGGTACAGAAATTTTTACACTGTGGCTTTCCAGTTCAAAAGGTCGTTCCAGAACCTTAGGGAAGCTGTATTCCATAATGGCGAAGAAGGTGGACTCTGGAGTTAGAAACCTTGGTTGGAATTAGGCTCCCATCACTTAGAAATTATGACCTTGGGCAAGTTACTTGTGGGTCAGTTCCCCGAGCTGTAAAAGAAATAGTTACTACATCTGCCACATTAAAGAGATGGTATCTGTATAAAGCACCTTTAACAGATTCTGACACGTGGTAAAGCCATAGTAAACATCTACCACTATTGGTACTTCTGTTGTCACCACCACTGCCCTCTGTGGTTCCAAGGGGAGGCACTGCTCTCACTGGTTGGCTGAAGGCCCCAGAGAAATGTCGTATTTATAGACCCTGTCTGGTTGATTCAGCACCAGCAGTGACAAACTTACTGTTAAATTCTAATTTACATATGTCAAGTGTTAATACTGTGACTCAAGGAAATTCTTGTCCTCTCCCCAATCTGGTCTCATATTCTAGAAGTTGTAGATTTGCATCAACTGAGAATAACACAGTCACCTAATATGTTGATCAGATGGACATTATTCTTATCACCAGATTATTTATTCTCTGAGAGTCTGTCTTAGATCAATACAGGTTCTTAATCTGTACATTATTTCCTATTTTACATCCATGGTCTTCTCATAAAAAGAGTTTGAGTAGGCCGGGCGCTGTGGCTTATACCTGTAATCCCAGCACTTTGGGAGGCTGAGGCAGGTGGATGACGAGGTCAAGAGTTCAAGACCAGCCTGGCCAAGATGGTGAAGCCCCATCTCTACTAAAAATACAAAAATTAGCTGGGCGCAGTGCTAGGTGCCCATAATCCCAGCTACTTGGGAGGCTGAAGCAGGAGAATTGCTTGAACCCGGGCAGCAGAGGTTGCAGTGAGCTGAGATCATGCCACTGCACTCTAGCCTCAGTGATAGAGTGAGACTCCGTCTAAAAAAAAAAAAAAAAAAAAAAAAAACCTTGAGTAGCTTTAGTAAACTGCTAGAAATATATGCTATAAAATCCAGTTCTAATGCTGTCTTTCAGTTTTACTAAGCCAGATGTTCTATAGTTTCCAGAAGGAAGGGAGGGAGGGGAAAAATACTTTCTTAGCATTATTTGAAACTAAGCATTGGTTTTAGAACGTTATCCTTAGATGTTATTCCTAGAAGCAGGAAGATACGGAAATTTTAAAACCGTAAAAATATTTTAAGGGTTTAGTCTTTGTAATCTTAAATTGGAATTTGAAACATTTGTTTAAATTTATGACTTTTTTCTCTTAAACAGTCACACATGCATTTCCTATGTACTGCAAATACCTAGAAAACAAATCATCTTCTTAGTAGCAATGCTCACTCGTAGTGGTCAGATACGGTTTCTAAATACTATTCAATATTAGAAGGACTTGAAATCTAAACAAAAGTTACTTTTTTGGCATAAAGTGAATATTATAAGTATACATTTTTCTTCACAAGTGCTTATTGGCTTCTGAAACCTCTGTAGTCTTTATAGCAGCACTGTCAAATAGAACTTGCTAAAACAGTGGTAATGTTTTATGTCTGTTCTACCAAGATGGTAGCCTCTAGCCACGTTTCTGTTGAACACTTAAAATTTGGCTAGAGCACCTGAAAAACTGATATTTTGCTTTTATTTAATTTTAAGTAAATTTTAATGGCCATATCTGCCTAGTGGCTACTATATTGGACAGTTCAACTCTATAGTATGTTGGACAGATGGGTGGGTGGATGGATGGATGGATGGTCGGTCAGTCAGATGGACAGACAGATAGATACATGGATATCTATCTATCTACATATACATAGTTAGTAGATACTAGTTAGTTTTTCCTCCTAAGCCTGACAGAGTTGTGACACTAGGATATTCAAATACAAGCATTTTCTGATATAGTTGGTCATTTTTTAAATTTTTGTTTTTGGAAAAACATTTGTGACATAAAACCATGTTTGTCAAAAGTAATTTTTCCTTTAAGAAATAATGGTGGAAGACTAGATCACTTTCAAGGGATATTATAATTGCATGTGAGTGTTTTCTTCCACATTCGTGTGGTAGCATCATGTAGATGCTTAAAGTTATGACGTGAGTGATGGAATTAGTGGAGGAAAAAGGAGTGGAATAGTTACAGAAATGAGAGTCATCTACATTAGATGTCCATAGTGAGAACATGCCACCCCAGCATTGTTAAAAGTTTATGTATCATCCATTCATTTCGCTGTTCATTCATTGTTTATCTAGATCCTCCTATGTGCTAGAAACTGAGAATACTTTACTGAACCAAATGAGTATGGTCCTTTTCCTCATGGAGCTTATATGTTAGTAGGGGAGATTGATCACAGAAATAAACATATACTTTAAAATTTGATCCATGCAAATAAAAAAAGTATAGTATTTTATAAAAGTGTGTAACAGGGGACCTTATTTAGAGTGAATGGTCAGGGAAAGCATCTCGTCTATTTTATTTTATTTTATTTTATTTATTTATTTATTTATTTATTTATTGAGACAGAGTCTTGCTCTGTTGCCCAGGCTGGAGTGCAGTGGTGCGGTCTTGGCTTGCTGCAACCTCCATCTCCCAGGTTCAAGCAATTCTTCTGCTTCAGCCTCCCAGGTAGCTGGGATTACAGGCATGCATCACCACACCCGGCTAATGTTTGTATTTTTAGTAGAGATGGGATTCCAGCATGTTTTTCAGGCTGGTCTCGAACTTCTGAACTTGTGATCCGCACACCTTGACCTCCCAAGGTGCTAGGATTACAGGCATGAGCCACCGTGCCTAGCTGGAGGGCATCTCTTAACACATTGATACTTAAATTGAGAAATGAAAATGAAAAGTAAGTAGGAATTAGTGAAATTAAGAATGGCAGGTAGTTTACTTCAGCAGGAACCACGTGTGTGGAGACCCTAATGATGGAAATAGTTTGGCATAGTTCGGAAATCAAAAGAAAACCAGAGTTCGTGGAGTGTACTAAGTCAAAGTGAGCCGGTAGCTCTATGGATAGTAGGTGAGTGATTGAATAAATGAGTGAATGAATGGATGGTGTGGCATGAAACTGGAGAGGTAGGCAGAAACCAGAATATATAGGATAGTCATGTTAATGATTTTAGGTTTTATCTCAACCACAGTGGTTATCTTTTAAGTAATTTTAAGCAGAAGAGCGGTAAGACTTATTTCCTGTTTTAAAAAGAGTATTCCAGGCTGGGCACAGTGGCTCATACCTGTAATGCCAGCACTTTGGGAGGCTGAGGCAGGTCGATCACCTGAGGTCAGGAGTTTGAGACCAGCCTGGCCAACATGGTGAAACCTTGTCTCTACTAAAAATACCAAATTTAGCTGGGCGTGGTGGTGCACGCCTGTAGTCCCAGCTACTCAGGAGGCTGAGGCAGGAGAATCACTTGAGCCCAGGAGGCAGAGGTTGCAGTGAGTCCAGATTGCGCCATCTCAAAAATAGAGTATTCCAGCAATTATATGAAGAATAAATAGGAGAGTAAGGGTAGAAAGGGCTGAGGACATGTTAGGAAAACATATAATCCAAGGACATGTAGGGTGATGGCAAAGGAGATGGAGAGGTCTATTTGGAGATAAACTCAGCAAGATTTGCTGGTCAATTGCATGTTGATGATGAGGGAGAGGAGAGGGAAGTGGCAAGGTTGATTTCTACGCTTCTTATCACGAGGATCTTTAAGTGGATGGTTGTCTTATTCCATTTAGTGTTGCTATAAAGGAATTACCTAAGGCTGGGTAATTTATAAAGAAAAGGAGTTTATTTGGCCATGGTTCTACAAACTGTACAAGGAGCATGATGCCCGCATCTGCTTCTGGTGAGGGTCTCAGGCTTCCACTTGTGTCAGAAGGCAGAGTACCTTTTATTCTTAATACAAACTACAATTCTTGTAGATTTACTGACACTTACTGATTACCTACTGTCTGCCAGTCACTCTGGTACATTCTTTCTTTATAATATTATTCAGTTGTTAAACAACAGATTCTCAGATATATGTAATGTTTTCTAGGTCGAAAACAAGTGCCAGTTCTTGTTGGGTCCTTTTTCAGAAGAGTAAAGAAGGGCTTACATGTCTTAAACTACATGTTCCTTCTGAGTGAAGCAATCTCTTCAACCTTACCTTATTCCCTTGTCTGGAAAAATCCTACTTCTTCCATAAAACCTTTTCTGACCTTCCAAGTCTGAGTTACATGTCTCTCTCATGTTTTTGTTTTTCTTTTTCTTTTTCTTTTTTTTTTTTTGAGATGGAGTCTCTCTCTGTTGCCCAGGCTGGAGTGCAGTGGCGTGATCTCGGCTCACTGCAACCTCCGCCTCCCAGGTTCAAGCAATTATCCCTGCCTCAGCCTCCCAAGTAGCTGGGATTACAGGCGCCCGCCACCATGCCCAGCTAATTTTTTGTTATTTTTAGTAGAGACGGGGTTTCGCTATGTTGACCAGGCTGGTCTCGAACTCCTGACCTCAGGTGATCTGCCCACCTCAGCCTCCCAAATGCTGGGATTACTGGCGTGAGCCACTGTGCCCAGCCTCTCATGTTTTTCAACTGCACTTGTACTTAGTCCTGTTTTTTTTTTTTAATAACACTGCATTATTATTACGTATTTACTACCTATTGCTTTAAGAGACTGTCTCCATTTTGTCTCCTAGAATGAAAGCTCCTTGAGGGCAGGAGCTGTGTCTTATTTACTGTTGTATCCTCAGCGTCTACCATTGCACCTGGTACACAATGGCATTCAATGAATATTTACTAAGTAATTAAATTATGAGCGAATAAATGAAATTTTGTCCTGACTTAATGTTTGCAGCATCACTGTACTTACTAAACAATTTAGGATTTAATGGTAATTTTATCATATTTTTATACTTATCTAAACAGTGTTTTGAAATGTTTTCTTTGTTGCAATTGCGTTTCCACTGGATTTGATAAACTACTTTTTCATCTGAACAGAAGAACTTAAAGGTGTCAGAATTGTAGATTTAAAGAATTAGAATAGATATTTATGTGAAAGTTATTTACATTTTTGTGCTTGATTTTAAAGAATGGTAGCCAGAGTGGAAAAATACAATTTAGAAATCATTATTATCCCTGACCTGTCCTTCAGTGGCAAAACAGAGGGCTTATATGTCTCAAAAAGTGAATGTGCAAAATTGTAGGCCCACTGTTGTTGACCTCTTAGCTAGTGGGAACTAGCTGAAAGTCTTATGTAGCAGTGAGCCTTCCACTCGGAAGTACCAGGCCACCATGTTTATGAAAACATGTAATAATTCAAAACATTCTGCAGAGCAGGTATAAACTGATTAGAATCATTTGAAAATCTTTTTGATCCTACTTTATTTCCTTTTAGTGGGACTGATGCTTCTGATCATCACTGGTAAATTTGACATTAGGTTTTTCAAGATTTGCCTCATCTTTCCCGGACTTGGAAATAGGTTCATAATATTATTAAGACTGATTCATTTCATATAGTGCTGTAATGGGTTACATTTAATAGTTTACAGAAATCTCTTCTTAACATATCCTAAATTCATTTTCTTTGCTTGCTCTTATAAGTCTTAACTGATTTCTGTGAGACATTCTTGAAATGAGTAGCTAAGCAGTCCAAAAGTGTTACAGATACAAACGTTATTCAGAACTATGTAGAATCATTCTGTCTTACAAAAAAAATAGAGTGTTACGTTGGTAACATAAACGGTGCTTGTAAAGCAGTTTACTGGTTTCTGCAGAAGTTCATCATGTTTGGTCAATGCACAGATTGTAGATACTGTTGTTCAAAGATACTTCATTTTTAAAATGTAAGATGTTATTATGGAACATGATATTGATAAGCATATAGAAAGTATATTTTTAATGTTTCAGGTACCTAAGAGATATGACAGTTCACGATCATCTTCTCTTTGCCGTTGTGTAATCAGTTCAGTCTTTCAATCAAATTCTGTCAAGAGGAACCTCGTAGGTTTCACTGTAGACTCTCGCTCTGCTGTCAAGGAGTTTGAATCCCCTTTGTTATGGTGGCTGGTTATGAAATCAGTCACTTGACAGACCCTGAAGTGAGACTGCTGGAAATACGTCATGTCTGCCTTCATGGTGACAGCTGGTTACAAAACAAACCCCACCACAGCCATTCTGCAATTGACAAGGGACTTCAAAAGCCAACAGGGCTGCCACTTCAAAGAGAATTCTGCCATCTCTGGCTTGTTGAAAGAAGTTGTTAAATGGCTGTACCCTGCCCTACCAGAAATCTCCATGTTTAGACTTCTCCTTCTTTTGATCTTTGAAAGATGTATGAAATGACTTAAGTTAGAGGAATGATAAAGTCTCTAGTAATGGCAACCCAGCACTCTGCATTTTGATCCATTTATTAATGGAAATTACCCAGATATGTTCTAATGACAGGAGGTTTAAAAACTCAATGTCTCAGAGAATGAATGTCCAAAAAAAGAGTTGAAATTTCATAGTATTGTTGTAGCCACCTTAAAAAATCTGGAAATAGTAGGGAAGAAAATGAAACTCAGTGTGTTTTTAAAACCTTCCATTTCTTCGTGTAATTTTTAGCCCTTTTAATGGAATCAGATTCTGAATATTGATAGATTAGAAAACAACACAAATCTTTAATCATAAGATTAAATTTCATGGTTAAAACGGACATTTCTCCACTTTTAGTAACTCTGTACTTAAAGTTTGAAGCTACCTTGTACTATATTTAAAGTTATATTCATCCCTTTCTGCTGAATACAATTTTAAAATAATTACCTTGTGTTTATCTTAAACAATAAAAAAAGCCTTAGAGTTTTAATAGAACCCTTAATAAAAGGTCAGAGTGCTAACAATCAAGGGAAAAGGCAGCAACATGAACTCTTTCTTTTAGAATACGGATAGCCCTAAAAGATGGAGTAATGTTTAGTATACTTGAAAAAGAAAGCAGAAAACTTTATAAATAATATAACAGTAAAAAAAAAGTGGAGATTTTATACTCAACATGAACTTGGAGTGTAAATTAGTTGGAATTTAAAATCCTTCTAAGTGAATGGCATGACCTTTTCCTAATTGTATGTTTTCTCTCTCATCCTATGTGTATAGGAAGATAAAGCTAAAGATCTTTAGATTCATTTGCCCTGATCTCCTATTTTCTTATTTCTCTTAAAATATCTCTTTACATAAAATTTTTAGAAATCGAGTTGACAGAAGCTTTAACGACTGTAACTTCCTCTATAATTTTACCAGATGGGGTCAGTAGATAACTACTAAAGAAATTCTGAAGCAGAACTGAAGCCCCCAGGAAATAACCCCATGACATAGTATGACCAAAAAATTCTCTAGAAACATGAGTAGTCGCTCTTCAAGTAATGCATTTGGATTTGTCTTTTTTTGTTGTTGTTATCTTAGTTTCTTCCTCTAGAAAAACCTCCAGAAAATTTTTTTGACAAAGTAGTACATGATATTACTGTCCTGGAAGTCCAGGAAATATCTATGCCTTTAAATTTAGGCTCGAGTTTTCATTTTATTCAGCAAAAGGACTGTATCTGTGTTTTCAAAAGTTAGAGCGATGTGAAAAAATTAAGTCCAGTGGAAACAAACCTTTGGCACATCCAAAATTAAACCCCAGAAATGACTGCCAGAAGTCTATGGATACTGGTTTTCAAAGCAGACTTTTTTTTTTTTTTAATTTTATTTTATTTTATTTATTTATTTTTTTTTGAGACGGAGTCTCGCTCTGTCGCCCAGGCCGGACTGCGGACTGCAGTGGTGCAATCTCGGCTCACTGCAACCTCCGCGTCCCGGGTTCAAGCAATTCTTCTGCCTCAGCTTCCCAAGTAGCTGGGACTACAGGCGTGCGCCACCATGCCCAGCTAATTTTTGTATTTTTAGTAAAGACGAGGTTTCACCATGTTGGCCAGGCTGGTCTCGAACTCCTGACCTCATGATCCACCCTCCTCAGCCTCCCAAAGTCCTGGGATGACAGATGTGAGCCACCGTGCCCGACCAGACATGTTTTTATACCCTATACTCTATCTAAACTGCAGAGCAACTTCTGTAGCAGGAAGCACTCTTGGAGTCTATGTGGTGGATCTATACCAAGGGATATATCGTTCGCTTGTAATGAGTTCTTGGGGTGTTTGGCTCTTATTTCTTTTCTCCTACTGAGAAGTTTGATAAACCAAGTTATTGATCATAGAAGCAGTCATCCAAGATACGGCTGAAAGTAAAGCCTTGGGAGCCAGATGGCTTCCCGCTGATTTTTATATGCAGTTTATATTCTCCTTGGCTGTGTCTTCCTGGATGTTTCAATGAAAGATATTTTTTTCTGGAGAAATGTGCACGGTGGGATTTATCCTATTCAACAGATAGTTTTTGTGTGTGTCATGTCCCAAGCCCTATTTGGACATTCAATTGTCCCTTCCTCTTGTCTCTACCCTCTTTAATAAATGAATAAAGATGCATTAAAATTAATGTAAAGTGCTTCGGATTAGAAGTCAAGTGACGTGGATTCTAATCCTTGTTCTGTGTACTAACAGTGATTTGGCATAAGTTTTGTAATCTCTCCAAGTATCTGTAATCTCACCTAGATGGAAGAAATTATTATCCCCACAAGTATCCACTCACCACCTCACATTGAGATAAGTATTTGCAAGGGTTTTAGTCGCTTACAAAGGCAGCATACAAGTGTTGAGCCTTATTATGGCCAAAATCACACACACACACCAGACATGCGCAAACATACACGTATCATATATGCACATACATACACATATTATACACGCACTTACGTGATGTTTATGAGTTTCCCTCTTGGTGTCCTAGGGTTACCAGACATAAAATCCCATCCTTTTACTTTTCTCCCTTGGCTAATAGTATACTTTTGATAAGGTCAAGTAAGTGTCATTTTATTTGCCAACATTGTGTTTCTAACAACTGTCCAGGGTTGTGTTGAAATAAATTTTCTCCACAAAATGTGTGTCTAATTAATGAAATGTCAACTTTATTTATTTCTAGGTGGCAGTTTGGTTTTTTTCACCATTGCAAATGAGAAGAATTAAAATTTCCAGTTAAAATGGCAGTGAACTTTTATTTTTGTTAAAAACTTAAGGAAAGTGTTTGAGTCTGTTTTACTCACATTATTTCATTTGATCTTAGAAGAAGGGCTGAATCCCTACATGGTCTGTTTTGTTTGCTGTTTTCCGAATAAAATGCAATAAATATTTTCTCCATTTGAGATGATCAGATTATTTAAACTAAGAAGGAAATTTCTTTCCAAAACCTGGACAAATTATATAGCCATTCAACACTTGCTTTATTCTATTGTGTTAACTCCCTAGCAAAGCAAAAAAAAAATGCCTTTTCAGAAGAGAAATTATCAGAGCTCAGAGTTCTAGGGATGGTCTTTGTCATTCCACCTCTATTCATATTTCATTTCCTAAATTAGACATTTGTCACAAACCCTAATGAAATATTAAGAGCTCTCAGACCCAGATGCAGAAGAAAGCATAAAATGGTGGTTGCCACATCTTCTTTGTTACTACTGCTGGAGGAAGAAAATGCAATCTATTACTTAGATTATTTCTGTCCTCCCTTCTTCCAGGAGCTTATGTGTACCCAGTAGATCATTAATTTTTTGTGTTAATTGATTCCATTACAATCTGTTGCTGAAATAAGCAAATCTTGGGAGATAAATAATATTTTGCTGTCAAAGCATGATGTAGGCTGACTTAAAAATAGAAAAAATGAAATAATATTCTGCTGAAAAGATAGTTTGTTTTCAGGGCATTAATTCAGGTATTTATTTTTTAGTTTTGATGCTGTGCTGTCAAAGTCACCTAAATAGAATTGGCAGTGATGAAACACTGGCCCGTCTTAGCCTCTTTCTAACATCAGTGACGCAAGATACTGAGGGTCATAGCAGCAGGGGGATGTTTGCTTTGAAAATGTGCATCCACATTTTATTGTGTCTTATTTTTCAAACCCTACTTAGGAGTGATGAGTGCTTATTACGGGATTTATCTTCCTAAGCCTTCTGAGTTGATTTTTTTTTTAAATAAAAGGAAAATTGAGATGGCTTGAAAAAGAAGCATTTCTTTCACACTGATACGTTTCCACTCTCTTTTAAAAAGAGTGGGAATGGGAACACTCCCCAGAGTGACTCATGAGATACCATTGTGGGTGATTTTGGTAAACACTGATACATGGTAGCAAAGCAGCGCTCAGTGTGTACAGCAGGATGGAGTCGGACTACTCAGCTTGGAATCCTAGCTTTGCTTTCTCTGTATGACCTCGGACAAGGCACTTAAACCCACTAACCCTGTTTCTTTTGCCATAAAAATGAGGATAATAATACTTTATACCCACCATATAGGATCATTTTGAGGCTTTAATGAGACAATACATCTAAAGCACTTAGAACAGTGTACTTCAAAGTAGACAAATAATGTAAGTAATTATTATTGCAATAACTATAGTTATTCCATAGTTATAAAATACTGTACTGCCGGTATATATCTTGTCAAAGAATTACCATGAGTTGGCAAAAAGAACGTATTGGAAAAAAGAGATTTCTAGTGTAAATGATAGCCTAAAGCTCTCTTGGGAAATGTAAATTCAAATTTTCATTAGCAATAGTTGTGAGATCCTCTAAAGGAATTTCCTAGGAAAGGATGATAGAATTTATGTATGTAGGTATATGTGTATATATGTTTTCACTAATACTTCAAAAATGCTCCTCCACTCAAGAGCTTGTTACCTTTTTTTCTTCATAATTATAAAACAGTAGGTTTTAATCTGGAACTTTGTTCTAGTCAGGGAAACCAGTGGACTTCTCAAGTGACAATCTGGCTTGCATGGTGACTGCTGAACCTCTGGATAATCTTTTTGTACCACTCCCTTTTTCTTCTAATTGTTTTCTTCTTGTGGAGACTTACGCCTTTTACTCTCCCAAGAGAGTATAACAAGATTTTCCATACGCATCTTGGAAACTACAAAAAGTGTTTTTCTCCTGGTTGTGGAACAGAAGAAGGTGGGAAACTTGAAGAAGCGGGCTTTGCCAGCCTCTGAAGCCCCCTGTTGTGCTGCTTTCTTAAGGAAAATAGGTCTGTGGTAAAGTCATAATTTGTTCCCTTCTTATTCTGAGCAAAAGTTTATTAGCTTGTGATTTAAGCAAACCATCTGGTCCTGCTGGCACTGCACACTGTCAGGCCCCGTGCTTTCTGCTTATTATGTTACTGAAGGCAGTTACATATTTGAGTCCCAGCTCTGGCCTGAGCTTTTCTGTGTTTTAAAACGTCTGCTTTTGAAAATTGTGCTGTGACCTGGAGTATATTTTTAAAGTGTGGATAAATTCTTCATTGTTTAGTATAGGATTTATCTCTTCTTTTCTTCTACTCATCGGTCTTTACCCTCGTTTCTCTGGCTGTACCCAATACTGTACAACTGCTCAGTGGTAGGCATGAAATGGAACCAAGTGATTCTAGCTGGAAGTGTTCTCCTGGATTGTGGAAACATAGCAGAAAATGAAGTAATTAAATTTGACTTTGAAACTGTTTCCCTGGCTTAGAGCCAGAGAGCAAATCAGATGATTGATTGGAAATACCAGGAATGTATGGTACCATTCTTGCCTTGAATACTAAAATGCTTTAGAACTTACTTGGATATATGTATAATCTGAGGCAGAAATACTTTGAGGGTCTCACACTCAAATGGATGGGAAAATTAAGCAATCTTTAAGAAAATGATTTTACTAACAGATAAAAATCTGAAAGGTAGAGATTTTTAAATTTTTTAACAATATGTAATAGTTGTACGTATTTATGGGGTACATGTGATATTTTGATATATGTGTACAATGTGTAATGATCAAATCTGGGTAACTGGGGTATCCATCACTTCTAACATCTATTATTTCCTTGTGTTGCAACATTCCAAATCTTCTAGCTATTTTGAAATTCACAATAAATGATTTAACTATAGTCTCCCTACTGTGCTATTGAACACTACAACTTACTCCTTCTATCTAACTGTATTTTTGTACCCATTAACCAACCTCCCTTCATCCCCCTCTCCCTCCTACCCTTCCCAGCCTCTGGTAACCACCATTCTGTTCACTATCTCCATGAAATCAAATTTCTTCTAGCTCCCACGTGTGAGTGAGAACAAGCAACATCTGTCTTTCCGTGCCTGGCTTGTTTCACTTAACATAATGTTCTCCAGTTCCATTCATGTTGCTGCAAATGACAGGATTTCATTCTTTTTATGGCTGAATAGTATTCGTGTGTGTGTGTGTGTGTGTGTGTGTGTGTGTGTGTGTGTGTGTATACATACCACATTTTATCCATTCATCCACTGATGGACACTTAGGTTGATTCCGTATTTTGGCTATTGTGAACAGTGCCACAGTAAACATGGGAGTGCAAATATCTATTTGATATACTGATTTCCTTTCTTTTGGATATATACCTAGTAGTGGGATTGCTGGATCATGAGAGAGTTCTATTTTTAGTTGTTTAAGGAAACACCATACTATTTTCCATAGTTGCTGTACTAATTTACATTCTCACTAACAGTGTATGAGTGCTCTCCCTTCTCTGCATCCTTGCCAGCATTTGTTATTTTCTGCTTTCTTGGTAATAGCCATTTTAACTGGGATGAGATAGTATCTCATTGTGGGGTTTTTTTAGGAGTGGTTTGAGGGAGAGACAGTGTCTTGTTCTGTTACCCAGGCTGGAGCGCAGTGGTGTGATCATAGCTCACTGCAGCTGCAAACTCCTGGGCTCAAGCAACCCTCCAGAATGGCCGAGACTACAGGTGTGCACTATCGTGCCTGGCTAATTTTTTGTAGAGATGAAGTCTCACTCTGTGGCCTAGGCTGGCCTCAAACCCCTTCCTCCTGCCTTGGCCTCCTGGAATTACAGGCATGAGCCACCACTCCCAGCTTCACTGTGGTTTTGGTTTGCGTTTCTTTGATGATTAGTGATGTCAAACATTTTTCATATAACTTTTGGCTTTATTTTTATGTCTTCTTTTGAGAAATGTCTATAGAGATCTTTTGCTCATATTTTAATCGAATTTTTTTTTGTTTGCTTTGGAAGTAAGAGTTTTGAATGAAGGGTAAAATGTGTCCTTAAACATGACAGACTTGATGCTGGGGAAGTAACTTTCACAGAAACAATTGAAGATAGTCAATAAAATTGCATTTATATCTTGGCAAAAAGGTAAGAAATTCTCAGGTCAGGGGATGAACAGGTAGGGAATTCAAAAATAAGTACTTGATAATTATTGAACATTGGGTTTTATATCTTCATAGGATAAAAGAAAAGATCAAGGCAGCCCAAGATAGTCAAGTGGGAAACCAAATCCCTGTCACTCTTTTATAAAACAAATCCACAAAGCCCAAAATTCATTCTTTGAAAACACCAAGAAAGTCAGCTGGTCTTTGGTGAGACTAAAAGAAAAAAGAAAAATGGCACAATGAACAATATTTATTTTAGAATGATAGAGGGTTCACAACTACTAGTCTTGTAGGTGCTAGAAAGATATAAAGATATCTTTGCCAGCACATTTGAAAATTTAGACTAAATGACCAAATGCCAGGAAAAATTGAACTTAGCAAAGCCAGCTAAATATGAAAAAGAAAACCTGAGAAAAATGAGGCAGTAATAAAAATTTTTCCTACAAATTTCAAGCCCAGAGATTTATATTGGTAACTTTTGGCAAATATACAAGGAGCAAATAATTTCAATCTTACAGACACAATTTGGAAATATAAAAGAGAGGGAACAATCACTCAACAACATATTTAATAAGGTTCACATAACTTTATATCAAAACTTTACAAGTTAATACAGGAAAAGAAAAGCTTAGGCCTGTCTCAATCCTGAACATGTAGAAAAATTCCTAAACATAATCAGACCAATCCAAAATTAGTGTACACAAAAAAGAAAAATGTGCATGAGCAAGTTTTATTCCAAGAGTTCAAGGTTGGCTTAACAGTAGAAAACTACTGTAATCCTGGCTAGGCGTGGTTAATTTTTTGTAGAGATGGAGTCCCAGCACTTTGGGAGGCCAAGGCAGGTGGATCACTTGAAGTCAGGAGTTCAAGACCAGCCTGGCCAACGTGGCAAAACCCCGTCTCTACTAAAAACACAAAAATTAACCAGACGTGGTGGTGCATACCTGTAATCTCAGCTACTTGGGAAGCTGAGGCAGGAGAATTGCTTGAACTGGGGAGATGGAGGTTGCAGTGAGCTGAGATCACTCCACTGCACTCCAGCCTGGGCAACAGGGCAAGACTCCATCTCAAAAAAAAAAAAAAAAAAGAAAACTAATTACTATAATCCATCACAGTAAAAGATGATAGAAGAAAAGTTAAGTGTTCATCTCAAGAAATGCAGAAAATTTAACATTCATTTATAATTTTCAAAAATTCTTAACTACCTAGCAATACAAGGGAATTTCCTTAACTTAATAAAGGGTATCTATTAAAAATTACACTACTTGTAGATAAAACTTATAAAGGATTCTTTTTAAAGATAGGAATAAAATAGAATGCATGCTATCACCATGTCTGTACAGCGTTGTAGTAGTCATTCTAGATTATGCAGCATGGCAAGTGAAAGAAGTGAATATTATAAGAATTACAAGAAAAGAAAGAAAACTACCATATTTGTCTATATAGTAAACTTCAAAATCTGTCAGTAAGAGCATTTAAGAAGACTGCTAGATACAGATTCAATTTCCGTAATCTGCACTGAACAGAAAATTTACATTTTTTGTAAAAACGATACTGTTTACTAGAAAATTAAGCATATAAAGTACCTAGGAATAAATATTATTAGGATGTTTAACATTTTAATGAGAAAAATTATTAAACTTTATGAAAGATATTAAAGTTCTAAAAATATATCTAGTTCATTACGTGTTCTAGAACAGTACCTGGCATATGATAAAATCTAAATATTTTTGCAGAAGTTCAAGAATAGCTAAGATGCTCTTGAAGAGAACAAGCTGAGACTTATTAGATATCAAGCCTTATAAAGTGATAATAATTAAGATAATGAATGTAGTATTGGTACAGGACTAGGCAAAAGAGTGGATCATAATAGAAAGTGCAGAAATATCCATGCTTGTGAGTATACTTGATATATATCAAAGGTTAAGATAGAATAGATTTTTAAATAAATGGTACTGCACATTGGCTATCCATATGGGGAAAAATGAAATCAGACCCCTGCCTCATACCATATACAAAAATGAATTCCAGATGGATTAAGGACTAAACATGAAAAGCAATACTTTAAAACTCTTACAAAGTTTATCAATCAGATATTGTATAACGAACAACCACAAAATATCAGTAGCATATTGTGATGGTTAACTTTATATGTTGACTTGACTGGCTACGGGGTGCCCGGATACTTGCTCCGACAGTATTCTGGGTGTTTCTGTGAGGGTATTTGGGGATGAGACTAACATTTAAGTCAGCAAAATTGAGTATAGTGGATTGCCCTCCCTGATGTGGGTGGGCCTTATCCAGTCAGTTAAAGGCCTGAGTAGAACAAAACTCTGATCTTTCCCAAGTGAGAGAGAATTCCCTCTGCCTGACTGCCTTCGAACTGGGACATTAGCTTTTCCTTGCATTCATTCAGACTCAGACTGAAACCCTGGCTCTTCCTGGGTCTGGAGCCTGCTCGCCTTCAGACTGGAGCTATACCATTGGCTCTCCTGGCTTTTCAAGCCTTTGGATTTGGGTTGGAACTATGCCACTGGCTTTCCTGGGTCTCCAGCTTGCCAGTTCACCCTATAGATCTTGTGATTCATGAGCCAGTTTCTTATAATAAGTCTTTATTTACACATATACACTCTGTTTCTCTGGAGAATTCTGACTAAGGTACAGACAATACCAAGCATTTATTTCTCGTTCACATACATGGAGGGTGAGCATGGTTGGCTCTGAGTTTTTTTGCAGAAATTGACAAGCTGATTCTCAAATTCACATGGAAATAAAAAGGAGCCAGAATAGCCAAAAACATCTTGAAAAAGACAACAGCTCAGATTTTCATAGAGATTATGTTGAACCTGTAGATCAGTATAGATTATGGTTCTTATCCATTACTGATTTTATGTTATAAAAACATAGCTTGGTGTATTATTTGTACCCAGTTTTAGATAAAATTTTACATGAATTAAACTGATAAAATGGAATCAATGGTATATGTTCATGTAAAGCTTGCAGATATGCAAATACATATCCCAGTATATTACATAGCAATATATTCTCTTTTTTGTTTGTTTGTTTGTTTAGTAGAGACAGGGTTTTGCCATGTTGGCCAGGCTAGTCTCGAACTCCTGACCTCAGGTGATCCACCGGCCTTGGCCTCCCAAAGTGCTGAGATTACAGGCACGAGCCACAGCGCCCGGCCGTAACAATATATTCTTATGGCAACTGGGACTGTGAGGATGCTGTTAGCTGAAGACATTTAACTTGCTCACTTCTGGAAGGATAAAAAAATTCAGGTGCCAAAAAAACTAAATGCATTTGCTTACTATCATTGTTTAACAGCTGTTACCAATCAACGTGGAAACTTTGTTTAGGTAGGAAGCACTAATTTCCAAGGGTCAGTGAAACAACTTTGATTTGTCATGCTGATTTTTGACTCTAGGTTTCTCTGTTTTAGTATCACACAAATGGGGTTTATGTAGGAGTCAATGAATGGCAAATGCCCCACCTCTACCTGCCCTACCTTCTACTTCTGAAAAGACTGGTTATTACCAAGATTATTTCTTGGCAATTAACAACCTAACATAAAGTCTTGTAATTGATGCAGTTGGCTGTTTGATTACATTTGCTTCTGAATTAAAATGAACAAGTTTATTTAAATAATTCTGATTTGGTAGCCACCTGGAATAAGTGGAAATTACTGATAAAGTACTTACCTTGCTCTCTTAGTTTCTTTTCCTTATGTTTTAGCATTTTGTCTGTCTTCTCTGGTGGCTTTTTGTTTGTTGTTTTTCAGGTCTGTTGCTGTCAAGGCTTTTTTTTTTTCCCCATGTCATTTTTAAAGCATTCTGTCTCCTTTCTATCTGGTATGTACACACACACACACACACACACACACACACACACACACACACACACATAACTATATAGGTATATAGGGATATATTTCCTTCCTGCCTATATAATATATAGTATATATATAATATATATATATACACTGCCTATGTAGTATATAGGTATATATATGCCTGTATAGTTATATAGGTATATAGGGTTATATTTCCTTCCTGCCTTCCTTAAAAAAGAAACCCTACCTACCTGGATTTAGAGCAAGAAATTGTCTGATTGAATTCTAGCAGTTTCTTTAAAAAGAAATTCTTCTTAATGATGTAAATAGGAAAATTTTAGTTTAGAGGACTAAAAATTATTCGTCTATGTATACAGGAAATCTGTTATTTGCCAAGTTTATGTCTTTTATTTCCTAAAATCGTTCTGTATATTTTTTTATATTTGTATTGTATTATTTCCATGGAAATTTCTGGGTCATTTCCAAAGAACTTCCTTAAAAGGTATTGTCTGTGGCAGCGTGCGACTTCTTAAACTGATAACTTGTATGCCCTTGCATGTATTAAGTTCTTTCTGACCTAAGCTGAAAAGAATTATACTGTAGGGATGTTATTATCTGCTATATTGATTCTTGATATATACACACACATAACTGATCCAGAAAGAGTACAGAATTTTCAATGTGTTCCTGCGTCTCTTCAATTTTCTGGACCCAGGAGTTGCGTGTTACCCAGGTCCTCTGACTCTGATTGATCAAGACACTCTGTTGTTCTCTTTCCCATATTTATGATAGGTGGAGGAGTTACTGATGGCCATGGAGAAGGTAAAGCAGGAACTAGAATCCATGAAAGCAAAGCTGTCCTCCACCCAGCAGTCTCTGGCAGAAAAGGAAACTCACTTGACTAATCTTCGGGCAGAGAGAAGGAAACACTTAGAGGAAGTTCTGGAGATGAAGTAAGTGTTTGTAGTCTTATTCTTCAAGCATATGCTTAGTGGAAATACTTTTTCTCCCTGCATTCATCTTCTGGCTCTGTGTTTTACCCCAATACACTTACTTAATTTTAGTGCTAACTTGTATTTCTCACTCTCTAGAATAAATTTGGTCAAAGGTGGAACAAATCCTGATCAAATAGAAATATTTTTGGTTCCTCTTTAATGATTTTTAAATCCTCTGGCTTATACATATCTGTGTGTAATTACCTCTCTGAAATTCCTAAAATCTTCTGGAAAGTTCAGGCAAAATGGCGAGCTTACTGGGGAAGAGGGCTGTTGGTTCTGAGGTTGTATGAAGACTAGGCAATTTTTAAACACATTTTTTATTGTAAACATTTCCAAAGGTACACACAGGTAGAGAGAATGAACCCCCATATACCTGTCTCCAAGATTCAGTAGTTACCATTTTGCCACACTGGAAGCCAATTTTTAGAAAATTGTCACTTTTAGCAGAGCTTTGCTATACACATTTTCCTGCTTCCCCCACATTTTGTAGGTTGCTGAGACCATAATCTGTTGTGAAGCATGTATACATCTGCTAATACATAGTAGATGTTTCTTTTACTTCTCAGTGACCTTCTGTTTAAAACAAACATGTGTCTTTTGAAAATCCAGTTGTACCCTCTCATTTACCATTCCTAATCCTTCCCCTTACCTAAAGACCCTACTGCTATTTTACTGAAACCAGGTCTATCCTGGGATCCCTCAGTTACCCTCAGTTACCCTCGTTCTGTGAGCAGTTATCTTTATTTTTGTTGTCTTCTTTTCTGTCTCAGAGAATAGGTTTTTTTCTCCTTCATAAGGCCAGATTCTTCTTTCTGTCACAGATTTCAAGTCCCCGCCTCAGCAGCCTTTCACTGTCAGTTCTTTCTCACGTGACCCTTGCTCACTTCTTCTCTGCATAAATGCACAGTCTGTCTTTGGCCTAAAATAAAATTTTTTCACTCCAACTAGTGCTTTAAACTGACATCAGTTTACTTTTCTGCTACTTTGAACTATCAGTAAACTTTGAATACCTGAATAATAGAGCTGTACAGAATCTTGCCATAATACCTTAGCATGAATTCTCATGGGACATGATGATTGTGATATTGTGACTGCAACCCAAGAATGTTGAGGTGTCCTCTGTGCTTTCACGTTCTTGGGCTATAGTGCAAGGCTACGAGATTCTGTCCTTTTAGAAAAGCATTATGAGTGATATGTCTTGGAAGTAATGTGTAAGTGAAGCCGGAAGTGGATTGGCATAGGGGGAGAATTAAGAGAGGTTAGAGTTCCGAGTAGCATCATCAGAAAAAAGCTTGCAGGTTTAAGTAGAGAAAGGAAAGTCCTCCCTGTGACTGTTGGCAATGACACTAGATTCTTCACTCTGTAGTCACTGCAGGACCCACCATATTTTAAAGGTTTAAATTATTCAATTATTGATCATTGAACAAGTGAAAAGATTTAGTCTACCTAGAGAACTTGAGAGGCAGAAATATGAGGGGAATGAAGTGTGCAGGGAGACTGAAACATGCGTATGTGTGACTCTGGAGCTAGAATAAGACAGAGTCTTCCCTCAGGAAAAGGTAGTTGGCCCATTTGCATAGAAAATTCTTCAGCAAAGCACTAGAATAGCTTTGTTTTCTGGAATAATCCTGACTTCATCAAGCCAAGAGAAATGATTTAATAGCTATTTTCCATTCCTAGCATATATTAATGTAATTTTTGAGCGTCTGTTACAGATAAATGGTGACCGTAAGTTTGGGGAGACGTAAAACGGTTCACTTGGTAGCCTGCCAGTGGTGCATTGGAAACATTTGCGTTGGTTATAGCCAGCCCTGGAGAGGAGGAACGTTTTAATTGGCAGATCCCACAATGGGTCTTCTCTTCCTTATGCTGTGGTTTTGTTAACCATTACTTTTTTATTCCACTTTTATGTTAGCGTTTTTCCCTTAAGAAAGAAAGGATAAAAGGGAGCAGGGGAAAAATAATAAAATAACAACTGTAATAACTGTAATAAATTTTAAGTATCAGTTGAGGTCATGAGGTTCACTGTTAAGAATTCTAGATGAACTAGTTCATTCGACACTGCCCTGCATTCAAACTCCTCCTGCAGGCCCACCCTACATTAGCATTCAGAATAAATTTTACAAGTCCATTTTTTATTTTTAATAAAATTTTTATTAAGCTGTGAATTTGACTGCCCTGACAACTGGTTTGTTCAGGGAAGGGGTGGCAGAGCTCTTTGGTTTCATTGAGAGTTTAGAGCTATTCAATAGGTAGCCTCCTATATGCAGGCAGTTAGTTGTAAGTCATTCAAAGAATGAAACCAACGAGTAGAAGTTAAATCACTATACTCATTGGGAGCTTAAAAAATAAATAAATATGATTTAAAAGATGATGTCAACACAGGTGAAAAAGGAAAAATATTAGAATCTCCTGAACTGACTAGACAGACATGTTTAGAAGACTGGTCTTCTCTGGAAACAAGTAAAGCTGGCAGAGAAATCCAAATATCTCTGTGTTAAATTATATACTCATGAGATGCTTTCTGGCCAAAAAAAGGTCTCCCACAAACAGAGAATAAATTTTCATATGTACCTAAGAAGAGTCCAGTACTAAATTCTGACATTTAAAAAATTATTGACTGTTAGGAGAGAAAAGTAGAGTACAATTGTGATTAAGAGAGCTGTTAACAGGCCGGGCACGGTGGTTCACACCTGTAATCCCAACACTTTGGGAGGCCGAGGCGGGTGGATCACCTGAGGTCAGGAGTTCTAGACCAGCCTGGCCAACATGGTGAAACCCCGTCTCTACTGAAAATATAAAAAATTGGCTGGACGTGGTGGCTCACGCCTGTAATCCCAGCACTTTGGGAGGCCGAGGCTGGTGGATCACAAGGTCAGGAGTTTGAGACCATCCTGGCCAACATGGTGAACCCTCGTCTCTACTAAAAGTACAAAAATTAGCTGGGTGTGGTGGCGCACACTGTAATCCCAGCTACTCTGGAGGCTGAGGCAGGAGAATCACTTGAACCTGGAAGGCGGAGGTTGCAGTGAGCTGAGATTGCACCATTGCACTCCAGCCTGGGTGACAGAGCAAGACTCCATCTCAAAAAAAAAAAAAAAAATTAACCAGGCATGGCTGGGCACGGTGGCTCATGCCTATAATCCCAGCACTTTGGGAGGCTGAGGCGGGCAGATCACGAGGTCAGAAGATTGAGACCATCCTGGCTAACACGGTGAACCCCGTCTCTACTAAAAATACAAAACATTAGCCAGGCGTGGTGGCGGGCGCCTGTAGTCCCAGCTACTCGGGAGGCTGAGGCGGGAGAATAGCATCAACCCAGGAGGCGGAGCTTGCAGTGAGCTGAGATCGTGCCACTGCACTCCAGCCTGGGCGACAGAGCAAAACTCCATCTCAAACAACAACAACAACAACAACAACAATTAGCCAGGCGTGGTGGCGTGCGCCTGTAATCCCAGCTACTCAGGAGGCCGAGGCAGGAGAATCACTTGAACCCAGGAGGCGGAGGTTGCAGTGAGCCGAGATCGTGCCATTGCACTCCCGCCTGGGCAACAAGAGTGAAACTCTGTCTCAAAAAAAAAAAAAAAATTGTGGGGTTGTTCACATTCTAAAAAAATCTCATTAGGGATTTATGACATGGTGTTCCAAATTAACCACAAAATTGTAAATAGTTAACCAAATTATATCCTAGTAACAATTTAGGGGGGAAAATAAAAATGAAAATGCATTCTGAGTTACATAAGAGCATGTTTACTCTTCACAAAGCCATATTTATTTATACTTCCACCAAAAGCCATTTTTTTTAAGTCTGTAGACATATGATAAAGGACTTTTAGTGGACTTGGAAGCATTTTTCACAATGGGCTAGAATACTGAGGTTGAATGTTATGTAGGAAACCCACATAATATAAAATTATTTTACACTTGAAAAAGAAAACAATATGTTGTACAGTATAGCTATAAACAAATAGCATTGGTGGGTCTGGGACTAGTTAAAATTATGAAGCAAAGTTTATATCTACAATCAACTATCCCTTGGGACTCCTCCTCAGTTTTGCTTAACTCTCTCATTCTGCTTCCCTTTTTTCTGCCCTGATATTCAGTGCTTTTATACGGCCCACCCTATAGACATTTCTTTACTTTCTTGTGACATGAATTGGAATAAATTACAAATAACCCTAAATGTTCTTTGCCTTTCTCCTTCTTTAAATTTTAAACTTATTCCACATTTTAGCTTTTTAAGATCAGACATAACTTCCAAATAGAAGAAACCATGTTTAAAAAAAAATCCATGCTTTTTAATCATTTTCTTATGTAAAAAGCCTCAAGTGGCTGGAATAAGGTCTAAGTAACAAATAAAGAACTAAACTTTTCAGATAAAGGCTCCGAAAGTCCCTCTTGTTTTCAGCTTTCAAAATTCTTTCTCTCTCTCTATCAATATATGGTTCACGTGTAAAAATGTGCTTACCTGTGTAGGGATGAAATTAAGACTGTCTGTCATCTACTCCTCACAAAAGGAAGGAAGTGAGATTATTGTCCTACTTTTTCCTTATCTTTTCTTTTTTTCTCTGTTGGAGGTATAGGATCAACCCTCATCCCTTTTGTTAAATATAAATGAATCATTTAAAAGGTTAATTATTGTAGGTAGGTAACCTGATGCGTTAACCTAATTGCAATACCCAGTTGAAGAAAATCTGATATATAATTTACCAGTATGGCAGGTTTTTTTGGTTTTGTTTGGATTTTTGATGTTTTTTGTTTTTTAATTTTCCTTTCAGGACCATCTTTTTCATTGTTCTCCAGAGTGTACCTTATAGGTAGCTACTCACTCTCCAAATAGGTAAAACTCCCCTCAAGCTATGGATGTCAAAGATAGTAATCTATCCATTTAATCATAAGCTTTTCTTCCAGAAGTTACTGAATGAAAGAGGATTAGAAGATGGTCTGTGTAGCAAAGGATTTGCTTACATTTTGGGCCAGTTTGCTTACCCGTGAAGCAGGCATAGTAAGACTTAGACCCACCTCATGAAGTTGTTGTACGGATCAAATGAGATTTTAAAAAAGCACGTTGAAGTTGGTAAAGCTGAATGTGCTTGCAAAGCATGACATTTACAACTGAAAATCCAATTTGTGCTTTTGTGTTCGTACCTGGAGAAATCACTTAGCTTTTCAGGTCTGCAGTTTTCTCACTCAGATTCGAAAGGTCCCCCATCGATTTAAAAATTGTGGACTTTGGCCAGATGACCTCCTGAGGTCCCCTGATTCTGTAGTTGTAAATGTCCTGTGTAAATCAGGGAAGTAATTCATATACAAGCACAGTATACTGAGGAGAAGTTGGAAGCCAGGTATCATGATTCCTGGCTGAGGACTAGGCTACGTGTTCACTGAATGAGACTGCCCAAGGCTTACCAGAGATTAGATGCTACAGAATGAGAGTGGAATTGTAATATTAGAGATAGAGCCGTGGGGAATCTGGAGTTCCAACCCAGTCAACATGGAGAAATCCTTGTTAACTTCAGTTATCTAGCTGAGATAACACAAAAGATAGGTTTGAGGAACAAGGACCATGCTCTAATATAAGGCCTACTCTAGACCCAGGCTAAGACTAGTAAAAGAAGGCCCCAATTAATTCTTACAGGGTAGACCAAATTTGGACAATGAGTCTCACCGAGATAGAGAAGCCTGGGAAATATCCTGAGCTTTCAGCAGATCAGCATACCAAAGGTTAAATCCAAACCTATACAAGTTCAAGGAGTCAACTATTAACTGACTTATATGTACTAGAATAAAAATCACTGCTCCTCAGAAGAAATTAACAGAACCATATTTGCAATATATCCCATGTTGAACTTTTAATTACCAGACATGCAAAGAATCAGGAACATATGATCTATAGAGCAGAAAAGAGCATGCAGTAGAAATCACCTCTGAGGAGTCCTATTTGGTTTAACAGAAAAAAAAAAAAAAAACAACTAAATTCACCCTTATACATTAAAGAATTAAAGAAAAATGTCATGTTGATGATGGAATAGATAGGAAATCTCAACAGAGAAAGGAAAAGTATTTTAAAATGGAAATTTGACATAGTGAGAACCTGTCTCTACAAAAATGTTTTTAAATACCAGCCAGGTGTGGTGGTGCACACCTATAGTCCCAACTACTTGGGAGGGTGAGGTGAGAGGATTGCTTGAGCCTGGGAGATTGAGGCTGCAGTGAACTTTGATTGTGCCAGCATACTCCGGCCTGGGCAACAAAATGAGACCCTATCTCAAAAAAGTAATAATCATAAAATGAAAATGGAAATTTGATAATTGAAATAGAAATGAAACATTTATTGGATAGTCTTTTTTTTTTTTTTTTTTTTTTTTTTTTTGAGATGGAGTGTCGCTCTTGTCCCCCAGGCTGGAGTGCAGTGGCGCCATCTCGGCTCACTGCAACCTCCGCCTCCTGGGTTCAGGCGATCCTCCTGCCTCAGCCTCCCGAGTAGCTGGGATTACAGGCATGCGCCATCACAGCCAGCTAATTTTGTATTTTTAGTAGAGGCGAGGTTTTTCCATGTTGGTCAGGCTGGTCTCAAACTCCCAACCTCAGGTTGGCCTCCCAAAGTGCTGGGATTACAGGCGTCAGCCACCGTGCCCAGCCTATTGGATAGTCTTAATGGAAAATTAGAGCTGTCAAAAGAAAGAGTCAGTGAACTTCAAAATAGATCAATTGAAATTATTCAATCTGTAGAACAGGGAGTGAAAGGATTTTTACCGAATGAACAGAGCCTCAGTGACATGTAGGACAATTTCAAATGGGTTAACATACATGTGGAACACTAGAAGGATAAAAGAGTGAGAATGAAGCAGATGAAAGACAGTTTTTAAAAATGGCCAACATATTTCTATAATTTAATTTGAAACCATGAATCTTTGATTTACAAATCCCAGAAACTAAGTGAAACCAAGCAGGATAAATACAAAAAATAAAAAAATCACAACTAGAAATACCATAGTCCAGTTGCTGGAAACAAAATATGCAGAGAAAAATAAAAGCAGCCTAAGAAAAAAGGCACAGTGCATAAAGGGAAACTATGATAGCTGAGTCCTTATCAGAAACAGTGAGGACCTGAAGACAATGGAACTTCTTTCAGGGTACTAAAAAAAAAAAAAAAAATTAGCCTAAAATTCTGTAAGCAAAGAAAAAGATCCTTTAAAAACTAGGATTAAATAAAGACAATTTCATATAAACAAATATGAAAAGAATTCATCTCTAGAAAGCACTCTAGAAGAAATGCTAATGAGTGTTCTTCAAGCTGAAGGGAAATGAATCCAGATGGGAGCATGAATCTACAGGAAGGAATGAAGAACACCAGACATGGGCCGGGCACTGTGGCTCATGCCTGTAATCTCAACGCTTTGAGAGGCCAAGGTGGGAGGATCACTTGAGTCCAGGAGTCTGAGACCAGCCTAGACAACATGACGAAACCCTGTTTCTACAAAAAAAAAAAAAAAAAAAAAATTAGCTGAGGATGGTGGCTCATACTCTTGTTCCAATTACTTGGGAGGCTGAGACTGAGGATTCCTGGGCCCAGGACACGGAGGCTGTAGTAAGCCAAGATCACACCACTGCACTCCAGCCTGGGTGATAGAGTGAGACTCTGTCCCCCTGCCAAAAAAAAAAAAAAAAACACAGACATGGTAAATCAGTTGATACATATAGAAAATGTATTTTTTCTTCTCAGAATTCCCTTAAAAGACAACTAACCATTTAAAGCAAAAATAACATGATGAGTTGGCATTTATAATATGTGTAAAAGTGAAAGATGGGACAACAGTATCCCAAAATATTAGGAGGTAGAATTGTAAGGTTCTTACGTTCGTGAAGTAGAAAATATGAACTGTTGGCTGGGCATGGTGACTCATGCCTGTGATCCCAGTGCTTTGGGAAGCTGAGACTGGAGGATCACTTGAGCCCAGGATTTTGAGTTTACACTGAGTTCTGTTTGTGCCACTGCACACTAGCATGGTTGACAGAGTAAAACCTGGTCTCTAACAAAAAAAAGAAGAAAGGAAAGAGAGAAAGAAAGATAGATTACGAAGTGTTCGATGTGAAGTAGTACAATTTCTAATCTAAATAGACTTTGATAAGGTGCATGTTGTTAGCTGTAGAGCAACTACCAAAATAATAACAACAAAAATTTTAAAAACCCTGAAGAGCGGCCAGGCACCATGGCTCAGGCCTGTAATCCCAGCACTTTGGGAGCCCAAGGCGCACGGATCACTTGAGGTCAGGAGTTTGAGACCAGCTTGGCCAACGTGGTGAAACCCCCATCTCTACTAAAAATACAAAAACTAGCCGGGTGTGGTGGCGGGTGTCTGTTATCCCAGCTACTCGGGATTCTGAGGCAGGAGAATTGCTTGAACCTGGGAGGCAGAGGTTGCAGTGAGCCAAGATGGCGCCACTGCACTCCAGCCTGGACGACAGAACGAGACTCTGTCACAAAAAAAAAAAAAACAAACAAACAAAGAAAAAGCACCTGAAGAGCTAACAGAGGAAATAAAATGCAATGCTAAAAATTGTTTCATTTATCCAACCAATAAAGGCAGAAAAGGAACAACAAATAAAGAACAGAAACAACAAATGAATGACATAAATTCAACCATATCAATATTTATGGCAAAATGAAATATAGTAAACACACCAAGTAAAGGACAGAGATACTAGATTAGAAAAAAAAAAGCAAGGCTCAACTGTATGCTGTACATAAGACCTGTACTATCATAAACACTGGCTGGAATTAACGGAAAAAGGTACTTCTTGGAAATAGTAATCCTAAGAAACCTGGCATAGCTATATTAATATCAGACAAAGAGTATTCCCAGAGATAAGAAAAGACCATATAATAAAGATAAAGGGGACAACACATCCAAATGACATAATAATCCTAATAAATATATATCTAATAGAGCTTCAAAATTCATGAAGGACAGACCGACAGAACTAAAGGTAAAACAAATCTGTGGTCACCAGTCATTACTGGGGATTTTGACCTCTATTCCTTAGAAACTGATAGAATTACTAAACAAACAAAAGCAATCAGAAATATAGAAGATCTAAAGACTATTAACTTGACTTATTTAACATTTATAGAATACTACATCTAACAACTGAAGAAAATATATGTTTTTTAAGTGCATATGGAAGTTTCACAGATACAGACCATATGCTGGGCCTTAAAAGTAAGTCTCAGTAAATTTCAGAAGACTGAGATATGCTAAAGTTGTTCTCTAACCACAGTAGAATTCAGTTAGAAGTTAATAAGATACTTAGAAAATGTTTGGAAATTAGATAACATAATTCTAAATACCATGGCTTAGAGAAGAAGGAATGTTAGGACTCGTTTTGAACTGAATGAAAATTCAAATGTGAAGTTTTGTGTTTCACAGTTGAAAAAGTGGTTAGAATGAAATTTTTACCCTTATATACCTGTATTAGAAAAGAAGAAAAGTTGAAATTCATTGATCTTAGTTTCTACACTAAGGTACCAGAAAAAGAAGCAGAGTAAACCACAGTAAGTAGGATAACGGAAATATTAAAGATAACAGAAATCAAACACATAGAAGACAGAGAATCAACAGAAAATTCACAAAATTCATAACCGGGTTCTTTAAAGAATTAAAAAAAAATTGATAGGTCCCTACCAAATGGATCAAGGGAAACAGGAAGGCACATGAATTGCCAATACCTGGAACGAGAGAGGGGTTATCACTCCAGTTTCTAAAGACACGTAAAAAGATAAGACAATATTTTGAGCAAACTTATACCAATAAATTTAATAGACAAAGTCTTTGAAAAATACAATTTATTAAAACTGGCTCAAGAAGGAATAGAAAAGTGAGCAGGCCTTTATCTATTAAAGAAATTGAATTTGTCATATGGAACCAAAAAAGAGCCCAAATAGCCAAGGAAATCCTAAGCAAAAAGAACAAAGCTGGAGGCATTATGCTACCCAACTTCAAACTATACTACAGGACTACAGTAACCAAAACAGCATGGTAGTGGTAGTAAAGCAGACACACAGAGCAAAGGAACAGAATAGAGAACCCAGAAATAAGGCTGTACACCTACAACTATCTGCTCTTCCACCAACCTGACAAAAACAAGCAATGGGGGAAAGGATTCCTTATTCAATAAATGGTCCTGGGATAACTGCCTAGCCATATGCAGAAGATTAAAACTGGACTCTTTCCTTACACCATATACAAAAATCAACTCAAAATGGATTAAAGACTTAAATGTAAAACCCAAAACTATAAAAACCCTGGAAGACAACCTAGGCAATACCATGGGCGCGGGCAAGGATTTCATGACAAAGACGCCAAAAGCTGTTGCAACAAAAACAAACAATGACAAATGGGATCTAATTAAACTATAGAGATTCTGGACAGCAAAAGAAACTACCAAGAGAGTAAACAGACACCCTACAGAATGGGAGATAATTTTTCCAAATTGTGTGACAAAGGTTTAATATCCAGCATCTGTAGGGAATTTAAACAAATTTACAAGAAAAAAACAACCCCATTAAAAAATGGGCAAAGGGCGTGAACAGACACTTCTCAAAAGAAGACATACATGTGGCTAATGAGCATATGAATAAAAGCTCAAAGTCACTGATTATTAGATAAAATGCAAATCAAAACCACAATGAGATACCATCTCATGCTAGTTGGAATGGCTGTTATTACAAAGTCAAATAACAGATGCTGGTGAGGTTGCAGAGAAAAAGGAACTCTTACACACTGTCGGTGGGAGTATAAATTAGTTCAACCATTGTGGAAGATGATGTGGCGATTCCTCAAAGACCTAAAAACAAATACAGTTTGATCCAGCAATCCCATCACTAGGTATGTACCCAAAGGAATATCAATTGTTCTATCATATATACATCATGAAATATTACTCAGCCGTTAAAAGTAACGAAATAATGTTTTTTGCAGCAACTTGGATGGAGCTGGAGGCCATTATTCTAAGTGAAGTAACACAGGAGTTAAAAACCAAAAGCCTTATGTTCTCACTTATAAGTGGGAGCTAAGCTATGAGTATGTAAAGGCATACAGAGTGATATAATCGACTTTAGAGACTCCGAGGGGGTGGGGGAGGGAAGATATGGATAAAAATCTATATATTAGGTACCACGTGTATATAGTACTCAGTTGATGGGTGCACTAAAATCTTAGAATTCACCACTGTATAACTCAGTCTTGTAACAAAAAAACACTTAAACCCCAAAAGCTATTTGAAATAAAACAAGACACATGTACACATATGTTCATTGCAGCACTGTTCTCAATAACAAAGACATGGAATCAACCTAAATGCTCATCAGTGGTGGACTGGATAAAGAAAATGTAGTGCCCATACACCATGGAATATTGTGCAGCCATAAAAACGAACAGGATCATGTCTTTTATAGGAACATGGATGGAGCTAGAGGTCATTATCCTTAGCAAACTAACGCAGGAACAGAAAACCAAATACCACATGTTCTTACAAGGGGAGCTAAATGATGGCAACACATGGACCCATAGAGGGGAACAACAGACTCTGAGGTCTATTGGAGGGTGGAGAGTGGAGGGTGGGAGAAGGGAGAGGATCAGGAAAAATGACTAATGAGTACTAGACCTAATACCTGAGCGATGAAATAGTCTGTACAACAAGACTTCGTGACACAAGTTTACCTATTTAACAAACCTTCACATGTGCCCCTGAACTTAAAAATTAAGAAAAAGAAAGAAAAAGAAATAGAATTTATAATCAAAAACATTCCTACAAAGAAAACTCCAGGCCCCAATGGCTTTACTGTTGAATTCTACCAAATGTTTAAGCAAGATGTAATACCAGTCTTAGAGAAACTCATTCACAAAATAAAGAAGGTATTATAGAAATACTTACCAAGTCAGCTTAGAATTGTGACCCTCCTGCCTAAACTTGACAAAGACATTGCAAAAGAATAAATTACACATCAGTGTCACTCATGAACATTGACATAAAAGTCCCTAACAAAACCTTAGCAATTTGAATTCAATATAAATAAGAAAGCTAATATATCACAACCAGGTTGGCCTTATTTCTAGAATGTAAGGTTTGTTCAGTATTCAAAAATGAATTAATTAAACTCACTACCTGAACAAAATACAGAAAAAAATCATTTAGTCACCTGAGAACATTCAGAAAGGCTTTTAATAAAAGGCAACACCCATTTATGATAAAATATCTTAGCTGACTAGAGATAGAAGGTAATTCAGCTTAGTAAAGAGCATCATGAAAAATTTACAGCTGACATCATACCTAATGATGTAAGCTGAACCCTGAGATTGCAAAAGAGATAACAATGTCTATATCCCCCTATTCAATACTATATTGGAGATCCTAGTAATGCAAGAAAAGAAGGAGGGAAAAAGCATAAAATTCAAAAGAAAATTCTAAAACGTATGTATTCATAAACATGGTTGTTTAGGGCATTTTAGGCATAGTTTGGGGATACTGCAAGTTTTGTTCCAGACTACTGAAATAAAGTGCATATTGTAATAAGGCGAGTCACGCAAATTTATTGGTTTCCCAGTGCTTATAAAAGTTATATGTAAGCAGGGTGGAATGGGTCACGCCTGTAATCCCAGCACTTTGGGGCCATGGAAGGTGGATTGCTTGAGCCCAGGAGTTCAGGACCAGCCTGGGCAACATAGAACCTGTCGCTACAAAAAAAGAAAATAAATAGCGGGGCATGGTGGCACACACCAGTGGTCCCAGCTACTCGGGAGGCTGAGGCAGGAGGATTGCTTGAGCCCAGAAAGTCAAGGCTGCAGTGAGCTGTAATCGCATCACTGCACTCCAGCCTGGGTGATAAAGTGAGATCTTGTCTCGAAAAGAAAAAGTTATATGTACACTATGCTATAGTCTGTTAAATGTGCAGTAGCGTTGTGTCTTAAAAAATGTGCATACTTTAAAAATGCTTTATTTAAAAAAAATTCTCCTGATCATCTTGAGCCTTCAGGGAGTCATGATCTTTTTGCTGGTGGAGGGTCCTGCCTCTATCTTGATGGCTGCTGACTGAGCAGAGTGGTGGTTGCTGAAGGTTCGGGTAGCTGTAGCAATTTCTTAAAATAAGACAGTAATAAAGTTGCCACATCAATGGACTCTTCCTTTCACAAAAGATTTTTCTGAAGCATGGGATGCTGTTTGATAAGCATTTTACCCACAGTAGAACTTCTTTCAAAATTGGAGTCAATCCTCTCAATCTTGATGCTGCTTTACCGGCCGGGCGCCGTGGCTCACGCCTGTAATCCCAGCACTTTGGGAGGCCGAGGCAGGCGGATCACAAGGTCAGGAGATCGAGACCATCCTGGCTAACATGGTGAAACCCCGTCTCTACTAAAAATACAAAAAAAAATTAGCTGGGTGTGGCGGCGTGCACCTGTAGTCCCAGCTGCTGGGGAGACTGAGGCAGGAGAATGGCATGAACCCAGGAGGCGGAGCGTGCAGTGAGCTGAGATCTCGCCACTGCACTCCAGCCTGCATGACAGAGCAAGAGTCCATCTCAAAAAAAAAAATAAATAAATAAAAATAATTCTATCGGCCAGGCGTGGTGGCTCACGTCTGTAATCCCAGCACTTTGGGAGGCCAAGGCGGGGCATCACCTGAGGTCGGGAGTTTGAGACCAGCCTGACCAACATGGAGAAACCTTGTCTCTACTAAAAATACAAAATTAGCTGGGTGTGGTGGCGCATGCCTGTAATCCCAGCTACTCAAGAGGCTGAGGCAGGAGAATTGCTGGAACCCGGGGGCAGAGGTTATGGTGAGCCAAGATCACGCCATTGCACTCCAGCCTGGGCAACAAGAGCAAAACTCCATCTCAGAAAAAAAAAAAAAAAGAATTCCATTAGCTATATCCAAGGTTTGATATATATCTAGATTTTTTTTTCTCATGTATGATGAAGTCTCTGGATTCCTGAGTGTTTCTTTTTAACCTATTTAGGGTGTGGTGGTTTCATTTCATAAAATTGGGAGTTGGGAGAGAGGTATTTGTTGTGGAGTTCACAGTATTATTGTATTGTGGTGAAAAAACATAGTCTATAAAAGGAAAACACAGGAGGTGTAAATACCACTACAGTCAAGATTTTAAAACTATCCACTGACCAGATGTACTGGCATTGAACTGTTGATTTTTGTCCTCAGGCTGGTGTCAAGTGATGCCATCCTTTTGAGTGTTCCTAGGTCTCTTCCTTAGATATATGAAAATGTTTCTCAGAAGTCCTGATATCCAGCCTCCCCCAACAGTAGACTTTTACTCACATCTGTTAGGCTAGACAGAGTCCCGTGCCAAGTCATTGAGGAGGGAAAGTGGGATTATCGTTCTTGGCCTAATCTAATCAGCACCTACCTCTGAGGTTTAGAGATAGTCTTTAAGGCACTCTGCGAAGGCAAGATACATGAAAAACAGTTGGAAGCACAACTGGTTAAGCAGCCAAAAGAGTCTTCGGTTGTCTCTGAGTTGCTATCTTTCAATATGCCTGGGTGTCAGCCAATTTATTGGAAGGGAGAAAGAATATTGGTTGATCTGGAGAGTCTGATAATTGGCATTCTGTTAGGAGAACCTCTGTTATGCTTATTTAAAGGCCCTTTAACACAGTTCTATTATTTCGAGTTTTTACAATGTGAAGTCTTCTGTTTGTTGTAACTCTTTTTTTTTTTTTTTTTTTTTTTTTTTTGAGACGGAGTCTCGCTCTGCTGCCCGGGCTGGAGTACAGTGGCGTGATCTCGGCTCACTGCAAGCTCCGCCTCCCGGGTTGACGCCATTCTCCTACCTCAGCCTCCCGAGTAGCTGGGACTACAGGCGCCCGCCCCCACGCCCGGCTAATTTTTTGTATTTTTAGTAGAGACGGGTTTCACCGTGTTGGCCAGGATGGTCTCGATCTCCGGATCCACCCACCTTGGCCTCCCAAAGTGCTGGGATTACAGGCGTGAGCCACTGCTCCCGGCCTGTTTGTTGTAACTCTTAAACGAGGACTTGTTTTCTAATCTTTGGTAGCTGTGCTTCTGTGGAGCTACTTTCCTTGGGAGTCCTGTTCCTTCAGAGCAGCGTCCAGGTTCTCTCTCTGGGGACTTAGTACACTCACTCTTTCTGGACCAGTTTTTATGTTAATTTCTGTGCTTGGGATTCTGTGTGTCTCTCATGCATCAGTGATTTCTAATGAGTAATTCTTTTCCTACCCATAGCCTAAGAGTCTTTGTTGCTTCATTGGGCTAGTAAGTAAAGTTTTTCTAAAGGTCTCTATTTTTACAGGGATAGTCAACCTTTGTGACTTTCTTTAACTTTATGCAGAAAGGTTAGTTCCATCTCCTCCTGAGCCCCAGTCCTGGGATCTCCTCCCTAAGGCTTATAACCCAGTTTTTAACCTACCGCTCCCTCGCCCCACCCCCGTAAGTTATTTCCACTTAAACTCATCAGCTATAACTGAATTCTTTGTTATTAGCACTTCTCCTGCTTTGGCTAAAGCTCAATACCTAATTATTATTTTCTTTTTATGCACTATTTTTATGAGTTTGGAGCAAGAGGGGAGGGTCATGTTGGGTTCCTTCACAATATTTATCACAAGTACAAGTTCCAATTTAAGCTAATTTATTTTCAGTCTGTTAGGATTTTTTTCTCCTTCTCTCCTAATTTTTGTCAACTGTTATTTTTGTAATCATTCTTTTTCTTCCTGAAGTCTTCAAAATCCATCAGATGGATTTGATTGTTGCTTTTTAGATATATATCTGTTGCAAAGTTTTTGCCATTGCTTATGGGATGGGATGAATTACAGCTCTCTTAAACAACAGTTTTCTGTGGAAAGGCAGCAGAAGGCAATGATGAAAGATGTACTTCCTGCTCTTCATCTCTATTTCTGAAATCTTATTTTGTTTCCTGAGTTTCTGTAAGAGTTACTTCTGCTTAAAACTTCTGCCTTTACCCAAACTTTATGGTGTCTTCTGGAATAGTTTATTTTTCCAGTATACTTTAAAGAAAAAAAAACCTTCGGTTCTCAGCCTGCTCATGACATCCAGCTCCTGTTGCTTTGGCTCAGAGTTCCATTCTACCTCATGATAAACACCTTCGTATCTCATTATATCTTAAATTCTCTAAGCTCTAGGAGCAGACTTACAGAGGGAGCATACTGTACTATTTAAATGAGCCATGACAGGCCTGGGAGTGGAACTTACTGCTGGGAAGTAGACCAGGTGGTATTAAAGGGGCTTGTTCCATGTGGCAATTGCTCCACCCGTTAATACTGAAGTAGAAAATTGGAGGAGTAAACCACGTTCAGTTGCTAATTTCCTGTGGAGATAAGACAGACACACTGTGCTTGTGTATTTCCATCTCTCCATGTAAAACTGTATTGGAAAACATTTCTTTTTATTTCTAGGTCTGATTTTTTTGTTGTAGTTTTATTTTATTGGCAGAGTTCATGTAGCTAAACCCCTCAGTGCTTCAATTTAAGACATCGGGAGATGAATGAAATTGTTATGTTATTAAGTAGATGCTGCAGCTCTGCTTGCTAGGGATGAAATCCTATTTTATGAAATAATATAGTGTGAAGCTGTCAGTAATTTCCAATTGTAGAAGAGGCCTAATCAGAAAGTTGGGTTTTTTTTGTTTTTTGTTTTTTGTTTTTTTTAGACAGGCCCAGACAGTTTTTTGACCAGACATCTATACATGTTTCAGTGAGTTAATTACTCATTTTATTGTAATTTCATCTGTTAGAAAGTACCCAAATAATTGCAAAGTTTATGTATATAAACTTTTATGGATATATCACAGGCAAACAATAGGTGATCTTTGGCATGGTTGTAGTTGGGAGGTTTCAGATGGAGATACTGTGGGCACATGCCCTCTTCTTCCCAGCTGGCATCCTGGGAAGTGCTGACGGGCTCCGGAGCAAGTGAGGCCCTAGAGACTGTTTATGACACGTCAGTGTTCATTTGTGTCTCATCTCTTTGATCGCTAAGAAGATACCTGTTTTACTAAAGCTCAGCTGTTGTCAGTTTCTTTGGATTGATTGTCTTAAAGGGAAAGATAAATCAACTTTGTTTTTTTCCTGAAGATAGCTAATCAGGTCATTTAATTTTGGACCAATAAGTAAAAGAATAACTGAGTTTAATGAGTATTGCGTAAAATAAGTTCTTGGTGATTTGACCCTGGGTTGACTTGGCATGAATTTTCTTTCTTTTCAACTCCCTGCTGCCCACTTTGTGGTGTTGTATGAATAATGAGTCCACAGGCCCTGTAAACATGTTAGGTGAGGTGTTTGTTGTTTATTAGTAGTTGGGATTAAATAGAAGTTGCACACTGAAATTGAGTGAAGTGACTTTTCTGCAGTTAACTTGGATGTCATTGGTTTGAAGGAGTTTTTCTGTTGCAGCTGCTTGTCCTACTACTTTTAGCTGTGGGTGCATCCTTTCTGCGTCCTGCTAAAAATTATATTCTTGTTTTCACTTTTAAAACCTAAGACGGTTCCAGAGCTGTGTTTGGTTTTTGCTTTAAACTAATGCCCGAGCGCCCCTTTAGTTAGTCACCAATCACTGTTTAGGTAAGTTGATGATTCCTTTTTGCTACCCAAGATTTTTTTATTTAAAATTGAGCATTTTTAACTTGCTTTTTAGGTCAGAGGATCAATGTCCTCTGTGGTATTCCTCCTCCATCTAAGCTTCTTAAAGCAGTATTATAAATAGAGGCTTTCAACCTAAAAAGTACTGTGTATTTCATTGACTAGAACTGAACTGAACTGTAGGCTAATAAAAAGTACCAAATGAAAATATTATGGTATCTCATTGCACTCCATTGTAGATGTAATGTAGTGTGACCAGCAGTAGCTTTGATTCATTGTAAATCCCATCTGAATACTGACAACAGTTCAAAACATCAGGAGATAAACCTCAAAGGTCACATTTGTGTGAATGGTCATTGTGCATATAAGACATCATTTTATTATTTGAAAACTAGTAGTGTAGCTCTTAAGACAGGGCAGTGTCCTAACCTCTGACAGGGATAGAGGCGAGAGGAGAATCAGTGGGCTGCCAAACAGTCATGTGTTCATAGGTGAGGTTCTGTTTCTTCTTTAGCTGTTACTATTGTTATTATTATTATTATTATTATTTGCATGAATGGTAGCAGTTACTTCACAGGCAAATTTCCTATGAATCCCAGAGTATTGCAACAGATTAGCAGCAAATAAAGACCTGAGATAAAGAAAAAAAAAATGCTTTTATTCAGTTATATTAAAATTAGGACATTTCAATAAAAAACTAAAGCAGCTTATGTTGTTCTGCATGCATAAATTGAAAGAATACTTGAAAATTCTTCAAACTTGATGGTAGACATTATCTTACAGCTTTCTTAAAGGAAGTCAGTTTCTTGGCAGTAGGACAGAGGTTCCCAACATTACTTGGTTCTAGCACAATCACTAAATTTTTCGTGACTTTTAGACCAAAATAAATACTTAACAGTTCCTAACAGTTTGTTGTGTTCCAACAGTTTGTAATCATGTCAAAAAATAATAGACATATTAGTAATAATAAATTGAAAGAAAATATTTTAATTTCTTATTACTTACTCATCAAATGTGTGATTGTTGGGCATGGCACAGTTTTTTAAACCTTGGAATCAGATTGGCCACTGCCAACTTCATTTCTTGTTCCACGCTAATTTCTGTGCAGAACTGTGCTGTGCTTTTAGTCACAGTGCTGCGGTCTGAATGGTTATGTCCCCCCAAAATTCATGTGTTGAGATTCTGACCCCAAGGTGATCATATTAGGAGGTGTGGAGCCTTTGGGAGTGATTAGGTCTTGAAGGTGGAGTTCTTATGAATGGGATTCGTGTCCTTGTAGGAGAGACCCCAGAGAACTCATTTGCCCCTTCCACTGTGTGAGAAAAGCTGTGAGTAGATGCCATCTGTGAACCAGAAAGCGGACTGTCACCAGATACTGAATCTTACAGCACTTTGATTTTAGGCTTTCCAGCCTCTGGAACTGTGAGAAGTAATTTTTTGTTGTTTATAAGCTACCTAGTTTATGATATTTTGTTACAGCGGCTTGAATAGACTAAGATACACCGCAACCATCAAAAACTCAATTTCGAAGAGATGGAATATCATGAACAATAATTTTGCATGATGTCGTATTGAACTGTGAAATACCACAAGCTAGTAATTTGCACACTGTCTGACAGCACTGTGTTTCTCAAAATTTAAAATGCTCTGCAGTACCCCTGTGAGTTCCCTGGGGTGCTGCAGTGCACAATTTGGGAACTGTGGTAGTATTGTAGATAGTAAGATTATCTAATAATAAGTATTGATGACATCTTAGTTTAGGAATAATTATTAGTATGTCAGACTATAGGGGAAGTGAGTAAATCATATACTAGGTTGTTATCAGAATGATTATGAATTTCTTCACCCACCTGTGGAGAGACAGCATGGCCTATTTTTTTACTCTGACCCCAATAAGAAAAGTATTCTGTACCTTCCCCCTTCTCTCTCCCTTTTTGTCTCTTCGTTATCTCTCACTCTTGCTCTAACAGACACACACATAGTGAAATAAGTATTTAACAAAACAGTATTCTCATTATGTGCACTCTGACTTTTTTTTTTTTTTTTTTTAATGTCTCCTTAAGACCTACTGAACTGACGGAAACTAGTTAAGGTCACAGACTCGAGAGACTGACGACTTTAAAATGGCCTTCACCATTTCCTGTCTGTGTGACTGTAAGCAAGTTATGTAACCTCTCAGTTACTCAGTTTCCTCGTCTATAGAGTGGTAATTTGTAATAGTACCTAGTGCTGAGGGGATTTGTTTTCTTTTGTTTTGTTTTGTTTTGTTTTGTTTTGTTTTGAGACAGAGTCTCGTGCTGTCGCCCAGGCTGGAATGCAATGGTGCGATCTTGGCTCGCTGCAAGCTCTGCCTCCCGGGTTCACGCCATTCTCCTGCCTCAGACTCCTGAGTAGCTGGGACTACAGGCACCCGCCACCATGCCTGGCTAATTTTTTGTATTTTTAATAGAGAAGGGGTTTCACCGTGTTAGTGCTGAGGGGATTTTAAGGAAGTTAATACATGTAAAACACTTTAAACAGTTCTTTTTTATTTTATTTTATTTTATTTTATTTTATTTTGAGGAACAGTTTTGCTCTAATCTCCCAGACTGGAGTGCAATGGGACGATCTCGGCTCACTGCAACCTCTGCCTCTTCCTCAGCCTCCCAAGTAGCTGGGAATACAGGTGCGCGCCAACAGGCCCATCTAATTTTTTTGTATTTTTAGTAGAGATGGTGTTTTACCATGTTGGCCAGGCTCGTCTCGAACTCCTGACCTCAGGTGATCTGCCTGCCTTGGCCTCCCAAAGTGCTGGAATTACAGGCAGGAGCCACACCGCGCCTGGCCATTTAAACAGTTCTTGATCAGTAATTACTGCTTTATTACTAGAATCTCAATGAATAATCAGAGGCTAAAACATTTGGGAAATTAGGGAGATGCAGTAGTTCTGTGCTCTAAAGGGTACTGCATACAGTCAAAAGGCTTTTCTGAATTTCTGCTCTTGGGCAGATAGATTGTGTATCCCTTGCCAAAGATTTTCCGTATTTATCCTCTTGAATCTGGATCCAGTTGAGTAGTAAACGGGAGTCAAAATAAGGGAGATGAAAATACTATCGTCATTACTGACAAAGCTGATTAGAGAACATGACTTTATATTTGCAGCCAAGTAGCTTCACTAGTATATCACTCCTGCCACCAGCACAGCTGCATAACTGCAGGCTTCTTACTGCGTGGCAGAGAGTAGAACAGGATGGACCTTCTGCATAAGCAGCCAGGTCTGAAGAGGGGAGAGCAGAAGGGGCTGAACTGAGTGTGTTCACCTCTTTCTTCAAAATCTGCCAATGATATAACTCACAAGGGAGGGAGACAAGAAACATAGGCACAGAAATGTGAAGAATGAGAATATCACCTTAACAAAGGAAACATTTTATAAGGATACAGGAGGTCCATAATCAAGTTCATGTTTTGTAACTTTTAGTAGTTAGGTATCCTTTCTGGCACAAACTTTAAAAACAGATACACCAGGGTTTGAATTCTGCCTGTGTCACTTAATTGCACTGGCTTAGGCATCCTAGAATTTCTAAGAGCCGTAAAACAGACAAAACTACTTGGCAAGAAAAATTGACCACTGACTTCTCTCCCCTGTTCTGTTGATACAACATTAAATTTATCAATGTTTGTTTTTGTCAAACTTCAGTAGTGTTAGAGGTATGAGATCAGCCTTAGTTGATTAGAGGTATGAGATCAGCCTTAGTTGATTAGTAAAAAGGATTTTATATGCCTAAGATAGCAAGAGAGATATGCCTTTGATCTTTCTTATTTATAGGAAAATAATTTATTAACCTAATTTTTATTGTCACTTCTAACCTAAATACATAGTTGTCCTATTAATGGGGACCTTTTTTTCCCGTGAGCATCTGAAACAGTCTTTTTTTTCTATGTATGTGAAGTGGTAATAGTTTTTCTCGTGTATCAGGCAACTACCAACTTATTTTAGACCAGAAATTCTTGGAAATGGTACCGATCCAGTTGGCATAAAATGTGCAAGCACTATTCTATTGATTCCTCAAAAAGATGCAATTGCTTTACTCATAGAGTTATCAGTTATTTTTCTGGCTATTTCACTTGAAGTAGCCATGCTTTGTCTTTTTTTCTATGGAGATACGTGGCCAAAACTAAGTCTTTTCACCAGCTGGATGATAGGAAATTTGATAAAATTTGAGCAGTATAAAAACTTTCCCATTGACTTTATATGATTGAATTTCCACTATGTAAAATTAAACTAATTATTTCTTATGCTACCCAATATATAGTTTATTATTTGAAAACTATGTCCCCATTTTTCCTCAAGAACATGATTTTGTCTTTTGCATCTCAGTGCAGGGGTTGGACAGCATAATTTCTTCTCCTAGAAACACATTTTCTGCTGCTTGTAGCTACTATTTCTATTTTTTCATCAACAGCTACAGGAGTAAGTGGAGTTCCTGACATCTCTGTGTAATCAGTGGTATGATCACATACCCCATATTGACTTTTTCTTTTGAAGTTTATGCTGCTGTCTCTTCAGTACCTTGAGCTTGACCTCTAGCTTTAAGCAGTAAAGGTATCAAAGAAAATCAGTTGCCAGAGTCAGTCTGTTTGCTTGTGTCCTCCTAACCCACTGATGGCACCTCTGACTCCTTGACATTGTATTATTTGTTTCTCAGAGAAGTAAAGCAATTTTTTTTTTCCTCTGTCACCCAGGCTGGAATGCAGTGGCGGGATCTCGGCTCACTGCAACCACCTCCCGGGTTTGAGTGATTCTCATGCCTCAGTTTCCCGAGTAGTTGGGATTATAGGTGCCTGCCACCATGCCTGACTAATTTGTGTATTTTTAGTAGAGACGAGGTTTCACCATGTGGGTCAGGCTCGTCTCAAACTCCTGACCTCAAGTGATCTGCCCAGTTTGCCCTCCCAAAGTGCTGGTATCACAGGCGTGAACCACCACACCCGGCCAAAGCAGTTTTTTTTACATATAGACATTTAATATATTGACTTTGGTTGATTCTTACCTCACTTCCAAGATAATTGTTTCTGTTAAATTACATGTATTTTTAGGCTTGAGTCATCCACTATATTTATGAGTTGGTCATTTCTTTCATGAGTTGAGCTTGTTTTTAAAAGTTCTACTTTTAAAGTCCCCTTCTGTCTCTCCTGCAGCCACTTTCACTGTAACATTTATCATGTTATTCCTGGCAGCCAGTCTTCTTAACTCTCCATCATTACTTTTGGCAGGTTACAGCAGTATCACTTAGGGTTCTCTTAGTTCATTTTTAATGAACATCCAAAAGATGCTCCTATTGCAATAAAACCATAAGAAAAGATTAATAGAATAAGGGTTTATTCTATTAATAGGCAATTTGGGGCTGCTACAGTGGCTCCATGATACCAATGGTTCTGGGCTCTTTCTTTTCCGCTATCCTTAGTATATGGCCTTCTTCCTCCTGCTTGCAAAATGGTGGCATACAGAAGCCTTTCCTACATATTCCAGAATATGAAGAAAGACAAGGGGGAAAAGGGACGTGCCAACTGGTTAAACAACAATCACCATATCAAAGACCCACCCACTAGATTTCTTCTTCTTACTGGCCAGAACTTTGTAGCGTGCCCACCCTCTATACACAACAGGCTGCAAAGGAGGCTGGAATATCACGTTTTAGTTGGGCAGTGACTATCCAGTGCAAAATCCAGATTCCGTTAGTAAAGGATGTTGATGGAGTGGATGGATATTAAACAGAGATTCAACTTTCCTGTTCAGAAACGTGTTATAACTCCATATATTGCTTTAATTCTATCTATCCTAGATAGACTTACAAGGCTAGAATAAGACCTTTAGAGGCACTAACCAACCACCAAAAAGAGGCTAATCACCTCCCATATGTAAATCAAATTGTACAAAAAATTGAAAAAAATACATGTAAAGACCGAAAACATTTTGATTTATCCTATGACGTTTCAGTATTTTTCTGGAAGTATTAAATATTCTAAAATTTTTTTTTTTGCCCGGGTACGGTGGCTCATGCCTGTAATCCCAACACTTTGGAGGCCAAGCTGGGCGGATCCCCTGAGGTCGGGAGTTCGAGACCAGCCTGGCCAACATGGTGAAACCCTGTCTCTACTATAATACAAAAATCAGCCGGGCATGGTGGTAGGTGCCTATAATCCCAGCTACTCGGGAGGCTGAGGCAGGAGAATTGCTTGAACCTGGAAGGCGGAGTTTGCTGTGAGCCCAGATCACACCATTGCACTTCAGCCTGGGCAACAGAGTGAGACTCTGTCTAAAAACATAATAATAATAAATTAAATTAAATTAAAGTGTGTGGTAGTGATAATGGGCTGGAGGGTATGGTGAGTCTATGTTGCTGACATGCTAACCCACATCCTGTCTACTTCATCAGTATTTCCTATTGTATTAGAAAGATGAGAAGGTTCCTTAAATTTTTAACTCCATAGAGGTGATTCATTTACTATAAAGCCTTAAGAAAAATACTTACCCTATCTGGGCCTCTGTTTCTCCATCCATGAAATGAGAACATTGATCATAATAGAAAAGTAGGCAAAGAATATAATCAAGCAATTCACAAAACTATACACGCAGATGACTAATAAAATTATAAGAAAATATTAAGCCTCACTTATGACAAAAGAAGATTAAATTTAAATAAAAAGTTCCTTTCTAAAAATGTAACATAGTAGCAGAGATGTAATACCCAGTGGCAATAAGAATATAAAGAAACAAGTATTTGAGTGTAAAGATAGTCTGAAGTAGTAAACGAGGGCAACTAGGTGTATTTATCAAAGGTTTTAAAAAATGCGCAAAAACTTTTGACCCTGCAATTCTACTTTGAGGAACTTTCCTACCTGAATTTTTGACAAGCACACAATGATTGACCCTGGTAAATTGACATAAGGTATTTTTAACTCCAGCCAGTTTTTTTCTTTACTGTAGTAATTTGTGTGAAGCTTTCTAAGAAGTAAATATGTAATTTACTGTCAAAGCTTTTTTCTTTTAGAAAATCTAAGCCATGAACATTTAATATGTTTTCGTTTTACCTTATATTAGGAAGATAATGGCAATCTTTTAAAAATAAAAATTATTTCTTTGTTCATATCTTAATTTTTGTTTCAATCTGTCTGTCCATTTTGGTCTTGTCTATTTTACCTCTGGGCTCTATCTTTACTACAACCAGTCTTCCTAACTCTTCTCCCAACTTTCAGAAGTAGTTTTCTAACTATGTCAATGAAGTATTTCCAAATGAAACTTGCCAAATGGTCTAATGCCATAAAGACTTCTGCTTCTGTCTTCATTGGATTTTAGTCAGTAAATTTTCTTTCTTTTTTATTTATTTGTTTATTTATTTATTGAGAATGGAGTCTCACTCTCTCTGCTCACTGCAACCTCTGCCTCCCGGGTTCAAGCAATTTTCCTTCCTCAGCCTGCCAAGTAGCTGGGACTACAGGTGTGCACCACCACATTTGGCTAATTGTATTTTTAGTACAGGTGGGATTTCACCATGTTGTCCAGGCTGATCTTGAACTCCTGACGTCAGGTGATCCACCCACCTCGGCCTTCCAAAGTGCTGGGATTATAGAAGTGAGCCACTGCGCCCAGCCCATATTCAGAAGTTTTCTACAGTTTTTTTGTTTTGTTTTGTTTTGTTTTTTTGAGATGAAGCCTTGCTCTGTCACCCAGGCTAGAGTGCAGTGGTGTGATCTTGGCTCACTGCAACCTCCACCTCCCAGGTTCAAGCTATTCTCCTGCCTCAGCCTCCCAAGTATCTGGGATTACAGGTGCCCGCCACAACGCCTAGCTAATTTTTGTATTTTTAGTAGAGACGGGGTTTCACCATGTTGGCCAGGCTGGTCTCGAACTCCTGACCTCAGGGGATCCGCACTTTTGGAGGCCGAGGTGGGCGGATCTACAGGATTTTAAAACATGAAGTTGTGCCTCTTCCCAAATTTATTCTCAGACTTATTTTTTTACTAGTTTTATTTCTGAATGGCACATTAGAGAGAGAGAAAGCCAGAGAGAGAGAGAGCGAGAGAGAGGAAAGAAGAGACAAGGTGGGACCGATGGTATAATTGAGTTCATAGAAAGACAGTGAAGTGAATCATGGGTGTTTCATCACTTTACAAAACTGATAACAATAATATCATTTCTAGAAACGTGAATTTACAGTATGAAATGGTAAACATTTTTTTTTTTTGAGACGGAGTCTCACTCTGTCGCCCAGGCTGGAGTGCAGTGGTGCAGCCTTGGCTCACTGCAAGCTCCACCTCCAGTGAGCCATTCCCCTGCCTCAGCCTCCCCCAGCAGCTGGGACTACAGGTGCATGCCATCACGCCCGACTAATTTTTTGTATTTTTAGTAGAAATGGGGTTTCACCGTGTTAGGCAGATGGTCTTGATCTCCTGACCTCGTGATCCACCCGCCTCGGCCTCCCAAAGTGCTGGGATTACTGGCTTGAGCCACCGCGCCCGGCTGGTAAACATCTTTTTATAGCTAATGGGCACTTTTAGGCTAACTGAGCAGTGAACACTATTAAATATATGAGAAGCTTTTTAAACCACCTTCCACTTAATTCATAACTACTTGTCAGGTTGAGACTTTCTTTTCTCTGTTAACCATGCCAATTTTTGCTCAGAGCATGCTGAAAAAGCTACTAGATTACTGTCACATATACCAGGCATGGCTCTGTTAACCTGTTTAGTTGTATTATTGCTGAAAAGTTATTTATTCCAGCTATTCTTGATATTTTAATTATATATTTTTATTATTATAAGAAACCAATGACATACTCATATGAAAAAATATCTCTGTGAAATAAAGCAAAATGTTTTGGAAAAGGGATGCAGGTAAGTCATTTCAAAATTGCTGTTGTTAATGCGGGAGAGGATTTGGAAAAATAGGAACGCTTTTATACTGTTGGTGGGAGTGTAAATTAGTTCAACCATTGTGGAAGACACTGTGGCGATTCCTCAAGGATCTAGAACCAGAAATACCATTTGACCCAGCAATCCCATTACTGGATATATACCCAAAGGATTATAAATCATGCTGCTATAAAGACACATGCACACGTATGTTTATTGCAGCACTGTTCACAATAGCAAAGACTTGGAACCAAACCAAATGCCCATCAATGATAGACTGGATAAAGAAAATGTGGCACGTGGCCAGGCATGGCGGCTCATGCCTGTAATCCCAGCACTTTGGGAGGCCGAGGCGGGTGGATCACCTGAGGTCAGGAGTTCAAGACCAGCCTGGCCAACATGGTGAAACCCCATCTCTACTAAAAATACCAAAAATTAGCTGGGTGTAGTGGCAGGCACCTGTAATCCCAGCTACTCAGGAGGCTGAGACAGGAGAATCGCTTGAATCCAGGAGGCAGAGGTTGCAGTGAGCCGAGGTCATGCCATTGCACTCCACCCTGGGCAACAAGAGAGAAACTCTGTCTCAAAAACGAAAAAAAAAAAAAAAGAAAATGTGTAACATATACACCATGGAATACTATGCAGCCATAAAAAAGGATGAGTTCATGTCCTTTGCAGGGACATGGATGAAGCTGGAAACCATCATTCTCAGCAAACTAACACAGGAACAGAAAACCAAACACCGCATGTTCTCACTCATAAGTGGGAGCTGAACCGTGAGAACACATGGACACAGGGAGGGGAACATCACACACGGCCTGTCGGGGGATCAGGGGCTAGGAAAGGGATAGCATTAGGAGAAATACCTAATGTAGATGATGGGTTGATGGGTGCAGCAAACCACCATGGCACATGTATACCTATGTAACAAACCTGCACGTTCTGCACGTGTATCCCAGAACTTAAAGTATAATTTTAAAAAAAGTAAATCCAAAAAAAAATTGCTGCTGTTGAATTAGGTTAACAGTTACTGAATATTGGGAGACTTTTTGAAACCTCACAGTTTGAAATTGGCATTGTATTTCAAATGTCTGCATACTGACTAGCCCCACTTTCACACAACCAGAGCTGAAAAGGATGTGAAAAAGACAATACTGAACCTAAGTCATCAGATTATATGGTGATCTTTGGATCTCGTCTAAATGAAAAACCAGCAAAGCAGCTTCAAAGCAGCAAAACACTCTCTATATACTTTCTTTATTCTTTAAGAAATATTTTAGTTAATCACCTAGCAGACTTGAGTGTCACATAAAGGGGCTTCTTCTATAGTTTCTCATAAATAATTTGCTGATTCTGGGAACTCTAAAAGGTAAATATTTTATGTAGCATGTGTATATTGTAAATTATTTATAAAAATGTTTTAAAAGACCTAATCCTGAAATAGTAAATAACTAAAAATTTACAAATACTATTCTCAAATAGTAAATAAGTATATATGAGCTTTCAAGTTAGAACTAAAATTTCCATGATGTGATATCTATTTTAAGATTTGTTTATCAAGGAATATTGTAATTTGGGAGGATTTTTTAAAAGCAGATTTTATTTTTTCTGCCCTTCACAAAAACTAAATCTGAGCCTTGGGAAATCAGGGCAGCTGCATCATGATGTGACTTGCCTGGGGTTTGGTATTTTGCTGAGATACCTGCCAGTTGGAATTAGAACCCTATGGGTATAACTAGGGTAGACTTAATTATTGGCTTACTGTATTTAAATCAAAATGAAAAGCTCATACAAAATTTTGTACCCGTACTCTGAAAAAATGTGGAACTGTTTTTGGACTAAAATTTTATAGCTTTTGTGGCTAATGAGGCATGAAATAAATTGGCAAGCTCAAACTGTTCGGAGTACAGTGGTACAGTGTGCATTTTCTAATTCCCAGCCCTTGGGATTCCAGCAAAGGTCACAAATTAAACAAAGTCAGGATTAATCAAGACTATAATCAAATAAAACTCAATCATTAATCCTCTTCTGACTTACAATAGAGTGATTGTGTAATTGTGTGAGAAGCACTGGAGAGGGCTCTTTTGTAGTGCGTAGGAAAATCAACATTAAGGTGTCAGACAGAAAAGTGAAACCCTGCAGGTGAAGCTGTCTCTGGAGCCAAGAGAAACTGGCAATTTATGCAGAGTTGCAAGTGAAGCTTTGGAGCATTGAAAGGCTGTTGGCACTGAGCTGCAGAGCGTGTGGGTCTCTCGGTGAGGCCTCCACAGAGATCAGTTTACGGGCTGCAGCAGGCCGTTTGCTGAGAAGCTCAGTGTTTGGGTGCAGCAGCTCCAAGCAACAGTCTCTCCAAGTTAACTGCCAGAAATTTACTGTGTAATTCTCAGCTCTTTGTAATTTTGAAGAAGAGGTTATGGAAAAGCATTTCCTCTGTGGGAGTAATTATGTGTCAGAAAATGCCATTCCTCAATAAAGGGGGAAGGTTCACAAAGCACAGAACTTTGTCCTATTTATTCCATGTTCCTGACTTCTGAACTGATGCTTGCTTTCTGCTATTTTATGTTCTATAGTGATACTTTCTTCATTTTTCATCCCTTCATCTCAAGTCAGCGTCAGTTTTATTGCTTTAAAAGTCAACAGTGATACTATCCAGTTCTGCTAAGAGTGAAACTTTAAGAATAAAATTTGATTTTAATTCATCCCTTATTATATGTGAGTATATTTTTTATATTCGCTTTAAGGATAGTATTTACCTCTGTTTGTTAGCTTTCTGCTTTCCTTCGTATACCAAATAGAAAAATTCTCATTCACTCACCCCCAAAGCATGTGCCTGTTATCACATGATTCAGTTTGAGTTTCTATATTACACAATTTCTGTTTCTTACATTGCTTTTTCCTATTTATGTACTAAGCTCTCTGTATATGCAGGATACTGTTAGGTATGATATGAGATATTTATTATTTTCTTTCAAGTAAATAAACAACCATTATCCATGCATAGCTGGTCAGTCCCATAAATTTTAGTACTAAAATATCACTTGGATTATTTTATTAGCAAGACTTTATTGTAATGATGTATTTCAGATTTTGTCTTTCCATTTAGGCTCATATATGTTACATTTTGGTATCATTATTGAAACAAATTCATGAATTGAGTTCATCATTAGAAAATGAAAGCCTCAGAATTTTGGTAATTGTTTTGGACCATCACAAAAATGTGCTTGGCATATTTAAATTCTGTATTTTTTTCCCTTACCTGTAATAACTTTTCAAAGTACCTAAAGCTATGATAGAAATGGAATAGCATATAGAATACTTGTGTGTGTGTTTGTATGCAGGGGGGCGGCTTCTTATTTTTACCTTTTTTCTGATTTTATATATACAATGTTAGATATATTGTTCTGCAATTTATATTTCAGTGGAAGAATATTCATGGTTATTTTTTAAAGTCAGCATAAAGATCTGTTGCATTCTGTTTAACAAGTGCTTTGTGTTCCAGTGTATAGATACTGCATTATTTATTTCATCCTTTCTTGGTTGAAGATTGTTTAGGTTATTTCCAGTTGTGTAATATTGCAGATAATACTGTAAAGAAAATCATTATACTTGCATCTTTTCACATATGTAAGCATATTTTTCTAGGATAGATAATGGAGTTGCTGGGTCAAAACATAATGGCGTATTTTATTTTGAAAACTGTTGCTCAAGCACTCTTATAAAAGGCTCTACCCCACATGTGCTCTCACCCAAATGTGTATGAAAGTGTGCATCTCCTTAATTGTTAGGTGTAGTGGATACTATCCATCTTTTACATTTTTGCTGACTTTTATATTTGAGATATCTTTCTACACCATTACTCACCCTTTTCTTTCCAGCAGAGTAGTATTCCATAGTATTATATTTAATTAGTCCTCCATTAATGAACATTTAAGTTACTTCTAACAGTTTGCCATTACATTCAATGCTACAGAATTTTAACAAATTTGTAATGCAGAATTTTCATAAGTATAAGAATAACCTTATTACAAAAGTCATTTCACATGTATGCAAGTATATCTGCAGGATAAATTCCAAAATGTAACAAAGGGAGTATGTATTTGTAATTCTAGTTGATAGTGTTTTTTTGGTTTTTGTTGTTTTTTTGAGACGGAATCTCACTCTGTCGCCCAGGCTGGAGTGCAGTGGCACGATCTGGGCTCACTGCAAGCTCTGCCTCCCGGGTTCACGTCATTCTCCTGCCTCAGCCTCCCGAGTAGCTGGGACTACAGGCGCCCGCCACCACGCCCAGCTAATTTTTTGTATTTTTAGTAGAGACGGGGTTTCACCGTGTTAGCCAGGATGGTCTTGATCTCCTGACCTCGTGATCCGCCTGCCTCAGCTTCCCAAAGTACTGGGATTACAGGCATGAGCCACCACTCCCAGCCTCTAGTTGATAGTGTTAAATGGAAAAGGAAGATGTAAAACAGTATGCTACCATTTGTTTACAAGGGGAAGGGTATAAGAATATCCATGTGCAGGCACACATGGTAACATGGCGAGTGCGGGGGAAAATGAGGTTTCAAGTTAGAACTAAAATTAAGGGTACACTGTGACTTAGGTCACAACAGGACATAAACATTTAATTTACTCTGAGCCTCAGTTTCCACATGTATGTAAATGAAGCTAGTAAATGCCTGTTTGATAGTATTATGAGAATTAAATGCAAAATTGTATGTGAAATTATGTGACACTGTGGCCAGCATATGATACGTGTGTGTGTGTGTGTGTATATTTTGCTCTATATTGTGCCATATGTGGCACAGATATTTCTTGTAAAGGTAGCAATTGCCTGTTGTATTCATACAATGCGGAGCCTACTTGTCAATGATGCTTTTATTTAATCAATTATACATAGAGTTGTCAGCATGGAAAATGCAGCTTCTGTTTTGAATTATGTTTTACTTCTGAGTATAATTTAAAGGCAAAATGGCTTCACTCCTAGAAACTCGAGACCTCTAAAGCTTGTTCTCTTCCTGATGAATGTTCTCTTTGGGCACTTCAAATAGAGTATCTTACTCATGGCTTTAGGTGATATACTGGGAAAGCATGCAGTTGCTTTAGAAGCCTTTATAAATAATACTTGAGTGTTCAATATAAAACCAATGTTTGGCTTTCGTAACCATTTCCTACATCTCTTCTATAAGTTTATTGAATTCACAGTACACATCTACACTGTGAGAAGCATTTATCTCCTTTTGTGCTAATAAAATTAAGCAAAAGACAAAGTTACTCCCAAGTTCATAGCATATTCCTTGAAAGGAATGATTATAAGAACAAACGGGGATCAATGCATTACATCTTTAGAATACAGGAAGGAGTTTTTACTACTTCATTTTAAAAATAAGGAAATAGAGATGAAAAGCTTTCCATCTTTCCATACCACGTTCGGCAGTGGTAATATGTTTTATACCCACTAATCAAGGCATCCTCTGTGTTTTGATGCTTTGATAAGTAGTCATCTGCTTTTAAGTTTGTGATAGTAGATTGAATAAGTGTCCTCGTGCTCACGCAGGATTATATACTTATTATATACTTAGGCAAATTTGTCTTTTTGAACCAAGTTTTATCACTTAAAATGAGCATAATAATAACTAATTCATAAGAATGCTGTAAACATAAAATGAGTATTACTAACTGAGAATGTACAGTAGATAGTAGGCTCTCACTACATGCTGGTTTTCCTTCTTCCTTTCCATTCTCTTAGGAAAACTGATACTCAGAATGGCTAAGTGATCTGTGCATAGTCAAAAGGCCAATTTAGTGATAGAACTGAGACTGGATCCATCACTTTGATTACAGCTAGATTCTTTCCATTATACCAAGCAGCATCCATAGTAATTTACTTTCATTTGTACAATTTTCTATGAGAAAAAATGAGCAACAACTATCAGTTTGTCTTCAATCCTGATAAAATCTAGCACTTACAGAAATTGCTAAGAAGTAAACATTTATTACACAAACCCATGCCAGAGAGGGGTATGTTGAGTTCTAGTCTAAACATCTTTAATAATGATAATTCCATAATTCTCAGCTGTTTCTTTTAGATTGACCTTTTCTCACCTGATAAAATTTTCCAATTCTAAGCTCTTTATTCTGATTGAAATCTGACATAACTTGTCTCAGTCATCATTTTTCCATTCTGAGCTTGCTTATATTTTCTAAACTTTTAACTTGGTTCTCCAGCCTGGCGACCTTAATTTGTCCATTTTAGAACAGCCAAAATATCCTTGATTTTGCTGGATTAATTCAGTTATCTCAAATTATCTCTGACTTCCTTTTTCACACCTGATTTTCCTTAGTTTTGTTGATTAAAGATTAATATGAGTTTGTATGCCCTGACAGTGGATGATACAAAAGAAAACTGGTCTAGGAATTAGGAAACCTACTTTCTGTTTCATCTCTCTTCTTATTGCCAAGCTGTTTCCTCACTATGATGGGAAAAATTATGTTGTAATCTTATGTCTTATAAAAGAGGGCTCAAATTGGTATAGACTGTATATTTTGTGGGGAATTAATTATGTGACTATTCAACATTTGACAAATAATTTTGGACGTAAGTGTGCAATGTCTAAAGCCCGAATAATTCTAATTTTAATGTCAACGCACTTGATGAGTTGAAGTATGGTGCTTGCTGGTAATGGGGAAAAAAAAAGGCTACAACCAAAAGTATTGTGTTATATAAAATTACATGTGATTTGTTGTGCCTTCACTTTGAATATTAGCTTTCCTGACAGCCAATGTAAGATATTAGTTAACATGGAAAATAACTTCTTACATTTACATATTGCAGTTTTTCAGGGCACTTCTGTACACATGTGGTATCTATATAAATTATATTTCAGAATAAAGAAATGGTCACTGTCTATAATTCTTACACTGCCACACCATTTGAAACAGGCCACAGAGATTTATTACTCCATGAGTTTTGTGAATATTGAGACTCAAATGCTATGTTTGTACAAGGAAATCACAAATCGTAACTAGAATACATTCACTTACATATTACACCTAGAGTTCGTTTTCTCATTGTTCTTTTAAGTTTTTTTCTCTGAGTATGGGTAGGTAAAGTATAGCAAATTTGTTGCAGAAAATTAACTGTGACCACATTAAAGACTTGAAACCACACTCCAAAATAGAAAAGGCATTAGGAAAATATTTTGCTTAGAAGGAATGATTGTTCTTGTCTTTTCAATTTTTTCTTTTAAATGTGCAACATGAAACTACTCCTTACCTTGAAAGCTGTATGGCTGATTGTTGCTGCTTCCCAACATCTTCACCCGTTTTACCGGAATTTCGCCTCTGCTATTTTACCTTCTAAGCTGTGAACCCTTGTCATCCTATTTGAACCACCCCCTGCCCTCCCACCTCCCTGTTATTAGCAGTACATCAAAGATTGGTCATTGGTCTTGTCTCCCTGCTAATTCATATCTTGATGTTCTTGAACAGTATTTGAACAGTGCCCCTTTAGAGGAATATCTAATGTCAGTCATTTCCTATTCTGAGTTAAGTTAATTGATCTGATAAATTACAATGAGCAAGTGAATATAGTGGGTTTAAAACGTATCCGTCTATTCTGGATTTGCTTTTGCTCTGGAGAAGGCAAAAAGGCCAGGAATTAGTGAGTGACTTAGTCTTCTCTCGTCATTGGCAGCTGACAGACCTACTGATGAGGTGATAATGAACTCCAAAGTCTACCCTAGGAGCAACTGGGAGGGAAAAGAACCCAGACAGAAGGCATGTCTCACTTTGGAGCCTGCCAAGATTTTTGCTTTTTCATAGAATTCATTTCGAGGAGGTTAACAGGTAGACTTTGCTGGATGCATGTCAGAAGTGTAACTTATCATTCATGGACACCAAAGACAAATATATATTTTATTTCTCTCAACGTAACAAGCCAGAGGCCTCAGTCTCAGAGACGGTCACTGGGGTAATCCAGTCAGAGAGGGAGCATCCGAAACAAGGCTTGAATATAAAGTTCATTTTTTAAAATAACTCTTCCTTCTTTCCATTAAAATTATTATCCAATACATATGGTATGACAGATTAGACCTTCCAGAATTATTTGCTACTCCTGTTTATTTGATTCCTAGAATGTTGCTTAGCGGTCTCAAACTTAATTGGAGATAATGAGTATACCTAAGGTAAATCTTCCAATTTTGTTTCCAGTTATGAATGTTGGTGAATCTTTCCTTTTCCAAATTCAGTTTAGGCCTCCACTGCCTGTTTTTCTTCAGGTATCATGAAAGTGAATGAAGTATTTTCAAGTCCATTCATCCCCACCTCACATGGGCAGTCGCCCCTCATACACATATATTTTGTAGCCCACACAGGAGGCAACTTAATGTACAAAATGTTTTAAGTTAATTACTGGAAGTGTGTTAAACATAGAATATTAGTGAGTTTTTAAAGTCTCTGAACTTTAAAAATAATCAACTGTTTGTAGAAAAAAAATGAATTATTGTTGATGACTCAGCGTTCCTTATGTAAAGACTTGGCTTTAGTCTTCAAGAAGCTCTTCAGCTTCCCTTTTTCGGTTTTAGGCAGAACATGGACTTTGAGAAGTTTTAAAAATTCTATTATTCCCACCCATGTTTCCCTCTGTCTTTAAGCTGTAATAAAACGTATCAATGTTCTGGGAGTCTGTATTGCTGAATTGTCAGGGCCTTTCTTGCTTAGTTTCGCTTGATGATAAATTTCAAGGAACCCATAGTGCACTATTTTTAACCAGTTTCGAGGTTGAAAAAATGCTAAGAGTTTGTGTCCAGAGGTTTGGATAACATTGTTAATTGTGCCAAGTATCCATTGAGTTTGGCTTTATTCTTTATCCTGTTTAACTGGCATTTTCTCTGCTGTAAGAAAACAGTCCTTAGGAGCCACGACAACTGATTTTATTGGTAAACATATGAATGAGGCATGTTTCATAAAACTTTATAAATTTAATATTAGAAGGACAGAAGTTTGACCAGACAGTTCAATAAAGACAATTTTATATATATTTTAACTTTCTTTGATTCCATTCACTTTTCAAATTAGATATTTCAGATTGTAATTCTTAGAATTGACCATGCCATTTATTCCTCTTTCTTGAAAGACAAATAGAATAAACAAAAATTTGTAGACATCTAAAGAGTAATCTAAGGACTATAGTTTTGACTCATTTCTTTCATGAGTATAGTTTCTCTTTTCTCTTTTATAATATAAGATATGCACCCGTTTGTCTATTCATTCCTTTTTGCTTCTCCAAACCTGTTTGCATCTTTGGTTGTGACTCATTTCTTTATTTGATCAATTGTTACCATTGTATACAGTCTCTTTAGTTGGATATTTGCTGAAGTCAGATAAACCTTACTGGTTTCAGGGATATGATTGTGGTATGAAACTGCCAATCTTCTACTTTGATGTTCATGATTCAAAAACTTCTTGTTCCTTTGGAGAAAATGAGCCTAAGTTAGTCGTCATCCTGGAAATAAGTTTTGATTTCTTTTTATGAAAGAATGCCAGGAACTTTCACCAGTTTATCTTTGAATCTTTATTTTCCAAAAGTAAGGTAGAAAAATCCTCACCGTTTTACTGATTTGCAGACTGGTAAAGTGAACAAGGTGTTAGAATCAAGACATTTTACTCAAAGACCACTAATTTAAAAAGGTAAGTCAGAATCTGGCCCAAGACCTTGACCTCTCAAATTAGATTTAATTATGAACTGCATTAAGTCCCATTATTTCTCCTATTTTGCTTATCAAGTGATAACTTCTAGTCAGACTGGGATAATCATGAATCTACAGTGCCGAAGGCATTCATGACAAAGCTCACCCTTTGAAGCAGAAAAGCAATTCATCTGTGTCAAAAAAGGATGCAAACTAAGTTTTGATCCTGCCTGATAGTACCATTTTCCAGCTATACCTTGTCCAGCATTCTTTATCAAAGCCAGAAAGACTATATGCAAGAAGAATTTAGAACAGACTAGGTACTATAATTCTTTGTGTTTGAAAGGTGATATTTTAGACGTAGAGACAAAAAGTCTCCCTTGAGTTTTTGAAAGAAATTGCTTGTAAGGGCAAATGTTTTAGGTTGAAAAGTTGATATTTTTTAGTTTCCCTGTTTATGAATAGTTCACAGGGTAATGTTGTCAGTCATTTTAAACTTATTATTTCTCCCTCTTGGAAAGGTTATAGATTGCCAACAGAAAGTAGAACTCCCTGTTTCTGCGTGTTTTTCTCTGAAATAGTGTGTGACGTAGTCACATTACTCCAGGCTCAATTATAGACAGTTTGTGGGTTTTTTTTTTAATAATGCCAAAAATCTGTGGATAATGTATAATAAGCTGATGTACATCCTACTAGAACTGAGGTATTTCAGTTTGTGACAAATTATGTCTTAACATGTTACCTCGTTAATAGTCATTGGTTCATAAATGCTGGGGATTTTAAATTTAACTCTTTTTATACCTAATATTAAAAATTAACCCAATTTAACATTATTTCATCTACCACATTACTGGCCTTGTTTTGATTCTAAATCTCATGTCCTAATTTACAAATTACCAAATTAATTCAAATGTATAACCTCTTTATGATTTGAGGCCCACTCTGGAAAAGAAAAATACTAGACATTTCTATTAAAGTCATGAGTGATTTTTATGTGTCTTGTGGATCCATCCCCCAGAGTCTTGTCTTATATCTTTATGTTCTAACAATGAAGTTTTTTTAACGTACTTTTAGCAAAATATACATATATTTACACAAGTATTTTAGAGTTACCTACAGTAGGATTTAGAGGTCTTTTATTCCCATGATTATATAACATTAAACAATATGTAGCCCCCAAATAAATTTTTCTGTGGGAACTTCTTCACGTTGTCTGCACATGACAGTTGATCTTGGGTTGTTTCAGTACTTTCCTTGGTTTTCCTCCTGTGTCTTTAGCCATTCCCTAGAAGTCCCCTTTTTCTCTCCCTTACAACTGATGGTCTCTATGAGTCCACTTTTAGCTCCCTTCTCTTCTTCTATACTTTCTTCCCCTATATTTTTTCCAAAGTAATGTTATCTGTTCAGTGGCATCAGCCGCTATTAATATATGCTCATGACGTCCAAGTACAAATAAATACACAAGTGGTTTACTCTAGCCCATATCTCTGTTCCCAACTTTGGGCCCCTATCAACTGCCAACTGCACCTGACAGCTTGAACATTCCATAAACGACCTCAACATACCTAAAATCATCTCATCATTTTTTTTTTTTACAAATATGCTCCTCAGTATCTTCATCATCAAGAAATGTCGTTTACTCAGTTGTTCAAGCCAGAAACTAATTAAATTGTTCCTAACAACTTTTTTTCCCTTGCCTCTCATAGCTTTTTCAACCTTTGAGACATATCTCCACATCATTTTGCTTCTCTCTTCACAGGAATTATTCTATTTTATCACTTTGTTTTTGCAACAGCATCTTAGCTAATTTGTAACTAATTTTACCCTTTGCCAGTCCTTTTCTTCTGCTTCTTCCAGGTTAATACTTGGTTGTTTGTTTGTGTTTGTTTGTTTGTTTTTCCTTTGGAGATGGTGTCTCATTCTGTCACCCAGGCTGGAGTGCATTGGCATAATCACTGGTCACTGTAACCTCAACCTCCCAGGCTCAAGGAATCCTCCTGCCTCAGCCTCCCAAGTAGCTGAGACCACAGATGCATGCCATGATGTCCAGCTTAATTTTTTTTTGTTAGAAGTGAAGCCTCACTTCGTTGCCCAGGCTGGTCTCAAACCCCTGAGCTCAAGTAGTTCTCCTACCATGGCCTCCCAAAGTGCTGGGATTACAGACATGAGCCACTGCACCTGCCCTTAATACTTTTGAAAACACGTGTATGGTCATGTTATTTCCTCTTAAAATTTTCCAAAGGCTTCTTATCCTTTCAGGATAAAATGCAGACTCCGAAGCCTGACGTTGAAGGTTCCCCATAATCTGACTTCTCCTGTTGTACGCCACGCCCATGTGACCTCACGTTTCTCCTTTCTCTCTCTTTCGCTTCCCCCTCTTGCCTTTTTCCTTTCTCCCCCCTCCCCTTTTCTCCCTCAGTTAAGATGCTACTTCTTCCATGACAAATGATGCTATAGGAGGAAGTCATTTCTTTCTCTGCGTTTGCTTTGAACCTCTCCTATTGCTTTGTCTTTTTTTTCTTACCATGGATTAAAATATCTGTGTACATGTTTTCTGTTGAATTAGGAGCATCTAATTCAGTGTTAGACACGGTTCTACGTGTTAGCAGTATCATCTGGAATAAGACAGCCTCTGTTCTTGGGGAGGGAGGGTCCTTGTCTTTTTCATTCTTGGAACTTTTTAGAGGTGATTTGACAAATAAATAAATGTCTATTTAAAAGTTACTAAAAAAAAAAAAAAAAAAGCCTTAGCGACCAGGCACGGTGGCTCACGCCTGTAATCCCAGCACTTTGGGAGGCTGAGGCGGGCAGATCACTTGAGGTCAGGATTTTGAGACCAACCTGGCCAACATAGTGAAACCCCATCTCTACTAAAAAATACAAAATTAGCCAGGCGTGGTGGCACATGCCTGTAATCCCAGCTACTTGGGAGGCTGAGGCAGGAGAATCACTTGAACCCCAGAGGCGGAGGTTGGAGTGAGCCAAGATCACGCCACTGCACTTCAGCTTGGGCGACAGAGCAAGACTCTGAATCAAAAAAAAAAAAAAGAAAGAAAAGTCTTAGAAAAGGTTTTTTTTTTCTAAATTTTTCAATATAGATTCATCTAATAATCTCAAAATAATTTTATAATAGCCTAAATAAAATCAACTACACACGTATTAATAATGACCTTCTATCCCTATTTGGGATGCAAAGTGAGGCAATAACTACAACAATAATAATATATTGTTTTACGTTTTCCATGTATATATTCTGAAAGCCTCACGAGCAGCCTGTGAGAAAGCTGCTTTCATTATACTCGTTTTATAGTTGAGGAAAGTGAGTAATTTTCCCAATTATACTAATAAATGAGAAGGAACAGATCCGTAACTTTGGTTTCCTTTTGCTATCTAATGTTGCTCTTCTAGATCTTACCTAGCTGGGGAAGGGGAAAATGTGAATAAGATACCAAAATAAGTGGATGTTAAAGTAATTCAGGCAAGAAATTATGAATTAGGGTTATGTCAGAGGTGGACCATGAAGAAATATTGAGGAGGTAGAATGAACAGAAGATTTAATGACAAAGGGATATGTGGAATTTGAAGGAAAGGGAGGAGTTAAAGATGATTTAAGCTAAAAGCTCCCAGGACTTTTGACCCCACTTTTCTAGTGTGCTTGGTTTCTCCTTTAAAAAGATTCTGGAGAATAGTTTAACAGTTCCCAATGGAAGTAAATTATAAAAGCTGAGATGGCAATATTTAAACCCTAGAGCCAGCAGCAGTGGATTCAACCCTGAAGTTTCAAGCAGTATCCTTTGTTTTATGGCTAAGAACCAGTATCATCTGTTATTTAACTAGGAAGTACAAGTTCACCTTTACAGGACCAACATTTTATTTTCTTCTGTGAAATGCATAAACAACATAATACACGACAATGGGAAAAGTCAGATAGCACAGAAAGGCCTATAAGGAAAAGCAACAACACATCTACCTTTTCTGTCCCCCTTTCCACATCCTCGAGTGAGTGATCCTTTCAGCTTTCTTCACTCAAAACTTTGCACTTGCTCTTAGCTAAGGCTGAGAAGCAATCATCACTCAGAACTTTAGACTCATAATGTTATTTTTTATTGACTCCTTGCAACAGTCAGTATTTAGCTTACTTAAATTGCTGCCTGTTTTCCCTCACTCCTTCTCCCAGTTTTTGTATTATTATTATTATTATTATTTTATGAATCCTCTTCGTTACCTTTGTAACTTTAAATCATACACTTAAAACTCTTAATTTCTCTTTATCATCTTCCCACAGGCTCTCTGCCTAGTGACATGTAAAATAAGGTTATCAGTACCTCTACTCTTCCTTCCACTTTTCTTCCCCTCCCTTCTTCTCTCTTCCCCTTCCCTAACTTCTGACAGTTGAATTTTTATTTTTATTCATTTACACAGGACATGCAGCCATATCTTAAAGTTGAAGACTCATCTTGTCCTTCTATTTTGGAAAATTATGAACAATTCTCCCAAATACTGTTTTCTCTAATATTTTGTTCTGCAACTCCTAGTAGACTTAGAGTCTCTTTGTCTTTTTTACATGTCTCTTAATTTATCTTCTCTTTTTTATCTCTTTATGTCTTTTATCCTTTATGTTCCATGTTTTGACTAAATTGCTAGTACTGTCTTTCAATTCACTGATTCTGTCTTCAGCTACATTCAATGTACTGTCCCCTGCTTATTTAGTTTTTGTCTGTAACTTTACTCACATATTTGTTAAATTTTTTATTGGAGTGTATACTATACCTCTGAAAGAATATGTGTACTGTCAGTTTAGTTCACTATATTTTTGCAGTCTGAAAAATTTATGTAACCTGACACCCAAATCAAGAAACAGAATATTCCCAATACTCCAGAAGCCCTCTTTGTGCTTCCCTCCAGTGAGTAACACCTCCCTTGAGTAATCACTATTCTGACTTCTGAATGCATATTTTAATTTTACCTGTTTTGTGTTATATATAAATGGAGTTATCAAATAAGTACTCTTTTGTGTCTGGGTTCTTTCACTCTGTGTTGTGAGTTTTACTCATGTTTTTACATGTAGCCAATAGTTCTTTCAATCTTATCCCATAAGGTATCATATTGGGTGACTATACAATATTTATTTGTCTAGCAGTTATCCATCTACTTACTTATTCACTGTTGATGGAGACAGAGCCCATTTAGTTTGGGGCTCTTACAGATAGTGGTACCATGAGCATTTCCAGTGAAGTAGTGGTTCTTGACCCAGGGAGATAGTGGGGCTGTCACAGAGACCCACTCACAGAGCCGGTAGATACCTTGGTTCTGTTTCTGTTCTTGAATCCATCTGCTTGATTCGTTATGCCCTGATCCTAACAAATAATTAGTCATTGGGACAGGAGGTGAGTACACGATTGCAGTTCCTGGTGTTAAGCGATGAGCCTGTATCTTCTATAAAGTGTTGTTAGTCCCCCTCATCCAGGAGGAGTGAGAGTTCTAGCTCCCCGAGGCTGCTTTCGGATCCATATTCCTGGCAGGCCATGGTGTATTTTGCAGCTCTGTTCCATTTATGCACCACACATACGTTTAAGTTGTATTTGAGCCCAGCTGTAGCTTTCTAGATCTCTCCTTATAGTCATTGCTATGTATTTTATATCTCAGAGCATGACTTTACCAAACCATCTTAACCAGAAGTATTTCTTTGAATCTGAAGACTCCTGGATTTCAGGATATATTTATGACTTCTTTTTTTCTTCCTTTGTTTAAGCTCAGAAAACTTCTTGTATTACTTCTTTGGTCATTTCCTTTCCTTCATTTTCACTATTCTCACCTTCTAAAACTTCTAGTTGTTGGATTTAGATTTCTCTTAAATTTTTTACTCTGTATTTTTTATCTCCTTTTCTTCATTTAGTTCTTGGTTGGGGGAACAAAATATCCTTGACTTTATCTTACAGTACTTTTGAATTTTTTTATTTTGCTAAAGAGCATTTTAACTTTCTTACAATTGGAATGTTCTTTTTCATAGCCTGCTGTATCTGTTTTGTAGCTTTAGCGTCTTCTTGGATTTCTCTTAAGAAATTGATTAGACCTTTTAAAAAAATGTTCTTCTACTTCCTGAATTATTTGTGTTTCCTACAGCCTTAGTTGTTAAACTCATGTATCTTCTCTTTTATTTCAGAGGTTTTTCACGTATTAGTCAATTCTTCATTGTCCCTTCATGTTTAAGGAGAACTAGATTGATTGTGGCACATGGCCAAACTGAAATTCCTTTGGTGGTGTTTGCAGGTTTGCTTCCCTGCTAGGCCTCTGCTCTGGGTGATACAGCTGACTAGCAGCTTTGTATAACCGGCAGAACCTGTCCACTGGTAGCCGTCTCTTTAGGATGGATGGTGTGGATCCACTGTCAGGTTGGAGGCACCCCCCAAATTTAAGAAGAAAAAGGATTTATTCTGGGCACCAACTGTGATATAAGCAGTCCTGGATCATTTCAGTAGTTTATTTAGTATCATAGAAAAGATCATTTCAGGTTTCTCTGCTTACTTGTTACAGGTGGGGAAAATAATAAACTGCATGTCCTATGTAAGAGCATAGGGAGGTGAGGAGGGGAAACCATTGCAGCTATTCAAAATAGACTTGTTTTAAAGCTTTTATTTTAAGTACAGGGGTACATGTGCAGGTTTGTTATGTAGGTAAACTTAGGTCATGGAGGTTTGTTGTACAGATTATTTCCTCGCCCGGGTATTAAGCCTGGTACCCTTTAGTTACTTTATAATTCGTCCTGATCCTCGTCCTGATCCTCGTCCTGATCCTCGTCCTGATCCTCGTCCTGATCCTCGTCCTGATCCTCGTCCTCCTCTCACCCCCCCTCCTCCATTAGGCGCCAGTGGCTGTTGTTCCCCTCTATGTGTCCGCGTGTTCTCATCATTTAGCTACCACTTACAAGTGCGAACATGTGGTATTTGGTTTTCTGTTCCTGTGTTGTTTGTTAAGGGTAGTGGTCTCCAGCTCCATCCATGTGCCTGCAAAGGACATGATCTCATTCTTTATTTATGGCCGCATAGTATTCCGTGGTGTATATGTACCGCATTTTTTTTTTTTTTTTTTTTTGAGATGGAGTCTCACTCTGTCGCCAGGCTGGAGTGCAGTGGCGCGACGTCGGCTCACTGCAATCTCTGCCTCCCAGGTTCAAGCGATTCTCCTGCCTCAGCCTCCCGAGTAGCTCAGATTACAGGCACGTGCCACCATGCCTGGCTAATTTTTGTATTTTTAGTAGAGACGGGGTTTCACCATGTTGGCCACGGTGGTCTCGATCTCCTGACCTCATGATCCACCCATCTCAGCCTCCCAAAGTGCTGGGATTACAGGCGTGAGCCACCGCACCCGGCCCCACATTTTCTTTAGTCTATCATTGATGAGCATGTAGGTTGATTCTGTATCTTTGCTATTGTTAATAGCACTGCAGTGAACATACACGTGCATGTGTCTTTATAATAGAACAATTTATATTCCTTTTATTATGTACACAATAATGGGATTGCTGGGTCAAATGGTATTTCTGTCTTTAGTTCTTTGAGGAATCATCATGCTGTCTTCCACAATGGTTGAACTAATTTACACTCCCGCCAACAATGTATAAGTGTTCAGGTTCCTTTTCCCACAACCTCGCCAGCATCTGTTATTTTTTTACTTTTTAATAATAGCCATTCTGACTGGTGTGAGATAATATTGTGGTTTCAATTTTTTCTCTAATGATCCCTGATGTTGAGCTTTTTTCATGTGCTTCTTGGCCACGTGTTATGTCTTCTTTTGAAAAGCGTCTGTTTATGTATTTTGCCCACTTTTTAATGGGGTTGTTTTTTTCTTGTTTAAGCTCTTTATGGATCCTGGATATTAGACCTTTGTCACATGCATACCTTGCAAAAATTTCCTCCCATTCTGTAGGTTGTATACTGTTGAAAGTTTCTTTTGCTGTACAGAAACTCTCTAGTTTACATAGATCCTGTTCATCAATTTTTGCTTTTGTTGCAGTTGCTTTTGGCATCCTCATTATAAAATCTTTGCCCATTCCTGTGTCCTGATTGGTATTGACTAGGTTGTCTTCCAGGTTTTTTATAGTTTTGGGTTTTACATTTAAGTGTTTAATCCATCTTGAATTAATTTTTGTATAGGGTGTAAGGAAGGGATCCAGTTTCAATCTTCTGCATATGGCTAGCCAGTTACCACAGCATCATTTAGTGAATAGGGAGTCCTTTCCTTCATTGCTTGCTTTTGTCAGGTTTGTTGAAGATCAGATAGTTCTAGATGTGCAACCTTATTTTGGGGCTCTCTCTTCTGTTCCATTGGTCTATGTGTCTTTGTACCAGTTACCAGGCTGTTTTGGTTACTGTAGCCCTGTAGTATAGTTTGAAGTCAGGTAGCGTGATGCCTCCAGGTTTATTCTTTTTGGGTAGGATTGCCTTGGCTGTTGGGGATCTTTTTTGGTTTTCATATGAATTTTAAGATAGTTTTCTAGTTCTGTGAAGAATGTCATTGGTAGTTTGATAGGAACAGCATTAAATCTATAAATTGCTTTGTTCAGTGTGGCCATTAAACGATATTGATTCTTCCTATCCATGAGCATGGAATGTTTTTCCATTTGTTTGTGTCATTTCTGATTTCTTTGAGCAGTGTTTTGTAGTTCTTCTTGTAGAGATCTTTCACCTGCTTGGTTAGCTGTATTCGTAGGTATTTTATACTTTTTCAGGCACGTGTAAATGGAATTACATTCCTGATTTGGCTCTTGGCTTGACTGTTGGTGTAGAGGAATGCTAGTGATATCTGTATATTGATTTCGTATCCTGAAAGTTTGCTGAAGTTTTTTTATCACCTTACGAAGATTTTGGACCAAGACGATGGGGTTTTCTAGATACAGGATTGTGTCATCTGCAAACAGGGATAGTTTAATTTCCTCTCTTCCCATTTGGATACCCTTTATTTCTTTCTTTTGCCTGATTGCCCTGTCCAGGACCTTCAATACTATGTTGAATAGGAGTGGTGAGAGAGGGCATCCTTGTCTTACACCAGTTTTTCAAGGGGAATGCCTCCAGCTTTTGTTTATTCAGTATGATATTGGCTGTGGATTTGTCATAGGTGGCTCTTATTATTTTGAGGTATGTTCCTTCAATACGTAGTTTATTGAGAGTTTTTAACATGAAGCAATGTTGAATTTTATCGAAAGCCCTTTCTGCATCTGTTGTGATAATCCTGTAGTTTTTGTCTTTAGTTCTGTTTATGTGCTGAATCACATTGATTTTTGCATGTTGAACCAACCTTGCATCGTAGAGACAAAGCCTACTTGATCTTGGTGGATAAGCCTTTTCATGTGCTTCTGGATTCAGTTTGTCAGGATTTTGTTGAGGATTTTGCATTGACGTTCCTCAAGGATATTGGTCTGAAGTTTTCTTTTTTTGTTTTATCTCTGCCAGGTTTTGATATCAGGATGATGCCGACCTCGTAGAATTAGTTGGGGAGGAGTCCCTCCTCCTCAATTTATTTGAAATAGTTTCAGGGGTAATGGTACCAGCCCTTCTTTGTACATCTGGTAGAATTTAGCTGTGACTCTATCTGGTACTGGGCTTATTTATTTACTGTTTATTTATTTGGTTGGTTGGTTGGTTGGTTGGTTGGTTGGCTATTTGTGGCTTCCTCAATTTCAGAGTTCATTATGGGCCTGTTCAGGGATTCAGTTTCTTCCTGGTTCAGTCTTGGGAGGGTGTATGTGTCCAGGAATTTATCCCTTTCTTCTAGATTTCCTAGTTTACATGCATAAAGTTGTTCATATATTCTCTAGTGGTTGTTTGTATTTCTGTGGGTTCGGTAATAATATCCTTTTTGTTATTTCTAATCGTGTTTGTTTGGATTTTCTCTCTTACTAGCCTATTTAGCAGTTTATTTTATTAATTTTTTTTTAAAAAATAAACTCCTGGACTCATTGATCCTTTATATGGGTTTTCATGTCTCAGTGTCCCTCAGTTCACCTCTAATTTTTATTTCTTGTCTTCTGCTGGCTTTGAGGTTGGTTTGCTCTCGGTTCTCTAGTTCTTTTAGTTGTGATGTAAAGTTGTTATATTGAGATCTTTCTAACTCTTTGATGTGGACATTTAATGATATGAACGTCCCTGTTAACATTGTCTTAGCTGTGTCCCAGAGATTCTGGTATGTTGTATCTTTGTTCTCATTAGTTTCAAAGAACTTCTTGATTTCTGCCTTAGTTTCATTATTTATGCAAAAGTCATTCAGGAGTAGGTTGATCAATTTCCATATAATGGTATGGTTTCGAGCAAAATTCTTAGTCTTGATTTCTAATTTGATCATGCTGCGGTCTGAGAGAGTGTTTATTATTTCAGTTCTTTTGCATTTACTGAGGAGTATTTTCTGTCCAATTATGTGGTCAGTTTTAGAGTATGTGCCATGCGAAGGTGAGAATGTATGTTCTGTTGCTTTTGGGTGGAGAATTCTGTAGATTCCTGTCAAGTCCCTTTGATCCTATGCTGAGTTCAGGTCCTGAATATCTTTATTAATTTTTTTTTTTTTTGAGACAGTCTTGCTCCATTGCCCAGGCTGGAGTGCAGTGATACAGTCTCGGCTCACTGCAACCTCCGCCTCACGGGTTCAAGCAATTCTCCTGCCTCAGCTTCCTCAGTAGCTGGGACTACAGGCATGCACGAGCATGCTGGCTATTTTGTTCTGTTTTGTTTTGTTTTTGTATTTTTGGTAGAAACAGGGTTTTGCCATGTTGGCCAGGCTGATCTCAAACTCCTAACCTCAAGTGATCTGCCCACCTCAGCCTTCCAAAGTGCTGGGATTACAGGCATGAGCCACTGCTCCTGGCCTTAATCTTTGATCTAATACTGTTAGTGGGGTATTGAAGTCTCCCACTGTTATTGTGTGGGAGTCTAAGTCTCTCTGAAGGTCTCTAAGAACTTGCTTCCTGAATCCGGGTGCTCCTGTGTCAGGTGCATATATATTTAGGATAGTTAGCTCTTCTTGTTGCATTGAACCCCTTACTATTTAGTAATGCTCTTCTTTTTCTTTTTTTTTTTTAATCTTTGTTGGTTTAAAGTCTATTTTTTCTGAAATTAGGATGTAATCCTGCTTTTTTCTGTTTGCTTCGTAGATTTTTCTTTATTTATTTTGAGTCTGTGGGTGTCATTGCATACGAAATGGGCCTCTTGAAGATAGCACACTGGTGGGTCTTGGTTCTTTATCTAGCTTGTTGCTTGGTGCCTTTTAATAGGGGTATTTAGCCCATTTACATTCAAGGTTTGTACTGATATGTGTGGATCTGAACCTGTCATCATGATGTTAGCTGGTTATTATGCAGACTTGTTTGTGTGGTTGCTTTATAGTGTCACTAGTGTGTTTACTTAAATGCGTTTTTGAAGTGGCTGGTAATGGTCTTTCCTTTCCATATTTAGTGCTTCCTTAAGGAGCTCTTGTAAGGCAGGTTTGATAGTAATGAATTTCCTCAGCATTTGCTGGTGTGAAAAGGATCTGATTTTTCCCTCACTTATGAAGGTTATTTTGTCCAGATATGAAATTCTGGCTTGGAATTTCTTTAAGAATGTTGATTATTGGTGCCCAATCTCTTCTGGCTTGTAGGGTTTCTGCTGAGAGGTCCGCTGTTAGTCTGATGGACTTGCCTTTGTAGGTGACCTTACCTTACCCTCTAGCTGCCTTTAACATTTTTTTCTTTCATCTTAACTTTCAAGAACCTTATGATTATGTCTTGAGGATGTTCTTCTCATGAAGGATCTCATTGGGGTTCTCTGCATTTCTTGAATTTGCATATTAGTCTCTCTAGCTAGGGTTGGGAAGCTCTCATGGATGATATCCTGAAATACGTTTTCAGTTGCTTACGCTCTCCCCATCTCTTTCAGGGATACCAGTCATTCATAGATTTGGTCTCTTTATATAATACCACATTTCTTGGAGGTTTTGTTTATTCCTTTATACTCTCTTTTCTCTATTATTGTCTGACTTCCTTATTTCAAAACGTCAGTCTTCAAGCTCTGAGACACTATCCTCACCTTGGTCTATTCTGCTGTTAATACTTGTGACTGCATTATGAAATTCTTATAGTGTGTTTTTCAGCTCTGTCAGGTTGATTACATGTTTTTTCTTTGCTGGCTATTTTGTCTGTCAGCTCCTATATTGTTGTACTGTGATTCTTCGCTTCCTTGATTTTGTTTCAGCATACTCCTGCATCTCAACGATCTGCATTCCTATCCATATTCTGCCTTCTGTTTCTGTCATTTCTGCCATCTCAACCCGGTTCAGAACCCTTGCTGGAGTGGTGGTGCAGTCATTTTGAGGAAAGAAGGCACTCTGGCTTTTTGAGTTGTCAAGAGTTCTTGGATTGGTTCTTTCTTATCTTTCTGGGGTAATGTTTGTTCAATCTTTGAACTTGCTGACCTTTGGATAGTTTTTTTTTTCTTCTTCTTCTTTTACACTATTTGATGACCTTCAGTGTTTGATTGTGGTATAAGGTGGATTCAGCCAACTGACTGTTTCTGGAAGACTTTAGGGGGCCAACACTCAGCTCTGATCTTCTAGACTGTGTGCTCTAACTTTGGGGGACTTATATTGGGCAATGACTTTGTTCTCTGGCTCCTCTGAGGTTAGGAGTCCACTGTGCTGGTGGGGCCGAAGTGCTCCACGATCACTGGTCACTACACTCTAATGGGTGGTGTCTGCCAAAGTGCTTCATAGTGTGGCGGCAGCAGGATCCGTCCTCATTTGCACATGCCAGCAACAGCAGCAGCGCAGCAGAGTGCACGCTGGACAACTGTGACAGGGTGCTAGCAGGTGCCAGGGTGCCTGCCCCCATGTAGGCATTCACCGCAGTGGCAGAGGCAGCTCAGCTGGACGACTGTGACAGGGTGCTAGCAGGTACCAGGGTGCCCGCCCCCATGTAGGCATTCACTGCAGTGGCAGAGGCAGCTCAGCTGGACGACTGTGACAGGGTGCTAGCAGGTGCCAGGGTGCCTGCCCCCATGTAGGCATTCACTGCAGTGGCAGAGGCAGCTCAGCTGGACGACTGTGACAGGGTGCTAGCAGGTGCCAGGGTGCCCGCCCCCATGTAGGCATTCACTGCAGTGGCAGAGGCAGCTCAGCTGGACAACTGTGACGGGGTGCTAGCAGGTGCCAGGGTGCCCGCCCCCATGTAGGCATTCACTGCAGTGGCAGAGGCAGCTCAGCTGGACAACTGTGACAGGGTGCTAGCAGGTGCCCGGGTGCCCGCCCCCATGTAGGCATTCACTGCAGTGGCAGAGGCAGCTCAGCTGGACAACTGTGACAGGGTGCTAGCAGGTGCCAGGGGGTGCCAGGGTGCCTGCCCCCATGTAGGCATTCACTGCAGTGGCAGAGGCAGCTCAGCCTGGGGGGCCAGAGAGCCCTTGCTGGTGACTGTGCATGTGATATCACTGGTGGTTGTGTTAATACGGATGTGGGTTACTGGTGGGGACAGGTCTCTGTGTGCCCCAGGCAGGGGTGGTTGCTCAGGGTTGGGGAGGGTCTGCTGTCCTCTGTGCCTGGTTTCACTCCTGTGGCAGTGTTGGCACAAGGGCAGGGCTGGCTGGTTCTGTGCTCACCAAGGCTCCAACTGCAGTGACGGTCCAGCAGAAGGGGAACAGGTGGTAGGGTGCACACACACATGCACACTGGCAGGGCAAGGAAAGCAAAATCTGTCCACGTACACATGTGCTGGCAAAGAGATGTGGAGGCTTGCTGTAGGCCTGGGGGAAGCTGTAATGTGTGGAGAAAGCAGGCAGGCCTGGTGCGTGGCCAGCGTGTGACCGTGGGGGCCAGCCTGCTTGAGTTCTCTGCCAGTCAGGCATAGTTCCCCAGCACAGGAGCTATAATGACAGCCTCCGGGGTACCCAAGGCTATCCTGCAAGCAGGCACAGCTAGGCTGTGGTCCCTAGAGAGTCCAGCAGACCAAGAGGTGCTCAGGTTGGACCAGCCCCATCTGATGGGCAAGACCTCCAGAGTTCAGGTCTTGCAGAGGTTAGGTCCAGTTGTTCCCCTGGGGCTAAAGTCTCCTATGGGAGCAAGTCAAGCCTAGGGAGATGGGCTTCCCTAGCCATGCTCCACTACAGACTCTACCACACCAAACCCTCTGGGTTCCACCTCAGCTGACGCGCTGCCCTTGCTTCTCTAAGCAGCTCTCCCTGCCAAATCGGTGTCTGTGGTAGATGAGGGGTCATCTTCTGCTGGAATTCCAGAGGCCCGTAGCAAGAACAGATTACTCTTCGTGAGTACAACTCGCTCATTCCCTCAGGGTCGTTGGGGGCTAGGAACGAGTCCCTGTGTGCAGTAGCCCGGTGCAGCGTTCCCAGCATCCTCCCCTTTCAGCCTGCTTCTGTGTGTTCCCTCCATCCACTCTCACTGCCTTCCCTCTGAAGGTCTGTTGTGCCAGTCAGCTCGGTTTCTCGCTGGCAGCTGTTCCACCTGGCTGCTTTTAGTAGGCTTTAGTGCCCTTCCCCTCTTTTTTAATATAGAGACAGAGTCTCTCCATATTGCCGAGGCTCGTTTCCAATTCCTGGGCTCAAGCAGTCCTCCTCCCTTGGCCTCCCAAAGTGCTGAGATTACAGGCATGAGCCACTGTGTCCAGCCTAGTACTCTCTTTTAAGGATGTGTTTTCCAGTTCTTGTTATTTTCATTCTAAGGGGTACATTGCCAGTATATTCTACCTTCTTCCAAAGGAATAAATACAGATTGGTTTAAAACATAGAATATTAACATTTCTATTTTTCCTTGAATGTCCACTTATTCTTTTCTTTTTCTTTTTTTTTTTTTTTTTTTTTTTTTTTTTTTTTTTTTTTTTTGAGGCAGAGTCTTACTCTGTCGCCCAGGCTGGAGTGCAGTGGCGCAATCTCGGCTCACTGCAGCCTCCGACTCCTGGGTTCAAGCAGTTCTCCTGCCTCAGCCTCCTGAGTAGCTGGGACTACAGGCGCACGCCACCAAGCCCGGCTAATCTGTTTTGTATTTTCAATAGAGACAGGGTTTCGCCATGTTCACCAAGATGGTCTCGATCTCCTGAGGATTATAAATCATGCTACTATAAAGACATGCACACATATGTTTATTTCGGCACTATTCACGATAGCAAAGACTTGGAACCAACCCAAATGTCCATCAACGATAGACTGGATTAAGAAAATGTGGCACATATACATCATGGAATACTATGCAGCCATAAAAAAGGATGAGTTCATGTCCTTTGCAGGCACATGGATGAAGCTGGAACCATCATTCTCAGCAAATTATCACAAGGACAGAAAACCGAACACTGCATGTTCTCACTCATAGGTGGGAATTGAACAATGAGAACACATGGACACAGGGAGGGGAATATCACACACTGGGGCCTGTCATGGGGTGGGGGGTTGGGGGAGGGATAGCATTAGGAGAAATAACTAATGTAAATGAAGAGTTGATGGGTGCAGCAAACCAACATGGCACATGTATACCTGTGTATGAAACCTGCCTGTTGTGTACACATACCCTAGAACTTAAAGTATAATTTTTAAAAAAAGAAACTTGAAGCTTTGGGATCAGCCTGGAATATTTTTCATAAATTCTGTTGACAGTTTCTTGCTGAATCACTTTGAATGGATATTCAAAACTTCGTTTGAACTTAAGAAAAATAAGAATTTCTTTTTGTATTTCACTGAATGGTAAACAGTTTCTACTCTCTTCTGGGAATTCATAGATGAAAGGGGATGGTTTTTACCTGTCCAAATCTATGGAGAAATACACAAAACAGGAGATTATATTAATAATATACTATAATAATATAAAGGAAGTATGAACAGCTTTCAGTGGGAGCTTGTAGAGAGAGTTTTTCCTGAAAAAGTCAAGTAAAGATAAAATTCAGTAAGCAAAAAGTTAATGCGGGCCGGGTGCGGTGGCTCACGCCTGTAATCCCAGCACTTTGGGAGGCCGAGGCTGGTGGATCACCTGAGGTCAGGAGTTTGAGACCAGCCTGGCCAATATGGTGAAACCCCGTCTCTACTAAAAAAATACAAAAATTAGCTGGGCATGGTGGCACACGCCTGTAATCCCAGCTACTTGGGAAACTGAGGCAGGAGAATCGCTTGAACCTGGGAGGCAGAGGTTGCAGTGAGCCAAGATTGCGCCATCGCACTCCAGCCTGGGCGACAAAGAGCGAAACTCTGTCTCAAAAAAAAAAAAAACAAAAAAAAGATAAAGCAAAAAATGCAGGGATAGAGAAACCATGGCAAAAGGTGCTAAGTGCTGAATTTAAGTGTAGAACCTAGACTCAATCTGAGAGGACATCATCCCATGTCTGCCTGGTATTGTACAGACCCTCCTAGTCTTTTAGCTAGCTCTTAAAGGATAAATCAGAGAAGAGAGCGTTGCGCGTATTCTTAGTTGATAAAATAGCAGATGAAAAGTCACAGAGGTATGAAATATTAATATTAATGTGTATTTGAGGAACTATAAGAAATTTAGTATTGCTAGAGCAAAGAATGTTTGAGGAGAATTTTGAGGAAAAGGCTAGAAGGGCTTTCTATGCCATGCCACTAATTTAAATTGCTATTCTATAGCAAGGAAGTGATGTGATCCAATCCATATTTCAGGAAGATCGTGCTGACCCTGTAATCCATTACATGAATGCAGACAGTAACACTCTCAAAATTTATTAAACACACTTAATGAAATAAATACCAGTATCTATGTTATCTGCCTTTTTTGCCTGTCACTCATGCGGTCCTCACAACTCCTTCCAGCCCCTAAACTAATCAGTCCGGGCATTAGAGAGCTTTGAAATGTTTATTAAGAAAACAGTCCTGTTTTGACAGACAGGAGTTAGAGCACCTGGACTTAAAGCAGGCTTTACAGCTCTACTGGGGATCTCTCATGTAGGCAACATGAGGCCAGCAGAGCCCTGTGCAAACAGGCATCATAAGCAAATGACCATTTCTTTTCCATTATAGACTTCATCCTTCAAAAGGGAGTGCCATTCGTCCCAACTAGTATTTTCCCCCCTTTTATCTGTGTCACTAATGCTAAATTAGTTCATGGGTCATTCAAATTCTAGCAGCTTTGGTGTTAGTCTTTATATTTCAGTTCCAGTGCTCCGCTGATTATTTTGGCATGAAACTATCCCATACAGTCATCATGCTGCTTTTAATTCAAAAGATTCCTATGAGCTGCACCAGGAATATCGTATCTAGTACAAAAACTGTATGTCTGTTCTTCCCTGAAGCAGATTCTCTTGTAACTTGAGTTTAGTTATCTTAGTATTGATATTGAGTTATTTTTAGAGAGTTCTGTGGTGGTTAGTGGCTCGGTGTTTTCATCAGTCGTTCACTTAACTATCCTTTCGGAACATCTGTGCCACTTACGCTGTCTCACTTCTCACCCAAGTCTTAGATGCTTTTTCATTCTTCATATTACTAGGAAAGATTAAACACATCATATAATGCCAGTGACTGCAGGACTTTCCTTTAAAGCTTCTAAACTACCTGCCAGTATGCTGAAATAAGGTATATTCTGAAGCTTATCGTTTAAATTGTAGATTTCATATGTAAAAACATTTTTTTTTTTTAAGACAGTCTTGCTCTGTCACCCAGGCTGGAGTGCAGTGGCGCGATCTCCGCTCACTGTAAGCTCCGCCTTTCAGGTTCACACCATTCTCCTGCCTCAGTGTCCCGTGTAGCTGGGACTACAGGCACCCACCACTGCACCCGGCTAATTTTTTGTATTTTTAGTAGAGACGGGGTTTCACCGTGTTAGCCAGGATGGTCTCGATCTCCTGACCTCGTGATCCCCCCACTTCGGCCTCCCAAAGTGCTGGGATTACAGGCGTGAGCCACCGCGCCCAGCCTGTAAAAACATTTTCATCTTTGTTTATAAATAAAACATCTGATTATACAACAATACTTTTATGGGACTCAAAGAGGGGAGTCAGGGTTGGGGTGGGGTCTGTCATTTATTTACTTATTTTTAAAAGATACCTGGCCTGGTTCTGTGGCGGTGGCTTTTCTTCGCTAATCATGAGCTGTACTTTGAGTATGCAGTAGATTCCGTCAGCATCTCAGTGGGAGAAAGGGGGGAAAGAGGGGTTTTAACACAGTGTTCTCTTTGCATTGAGTGAAGAAGCTGTTGATCTCTGAAGGAGGAAAGGAGAGACTGGAACCACATGAAGGCTTGTGCTGTGAAACCCTGAAACCCTGACGGTGCCTTTTGATCACTGTGTTTTAACAAAGCTGACAATCCTCAGCCACACAAATCTTGGGAACTAAAATAAGTATTCATTTAACTCTTGACTAAAGGTTAAAAGATACAGTTAAAAAGAAATCTAAAACCCAGAGTGGTAATTCCACTTTTTCTTTCTCTTTCTGTTGTTGGAACCTGAGCTCTCTAGGAAAACTAACATTTGTTAAGGGCCTGCCATGTGCCAGATTCCTGTCTGTAAGAGAGGTATAATTATTATTTTACACTATCTCAATCTTAATAACAACTCCGTTAAGTTTACACATTTATATTTCCATTTGACAGTTAAAATCAAGGAAGTTCAGGAAGCTGCTTGTCTAGGGTCATACAACTAGTAAGCGGCACTGTCCAGCTCCAGAACACATGCTTTTTCTTGTGTATTTTAGTGCTCCTTCAGTCACTTATATGATTTACTTATTTGTTATTCTTTTATAAATTTAAGCAGTAGTACAAAGTAGAAAGAATAAAGAAAAAAACAGCCCCCAAGTCAATTGCCTAGAAAATAATCATTATTTGTAGTAGGTAAGCAGGATTCCTGTCATATTCCTATGCACATATAGAAAAAAATTAACATATAACATGCCATTTTAAATAAAAATTGAATTTAATTTTACTTGACATTAGCAGAATAAAGAGAATTTCAGTAGAATATTTCTTCTTTTTTTTTTTGAGACGGAGTCTCACTCTGTCGCCCAGGCTGGAGTGCAGTGGCGTGATCTGGGCTCACTGCAAGCTCCACCTCCTGGGTTCACGCCATTCTCCTGCCTCAGCCTCCCGAGTAGCTGGGACTACAGGTGCCCACCACCACACCCGGCTAATTTTTGTTCTATTTTTTAGTAGAAATGGGATTTCACCGTGTTAGCCAGGATGGTCTCAATCTCCTGATCTCGTGATCTGCCCGCCTCGGCCTCCCAAAGTGCTGGGATTACAGGCGTGAGCCACCACGCCTGGCCAGAATATTTCTTTACTATAAAGGAGAATTCCTAAGCCATCCTTCCAAGTTTAAGAAAAGAGATAGAGATTGGGGTTATGTTTTACAACAGCATCTTTTATTTTTATTTTAATCAGTATTAATTCATGCCATGCTCTAAAAGATGAAGAAATTATCACTTCTTCTCACCAGTTTTTAATGATATAGTTTTATATCAGCTTTACCAAGGTTTATAATATTTACATCTTATTTTATAACTCCCAGGCTACTTAGTCTGGGAGTTAAATTCAGCACTTAACACCTTTTGCCACATTTTCCCTATCCCTGAATTTTTTGCTGTATCGTTTTGCTTATTTAATTTTATCTTCACTTGACTATTTCAGGAAAGACTGATGCTGAATTCTGGTTTTCTTGTTTTATGTTTGCATGCTTGATAGTGTTTATTTGCCATTCTACTTGAAGTATTACTTAGCTAGTTACGAAATTCTTAGGTGTGTTCTTCTAATGCAGAGTGGATGAATGTTCCCGGATGCTCTCTTCCTGCCATCACTGCATCTGATGTTGCCCCTCTGAGTTAGAACAGAAGGGCCAGGAATTGACTTCAGCCTGCTTTTCTATAACCTGGGAAATGTGAGGAGCTAGGACTATTCTCAGCTGGATCTCCACTGTCTTTGTGGAAGGCCTGGACTCAAGTTTTTGTTGTTTGTTTGTTTGTTTGTTTTTCCTGAAATTTTGATAAATATCCTGTATTCATCCTGGTAAGCATGAGAAGGTTCAGATCGTCTGTGAAATTCTTTAGAGATTGCTAGAAAACAGCATATCCTAGTAATTTTTCTTGCCTTTATGAGGTTGCCATAGTTAAATGTTTTGTCCTGACTCATCTCTTAAACCACCAGTCCACCCTTTTCCATCTGTTTTTCTCCACATTTGGGGATATTACTGGGAATTCTCACAGTTTTATCACCTCACTTCTGAATTGCTTCTGGGCTTAGAATAGGGTAAAGAGCAACACTATTTTTCACCAAAATTTTTGTTGATTTTATTACCTGCAGCCCAACACAAAAATACTGACAAACCTTTCATTTCTAGGAGAACAACTGATTGACCCTAATAGAAAAAATAGACTCTATCAGTCAGGTATTCCAGTGTATAGGAAACAGCGTGTTGTGACATTTGTTTATTTAAGAGATGATGGTTTTCGGCCGGGCGCGGTGGCTCACGCCTGTAATCCCAGCACTTTGGGAGGCCGAGGCGGGTGGATCATGAGGTCAGGAGATCGAGACCATCCTGGCTAACAAGGTGAAACCCCGTCTCTACTAAAAATACAAAAAATTAGCCGGGCGCGGTGGCGGGCGCCTGTAGTCCCAGCTACTGGGGAGGCTGAGGCAGGAGAATGGTGTGAACCCGGGAAGCGGAGCTTGCAGTGAGCCGAGATTGCGCCACTGCAGTCCGCAGTCCGGCCTGGGCGACAGAGCGAGACTCCGTCTCAAAAAAAAAAAAAGAGAGAGATGATGGTTTTCAGGTTTTTTGGGTTTTGTTTGTTTTGATCCTTTGAGGATGGTATGTTGTAGTCCAGAGAAGGTATTTAGAATTGTGACAAGGTAATAAAATTGAGACAAACACGATTATTTATCTTTGTCGAGAGTCACTCCTGGCAATTTTCACATGGACCTTCGTTGAAATGCATCATTGAAATACTAGCGTACATTTTAGGTATTTTACTGTTTCACGGTATGCTTATTAGTCAGTGTAAAATGCATCCTAATCAAAATTAACTACTTTGAAAAGGGAAGTTGATCGCTTCTTGGCCATTTGGCTAAGATCAACTGAAAAGGGAAGTAGAGATAATATGGTACAGCAATTTATTTTTAAAACAATTAGTTTTTTTAAACTGACAAATAAAAATTGTGTATGTCCATCATGTACAACATGATGTTTTGAAATATGTATATTTTGTGGAATTGTTAAATCAAGCTAATTAACATATCATTATCTCACATGCTTGTCATTTTTCATGGTGATAACACTTAAAATCTATACTCAGCAATTTTCAAGATGTAGTAATTTCTATATAGAGAAAATCTGTAGAACTCAGGATTGTCTATTTTGAAGGTTCTTAAGATGTATTTCCAAGAAAATACAGTATAAATTTTGTGATTGATACCACTTTTCATGCTAGCCACATAAATTGTCCTTTTTGCTCCCAGGTTAAGAATTCAAGGCTTACAAAAATGAACACAAGGCTGGGCACAGTTGCTCAAGCCTGTAATCCCAGCACTTGGGAGACCGAGACGGGCAGATCACCTGAGGTCAGGAGTTTAAGACCAGCCTGGCCAACATGGTGCAACCCCGTCTCTACTAAAAATACAAAAATTAGCCAGGGGTGGTGGCGCATGCCTATAGTCCCAGCTACTCAGGAGGCTGAAGCATGAGAATTGCTTGAAGCCGGGAGGCAGAGGTTGCAGTGAGCAGAGATGGCGCCACTGCACTCCAATCTGGTCAACAGAGTTAGACTCGGTCTCAAGAAAAAAAAAATTATAATTGAAAATGAACACAGGTTTCTTGTATGTCTCTCCACTTAGTTGATTCTCTAGAGTGTGGTACATTTTACAATGTGTTGTCTGCAGTGTTTATTTACATTGTCTGGCATGCTACAAAGGTTGGTAGCATTTGCTAATAAGGAACCACTATGTGACCAGTGTAAATGATCTACCAGTGCCTCTTCCTGGTTTCGATTTCTTTCCTAGCAAAATACGGGTATAAGAAGTGAACCAGACGTCTTTAAGAAAGAGTATGTCTGCTACTCTTGTTTCCAAAAGTGTTTATATTTATTCATTAAAGAACTTTTGTTACTGAATTCTTTTTAGGAAACTTAGTGAACCATACACTGCCTGTATGGCCAATGATGAAGAATCAGCTTAAGGGGAAAAAATGTATAATGTCCAGCCAGGCGCAGTGGCTCACGCCTGTCATCTCAGCACTTTGGGAGGCCGAGGCGGGCAGATCACTTGAGGTCAGGAGTTCGAGACCATCCTGGCCAAAACCAACATGGTGAAACCCCGTCTCTACCAAAAATACAAAAATTAGCTGGGCGTGGTGGCAGGCGCCCATAGTCCCAATTACTCGGGAGGCTGAGGCAGGAGATTTGCTTGAACCTCGGAGGCAGAGCTTGCAGCGAGCCGAGATTGTGCCACTGCACTCCAGCCCAGGCAACAGAGTGAAGACTCCATCTAAAAAAAAAAAAAAGTATAATGTCTCACAATATAATGCAACAAGATTTCCTACTCAGGACTTACAAAGACCTGTGTCTCTTAAAATACACGGGTCACCGGAATGTAGGTTTTTTGGTAAGTGCTGAGCATTCCTATATTCATTTCCTTCCTCTGTTTTATGATTCACTGGAAAGCTTCAAGCCTTGAAATATTTCTGATTTGATTTTTGCAATATACTTTTTCTTCCCATTGCCATGCTCGTATTTCTGCACACCTCATGTGCTTATACAGTCCAATCATTTTGATGACTTGGGGAGGTGTGAAGAGGCTGAGCTAGACTTCATATTTTCTCCTGTCCCGTGTTCTTATTGTAAAGGAATGTAGTAATGCACTGTGTCTTTTTTGTGTCTGTTGTTGGCTACATGTCCTCAAAACATATTCAACAAGTAGACGTCTATTGAAAAGAAATTTTCCTAAGTTGTCCCCAAGAAAACGACGACACTGGAGTCAGTTCCGTGTTTATAACAGAGTCCCAACACTTGTTTTTCTCCAGGGTTTCTACAAGAAGAAGCATAAAACAGTGTTAGTATGTGACTGACCTTTGGCTTCAAGGCTTCAGTAAATCCGTAAAGTGAGATTGATTAGGATTAATAGCTTTTTGTCCTAGCTAAAAAGTGTTCGAGATCTTGGCTTAAAAAGAGTTCTTTTTGGCCGGGCACAGTGGCTCACGCCTGTAATCCCAGCACTTTGGGAGGCCGAGGCGGGCAGATCATGAGATCAGGAGTCCAAGACCACCAGCCTGTCCAATATGGTGAAACCCTCTCTACTAAAAAATACAAAAATTAGCCAGGCATAGTGCCATACGTCTGTAGTCCCAGCTACTCGGGAGGCTGAGGCAGGTGAATCGCTTGAACCCGGGAGGCAGAGGTTGCAGTGAGCCGAGATCATGCCACTGCACTCCAACCTGGACGACAGAGTGAGACCGTCTAAAAAAAAAAAAAAAAAAAAGTTATTTTTGATACCTTGGAATGTGTTGGCCGTTTTAGGTGCTTCCAGCATTTTATTCAAAGAGTTGAGAACATAAAAGGATAGCTTGATTATACTTAGACCTTAAAAAACTTTTAGGAGTTCATCAAACACATAACCTTTACAACTGGTTAGACTTCCAGCTTTCCTAAACAAGAGTATGGCACTCTTGCCAGTGTTGGTTTAAAGTACATGTAATTTACATAAAATAGCACTGACTGCAGCCTAGGTCTCTAAGCAGAGAATGCTCTGACAACTTTGTCTCCAGGTCCACTCTACTGTTCCTTATTGAGGAGGGAAACCAGGTTCACAGTGTTGTGCTTTCTTCTTTTGGCACCAAAAGGGGCTCCTCCTGGTTTATGAGTTTTAAAGGATGAGGGAAAAATTCATCATGGGGGATGTTATTTTCCTCAGTGGGTAAGTGAAGTCAGGGAAAAACAGAAAACAATGGAGATAAGAGGATGGGATGCGTTCAGTTTATTCTGTTGTTCTCACCACAGTAATTGACTCAGAAGGGACTCATTCTGAATTTAGTATCTAGTGTTAAAAGAACAGGCCTGGGGCAGGCGGAGGCCAGCACTGAGACACAGTGGTGGGTTGAGACCTATTGTATTTTTTAAGTTGTTCCAAGGCTGTCCAGGTGTCCTGATTTAAAGCCTGCTTCTTAAGTCAGGAAATTGTATCTTGTTCTGAGGTTTACTGTAATAAAGTACACAGTCCTAGGGGATGGTACTTCTGGCTCCATGAATCACTTTACAGGCTGGCTGTACTGACCCAAGCCTCATGATTTATTTATGCCATACCACAGTAGGAATGGCAAATATGTAAGCCACACATGGTCTATGGGATGGGCCTTTAACTGGGAAACTGCCATAAATCCGTGAAGTCAGGTAGGACAGAGCCAGCAGGAGCTCATGTCGTGTACAAGATTTCTTCCTGTTTTATAGGGACTTACAGTTCTAGAGCTAATTAAGTTCATCCTCCTTAGAGTGTATCTGTCTTAGTCTGTTGTGTGTTGTTATAAAAGAATATCTGCGCCTGGATAATTTATAATGTAACAAGGTTTATTTAGCTCATGGTTCTGTGGGCTAAGAAGTTCAAGGGCATGGCCCTGGCTTCTGGCAAGGGCTTTCATGCTGCGTCACAAAACAGCAGAGAAGGTCAAAGGGGAAGGGGACACATGCAAACAGGAGAACCTGAGGGTCCATCCTGGCTTTATCACAACCCACTCTCCTGGGAACTAATCTGTTCCCTGCAATACCTAATGCAGTCTTGTCAGAGTGGGAACTCACTCACTACCACAAGATCAGCACCAAGCCATTCCTGAAGGATTCATGCCCCTGTGACCTGAACACCTCCCATCAGGCCCCACCTCCCAACACCATCATACTGGGAATCAAATTTCAACATGAGTTTTCGTGGGGACAGACAAACCATATCCACACCATAGTGATATCCTTGGACTTTTTGTGTGCTGTGTTTATCCAGTCTTTGATTTACTGCTTACAAATCTAAAGAATAGCTCTGAAATATAGTCTAGTCCTATTGTCACTGATATTTTCTCTTCGATTTATTTCTATAAAGTGTTGCCCATGTTTTTCAAATAATTTCTATGTTTTGAGTAAATACTAAGGAGTGCGATGGCCAGATCTTAAGAGTATGTTTAGTTGTGTACAGAACTGCCAAACTGTCTTCCAAAGTGCTGTACCATTTTGCGTTCCCACCAGCGGTGAATGAGAATTCCTGTTGCTCAGCATTCTTGCCATCATCTGGTAGTGTGTGTTCTGGATTTTGTCCATTGTGGTAAGTGTGTAGTGGTATCTCATTGTTCTCATATGCATTTCCTGATTACGTATGATGTGGAGCATCTTTTTGTATGCTTATGTGCCATCTGTATATATTCCTTGGTGAGGTGTCTGTTAAGGTCTCTGGTGCATTTTCTTCCTTTTATCTTGTTTTATTTTTGTTTTTTATAATATTTTCAATTTTTAATTGATACAACATAATTGTACATATTTATGGGGTACATAGTGATGTTTTAATACATGCAGTGTATCATAAGGCCCATTTTTTAATCAGATCATTTATTTTCTTAGTGTTGAATTTTAAGTATCTTTTGTATTATTTTGGATAACAGTCCTTTATCAAATGTATCTTTTGCAAGTATTTTCTCCCATTCTGTGTCTTATTTTCTCATTCTCTTAATATTTGAATATTTAAACACATATTATTTATAAATTAATGGTACATTATTTATAATAATGGTTAAACGGTTGGTAAGTAAATCACTGCTGAGTATATACTGCTTTGAAGGGCCCAAGGATCCATTAGGCCTCCAGCTTTAACCCAGCACAGCATTCTGAAATACCCAATTCTCCCCAGAGTTTCAAGAGTCACCAGGCCTTAACCTTCTTATTGCCTCAAGGACTCTTAGAGCTCACCAGGCTCCTCCTACCACAAGCCTTCATCATATCACCCTGTTCCTGTTGCTTAGGGAGCTTTCTCAGGATAGCATTTCAAGATTGAGTACCCATCCTAGTTTTCTCAGTGTTCCTTGTGAGCCGTGTCACATAGAAGGCATTTAATAAATGTGTGCTGAACTGAGCTGAACCAGCAAGGGCAAAAGGGATTTAAGAGACTGCCGTTTTAATTGAAAAGGAGTAAAAAGACACTGGGAAAGGCAGCATGTATTGGGGGAATATGAGAAATTTCCAAATCACTGGACCATCAGGCTGGAAAATTTAGGTTGGAGCCAAACTGCAAATGGTTTGAATGTCATCATGTATAGTTTATGTATTTATATATACTTACCTTTCTCATAGAAGGGTGAATTTTTATATTATAATAGCTAGAATGTTCTTAGAATTTATCTTCTTAATTCAGAAAACATCACATTGAGATCTGTCAGTAAACCCCCCACACACACAAATAATTTCTTGTCCTCATTGACCTTCGGTCTGAGCTCTTAATGCAGTTTTCTCTACTACACTTGTCCATGCACATAGTGGTCGCAGACATTTGAGAGAATGAAAATCATGTGTTTAATGAGAGATTGTTATCGGAGACTGTAGCACTTGTTTTACTTTATTCTTTCTATTGCTTTTTCTCTTTTTGTTTCTTTCAAAGTACATACAAATACATATTCATTATATCCTATGTAAGGGAATGTGTATTTACTCTAGAATAGGACTACTTTAAGTTTGAGATGGCTTTTTGCTTTTAAAAATATAGATGAGTGTGATTTAGGCATGTATATTCAGTCAGATCTTTTAGCTCTCACCTTGATAAAATTATTGGGTACGAGAAGCAATCAAGTCTTCTTTTCTTTTCTTTTTTTTTTTTTTTTTTCTGAGATGGAGTCTCGCTTTATCACTCAGGCTGGAGTGCAGTGGTGTGATCTCTGCTCACTGCAAGCTCCGCCTCCCGGGTTCACACCATTCTCCTGCCTCAGCCTCCCGAGTAGCTGGGACTACAGGCGCCCGCCACCACACCCAGCTAATTTTTTGTATTTGTAGTAGAGATGGGGTTTCACCGTGTTAGCCAGGATGGTCTCGATCTCCTGACCTCGTGATCCGCCTGCCTCGGCCTCCCAAAGTACTGGGATTACAGGCGTGAGCCACCGCGCCCGGCCTACAAATAATGCTTTAACGCTAAAGAGACAGGAGAACATTTTCAAATATTTTAAGGACAGTTATTTGAAAGAATGAATTTCTTTTATGGAGCTTAAAGGAATAGAACTAGGGTTACAAAGAGACAGCTCTTTCAGTCTTAATAATTATGCAGGATAATAAAAAATATAAATAAAACTTAAAAACAGAGAGCTTTTGGGATCAGTTCTATAAGTAATTTCCTAAGAGGTTGTCAAAGCTGGTATAGGCACCAGCTCATTCAATGTGTTTAAACATAGGCTGGGGGGCCACTTGGCAGCCATGTGGTGTGGAACACAAGCAAGCCGTGATTTTCATGAATGGATCTGTTCTGTGAGGTCTCTTGTTATGCTAAGAGTTTGTGATTCTGGTTTTGTTTTGTGTGATCTTGAAAGACTGATTTATGATCTCTTTCCACTTGTTTACTGCTGTTTACTGCTCAGCCCATTGCAATATAGCTTCTGCCTCCAGCCCTGAAACTACCCTCCAAAGTAGTAACTTTCGAAAAACTAAATCCGATGGAAATTTTGTATTCTTTATCTTGACCTGCCTGTGAATCTTTAACATGTTTTATCTCTTCTTATTTCTGGAAACTTTCTTTATCTTTGGCTTCCAGGGGACCACCTTCTTTTTGTTTTCTTTTTCCTCTAAGACCATTCCCCCTCAGTTCTTCATAGACTTCTTCCACCAGTGCTGTGTGCCCCGCCTCTTATCTTGGTGGTCTCGTGTCTTATCTTGGTGGTCTCATGTACTCCTGTGATTTTAATTACTTTCAGTGCTGATCATTCCCACGTAGTCTTTAATCGGGTCCTGATTGCAGGACTGTCAGTACAACTGCCTACCAGGTATCTCCCCAGATTCATAAGGTTGATGTAAAGATTAAATTACTTAGTTAAGGCCAGGTGTGGTGGCTCATGCCTGCAATCCCAGCACTTTGGGAGGCCGAGGTGGGCCAATCACTTGAGGTCAGGAGTTCGAGACCAGCCTAGCCGACACGGTGAAACCCCTGTCTACTAAAATTAGAAAAACCAGCTGGGCATGGTGGCAGGCACCTGTAACACCAGCTACTCAGGAGGCTGAGGCAGGAGAATCATTTGAACCTGGGAGGCAGGGGTTTCAGTGAGCCGAGATTGCCCCGTTGCATTCCAGCCTGGGCGACAAGAGTGAAACTCCATCTTAAAAAAAAAAAACTTAGTTGAAGGTGCCTAGTAGAATATCTGGCTCTATAGTAATCATGCTGGCAATGCTAATTATAGTGAGTGTTTACCCAGTTCATTCATACTCTTGAAGAATCATTTATTTATCCTTTTCTTGGGTCAGGGCGCAACAGAGCCTTGCTCTGTCATCCAGGCTGGAGTGCCGAAGCGCAGTGTCGGCTCACTGCAACCTCCGCGTTCTAGGTTCAGTTGATTTTCCTGCCTCAGCCTCCCAAGTAGCTGAGACTACAGGAGTGCGCCCGGCTAGTTTTTGTGTTTTTGTAGAGACGGGGTGTCACCAAGTTGGCCATGCTGGTCTGGAACTACTGACCTCAGGTGATCCGCCCACCTCAGCCTCCCAAAATCCTGGGATTACAGCAGTCCGCCCACTGATTTATCTTTAAATCACCACTTCCCAAACTGTTTTCTCTTGTACTAGTATCCCTCAAGGTGGTAAGTGATGTTCCACCCAGAAAAGAGAGAAGGTGGGGTTCCATGATCAGTTAAGTTTGGAAAATACTTTATAGGTAGGGTTGGAACTTTTTCAGGGGCCAGATTGTAAACTTACTGGGCTCTGTGGGCCATTTGGTCTCTGTCACACTACTCAAATCTCTTGTAGCACCAGCGTAGCCATAGAAAATATATAAGCAAATGAGCAAGGTTTTGTTCACTAAAATTTTATTTGTGGACACTAAACTTTGAATTTCATATAATTTTCACAAAATGTAATTATTATATGTTATATGCTATATTATTTGGGGTTACAAAAGTATTATTATTTTCTTTTTTTTCAACCATTTAAAAATGGAAAAGCCATTCTTTGCTCATGGGCCATGGGCTGGCTTTGACCATGAGTGGCAGTAGCTTGCTGATTCCTGCTTTAAAATATAGCCCCCTATTAAAGATATGCAACCTACACCATAAAAAGCTTTTCTAAGTTCTGCAGCAGTGCTGTTATGACCAGTGTTCCTCAAACATATTTGACCGTGGAAATCTTTTGTCATGCTTATTTGTTACTGTCTCTTGCTGTACTTCTGTGGAATGTGCTTTTGAGAAATACTGACCTAGAGAATAGCTATGTATGCCAGAGGTAAAGTTTGGCCTGTGGAGCAGACTGTAAATAACAAGAGAAAGCGTCTTGTCTTTATTCCTCTTGCTCTGATCGTCAGCTCCAACTGGTCACAGACAGAATGGTATTTTGGGAAACTGAATTCACTCTACGAGGTGGGCACCAGTGAACCACTAAAGCTGAGTCAAAGATTAGCTGAATTGAGGGTGGACATGATGAAGTTAATTCCGTCAACCAGCTTCAGAAATGGGAAAAATGGCTTTAACGTAAGGTAAAATAGAGGTGCTCTAAGTGAGATAAAATACTCGGTCCTGGCTGGGTGCGGTGGCTTACACCTGTAGTCCTAGCACTTTGGGAGGCCAAGGTGGGTGGATTGCTTGAGCTCAGGAATTCAAGACCAGCCTGGGCAACGTGATGAAACCCTGTCTCTACACACACAAAAAATTAGCCAGGCCTGGTGGCACATGCCTGTGGTCCCAGCTACTTGCAGGGCTGAGATGGGAGGATCGCTTGAGCCTAGGAGGTCAAGGCTGCAGTGAGCTGAGATCACACCACTGCACTCCTGCCTAGGTGACAAAGTGAGACTGTCAAAAAAAAAAAAAAGTGTGTGTGTGTGTGTGTGTGTGTGTGTGTGTGTTTATATATTTATATTCCGTTGAGGAAGAAGAGATCCAGAGGTCATATGCAAAATATAAACAGTAATAGGTATCAATTTCTATAGTTTTGAAATCTTTACTGCTGTTGTTTTAAAATATGCAAAAGTTTAAAACTTAAAAAATTGAGTTTATATATAATAAAATTCTAAAACTTGCTTTGAAATAATATTTTCAGTTGCTGTTTTTGTGTGTGTGTGTCTTTGAGAAGTAGGATGTGTGACTCAGTAGGGAGTAAAGGTTATTGCTTTACTATTTTGAGCATATTTTTCCCTAATAAAAATAATGCCATAGCTAAGGAGAGAACCTTCAAATTAAAAACAAAAACACTTTCATTTTAAAAGTCTACGCTTCCCATCTTTTTATGTCTACTTTAACCGTATGCCCCTTATTAAAAGGAAAAATTGGTGTAGTAAGCATTGTTTTTAAATTCTGTCTGGCATTTGGCAAGCAGCTAGAACCTATAGGAGGATGCAGAAAAGATGGGACCATCCCAGCTGATGAGAATTTATCTACCTGATGCAGGCATAGTCATTGCCCATTCCCACAGAATTTACATACCAGGTGTCTCATTCCAAACCTGTGTAGGAGAAAAGGGACTCTTATAGTTTTTGCCAACAGATTGATAGCTGATGAATAATAAAATTGTTGAATCATTAATGCAAGAAGGTAATAAATTACCGGGTTTGTTTTCATCCATTTGGCCAACAAATGTTTTTGGTGACCTCCAAGATCTCAGTAGCCCCAATGTCTTCAGTACTCTCTCAGCATCCCAGCATGCACTCATATATATCCCTGACAGCTTTCATAAGCTTCCTATACAGCTATAGGAGTATATCTCGGATACTTACGCATTGGAGCAGCTCCTACTTTTTTTGTAAGTGTACCACAAATCCCAAAATTAGATGTTCTATGTAACGCTGGCTATTTTATGAGATCAAGACACAGTTGGATCTTGATTTTGCTGGAGGTGGAGACCTGAGTGCCCTGACACTGCTGGCATTCTTCTAGCAAACGTCATGACAAACAGACGTGGAATGCAGCACAGGCTAAAGAAAGGCGAGCAAGCCCCCTCGGTAGCACAGTGTGGACAGCTGGTATGGACATGCTATCCATCTAAAACTGGGAAAGGTTAAATAAACAGTGGGACAGTGACAAAGTGCAGAGATTAATTGCCGAAAGCATTCAATAATTCTTAAAACAGACATCTAAATAAGCAGAAGCATTCTGGAGTTTGAGTTCTGAGAGACAATGTAAGAAGACTTTATTTACTTTTGGAGACAGAGACTTCCTAAGGAAAGAAGACAAGATAAATGGTGTAGTCCAAAAGTAGACATATATAACAACAGGTGTACCTTAGTTTGAAGGGACTACATCTTCATATGGGAAGATTGTATTCTGAAATTTTCTGTTCATATTACATACACTATAAAACATGAAGCGTAAAGGACATACTGTTGTAAAATAATAAAGACAAAATGAGAGAAAAGGCCAATATAAATCTTTTTATCAGACCATCTCCAGATGTTACTGTGAACCTACTACTTAGCTTCATCTCTTGAGGCTCAAGCTCAGCTTCCCCTCCTCCAACTTCATCCCCAGATCTCCAGCGCAGATCAGTGGGTTTAAGACATAATTCAGTAGAGATTTTGATAGGATTTGAGTAAATCCCTAACAGAAACTCCCTTGGCTTGCCAGCTATTTTTAAAGGCAGATATGTAGAAAGCAGAAGATCCTAAATTCACCTATCTGTCTTGTGATAGCCCTTGCCAGGAAAATAGGAGATTTGCCCAAGAATATATTATAGGATGTTCTTGTGGTACATGCCTGTAGTCCCAGCTTCTTGGGAGGATGGCTTGAGCCCAGCAGTTTGAGGCTACAGTGAGCTGCGATCATGCCTGTGAAAAAACATTGCACCCCAACCCGGACAACATAGCAAGGCCTTGTCTGTTCAAAAAAAAAAAAAACACTAAACTTTTTTTTTTTTCAAATAATACATTAGATAGAACCAACCCATAGAAGTCATCTCTGCATAATATTTCTAAGTCCAATAATGATCAACATTATGAGTGCCTGCAATATCATGAGAATTTAAGAGTCAAAAGTTACTTTGATCATTTTCACTATGGAATTGAAAGATTCTTTTTATATACTTATTGGATTAGGAAAGTACATACAAATGCTAAAAATCCAGTCTTGGCAAGGATGTAGGGAATCAGAGGTATGTAATACCTTAATGTTGGTCTTTTAAATCAGCTCGTCTTCCTCTAAAACAGTGGATCTCAAGTATAGATGTCCATTCCAGAAACTCAGTAGGTCTGGAGTAGAGCACAGACTTCCATTTTGAATAATTTCTTTCATGTTTGAGAGCCACCATTGTAAAGCAAATCTGATACCATGTAATAAGCTATACAACTCTCCACAGCCGCTGACCTATTTGTGAGCCCTTCTTGGGTTCTGCAGGGGAAAGCTGCTTCCCGCTCATAGACTGAATTATGTCTTAAATCCACTGATCTGTGCTGGAGATGTGGGGATGAAGTTGGAGGAGGGGAAGCTGAGCTTGAGCCTCAAGAGATGAAGCTAAGTAGTAGGTTCGCACTCTGGATTGATTTTCATATGCTAAATCATTTAGAATTTCCATATCCATTTTCACTTCAACCGTTATAGTTTGGCATGACATAAATCTTCTTACATCGACAAAGATAAGAGTTTGCTTCATTTTTTCATTCTGGTGTTTGGGAGTAATTTTCTGGAGGAAAATGTCACTGATAGGTCTTTGCTCTGCTGCCTTGAAGTCAGGAATCCAAAATTGTCATTAGTACTATATTGGAGCCCTCAAAACTTTGACCAAGGTGGGGAAAGAAAAAGCATAACAGCTTCAGGGAAAAGTAGGCTCAGTCGAGGCTTTCTCCCTGAGGATCAGTAATTGTAGCATGGTGAGGGGTTGGATAATCAATCATTTTAGGTCAAATTAAACATATTTTCTTTACGAGTTCTGTCAAAATAGGTAGACATGAGGTAGAATCCAGGAGTCACTTCTACACTCAACAGAAATAGAGACAACTCACTAGAACTAAGACTGTAAGGAACAGTCTAAGATGGTCTTAGTTCATTTTATTGCTGTAATAATAAAGTACCACAGACTGAGTAATTTATAATGAACAGAAATTTTGGCTTATGGTTCTGGAAGCTGGTAAGTCCAAAAGCAAGGAACCGACACCTGGCAAGGGTCTTTTTGCTGTGTCATCCCACGGTGGAAGGGCAAAGAGGGTAAGAGAAAGGCGGAAGGCAGGTAAAAGGAGGCCACACCCCGCTTCCTCGTTAACAGACCTACCCTTACAATAATGGCATTAATCCATTCATGAAGACACAGCGGTCATGGCCTAGCATACCCTAAGCGTTCTACCTATTAATACTGTTACAAAGGCAGTTAAATTTCAACATGAGTTTGGGAGGGAATAGTCAAACCTTGGCCCACTCACTGAATTGATGTTGTTTTCCTTTCTGTTATAATGTTTCACCGTAAACTGTAGTTCCCTACATATTATATTGAAAGGACTATTGGTCTGTATATATTTGTGTATCACAAAAGAGTTACGTCATCTTTAGAGTCTTCTAACATGGAGAATATATAGATACATTTTATATACAATTTGATAGTTAACTAATTCTATAGATGCAGGCTTTTTTTTTTAAAGAAAGATACTATGTGCCATTATTTTGCAAATTAATGTAAATCTTAAAAATTTTTAGTGGATTTTATTCTAAACAGTAAATACCAAATGAGCAGACATTGTCGTAACTAGGTACTCCCTTCTCCTCTGGCATCTTTTTTGTTTGTTTGTTTAAGAAGACATTCTGAGGCTTATTGTAATTTCTTAATTTCTCTTCTGATTTTTAAATTTCAGTTATGTTGTCTGTTTTACTATTGACAGACATTGTTAAGTATAATTCAAAAGTAAAGAAGCTTAGAATATAAACAGGGATCTGGATGTCATTCAGCAGAAGTGCTCTCTAGTCATGAAGAAAATGAAGCTTGGCTATGAAGTAGAAGAATCTTTCTATCAAAAAATAAGAACGTTGGAACTTAGGATCCAATAGAGTCGCACAATAGTCATATAGGTGATTTTACACTTACTTCATTGGGGCTGTCATGGCTCAAATATATTTGTGATCCTTTTCTTGGAAATTGCTTTCAGAGCCAGTTTGCAGGATGCCCCTAAAAATAAATATGCACTTACACTTCACTGTAATCCAAAACCTATCACTCTGATTCATTGTGCACAAGACTTGGTGTCAAAATTAAAATTCAGTTAATAAAAAGGGTATTTGTCATAATTCCAAATATTTAAATAATGCAATAAAACTGTGAAGCTTAAAGAGAAATTTGGCAGCATCACTGGAATAAATTTTTGTGTAACTTCCCAAAATTAATTCCCTGAAGAATATATCTTTCATTTCAAATATAAGTACAAGTATATTTTATAAAGGAAGCAGCTAGATAACTTTTGCTAAAGTAACGTTTAAGGAAATACAGGGCTGGGTACAGTGGCTTACACCTGTAATTCCAGCACTTTGGGAGGCCAAAGTGAGAGGATCACTTGAGCCCAGGAGAGCAGCCTGGGCCACATGGTGAAACCCCCTCTCTAATAAAAATAAATAAATAGAATAGAATAAGCTAGGTATGGTGATGCCAGCTACTTGGTATGTAGTCCCAGCTACTTGGGATGCTGATGTGGGAGAATCACCAGAGTCTGGGAAATCTAGGCTGCAGTTGTTGGCTATGATCTCACCACTGCACTCCAGCCTGGGTGATGGGAGTGAGGCTCTGTCTCAAAAAAAAAAAAAAAAAAAGGTGGGCATGGAAGATGAATGGAAGATACTCAAAGATAGACCCACGAAACTGAGGATATGCTATTTCAGTCTCTGGACTAAAAAAAATTGCCTGTTTTCATGGACACAGGAAGGGGAACATCACACACCGGGGACTGTTGTGGGGTGGGGGGAGGGAGGAGGGATAGCATTAGGAGATATACCTAATGCTAAATGATGAGTTAATGGGTGCAGCACACCAACAGGGCACATGTATACATATGTAACAAACATGCACATTGTGCACATGTACCCTAAAACTTAAAGTATAATAATTAAACATAAAAAAATAAAAATTAAATTAAAAATTGCCTGTTTTTATTAAACTAGTAAACAATTTGTAGAAATGCATGATTTGATTAAATGAGTTTTGGGTGCCACCTTCATAAGGGAAGCTAGAACTGTGCTTAAATACCAGGAGCCCTGCTACCTTCTTAATCTTGAGCACTAAAACTAAGACCTATATCTAAAAACTTAGCCTAAATTCGCATTCCACCGTCATGAATATGGAATGAAAATCTCTCATGAAGTTGGTTTTCATGAAAGTGCCTCCAGGAAAGCAAAACTCTGGAACATTGGGCCACATTTATAAGACCGTGATTATTCATTAAAAAACTGAGGATGTAATATTTGGAAGGCCTTTACTTACTATCAACTCATCAACAGTATGGGATGAAACTAGCAGCTTGACTTTCTGTATGAAGTATGGGGGAAAGAGTGGAAAGAATGTCAGAGTTCACTGGGACCTTCTTTAGAGCCATGGGGCTGAATTTTATTTAAAATATTCATTGGAAAAGCACCTGGATTCCAATGCTTCTTAAAGTCATTCTGTTTTTCCATGCAGTTCGTTATTTGCTTTTAGACCTTTTATCTCCAAGTTGTTTTATTTAGTTGCTAGTATTTCTTCAGGTGTCATTATCTTGCATCCCTCTAGAAGATAAGACACACTATTGTGTGCATGTGAAATTAGAATTCCTATAAATATCTCATTCTTGAACAAATTTTCAGTATCACCATAAATGATATTTAACACTAAGTGGCCAAAAACAAGTCATTCACAGAGATTCTGCATCATATTCAGTCTGACAGCACTGAAGCTGTGGTTGTGTATTTTTAACTACACTTAATGAAAAAGGACATCAGGACTCCAGCAAAGTTGCCAGCATTCACCAGGTCTTATGAGTTCTTCTGCCCTAGACCTTTTCTCATCTGCTCTGTCCATCCGATCTTGGCACTCGCCAGCTCTGCCTTCTTAGTCCAGCAGTGGCTCGATAAGAACCGTTGATCTTCAGAGCTCTGTCTCTCTCTCTCTGTCTCTCTCTCTCTCTCTCTCTGTCTCTCTCTCTCTCGAAGAGCTGGAAAAGAGGACTCGAGGAAAAAATATTCATAGGGTAATTTGTATCTTCCACATTATTTAAATTTGGAAGCATAAAAATACATTGTGCTTGAATCATGCTGGGTGAAATAAGCCAGATACAAAAGGCCAAATGCTGTGTGATCCTACTTATATGAGGTACCTGGAGTAGTCAGATTCAAACACAGAAAGTAGAATCGTGGCTGCCAAGGGCTGGAAGGGGCAGAGGAGGGTGTTAGCCTTTCATAGGTGTAGAGTTTCTTTTCAGGAAAATGAAAAATCTTTGGATATGGATGGCGGTGACAGTTGCACAGCAGTATCAGTGTGCTTAATGCCACAGAAATACACACTTTAAAATGGTTTAAAATGGTCAATTTTATGTTATCTGTATTTGACTATAGGTTAAAAAACGTGCTTATACTTATCATGTTTGCTATATGAGAACATTCCTCATTCAGAAGATTTTATGGTTCTTAAAGTAACTTGATTAAGGAATAATATAAATACAATAAAGTGCGAACATTTTAGACATACATTTTGGTGAGTTTGTCAAGCTACAGTCATTTCCAGGAGCTTCTGTCTGCCCTTTCTGGTCACTCGCCATTTCCCACTGCAGTCCCTGGCAACGACTGATCTGCCTCCGATCCTTGTGGATTAGAATACAGTTCATTTTTATATTTTTTAAACAAATTTGGAATGTACAAACTTTTGTTTTTTGACAAGTAGAGATACAGATGTCGAGTTTTTTGCCCATCTGAGAAGCAGGTAGAGGCTTTATAGCAGAGGTCTCAATAGCACAGTAAAACTAAGTCTTCTAAACTTGCCATAATCTTATGAACATGCTCATTTTTCAGAAAAGGTGAAGGAAAAAACTGAACGCAAGTTTTCCACCTACAATTTTGTTCAATCAATGTCATTTACTGAGCTATAATCACCAGCAGTTTCTGCCTTTATAATGTTAATTTTGATCTTTTTCAAGAACTTGTGAAAAATGGAAGTCAGTCCATATTGGGATAACTTCTCTACCCATTCCCTTGTAAGTGTATTTCTTTCCTTTTTTTTTTTTTTTTTTTTTTTTCTAGAGACAGGGTCTTGCTCTGCCACCTAGACTGGAATGCAATGTGGTGCCATCACGGCTCACTGCAGCCTCGACCTCCTGGGCTCAAAGGATGCTCCCACCTCAGTCCCCCAGGTAGCTGGGACTATAGGCATGCACCACCAGGCCCAGCTAGTTTTTTTTATTTTTTGCAGAGATGAGGTTCCACCATGTTGCGCAGGCTGGGCTCGAACTCCTGGGCTCAAGTGATCCACCCGCCTCAGCCTCCCAAATTGTTGCCATTACAGGTGTGAGCCACCAAGCCCAACCATGAGTGTATTTCTCACTGTAGGTCAGTTCCTTTCCCTTGTTTCAGGAGATAGAGAAACATGAGATGAGCAGCAAGTGAGAAATCTTGGACATTGTGCTTTGCACAGGACTTGCCATTGTGCTGCAGGAGGGCTGTGCTAGGCAGGACCCCAGCGTGCACTGTTGGAACTATGCCCTGAAATAGTCTGTATTTGGTGACCTTTGAAAGTTTCTTTGTAGCATTTAAGCGTAAATGTGATAGTTATTTTGTGTTGCATATTCATTGACTAGCATAGCAGTCTTTCATTTAGAGTCCTACCTGCAATTCTTGAATCCAAGAGTCAGACAGCAGCGTTTTATTCTTCATTCTTTAGGAACTGTTTTTGTAATATAAGATTTTTACTTCTAACACATCTCTAGCAGTAGCATCCTGGCCTTTCCCCTTGCAGAATCTTCTAATCTCTCCTCATTACCTTCAACTCAGTCTTTCTAAGACCTTGCTTTACTTCTCTAAAACTTTTGGTATTTCTATATTACGTACAAAATCAAATCACTTCTCATTCAGCATTTTTGTGTACCCTCTGCCTGCTGGGTTCTGGTTAAAACCCTCAAGGATTTCACATTCTGTTTATTCCTTAGGCCACCATTCCAGACCATCTCTACTCTGATTTAGAGCTGCCTCTTCAGCTTCTCTGCCATTTCCTGTCCCTGTAGACACTCTCTAATCCAGTTCTACGATGTGTCCTCACATGTGACTGGTGCTTTCACACTTGCCACTCTGTCTTTCTTATTTCTCTGTCAAAATAGGGCCCATGTCAGTTCCCACGTCCTTAGCCTGAGGTGATTTCTCTCTGCTGTACTACCTCAGCATTTACTGCCCATACAGTATATTTGGCACTTAGCATTTATTGTTTCATCTCATTAGTTATATTAAAATCTTAGAGTTGAAAAGGACAGTCTCACCACTGAAAACAAAATTACTTACACAATATCTCTGATAATCTGTTTAAACACCTAGTCATGGGAAGATCTATAATTTTTTAGCTTTCCAACTCTACTTACTAACAAATATTAATACACTAGATGTTCCTTTTATAAACCAAAATCTCTCTCTTTTGCGACTTCCCCTGCTTTAGTAACAATTGTGCCCTCTGGACAAACACAGATTCAATGTTCTGTTTTTGCAAAACCTACCTTAAAAATTTTGGTAGAAATGATTGTGCTATGTTAGTAAATCTTTTTAGATTAACATAGCCTTATATAATCCCACTATGTCATCTTCCTTTGATACCTTCTACTTGTGCACCCCCTCTTAAATTATGACATATAGAATTGAACCTAGTGAACCTAGGTGTTCAGTTAGAGAAAAACACAGCTCTTTCTTTCTTTAAATGAAATGTAAGTTGCCCAAAGCTCATGGTTTCTTTCTAGTTGTGGTTTATGTTTATCTTCCTTACGTGCTCTGCTCACTTGCCTAGACGCTACTGGCCTGGAAAAAAAAAAATGCCTTAAAAGTGCAGTGAAATACAGCTTCAGGATAGGTGAAAACACTGAACAGCGGGGGAACCACCACAACAGATAGAAGTGAAGTCAGAATCAGAGGTGCAGTTGGTTCAAGATACATTCATTATGAGCCTACTCTGTGCTGGGAACTATTCTTAGCATTTGGAATTCATTACAGAATAAAACAGACAAAGATCCTGTCTTTGTGGAGTTTGTATTCCAACTATTCCTAAGCACAGGCTTTGGGCAAACATTGAAGACTAGCAAAGTATATCAGCGTATTGAGTATAGAGTATATAGAGTAACTGCAGCCCTAAATAAAATAAAACAAGAAAGCTTAAGCAGTTTAGGCTAATGCAATGCAGAACATGAACAATACTTGAAAGCTTTTAGTTTTCAAGTTTAGGAACCAAGACTCTCGAAGGAAGACATTTTTTAAAATGTAAAAATAGCAGCATAATACCTGAAAGATAGACACAACCCAAGTGTCCATGTTGGATAAATGGATAAACAAAATGTGGTATGTGGGTGTGGTGGAATATTACTCAGCCTTGAAAAAGGAGATTCAGCCACATGCTACATGGATGAACCTTGAAAACATCATGTTAAGTGAAATAAGCCAGTCACAAAAAGACAAATACTGTTTGATTTCACTTATGTGAGGCACCTACAGAAGTCACATTCATAGAGATAGAAAGTAAATGATGACTGCCAGAGGCTGGGGGAGGGGAAAAGAGGAGTTACTGTTATTGGTATAGTTTCACCTTTGTAAGATGAAGAGAGTTCTGGAGGTTGGTCGCAGAACAATCTAAATGTACTTTACTGAACTGTTCATTTATAAATGGTTATGGTAAATTTTATGTGTGTTTTATCACAACTAAAAAAAACCTAAAAGATAAAAGTTAATGAGCTAATAAACAGACCAATAAACCAGAAACATTAATCAATTTTGAAGAGGTAAATCATAAACATACTATAATCAGAGAAACAGACCCTACCCATGTAGAAGAATCAAAAAACATTTACAGAGCAAATGCCTGTTAATATCATCCAAACTATGTAAGTGCTGAAAGGAGATGCTGAATGGAGAGAAATTAGCAGTTAAGTGAGTAGCCAGATTTTGAAGGAGAGAAAGCTACAGGCATTTCAGGCAGAGGACATAACATAAACCTAAGTGAAAACACATAGCAGCTCTATGACAGAGAGTCCTTGGAAGACAGTAAGGAAGAAATGGGTTAAAAAATTGTAGGTGATCCTGAATATTAGGCAAAAATATTTGCTATGGCAAGAGACCTAATGACGATGACCTTGGAAAAGTAGGACAGTATAGAATGATGGAGAAATCAGAGAAGAGGCTTTAAGAATAATGCAGGCCCAAGATAAAAGGGTGGGAGTGACGTGCACAGACAAAACAGTGGGTACATTAAAAACTAAATGTTGTCAGCCTGTGGATCCAGGAATATGATGGCTCTATTAACATTAAAAGGGTAATTTGTTATGTTACTAACATGTAAAATGTTAGTGTTGACATTTTACATTAAAGAGATATTTCTGGGTACCTAAATAAACATGACCTGCAGAGGACATAAGATATACAGGGACCAAAGTTTGCGAGGGCAGGTATTTCAGTGAGGTCCACCCACAGAGGCTCTCCCATGGACTATGGTTTTCACAGAGTTTATTTAAGTAGTGTATCTACCATAGTCTCTGAAACCTCTGCAAGGGAAGTTGAAGAATCTAGTCATTAGAGGATTTCTTCAGGAAAAGAGATAGAAGAGTAGAAGAGATATATTGGTAGTTTACTACTCACTCTGGATAGTTAATTGGTTAAATAACTAGGAAGGTAGCAGAATCAAAGGTTTATTTAGTCCATCAGTAAGTTAATCTAGATTTCAGATTTATCTTAAAATTAGAGTAAATTAAACTATTCCTACATGTCCATGACATTAAAATGTCCAAAGCTACTTATCTTGTTCTAGTTTTAATCTGGTATTTTTCCAGATGTTTTCAGTATGATAGAATGTATAGAACATGATTACACAGTCATTCAATTTGACATACTCAGTTGGAGGAGGAGCGAATAATAAACCTTGGTAACAGCCCTTCATTCATACTCCTCTTTTTGTCTTGCATTTCTGTTAAACACACACACATACTTAGGACTCATTCAGATTTTTAACCACCATATCACAACGCTAATTACGGTCTCTTATTTACTAGCAATAGAAGTCTAATGTTGTGGCGTTCTCAAGGATTCAGGAATGTTATTCAAAAGCATTTTGAGCTCCATTTGCCTTTGATGTTTGCCTCCAGTTTCTGAAATTTGCCCAGATGGGGGAAGGGGATAGAGGGGGTGGTCTTACTATTTCCTGAAGCACAAATGCCGCAGCAGAGCCCTTTTAGGGACATCTTGATTCTATTAGAATTTGCAGGTCAAAGGGCAGGTTCAACTGGCCTGGTAGTTTAAAGCACCAGGGATAGAGTGAATAGACTACTGTAATGACTTAAAGTTGGATTTCTGCTGCTACCTACTCATTATGCTAATAATGTGCATGTTGGTCATGTGGGCGGGGGGATTACTAATACTTTGAAAGGTTTCGTGTCCACATTTTCCTTTTTTTTTTTTTTTTTTTTTTAACTCTGGAAAAGAAGGGAACAGAACAAGGAGAGTAATTTGACAGGAAAAGCATTGCAGTTCTTATTTTGCCCTGGGCTTGTGGCATACATATATTACCGTTCACATTTTATGTGCTTGTATTACTCCCTAGGGACTCATGGGAATGAAGTCAGAATGTGCTACACTAGCAAGCCTCCCCTTTCTGTGGATAGTCTTTAGTTCGTAAAGCTCTTAAAGTCGATGATTAATTCCTTTGAGGTTCAATTTCTTTAAAATATTTATATCAGTATTAGAATAGGTGATCTCAAACCATTGACTCAGATTAAAAGAAGTTATAAAAAAGAATTACTTCTGGTAATTTTTATTTTCTTTATACTTTTCTGTATCTTTCAGTTTTTCTTCAATGACTGTGTACTACTTTTATCAGAAAATACTTTTTTTCAAAGAAGCAATTATATTGAGTAGACAGCTATTAAAATAAAATTTTTTCAATTTGCTTTTTTTTCCACTGTGAATTCCATTCCCTCTGAAAAGCTGAGTGTTTTTAACAACATTTCTGAGTTTAGACACTCTCAAGTGTGCCATGTAAAACTTAATCAGGTAAGTCCGACTATACCATATGGTCCTTTCTAAGAGATGGATTAGAGGAACAGCAATTTTCGTATTCCCTAAAAGTCTTTGCTGTTACTGTCTACTAGCTTTCACATTCTTCCCTATCCTCCAAATTTTTTTCAAGAGGTTGTTCTCCCTCATACTATCCACTTCAAATTTACCAGAATTGTAACCAAGAGAACAATACTGTCTTTGTCCCTTTTGGAAAATAAAAGAAAAACCTAAAAGCTAGTATACCTATCAAAGATAGACATTACTCAGAATTCATATGATTATATGTGCAATATATAATCAAAACATTTTATTCTCTTGACTATGAATTGCCCTTCTTAGGCACCTATACATGTAGAAATCAGTGTCAGGAGTATACGTTGTAAATGGAAAGCAGAAAGACATGATGATCTGTTAGGGGATTTTTAGAGGATGAGAGCCATGGTCATAGGAGAGAAAGTTTGATTCTGTATAGTCCATAGCATATTATCATTGCTTAGTAAAAAAAATAGCATCAATGAAATAAAATCTCTATTTGAATTGCATAAAAAATACTTCAAATTATATATCTTGTTAAAAAGACACTATTCCAATGGCTCAGACTCCAATGCCACATTCCTCAAAACTTTGAAATTAGAAATCTAAGTTGTCATCTGTTATTTCATATTGTGATTTGCAAAGTTGACATTTTACCCCAGAGGTGAACTGTACCACACTAGCTGTCCAAGCATACCATTTATGAAAGAGTTTGGAATTCAGTCAAGAAGCTTCAACAATATGGAATTATTTTTACTATGTCATATTACAATATTTTCCTTAAGCACAAAATAGGCCTCAAGTCTGATCGCCTTTGTATTTTGCATTCAGCAAAGGTGCTGGTATTTCAATCTAATTAGGTAGAGTAACTTATCTGTCATTCACCTGCTGCTGCTTGCCTGCTACTAAATATGTGATTCTGACTATTGGTGCACAGAAATGTAGCACCCTTATTGGGAAAGCATGCTGCCTCTTCCAGCTTGGTCAGTCTTTGAGCTTCCCGAAAGGGAACAGATGACCGCAGTCAACAGGAAACTGCATAGTTAGACCTTCTTGAACTCTTTCACCTTTAAGCTCATTTCACCACTTAACATATTTTTTTCAAGTGGTCAGTGGATATATTTAGACTGTCATTATCCCTTTAGTGTTGACTGGATCCTCGTGGTATAAGTTGCCTGCCATTTCTTAGAATTACGTAGTGTGGGGACAGTGCGATGAGAATCTTCTCTCCTCTTCCAGCAGCAAAACTAGTGAAACAAATCTTTATTTCCATGATGTAAACCGAGTACACATCTTCTATTTGTTAGTATTGCTTTCAGAGTTGAGTAGACCTACACATCCAGAATAAAAAATATCCATTAGAATATTCAGTAGACAGATAGTCTTCCAGTCTGTGGCTAAACTAAAACTCTTCCATATGACTGCTGTTGAAGCTCAATTATCTTAACAAAAGACAGAAGCAAGGTTAAACTTGGGCAATGCATTCTCAGATTCAGCATTTCCTCAGGTCAAAAGCTCAGGCCACTTATATAGTTCCTATAAATCAAATATGTCTTCTTTCATAAAAGATGAGCTACTGAGAAATGCATTTTGGATTATGAAACTAATTGTTCACCAACTCCATTGTGATTATTTTGTAAATTTCTTACATCAGCTTCCCCACTAAATCCACCTTTTTTTCCTTTGGACACAAACCATAAAGTAATTATTAGCTAAACCACAAGGAATCTGTAAAGTTTAAATTACTGTTTCAAAGTGTGCAGATCATTGCCAGTAAAGCCACAACTGCAAACTTATTTGCATTCATGAGATGAAAAGAATGATTGATGTTCATAATGCACCAGGAATAGATGGCTGTGTTTCTATATCCACGTTATTAAAGTCTGCAGTTTGTTGTACACTGTATGCATGAAAATGTCTTCAGTGTCAGTAATGCCTCAGATCATCTGGAAGCTACAGAATAATTATCAAAGGAATAAATTAAATGGATAAAGTATGTAAGTTACAGGATTATTCTTAAAGTAACTGTTTACTTTTCAAATTCAACTACAACTATAGGAACTCTTTTTAAAATATAAAATGAAATACTAAGTTCTTACTAATATAGTTTTTTTTAAAAGGTTAACAATTTTTATTTATTCTTTTTGAGATAGGGTCTCACTTTGTCACCCATGCTGGAGTGCAGTGGCACCATCTCAGCTCACTGCAACCCCACCTCCCAGGCTCAAGAGATCCTCCTACCTTAGTCTCCCGAGTAGTGAGTAGCTGGGACCAGAAGCGTGTGCCACCGCACCCAGCTAATTTTTGTATGGTTTTGCCATGTTGCCCAGGCTGGTCTCAAATTCCTGGCCTCAAGTGATCCACCCACCTCAGCCTCCCAAAGTGCTGGGATTACAGGCGCGAGCCACCACGCCTGGCCTGAATATTTTTTAAACTTTATTTTATTGTAGTAAGAAGACAACACGGGATCTACCCTCTTAATCACTTAAGTGTACAATGTAGTATCATTAATTGTAGAGAGAATGTCATACAGCAGATCTCTAGAACTTACTCATCTTACGTAACTTAGGCTTTATGCCCACTGATGGGAACTCCCCATTTCCCCCTCTCTCCTCTGCCTTGCAACCACCATTCTACTCTCTGTTTGCGTGAGTTTGACTGTTTTAGATCCCTCATGTAAATGGAATCGTGCAGTATTTGTCCTTCTGTGACTGGCTTATTTCACTTAGCCTAATATAGGGGAACTTATTAAGATAACAACATGATAAAGACAATTTAGAGTCACATTCGCCTGAATGGGATTCCTGGCTGTACCATTTACTCCAGGTGTGAACTTGGGCAAGCTGTGTAAACTCTGAAAGTCTTGGTTTTATTACCCTCAAAATGGGGGTACTGATAATAGTAACTTCAAAGAATTGTTGGAAGGGGTGAATGATGCTGTTGGCGTTTGCTTTCTTGGTTTTATTACCCTCAAAATGGCGGTACTGATAATAGTAACTTCAAAGAATTGTTGGAAGGGGTGAATGATGCTGTTGGCGTTTGCTTTCTTGGTTTTATTACCCTCAAAATGGGGGTACTGATAATAGTAACTTCAAAGAATTGTTGGAAGGGGTGAATGGCGCTGTTGGCGTTTGCTTTCTTGGTTTTATTACCCTCAAAATGGGGGTACTGGTAATAGTAACTCCAAAGAATTGTTGGAAGGGGTGAATGGCGCTGTTGGCATTTGCTTTCTTTTGCAGGCAAGAAGCTCTTCTGGCTGCCATTAGTGAAAAAGACGCCAATATAGCTCTCTTGGAGCTTTCGTCCTCTAAGAAGAAGACCCAAGAGGAAGTGGCTGCCCTGAAGCGGGAGAAGGATCGTCTGGTACAGCAGCTTAAGCAGCAGGTATTATTAAATGCCAGCAGGAGGGTCAGTGGGGCCAGCTTTCACACCATTCTCCACACAGGTCTTTGCCAGCTTGTACTTTAAGGTCTCATGTTTCATATTAGACATCTGATCATTGGAGCTAGTTAGTTTCCATCATTAGAGACTTTTTATCTCCGCAAATCTGTGTCTAGGAAATGCAGAGCATTCGTGGTAAGAGGGCTGTTTTGGACAATGTCACAGGTCTTCTATGAGAATGTTTTTTAACTTTGTACAATGGATTGTAGAAATTATTGAAATTAGCCCATTTGACATGAAAAGGCTTTTTTTTTTAAACATCCAGCAAGATTTCTATGACAGCAGCCACTAAGGATATTTTCATGAAAAGATTTCCAGTTATTCAGGATTGGGTAAGCTCTGAAGATAAGAACAAAGGTTGGCCCTTTTCTTTTCCAGCCTAAATGCTCTCAAAATTTAATACTTAATATTCATGTAACACCTTTTGTTTGTGAAAATAAAAGCTAAAAGTTTCCCCTTTGATGATGGTTGCACAACAGTATGAATGTACCTAATACACAAAACCATCAACTTAAAAATCGTTAAAATGGTAACTTTTATGTTAGACATATTTTACCACAATAAAGAAATGGAGAAAAACATTTCCCTTGGAAGATAAGGAGAGTGCTGGATGTTTACATCGGAGCCCTGCTTGAACGGCAGTGCTCCTCGTTGAGTGCTCCTGGCTGGGCGCAGCATCCGCGTCCCAGCCTCCGTGGCTGTCTCCTGCATTCCCAGTCACGTTGTCTGTACATTTTGGCTGCCCAGGTGTGCTCTTTGCCCTCAAGTAATGAGACCGAGAAAGAGCTTTTCAAGTAAAGAAATTTATTTTCTTCTATTTTTGGAGGTCAGTCATCAATTGATGGTATTTTGGCATAATGTTTATATTAACAAGAATCAATATTTAAACAACAAAGTTATTTTCTCTGTGGATCAAATTAAAACTGCTTAGAAATAGTCTTTATATGTATTTATGTTGCACACTTTGCTGAGAAAATACCAAAAGATGTCTTTTTTCTGCAGGATGGATAGTTGACCAGCAAAAAGTAACCCATTGCTTATTCACAAGTGAAATAAAACTTTTCCAGGGTCCTAAAATACTTTTTAGCAAGAAGAGGACATCATCTAATATTTTGACTACCTGTTATGTAAGATAGGAAGAATGTGCTTATTATGAAAGACATCCGTCCAGTAGTTGAAAACTGAAATTTGGCTCATCAAAGCTGATAATAGCAAATTGGAGGATATTATTGGAGAAAGGAGTTCACTGCTGTGGGAGTTTATATATTCAGCAATATCACTTATCTTAAGTAGTTAGGCTTGAATACATAGGCCTATGATTTAAGCAGTTCTTGATCTCTTCACTTAAGACACCAAATAGAATTGAATATCTAGCAGACCAGAATACCATACCTCATTTACAGTGGTTTTTGATTAGTGGCCTCCAAAGAACATATGTTTTCATTATGTGAAAATTAAGGAAATTGGCCGGGCACGGTGGCTCACGCCTGTAATCCCAGCACTTTGGGAGGCCAAGGCGGGTGGATCATGAGGTCAGGAAATCGAGACCATCCTGGCCAACATGGTGAAACCCCGTCTCCACTAAAAATACAAAAATTAGCTGGATGTGGTGGTGCACCTCTGTAGTCCCAGATACTTGGGAGGCTGAGGCAGGAGAATCACTTGAATCCAGGAGGTGGAGCTTGCAGTGAGCTGAGATCACGCCACAGCACTCTAGCCTGACAAGAGGACGAGAGTCCGTCTCAAAAGAAAAAGAAGAAAAGAAAGAAAAGAAAAGGAAATTAATTAATCTCTGAGCTTATAACCTTAGAAGGAAGTAGCTAAACAATTCTCAGTGTCTTTATATCAAACCACATGCCTTGAATTTTCTGTAGCGATGTGTCCTGTATGAAGAGAAAAATAATAACAGTTCTCAGGAGTCCTTCCTACAGTCATCTCCTGCCTCCCTTTTACATTCCTGCCCTTTCAAAGCGTATCTGGATGCTGTGAGCAAGAAGGAAGGAGTCTTGCCAAAGGCATTTGATTCTTTAATTCCTCCAAGAGTGTGTACTAACTTTTGGACAAGGGAGAGGCCTTTTGGAAAGAGGATATGGCATCAATGTTGTTTTAATTTAAAGCTTCTAGTCCATGAATTGCTGGAATGTGCCTCAGTCTAAAGGCTATTTCCTAACAGGGAAGCAGTCAGCATTGACCAGGCTTTCCAGCAAATGGAGCTGCCACTGCCTGATAGGCTCTTGGCGTTCACATGTGATTCCTATTGTCAGAAAGAGGTGAAGCAATGAGGGATATATAGATTTGGGGGTCACCTTCTAATATGGTCCCAATTTACTTACCCCCTCTAACCACCGCCCCCCCACCCCCTACAGGGTAACTTGTCTCCTTGACTCATTCATGGCAAAGCAGCACTTGGAGAGGCTGCATCAGAGGAAGGGGCCAGGGCCAGTGAAAAAAATAAACTAAGGCTGTCTAACAAACTCCAGATGTTCTGTGGTGGGTGCCAGCCAGTGTGTTCAGACCTTAAGTCATGAAGAAGCCCCACTGTGATTGTCAGGCCCCCGCACGAGATTTAATGTAAACTCCGATAGAACCCTGGAAAGCATTAATACAATCTGTTTAGTCACAGCAGTTGTCACAAGATGGCCTTTCTCTCAGCATTGTTTTCTTCTTTTCACCTCCAGAATTTTACAACCTCCGTATTGTGTTGGTTGCTGGTGTGAAATCTGGCTCTGCCCCTGTGTGCTCTACACAGATGTGTTATAGGCAGGCTGGGCTTTTCAGGACAGGCTGGGATTTTTTTTTTTTTTTTTTTTTTCTGTTTTTAAGAGTCAACTATAACAGTATAAAAGTAAAGGCTACAAACTTAAACAGATTTGGTTTGAATCTAGATAATCTCATTTACAACTACAATTTTGTAATCCTGTGCATTAGAATTAATTGTCACACCATATATTCTTTGATTCCAGTGTTTTGTAGGCGTGAGGGATACAAAAGCACAGTGCTCGTCTTAAGGGAACTCACAGGCTAATGCATCAAACCCTGGTTGTTCTAGTCATCTGGCAGACATTCTGTGTGTTAGTCCGCTTCCACACTGCTGTAAAGTACTACCTGAGACTGGGTAATGTAAAGACAAGAGGTTTAGCTGACTCACAGATCCACATGGCTGGGGAGGCCTCGGGAAACTTACAATCATGGCGGAAGGTGAAGGGGAAGCAAGGCACATCTTACATGGTGGCAGGAGAGAGAGCGATCAAGCGAGGAACTGCCACACACTTTTCAACCATCAGATCTTGTGAGAACTCACTATCTTAACAGCAAAGGGGAGGTCTGCCCCCATGATCCAATCACCTCCCACCAGGCCCCTCCCCTGACACATGGGGATTACAATTCGAGGTGAGATTTGGGTGGGGACGCAGAGCCAAATCGTATCACGTTCTGTAGAAGGTAATCCTGGCCTTGCCAACTTTTTCTGCTGACAGCTTTAGCAGGTCATCCAAACATTATGTAACTTATTTACCCATTCACTTCAGATTTACCTCACAGAGTTGGTGTGAAATTCAATAAGATAGCACACCTGAAGCGCTTAGAGTCCCCCCTTCCATTCCCTGTCACTGATAGCCCTGTTCGTGGTCAGAACTGTGCCATAGGTGACACACAGTACATTGAGGGAGGGGTAGTCTCAGTAAGCATGGCTCTTGTTCCTTTTTTTTTTTTTTTTTTTTTTGAGGTGGAGTTTTGCTCTGTTCCCCAGGCTGGAGTGCAGTGGTGCGATCTCGGCTCACTGCAACCTCCACCTCCTAGGTTGAAGCAATTCTCTGCCTCAGCCTCCCGAGTAGCTGGGATTATGGGTGCCCGCCACCGCGCCCGGCTAATTTTTTGTATTTTTAGTAGAGACGGGGTTTCACCAGCTTGGCCAGGCTGATCTTGAGCTCCAGACCTCGTGATCCACCTGTGTTTGCCTCCCAAAGTGCTGGGATTACAGGCGTGAGCCACCGTGCCCGGCCTGGCTCTACTTCTTGGTTGTCTCTAGCCACTTTATTTAAATGTGCAGACTCACGCAGTGTTCAGAATTACACAACCAGCACATGGCGTTCCACTCCTCTGAGGAAGAACGTATTTCTCAGGGCAGTTAGGAAAAAGAGGTAGAGGTACTTTTTATCCTTTCTTTTTTCCACCTGTTCTTTTTAATGATATGACTCTCATATAGAATTTTTAAAAAATAATTCTAAATTCTAATATGTCTTTCTTAAATCTTACATTTTCGTCACTGAAGAACATTTAAATGCCCGTCTGGCTGAAGTCCTCAACATTAGGAAAATGTCAACTCCCAAGCTACATCCCATCTCACTCGCCTTCGAGTTCTGTGATTTTCCACATGTTACCTCCCGTTCTGGGTATCCCCGACTAGTATAACTTTTCAGAATTCTGTGAAAATAGAGCAGTGACAATAATGGCCACCACGTGCCACTTGACTGTCGTGCGCAGGGCACAGGGGCTTTACATCACCGGGTCTTCCCCACAGCTCTGGAGAGTGTCTTCATTATTTGGGGAAGCGCTTCAGACCCAAAAAGGATAAAACTGTGGCTAAATTTCCATGAAGAAGACTAAGCGGTGGAGCTAGAATTAGAACTGATTCTCTTCTCACTGTCACCATCTTTTGTGAAGATTCCAGATGGTTGGTAATCAGATTGTATTAGAATTAGAATAATACAAACAATGCTATTTTATGTTTTTATGATACTCATTTGTTCCCTGAGACACAGAAAAGGGGATCTATTTATACGCCAGCCCTTCCCCTCTCCATCCGTAAAGAACCAGAAACAAAAAAGAAACGGTGCGATTTGTTTCCCTTTTCACTGTTCCAGGCTGAGCATCACCTTTCGGTACACGCGGTCTTTCTCCCGTCATCCCAGCACTACTTCCTTGAGATGAGATGACATCAGGTGATCCCGTTGGTCTTGAGAATGATCCCATATTCTTCAGTCAAGCATTTTCATACAGTAGTTTTCTACTGTGTTATGTGTATTTTACTTGCTTAATCCTCCAAAGACCGCTTTATTTCCCTAATCACTAAGTTCTTGATGGGAAGAGTATTTCACCGTTGCCCCAAGTACTTTCAGTAGGTGTGGTATGAAAAAATACCTGAATCAAGTGAATAATATTTTGAGTAACTGTCTTTTATTAACTTCCGTCCACTCTCTAGTGAACAGTTTTCAGTCTCTCTTGTGGCACTGCCTATGATACCTTTGCTCTTGTTGTTTCATCGGTAAAGCTGAGTACTTTGACATTCACTGATTAGGTTGGGAAAACCAGCCTATGCTTTGAATTGGCCGTTTCTGCAATCTAGCAGACATTCTAGCACACATTCACTCATCTGTGAACCTGCATTTGTACATGCTTTCACACTTCCCCATCCCTATTAGAATGCCAGTTACCATGATAACACGATTCAATGCTCTGTCCACATATCCCACTCAGAAACAATTTGTCCTATAATATGGACTTGCTATCTTTCAATTCATTTATTTAGGGTTATTTTACTCCTTTGTTGTTAGCGAAAAGAAAATGTATATAGGTTAATGCCTTTCTTATTTTGACTTTAACCTTTTTTCTCACATGATGTAGAGCTGGCCATTGGCCCACCTTTAAATGGCTGTATATCATCTATCTTTTCCTCCTCGTGGAAAAGGCTACTGTCTATTATAGAAGCATGGTGTACTAATTATGAAGTTGCGGTTGAAAAGACACTTTATCATCACTCTAGCCACTTGGAACTTTCCAAATAAATCATTATTTGGACTAAAATTTCCCAGTCTTGTTTATAGTACAAAGGTGAATACCTTTTTGAAGGTTCAGTAAACTCTCTTTGTTAGGAACTGAGGGTTATGACAACAATAAAATATCTGTTTCAGCTTTCAGTTTTGGTGGACATGTTCTTTGATCACAGCTTTTATGAGAGAAAATGCAGTTTTATTATTAATTCTTCTCTAGCCAAACTCAAATCATTTTACTGGTTTGAAATGTGTCGTCTTTACCTATCTCAAAGTTTTGAGTAAAGAATATAAATATATTGTTTTGTATATGAAAAATGTGATTTGTTCTCATTTACTAAAATTTGGGAAGAACTGGCTTAACATTGATCTGAAGAATGTAGGGGTCAGATACTTTTTTAAGAAAAGGCTCAAATTTGATTTTCAAATTCTTAGCCCAGGGCCCTGACCGCTCCCCGTTGGAGCAATATTTAGGACCGCCAAGTTGGAGACAGTAAATAATTGATTCTTACATGTCAGACTGATTGTCGGCTCTCTGCAGTATACATGAGTTGTTTTTGAACGAAGCTAAAATCTTGTGAAGACGTACTAATAATCTAATATGAACCCAGTTAGATGAAAATCACCTTTTGGGACTTATTCTGTTCTATGAGAAAAAAATTATACGAAAAATTCTCCTAACTAGCCAAGAAAATAGACCTGTCTGTAGTCTACTTAGTGATTTAAAGCCTTTTCCTTAGACATGAAATCCATGATGGAAGCTTGTTGCCAATAAGAATAATGGAGAATCAACCTTTAAAGCCACATACATGATGTAGAATTTCAAGTTGCCATTATTCTGTATTGTAATGGTCAGCCAGAGAGACATGTGTCTAGTCAGTTTTATTAACTACTTTCTACAGCAGTCCTCCCTTCCTTTTCTCTGTCCTATTTTCTGAACCAACAGAGGACTAAATTTTCTTACGGAGTCAGGAAGTTAAGACTTAAAATTTAAGGAATATGAGGGTAGAGTGTACCTTGTTGACTTACATTATTGCATCTGAACCTTCAGATGACATCCTGAAATAAATTGCATAGTTAGGGTATTTTATACCTATGATTCCCATTAGGGACTTCATGGTTTTGACAAATACACTATCAAAGGGAAGCACATCACAAAGAACACTACTTGCAGGTCAAATATTGACGAATTTAGGGAATATATTGTGTGATATTTTGGTCTAATTTTTCACTTTCAGTTTGTTGCTGTAATACACATAGGGAATTTTTAAAATATATGTATTTTAGATTTATGCTGTATTTGTAAATTCCCATAAATACATAAAAGGACCGTGCTAAGCTGTCTTTGGGGTGGCCACACTAGTGTATTTTCCTCTCACGTTTTACCATAAGCAGCAAGAAGAAACCAGGCCCCCACCTTCAGCACTTTAACTGGAAATCTACTTAGCTAGATCTCTGAGTTCATTCAGTACATTCTCCACTTTCTACACAACTGTAGGTGACATTGTTGCTAAAGTTCTGGTACTGCATATCAAGGATCCCAGTAACAAGTTCCTTGCTTCCCTTGAAGATCCAGTGGCAGCCTCCTAAAAGCCCCTATTTCAGTGAACAGCCAATTCAGGGCACTTGAGGTTTGCACTAGTCTCTCCTCAGAATCTTTCCAGGTCTTCCAGTTTCCGCCCACTACCCAGCTCCAAAGCCACACCGGCGTTTGAAGTTTTTGTTACAGTGTTACCCCATTCCCAGTTATGCCAAAATCTATTAGTTATCTACTACTGCATAAAAATTACCCTTAACTGAGTGGCTTAAAGTAGTAATTATTGTCTCACACAGTGACTGAGGGTCAGGAATTTGCAGGCAGCTTAGCAGGTGGTTCTGACCCGGGGTCCTCTGTAGGGTTACTTAGGACACGAGAGCCAGCTTCTCCAGAAGTGACCCGAGAGAGGAAGAGAGCAACCAAAATGGAATTTGCAGTGTCTTCCATAACTGAATCTCAGAAGTGACATACCATCACTTCTGCCTTATTCTGTTCACACAGACCAACCCTTATATAGTATAGGAGGGGACAGCACAGTGATGCGAATACCTGGAGACAGAGATCCTTGCAAGCCATCCTGAAGGCTGACTACCACAGCAAGTGCATGAATAAACAAATTTGGTATGTCCATGCAGTGAAATGCTGCTCAGCAGTAGACAGAAATGAACTACAAATACACACAACAGGTTGGATGAATCGCAAAGACACACCGAGCAAAAATGGAGACACAGAAAAGTACATACTGTATGATTCCACCATACTATACAGTGTAAGAAAGCAGATCAGACAACAAAGCAGAACTTATTCATCGTTTCTTCCCCTCGTCAGCTCACTTGAGAGGCCTGCAGGGGGAAAGGGACAAGTTCCATTCTCTTTCACTCCTCTGCCTTCTTCATCTTCTGATGCTGCTTCTCTGGCCAACATTGTTTCCTTTGGGGTGGAGCAGCAGCCAAAAGACGCAAACCTGACAGCTTTCTGTAATATCACTTGACCCACAGAAAGCGCATGCATCCTCGCCGTGCCAAACGGTGAGAAATAGGCCGCCTCCGATACTTCTGTTTCCGTCTGCCATCTGTCTCCTTCTCAGATAAGCACAAGGCAAATCAACAAGTCTGATGGAATGAGATGCCAGTCTCCTTGACGTGTACTCACACTCAGTCTTTAGGAGTGGTTCTCTTTGAGCCCTCTCTGTCTTAGCTAAGGCAAAGGGGACTCTTGTGAATGAACACGTAACTCTCCATGTGGCAAGTCCTTCCGGCAGTAGCACTACGCTCACAACAGTCTTAGACAGATGGATGAAGGGCACCTGCTGAGGCAGTGGACTGCTGACAGTAGTGCCTTTTCAGCCACTGGCCACTAAGCTGCCTTTATACATCTTGGTTGCTTAGCTCTTTTTTGTCACCTGCTTTGGGCCTTGGTCACCAATTCTATAACAACTGGAAAAGCCCATTCATCATACTATTAAAACTGTTTTACATTCTAAAAGAAGATAACAATGGTAGGATAAAACAGCAGAGAGCTCCTGAGTTGTTAGTGAATAAAGGGAAAATTAAATAGCAAGTATCGCAGCAGCTTAAGTGCTGCGGAAACTGTGGAAAGTAAAATGTTGTAAACATCTGTTCATCTCACTTAGTTTAAATCCTCGATAATGAGGCCAGCCTCAGAGAGCATTTATGTACCCATTTGTTTTATATATGAATCTGTCATCTATAATGCCAGGTGCCTGTTTTATGACTGAGAAGACATTCCTCAAAACACATCTGTGTTAGGCACTGCCAGGGCCCCTTCACCTTGCCCTTGACGGTGCCTACTTCATATCTGCTGTGCACATCAGCATCAGCCTCCCAGCTGTCCTGCATGATGTTATCTCCTTGATGGTGACTGTTGTTTTATCCTAGAAAATGAAAACTTTGGTTAGAATATTCAGAATTTGACAGAAGAATGCAATTCCGAGAAAAACAGAAGATTACAGTTCAGTCTATAATAATTCAACGGCCCTTATTTTTTTATTTACTGATTTATTTTTAATAAAGACAGAGACTCACTCTGGTGCCCAGGCTGGAGTGCGGTGTGCAGTCATAGCTCCTGGCCTCAAGCCATCCTCCCACCTTGACCTCCCAAAGTGCTGAGATTACACACGTGAGCCACCACAGCCGTCCTCAATGGCCTCTATTGACTAGTTAAGATAAAAATGTTAATCTTTTAAAAATTATTTTACCTCCTTTCAACCCTAAATTTGTGTATATTAAGTACTCAAATATATATACTTCTTCCTCTGAACCATTACAAACACTAAGATCAACTAGATTGTTCCTACTGATGGTATCCAGATTGTTTTGAAAGAAACTAGATGCAAACCCTTTTTCATTCACTGTCCTCACTTCTGGAATTGCCTTGCACTTCCTCAGCTCAATCTCCACTTTAAACTTCTCTTCAAGACTCATCATGATAGGTCGGAATTTCCTAGCCTGAAGTCACTATTTTTCCTTATCGTTAGCAAAGCCATTCTGTGCTTTTTTTCATTCACGTATTCATTTTCCCTTGGCTTAAGTTGAACAAATGAGAAGAAAGGAGGGAGGGAGGGAGCAGAGAGAAAGAGAAAGAAACTTTTCACTTGGACTAGAGTTGTTAATTGTATTTATTCTTTATGTTAAGCCAGGTTATTCTTGTTGGTGTGATTATTTGTTCAAATCTAAGAATTCCCGTTCTATAACCATTCCTGTCTTGTTTTCCTGTTTGTATGTATAGCGTGGTACAATAGAAATAGTAACTGAGTGTCAGGAGACCTGAGCTCTAGATCCAACTCTGTTGATAAATAAGTATATAATCTTGAACGTAATAACACCATCAACGAATATCAAACACTTCACATTTTACAAAGTACTATTCAGATACTTAATAGCGCCTAACCCTAGGGCTGTATGGGCGAAGCAGATCTCATAAATAAAAGGAGTGAGTGGTTTAAAGCCACAGCAGAAAAAGAACTGTGAGAAAGTAGGGGCCACATGGTGTTGTCTACAGAGGCAGGCACTTCTAACTCCAGCTCTCGTGACCATGTCAGATGCGAGCCCTGTGTTATTCAGGCATCCATGTTTCCCTGGAGAATTCAGATTTTTATACAAATCTCTTTATGTCTAAGTGTTGGCAGCTAATGTGTTTTTTATTTTTATATAAATCAGTCCACAAGGCTGATTTAATTGTGTTTGTTTTAACACAAATAAGGCCACAGGCTGCCTGACTTGCCTCTTCGGGCTTTATCTTCCTCACCTATAATATTGGGTGGATAGATCAAATGATTTTAAAGTCTAAAATTCATTATTTTCTGTATTTTGATAAATCAACATATTTACCTGTAGCTGTATCGTCTGCTAAAGGCTGACATTAAGAGTTTAAAAAGAAGCAAATCAAAAAGCATAAGAAAACGTGTGTAAAGATTGTTTAACTCTGTCTATAGAAATTTGCTTTTTTTATGAAAGTATTATTTTATTAAAAAATATTGCATTATGAAGATGAAAAAATCTTGGTTTTTTTGAATCCTTCAAAGAAATAGATCATATTTTGATGAATTCTGCTTGATTGGAGTTACTAATAAGTAGAAAGTCCAGAGGCTGGGAATGTGGGGAAACCTGGACTCATCCCAGGCTCCTTTCATCCATCTGTTGCATTTTTTTGTCGTCATTTCCAGATGTAGGAAAATCCCTCACAACAATTTGATAAGACTCTTCCCTTCATTTCCAGCATCAAATCTAACTTGCCTTTCCTATCGTCAAACTGCTGCCTTTTATGATGCCACAGGGAATTAATTTATAAATCTTCTGTGTTTCCTGATCCCTCTTGAATTGTCTCAACGCAGATAAATCAACCTAGGTTTCCTGCCCATACGCTGGTGCCCTCCTCTCCCTGTTTCTTCTGTGTCCATCAGGTGGTGTGATTTATAGCTGCCTTTCCTATGCTCATTGACCTTGGTCTGAGGATCTCATTAAGCATATGTAAAACTAGAAAGATTAGTTTGAGGGTCGTTCCCTCCTCCGTTAAACTTCTCTTGGTGGGAACCAGTCAGACCAATATATTCCAAAAATCTGTTCCTGCTGCCTCTTTTGGTCTCTTTTGAACTAATGTAGATACTCATTAAAAGCAAATGTGAATTAGACAAGTGTGGTGGCATGCGCCTGTAATCTCAGCTACTCAGGAGGCTGAGGCAGGAGAATCACTTGAACCTGGGAGGCGGAGGTTGCAGTGAGGCAAGATCACACCACTGCACTCCAGCCTGGGTGACAAAACAAGACTCTGTCACACACACACAAAAAAAGCGAATGTGGAATTAAATGATATTTGCATTCAAGGATAATAGGAGTGGTGTTAAACTAGAATATTAGCTGTCACTGAGTGCCGTTTTCAGAAGCTGTAATTTACATGACCAAATGTATTATCACATGACTTTCTGGAAAACAGTATTCACGCCATTAGTCATCTCAAGAAAATACTGTTTAACGTTTAGGCAGCTGAGCCCTATTTTGAGTTCTTTATGTGAATTAATTCATTTAATCATCACTACAGCCCTCAGAAGTGGAGTTATCCTCATTTTACAGAGAGGGAAAGAGGTTAAGTAACTTGCCCTAAGTCCCGTAGCTCATAAGTGGCTGAGCCAGGGCAGGATTCAGAGCCGATCATATCACTCCAGAGCTGACACTCCTGATCACTACACCAAAATGTGTTACCATCATTACAGCATGTGCTTTTGGTGAGAGATTTCAATAGCCTTCAGCCATATTATTAATAACCCCATCATACTCTGTTGTAATAAATAGTACTTTAATCTACCCTTATAAATTACAGTGAAAATATATACATTACTGTAAAGGACTGCCCCCAATTTTAAAAAATTAATTCAGAATCCTGACAGGTCAAACTGCTTTCTAAATCTTGTATTAAAAAGATGTCTTCTAATTTTAACAATTACCTTATAAATAGTTGACTGGATTAATGAACAGCTGTACAGCAGAGGAGAGGGTAAAATGATAAGCTGATTTTTAAGCAGCTAAGTTCGAAAATCTGTGTGCTCATAACCCTAAATTACCATTGGAAATAATTTTGTTATTAAAATACTATTACTGTCATGTATACATAGACAAGATGTATGCAAATCTGGTTCCAAAGTATTGCACAGCATTTATTAAGATAGTGTTTAGCCACCAGCATTTTTTTTAATTTTAAGAATCAATTAATTTGCATACTTAACAGCTCATAGAGATGAGTGATTGGAAAGCTGCTGAAAAGTTCATAGAAAATAGTGACTGTTGAAGAAAGAACATCTATCATACCTGAAGTTCAGTATTTTCCCCCTATATTTCAAAAGTTTTATGAAATATAAGAATTTAAATAAATAAATTGTTGAGCTTTAATACTAAAACAGTATTTGTGGTAGTTGGTTTTCAGGGTAGAGATGCTTAAAGTTTATGGTATTGCCAGCCTTGTTCCTGAATGGAGCATTTAGAATTGGATATGATGTTTTTCTTGGTCTCCCAGAAAATTACAACCTACTAATGGTTAAATCTAAAATTATGGGTTCTCAGAAAATAATTTGGAACATGTACAGTCTGGGCCTACCTAACTTTTAACAAGCTGATTCATTAGAAATATACAAAGAGATTGAATGGATATTACTGTGTTTAAATCTACATATGCACTTTACGAGTACACCCAAAGTGCACACCTGGAAACAAACACCAAACTGTCTCCTGAGACCCAGGTTATAAAACACGCTTAGAGAAGCCTGGTTGGTTCTCAGTCATTGGCCTGAAGCCAGTGAAAGGACACAGTTGCATCATATTCCCCTAGTCTACAGTGTTTAACATTTCTTAATTTCAATTTCTGCTAAATGAAAGATTCTTATAAATCAAGTTTTCTTTTCCTAACAAGTTTCCTCGCAATTACCTTCCTATCTTTTTTTTTTCTTTTTTTGAGACGGAGTCTCGCTCTGTCGCCCAGGCTGGAGTGCAGTGGTGTGATCACGGCTCACTGCAAGCTCCGCCTCCCGGGTTCACGCCATTCTCCTGCCTCAGCCTCCCGAGTAGCTGGGACTACAGGCGCCCGCCACCACGCCCTGCTAATTTTCTTGTATTTTTAGTAGAGACGGGGGTTTCACCGTGTTAGCCAGGATGGTCTCGATCTCCTGACCTCGTGATAACGCCCGCCTCAGCCTCCCAAAGTGCTGGGATTCCAGGCGTGAGCCACCGCGCCCGGCCCCTATCTATCTTATTATTGAGAAACAATAGCCAGGAAGAACAGAAGGAAACCTGTTTTTAAGGCTGGTTCTAGTTGAGCTAATTGCTATCTAGAGCTCTCTTTGTATTTAGACATCAAGACAACAGTCACAGCAATGTTCCCTAAGCCCGCATTGTCCTCCTGAATGGTAGATGAAATTACCAGCACCTGACTTGCAGCTCTTCTTATGGCTGTGCACTGAAGTAACTATTTCTCTTAATACATATTTTAACAATCTCAGATGAGACTAAGTGGGTCTCTTACTTTTGTGTCGTCTAGTAAGGAGCCATAACTGAAATATCCTCCTTTTTATTACCATAATGATATAACTATAGGAAAAGAAAAAACATGAGCCATGATTGACAGAAATTACTCTCCTTGTCAGAGATCATTTCCTCTGTTGCTTAAAGCTTCTTGCAATGCAGCCCTTTTTTTTTTTTTTTTTTTTTTTTTTGAGACAGAGTCTTGCTCTTTCGACCAAGCTGGAGTGCAGTGGCACGAGCTTAGCTCACTGCAACCTCCGCTTCCTGGGTTCAAGCGATTCTCCTGCCTCAGCCTCCCGAGTAGCTGGGACTATAGGTGCCTGCCACCATGCCCAGCTATTTTTGTATTTTTAGTAGAGACAGGGTTTCACCATATTGGCCAGGCTGGTCTCGAACTCCTGACATTGTGATCTGCCCACCTCAGCCTCCCAAAGTGTTGGGATTACAGGCGCAAACCACTGTGCCCGGTCACAAAAAAAATTTTAATTGAAATGCATGCAGCCAGGCATGGTGGCTTATACCTGTAATCCCAGCACTTTGGGACGCCAAGGCAGGCAGATCACTTGAGGTCAAGAGTTTGAGACCAGCCTGGCCAACATGGTGAAACCCCGTCTCTACTAAAAATACAAAAATTAGCCAGCCATGGTGGTGCACACCTGTAATCCCAGCTACTCCAGAGGCTGAGGTGGGAGGATCGCTTGGATCCAGGAGGCAGAGGTTGCAGTGAGCCAAGATTGCACCACTGCACTCCATCCAGCCTGGGCAACAGAGCAAGACTTCGTCTCAAAAAAAAAAAAAACATTAAAAAGTACACATGTCTAAGTATACATGTCAGTGAAATTTTACACACTTATGTAACCAGCATCTACATCCAGGAAGCAGATGATTGCCGACACCCCAGCAACCAGTTCTCACACTCCGTTTTCAGGTACCATCCCCTGCCTATTCCTGCAGGAGTAACTGCTCTACTGAATTCTGACAGTATTGATTAATTGTATCTTAAAAAATCAAAACTTAAAGATTTTCTGTCAACAGAGCAACCAGGGACCCAGAGGCAGAAGCCAGGGGAGCCACCACAGGCAGAGGGCACAGCCTTGAGTCAGAGGATTGTTCTCAGACCTTGAAACCTAATGGAATTTTCTCTGCTGGATTTCAGACTTGCTTGGGGCTGATGAGCCCTTTTTTTCTTCCAGTTTTTCCCTTTTGGAATGAGAATGTCTATCATATACTGGTCCCACCGTTGTATTTTGGAACCTGATAACTTGTTTTCTGTTTCGCATATTGACAGATGGAGAAGATGGATCATACTTAGTCTCCCTCATACCCAACTCAGATTAATTAGATGAGGAGATTTGGGACTTTCAAGTGATGCTGTTTAGATGGAATTTTGGATTTAGAGTTGTGCCATAGTGGGTTAAGATTTTTGGGGATACTGGAATGGGGTGAACCTATGTTGTGTATGGGACAGATAAGAATTTGGTGGGACTAGAAGGCAGGCTGTAGTAGATGGAATGCCCCCCAAAACATATGCCCTCCCCAAACTTATAGCCCCCAAAAAACATTATGTCCACGTCCAGTTTCTATAACCTGTAAATGAAACCATATTTGGATAAAGGGTCTTTGCAGATGGGATTAAATTAAGGATTTCAAGAAGAGATCATTCTTGATTATCCAGGTGGGGCCCTAACCCTAATGACAAGTCCTTGTGAGAGACAGAGAGAAGACAGATACAGAAGATAAGGTGATATAAAGGCAGAGGCAGAGATTAGACTGGGTGGCTATGAACCAAGAAATGTCCACAGTCACTGAAGCCAAAAGAGGCAAGGAAGGATGCTCCCTTAGCATCTCCACAGGGAACATGGCCCTGCCAACACCATACTTTTGGACTTGGGGCCGCTAGAACTGTGAGAGAGTAAATTTATGTTGTGTTTATGTTGTTTGTGATCATTTCTTACGGCAGCTCCAGGAAACTAACACATGGAGTAGGTAACACAGCTTCTCGAGTCCTTCATGTATGACAAGCTTGTTGCCCCTGAAGGTATTAGGGTTCCCCTTTATTTGAAGGAGAAAGGTGAATACATTATCTCTGCTTAATCACTAGCATTTGTTGATATATGCAAAGAAGACATTCTTAAGACAGCCTCGGGGCAGAAGAGGTCAAATAATATTTTTGGAGAAAGGAGAATACTAAGAGACTAATAAGAGTTAGCCTCGGCCGGGCGTGGTGGCTCACGCTTGTAATCCCAGCACTTTGGGAGGCCGAGGCGGGCGGATCAGGAGGTCAGAAGATCGAGACCACGGTGAAACCCTGTCTCTGTTAAAAATACAAAAAATTAGCCAGGCGTGGTGGTGGGCACCTGTAGTCCCAGCTACTCGGAGAGGCTGAGGCAGGAGAATGGTGTGAACCCGGGAGGCGGAGCTTGCAGTGAACTGAGATTGCGCCACCGCACTCCAGCCTGGGTGACAGAGACTCTGTCTCAAAAAAAAAAAAAAAAAAAAAAATTAGCCTCATGAATGAGCTAGAAAAGGAGCTCTTAGGCAGAGGGATCATTGTGGCCAGGGTTGCTGAAGCATGAAGCATCCTGAGATCAGGGAGCCATAGAAGGCTTCTTATTACCAAGTCTGCACTACTCCTGGGCAGTGACGTGAGACTCCAGAGCCAGGAGGAGACAGGTCACGGAGAGCCCTGGATTGACAATGCTGAGAGTAGCTTGGACTTGCTCCTGTAGGGGATGCCAAGCCATGGAGAGGCTTTTAGTCTCACCGATGTTTTCAGAGTTTTCTTTTATAGATAAATCAATCACTCTGGCAGCTAATGGAGGAAGTTAAGGGGAGCCTGGAGTAAGAAGATGGTAAGATTAAAAACAGGGAGACTGTTTAAGAATCTATTCCAGTTGCCCAAATATGAAATGATGAGGACAAGAATATAGGGTAGTTGAGATGGAGTAATGTATTCACTAGGCCATTCTGTGTATCAAACACCACCTAATCTTAGTGCCTTAACACAGTAAACGCTTATTTCTTGGTTACACAAAGTCCACCGCAGATCTTGCCGGCTCTATGAGGAAGCTGCCCTCCATGCAGCAATTCAGTAATCCAATTCTACTAAAAATTTCCTCCTTTAGCTCTTTCAGTATGAGGCCTTCTTGGTCACTGTGGCAAAGGAACAAGTAATTGGTGGTTCCCGTGCTGTTTCTTCTATGCTTGGGTCCCACGGTCACTACCCACAGACCACTGGCCAGTCAGATGTCTGGTCTGGCCAAGTAAGTGGAAGTGGTCTCCCTAATTAAAATGAGTAATCAAGAAGAAAGGCCATATATGGAAGAGAATATAACATGCTTATTTTTAGTAGAGTTGAATTCGAGGTTATTTATACCCAAATAGATACATCAAGAAAGCCGTTGGCTGGAGATGCTCCAGGTAAAGATGAGAGCTAGAAATGATAATTTTGGAGTCATCAGAACAGAAATACTACTTAAACCCATGAAAATGGAATAGCTTGCTTAAGAGAGAATATAGGCAAGTTATACTTACTTTTTACTGTTTTCTGACACATACTAAAATATTAACACAGGCCATTCTTTTCATCCTTACAGATTATAGTTCAATGAGCATATGCCCTCTGTAAGCCTGTTGGTAATGGATTTCAGAATTGGCTCTACTGGATATGCATTGCTAGGAGTTTTTATGCAGTTCTAGGGTTTTTAAGACCTTTTTTTCATGTCTTACATGTGTTGAAAATGCTTTAAGCATTTATGGCACAATATATCACAGGTGATTGTGATCTTATATACCCCATAGCCATTTTGCTGATTTGATATATAAATTAATAAAGCTCTGTTCCTGGAAATGAGGATAATGCTACATGAATACTCCAAAGAGTTAACATAAATGTAGTCTTGAAAAGCACTCCCTCAAGAAAAGAATTCTGTCCAAATCCTATTAATTCCCGGGTATTTTGCCTATTTTCCTTAAAAGCACCTTACATTAAAAAATCTGTTTTGCATTCAGTCTCTAAGCAAAAATATGTAGTGCCTTTAAAGAAACAACAACAAAAAAACCCTTGAGTAGGTTAATCTCTCCATTTTAAGTTACACACTTATTTCATGAACTAATCAAACTTGTCGTTAAGGCTTCATTAATTTCCTCTCCACTCATGGGGTGGGATGGTTGAATCATAGCGGGGCTGTGTGTGTCTGGAAGTGACCTTTGTATATTTGGGTGGTAAATTATACTTCAAAATACCAGTAGACATTTTATTAAAATTTTTATTTTCTTTGGTAGATTATTTCCTTCTAATTATAGTAGTAAACACTGGTATGTTATGATTAGTGATTAGCTTATAACAAACATCTAAACAGGGATAAGTCAGCCTGTTTAGCGATAAACCTGTCTCTTGATATATTTAGAACTGATCACTAGCCAGTATGGCTCCATATATTTCTAGGACAGTGTAACCCACAGTGACATAAATTAAAATTTTAAAAAAATCAAGGATACAGTAAATACCAACTGTCTATTAATATTGATTAATAAATCAATACATTTAAAAAATAATAAAGTTTAATTTTTCAAATTGATAAAAGTAAAAATTACTAAATTGATACATTACTGAGTTAATAAAATTAACATTTACTACTATTAATCTAAATGGGAAGGTGAAACATGGGACAAAGAATGAATTTTTCTGAACCTAAAAACTGGAAGGAAAGTCAAAAGTACTTACCAGAGCATGCTTAGGATGCCCAAAGGTACTGTCAGTTCATCTCCCGGAGGTGGGGTTAGTTTAGTCACCACCAAAATAAAACTGTGGTCAAACCATGAATTTTGGAGTATTAAATGAACCCAGTTGTGGATTCACTATGGTCAAATTACTACAAGAACTGGGACTGGAATAGGTTGCCCTGCCCTAGAAGTTTCCTAGTTGATTGAGTTGAGGTCTGATTAAGTTGAGGTCACTTCCAGACACACACAGTCGCACTCTGATTCAACCATCCCACTCCAGGAATGGAGAGGAAATTAATGAAGCCTTACTGACAAGTTTGATGAGGGAGGGAGCAGCTATGTTGGCATGTCTTCTAAGAGCTGTTTCTGACTTCTGGTGCCCAGCAGTAGTCCAGCTATGGTAGCTGATCAGTTGCTGCCTAATTACCTAATCCTATTGGCAAGATGAATGTTTCAGTTCGCTGCTGTGCCTTTAATCATAATTGTCTTTTATTCATTCAGTTTGAGGTCTTCCTGGTTCTTGGGATGTTGAGTGATTCTCAGTTGAAACCTGGACATGTTGGATGTTATGCGATATGACTCTGGGTCTTACTTAGACTTCTGTTTTAGCTGGTTTTCTTTGACACCACTCCAGCAGGGGAAGAATGGGGTGCTGCCTCAGTATTGCCCAGTGGAGGTAGAAGTCCAGTTTCTCCCACTTGGACCCTGCTGACACTCAAGGGGTGGAGGCTTCTTGTTACTCCTAGGTGGAGATGGGTATTCATGTCCCCACTAGGCTTCACTGGTGTATCCCTGCCTGGTTAGGGTAGGAAGGCCTCCACTAACACAGTGGGGGTGAAGGAAGGGGGGCCTGGTTACTGCTGTGCGGTAGTGAAGGTCCGACTCCACCAGGAGACACGGCTGTTACTGCTCCATGGAGGTGGAATTCTAGAATCCTCACCTAGTCTCTAGTGACACTGTGGAGGGGAGACTTCATTGCTGATGGTTGGAGATTATAGCCCTGCCTCCCTCGGCTTTCCCTGACACCTTCCAGTGGAGCAAGGAGAGGCTGAAGCACCTCCTCACAACCTGGTGAGCATGGGGCCCGCCGCTTGGTCTTTACTGACATGAGTGACAGTGGGACCACATGGTCTTTGGAATAGAGTGATTGTTGTCCCACAGGTTTCTATGTTGCTAGGCTGTCCCTTTCCTTTGGAGGCTTCTTTGGCTAGAGAGAGTGGGCTCCTGTTGAAGCTTTTTTGGTCTGTGCCTGTTGGCATTTCCTGGTTGTTGGCTTCTTCAGCTCTACCTCTGGATATATAAGGCAGAAAGATCCAGGGAGCTGCAGGTCACAGCACTCCTGACTGGTCTGCCTTCTCTCTGCCTTTTTAGTGTTTGTCTGTGTGTATAGTTCTTGTTGTACTTTTATACTTAGTGTGCTGGAGAAAAAAAAATATTCCTGATACTTCTTAAAGACAGTAAGGCAGACTATTCAGGGGACCACTGAGATGAGGATTTGTGTTAGAGGGCAGAGATTGGGCTCAACTCAGAATACACAAGGACCAATGGAGATGTGTAGCGAAGGAGCAGGGTGGGGGTCAGTGATGGAAAATTACTAAGAAGAAACGTCATGGCTGGGGGATTCTTGCCAGACCTACTCAACAGGAGTTGCTGAAGACAAGCCAGAGAGATGACATATTGATAGTGGGAGATGAGGAATTTGATCAGATCTCATGAGTGATCAGGCCTCAAGGGTGGGGATTTATTTTTGAAGGAAGACTTAAGCAAACTACCTTTTCTCTTTAGGAAAATAAAATGTATGTTCTGGGCTTAGATATCTAAGTAATCAGTAGGTTGAATTTTAATGCTTACATGCAGATAACCGATTTTTTTAAGTTATAATTTTCATTACTACCTCATCCCTTAGCCCAAGTCACATATTTACCTGTTTTGGAAAACCATACCTCTGGCAGCAGTTGAGCTTTGATGTCTAGTATCATTACTTTATTCAGCTTCCAATTCATTTTAAGTGGTCCTTAATGGGTATTCATTTCTTATCAGAATCAATCTATACCTGATACTTGTATATTTCTGGAAATCAAAGTTTTTCAAATATTTGGATTTATAAAATTATAAGTGGAAATATTTCAACAACTATGAAGAGATAGATAATTTAAGATACTTTTCTATAATTAACAACTTTTTTTAGAAAAGCCTGATTTTAATAAATGGTGGTTTTCTGTTTTTTTCTTCTACAGAAAAGACTGAAAGCCATTTAGCTCAGTTGTACAAAAAAGAAACTTTAGAGAATAGAGAAAATCAAGAGTGCAATAGTAGCTGTGGGAAAATTTTAACAATGTAACCACGTATGTTTGTACAGATACATATATACAGAGAAATCCTTTTATAATGAATAGTCAGAGTATAGGAGAAAAAAATGGTATTGGAGAGTTTGGCCTTATATCATTTGCTTTCAATCTGAATGGTTCAGTAAGAATCTAAAAATGCCTTTATATCCTCTGGGTTTATTTAAAGATACTTCACTGTATGTACACACAGGTGTATAGTTGGTTTATGTTTTGACTCAGTTATATTCTTTTCTTACCATGTATGGACCATGATTTTGTAAAAAGAAAAGATAAAATTCCCTCAGAACATCTAGCTTTAAGAACTTTGGCTGGGTGTGGTGGCTTACGCCTGTAATCCCAACACTTTGGGAAACTGAAAGGCAAGAGGATCACTTGAGCCCAGGAGTTAGTGACGAGCCTGAGCAACGTGGGGAAACCTCATCTCTACACAACAAAAATTTTAAAAATTAGCTGGGCGTGGTGGTGCACATCTGTAGTCCCAGGCCTTAGGAAGCTGAGATGGGAAGATCGCTTGAGCCCAGGTGGTCAAGGCTGCAGTGAGCTATGATTGTGCTACTGCACTCCAGCCTGGGCGACAGAGGAGACCCTGTCTCAATTTAAATATCAAAAAGAACTTTTATTCTTGTGATCTAAAGTTCTTTTTTTTTTTTCCTTTAGAGAGAACACACGTGTGTGTGTGTGTGTGTGTGTGTGTGTGTGTGTGTGTGTGTAAAGTGCTTGGATTCTTGAAGATCACTTTCTCTGCTTGCTTAGCTGTTCTTCAAGCAGGAGAAAATATGCTGTATTTATGTGATTATAAAAAGCATTGCCAGGCATGGTGGCTCATGCCTGTAATCCCAGCACTTTGGGAGGCCGGGGCGGGCAGATCACGAGGTCAGGAGATTGAGACCACGGTGAAACCCCGTCTCTACTAAAACGACAAAAAAATTAGCCAAGTGTGGTGGCGGGCGCCTGTAGTCCCAGCTACTCCGGAGGCTGAGGCAGGAGAATGGCGTGAACCCGGGAGGCGGAGGTTGCAGTGAGCTGAGATTTCGCCACTGCACTCCAGCCTGGGTGACAGAGTGAGACTCCGTCTCAAAAAAAAAAAAAAAAAACAAAAAAAAAACCACAAAGCATTAAGCAATTTAATTTCTGTATATTTAGTAAGGAAGTGATCATACTTTAAAAAAAAACTTTTTAGGCCGGGCACAGTGGCTCACACCTGTAATCCCAGCACTTTGGGAGGCCAAGGCGGGCAGATCACGAGGTCAGGAGATCGAGACCATCCTGGCTAACACGGTGAAACCCCATCTCTACTAAAAATACAAAAAATTAGCCAGGCGTGGTGGCGGGCTCCTGTAGTCCCAGCTACTGGGGAGGCTGAGGCAGGAGAATGGTGTGAACCTGGGAGGCGGAGCTTGCAGTGAGCCGAGATTGCGCCACTGCACTCTAGCCTGGGTGACAGAGCAAGACTCCTCTAAAAACAAAAAAAGAAAAAAGAAATTTAGTATTACTTCTTGTTTTCGTGGCCTCTGTATCTGTAAAATACAACTGTACACTCAGTGATATGGTTTGGCTTTGTGTCCCCAACCAAATCTCATGTTGATTGTTATTCACAGTGTTGAAGAAGGGGCCTGATGAGAGGTGATTGGATGGGGGCAGCATTCCTCCCTGTTGTTCTCATGATAGTGAGTGAGTTCTCTTGAGATCTGATGGTTTAAAAGTGTGCGATACTTCCCCCCTCACCTGTGCTCTCACTCTCTCCTGCCACCATGTAGAAAAGGTGCTTGCTTCCCTTTCACCTTCCGCCATGATTGTAAGTTTCCTGAGGCCTTCCAGTCATGTTTCCTGTGAAGCCTGAGGGACTGAGTCAATTGAACCAATTTTCTTCATAAATTTACCCAGTCTCGGGTAGTTCTTTACAGCAGTGTGAGAGCAGACTAATACACTCAGCCACTCAGATAACCTAAATTACAGACAAACTGTGGTAAATGTTCTTGGATCCTGGCCATTGTTCACTGATTTTTAGAATAACAGAATGCACTTGCCTGCATTTTCTTCTTTTCTTTAGATATGGTGTTGAGTCTCACTGAATCCAGCTAATAATTCCCTTTAAACATTCTGTTCTTTGAGAACAGATACAGCTGGGAGAAATGATCCTATGACATTAAAACTAGAATTGGATTGCATTAGGTTTATTGCAAGGATGTGAGATCTGTACTCCAAAGTGGGGCAGTGACCAGGAGCAAAGGCTCAACCACTCTTTGTTTTTGAACAGTTTCATTTTAGGTACTGCACTGGGCCATTATAGGCAAATTGGCCCAAAAGGTATTTCACTCCTGGAACTTAAGTTCATGACCAACTTTTAGGAATGGCTTTTTAGATCTGACTGTTACTTTTTCACCAGAATGTACCATAATTATATACCATGGCCTTGCCAGAAAACAGGAAATCTTTCAAAAATTAGGAGTGGAATAGAAATTTTGTAGTTTTTTTTTTTTTTTCAGTTTTAAAATGTTGAATGTGTTTTTATCCTTGTGTTAATATATGTTTGAAGAGAGAAAATATAGGCTGCTCTTCTCCAGAGTTCGAAGTTAAAGTCTGCACAGCATATGGGAAAGTGCTAAATATACATGGTAATTGGAATTAACCATTAAGATGAACATACTCATTCTGGCAGCTAAGAAGGGATATCTTCAGCTCAGGGAAAACTATAAGCTATGTTTGTAAGTCCACCCAGCTGGGTTATGTGTCTGGGTTATAGAAGCCAGGAATCCCATGCAAGCGTTTCTAAGGATTACAAAAACGGTCATGATGAGATGGAAGAGAACAGTTTCTTAAGAACGAGCAGATAGACCAAAAAAAATTTTTTTTATTTGCTTTCTACCAAGAGGGGGAAAAAAGTAGTTTTCATGGGAAATATGTTGAAAGAACAGATGTCTTGTGAGCTTAATTCCATAAATGGTGATGTGCCCAAGAATACCCTGAGATAAGAAGAAAAACTACATGGAGTCTTAAAAAAAAAAATCACTGAGTCCTAAAGTAAATAAGTGAATATCCATAATCAACAATTTTCCTTTTCATATTAAATCTATTTGCGTGGAAGGAAATGAAGGAGAAAACTTTATAAATATGTGTAAACTGGAGTCCCTGGATTCTAGAGTTCTTTTGTGAAACTAGTGTAAGGAACAGAAATTGTCTTTTTATCTGAGAAAAAACTGTGCTAGTTGAGATGTCTATTTTCTTTGCTTTTGACTGAGATAACTCACTGTGGTAACACTGGGTTTTAAATTCTGATTGGTAACTATATATCTATTTTTGTTTAATACAAAGAGGAAAATGAATTATTTAATAAAGGAATTTTTATAGAAAAAGCATTCAAAATGTTAGACTCATTGCCAAAAAATATATGTCGTCCTTAATCGTAGGAAAGGTGGGAGCTACAAACCTATCATTTTTTTGCACCAATCATGGAAAATTGATTCTTGAATTCAACAAACATATAAAGGATTTTATCTAAGCTGGCAATTTTACTAGGTACTGAGTTGATAGAAAGATGAATGAGACTCTGTCGCAGCCCTCATAAACTCAAATCTATTGGAAGAAAAGATATGTAAACAGATGATTAGAATCTGTTTCAGATAGCGCGGAAAGCCTTTTGTTCCAAACCTCAAGAAGCTGCATAAGCTTTTACCACCTCTAAAAATTTGTCATGTGTGGTTGAGCTCATGTGAGAGAATGGTGTCAGAATCAAAGAGGGGGCTGAAAGATAAAGATGAGGTGTGTGAGCCTATGCAGCAGCTGCCCAGGGGCTAGCAGACGTAGTTATGACTAGAAGGACTTGGGTTTACAAAATGCCTATACAGAGAATGGAGGTGAGGCATTGAGCTCACAAGAGGTGGGGAGTTGGAACCGAACCTCTGCTGAAGATGGGTCCATTAGAGGCTCGCTGTGCAGAAAAGCAAGACTCGTTCAGTCAAACGCCTACCAGTGACAGATGACAAAGAAGCTTTTCTCTGCCCTGACTCTGGGAAGGAGCCCAGAGTCAGCTCTAAGAAACCAAAGTTATCAAGCCTGTACCTTCCCCAGGTTTAGACTAAAAATTTATGTCACTACTTGTCTGGGAAGTTCCTACCTGAAGATCACAAAGAAAGAAATGTACATGGTCCTTACCCATTCATAGTAAGATAATGGCAAGCTGAGGTGCTTTGTGACCAAAATCGAGAATTTAACAACACACTCAATTAAGCAGGCTGTGCACATTGGGAACTCTGATACTCTCCTGGTGGGAATGCAAAATGTAGACCTCTTATAGAGGCAGTTTGGCAATATGTAGTAACATTGCTTATCTGTGCGTTGACTTTGTGACCCAGAAGCTTTACTTCTAGAAATTGGTCCCACAGACACATCTTCAAAAATACAAAATAACATATACACAAGGAAATTCATTGCTATAATATTTATAATAGCAACAGATTCAAAATAACCCAGTTGTGCCACAGTGGGATATTTGTTGTCAATTATAGTATATCCATCAGAGTGGAATACTGTGCAGCTGTAGAAAGGGATGAGAAAGATCTCTATTGATATGGAGCGATTCCCAGAACATACTGTTAAATGAAAAAGCAAGATGCAGAATAATGTATTTAACATATTACTTTTTATGTAAGAAAAGGGGGAACATGTGCAATTATATGAGTATATGATTGCTAATAATTGCAAGAAGAAACAATTGAAAGACAAATCAAAAATTTACCCAAAAAAGTTACCTCTAAAAAGGAGGGAACAGGATAGAGGAGACAGGGGTGGAAGCAAGCCTTCTGTGATTATACCTAGTTATATAGTTTTGACTCTAGAATCAAATGAATGTATTACATAATCAAAAATAAAATTAGATCTGAAAAAAGGAAAAAAGCAGTCCTTGAAATTTAAAAACAAACAGAAACAAATGAATCTAATTATATATTAAATTGTTGACATTCACATTGAGCAAATAATTATTTCAGCTAACTTTATAATACAGATTTTTCTCTGTACATCTCAGTAGGATAAACTCCAAGTAAAAGAACAAAAATGCGAAGTTTTTTTTAGTGGTCTCACTCTCTCCCAGGCTGGAGCGCAGGGGCACAGTCACCACTCACTGCAGCCTCAACCTCCCAGGCTCAATCGATCCTCCCACCTCAGCCTCCCAAGTAGCTGGGACTGCGGGCACATGCCACCGTGTCTGGCTAGTTTTTGTATTTTTTGTAGAGATGGGGTTTCACCATGTTGCCCAGGCTGGTCTCAAACTCCTGGGCTCAAGTGATCCTCCCTCCTCAGCCTCCCAAAGTGCTGGAATTGTAGACGTGAGCCACCGTGCCCAGCCCAAATAGATTTTAGAGTTCATCCTGAAGGCATATTGATAGTAATTGTATTGGTTTTGAATTTTAAAAGCATTATATTGTTAGAGAAAACAAATAACAAGTAATTATGTTATTGTTAGGAACCAAAATTTTTCAGCATAAGAGAAAAAAATATAAAGTATAAAATCAAAGTAGTTTAGTAAACCCAGTCTTCAAGACTGAGATCTGTAATCTTAAATCTGAATTTAAAACATTACTGTTAACCAATAATTTTCTCCCTTTTAAAAAAATATTTATTTCCTATCTCTGACTGAACCAGACTAGAAGAAATGATAAATAATAAACACCCCACAGCCGGATTGTGGTTTCCCACTTAGTCTGTGTATGGTATGCTGCTATAACAAAGTCGGTAGGTAGGTAGATTATAAAGAACAGAAATTTATTTTTTCACAGTTCTGGAACTGGGAAGTCTAAGATCAAGGCACCAGCAGGTTTGGTTGTCTGGTAAGGGCCGCTTTTGACTTTTAAGATGGTACCTTGTTGCTGTATCCTCCAGAGGGCAGGGACGCTTTGTCCTTGCACACATCTATTCATTTACTCATTTGTTTATGTAATGAGTTCCCTAGTAAACTTCAGTGCTGACAAATGAGTTTATTTTCTTTTCTCCTACTTTTTTTTTTTTTTTTTTTTTTTTTTTTTTGTTGAAACAAGGTCTCACTCTGTCAACCAGGCTGGAGAGCAATGGTGCGATCATGACCCAAGGCAGCCTTGACCTTCTGGGCTCAAGCAATCCTCCCACCTCAGCCTCCAAAGTACCTGGGACTACACACAGGCATGTGACATCATGCCCAGCAATTTTTTTTTATTTTTTTGTAGATACAGGGTCTGGTTATGTTGCCCAGGCTGGTCTCAAACTTATAGGCTCAAGCAGTCCTCCCACCTCAGCATTCCAAAGTGCTGGGATTACACGTGTGAGCCATCACGCCTGCCCTCTCTTAATATTTTTTAAGAGCAAAAGCATTATTTACTTACATGGCTGCACATTGGCTTATTTTATATACCTTTATTGAGATATGATTCACATCCCATGCAATTTACCCGTTTAAAATATGCCATTCCATATTGTTTAGTAAATCACAGAAATGTGTAACCATCACTACAATACCCTATTTTTTAAAGTATCTTTTTCTAGTATTATTTCAGTGTCATCGCTTTTTATATATTAAATACATTTTCACAAATTGAAAGCATTATTGATTTTGCTGCTCAAATTGTTAAATGTAGCCATTGTCCCTTTCCCCCAGGCCTGGCAACCACTGATCTACTTTCTCTATATATAGATTTGCCTATTCTGGAGATTTCATATAAGTGAAATAATATACTATGTTGCCTTTTGCAGGACTTCTTTAACTTGGCATCATGTTTTCAAGGTTCATTGATACTTGTAGCATGTATCAGTACTTCATTCCTTTTTATGGCTAATAGCTCATTATATGGATATGCCAGATTTTATGTATCCATTCATAAGTTGTTGGATATTTGGGTTGTTCCTCTTTTTTGACTATAATAAATAATGATGCCGTGAACATTTGTGGGTGCTTTTTTGCATGGAAACACGTTTTCAGTTATCTTGAGTATATACCTAGGATTGGAATTGCTAAGTCATATGGTAATTGTATGTTTGCCATTTTAAGGAACTACCAAAATGTTTTGCAAAGAGACCTTACCACTCTACAATCCCACCAGCAATATATGACCGTCCCTACACATTCTCACCAACACTTGTTATTGACTTTTAATAGCCACCCTGGTGGATGTGATGTGGTATCTCATTATGGGGTTTTGTTTGTTTTGTTTTATATTGTATTGCTTCTCCGTTGTTCCTGTAGATCACTGTGGCTTTGATACGCATTTCCCTATTGGTGTTGCACATCTTTTCTTGTGCTTACTGCCTATTTGTGAATCTTCTTTGTTGATTGAAAAGATTCAAATCCCTTGCTCATTTTTAATTGGGGTATTTGTATTTTTATTATTGAGTTGTAAGAGTTCTAGACACAAGTCCTTTATCATATATATGATTTATAAATATGTTCTCCCATCCTGTCGTTCTCTTTTCACTTTCTTGTTGATACTGTTTACAGCATAAAATTTTATAAATTTTGATGTGCTCCGATTTATTTTTTTTTCTTTTGCCGCTTTCGCTCTTTGGGTATATTATCCAAGAAATCACTGCCTAACCCAGGCCTCAAAGATTTACTCTTATGTTTTGTTCTAAGAGTTTTATAGTTTTAGCTCTTCCATTTAGCTCTTTGGCCCATTTTGAGTTTATTCTTTTATATGTTCTGAGACTGAGACTTAATGAGTTTGACATCATTTTCTTTGCATGTCTATTTCTATTTGTCCCACACCATGGGATGAAAAGAGTATTCTTTCTCCATTAGATTGTCTTGGTACCCTTACTGGAAATCAGTTGACCATAAAAAAATGATGATTTGTTTCTGGACTCTCAATTTTGTTTCATTGATTTCTTTGTCCATCTTTATGCTGATAACACACTGTAGGTAAACCTACTATTTACTGTAGGATCTGAAATCAGAAAGTATGAGTCTTCCTAACTTTATTCTTCTCATTCAATATTGTTTTGGCTATTTTTGTATTTTTTTTTTTTTTTTTTTTTTTTTTTTTTTTTTTTTGTGACGGAGTCTTGCTCTATCGCCCAGGCTGGAGTGCAGTGGCGTGATCTGGGCTCACTGCAAGCTCCACCTCCCGGGTTCACGCCATTCTCCTGCCTCAGCCTCCCGAGTAGCTGGGACTACAGACGCCCACCGCTGCGCCCGGCTAATTTTTTGTATTTTTAGTAGAGACGGGGTTTCACGTGTTAGCCAGGATGGTCTCCATCTCCTGACCTTGTGATCCGCCCGTCTCAGCCTTCCAAAGTGCTGGGATTACAGGCGTGAGCCACCGCGCCCAGCCCTATTTTTGTATTTTTTAAAACACCATGTGAATTTACAGTTCTCTCAAAAATTGAAGAAGCAGTAATAGAAGTAGCACTAATAGTAGCAGTAGTCATAGTAGTAGAAGAAGAAATGCTGTAGCAAATAAAGGGGAGGGAGGATAAAGGAAGCAGGTAGAGCAGTAGAATCGTTTCTGAAGGAGGACATGGATGTATGGGTTTTTTCTGTTCTTTCCTCTGGTGTATGTTTGGAAATTCTCCATATAAAATATAATTATTTTAGTTTTAAAAGGAGAACAGGCTCTGAAGCTAGACTGTTTGTATTAGAGCTCTAGCCCTGTGACTTATTCATCATATGAATGTCGCTAAGTTATTTAGGCTCTCTGTACCTCAATAAAATTGACATGCAAATTGTACCAACTTCATATTGTTGCTATGAGGATTAAATTACCTAAAGCTCTCAGAATACTTGGCACTTAGTAAGTATTCAGTAAATGTTGGCTTGGAAATTGACTATTTTTGAAGGGAGGGCGGTAAAAAAAAAAAAAAAAAAGAGTATTTTTAAAAGTACACGTAGATTTACCAAATAATCAATAAATCTAGTTATTCAATTAAAAACTTAGTGGCAAGTTAACGTATATGAAAGGAGAATTAATGAACTTGAAGATTCTGCCGAAATTATCCAAAATGCAGTGCAGAAGGATAAAACAAAATTGAAAATATCAAAGAGAGATTAGGAGACATGGAAAACAGACTGAGAAGGTACATTCATCTGATAGGAGTTTTGAGAAAGACCATAGGGGAAATTCAGAAGGACCAATATTGCAAAATAGGAAAGTATACATTTAAAAAACTGGAAATTACAGATTTTGCAAATTAGAAAATAAGGAAATTGCAAATATTGTAAAAAAGAGAAATTGCAAAATATTTAGAACAGGGAAAAACACTTTATATCAAAATTTGTGAGATGCTGCTAAAGCAGTTCTTGGAGGAAAATTTATACTCTTAACACATATATAAAATTGAAAATGAAAAGGCTGGGCACGGTGGCTCACGCCGTAATCCCAGCACTTTGGGAGGCCAAGGCAGGTGGATCACTTGAGGTCAGGAGTTCAAAACCAGCCTGGCCAACATGATGAAACCCCGTCTCTACTAAAAATACAAAAGTTAGCTGGGCATGGTGGCGGGCATCTGTAATCTCAGCTACTCAGGAGGCTGAGAAAGGAGAATCGCTTGAACCCGGAGGTTGTAGTGAGCCGAGATCACACCACTGCACTCCAGCCTGGGTGACAGAGAGAGAGACTGTCTCAAAAAAAAGAAAGAGAAAGAAAAAAAGAAAGAACAGTAATGAGCTAAGCATCCAAATCAAGAAATAGAAAAAGAATATCTGTGTAACCCCCAACACACACACACACACACACACACACACACAAAAGAACAAAGAAAATAAAAACAAATTAAATGAAATAGAAAACAAGCTGTAAGAGAAGATCAGTGAAACTAAAAGCTAGCTCTTAGAGAGGATTTAATGACTTAATTAGATGTGAAATACATAGTGAGACAGATTGTTCATGAAGAAAAGACCAGATATTATAATAATTTTAACAGTGACTTAATCTGATGTCCCTTCAGACTTCTATTACTAAAGAATTAATTAGTCTGCTTTTATTCTGGTTAATAGAACCTGCAACTGAACTCTCAGATTTTTTTTATCAATACTAAAACACAAATCTAATTAGAATTTAAACTTTTTCTTTTAATAGCTGCGTTTGGATAACCTATCCTGTCTCTTAGCTTATGTATTCTTCTATGAAATGTAGTTTCTGTAACAAGTTATTTTAACATTTTGGACATTGACATTTTTGTCGTAGAAGAAAAAATTAACAGAATAGACAACTAACTCCTTTTTCCTCTGGGAGGGTATGTATACCTGGAGATATACATTGATAGCAAAGAAGTCTATTTCAGCAAGTTTCTTCCTTCTTCCCTTCTTCCTTTTTTTTCCCCCTTCCTTCCTTCAGACAACGTTATTCTTTATGTCGTTGGGACCAGGGGTTTCATCTCCCTGCACATGCACCTGGCACGGTTCAAGAGGAAAAACATTTGGATATAAAATATCTTTCATGTCAGTAAAACATGAAGGAATTACTCCTTTTGCTTTTTGGTCTTATCTTGAGAAGAGCATACTATGAGAGCCCCTTAAGAGCACAGAGTCATTTATATGATCTGTGTAACATCTAATGCTCTGTGAGCTGTCAGATATTTAGTGCTCAACATCATAACTATGCAGGGAACAGACTTCACACCAAGTTTCTTCATACTAGACCTAGGAACACTAAACTTTGATCATCTTCGTGTCTTTTTGGAAATGGAGAAGTAAGTTCTTACAACTGTTTTTTTCATTCTCTGACGTGGATCAAATAAGGAATCTTTGGTCTTATCTGTCCACTTGGATCAGTTTTTTTCAGGCAGGCATACGTACTCACTCCTAAGAAGTACTTTAAATGCGTTCTGCCTTGAAAATGGATTTGTGTGTACTTTATTAGGATTTCTTTTTAAGTTTTTAAACTTATGCTAGATATCAGATATTAAAGATTGTCTCATGTTCTAAGAAAATAACTAGCCAAGTCTACTTTCACCCACATTCCTGTTAAAGTCAACATGGAAAGGTTTCTTAACCAATTGAATGACATGATACAGATGTTTCGCTCACTTTCTGTATATGCCTCTTTCCTTTCTTCTATTTTCCTTTTTTCTGAGAGCTGCTTTGCAGAAGACTTTGTCATGAAATACCACATGCCATAAGAAAAATTAGCCTACATCTTTTCAAGATTGTCTTAGTCCATTCAGACTGCTATAACAAAATAACTCAGACTGAGTAATTTATAAACAATAGAAATTTATTGCTCACCATTTTGGAGACCAGAAGTGCAAGATCAAGGCAGCAGCAGATTCGGTGTCTGATGAGGGCTTGCTCTCGGCTTCGTAGATAATGCTGCTTCACTGCATCTTCACACTGCAGAAGGGCAAACGGGCTCCCTCGGGCCTTTTTCCAAGTATAATGGATACATTTATTTATTTACTCATCCATTTATTTATTCATTCATTTATTTACTCATCCATTTACTTATTCATTCATTTGCAATAATCCTTTGAACAACTACTGTTTGCAAAAAAAAAAAAAAGTATGTTATTTGCCACCAGTTTGATAATGGAGATAACAGTTCTATATGAAAAAATCGATAGTTGGTCTCACAAGCAAAGTGTGCTGGGAGAGCAAAAACAGAAGAAAAACATTATTTTCATATTTTCTCTTTTGAGTGAGACACTGTCCTCTTTAGGAGTTCAGTTTCCTACCAGTGATAGAACTAGATATTTACATCTCCCAAATCAAAGTACAAACTTTGGCCATAGAACCTTGTTCCTCGTTATTTTCTTTTTATTTTCAACTTTTATTTTAGATTCGGGGGATGCATACACAGGTTTGTTCCCTGGGTATATTGCATAGTACCCTCAGGCCTTTTTTACAGGGATGCTAATCTCATTCATGAGGGTTCCACCCTCTGACCTAATCATCTCCAAAAGGCCCATTTCATAATACCACCAAATCAAAGGTTAAGTTTCAACATCTAAATGTGGGGAGAGCCGGGCGCAGTGGCTCATGCCTGTAATCCCAGCACTTTGGGAGGCTGAGGCAGGCTGATCACTTGGGGTCAGGAGTTTGAGACCAGCCAGGCCAGCATAGCAAAACCCTGTCTCTACTAAAAATACAAAAAAAATAGCCAGCGTGGTGGTGTGTGCCTCTAATCCGAGCTACTTGGGAGTCTGAGGCAAGAGAATTGCTTGAGCCCAGGAGGCAAAAGTTGCAGCGAGCTGAGATCTCGCCACTGCATTCCAGCCTGGGCAAGAGAACGAGACTCCGGCTCAAAAAATATAAATAAATAAATAAATAAATAAATAAATAAATATAAATAAAATAATATAAAATTGGGGGGAACACAAACATTCAGACCATAGCAAAGGTCTCTGGGGGTCCTCCCAGAAAAGAGAAATTTGATTCACAGATAATTTATTAATCGGTTTTTTTTTTTTCTATCGTTATGTACTGGAGGGAGGAATTGACTTTAAAATGTGCTTACATTATTAGGTGAAAATGTAAAGAACCTAAATCTTCAACAGTATGGGACTCACTAAATATCCATTCAGGGGACCAGGCACAGTTGCTCACGCCTGTAATCCCAGCACTTTGGGAGGCCAAAGCAGGCGGATTATATGAGGTCAGGAGTTCGAGACCAGCAAGGCCAACATAGTGAAACCCATCTCTGTTAAAAATACAAAAAATAGCCGGGCGTGGTGGCAGGCGCCTGTAATCCCAGCTACTCGGGAGGCTGAGGCAGGAGAATCACTTGAACCCAGGAGGCAGAGGTTGCAGTGAGCCAGGATCACGCCATTGCACTCCAGTCTGGGTGACAGAGCAAGACTCCATCTCAAAAAAATTAAATAAATGGATATCTATTCAGCCAAATGCTGTGTAGCCAGTTAAAAGTAGATTTTGGGCTGGTCACCGTGGCTCACGCCTGTAATCCCAACTCTCTGAGAAGCCAAGACGGGGGGATCACTTAAGGCCAGGAGTTTAAGACCAGCCTGGGCAACATAGTGAGACCCCATTTCTAAAGTTTCTAAAAAAAATACATAAACTTTCTAAAACCAACAAATAAATATATATACATATGTATATATACACACATATACACGTATACATATATGTGTAATTTTTTAAAACAGTATTTTAGAATACTATTTAATGACATGAAAAAATGGTCATGATAATGATGATAGCTAAAATGTATTGGGTGTCAGTTTTACGCCAGACACCTTTTTAAGTGCTCTCCTTGTGTTAATTCAACAGGTTAATCCTCACAGCAGTCTTATGTAGGAGAAAACTGTTGTTATCCCCATTTTAAAGGTGAGGAAACTGAGACTCAACAGCATTTACATAGCTTGCCTGAAGTCAGCTGGTGAGAGACAGAGCTAGAGTTTAAACTCAGGCAATTTGGCTCTTTTAAATCCCTTGCTCAGACATATTACATATCTCTGTAAATTTTTTTTATGAAACTAGACAAACTATTTTTAATTCATCTAGAAACTAAAATGTGTTAAAAATAACCTGTCAAATTTTGACAGAGTAGAATTGGTGGACATATTCTACCAGGTATGAAAATATGCTATAAGATATAGTAATTTTTAAAATATCCTAGTGTAGCTGAAATAGAGAAAAAGTAGAATAAATCAGAAGAGCATGCCACTTTTTATGTTCACAGGGAGGGGACTAAATGGATACACCTAAATATTAAGAGTGACAATCACTGATAGAGGAATTATAGATGATTTTTCTTTCTTTTCTCTTTTTTGTTTGTACTTTATTTTTTAAATTATCTATAATGCCAGGAGTTCAAGACCACCCTAGACAACATAGTGAGACCCTGTCTCTACAAAAGAAAATTTTTTAATTAGCTGGGTGTGGTGGTGCCTACCTATAGTCCCAGCTACTCAGGAGGCTGAGTTGGGAGGATCACTTGAGCCCAGGAGTCTGAGGTTGCAGTGAGCAGTGATGATGCCACTGTACTGTACAGCCTGGGTGACAGAATGAGACTCTCTCTAAAATATAACAAAGAAAACCCAAATTATCTTTAGTGAGTATTTTTAAATCATACAGTATTAGCAAGTTTATTTTTAATGCTTTAAAACTTCAAGTTTTAACAATATTTTACTAGTGTAACATATTGCTGTTTGATTTTATGCATCATGTACCCTGGCATTTTCTAAGCTGCTTACTCTGCAGAGTTAATTTTTCTAAAATGTTCAATATATTATTCATTTATTCAAGGCCTAAATTAACCACTCACACAGAATCACTAATCCAGTCTTCCTTTTTGATAAAGATGGAGAAAAGACAATGGGATTATAGTCCTTTTCTGGCTTAGGGTTGAGGAGAAGGATTTCAGAACTTTTAACTTATTTTTAAGACTCGAATTGTTTATTGATGGTATAAAGAAAAGCTATTTATATATATATATATGAGAGAGAGAGAGCACTTCTGTCTGAACACCTCACTGAACTCTGTAGTAAATTGTAATAGTTGTTCAATTGATTTTTTTATTGAGACCCTGTCTCTACAAAGAAAATTTTAAAATTAAGCATGGTGGCGTGCACCTGTAGTCCCAGCTGCTCGGGAAACTGAGGCCAGAGGATGGCTTGAGGCCAGGAGCTTGAGACAAGCCTGGGCAACATAGTGAGACCCTGTCTCTTTATTTTATTTTTTATTTTTTTAAAAAGACAGTTCATGAAGTGCTTGATTTGGGGATATTGCCTCTTCCCCAAAAATTTCTGTATCAATTTAATTGCCAGTCTTAGCCCAAGCTGCCATAATAAAATGCCATTAACTGGATAGCTTAATCAAACAGAAATTTATTTTCTCACAGTTTGGAGAAATCAAGGTAGTGTTTGATTCAGTTCCTAGTGAAGGTTCTTCCTGGCTTGCAGAGGCTGCCTAATTACTGGATCCTCATATGACAGAGATATAAAGAGAAATCCCTCTATTTTTCTCTTCTTCTTCTTACGAAGCCCAGTCCTATCAGATTAAGGCCCCACCCTTATGACTTCATTTAACCTTAATTACCTCCTGAAGACCCTGTCTCTGGGTATGGTAACGTTGGGGTTTAGGGGTTCTACATATGAATTTGGGGGAGGCACAATTCAGCCCGTAGTATTGGCTAAACTCTTTCCAGTATCCTCAGAAATCCCATATTTAGTTTATTTTATTGCAGACAGGATTAGTTTTATCCTTTCTTATGGAACTCTTAAAATACTCGTTACTTTACAGTGTGTCATAGAAACTTTACTTAAATTTAACCTTATGAATAATTTCTTCCTAGACGCAAAATCGAATGAAGCTAATGGCCGACAACTACGAGGATGACCACTTCAAATCCTCCCATTCCAATCAAACAAATCACAAGCCCTCCCCAGACCAGGTAAGATGGCTCTGGAATGTTTTATTAAAAAACCCACACACTTAAATTTTGAAATGTTTTTGTACTAGCATGTTGCAAATTCTGAGATATAAGTTAGAAGAATAAAAATAAATAGCTAATTCAGTTCTGAAAACTCTACTCTTTTCAAAAAAATCACAGATTCAGTTTCTTTATAGGAAGAACTGGATATTTTAAGAGCAGATACTTGAAAGATTTGAACAATAAAGAATGCTTGAATTGGGTTGAGAAAAAAATTAACCTCAGAGATACACACTAATAATATGTAATTTTTAACTGTCTTTACTAATTTTTAACTGTCTTGGTTTTCTTTTTAAAGAAATAGTGCCTTATTAGAAAAACAAGACTCTTTCCTTACAAGCCTAGTGAGGCACAGTTTGGAGGTTATTTCTGTTTAGTTGCAAATTATGAACTCTCTGCTCATTACCTATTAAAAGTGAAGATTGAAACTTAGTTCTTCACTCCCTGTCCTTGTGGATCCCTCCAGCATGTCATGCTTAAGGAAAATTGTTGCCTTCAACTTCTCATCAATGCAAAAGAGATATTGATGAATCTGAAGGGAACCATATTCCATTCTAGTTTCTTGGAAGAAGGGAACTCTCCCCAAATCTTGAAAATGATGGATGGGAGAGAATGGTGAACAGATTACCTCATATCCCATTACCAAAAATCAAATTTTAACATCTCTATCACACCCAGTCTTAAAATATGTAGCTAAGGGAAAAAAAAAACCAGTCAGGTAATCACATCCATATGACTAAAGCATCAAGGAAAACTTTCCTGCTAAACGTCTCCACTAAATAACAGCTATGGCGTTATCTTAGCAGAAGCAGGAGAAATAGTGCAGATGAAAGCAGCAATGGTATTCAAATTGCTGTTGCTTCCAAGATTCGGAAGGTATAGTCCTATTATGATGACGTTTCCTAAGCCAGTTGAGGCAAGCCTTGTATTTTAGAAGGAAAACAATGTAAATATTTAATGTGGGCAAAATGGAGAGCTATCTGCCTGGTGTCAGCAGTCTTTCCCTGCCAAGAGATCATTTTACCTTTTCTGCCTGCTTCCTGATACCTGGAACTGAATTTATGCCAGGGTATATAAGATGCATGTTTGATTCCTCATGAAAACAGGTTTTTGATAATAGAACTGGATGCCTGGAGTAGGAAGAGACAAACAGAGAAAGGTTGAAGGAAAAGCAAAACATAAAGAAAAACCTCCAACTTGGTAATTTTGCCCAGATCCAGCCCTGAGATAGAGATAGCATCTTGGAAAGTAGGAAGAAAAGAAGTATAATGACAAACTACAGTTGTTCCTGAGTATCCTCAGGGGATTGGTTTCAGGACAAACCCACCCACAAATGCCAAAATCCATGGTTGCTCAAGTCCCTTATATAAAATGGCATAGTATTTGCATATAAGCTACACACATCCTCCCATATACTGTGTTTTGTTTTGTTTTGTTTTTGAGATGGAGTCTTGCTGCGTTGCCCAGGCTGGAGTGCAGTGGCATGATCTCAGCTCACTGCAACCTACACCTCCTGGGTTCAAGTGATTCTCCTGCCTCACCCTTCTGAGTAGCTGGGATTACAGGCACCTGCCACCATGCCTGGCTAATGTTTGTATTTTAGTTAGAGACAGGGTTTCACCGTGTTGGCCAGGCTGGTCTCAAACTCCTGACCTCAGGTGATCTGCCCGCCTTGGCCTCCCGAAGTGCTAGGATTACAGGTATGAGCCACCATACCTGGCCCCTCCCATATACTTTAAATCATCTCTAGATTACTTGTAACCTAATACAATGTAAATACTGTGTAAATAGTTGTTATACTGTATTTTTAAAATTTTATTATCAATGCATTGTTATTTTTTATTGATTTATATATATATATGTATGTATATGTATATATTTCATCCACGGTTGGTTGAATCCACAGATGTGGAACCTGCAGATACAGAGGACCAACATTAACTACTAATTTTGATAGTTTAGGGAATTAGAATCTGTATGAGAGAGTCAAGAAATTCTCTTCTGCTACATTATGCTTATGTCTTTGTTTTAAATACTAACCACCTCTTTTTCATTCCATGCTGCCCTGGGGCATTGCCCCCTTGTCATCTCTCTCCCTGTAGGATGAGGAGGAGGGTATATGGGCATAGCCAATCAGAGGCTTAGTTCAGCCATTTTGTTCAGAACGGTGAGAAACAGCTTTCCTTAACTATAGAAATGGTTTTTGTTTGTTTTCATTTTTCTTTTTACACAGTAACTCTCACATCTCATTTCTCTGTAATTCATGAAATCCCTGGTGTGCTTTCTGTTTTTTTATTTTCACGTGATTCTTGTGTGTGTTGCTGTGCTGCTGACATAGTGGGGTTTGGATTTTGTGGCTTTTTTTTTTTTTTCTCGTTGTGTGTTAATAGTCACTTCTGTAATTTCTTTTTATACATTTTTGGGAGAACTTCTAGGACGTGTAACTAAATTTCTCCAGTTGTGATTTTATTAATTACCCTTTCTAGGGTGATTTTACAGTGTCCTGGCAAGGTTTATAGTAATTTTATATGAAATTGGCAATAGAAAATTGATCAAGTACTTTGCTCATTGGCCTAAGTTTGAGGTATACTTTTTATGATGATTAATTATAAATACATGGTGTTTAAAAAAAAAACTGTACTGTGAACTAAAACCTCCTTTTGTTTGTTTCTGTAGAAGAATGAGCTCTCACAGTCAGCACCTCGGACACATCCCCTGGGGCTTTGGCATTACCCTCAAACTATCCCTAAAAATATTGAGGAGCAAAGTAAAGGAAAACTTTTTTTAGAAGTCATTCTAAAAATTCTTTTCCCTCCCTTTTCATGGATTGCTGCAGTGTTCAACAGTTGCCAGGACACTGTCTAGATTCTCCTTTTCAGGACAATTGGCTGGAAAGTATAGTCCAGCCGTGGCAGTATCTCCCTTTGATCTGATGCCCTTGAGGTTTGACTAAGGAAATCCTTTTCTTAGAAAAAGTAATAATTATGATTAATAAGTTCACACATATTTGGTGGCCTTGCACTCCCTGGATTCACTGCCCATGCCTATCAGTGATCTCACTCCCCTGGAGTCAGTTCTCCCTGAAATGTCTTTGTCTTGGTGTTAAACTTCTTAAAATGATGAGGACATGTGTAGATCTCTTAACGTTGAGCACAACCAAGAAGGATGGAGAGGTAAGTTGTGGAAAGGGGCCATGCGCTGTGAGGTGGGAAGCTGTCCAGATGGCTTTATCCTGAGGGCATGAATGAAGTTGAAACGCACTGGGTCAACCAGAAAGCTCTTCAGGTTAGGATGCTGCATGTCAGAGAAAGCTAAAGCTGAGAGCAGTCAATGTGCTAATTATCTGCACTGGACAAGGGTAGGTATTTGTCATCATCAAGCATGTGAGACCGTGCAGTAGCTGGATGTAGTTTACTGGTCTCTTAGAAATGAGCATGCCCCTACCTTGTCTATTTTGGCAGAACATAGGAGCTTCTTAGCTTCCTTCAGCTGGAAGCACCACATATGTGGACATGATTATATTTTTGTCGCAAATCCTTTTTCTGGCCAATCAGAGGAAGCCTGTTGGTATTCTAGGAAACAGGCCTATAGGTAACTTCACCAGGAGACTAGAAAGTAAGCAAATCAGTATATAAACTTGTTCCTGAAATCTTCATTTTCCTTTCTCTACCAAAATAGGATAACTTAGCTTTTTCCAATTATCGCACTATTGAGCATATTGCACTAATATATTAACTTTCATTGGTTTAACACCATGCAATTGCAATTAGCCAGCCATAACTGGCGTTTCTATGATATGGTGTTTCCAATTTTATAAAATGTGCTGTAAACCTCATTATATCATAAGGATTTTACCTAAAGAAATGCATGAGTGACCCCTAAAACACTGCAGAAGTTTTGACTGGCTATCCACTTTCCTTCTCCTGTTTCCTCACTAATTTTACAGAAGATAGATTTTCTTTAGAAATTCAAACTTTTGAAATTGACGATTTACCTTATCAAACTTAAAAACGTGTGTTTTGCATCTGAAACATTTTCTAGGACACCAATACATACTGATCAAGTGTGAGCCTTACTTGATGTATCCATAGATGGGAAGAGAATCACAGATGTACTGAGCTGAAAAGGATTCTGGAGTTAGGCCATTTCAGGAGAGGTGGTAAAACGTAACGCTTAAGAGTGTAGGCTTTGGAGCGGGATGCCTATGTTCAGATTCTACCACCACCATGTACTAGCTTCTGATTTGGACAAGGTACGTCATTGCGCTGTACTTCAATTTCTTCATCTTTAGGATGGAGGTTGTTGTGGGGAGTAGATAAGTTGTGAGACACGTGGACTCCAGAGCCAGACTGCACAGCTTTGAATCTAGACCTCTCCACCTGCCCTGTGACCTTGGGAAAGTCACTTAAACTCCCTGAGCCCCAGTTCCTTTATCCAAAAAATGGGTTTATGAATAATGCCTACTTCCTAGGATTATTGGATAGATTAATAAGTTGATAGCTGTAGAATGCTTTGAGCAGTACTGTACATGCCTTTGTTATGCTGTTGCCGTTGTCATCATTAACTTAGATCCGTCTCCAGGAAATAGTAAGCTTTCAATAAATGTTAGTTCCTGTTGTTACTAACATCATCGTCTAATCCAGTGCCCTCATTTTATAGGTCAGGATGCAAAACAAAGATTGAAAAGTTGTGACTTAAGGTCCCCAGGCATTTCTGTGGTCTGGAAGGAAGAACTAGTATCTGACAGTAAAAGAGGTAGTGAAGACATATTGATGGTGATAGCTGTCTTCCATCACCACAAGTTTCATCTCCTATATGTTGAGGAATTTTTTCCTTTGGGAAAACACCTTGAATTTTATAAAGAAATTCCCTATTGTATGACATTTAGTCAGTGAAATCTTTGAAAGAATTAGCTGTCAAGCAGCCCTCCTAAGACACACGGACTGAAGCAAGGACTGCCTCCACTCATAAAAAAAAATAACAGTTCCTTCACTCTCCTCTTGGCCTATAGAAAATCCATGTGAGGGCCAGACTCGGTGGCTCAAGCCTGTAATCCCAGCACTTTGGGAGGCCGAGGCAGGCAGATTGGTTGAAGCCAGGAGTTTGAGACCAGGCTGGCCAGCATGACAAAACCCCATCTCTACTAAAAATACAAAAATTAGCTGGGTGTCATGGCAGGCACCTGTAGTCCCAGCTACTCAGGAGGCTGAGGCACAAGAATCACTTGAACCTGGGGGGCAGAGGTTGCAGTGAACCAAGATCGCACCACTGCACTGCAGCCTGGGTGAAAGAGCAAGACAGTCTCCAAAAAAAAGAAAAGGTAAAAAAAAAGAAAAAGAAATTGGTTCTCTCTCTCACATGTCATTCTGCTCAGGCATTCATGTTAGGTGTTCTAAGTTCAATAACTAAGTAGAATTTGAGCATGATTTGATAAGTTATGTAACTATTCAGTAAATCACTTGAATAAATGTCTATATTGTAATGTGTTTAAATTGCACTGGGTCCAATAGCCATGAAGTCTTATATGACTATCTCAGTCAGCTCAGGCTGCTATTGAAAATATCATAGACTGGATGGCTTAAACCAGCAGTCCCCAACCTTTCTGGCACCAGGAACCGGTTTCGTGGAAGACAGTTTTTCCACAACGGGGGCTTGGGGAAGATGGCTTCACAATGAAACTGTTCTTCCTCACATCATCAGGCATCAGTTAGATTCTCATCAGGAGCGTGCAACCTAGATCCCTCCCATGCCCAGTTCGCAGTAGGGTTTGCGCTCCCGTGAGAATCTAATGCCGCCGCTGATCCAGGAGGCGGAGCTCAGGCTGTAATGCTCGCTTGCCCGCCACTCCTCTCCTGCTGTGCTGGACAGTTCCCAACAGGCCACGGACAGGTGCTGGTTCAGGGCCCTGGGGTTGGAGACCCCTGGCTTAAAAAACAAACATTTATTTTTTACTGTTCTAGGGGCTGAAAGTCTGAGGTCAGGATCCCAGCGTGGTCAGATGTTTGGTGAGGACCCTCTTCCTACTTTGCAGATGGCTGGCTTCTCACTGTGTCTTCACAGGGCTGAGAGAGAGAGGAAGCAAGCTGTCTCGTGGTGTTTCTTTTTATAAAGGCACTAATTCTATCATGAGGGCTCCACCCTCAGGACCTAATAATCTTCCCAAAGCCATCCAGATACCATCATTTTGCAGATTAGGGTTTCAACATATGAATTTTGAGGGGACACAAACATTCGATTGATAGCAATGACGTTGCTGACTCATAGATCTCAGTGGTGCACATGTGACTTAGTCTCCGCCCAACAGGGAGTTCCAGAGCAAAGATTTCCTATGTAAGTTAGTTTATCCATGCCACTCTCTATCCGTTTACTGTAAGTTTTCTTCTTTTTTCTTTCTCCTTTCTTCCCCTCCTCCCCACCTCCTTTTACCCTCCCTCCTCCTCCTCCCTCCTTACTGTAGAATGTAGGCCCCATGAGGACAGGGACTTTAATATATTTACTTATGTATTCCCATCATTTAAATAAATGCCCAGGATATAGTAGGTCCTCAGTAAATATATATGTGTGTGTGTGTCTGTGTGTGTGTGTATTTATTTAACTACTGAATTCACAAAAATCCAGAAAAGTAAAAGTAAAGTTTACATTGAAACCAGGAGCATAGAAATTGGTTGTTAGCTTTATTGTCAGCACTGCTATTACTAGAAAGGGAAGATAAGAAAGATGAATGGAAACAAAAGAATTTTAGAGAAATGTTGAGAATTTAAAGGAAAATCATAATGAAGTCCTAGAGTCTGCCTCCTGAAATTTTACACTGAATATAATGGAGTTGAATGTAATTCTGAAATCTTTTTCATTTACCAACTGAAAATCCTTCGGGTAGAAACTTTCCTTCCAGTAACCTGTGGTTCTTAGCCATCAAGAAGAACAGCATATGCTCTTTCTGGACTTCACCCCGTGGAGCAGTTTGTGTGAACTGGTGCTAGGTCCCTTCAGTAAAGGATGGACCTACCAAGGGGCTTAAAAGTTGGTCTTGGTATAAGAACATGCCACTTACTACAATCTGGAAATGGCCTGCCTATTAGATCAGCACTGTAGCATCTCAAAACAGGATTTGGACCAGTATGCTAGACTTTTCTTTTTCATTAGAGATGATGTAAATATTAACACAAACTTTTAAGACAAGTGTTGTAAAACAAGCATCTCCTTCTCTTTTGGCATTTCCTTTTTGTCCATCTTAGTGGAGTTGTCAGTGTACTTATCAGTTGGAAACATCCTAAAATTATTCTCATTGCAACAGTGCAACAATGGAAGCCTTAAATTTCTAGAGAATACATCCATAGAAGGGAGGTGTTAAATTATCTTGCAGAATTAAATGGTGCAGTGAATTGCACTGCTTTCTTGGTATGGAGAAAATGGTCCAAAAACCAATTTGGGCCAATATCAGGACTGACTTTTGATATGACAGACAAGGAAGAATTCGATCCTCTATTTTCAGAAGTGGATCAGAGATTTTAGCAAGAAACTTCTTTCCTGGAAAGCTTAGAACAAAGCCAATGGAATTAAAGAAGCACAAGGATCTAGCTGCTGAGAAATAGGAGGGAGAAAATGAACATTTATTAAGCATTTACTATAGGTCCAGCACTTTCATGTATCTTATCTCATACAGGGCTCATAGACGTTAAATAATTTTCCAAGATTACACAGCTAACAAGCGGCAGATATTTAAACCCAGGACAGACTCCAGACCCCCTGCTGTCTCCATTACACCATACCCAAAGAGGAGTCTTCCATTTTCCAGTCTAGTTCCTTGGACATAGTAGACAACTCCATGGAAGGGTGTTGAATTGAATTGAATTCCTAACTGGGGAAATAACAAAATGGTCTTTGCTGGTAAGGAATATCTGTAGGTTACCCAAGACAGACCCTCACTGAAAAGAAACTAAGTGGTTTCTGAGTTCACTGATAAATGTGACTAACCAGGAATCTAGTGAGGAATTTGGAACTATAGAAGGGAGAAAAAGGAGGTCTTGGAGGTTGAGTAAAGTTTGGGAAGATGAAACAGGAAAAGAAAAGTTTTCAGATAGGAACTAACTTCAAGGAGGTTCCAACCTAAGAATGAGAATATGATGTGTAGGGGCTGGTGAGGAAACCAGCCCAAGTGAAACAGAGGGTGTCTGTCCTTCCATTGGTTCCATGGCTATCCCCACCCACACTTCTGTTTTAATATTGGACACCCATAATTCAAAGAGACAAACTACAGATGTGAGGAGCTCACAAGAACAGTTACATATTAAGCTTTACAGAGAATTAAAGTAGTAATCAGCTGCCTTTGGACGTTGTCTGAATCACTGTCTTCTAAGTTGATTGTCCCTTTATCTAGTTCTGTTGCTTTCAGGTCCTAGTCAGAAGGTGGGCTTTGGAACCAGATTACTTGGTTTCAAACTCCTGTGTACCTCACTTTCTTCATTTGTAAAATCAGGATAATAATACACCTGCCTCAGAGGGCTGTTTGATGATTAAATGAAGTAACATAAAGCCCTTAAAACAGAACAATGCTTTTACATATCAGTAGTTGCTCAGTTAATGTTAGCTATTAGCTGGCTTTAACCTGAAGGCACAAGCTGACCACTTATAGCATTAATACCCTTCCTGCTTTTATCGTTCCCCTCCCTTCTTCACTTTCTCTGTCTTCCTCTTGGCTCTCATTTAATGGGAGTATTGAATAAGAGTTCCTTACTCTTCAACTCTGGATTCAAACTATTCTTGCACAACCTGAACTCCAGTTTAATAGTGTTTCCTCTATATGCTCAGAAATGTCTTTAGTTTACTGTTTGACCTCGGCACACCACCTGTTTTCTGCTTTTCAGGTTTCTCTTCTTCCCTCCTCTCCACAAAGAAATTTAAAATCTTCATTTCTGCTTTTCACTGTTTTCCAGAGGGTTCACTCCCTTTACACCTCATCCTTCTGTCCTGGATTCTCACTAGCTGTCTCAGAACTCTGCCGTCTGCTATTAAAAGCCAAGCTTTCTGCCAGCCCTTTTTGCATACCATACTCAGCAGGTCCCTTCTGTGTGCCTCTATCTTCTCTAAGTCACCATCTCATCTCATGAGCATGTACTGAAACACATAAACAGTTTTGCTACTGCTGCTGCTTTTTTTTTTTTTCCTTCTCCCAAGCAACTTGAACCTATGTCAAATCAAAAAAGATTTTGGAGGCCGAGCGCGGTGGCTCATACCTGTAATCCCAGCACTTTGGGAGACCCAGGCGGGCAGATCACCCTAAGGTCAGGAGTTTGAGAGCAGCGTGGCCAACATGGCAAAATCCTGTCTCTACTAAAAATATAAAAATTAGCTGGGTGTGGTGGCGCGTGCCTGTAATCCCAGCTACTCGGAAGGCTGAGGCAGGAGAATCACTTTAACGCAGGAGACAAAGGTTGCAGTGAGCCAAGATTGTGCCATTGTACTTCAGCCTGGGCAACAGAGCAAGACTCCATCTCAAAAAAAAAAAAAAAAAAGATTTTGGAAAAGAGTTATTTTTGACAAAGGCATTGGGAAATAAAGAGTAAATGATGGATGATGCTAGTAGTTACCATTTAAAGAATACCTACTAAGTGCCAAACACTAAGTTGTAAGTTTATAATCACATTGTAAGCATGTTTTCATTGAAACCAATATAACAATCCTAAGAGATAGATACCATTTTCATTATTTTACTGCTGAGGAAACTGAACCATGGAGAAGTTAGCTAACTTATCCAAGTTCACATACCTGGTACACAGTAGAAGCCAGATTTGAAGCCAGATATGTCTAATTATATCAAAACTTGACCTACCTCTGAAGGATACATAGCTAGAAGGATTTTTTAAAGACGTTATTATGCCTTTGTGTTCATGCTGATTACAAGAGAGAAGAGAGTAAATGATGGAATTCAGGACATGCTACCCCAAAATATGGCACGTTGGCATTGGATACAACAACAGAAGCAGGAAGGTCTCTCTGACCTTCTCCTCACCCTTCTTGCCTGAAGCAAGCTATAAAGAATTTTCTGACCTGCCTCTAAAGTAAGTCATAAAACCTTCATTGCAGAGGTACCCACCCCATAGCTGAAGGAAAAGAATGTCCTTATCTCTGAAGACAGAGGAACACAAAGAACAACAGGCCTTGTTAATTCCTCCCAGTTTATTACTGTTATTAGATTAGACCCAATTGTCCTCAAATCAATTTCTCCATGACTGTCTCCTCTTCATCATACACAGATTTCCTTCTTTTCTGAAGTCTTCATTTTCTTTCTTTCTTTCTTTCTTTCTCTTTCTTTCTTTCTTTCTTTCTTTCTTTCTTTCTTTCTTTCTTTCTTTCTTTCTCTCTCTCTCTCTCTCTCTTTCTTTTCTTTCTTTCTTTCTTTCTTTCTTTCTTTCTTTCTTTCTTTCTTTCTTTCTTTCTTTTTGGAGACAGGATCTCTCTCTCTGTCGCTCAGACTGGAGTGTAGTGGCATGATCATAGCTTACCGTAGCCTCGGACTCATGGGCTCAAGGGATCCTCTTGCCTCAGACACCTGAGTAGCAGGGACTACACGCGTGTACCACCATGCCCTGCTAAATTTTGTATTTTTTGGTAGAAGCAGGGTCTCACTGTGTTGCCCAGGCTGGTCTCAAACTCCTGGGTTCAAGCAATCCTCCCACCTACGCCTCCCAAAGTTCTGTGATTACAGGCCTGAGCCACAGAGACCGGCTGAGGTCTTCGTTTCTGAAGGCTCCCACATTACATAAAACTTACAGTAAATAAATGTGTATGTTTTTCTCTTGCTAGTCTCTGTTATAGGGTTCTCCCCCATTAACCTAGCAGTGGATGAAAAAAGAAAATCTCTTCTCCCCTAAGAATATTCCCATAAGAATATCCAATTATAAATAAGACTAACAATAAACTCCTTTTAAAATCTGAGTAGAAAAGGACCCCATGGTAGCAATGTATGTATGTTGGACTAATTTGTAACTATTCTCCTAAGTGTTGACCTTAATCTTTCTGGTAATGCATTTTAGGATTAGTATACTACAAATGTACTTTTTCTCCAAAATTATACGTCCTGGATACATTTCTTTATGTAGATATGACATACCTTTCTTGCTTCAAATATCAATAACATGTAGTGTAAGAAGCCTCCAAGAGTGTGGTCTTTTTAAAGCTGGAACTCACATCCTTTATTCTATCTAGTAAGCCATCTCTCAGGTCTCATTCTTGAGAAGAAAAAAAAAAGCTGACAAAATTTCTACATTTAAATTTATTTTTCCCTTAATGTTTCATATCAAAATGGAAGCCATGTTTTTCATCATTTCATTCAAGACATAAAACCTTGTGAAAAACCAAAGTAATGGAGGAAATGAGGAATTGTCGTTTAGTGGATATAGAGTTTTAGTTTTGCAAGATGAAAAAGTTCTGGAGAATGGTTGCACAACAGTGTGAAAGTATTTAGCACTCCTAAACTGTGCACTTCAAATGGTTAAGATGGTGAATTTTATGTTATGTGTATTTTGCTACAATTTTAAAACTTTCCTAATTAAAAAAGAAGTAATGGTGATTTTCTGGCAAAAAAAAAAAAAAAAGATACATTCAAAACATGCACTGAATATTATTTTGAAAATTTTTCTTAGTGAAAAGAGGCACCTTCCTCTTTCCCAGGTAAACATTTCAAGGTTTTGAAATGGAAAAGAACTACCCTTGAGGCTTTGGTTTAGCCTTTTGTTCTCTGCTTGGGAACCGGGCTTATTTGTTTGTTTATTTAACTGGTTGCTTTATTAGCATAATAAAGCATGACACTGTTCTTCCTTGATTTGAACTGCTTAGAAGTCTTTAAAAGAATCATTTGCATAATTTATTATTTTTAAATGTGTTCACATTCAGCATTTCCTTTAACAAAGATACACACCTATACCTTTTACAAAGACTGAATATTTAGGCAACTTAACAGCTACAAACTTAACTTTTTAATGAATTGAAGCACTTTTCATTCAATAGAGATACAAATTTGGAGACCATCTTTTAGAAATTGGATCCAGAAAAATACTCTGAACCAGGGACTGACTTAAATAATTTCCCAACATCAATTAAATGAGATTTTTCCTTTAAAAAAAAAGTTGTTTTGCTTTGTGAGGTTAAACTTTTTTTTATTTTATTTATTTATTTGTTTATTTATTTTGAGACGGAGTCTCGCTCTGTCACCCAGGCTGTAGTGCAGTGGCACAATCTCGGCTCGCTACAAGCTCTGCCTCCCGAGTTCACACTGTTCTCCTGCCTTAGCCTCCCGAGTAGCTGGGACTACAGGCACCTGCCACCACGCCTGGCTGATGTTTTGTATTTTTAGTAGAGATGGGGCTTCACCATGTTAGCCAGGATGGTCTTGATCTCTTGACCTCATGATCCACCCACCTCGGCCCCCCAAAGTGCTGGGATTACAGGCATGAGCCACCATGCCTGGCCGAGGTTAAACTTTTAAGCAAAACCCTACAGGAGAGTTATCTGGAACTCTTTACAAAATGAGTGTATTTCTTTGTGAGAAGAACAGTGTGTGGAGTGCAAGGGTGTGCATTTATTGGTTTACTTCCCCAAGCCCAGTATTTTTGTTTGTTTGTTTGGTTTTGGTTTGGGGGGGGGGGGGGTTAATTATAAAGCATTCTATTATTGTATTTAAATCTTTTCCTTTATTATTATTTTTAAATTGACATCTAATAATTTTATGTTTATAGGGTACAGTGATATTTTGATAAATGTGTATAATGTATAATACTCAAATCAGTAATTAGCATATCTGTCACCTCAGACATCATTTCTTTGTGTTGGGAACATTTAATATTCACTCTTCTAGCTATTGAAAAATACATAACAAATTGTTGTTAATTATAGTCACCTTATAGTGCTATGGAACATTAGAACTTGTTCCTCCCATCTACCTGTGCTTTTACTCGCTCAGCGGATTCTTCTCACCCACTGCACAGAAAAGCCAATACACTGAGACAGCAGCATTGCAGTAGAGAAAGGGTTTAATTATCTCAAGGCAGCTGATCAGAGGACGAGAGATATTTCTCAAATCTTCCTCCCCAAGAACTCAGAGGCTAGGGTCTTCCAGGATAATTTAGCAGGCTGAGGGCTAAGGAACGGGTACTGCTGATTGGTTGGGGTTGCGATCATAGAGGTGTCAAAAGCTATCTTCATACACTAAATCAGTTTCTAGGTGGGGGTCACAAGACCGGTTGAGTCAGTTCCTTGGTATGAGTAACAGGTCCGAGTGGAGTCAGTTGGTTGCCAGAATGCAAAAGTCTGAAAAATATCTTAAAGACCAATCTTAGGTTTTACAACAGTGATGTTATCTATAGGAGTAATTGGGGAAGTTACAAATTTTGTAACCTCCAGCTACATGACTCTTGATGAGTAAGCAATTTTAGAAAAGTAAGCTAGGGAACGGGCTGCGCACAGTGGCTCACGCCTGTAATCCCAACACTTTGGGAGGCTGAGGCAGGTGGATCATGAGGTCAGGAGATCGAGACCATCCTGGCCAACATGGTGAAACCCCATCTCTACTAAAAATACAAAAAAAAAAAAAAATTAGCTGGGTATGGTGGTGCGTGCCTGTAGTCCCAGCTACTTGGGAAGCTGAGGCAGGAGAATTGCTTGAACCAGGGAGGCAGAGGTTGTAGTAAGCCGAGATCATGCCATTGCACTCCAGCCTGGCAAAATAAGCTAGGGAACAATGGCTGGTTATCATTTAACTACACCTACATCTTAGCAGAATTCAGTCTTTTCCCATAATCCTAACCTTGTGGCCTTTCATTTGTCTTACAGAGATGGTTTCAGTCCCCCGTGGGGGTCAGCTTGCAGAGGGACTATTATCATTTTTGCTTCAAAGTTAAACTATAAGCTAAATTCCTCCCATAGTTAGCTTGGCCTATGCCCAGGAATGAGCAGGGGAGTGAGCTTGTGACGTTAGAAGCAAGATGGAGTCAGGTTAGATTTTTCTCACTTTTATAATTCTTGCAAAAGCAATTTTATATTCATTAACCCACCCCTGGCTTTCCCCTTCCCCCTACCCTTCCTGGCCTCTAGTAATCACTATTCTACTCTCTGTTTGTATGAGATCAACCTTTTAAGCTTCCATACATGAATGAGAAAGTATGGTATTTATCTCTCTGTGCCTGACTTTTTCACTTAACATATTGTCCTCCCAGCTCATCTGTGTTGCTAAAATGACAGAATTTCATTCTTTTTTTTTTTAATCACTAAATAGCATTGCATTGTATAGATATTTGCCACATTTATCCATTCGTCTGTTGATGGATACTTAGGTTAGTTCCATATCTTGGCAGTTGTAAATAGTGCTGCACTAAACATGGGAGTACAGTGATCTCTTTGATTACTGATTTCCTTTCCTTTGGATATATACCTAGTGGTATCATAGCTGGATTGTATGATAGTTCTATTTTAGTTTGCTGAAAACCCTCCATGCTGTTTTCTGTAATGGCTGTTCTAATTTACATTGCCACAAACACTGTGTAAGAGTTCCCTTTTCTCCACATCCTCTCCAGCATTTGTTATTTTTTGTTTTTTGGGGTTTTTAAATAATAGCGATTTTGATTGGTGTGTGATGGTATCTCATGGTTTGCATTTGCATGCAAATGATTAGTGATGCTCAGCATTTTTTCATGTACCTATTTCAAACTCAGCGTAATTTTGGTTGGGAGGCCGTTAGGCTAAGGCAGCTCCAATGCCCTGAGTTCCTACATAAACAAACTGAAACCCAACTCTTTGTAAACAGTCATATTCTAGGCCAATCAGAAACCACCAACTAACCCCCTACCTAGGGGCTTTCCAATACTCAAGTTTAACCGATCAGGAACTGCCTGGCCAACCTCTAACCAGGGACTTTCCACTGGAATGATCCAAAAAACATTACTGCCCCACTTTAACCAATAAGAGATTTTCTTTACCTTGCTTCTGCTTTCACCTTACAAAAGTCTTCTACCAGTCTCTTCATCAGAACCCCCCACCACTTATGGCCTAAGGCTGCCTGATTAACGAATTGTTGTCTGCTCAAATAAACTCTTTAAAATTTTAACGTGCCTTTGTTTATCTTTTAACAGCTGTTTAATCTCACTGTGATCACAAACCATACATTGTATTGTCTTAATTATTTTACATTTTTGAGACTGTTGTTTTATGGCCCAAAACATGATCCATCTTAGTGAACATAACTTGTGCTCTTAAAGGAATGGTATTCTTTAATTGTCACATACAGTGTTCTGTAAGTATCAACTGGGTCAGGTGGTTGATAGAGTCTGTCAGATCCTCCCTGTCTTCACTGAATTTTTGTAGAGGGAGAGGTCTGTTAATTGCAGAGAAAGAAGCATTCAAATCTCCAACAAAAATCGGAGATTTTTCTGCTTGTCCTTTGAATTATTTCAGGTTTTACATTGTATTTTGAAGCTCTGGCTGTGTTTGCAGACTCATTTATGATTGTTATATACTCCTGATAAACTGGCCTTCTTACCACTGTGAAACATCCCTTTTGATTTTCAGAAATATCATTTGTCTTGAAATCTACTTTATCTGTCTTAAATCAGCAAGGGGCACTACAAAGTAACAGTAAAGGTAGATGTAAATATTGTTAAACAAGTAATAGGTATTCAATGAATACTTGTTGAATATTGAATTTTAGTATTTTCTGGGTGGCAGATTGCCAGATAATATGGTTTCGTGTGTGTATGTACGTGTGTGTGTGTGTGTATGTTTCTTTTTTAATAATCTATTTTCTAAGTCTCAGTGTGGATGAGATGCTGTGGATAAAATAGTACTCACTTCAGGAAGTTAGTTACCTCCAAGGTTGACTGAGCGTTGGTCCTAGCCTTCTAATAACTAATATTGAAGGAAGAAGCAGCTCATAATGACATAATGAATGAGTAGGCAATCTACCTTAAATCTTTAGAGAAAAAACTAATGATTGAACATACAATGTCAGGTGTTTTCAATAGAGGGGTAATAGAAGAATTAGAGCAGGTCAGGAAGGACAGCTTCATAAATACGACACCTTATGACCTTTGGCTACAGTTTTACTGCTTTCCTGATATTTGCTTGAACCAAAGCTCATTCTCTGTATACCAACACAAGTACAATTCTATTCTGTTCTTTAGCTGTTTAAAACAAAGTGGTTTCTTCATATCACGATTTAAAAAGAGTAGTCTCTTATGTCTCTAAAAGAACCATTGGGAAAAAAGCAAAAAAGAGTAGTTTTTCTTAATTCTAAAGATCCTCAAGGCAGTGGTGTCTTAACCAGGAAGACAGGAGAGACCCAGGCAGCCTTAGGAAGCTCACTGTCATCCTCCCTTTTCCTCTTGTTTCTTCATCCCTAGAAGTAAACAAACTAAAAATGGTTTTGACCTTTGAAAAAGAAATAAACACTGAAGTA